>NC_000003.12:2510000-3760000 GCF_000001405.40 Homo sapiens
AAGACCATTTCCTGCCCAAGCTGTCTTTTTTCCCCACACATTTAAAATTTACTCACACTTACTGAGCATGATGTTTCAAGTTTTCTGAAACAGCTGGTTAGTAGCCAGTTGATCACTGGCCCCTAAAGGTAACAAAGACCCTCCATCCCCAAATTTTTGCCAGTCAAAAAAGCATGACTTTATTTCACTCCCGTCACCCCAGTGCTATTACGAGGTGTAAGCACCTTTCTAGTGAAGGTCTATTTTCTAGATCTTAGGACAAGAATAGAATGTCACATTGTAAGCGTTCTCAGAGGTCTGCAGCAAAGCCCTTATTGTACAGAAAAGAAAACTAAGACTCACAAAGGTGTAGATCACCTGTTTGTTTGTTTGGGGTTTTTTTTTGTTGTTTATTTGTTTGTTTTTGCAGCAAGATGAGGATTAGAACTCAGATTTCTGACTCCCTCAATGTTCTCCCTTCTTTATCATACAGGCTCCTTAACTACTGGCTGCTTTGCGTGTGGTGGACTTTAAATGATCACACGGGTGCCTTAATCACAGCCTTTTTATGAGTGACACAGGCGCTGAGTCTCCCTTTTTCTAAAATGGAATGTTTTATATCCATAACCCAGACTTGCTTAACTAAGGTCAAATTTACATAAACAAATGTCTTCCGGGGCCAGCAGGTAGCATGTCTGGGCAAAAGCGTGTGTGGCAAGGTTTTGATAAAGCGCAGAACACATGTTCTGTTTAAAAATGTTCACATTCAGATTCTCAAATCTCTCTCTTGCCAGACCAAGCATGTCCACAGGCTACTGGTTTATAACCCCTGACTGCATCACGATGCAGACAGAGTAAGGAGGAGTGTTCTTACAGTTATGCAAATGGAATCCATATCACCAGTTCCTTTTAGAATACTAGATGTCCCAAGTGTGCCATGCCAAACCCTTTTGCTTTGAATGCCCTGGACTTCTAGTATTCAATGAAGAGGCACGACTTGGGGAACATGAAACACCCCCATAAACACCAGCTTTAGTTCAGCCAGTGTCCCCAAAGACTGACTCTGAAAAGAACATACACGTGTATGTCGCATAAAATCCGTAGAAGAGATGATGCTGCTACCCACAACCTTCTTGGGAGCTGCTGAGAATCCCTAACAGACAAACCGAATCATAGGGCAAACCCACCCTATGTACCAAACAACCAGTGTAATTATATTCTGTAGTTGAGGAATTACATAAATTGCCCATTGGGAAAGAAGCCTTAATCTCCATCCCTCCCCCGAAATCTATCAACAGCTGTGTGAGCCTCTGTGTATTTTTGAAAGGTTGAACACATTTGATCGGAGAACAAACTTGATTTCCTAATCAGGTTCGATGCGAGGAGAGCCAGTTAGAGATGTGTGTGATTCTCCCAGTGTGCGTCTTTGATTCGTGTGCTAATTATGTCGATCCTTTGGGGAACACAGCCAGGAAGCTGGGTCCTCCTTGATGAATGCTGGCGGAGAGCCATGCAGCGCGCAGCGGAGAGCAGTTCAGCATCTCTAGTCCCAGCTGAGAATATGGTCCCATTATCTCCCAGCTGCCTAAGCAATCCATAAGGGCCTGTTCTGCGTGGATGATCAGTGTAGTGGAAGCAGGGACTTGCTGAGAGCTGAAATCTCTGTTTGATTTGCTGTAACATGTAAAGCGAAACTGGGACATTTTACTTTACAGTCTGTAAGTACCAGGTTTTACCCCCCTCTTTCTCCCTACAGCTCCATGTGAATGTGACTTTGCAAGCTGCATTTGATTTTCTGTTCCATTGCTCTTTGTTGAATCAAGCTGGTGAGGTAGAGTGTGATCTGTTTAGAGCTTGCTGTTTCTGTTAAATCTCTTATATAATTGATTCATACAAGGAAATAGGAGCCTTTCAGAATGCTTTTATAGAAATTAGAAATTATTGGCTTTGTTTTTAATTTGGGAGTGTGGTTGCATTATCTTTGGTGCCAGGATGATTAGAGCATATATTTATCTTCTTCTGTACCTCTGGCCATTGCAAGAAAAATGTAAGTAAAACTAATATATATATAAAGAGATAATCTTTATATGCATGCCTGTATAAAAGAAGTGCCTGTATTTCCAGAATTTAAATTTAACATAGTTTATTTTGCTGTTCTCTGCTGCTACTAAGAAAGGCAGAAACAGAAAAGTTTCTCTTGTTTTTCAGTTGCATGCTGTTTAGAAACTTTGCCATGGAGGTGGGCAGGATAACTGTTTGGAATATTTGCAAATATAAACTGTATATCTCCTTTTTTATGAGACAGTACATAAAATAAGAGTCTGTGTTTAGCCCCTTATTGCTTTTGAATGCACCACTTCTTAAGAAGTAATGTGAATTAAAAAAACAAAAAAAATCACTTTAAATTTGGTTCATTTATCTTTTTATGTATCCTCAAATGCCATCTATCAAATTAATATTTATTATTCATGCAAGATTCATTGTAAAAATGCTATTAGAATTTAATATTGTTAATAATGTTTGCATGATGTCTTTCACATGATCAATGCCTTAGTGAAATTAAAGATTGTTATCACTGTGGAAAGGGATTTGTGGATTTTTCTGTTTCCCTAACCTAAACATAAATCACACCTGTCTTTTTTTATTAAAAGTGGAATAATTGAGCTGTTGTAAAAATTGAATTTGAATAAAAGTGGCTTGAACAGCATGAACCAATGGCCAGGGCTAATGTGAACCAAAGTGAACTTAAAATCATGAATACCTGAAAAGGGGAATTGAAGTTTCCACACTGAGCTTGAGACCATGGAGCCTGATGGTCCCATAATTTCCAGAGTGGGAAATACAGTTTCCCTGAGTAGGCAGTAAGTCTCAAGGCAGAGAAAAACCACAGACTGTGAAGTACAGAAGCATCTTACTGGTGAGGACAGAGTATGTTCTCATTAGATTTGGTGGAGAGGAACTGTGCAAGAGAGAGAAGACTCAAAATAGATGGTTGTCTACATGAGCACAGGCATTTTCAGAGCTTGAGATTTGGAGGGAAAATGATCACAAAACAGTACAGAATGCTTAACATCTGGTAAGATGAAGCAAAAGACGGACTCTGGTACCTCTGAGTAGCAAACAGTCCCAGGGCTGTCCTTGCCAAGTAATCAGTTCTCTGGAAAAAAGTAAGTGTGCAAAAAGGCCTGCTAATGAAATCTGAAGTAACGGCAAGTGGTTTTGATGGCTATATGGTCCCTAAACAAAAGGCTGGCCTCATGCCTTCTTACAAAACTGAACTGACCTTTGTGAGTGATGATTCCTGGTGAACCCTTAGCTATATTTTTAAATAACTGTTAGTGTTTTTCTGACTACTGCAAGTATATGATCTTGTGCAAGATGTGATCTTGTTTTAAGAGGGATTTATGGATTTTTCTGTTCAGAAATAGGATTAGTTAAGGTCCAGTGATTTTTTTTAAACAAATGCTTAATTTGTATCTACTTGGTTGAGTAAATAGTGTTCTTTTGAGTTTCGATTTCTTTTTTTTTCAGGGTCCCGAACCCCTTTATTTGTACTTAGCAGAAACGATTGCCTTCTGTAGAGGAGTATCTTCCCAATGTAGTTAAATTTGATTTTTATTTTCCATTCAAATATTTAGAAATTTCAACTTATACCTTACAATATTAAACATTTTTGTAGTCAGTCACCACAAATCTCAGAGAGGTATTTGCAAGATTTGTAGTTTGCTTCTATTACTTTCGGAATGTTTAGATAATTTTATAAAATTGGGACACTGTCTTCCTAGTTGTTTGCTTAATCTGCAGGAAAGTGGATTGAACTCTCCAGGGGTCAGTTTAGGGTATGTGGTCTCTTGACAGATCGGGAAGCCAGATATACCTTGTAAGAGGTACTTCTAAAGCCATAACAATTTGGTCTTCAAAATAAATTTAAAGTGCTATGAAAGAGAATAAAGGAAAAGTCTTGAATTGTATATGTAAAGATAGTGCATCTCTGTACGTGTTTGCATGCATACAAATCTACCCAACAACATTGTGGACAATTTCTGTGCTACCCAAGTACACTAGCTCTTTAGTTCCTAGAAAGCCCTGGGGTTGAGCCAAGTGGAAAGAATTTTGTAAATTGGGATACAGCAGCAGAGAGTTAAATCTCCTTGCATTCTTTGTTTTGGACCCTCGGCAGACTGTTTTGTTTGACCCCAGAGCTGCCGGCTTAAGCACAAAGAGGACTTTATAACGTCCTCAGCGGCATTTGGAAGCAGGACCTCTGCACACAAATCATACCCTAACCCTC
The DNA here is from genome assembly GCF_000001405.40 of Homo sapiens. Classification (NCBI taxonomy): domain Eukaryota; kingdom Metazoa; phylum Chordata; class Mammalia; order Primates; family Hominidae; genus Homo; species Homo sapiens. The sequence continues at coordinate 2,514,271 of NC_000003.12, forward strand.
CTTAACAGCTTAGGGCAGCCACTGTGAAGCAAGGAATGCAGTTCTGTGAACTGTCTCTATGATGACAAGTTAAAGAGTGAATATGAGCTGGGTGTGGTGGCACAGGCCTGTAGTCCCAGCTACCAGGGAGGCTGAGGTGGGAGGATAGGTCGAGCCTAGGAGTTTGAGGCCAGCCTGGGTAACTTAGTGAAACTCTGTCTTTAAAAAAAAAAAAATGAATATGACTGAATGAAAAATAATTAATTTAGTAACTGTAATACTTTTGGATGATTTTAAATGTTATCAAGCCTTAACTGTGCATTGTCAAAGTATACACTCCATTGGTTATCTCTAGTAACAGTGAAAGATTGAGTTAACCTCCTGTAAGATGCTGTGCAACTCTAACAAGCTGCTTTACCTCTCTGTGCCTCAATAGCCCCCAGTAAAATGAAGTATGATTTCTGTGATCCTTCCGAGGTTAAGAAAGTTACGAACTCATGACATCTTATTCTAACTGGGCATTCATGCCTGGAACGGCCTTCAAATTGCCTAGGGACAGGGTGACATGTGACTTAGCTGTCATTTTAAACAATATTTCACTAGGATGCTTTCATTTTTTCTTCTTTCATTTCTCTTTCTTTCTTCCTCCCTTTTTCTTCCTTCCCTTCCCTCCATCTTCTGCTACCCCCTCCCTCTCTCTCTTTCTACCCTTCTCCTTCTCCCTGTCTGTCCCGTTCCCTGTTCTCCTCTCCCTCTGCCTCCCTCTCTCTCTTTTTCATCAGTTAATTGTCCTCAAGTCAAGTGTGACTTTAGAAACGAGGTTCGGATTGTCTGCTCATTTGCATAACCTGTTTGCGGCTTTCTCTTATGATAGTTCATTGAAGTATCAATGACTTACTGATATACTGCTCTGTTATATATTAGAATTACTTAGCTTTAGGCATGTATGTGCAGCAGGGACCCAGAAAGTTATGCTGCATATGTAAGTGTGTATAGATTGCCCATGTTAATTTTTAAAATAAGAGTGTTGTTAATCTTATACTCTAAATTGAAGATGATTAAGGTGAAGGATTTATCTTAATGTATTAAGCTAACAATATTTACTTTAAAAATAAAACAAGTGCACAAACAATAGCCCATTTCAAGGTAGCAGGATATTAAAGAGCTTGATTTTTAAAAAGAGAAAATATGTTCATCGAATGATTTGATTTTTCTGTAAGAAATTGTCTTGCCAAACAGTATGGAAAAATAAAAGGCATACATCATTTTATTAACAAATAGATACCCGTCCACATAATGAAGTAAGCAACTTTGTGAAACATGAGATAGGAAAAATATTTTATGGAAAGTTTTTTTAATGATACACTTCTTGTAATCTTAGGATTGCTTATCACTAGATAAGTCCTCTTAGTTGAAAACAGCAGATGAAGAAGTTACTAAATCCATCACTAATGAGTGCTTCTTGATATACTCGAACCAACTTGTGAATACACTTCATTTGAGAATCTTTACTGCAGATACTGGAAAAAGCTAAATTAATTTCATAATTTATACTTGTAGGACATGGATTGTAGTGCTTTTTGTTTCTTCCACTGTTAAATGGAATAGATGGAATGGCACAAAAATTTACGGACTAATATTTTACTGTACAGTTGACTATATATATATACACACACACTTATAAATATTTTTTAACATCAAGTGTACTCCAAGATGGATGATAAGTGGCCATTTGATGACAGTAATAGCTTGGATGGGCTCATCTTATTTCAGATCAGGGTAGTGTTATGACAGCTTTTAAATGTTAGTTGAAATACTCATTTTTCTCTCCATTTTTATTATTGGGAGGTCTCTATATGTGTCTTACTATTCTGGAGTTTGAATATTAATGTTATTCCTTATTGAACTTGTAGGCTATATTTGATGCATATATATATATATTTTTGATGCAGAGTATAAAATTAATTTTCCAAATCTCATAAAACTGAGTAGATATCCTGGCTTTTTAGGCAGCAGGCCTGTTGTAAGTAGAATCCGTAATGTGAAATAATTTGTTTTATCGTCGTGCATCCATCTATGACCAAAATGATTTTGTACTTAGGAACTATTTCAATGCAAACTAGATTATACTGACAGATAATGTTTGATAATTTGTGGCTCTCAAATCCTTGATTATAAAGTTACCAAGCAGCTTCAGGGACATTGCTTTTGGTTTTAATCTAGTACCTCTGTTGACTTGAGATGTTCAATTCAATATTACTTAGTTAATAGCTCCAATGGCTTATCCGACTGTTTTATTGTATAGTTAAAAAGGTAAAGTAAATTGGACATAGACATGACTCTAGGGCTTGTACATGGCTTCATGTCTTCACCTCTATTCCAAAGTAAGAAGGGAAGTCCTTCTGCATTTTTGCATGAAATTTCTCTATGTTTTAAGGGAGGAATGGGGTGATTTAAAATTGAGAGGAACACATCAGAAGGAGCTGCAAAGGAATAAAGTGTTTCTTATGGTTAGATATAAAATGCAGGGCTATACATTCTGAAGATATGGCAGAATTTAGAGAAGCTGACTATGCCAGGCATTTGGCACAGGGGACTAAAGGAGACAGATTTAATGCTTGCCAGAAGGAAACCCTATATCAGTGGATAGAAATTTGAGTGCCCTGCAAGCAAGCAATAACAAAAGAAAGAAAGAAAAAAAAATGTAAATAAGGAAGTAGAGGAATGACTGTATTGTGGTTGGAAGAGATGTGGTTTCATTCTGCAAAGGAAAATTGTGAGTGAATGAAATATATCAAGTGTAAGGACATTGGGACTAATTCAAAAATATTTTGCATAGGTATTGCTAAGTTACTGTGAAATAATTAAGACATTTGGATCAGTGAAGAGATACAGAGAAAAAGGAGTGCTGTTGGATTTGACTGTACTGGCTGACACACTTTAACAATGTAATTATCTTAAATGAAGTGGGTATTGTGACACCGTAGTCAGTCTGTCTTATTTCAGTGAGTGTTTCTGGAGTAGTTAATGGGGATATTCCATCTAGTTCAGTAGATATTGATAAATATGTATTTATGGAAACTATATAGCAGTTTTTACAGGCTGCCAGTAAATTACCTTGATCCTTCTACCAATGTCTGTGTTTCTGATCCCCCACTCCTCCCTCCAATGATCTGTATTACCCCAAATAGTCCTAGGAGATGGTGTGAGAAGACTGAGTTTGAGGAGGTTGATTTTATTAAATCACTTCAACCTTTCAGAGAGTAAATAAGTTCTTACGGTAGGGCGTAATGCCATGCAATACTGAATGACTTCTTGAAATCCTTTCACTTCACTTTTCCTTTACCAAGCACTTTGTCCAGAGTAATATGTTTAGGTCTTCCAAGCATTTAGATAAATAACCTTGTCTGCTGGACATGGACTCAATGAGTCATACCACTAATTAAACACGGTCATTTGCAAGAACTTTGCCTCCTCGCTGGTTAGAATTCATTGTATATGTGTGTGCCTTTCAGATAGGTAAAGCTGCTCACACACAGGCATAATGCTTGACTCCAGGGGTGAAAACAACCACCATCTCTCAGAAGAGAACAAATCATGTGTTCAAACATGGTCTCTGGCATCTTTTTGATGTGTGTGTTAAGTGTGAATCTGGTAATTTAAGGTGTGTGACTCCTACTCCCATCCAGCTGTCTGGCTTTGTGCTTAGAGAGAAGAATAGCAACAGATTTAGACTGACACAATCCTTCCCTAGAGTCCCCCTCCCCTACCTCTCCCTGCAGGAATCCACAAGGGTATTCGGTTGATTGCTGTTGTTAACCTCTCTTGTAGTATTATATTTCTTGTTGAAAGTACCTTTTGTGGCATGTGAGTACATTTAAGAGATGTGAAAGGCTTTAAAAATGGCTTTACTTTTAAACTTTCTTACCTAAATTATTAGGAGGAAAACAGTTTCTTAGGTTAATATGTGTGTGTGTGTGTGTGTGCACACACGCACATGCACGCATCTAGGCTAAGATCTTTGCAAACCTTTAATGTTCATCAAGGGCTGTGTCTAAATGATACGTTGATTATAATAGGATTTTTTTTCCAAATCATTTTCGTAATACATGAATAATACTCAGAATGTTCATGTAAAGTGATAGACTGAACTATTTCACTTGAGAAACATTCTTGATGTTGTACATGACAGTCTTCGGTCGCAAAATAATCTAGAAAATTAGGAACATGTCTGCAAGTCTGGTTAAGGCTCTGACAGTTCTTCTAATATATCTGTTTTGGTGAACTTTGAGCATCACAGAGTTTTCTCAAGGTATGAAATAAATACCTCTGGTAGAATGTTTGATAATCTCAGAGTACTCAGGAATTTTTAATAGATATGTTAAAGATAAAAAATATATAACTAGTAAATAAAACATATAGTTTTACAGATAGAATTGTTTAGCCCATGGCTAAATGGATAAACCTAAAAGTTTTGATAAGCAATTTTGGAAGCGATTCTTGAATGTAGCAGAACTTGTGATGATGATGTGGAAGTATAGGGAAGGTAGAACTTTGCCTGTGGGCCTGAGACTTAAATCTACACAAAACAGACTAATAGAAGAAAATCATACAGATTTTTCACATTTACATGGGAGCCGCCACAGGAAAATGAAGACCCAAAGAAGTGGCAAAACCTAAGTGCTTCTATATTAGGTTGAACAAAGAGAGGCAATTGTAGGAAAATAACTAAAATATATGGGGCAACTAAAGAAAAATATGAGTTATTTTAACAAGATCTGTTTGTACAGAATACCCTTGGTTTTGACTCCCTGTCTCTAGTGATAAGAATGTTTCTTTTCTCCTGGTTTAGGGAAGACATCTTTCACATAGGAGTTTTATCTCCTGATGTGACAATGAAAAGGGAAGATCGGCTTGCCCTCCTTGTACCAACTGTGTTTCAAGTGTCTTTAGCTCAAAATAATCCTTTTGCCAAAGTGGCATATTCTGATAAGGGCTCTTCTGCCATCCCTCACAAGTGACCTTGCCATAAGTTATTTCTTGTGTGTCTAAGGATGACACCCTAGCCAACAAGGAAAATGGTGACATTCAATTATGGAATTTTAGGCCTGGACATGATCTACAGATTGTCTTGTCTGTTCCTCTACCAGTAGGTCCAGAGGCTTATCCAAGACAGAATGGTCTTCTTGTAGTCTGTCTAGGGATAGAATCTAGAATTTCCAGAGCCCCATATGGGTTCCCTTCTCTGGCAAGAAAGTCATTCTTGCATTTCTTTTCACATTCTGTACCACGAAGCTAGAACTCTATTGGCAGCCAGATAACCCAGAACCAAAGACCTGCAGAAACCAGGCTGAACACACGAAGTGTGAGGTGGACCAGTTGTCAGGCAATAGGGAGTCCACAGGGTCTGTAAAGAACGGTGCATCAGGGTTCCTCCTAAGTGTTGTGGCCATGTTGGATTGTGGGGCCAGTGTTGCTGTATCTCAAAAATTTTAAATATTGCTGTTTATTTTTAAAATGTGTGAAAGCTAAACGCATCTATCGAATTCATAACATCCAGTTTTCAACTTCTATGGTAAGTTATTTGAGGCATCTCTCATTGGTTGCGGGAAAAATATGCGGATTCACATCATGAAGTGGCATATACTCTACCTAAGAGAGGGAACCTGTGTTAATGATCCATCTTGGGTACTTCTAGGGAGGAACCTAAGAGAATGAGGTAAAGCATGTAAGGATTCCTACAAGGCTTTTTTTAAACCCTAATATGTTTCATTCATTGTCAGTTTATAAGGATCAGATTTAAGAAATCATATTACAGGTATGAGTCTGAAGTTAATGACACAGAATTCAATAAATATATTTTGCTATGCCTAAGTAATTCAGGTCAATAGACTATATTGTAGTTACTGATTTTACTAACATATTTAATATTTTTATTTCTACTGGGGTGCTAAAGTTGCCAGTCATGATTTACATTACCATAGAAAAAGATAGGTTGGTGATTGCTTCCTTTTTTTTTTTTTTTTTTTTTTTTTTTTTTTGAGATTGAGTTTCACTCTGTAGCCCAGGCTGGAGTGCAGTGGCACAATCTTGGTTCACTGCAACATTCACCATCTGGGCTCAAGTGATTCTTGTGCCTCAGCCTCCTGGGTAGCTGGGATTATAAGCACCTGCTACCACACGCTGCTAATTGTTGTATTTTTAGTAGAGACGGGGGTTTCACAATGTTGGCCAGGCTGGTCTCGAACTCCTGACCTCTGGTGATCCACCTACCTCTGCCTCCCAAAATGCTAAGATTACAGGCATGAGTCACCACATCCAGCCCTTTTTTCCTTTTTTAAAAAAACTTTTGATACTCACTGATTAATTGGGCAAATAGAGGAAATCTGCAAATGAGAGGGATAGAAAAATGGTCTAATTTACACTTTTTTTTAAACCACAAGATAGAGCCTAAATTCCATTTAATTTTCCACTAGACATTTTAGACATTCTATCTGATAAAGGAACAGAGAACACAGTGCTGGGCTGTTTAAGCACAGTCATTTTTCTTGCGTACCTGTGCAGATGACAGAATCACCAGGTGGTCCCATCTTGAGGACCACTGGCCTATATTTATTAATTCATTTAACTTATTATTAATTAAATTCCTGCCATTTACCTCATACTGTTTGTTCTAGAGTTCAGAGATAGAAAATGAACAATATGAACAAACAAACAAAATTACTACCCTTACGAAAGTACGTGCATTCTAGTATGGTGACAAAAAGGAAAGGCAGTGTTCTCCAAGCCACCCTTTGGATCTGAGGCGCCTTGTCCCTATTTTCACTACTTCTTCTTGCTCTGTTGGCTGTTTTGCCCAGCTGAACATACTTCTGTGGTATTTAAGTTGATCTCATATAGGCCATATGAAGTGGATGAACAAAAGTTTTTCAGATATTTTTGTGAACTCAAAATTATGTGGGCCTAGAATAGCTGAGTAATTGAGGCAAACTCTTATTTGTTTGAAGATAGGATTTTGTAATCAGGCCATCCAGCTACTGAAGCAGGCCTCTGCTTCATTTTGTTTCTGTGAACAAGGGTGGACCTCTACCCATCCCCCCCACCCCCCGCAATAAGTCACTCATTTCTCAGGTGTTTTTGTTTCTGCCTGCCTTAAATGGTGGAGTTGACCAAATTGACTATTTTGAAACCTATTTATAACTTCTAGATAAGGGTACAGCCATCCCTCCCTAGGACATGGTTTTAAGTAGAGTTGAATGAATATGTGAGGAAGGAAGCATTTTGAGCTTTTTTGAACAAGTTTTACAACTGCAAAGTGCTATTACTATTAAAGATAATAATTTAGAAGTAAATATTATAGCAACTAAGTGCAAAAGAGCTCTTAGTGCACTATTTTCATTTCACCGTATAAAAAGAAAATTGGTAGTAAAATATATAGTGTTTATCTACTTTGTAATTTCTTTCCCCCAAGTCTATTGACTTTTCTCTCCCTTCGGACTTCCCTTTGGTAACTCAGAAGCTTACCTAAGTTTTGAAGTAGCCAGCTAGAAGGAGTTACAGAGTAGATGACAGCTTTGTCTTTTTTTCTACTATCAGAGGGCTCAACACTGTGGAGTGATTTGTGGGGGCATCTGACATCATCAGAGGCGCAAAAGTAATCGTGCTTATCACTAAAGAGAGTTGGCTCTAAGCTTTGGTAAAGTGGTCCTGATCCCGTGTGATCCTAAAAAAAGATGAGAGGAATGATCATTACTGTTTGGAGCCTACAGGCTCAATAACCTTCTAACTCTGCTTTTTAATTAAACACAGAGCACTTAGGGGTTTATTTATCCATTATCAGGCAGGCAAATCCTCTACTGACATCATTAGATTTTATGGCATGTGGCCTGCCTAAGCAGTTTGTGTGTGTGTGTGTGTGTGTGTGTGTGTGTGTGTGTGTGTGAATAATTAATATGAAAGATATTACATTACTACCAGTACAATATGCTTTACTTCCATAGTCTAGAAACATGCCTTTTTATGCAAAGTTGCAACATGATTCAAATTGATGTAGTATTTTAAAGTTAAAGCTCTATACTCAGTATTAACAAGGTGGTTGCATTTTCCACAGAGACTCTAACAAACGATGTAGTCTTAAATATCAATTGATTTACAATATCTCTTAGCCTGACATCAATATTAAGGCTTTAGGATAGCTCTCACATGAGAAATCTGATATTTTGAACTTTGGATCATAATTAATTTCACAATACAGTATTGTTATCTTGTATTACATATTTTTTCTCATGTTAATTTGACTTACTGGCTATTAATAATAAGAAACGCACTATTTCAATGACCGAAGAGTGCAAACATTAGGTAGTGATGCTAGTAGAAAAACAGTTTGGACAGTGCTTCTTAAACATTAGTGTGTGGAAATGCAGATTCTGATTCAGTTAGACTGACTGGGACTCAAGACTCTGAATTTTTAATTAGCTCCCATATGATGTCAGTCTTGGTGGTCCACAGATAACACTTGAGTAATAAGGATAAAGACCATGTGGAATTCCCTGTTCAGCCCACATGAGATTTCCCAACTGAGGAATTCTTTCTTGAGTGTCTTTTTCTTTCATCTTTGTCTCACTGTATTGTTATTTGAAATCAGAAAATAAAAAGTACTAGATTGATAGCTCTGTCCACCTGTCAAGTGAAAAGTTTGCATCTCATTTTGTATTACACTATTTTATGCCCTAAATCTTTGCTTTCTGTCCTAAATTGATCTGGTACATCTTTGCCTGACATCTGAGTCTTGTAGATAGTTATTTAAAGATATGTGAAGTAAAAGATTGTGAATGTCATGGCTAGAATAGATGCTATCTCCAGAGTCTAGGAATTGAGGTATGTACTGGAGACAAAACAGACCTGTTCTATATGGAATGTTCTGGAGTATTATGAAAGACACTCTTGTTTGTTTCTTTATTTTTCACCCTGTGGCTTATGAAAGTGAAATGTGGGCTTTTCTAATATATGCATTCTCTAGTTTCCTATACACTGTTGATTTCCCCTTAGTAACATTGCATATTATGTTGCTCCTAGTGGTGACAAATCTCAGGAAAGCAAGAGACCTTAAAAAAAAAAAAAAAACAAAACTTTTTTCTATTTGTGACATGATGACAGCTGTCATGGGAATGGGGAAAGATAGAACAGTTTTTCAGAATCCATCAAGTGAAGGTACATTCAATGCTGTAACTTAATGAAAGTTGCTTTATTGTGACATGAGTCAGAGTCTTTGGTGATGCAAGTGTGGAAGGATCTTTTCTGAAAGATTTATGCCTCAAGTCTGGATTTGAGCTGAAGGGACATGACCTTGGCTTTGAACTTGAAAAAGGTTACCCTCTGTAAGAAAGTCCAGAGTCAGTATGAAGAGGTTTTCAGATCAGGACGGCAACAGAGAGTAAACAACACTGCAGAGTCTCTCTGAAATGTGCAAATATCATGACAAGGAGAGGTCTCCTTAGCTTTATTTACCCAGAATCCTCACGTAAGAGGTAGTCATCTGGGTGCTTAGAAATCAAAATGAATGACTCACTTTTTCAATTTTCATCAAAATAACCCTTGTTTTGTAAATATACACAAAAAAACTACCCATCATTTGAAATTTCTATTGTAAACCCCATTGTGAATGTATTATTGAAAAGATTGGAAAACCTTAAGGGAAATTCTCAACCAAATCTTTTTCTGAACAGCTTTTTTGAGTGGAATAATTATGGTATAATTCTTATGTCATACAACTAACACATTTAAATTGTACAATTCAGTGTTTTTAGTGTATTCACAGAATTGTATAACCATCAGCATTATCAATTTTAGAATATATTTGTCATCCCAAAATGAAACCCCACCTGTTCACAGTCGCTTCCCATTTCTCCTCAATCCCTCCCTAGACCAACAATAATCTCTTTCTCTGTGCCTCGTCTGGATGTTTTATATAAATGGAATCATACAATATGTGGTCTCTTGTGACTGGCTTATCTTGCTTGGCATCCTATTTTCAAAGTTTAGCCATATTGTCGTGTGCATCAGTACTTCATTCCTTTTTATGGCCAAATAATATTTCATCATTTTAGATATACTACATTTTATTTATCCATTCTTTAGTTGATGGACATTTAGGTTGTCTAAATATTTTGACTGTTGTGAACAGTGACCCTATGAATAATCTGGAATCGTTTTTGTGTGGACATACACCTAGGAGTGGAATTGATGAGTCAGAACCGAAGATTTTAACCAATATGTTTAAATTTTAGCAACACTGAAATACAGTGGATGTAACTAAAGAGAATATGGAAATGGCTATAAACGAAAATGCTTCTCAATGAAGAGTTTTACTCATTTGAACAAAGGAACTATCCCTCTTATTTTTTTAGTCTCTATAAAGTAAATGTTCCCAACACTTTTTGTCCATCTCCTCTGTCTTCAGTAGTGGCACACTGTCCATGAATTAAGGATATGAATACTAGGCAGGAAGTTAAATTCTGTTCTGCAAAAAAAGAGTATGTCATTTCTGCTTATTAAGACCATGATAAATGCAACTTGAATAAGAAGAATAATTGTTTAGTTAACACAATAGGAAAAAAAAGTTTAATAGAATACCAGCTCAGCCTTTTGGAGGCTTAGCATATTTGAATGGCAACATAGAACACTGTAGGGAAACTCTCAACCTGTCTCTAAAATCCAGAGTTTGAAGATGCAGTAAGGTTTTGAGCTTGTATTTTCTCATCCCTGAAAGTGCCAATTAAGATAATAAAATTTAGAGCCTATCCAAGTTGGAATTAGATCTTCACTGTGTGTGTCACTGAATATGACGACCTGGATGAGAACACCTATTAGAGGGGAGGCTCATTTAATGCACTGGAGATAGCTATGGTGTTCATGCAGCATGCACTGTGGAAGGCTGTTTGGATTGCATTTGATTACCACTGCTGTGTGTTTGATGTTTTGCAAGTATTCTATGGGGACTGCCTTTTCTTTTTCCAATTGAAAATAGGCTAGAAAAGGGATATAAACATGTTAGTGCTCTGAGAAAAAATAAAGATATTAATATATTTCTGCAAAAATTGTCTTTCTTGACCTGAATCATAAAAGGTATTGTGAACATAACAACTGACTGGATATTGTTTATATTGTCGGTAAATTTCAGTCAGTTGAAAATATTTTAAAGTCCATATATATCTGTGAAAGGCATAGATGTAAGCTGCATTTAATGTGCTCCAAAATCAAACAAGCAAGTATTTTACTTAAAATGTAGGTTATTGGCATACCTTTGTGTGTATGTTACTTCAATGTTGAACACAAGGTGTAAAAATACAGTATTTTACATTTCTGCAGAATCTTGTCACTACAGTTTTCTTTCATTTGAACTTAACAGATGCCAAGATTTTCCATTTAGTAAGTATTATTACTAGCAAATATATTATCTGGAACACAATCAGTATCAAATTCTGGCTTTCTAAGAATATTGAAAATGTATATGTAGAGGTGAATATTGCAGATAAACTGAGTACTGAAGGAAATGGTTGATTAAATATTATTCAGTTTGCTTTGTAGTATGATGAAACATTTTATATATACATATGTGCTAGCACACACATGCACAAACACATGCTTACATTGTCACAGGGAAACAAATACACATTATACCTCCACCCCCATTGCTACTACAAATAAAGGTCTTAACAAGGTAGGTTTCTTATCACACATCTTACAGTACATCAGTTAAGACTGAATCAGGGACAGCACAAGACAAAACAGAATCAAAAAGGTAGTGTGACTGCAGTATATACTGTACATTTAGTGAGTTTCTATTTATAATCCCGCCCACCCTCCTAACACATTTTACCCATCCCTGGCACTATGGTCCTCCCTATGACTCAGCTCCCAGGCCCTTCATGCGCCCCACAATCTTTTTTCTCTCCACCTTCTCATTTCTCTGTCTAGATTTATTCTTAGTAAAAACTGAGAATACTCTGTTTCAGAAGTTGTTAGAATTATCAAAGTTAAAAGAAGGAAAAGAAGCTGGTATTTCTGCAGTGTATCAGGTAGTTTCACCTACATTTTATGGCATATTTAAAGGACAAATTCTTCCCTATGACTAAAATTCTCCTGCTTGGAAAACAAATACCAAAATCATAGCCATTCCTAGTATCTGTAATTGCTAAAAATCAAAGTTGTCAAAGTTGAAGTTTATGAATGAAGGAAATATAGTTGTATAAAAGCAAAAAATGTGAAAACTTACATAGTAACTAGGATAAAATAATCCAAGAATAAATTTATTCCAGTCTAAGAAAAAACTTGATTTACCAAAATACGTATGGGATTTAGGGTAACTATTACATGTAAACCAATCATGTACTTTTTTGAAATGGTGACTGTTGCACACTTTACATTCTTTCTCTTATATTCATGAAATATACCACTAATATTTTGATATAAAAATATCTTCCCTGAGGTTTTTTTACTTAATATTTGCATAAATAGGCATACATCCATGCTTGGGAGGCAGGTTGAGAAAGAAGATTATATTTTACTGAAAAAAATTGTGGGAATCATAGTCTTACAAGTTTACTGGAGCTGCTAACAGAGCAGCATATGTGCAATGAGAACCATCCTTGATAACTGGTTTGCTTAGCCACTGCCCAAATCTCTAGATCTGAATCTTGTTTTCATTGCTGACTTTCTTTATGAACTCAGACACATACCATTAACCTCTCTGGACTTTGGATACTTTCTCAGAAAACGTAGAAGACAGATTGATTCTTCTTAAGCCTTGTTCCTGTCCTGGCATTCCTTAAGAATGAGGTTGCATCCAGCTGCAGTGTGGGTGCACTTGGGCTTAGTGCTTTTTCTGAGACACTGTGTTGAGCAGAGATCTTAGCCATGCACTGTTGGTGTGAACTCTGGATTCCTTCTGGTCATTACATGTCCTCTGGCACTGTTTTCCAGCTGAGGGCTGTGACCTCAGAGCCTTGGCCCTGTTTCATCTTTTTATGTGGATGTCCTCTGAAGTTTTAATTGCTTACACTGTCTTCCTTTTTGCTCCCTGTTCTGTCACCTTAGAAGTGGTCGTTAAAAGCTGCCATTTTACTCTTGAGGACTGGCACACCAAATGAGGGAACAATGTATGCTGCTGCTGCTGCTGCTGCTGCTGTTGCTGTTATTGTTGCTGCGGTTGTTGTGGTTGTGTGAGTTTAGGTGGCTGTGGAGAAACGTCTTTCAAGATTTAGCATCTGAAACGAGAAGTGTGTTGAGGAGATGGGATTTTCATATCGCCTGTTCTATCTTTGCATGCGGTGTAAAAGGTCAAAGCCTTGCTTCATCCGTAAAGCACCTTCTTTACATAATAGCGAGCATTGACTCTGGGCATAGCTTATGTCCCATCCCCTCTTTTCCTGAGGATTACTTTAAATAGAAATACCTGTCTATTATTTAAATATAATTTTGTCCTCTTTGTGTCTTCTGAGAGCTAGTTGCCCCTAGATGTCTTTCAGCCTTGCTCTTCAACAAAAATAGAACAAGTTTATTGGTAGCCCTTATGACACATCCCCCACAGTTGGATACTTGATCCTCCCCCTTTTAAATCTGCCCTCAATTCTTTCTAAAGCCATCTCTTTCTAAAGCAAGAGTTCTGCTTTCCTTTTGTTTTCAGATATATGTCCCTTCCCGATGTCTCCCTTCATTTCTAGGTTTCAGTTTTCAATGTTCTTTCATTTGGTCATAGACTTTTTCTGTGTTCTTTCTAAAACAATCAGTGTACTTTCAAGTTGTCACTTTTCATTCTCAGCTATGGGGTGAGGTAAGTAGGTGTTCAGATTTTTATTGATGTCAAGGCCTCCTCTTGTCGCTGAATTGGTTGCATCTTGTTCACAGTACTGAGTAATTATTAATATATCAAATCCAAGCTCATATGTTGATTGGACTGCCTCCTTTCCCCATGGATGTTGTAGTCTTGATTCTTTGTTGTATTTCAGAAAGGAAACCTCTAAAATTTTATTATTTTACATTTGAAATTGTTATTTCTATTTTATTGGAATTGGATTTTGATTGTGTATTATCTCATATGTGGAGAAATCAGGAATATCAACCATGTTATGCTACACTGATGATCAGTCAATGCATTGGCCCATAAAATGAACACAGTTATACACCAGAGATCAAATCATTCCCATTAAAACAACTAGATGCTAAAATAGCACTGATATTAGGAAAACCATGCTATGACATTAAAATAATTCAATCCAAGGTGAAACCGAAACTGATTTGTCTGAGATTGTACTACTTTACTGACCCATTTTATTAAACGTAATTTTTTAAAAGCACTTTTAGGAGGTAGATAGTATAGTGCATTATTGAGATTATAGGTGGTGGCTAAAGCCCTGTAAGTATATTACTGAAACAAATTTTTTCAATTCTCTGGTAGAATATGAACCAAGGTTTTTTTCAATATTAGCCTTTAAAAAACTCTTAATACTCCATAATTAGCCTACAATATAATAATTTGTTTCCACCTTTAGTATGACAAGCTATTTCTTGATTTTTTTCACTGAGACATAATTATATATATTTATGAAGTACATAGTATTGTCTCAATGCATCCAATATATAGTGATTAAGTTAGGTTAATGAGCATATCCTGTCACCTCAACATTCATCATTTCTTTGTGTTGAGAACATTCAAAATCCTCTCTTCTAGCTTTCTGAAAATATATAATAAATTATTGTTAGCTATGGTACTCGTACAGTGCTATGGAACAGTACAACTGATTTATCCTATCTGCCTAGAATTTTGTATCCTTTAATGAATTTCTCCCTATCTTTGCTCTCCCCACTCTTCCCAGCCTCTAAAAGCCACTACTCTACTCTCTACTTCTAGGAGATCAACTTTTCTTAGCTTCTACACAGGAGTGAGAAGATGAAATATTTATCATTCTGTGCCTGGCTTATTTGACTTAACATAAAGTCCTCTGGAGTCATCCATGTTGCCCCACGTGAGAGGATATTACTATTTTTTATGGCTGAATAGTATTCCATTATGTATATATACGTATTTTCTTCATCCATTCATCTGTTGATGGATACTTACATTGATTCCATACCTTGGCTATTGTGAATATTGCTGCAACAAATATGGTAGTGCAGACATCTCTTTATAATACTGATTTACTTTCCTTCAGATATATACCCAGTCATGGTATTGCTAGATAATGTTTATTGACTTTCATATTTGTATGGAGTAGAAAATGTATAATATGTATTATGATTTGTAATACATGTATTACTTACTATATACAAACAACAGAGCCAATAAAATGACATAGCCTATCTGTCAAGAAATCAACATGAGAGGAGACATTGTTGGTTTCAAGGGATATGCCTTTTTTCACAGGTAGGTTGATCTTTGCATAGGCTAAACTATTCACACTCTGTTTAGCTGCCTTGATCGTCTTTACTCTTGTTTGAGTAACTTGGTAATGGTGACCACCATATGATGAGGAGGAGGAGGAGGAGGAGAAGGAAGAGGAGGATTATATTATTGACCAAGATGATGACATCACTGACAATAGATAATACCAGAATATCTTGAAATCCTAATCCTTTAACAGCTGCTGGTTTGATTCCAGTTAGGCTTCTATTTTCTTGGCCCTAGTGCAGTAGATGAGCTCCTTGCACTTGATATATTTTCATCAATGAAAATAAAAAAGTGAAAATGCTGTGCTTTTTAGATTTCCCTCATGTGATGCTTGGGCTATATCATCACACTTCCTCCCTGGCAGTGGAATCATTACCTTCTGCTGTTACTAGTATAGATTTTCAGAAATCTTGTAATAAATCCACTGATTTGAGAGCAGTAGGAGCTTTTCTTTCTAGGTTGCCTCTCCAACATTTTCATCTTGATATGCATTACTTAGAATTCAGCCAAAATAAATAAAATCCAGCTCTGTCACTGCTTGACAAATATAATACATTGTCAGTGTACCTGTTTATTTCACTAATATACTCTATTTTCTTCTTCTTTCTCCTCTTCTTTTTTTTTTTTTTTTTTGTGACTGAGTCTCACTCTGTCACCAGGCTGGAGTGCAGTGGCACGATCTCAGCTCACTGCAACCTCCACCTCCTGGGTTCAAGCGATTCTCGTGCCTTAGGCTCCCGGATAGCTGGGATTACAGATGCGCGCCACCATGCCCAGCTAATTTTTGTATTTTTAGTAGAGACAGGGGTTTCACCATGTTGGCCAGGATGGTCCCCATCTCCTGACCTCGTGATCTGCCTGCCTCAGCCTCCCAAAGTGCTGGGATTACAAGCGTAAGCCACCGCACCTGGCCTCTATTTTCTTCTTAAAACCACGTTGATTGGGACTATGGCCTCTAATTTTCTCATAATTTAGCTGTTGTATGTTAGCATTGTCTTTTAGGTGCTATTTGCATTTTCCTTTTATTATTTAGAGAACACTTATGTAGCCAGATTTTTTTACCTTGAGAAAATGTTCTTAAAAGTGTAACTCCCGTGATCTAAGAAATGTCATTCAGCCAAGAAGTTACTCTAAGCTTTATTGTCTGAAATAATTTGGAAATAATTCTCTTTAAATTTCAGGAAAAAGAGGACATAAACCACTGTTATAGTTTCAGTTGTTTTTAACTATGTGTTGAAGCTTTCCCAGTCTCTTACCTTGTTTATTCAGTTGTGTTAATTTGGCAGTTAAAAGAATTGTGCCATCTTCATAGATGACTCATGTGGAAGTATACTATCTCTACTAACAGAAGTGACTACAGACATCCAAAAATGAATGCTAAGCCTGGGGAAAGAACCTCCTAAAAAAGAGTCAATATGTTTGATGACATTAAACTGCACACTATCATTTGTGAGTATTTTCACTTGTCAACTGGAAAACAACGGCAGGTCTTGAGATCTACCTCATCCTCCTCTGTTAGCCAGGAAAGGAGACAAGGTGTTGTCTTCAGGGTGTTTTCCCTTCATCATGGGCCACTTGGAGCCAAAAACATCAAGGGAAAGGAAGGAGCTTGGGCGGGTAGGCCTGGGTACGGGAGATACATTTTTGCTTAGTTTTCCTCAGGGATAGTCAGGACTCTATAATTAGCAGTCTAGTCAAAGAGAAGTTTGGAGGAACAAATGAGGGACCTTCTCCATCTCCATTGTCTCTCTATGCCTTCAACCAGGGAGGCAGTGAGTCTTTAGGGATCCAAGCTGTTACCCCTAGCTTGTTAACATTTAATAACTACATGACCTAAATAATGTTGTTCTCTTTTCACAATTCTCAGTTGCAAATGGGAGAGTAGTATAATGATTGCCATTGGATGTCCATTTACTCTTTCAGCCATTGACCGCCCTTATTCCATTAAACAGAAAGTAGTGACTCTTTCCTGACTCTCTTAACGAGATTTCTGACCTTTTCCCCTGCTTTATATTGTCTTTAGAAGTAAAGATTCCATTTGATGAGTGGAATTATCTCCCCCATATTAATGGTGATGAATGCTCTTGAGAGGCTAATGCATGCAATTTAACAAATTCAAACTC
Source organism: Homo sapiens (assembly GCF_000001405.40). Taxonomy (NCBI): domain Eukaryota; kingdom Metazoa; phylum Chordata; class Mammalia; order Primates; family Hominidae; genus Homo; species Homo sapiens. Next base: position 2,531,818 of record NC_000003.12, read on the forward strand.
GAGTCAAAATCTGTCTTAATATTCATAATAAGAACTTATGTGATGTCCCTGACATCCAGCAGAAATAACCTGTGGCAGTGTTCGCTCTAATACTTGATCTTGTAAGAGAAAATTTCAACCTTATACACATTTTAGAATTACAACTGAGCCAGCATTACAGTGCTAAAGAATGAGAAACTGTTGTGTTGCCTGTTTTTGAAATGTAACAAAAGCCATGTTTTGAGAGTAATTGACTTCTTAACTCACACTGGACTTTTCATGTCTTGAGTTCCCTCAACCTGTATTCTTGTGGCTGATTTTGCTAAATATATGTACTTATAAATCTCCTGCTTATTGGAAGATTATACATTTCAAGTTCAAAGATGTAAAATAGACTAGTATTTCTCTATTTTGTGAGATAGTTTTTCCTAGGTCTTATGGCAGGATTTGGGGTTTTGTTTTTTGTTTTTTTGAGAGACAGCATCTCACCCTGTCACCCTGGGCTGGACTGCAGTGGTGCAATCATGGCTAACTACAGCCTTAATCTCCCTGGGCTCAGGTGGACCTCCTCCCTCAGCCTCCTAAGTAGCTGGGACCACAGGCATGCACCACCACATCCATCTAACTTATGACAGGTTAAAGGGAGAATTCTTTCTTTTGACCAAAATGTTTGTACTAGGAACAAAAAATAAAAATAGTAGCCATCCCTAGACTCTGTATTTTTGAAAATCAAAATTGTAAGTAGAAGTTGACTAACGAAGGAAATATAGTTCTATGAAAGCAACCACTTTTTAAACTTCCTGCTTTGCACATAGTTAACTGGAAGAAAAGGAAACCAAAAACAAATATATTCTACTCTCAAAAAGCTTAATTTACCAATTATTAGTGAAAACTATTGTAAATATTCATTTAAAAACAAGAGTTGTTTACATTCTTAAAAAAGTAACTATAGCAGTCTTCATACTCTTTCGTGTCATACAGTAATAAGATTATATTTTGATAGAAAAAAGTCATATCTTCCCTGAAGTTTTTTTATTTAATATTTACATAAATAGACATATATCCATGCTTGGGAGGCAGGGTGGGAAAAGAGATTATATTTTACTGAAAAACACTGTAGAACTCATAGCCTTACGAGTTTACTGGGGCTGCTAACAGAGCAGCATAAGAAATGAGAACCATCCTTGATCATTGGTTTGCTTAGTCACCGCCCAAATCTCTAGATGTGAATCTTGTTTTCATTATTGACTTTCTTTATGAATTCAGACATGTGACATTAACCTCTCTGGACTTTGGCTACTTTCTCGGAAAATGTAGAAGACAGATTGATTCTTCTTTTTTTTTTTTTTAATTATACTTTAAGTTCTAGGGTACATGTGCACAACAGGCAGGTTTGTTTCATATGTATACATGTGCCATGTTGGTGTGCTGCACCCATTAACTCATCATTTAGCATTAGGTATATCTCCTAATGCTTTCCCTCCCCCTCCCTCCACCCCACAACAGGCCCTGGTGTGTGATGTTCCTTTTCCCGTGTCCAAGTGTTCTCATTATTCAATTCCGACCTATGAGTGAGAACATGCAGTGTTTGATTTTTTGTCCTTGCGATAGTTTGCTGAGAATGATGGTTTCCAGCATCATCCATGTCCCTACAAAGGACATGAACTCATCCTTTTTTATGGCTGCATAGTATTCCATAGGGTGTATATGTACCACATTTTCTTAATCCAGTCTATCATTGATGGACATTTGGGTTGGTTCCAAGTCTTTGCTATTGTGAATAGTGCCACAATAAACATATGTGTGCATGTATCTTTATAGCAGCATGATTTATAATCCTTTGGGTATATACCCAGTAATGGGATGGCTGGGTCAAATGGTATTTCTAGTTCTAGATCCTTGAGGAATCACCACAATGTCTTCCACAATGGTTGAACTAGCTGTTCCTATTTCTCCACATCCTCTCCAGCACCTGTTGTTTCCTGACTCTTTAATGATTGCCATTCTAACTGGTGTGAGATGGTGTCTCATTGTGGTTTTGATTTGCATTTCTTTGATGACCAGTGATGATGAGCATTTTTTCATGTGTCTGTTGGCTGCACAAATGTCTTCTTTTGAGAAGTGTCTGTTCATATCCTTTGCCCACTTTTTGATGGTTTTTTTTTTTCTTGTAAATTTGTTTGAGTTCTTTGTAGATTCTGGATATTAGCCCTTTGTCAGATGAGTAGATTGCAAAAATTTTCTCCCATGCTGTAGGTTGCCTGTTCACTCTGATGGTTGTTTCTTTTGTTGTGCAGAAGCTCTTTAGTTTAATTAGATCCCATTTGCCAATTTTGGCTTTTGTTGCCATTGCTTTTGGTGTTTTAAACATGAAGTCCTTGCCCATGCCTATGTCCTGAATGGTATTGCCTAGGTTTTCTTCTAGGGTTTTTATGGTTTTAGGTCTAACATGTAAGTCTTCAATCCATCTTGAATTAATTTTTGTATAAGTTGTAAGGAAGGGATCCAGTTTCAGCTTTCTACATATGGCTAGCCAGTTTTCCCAGCACCATTTATTAAATAGGGAATCCTTTCCCCATTTCTTGTTTTTGTCAGGTTTGTCAAAGATGTGTGGTATTATTTCTGAGGGCTCTGTTCTATTCCATTAGTCTATATCTTTCTTAAGCCTTGTTCCTGTCCTGGCATTCCTTAAGAATGGAGGTTGCATCCAGCTGCAGTGTGGGTGCACTTGGGCTTAGTGCTTTTTCTGAGACACTGTGTTGAGCGGAGATCTTAGCCATGTACTGTTGGTGTGAACTCTGGATTCCTTCTGGTCATTACGTGTCCTCTGGCACTGTTTTCCAGCTGAGGGCTGTGACTTCAGAGCCTTGGCCCTGTTTCATCTTTTTATGTGGATGTCCTCTGAAGTTTTAATTGCTTACACTGTCTTCCTTTTTGCTCCCTGTTCTGTCACCTTAGAAGTGGTCGTTAAAAGCTGCCATTTTACTCTTGAGGACTGGCACACCAAATGAGGGAACAATGTATGCTGCTGCTGCTGCTGTTGCTGTTATTGTTGCTGCGGTTGTTGTGGTTGTGTGAGTTTAGGTGGCTGTGGAGAAACGTCTTTCAAGATTTAGCATCTGAAACGAGAAGTGTGTTGAGGAGATGGGATTTTCATATCGCCTGTTCTATCTTTGCATGCAGTGTAAAAGGTCAAAGCCTTGCTTCAGCTCTAAAGGACCTTCTTTACATAATAGCAAGAATTGACTCTGGGCATAGCTTATGTCCCATTCCCACTTTTCTTGAGGATTACTTTAAATAGGAATACCTGTCTATTATTTAAAGGTAATTTTGTCCTCTTTGCGTCTTCTGAGAGCTAGTTGCCCGTAAGATGCCTTTCAACCTTGTACTTCAACAAAAATAGAGCAAGTTTATTGGTAGTCTTTATGACACATCCCCCATGGTTGGATACTTGATCCTCCCCCTTTTAAATCTGTCCTCAATTCTTTCTAAAGCTATGACTTTCTGATGCAAGAGTTCTGCTTTCCCTTTGTTTCCAAATATGTATCTCTTACTGATATCTGTCTTCACTTCTAAGTTTCAGTTTTCAATTCTCTTTCATTTGATCATAGGCTTCTTCTGTGTTTTTTCTAATACTATCAGTGTACTTTCAAATTTTCACTTTTCTCCTTCAACCATCATGTGAGGTAGGTAGCTGTTGAGATTTTCATTGACGTCAAGGCCCTCCACTTGCCTCTTTAGAGACTTGCTTGCTTTTTGTTCACAGTACTTGGTAATTATATCACATCCCAGTTCATATGCTGCTTGGACTAGCCCTTTCATGATAGAGATTCCTATGTTCTAATCTATTCCTAAGTGCTAAGAGGACCCCTGTTTCTTTATGTTAAACCTTAAAAAGCATCTCTGTTGGATTTGGTAGTTGTATATTTTGATGTTATTTCTACTATTATGTTTTTGAACATTTTAACAAGAAGAGAAAACCTTTTTTTGTCCATGCATGTTTAAGAGACCCCCTCAAAATAGACTGAGTCAAAAATATCCCTTTCAGTAGTACACTTTCAAAATGTTTGAGATGTCTCTGTGAAAGGGCTAATCTGGAAGTCTTTGACAGTTTGGAAGCCTGAAGAAATCCCCCATTTTCCCAAAGCTGTGTTTTTGAAGACTGTTCTTCAAAGAGCAAGCCCACCGTTTTGCTATTAGTGCCAAGAAAGAACAATGAGTAGATTTTCTGTGTCACAAAGAAAAGTAGTAGACGGAAGATCTGATTGCCACCATGTTGCATTTAAAACCTCATTTTCTTTAGAGAACTGTCCACAGGACTCTCCAATAGGCAGGGATTTAAGGGTGAAACAGTTCAGAACCACATCTCCCACCATATAACTCAAAGATGACGTTTATATATCTGGGAACCTTTTAAAAACCATCTAGATCTATGGGTAAATTTCAAATCCACAAAGTTCAACTGGATGGAAAGTTTACTCAAATGCATTCTTTCGTCCCAGTTTTTAAGCCTAATCCTACTGCTTTTAGGCTGACTGAAATTTATAGAACTGAAATCATCATTGTATCTCCCCAGTGACTGGTGGTGATATTTGACTTCATATACTGAGACCAATTTTTATTTAATTCACATTTTTGGAAGAGCTTGACCTGAAAGTCATTGCCCTATGCTGAAAAGATTGAATTGGTTTTCTCAAGTATATATCATAAAAACAGTTGATCCTATCGAGGTGAGGTCATATCAAAGTAGTACACTGAAATTGAGCCCTGAAGAAAATATTTTTTAAATAATTTTTTTTTTTTTTTTGGTAGAGACTGGATCTTACTTTATTTCCTAGGCTGGTCTTGAACTCCTGGCTTCAAGTCATCCTCCTGCTTTGGCCTCCCAAAATGGTGGGATTACAGGCATGAGCCACAAGCCACCCCTAAAAAATGAATATATTTTTCAGATATCAAGGCCTAGCAATTTTCCTAGGTCAGCAAATATAGTCTCTTCTTTCTGTACTTCACAATGCAACATTTGATATTGAGTAGATGTTGTAGAACATTACGTTGAAGAGCCCAGGTTCTAGAATACCACCATATAGTTTAGATCTTGGCTTTGGTGCTCGATCATTGTGACTTTGAGAATATTGCTTAAAATTTTCTTTCCTCAGCTTGTCTCATTTATAAAATAATATAAAAGCCACTCTCTACCATGTAGTGTTTTTGTGCCTAATATATGAGTAGTATGGAATTGAATCTTAACCCACTAGCATCTGTAGTATGTGCTACTGCAGTATACGAAAAGATGCAGTAGATTTCTAAATTTTGGGGGGAATATTGTGTTTTATGCACATGCGTTCTATAAGGGAAATTTAGGAAACCATGTAGTGCATGTTTTCATACACTATATTTGTACTGGTATGAAGTCACACAGACAGTTGGAATACTGTCCCGAAGATATATAATTGTTTGAGTCACAGAGGTTCCTACGACTCCATTAAGACAGAAGGTATAGCCTAGAGTTGGTGGGTCTGAGACAGTGTCTCCAAAGTCTGAAGGATAATAACTGAATATAGACTCCAAAATTTAAGGCTTCAGCATCCTCAGAGTCCTTGCATTTGTGAGAGCTATGTCTGTGATGTTGCCGTTTGTCACCAGGATACTTTATGTTGTCTTTTAAGTGTTAGGTGTCCAGATGCAGATCACCTGCATCTTGCCTCATATGTCTCTCTGAATGTAAAGATTTTGCCTACATCTGATGAAAACTGTCCACTGTTCACATTATTTGTCATATGTATCTGCTTGGAGCAGAGTAAGACACTTCTAAGGGAACTTGACATTTCATGACCCAGGATATCAGATTCATCCTTACCACTAGCTACTCTCTGAAATTTGGGAATTTCGTTGGTCTTATGGACCACGATCATGAGACTTTTTAGAAAGATGAACTAAAAAATCGCTATTCATGCATCCATTTATTCATTCATCCACATATCCACCCATCATAAACATTTACTTCAGTTACTTATCCTTCTGCAGAAGGGAGCAAGCTGAAAACAAAGTAATTGGGGGTACATCTCCAATAACCCTCCTTCTGGAAGTGGAATGAAACTCCCTCCTTCCCGTCAAGTCTCTTTACATAAGTAAATTGTATAGAATGAATTGTGCTCCTCCCCCTACCCCCAAAATTCATCTGTTTTGAAGGCATAACCCCCCTGTACACCTGATTGTGACCTTATTTGTAAATAAGGATATTGCAGATGTAATTACTTAAGGTGATATCATATAGAAGTATGGTGGATCCCTAATGTCATATGACTGGTGTCCTTATAAAAGGGGGAAATTTGGACACAAATAGACACACAGGGAAAACACCATGTGAAGACTGGAGTTATTCTGCACAAGCCAGGAAACCACCAGAAGCTAAATAGAAGGAGACCTTTTCCTAGTGCCTTCAGAGGGAACATGGCCCCACTGACACTTTGATCTCAGACTTCTAGTCTTCAGAACTTTGACACAATACATTTCTCTTGTTTAACTCAGTTTACGTTACTGTGTTACAGCAGCCCTAACAAAGTCATGGAGTAAACTCTGGGATTAATCCCTTTCCCCAACATTTCATAAACTATTCTTTATCTACTTAGCAATGCATTTTGGATATTCTTCTGTGTCAGTAAATATGTTTCTATGTTATTTCTAATAGTTTTAATATATATAGTTATTTCCCAAATTAAAAAAAGTTAATCCGTTCACTTTGATATACATTAATATACTAACTTGTCTCTAATTTGTATTAATAGTTAAAAATTCTGCAGAGTGGTGGTGTAATCTGGTTTACATTTGAAGCTATTGATTGTACTTGTTAACTTTCATAACTGCTATTTTATATACTTATATTTCATGTTATTATAAAGTTCTTAAATTGGCTAATTTTTAAAAACAGGAATGAATAACAAAGAAATAAAATATAATCATTCCTAATGGCAGTTATTTTTCTTATGTATTCATGCCTAGTTTTCACCAATGTGCATGTATTTTATCTATTTCTAATATACATATATATGCACACACAGACACACACCCACAATGTTCTTTAATTTGATTTATTACTTAATATATTATAAATATATTTGCTTTTATAGTACCTTTATGGAATATTTGGAATCCCCATACAATTTTCCATCAAATATATATGCTCAAAATATTATTGATGTAACTACTCCCCATTATTGAACATTTAGTTTCTTTTTAGCTTTAAGCTATTGGAATTTGTGCTGTAGAACCTATAACTATCCTAACCATAAGAAGGATAGGTCAAAGGTTATGAAACTTTGTTGATCTTCTGTAATTATTTTCATAAGGATTTTCCATAAGCAAGATGATAGTGAAATTGACTAATTTAGGTTGACAATTTATTCTTGAAATTAGCATAAACCAGCAGTATACAAAACAGTAATGTAGGGATAAGATTCAATTTAATGCTACATTTTAGTAATCAGAATTCTGATTTTCTGAATATATTGTGTCCTTTATCAGGTGAATGCTTTCGCTGTTGATATGAACCTCATCTTTCCCCATTCCTGCAACCTAATGCTTTGTCTTTAAATTCTCTGTCAATTGGCACTAATTTCTTTTGAGACGTGTTTTGGAAACAAATAAGATTTTTCTTAGTTTACCAACTTAACTATTTTTTCCTTAATCTCCACTTATGATAATAATCTTGAGAACAAAAGTATTTAGAAATGCCCTAGGTATAAATCCCGAAGAGATTGAGTATAATAAGCCGTCCATGGTATTTACACTTGGAAAGCAAACTTTGACTCTTTGCCCTTTACCACGTAGACTTGATGCAAAAATCAATGAGATGTTCTAGGTTTATGAATTTGATTTCTTTTTATCTTTTTCACAATGAAGGAAAACAAATCAAATTAATGTTACAAGTAAACAGATTTCCGAGCTTTGCTACCTAATGCTGAACATCTACGTACTTCAAAGACAATATAGAATCTTTGAGATAAAATGGCATTTTTTTCCCTTATGATAACTGATATTCAGGATTGGAAACAGTTTGCCTCAAGAAAATGCTGCTTTGCATACTATAAAATGCCGGTGATTACTCAACTCTTGCAGTGTTAGATCTAGGAGGGAACTCAAGAGTTATTCCAATTTTTTTCCATGCAGACTCAATAATGACATTGAGAGAATAACTTTTAATAATACAGGTATCTATTATTAAAATGAAAATGGCAGAGGACAAGATAATATGCCATAATCTGCTTCATCAGTGTTGTGTGTGTGTGTGTGTGTGTGTGTGTATCAGCAAATATTTTTTCAGCTAACTAATAGGTGATATAAAAAATTGGGGTTGTAAGACCTATCCATAGAAACAATCATAAATTACTAGCCATAGAATTTATTTGCCTCCCTTTGGAAGTTTATTTCCTTTTGTGATTAATAACAAACTTGAGGGTAGGTGTATGTGGTTGAATGGTAACAGGCACCCAAGGTTTGGTTACGTGGGATTGCATCATGTTGCTTGGCACCACCCAGCTGAGTCTCCAAACAGCTAGTTTGGAGGCATGTGTCTCGTGGGCATGGAGTGTTAATTTCTCTTGCAGCAAAACAGAAAGCGGCCGACTGAGAGAGTGGAGGCATGGGTGTGGTTGAAGAGCACACAGGAGAAAAGACGGTGGGGGAATATCATTTTTTTGGTTCTGCTTCTACTCCAGTACTGGATGCCATAAGATATTGCCTACTGCTATGGACATTTTATTTTAAAAAGTAGTAGGAGTTTCAGTATGATTTATTCATTGTCTATAGAAATCCTAATGTGGATTATGTTCATACACAATATACAGAAGTATAGATATTAAATAGTCAATTTCATAAACATAATCTTTAAGTAATTGTGAGTCAAAAATATTCAGGGTCCAATTACAAGGAAAAGTACAATTTTTTAACAATGCTTTATGTATTTTATTTGTCTTGATCCAAGGTTTATAAAGTAGTTTAAATCCTGTGCTTACTTAACTTTTCTGTTTATTTGCCAATTAATAGAGAGGAGATAAATGAAAAGGATCAGATAGGAAGAAGGGAAGCAGCCAATATTGTCAAACTAACAATGGAACCAATTGTACCTGTGATGTTATATTGGCGAGTACAGAAATATTGAAAAACATATTAGGATTTCAAAGCATCTGTTTTGCATATGAGTAAACGGAGGGTTATGAGATTTCTTCACTCATTACATAGCTGGAACTTATACCCAAGTCCTTATCTCCAAGTCTAATCTCCTATCTTTCTTCAGCTATCTTCTGGGTCTTGGGGCCAGATTTAGGGTGTTTGAAGAATTATTTGTTTGCACCCTTAAACTCATTTGAATTTTGTAAACTCTTAAGTATAGTAACTTCACATTAGGTGTTGCACTTGCACAGGGCAACTTTGGCTAATGGTTATTGGAAATGTGGAGTATGGGCCTTCTAGGGCACTTTCCTTAGTTTTTTTCTTTTTCTGGAGTGAGGTGAGGCTATAAAAAATAGACAATATTAAAGCATATAGTCGTTTATGTATTCAATACTTTTCTATGCCAACAGATCCTCTCAGTGTACTATTATGCACCTTATTTTGCAAATAAGTCAAGAGAAAAACCGTTTTTTCCATATTAAGGAATCATATAGGACAGGCAGGGTTTATATAAAATTCTGATAGCACTTAGTAAAGCTTCGTTCTCCCTAAAGTGGGTACAATAGAAGGTAAGCTTTGGAATTTTAAGAGTATTCACTGTTCATGACACTGTTTATCCTACATTTGTCACATATCATTTTCTCAGGATATCTGACATAACCTCTCCAAGATATTTGGTTTAAAATTAATTGGCAGTCAATGGCAAAGGGTAGAGTCACTTAAATTTGCTGAAGCAAGCACAGTAGCATCTACCAGAGTATATGTCAGATTGTTCTCAGACCGCCAAGGGCAAAAATATGTGCTGAGGGAGGCTGTACTGGTGCCACTGTGTTGGAGGCCTTCTTCAACTCTTAATTAGCTTGCTATGAGTGGAGATGCCATCTTGACTGGCTCTCTGGGAACCATTAGGCAGGGCCACTGACCTTGGCAACTCTAATATTTATCTCTGTGGAACTGAGTTGTGAAACTAAAAGGCACTGCACAGGTGTTTCCAAATATTTTAAACCAGCAATGGAGAGACTATTAATTTAGGCCATTAAAACTAACTACCAATGTATAGAGTGACCTGGTACAGGACACTCTGCAGGTATCAATCTACCTTTGGGTCAGTAGCACAGTGCCCCTTGCCTTCTGCCACCACATTAGAGGCATCATTTTTATTTTTAGCCTGGACATAACAGCTGGTTAAATTATGTGAGGAGTAGCTCTTCTTGATAAGATCAGCAAAGATGCTAGAAGTAAGACTGACTGTGAAATAGCTGCAGCCAACTGGCCTCTCAGCCATCATTCTTATCTCCTGGATAAATAAGAAGCCTGCAATTACATTTTGAAAATCTCTAATAGTCAGATAGGCAAAACAGGACTTCCATGGACTCAGGTTGAAAGGTTTGATTGTGAGTTGTGATTTAAGGCCAAAGGAAGAGAAATAGCCAAGAGAGAACAGTATAGATAGGAGACAGAATCTCAGTAATGAACTAGCACCAGAAAATCTTCTGCAAAGAATATACACAAGAAATAATCTCCAAGACACAGGATTTAAGCTTCTGCATTTTCTTTCTATTCCTAACAGTGTGCCTAGCAACCGCTGATATAGTACAAATTTTGCTGAATGTCAGATCGAGAGCTCTGGAAGGTTTATATCTGCAGGAGATTAAGGTACAAATATTTCCAGATTCGTTTCAGGGTGGCAAGATCAACTCACAGCATGAGGCTTCTGTCATCATAGAGATGCTTTGTGGTACTTTCTCTTCTTTCGTAAATGAACTGGCAAAATTGCCACTTGAGTCAAATGGAAGAAGGCAAAATGTTGTGTTAGCTGTTCTGGGGAGTGAGTGGCATGTTTCCTGGGCCAGATAGTGGATCCATATTCAGTAAGGGGACTGACTCAGTGCTCTTTGTGGAACTAGAAGATCAGAAAACAACTGATCATGCTTACGTTGTATTCATGATGGCCTTGAAAAGAAACATTTCCACCCATTATGTTACCACTATATTGAACATGCACTAATAGAATAGAAGTGGAAATCATCAGCATTAACACAGATTAATTTTATGAAAGGTCACAGCCAGATTGTATACATGGACATGCCATAGGATGGACCAAGATAAATCTTTACCATTTATTTAGTTCTTCATTGCTCTGGGAAACCTATATTTTGTCAGTTACAGGAAATATATAGCTCAATGGCTACCATTAGTTTGAAAAATAACAGAGGATATATTTTGGCCTGAAAGGAACAGAGGTCTAATGTTATTGCAGCTGTAATAAAGAACTAAGCGCCTGACCTTATGCTTGAAAGAGTTACCAGGTGAAGACAGAGCTGTTCACTTAAAGCACTCAGATTCAGAAGCAATCCTTAAAAACAAAACCCAGAGGAAAACCATTTAATAAACAAATAATAAGGCATGCTGGAGAGGCAGTTGTGGGAGTCTAAGTGTAGTCAAGTGTTTCCGTCTTAGTGCTTGTTCCACTTAGCCAGAGCTCTGGGTCACCTGGGATTTGGGCCCTGGGAGGGGATAACAGTGTGTACGGGTTTAGCACTGGACTCTGCTGTGCATTCAACTTGGAGATACCATAGGCCAACTGGAGCTCACAGGCTTCACAGCTTCATCGATTTTTAGCTTCAGTGAGGATAATAGGGAGCCAAAACAAGACAATTTCATTGCTCCATCTCTGCTACCTCATTTCTTTTTCCTCAGTATGCATTTAGACGTTGCAGAGAGTTCATGGGACAGACAAAGAAAACCCTTTGCTGTGTTCACAAATGGTCCAAGACTGAATTAAGAATCACAATGATATTTTCTCTATTAGTTAATACATTATTTAACTTTATATTATACATTGAGTATTTAAGTTGTTTTAAGTGCTGTTTTACTTGCATATATTAAGACAAATATTACCTGGTTGATTTCCACACAGTGGACTTTTAAAAAATCATTCAATCAAGAGCTATCTTGGTATGAAGGTAAGGAAGCGACAAGCCTCTGTGGTAGACATTGAACTTTTCATATTTTGGATATATCTGTCCTCTTTTTTCCTTTGAGAACACACAAGAGAATCCTTATTATTAATTTGTTAATTCAGAAACCTTTCTTGAGTAAGCTACATATTTTTATAAATTCACACTTACAAATCAAGAACCTGATACTACCTGTAATCCTAACAAATAAAATTAAATCTTTCTCAGACCCCACGTGCCAATATTCATGATTGTCCCATGACAGCGAGTGGTGCCTTTATCTTTTACAATTATTCACGCATCAAGCTTAAGTATTTTGGTAAATGATGGAGACACGCTCCTCAGTGCCTTAGTCCTCCTTGGAGAACATGGGAAGAAAGATTGTTCTTCTGCAATCATAAGCAGACTGTGGCCATCCAAGAATCCAAGTATATTCTTAAACAAGCTTGGTCTCACCAAAAATAGTTGAATAGAATATTGCCCAGTCATCAAGAAATCAGCAAACATTTTAAGCACCTTTAAAGTATGCTGTGCTAGGCATTCTGATGGGATACAAAAAATGTGAGGATACATTTTAATTAAATAAAAACAATATGAGTTTCTGTCCTCAAGAAACTTATAATTGGGAAAAGAAAACAAAGTACAGTATTCAATTTCTTCCTGGTTCAGTTTTGGGAGATTGTGTGTCCGGGGTTTTATCCATTTCTTCTAGATTTTCTAGTTTGTGTGCATTGAAGTGTTCATGGTAGTCCCTGAGGGTTTTTTGTATTTCTGTGGGGTCAGTGGTAATGTCCCCTTTGTCGTTTCTAAATGTGTTTACTTGGATCTCTGCTCTTTTTTTTTTTAATTAGTCTAGCCACTAGTCTATTTATCTTCTTAATATTTTCAAAGAACCAATTCCTGGATTCATTGATCTTTTGTGTGGTTTTTCACATCTCAATTTCCTTCAGTTCAGCTCTGATTTTGGTTATTTCTTGTCTTCTGCTAGCTTTGTGGTTAGTTTGTTCTTTGTTCTCTATTTCCAGTGGTTGTGATGTTAGGTTGTTAATTTGAGATCTTTCTGAATTTTTGATGTGGGTGTTTAGTGCTGTAAACTTTTCTCTTAACACTCTCTTAGCTGTGTGCCAGAGATTGCGTTATGTTGTATCTTTGTTCTTATTAGTTTCAAAGAATTTCTTGATTTCTGCCTTAATTTCATTATCTACCCAAAAGTCTTTTAAGAGCATGTTGTTTAATTTGCAGGTAATTGTATGGGTTTGAGAGATTTTCTTAGGATTGATTTCTATTTTTGTTGTGCTATAGTTGTTGCTACAATTTTGAGTTTTTTGCATTTGCCTGAGGATTGTTTTATGTCCAATTGTGTGGTCAAATTTAGAGTATGTGTCATGTGGAGATGGGAATATGTACTCTGTTGTTTTGGGTTGGAGAGTTCTGTAGATGTCTTTTGGGTCCATTTGGTCAAGTGTTGGGATCAGGTCCTGAATATTTTTGTTAATTTTCTACCGCAATTATCTGTCTAATGCTGTCAGTCGGGTGTTGAAGTCTCCCACTATTATTGTGTGTAAATATAAGTCTCTTCATAGGTCTCTGAGAACTTGCTTTATGAATCTAGCTGCCCTTGTCTTGGTTGCATATATATTTAGGGTAGTTAGCTTCACTTATTGAATTGAACCCTTTACTGTTATGTAATGCCTTTTTTTTTTTTTATCCTTTTCATCTTTGCTGGTATAAAGTCTGTTTTGTCTGAAATCACGATAGCAACTTCTCCTTTTTTTTCTGTTTTCCATTTGCTTGGTAGATATTCTTCCATTCCTTTATCTTGAGCCTGTGAGTGTTATCGCATGTGAGGTAGGCCTCTCTTGAAGACAGCATATCATTGGGTCTTGCTTTGTTATCCACCTTGCCACTCTGTGCCTTTTAATTCCAAGGACATGAACAGACACTTTTCAAAAGAAGACATACAGTATGCAGCTAACAACCTTATGAAAAAATGCTCAACATCACTAATCATTAGATTAATGCAAATCAAAACCACAATGAGATACCATCTCACACCACTCAAAATAGCTATTATGAAAAAGTCAAAAAATAACAGATGCTAGCAAGGTTGCAGGAAAAAAGGGAATGCTTATACACTGCTGGTGGGAATGTAAAGTAGTTCAGCCATTATGGAAAGCAATGTGGTGATTTGTCAAAGAACTTAAAACAGAATTAGCATTTGACTCAGCAGTCCCATTACAGGTTATATACCCAAATGAATATAAATCATTCTGCCCTAAATACACATTCACTGCAGCACTATTCACAATAGCAAAGATGTAGAATCAACCTAAATGCCTATCAACAGTAGACTGGATAAAGAAAGTTTGGTACATATATACAATAGAATACTATGCAGCCAAAAAAAAAAAAAGAACAAGATAATGTCCTTTGCAGCAACATGGATGGAGCTGGAGGCCATCATCCTAATCAAACTAATTGCAGGAACAGAAAACTGAGTACTGCATATTGTTACTTATAAGTGAACACATGGACACAAAGAGGGGAAGAATAGGCACTGGGGCCTCCTTGAGGGTGGCGAGTGTGACGAGGTGGAAAATCAGAAAAAATATTTGGTACTTTCTTATTATATGCATGATGAAATAATCTGTACACCAAACCTCCATGACACACAGTTTACCTATGTAACATGTTTGTTAACCTGCACATGTACTCCTGAACCAAAAATGAAAATTTAAAAAAAACAAAATATGAACAAAGTCCCAATGTAAGAGACAAATATCAGTTCAATTAAGTACAGATATTGATTAAATTGGTAGCAGGAATAATAAATACTTCAGCAGAGTAGAAGAAGAAGAAATGGCCATGGGCTATCCTGGCCTTTAAGATAAATGGAAGAAAATGAATATGAGCAGTATCCTGAAGGATTGGTAAGATTTACACCAATTTCATTCCGAGCGGATGTTCTAGCATGCACAAAAGTAAAAGCAGGAAAATGTAAAATCATTAGGTATGATGATGATAGTAGTTAACTTTTATTGAGTACTTGAGAGATCCCACGTAATATTGATTAATCTGCACCAGAACATCTAAGACAAATTTAAGACATGCCAGTGGAAAAGCTTAGCCACAGATTCGATGTAGGTGATAAAAATAAAGGGAATGAGAAAGCTAAACATTGGGAGAAATTAGCAAAAACTCCAGGTCTTCAAGACTGGGTAGCTGGAAGAACATGGTATAGATCTACTAATACGAGTGTCTTTTGACAGACCTGGTTTACAGAGAAGAGATCAGGGTTTTGTATGATATTTATTTATTTATTTATTTATTTATTTATTTATTTATTTATTTATTTTGAGATGGGATCTCATTCTTGTCTCTCAGGCTGGAGTGCAATGGCACGATCTCTGCACACTGCAACCTCTGTCCCCTGCATTCAAGCGATTCTTTGGCCACAGCCTCCCTCTAGTAGCTGGGATTATAAGTGCTCACCACCATGCCCAGCTAATTTTTGTATTTTTAGTAAAGATGGGGTTTCGCCATGTTGGCCAGTCTGGTCTCAAACTCCTGACCTCAGGTGATCTGCCTACCTCGGCCTTCCAAATACTGGAATTGCAGGCGTGAGCCATCATGCCTGGCCATGAGATAATTTTTAATGAATTTAATGGAATGATTCAAGAAGAAATATTCAGTAAACATTTAGAAAGTTGGGAACTGGGATTCCAGAGAGGCTCAACTGGAAAAACACTTAATAGTCAAATGCCTAGGGAAGGTAGCTTCATTCACCAGAATGAAACCAAAAATTGTGAACCTCCTTTAGAAGTTTTACATCTAGAGAACCATGAAACAAAGTGAATTTTCATTTATCTTTAAGTCCAAAGAGAACTTAATAACCCTCATGTTTCTCATGATACTGTCCAAAATCCACAGATCCCCAGGAAATTATTTCTTGTTTTCACAGAGACATGCGTATTAAAGCTAACTGAAGAAGGCAAAAAGGAAAACAAAATGACTGTGAACAGACTAGGTGTATCTGTTCTGTTCATATCCTTTGCCCACTTTTTGATGAGGTTGTTTGTTTTATTCTTGTAAATTTGTTTAAGTTCCTGGTAGATTCTGGATATTATCCCTTTCTCAGATAGATTATTAGCCCTTTGTCAGATGGATAGATTGCAAAAAATTTTCTCCCATTCTGTAGGTTGCCTGTTCACCTTGATGATAGTTTCATTGCTGTGCGGAAGCTCTTTACTGTAATTAGATCCCATTTGTCTATTTTGGCTTTTGTTGCCATTGCTTTTGGTGTTTTAGTCATGAAGTGTTTGCCCATGCCTATCTCCTCAATGGTATTGCCTAGGTTTTCTTCTAGGGTTTTTATGGTTTTAGGTCTTACATTTAAGTCTTTAATTTATCTCAAGTTAATTTTTGTATAAGGTATAAGGAAAGGGTCCAGTTTCAGTTTTCTGCATATGGCTAGCCAGTTTTCCCAATACCATTTATTAAATAGGGAATCCTTTCCCCATTGGTTGTTTTTGTCAGGTTCTTCAAAGATCACATGGTTGTAGATGTGTGGTATTATTTCTGAGGCCTCTGTTCCATTCCATTGGTCTATATATCCTTTTTGTTACCAGTACCATGCTGTTTTGTTTACTGTAGACTTGTAGTATACTTTGAAGTCAGGTAGCATGATACCTCCAGCTTTGTTCATTTTGCTTAGGATTGTCTTGGTTATATGGGCTCTTTTTTTGGTTCCATATGAAATTTGAAGTAGTTTTTTCTAATTTTGTGAAGAAAGTCAATGGTAGCTTGATGGGGATAGCATTGAGTCTATAAATTACTTTGGGCAGTATGGCCATTTTCATGATATTGATTCTTCCTATCCATGAGCATGGAATGTTTTTCCTTTTGTTTGCGTCGTCTCTTATTTCTTTGAGCAGCGGTTTGTAGTTCTCCTTGAAGAGGTCCTTTGCATCCCTTGTAAGGTGTATTCCTAGGTATTTTATTCTCTTCGTAGCCATTGTGAATGGGAGTTAACTCATGATTTGGCTCTCTGTTTGTCTATTTTTGGTGTTTAGGAATGCTTGTGATTTTGCACATCGATTTTGTATCCTGTGACTTTGCTGAAGTTGCTGATCAGCTTAAGGAGATTTGGAGCTGAGACGTTGGGGTTTCTAAATATACAATCATGTCGGGTTTTCTAAATATACAATCATGTCATCTGCAAACAGAGACAATTTGACTTCCTGTCTTCCTATTTGAATACTCTTTATTTCTTTCTCTTGCCTGATTGCCCTGGCCAGAACTTCCAATACCATGTTGAATAGGAGTGGTAAGAGAGGCATCCTTGTCTTGTGCTGGTTTTCAAAGGGAATGCTTCCAGCTTTTGCCCATTCAGTATGGTATTGCCTGTGGGTTTGTCATAAATAGCTCTTATTATTTTGAGATATGTTCCATCAATACCTACTTTATTGAGAGTTTTTAGCATGAAGAGGTGTTGAATTTTATCGAGAACTTTTCTGCATCTATTGAGATAATCAGGTGGTTTTTGTCTTTGCTTCTGTTTAAGTGGTGGATTACATTGATTGATTAGCATATGTTGAACCAACCTTGCATCCCAAGGATGAAGCCGACTTGATCATGGTGGATAAGCTTTTTGATGTACTGCTGAATTCCTTTTGCCAGTATTTTATTGAGGATTTTCACATCGGTGTTCAGCAGGGATATTGGCCTGAAATTTTCTTTTTTGTGTTTGTCTCTGCCAGGTTTTGGTATCAGGATGATGCAGGCCTCATAAAATGAGTTAGGGAGGAGTCCTTCTTTTTCTGTTGTTTGGAATAGTTTCAGAAAGAATGGTACTAGCTCCTCTTTGTACCTCTGGTAGAATTCAGCTGTGAATCCATCTGGTCCTGGGCTTCTTTTGGTTGGTAGGCTATTAATTACTGCTTCAATTTCAGAACTTGTTATTGGTCTACTCAGGGATTCAACTTCTTCCTGGTTTAGTCTTGGGAGGGTGTATGTATCCAGCAATTCATCCATTTCTTCTAGATTTTCCAGTTTATTTGCGTAGAGGTGTTTATACTATTCTCTAATGGTAGTTTATATTTCTGCGGTGTCAGTGTTTACATCCCCTTGGTCATTTTTTATTGTGCCTATTTGATTCTTCTCTCTTTTCTTCTTATTAGTCTGGCTAGTAGTTTATCTATTTTGTCAATCTTTTCAAAAAACCAGTTCCTGGAGTCATTGATTTTTTGAAGGGTTTTTCATGTATCTATCTTTTTCAGTTCTGCTCTGATCTTAGGTATACCTTGTCTTCTGCTAGCTTTTGAATTTGTTTGCTCTTGCTTCTCTAGTTCTTTTAATTTTGATATTAGGTGAACAGACACTTCTCAAAAGGAGACATTTATGCGGCCAACAAACATATGAAAAAAATCTCATCATCACTGGTCATTAGAGAAATGCAAATCAAAACCACAGTGAGATACCATCTCACACCAGTTAGAATGGTGATCATTAAAAAGTCAGGAAACAGCAGATGCTGGAGAGGATGCAGAGAAATAGGAATGCTTTTACACTGTTGGTGGGAGTGCAAACTAGTTCAACCATTGTGGAAGACAGTGTGGCGATTCCTCAAGGATCTAGAACTAGAAATACCATTTGACCCAGCAACCCCATTACTGGGTATATACCCAAAGGATTATAAACCATTCTACTATAAAGACACATCCACATGTATGCTTATTGCAGCACTATTCACAATAGCAAAGACTTGGAACCAACCCAAATGTCTATCATTGATAGACTGGATAAAGAAAATGTGGCACATATATACCATGGAATACTACGTAGCCATAAAAAAGGATGAGCGTATGTCCTTTGCAGGGACATGGATGAAGCTGGAAACCATCATTCTCAGCCAACTAACACAAGAACAGAAAACCAAACACCACATGTTATCTCTCATAAGTGGGAGTTGAACAATGAGAACCCATGGACACAGGGAGGGGAACATCATACACCGGGGCCTGTCGGGGGAGTGGGGAAGCTAGTGGAGGGATAGCATTAGGAGAAATACCTAATGTAGATGACAGGTTGATGAGTGCAGCAAACCATCATGGCACGTGTATACCTATGTAACAAACCTGCACGTTCTGCACATGTATCCCAGAACTTAAAATATAATAAAAAAAAAATGCCAGGCGTAAAGCAAGCAGAATCTGTCAGCTCCCTTTCATTTTAGAGGTCTGTGGAGCATGTTGTACAGGTTTGCATTAATTCCTTCAGAACCAGAGAAAGGTATCACTTAATGGAAAACATTACTGATTGAGAAATGGTATGGTTTTTTTGAGGTCTAATGCAATATTTTGAATAGAGAAGAATGTCAGCTCAAAATCTAAAATGTTATATGAATGTCAGGAGAAGAAAAGTGGCTGTATATGTTTGTATATCATGTGTGTACTTGAGTGTATGTAGGCCTACACATGCACACACAAATACACACAAGATTTTCTTACGTTTATCCACATGATAATGGATCAAGACCGTTTGTGATGGCCAAAGATGCACAAATTTATATGAACACCTAAATTATGTTAGGATGGGAGTGAATGGAATGATTTTCATCACCTTAATACTTTGTAATGATCATGAAAGGATTTTTGAAAAAAAGAAAAAGCCCTAATGATTTTTGAAAATAATAATAGCAGAGGGAATCCCATGCAAAATCAGTTTGTTAGGCATGTGAAGATTTTAAGTAATGCAGAAAAGTAAAAAAAATACCTTCCCTAATGGTGATGTACAGAAACATGTTTATCATCAATGCTTTTATAACTTTTCTCTCATCTCAGTTTCTGTTAGAGAATTATGCATAATGGATTGTGTATTTAACAGGAATTCCTCGATTGCAATGGCTTTTTAAAGGTTTTTTTCTTTAGTTATTAATAGAATCTTTCATTTACAGCCTAAATATTGCTGTCATCTTAGAGAAACAGTGAAGTATCAGAGAGGAAATAAAATGGGATAAAATGGATATTCAGAATGTCTTGCTACCTGACCGTTACTTAAAACAAGATACCTTTTCTTTCTTTTCATGAAAACAAAACTATTTGTCTTCACTATCCACTCTGTTAAGGAAAATAATTTTCTCAATATATAAAGTGAGGCATAGAGCATACTTAAGGTAAACTAAATCTTAAGATAAGTGAGGCCAGAGTAAAGGAGCACCAAGCCTCACTTAAATGGGTTCATAGATCTAGGCTGCAGTCTGTTACTGTTGAAACACATGATACTTTTACAAACATAACAAAACAAAAAACAAGAACATTCAGGTGTTTCAGTAGAAACCGACAGAAAAGCGTTTTAGGAATGCTGTAGATTAGGGAAAATTCCAGAGAGCTCACAGAACAACAACTTCACTTCTTTTGACTTTTAAAGAAAAGGTAAAAGAATAAATTCTGGAAAATACAGATACCACCAGAAACATTTGTCTGCCCTTGTAAATTAGGGAATATAGGTTTGGTACCTACAGAGTACAAGACAAATGCTCATCATGTTGTGGGGGAAGCAAAATTTAAAAACATGTGGACTCTACCTAACCTCAGAGAGCTTGCATGCTAATTAAGGAATTAATATGCAATTATAAATTGGCATTTGACAAGTAGCACTGGAAAGGCACAGAAAAGGTGATTTATTATTCAGAGAAGTGGTAACTTTGATCTGTGGACATCTAGAAAAGTTATCTCTTTGGAAGGTGAGCTGGGTATCAAAGAGAGGAGACTTTATTTTAAAAGGCAGGTATGGGGTGGAGAAAACTGTCAAAACAAAGCTATGCAGGCAGTATAATATTGCAGCAAGCTGCTGAATGGAAAAACCAATTTGATGGAACATGGTTGGATGTCAGGGAAATTGGGAGATGTGTTCAGAAGAGTCAGTGAAATTTGACTGCAGATGGTCTATGAGGAAGGTGACGTGCTACGGCATGGCGAAGTGTGTTGAGTAGGCACCCGGAGACTAGAGTTTCTGTTAGTCTCTGTCACTCACTCACTGTGTGTACTTGAGGACCATTTGACCTCCTTGGCAAGTACACGTCTTACCTGGAAAACGACGGTGTCTAGTTGGAGACCAGTGTATCAACTCACGGTGATTCCATACAGCAAATTTTTCTTCCAGGTTTGGGGTAGATCACCAGGTTATTGATTAAACACCACACAAAGTAATTGGCTTGAGTTTAGGAACCATGTTTTGAAAAAACTGTTATATCTTTAAAGAGAAGAATCATCCTCAGCCTGGGGAGATACTCACATTATTTCAGAGACACAAGAACTGAAACCTCCCATGAGAATGGTGGACTGGGTTTGTATGTTCCAACTAGCACTCATTCCGGGGCATGTGCTATCTACAGCGTTCTGTCTCTATAGGTATGTTTTGATGTGCTTGTTTTTATCCTTTTTCACAGCACATATAGTGGAATTCATTTAAATTAATATGTAAGATGCATTTGGGCCTTTCATCTCAAGAACAAGAATATGGAAACCAAAGTTATTTAAAACTCTAGTCAAAGGACTGCCTTGAAATAAGTATCAAAACTCCAATATCAACTTTGGCTTCAAAAAGGAACCTAAAGGCATTTAACAGTGTGTCCTAAGGGATCAAATGTCAAATATGATGGTTACTAACACACAGGAAGAAAAGGACCAGAGCTAGAAACCAGCAGTAATATCTTCCAGTATTTTTGGGGGAGATGGAAGCTGAAAAGGATGAGGAAGAGAAAAGGATATGAACACTGGGTTTCAAACTAACTTTGCTGAATTATGGAAAGAGAAGAAATATTTATTTCTGCTGATATATCATGAAAAGTTACTATTAACTGAATTATTTCTTTTCATTTCACTCTTTTCTATTAAACTAATGATCAAACAGGTTGGTTCTAGCCACTTAGAAAATGATGTTGAATATGTCTTGAACCAAACCAGTAGACGAGTTAGTTTAACTGTATGAATTAACAACTAAAGAAACACAAAATGCTCATTTTTACCAGGAGTTAAAGCTATGTGTTTTCTGTAACTACCAAACTGGAATAAAAAAGTTATCTCAATAATCGGTGTACTGTATATGAATTGATATCTCATTTAAATTAATCTACATCACAAACCTTGTTCAGCTTTACTCCTGTCTGGCCAAAATTAATCTTTATAATGAAGTACCTTAGGTATTTTAGGATACCAGTATGTATTCAAGTGAGCGAATAAAAATTCAGTTGTCTTTGCTAAAATTTCTGGCATGTTTAGTGTTTTAATAAGTTATCTATCCAAATAGGTATTTTAAGGTATTAGTTTCAGACTTCCTTTTGGTAAATGTGTTTATATTTGTAAGTTTTAACTGGCTAGTTTTATAACATATATTAATTTCTAAACAGGATTTAGAGCAAAAAAAAACCCAAACATACTTTGCTTAGTCCACATTTCACTTTACAAAGTACCACTGGTCAGCTCAGTGATACTTTCTCCAGTTTGTGGGTCATTTCATCCTGCATTTGTACAATGATTTTGAGTAACACATCAGTAGTGAGGCCAGCTGATTTTGTTATACCCAGAGAAGACTTTTAAATTAAAGCTTGAGAACAGAAAAAAAAATTACTGAAAATTGAGGATCAGCAAACTTTTCTTGTAAGTGGGTAGGTAGTAAATATATATATTTTTTATTTTATAGGCGATATGATTTTTGTCACACTACTTGCCTCTGCTATAGTATCACAAAAGCAGTCATAGGCAATGCCAAAATGAGCAAGCATTGATGTGTTCCAATATTACTTACAAAAATAGATGTTAGACTTTCGGCCTTTGGGTCTGGGATTTGGCATTTAGGCCATAATTTGTAAGGAATTTGGCCAAAGCTCATAGTTTCCTAGTCGTTGCTAAACATGACAGGGGCCCCAAATGAGGTCCCAAAATGAGTTCTGAAGAACGTTTGTCCCATGGGATTTTCATGGATGAAAAAGTAAATCTAGGAAATGCTGCACAGAATGCCTTTCTTCTTACACACTGAAATTCAATGTCATCTTATTAAAGGCTATAAGACATCTTACAATAAAGTGATCTGTCTCTGTTGGCTAACTCAGTTCCCCAGAACACATGTGACCTTGAAATTCTTTTTGTCATAGATAATTTGAGTATCTGTGATTCAGAAACAAGTTTCCAAACTGATCATTTGGATATCTATATAGATTGTCATATGCATATCTTTATTGAAATATCTTTTTAAATCCGAGTCAACTTCGTGAGTCACTTATCCACAAAGGTAACCAGGAAAAATACTAACCTTCTTAAGTGGTTCTGGATAATTTCCTGATTAGTCCCTTCTTAGGTTCTAACACATTAGCTCCTGCTGACAATTTGAGCCGTTGGCCTTATTCTGCTTTTTCCTCGGTAATTAAATCCATTGTAGTTTAAATCAGTTCAACATATATTTACCATGTACGATATTTTCCAAGCACACCGATTAATGAATGAGAGAGACCGTGTCTCTCCCTTTAGGGCATGGATAGTAGCAAAGGCATAAAGACAAAGGTTAGAATATTATGTGATAACTTCTCTAATAAGAGAAATCCTGAATGCTGTCAAAGCACATATGAGAAGTACTAAACTGTTATTATGAAATCAGAGAAAGCTTTTAGCCTGGAGTTCATCTAAGCTACAAATTTGAAGCTAATCACAGAAGGGAAGAGAGAGGGGAACAGCAGGTACAAAGGTAAGGAGACAAGATTCTCTGATGTATCAAGGCAGTGCATAGTACAACTCTAATATAGATTTATGCTGCAGAGATGGGTGAGAGTTGGATTAAGCAGGTTTTTACTGACTTTGTGAAAGTATGTAAGGTAGGTGGAAAGTTGGAGGCTTGATCAGAGTTGTACTATGGTAATATAGCTGTGGCTGGAACGTGGAGAATGGCCTGGAGGGGCACACTGCTCAGAAGTGAGAATTTCTGAAGCTGTTATGAAGCTTTCCCAGGGAATCTGCCATGGGTAACCTATTACCCCAGGTTCATCCCTTAGACAGATAAGGTGCTGTCAAGACTCCTACCTTATGACAAGAAACCAAGAGCTACGTAATGTTTTTTTCCCTGAAACCATCTGTTTGCTAGTGTAAACATTAAACTGTCTTTCCATTTGGGGGTTACTGGAAATATCATAAAAAGGGAATAATTTTAGACTTTTTTTAAAAACTTGAAAGGAGGCTTTATTATGTATTTATAGCAAAACAAAAATTGGCACCAAGAGGCTAGCCTGAGTTTTATACCTGAAGGAAATGTGGAGGCAAACCTGGGCATTTTCCTTGACAACAGCAATTAACCAAGAAGAGCCTCACCTTAACGTCTGTTTTAAGACAGCAGAACTGGTCGGCATATGAATATACAAACGTTTAATTACACACCCTGCCTGTCCTTGTGAACCTCTGTGGTTTACTTACAAACGCATGAGTTATTTCACGAAGTTATCCTCAATCAGGATGCAGCATAGTGTTGTGTTTACTACATATGAAACATGCACACCTTATCCAGTCTGACACACTGAAGCACTTAAAAGGATGTGCAGTAGGTTTTTTTATAAACAAGTAGGGTTTTTATAAACCATTTTCTTCCACACAACAAATTATACTGTTAACAGCTCGGCCCTGGTAAGTTTTATATATGTGTGCATATATAAATTTTATATATGTGTACCTACAAACACACATACACACACAAACATATAAAAATCACATTTTATATATGTGTGTGTATATGTATATAATACATATATTATTTGGAAGTGTGATTTCTGTATTTTTCCTGTATTCTAACCATATGAGGAATGTCTACTCAACATTGCTTAGAAACACAAGTTCTAAGGTCCAAACTTAAGGGTGTGTGTAGTTTAGTTAGTGGCTGCTATGGTTGTTGGTGGAGAGTCAGATGTTGAAAAGAAATGGAACAAAGTTTTTTCTAAACTTGAAAATGCTGTCTTGAAATTTGCAGCTAAGATGTAGTAAAAGAGGGGCTGGTAGGCAAGAAAAGAAAAACTGTATGTAGGCATGGATCTTAAACAAATCATGAAATTGAATTTTCCTAAAGCAACTTAAACTATTTATGATTTTCTTTGTCCTTTGCCAGATCTCTGAAATAGCGTCAGTCTCAAAATTCATGTTATCACTAATTAGGATTCTATCCTCAGATTTTTTTTGCAGATGATTCAACTATTTCTTAGTTTCCACAGATAACTAAAATTACTACAGTTTCTCCTACCAACAATAGGCCTAGACTGCTAATCCAAGGAGGAAATTTGATGTCAGAAAAAGACACAAACAAAGCAAAAATGCAGTGTTAACAGTTATTCCCACTTTTATCTTTCTTTACATAGATCTCACATCGCATTGCAAGGAGCTTACGCTAGTAGTAAATAAGAAATTTAGGGGAAACCTGCATGCTGCATTTTTAGCATACAAGAAGTACAAAATTCTGGCTTTATTTTTTTCTTCATTAATATGCATGGTAGGCCAGGCATGGTGGCTCACGCCTGTAATCCCAGCACTTTGGGAGGCCGAGGCGGGCAGATCACGAGGTCAGGAGATCGAGACCATCCTGGCTAACACGGTGAAACCCCATCTCTACTAAAAATACAAAACAAATTAGCTGGGCGTGGTGGCGGGCGCCTGTAGTTCCAGCTACTCAGGAAGCTGAGGCAGGAGAATGGCGTGAACCTGGGAGGCGGAGCTTGCAGTGAGCTGAGATTCCACCACTGCACTCCAGCCTGGGCAACACTGCACTCCAGCCTGGGCAACAGAGCAAGATTCTGTCTCAAAAAAAAAAAAAAAAATGCATGGTAATCTTGGTTCTTTTCATACCTACGTTTGACCGTTCAGCAGTCTAATTTTAATTAAATCATAACAAAGTAACAACATTGACTATATTGATTGCATCTTGGGAATTCAGAATTTATTTTTTCACATAATTTTTCCTATGACTAGCTGGTCTTCTGTAGGCAAACTTTTATGATCCTTGAACTTTTTCTGGAAATGATGCAGCAAACTATAAATATAAAATCTGCAATGGTATACTGTATGTACATATCTTTCAAGGAGGATAGCTCCACTGATGTAAAAACAAAAAGATATTAAAAACTCTGATTTTCAAGCTAGAAAATTATTTATGCACCATTGGCTTTATTTTAAAATACATACTTGCAGAAAAGTTGCAAAAATGTCAGCGTTTCCATACGCCCATCACTCTGATTCTACTAATGTTAATATTGTACGTAAGTATAGTATGATCACCAAACCAGAAAACTGACATTGGTATAACACTGTTAACTAAACAACAGACCTTATTAGGGGTTTACCAGTTTTTCCATAATGTCCAGGCTGCAATCCACAATCTTGCATTGTTTATAGCATTCATTTCTTCTTACTCTTCTTGAGTCTGTGCCAGTTCCTGAGCCTTCGCCTGCCTTTTGTGATCCTGACACTTTTGAAAACTACTAGTCAATCTTGTTGTAGAATATTACTCAATTTTCTGATGTTCCCTCCTTTTTTTTTATTGATGTCATGCATTGTTGGCAAAATACCATAGAAGAGTATTATGTCCCTCTCAGTGCACCCTATCAAAGGGCACACGAGGCCAGTATGTCTTATCACTAGTGATACTAATTTTGACTATTTGGTTAATATGGAGTCTACTGAGTTTTCCCAGCATGATATTAGTGTTTTCCCACATTAGCTTTAGACAAAGACACATAAATTCTTAATTTCCTAAATATGATATACTCACTATACTCTTTTATGCCTCAGTTTCCCTGCCTAAAAATTATTATACTGCAACCCTAACCCTCATCTCAACCAGTGTAGTAAGAATTAATGTGCTGTCCTTTGGAGATTCTTGGATAAAACTCACTGTATAACTGCAAATGATCACTCTATCTCATTTTAAAGAAGAACATAAATAGAATGGTTAAAAGTAGATTGGCAGCATGTACTCATTTCACACCCAGAACTACAGAGACATCTGTTATATATGTGACAGGCCAGGCCTGAAATCTGGTTCTCTGAGAACCAGTTAGTGTTTGCCCGATTTGGCCTAAGTCAGCCTGATTAAACAAAGAACATATTTATCACTTGCTACCTAACAGGCTATTACACTAACTAGATGGATAACCACCCATTGATAAGGACAATAAATAACTTTTTAAAAACTGTCACATTCAGGGTTTCTGCTGTTCATATAAGAGGGAAAAAAGTCCCTTGACATACTAAGGATTCTGGATCCATGTGCTGTAATTCTGTCATATTAGTTTGTATCTGATAATGAAGTACCCCACCATTGCAGAGAATGGCAAACTTCGCAAAGTGATTTACTGGCTTTCTACTCTATTTTTATTTTTGAATGTCAGTACTATCAGCCCTGACACAATACACTGGGAGGAAATTGGCCACTTACAGGTCTAGAGGGAAGTAGGTAGGGAAAGGTATACTAAAGAAATAAGGGACTCACATAATCCTCCAAGCCCCGCTTTCCTCTTTGACAAATGGAAATAATCATATACCTGCCTCCTCAAGTTATTGTAAGCATTTGGTAATCTGTCCAAAACCTTTGTATTGTAACTGACCCATAGTAAGTACTCAAGAAAAAAAGAAAAAGGTTGTCATTTTTATCACTTTATCATCTTTCATACCTGAGACCCAGATTTGGGTGCAAAAGACAAGAAAATGGAGGTGAGGCTCTCATAAATAGTGTGGTTTAATTTGCAGAAGGCTTCTGGAAAATGATTTTATACCAAATAAGAATTCAATAGCATTTGTCAAATGGGGTGGAAATATCCCACCATCTGCATGTAGTCATGAACTAAAGCATGATGATACTGAGGTGTACTTCTGCTCTTTGAGAGTATGTGTTCATAGGCAAATAAACCTAGAAAATGAAGAAGAATGCAAGCTCCATGATAGCAGGACTGAACTTTACCGTGATACCCAGTGCTTGCTGGTACAGTGTCTGACATATTGCATGTGTTCAACGAATATTTTCAGATGAATGTTCTAATAGTTAGCTATAAATACATAATGGCACAGGATCTTGAATACACAGTTTATTTACCATTACATGAGATGGGAGATCCCATATTATAGTTTAGCTAAAAAGTAGGGGGATTTCCTGTCCCAACCTCCACTTATATTGTTATTATTATTATTCTTTTTCTTTTTCTTTTTTTTTTTTAAGACAGGGTTTCACTCCCATCACCCAGGCTACAGTGCAGTGGTGCAATCATGGCTCACTGCAGCCTCGATTTCCCAGGCTCAGGTGATTCTCCCACCTCAGCCTCCTGAGTAGCTGGGACTACAGGAGTGCACCATCACACCCAGCTAACTTTTTGTATTTTTAGTAGATATGGGGTTTCACCATGTTGCTCAGGCTGGTCTCGAATTTCTGGGCTCAAGTAATCTGCCTGCCTTGGCTTCCCAAAATTTGGGGATTACAAATGTGAGCCACCATGCCTGGCCCACTCCACTTATTTTAAGAGAATGACTTCTGACTTCCTTCTAAGTAAAACAACACTTATATTATGTTCCTTTTGCATTATGGTGGTAACCATTTTACTTGTGTTATCTCATATACTTCTCTACAAACTTCTGAAGTAGGCTCAGTATCTCCGTTTTATGGACACAAAACTGGAGGATCAGAAATAACTTGCCTAAAACAATACAAGTCCAAGACTTGAACTTAAGTCTATCTACAAAGACCATTTATGTTCTTGACTGATACTGTTGCATTTGTGCACTGTTGCAGCCCTCTTAGAGTATTATATTATCTTCCCCCAGTAGAGTAAAATAATCTCCATGAGGGAAGACCCTGTCTTATTCATTGCTGTATCGTACTGCACGTCAGTTACTAGATGTTCAGTCACTAATTTGTAAGTAAAGGATAGAGTGCCGTAGTAGATTTTATTTAACACCCTACTTTGGTATAGCCTATTACAACTTCAGTTTTTATGTTTGAAATCTTATTTCTGCTTCTGATTAAGCAGACATAGACTCCCTTTTAGGCTACCAGTTATCTGATTTTCTGATGTGGCTGTCCGAGCAATCAGCAAGCTGTGCGTAATGATGGACATACTAGTAAGCTTACTTCCCCACTAAGTGTATCCAAGTAAAAGCCCTGAAAGTCACACGGTTCTTGCCACTTTTAATCTGACACCTAATATATTAGGTATTAGAGTGTTTTGTGCTTACCTTTAGCTCTTCTTTAGTTTAGGTGATTAAAAAATGCCTGTTGCTGTCTGTATGTGCAGCATGCTTCATTAACAGTCATTTATTTGGGAGGTTAGCAGAATTGGCACTCTGCAGCACACCAGCGAGCAGAAGGAAAACAAACGTGAGATGATTGCTAAGAAATCCTTCTTTCCTGCTCTGGTGATAGAAGCTTTAAGAGTTTGCAAAGTTTACTTCCCAGTACCCAGAAAGCATGGGAAAGAGCAGGGTTTCTGGGGATTGCAATTTCCCCCAAGTCCCTTGCATCCGCTCTCCTCCAGTGCTCAGTGGGAAATCCAAGGGGTCATGGATTTCCCCCTTTGGCACGGTGTGCTCCCTGTATTTGTGGTCTCCCAGAACCAGATCCTTCCACTGCTTGCCCCTCTTGTTTTTTCCAGCAAGTTTGCCGACTCAAACTTTTTCTAGCAGAATCCAATTATATGGATTTTCTCTCATATTCCTTTCAACAACCCTGTATTTTCACTGTCACTTTATGAAAGAGGAAAGTGAGGCTAACAGAGGTTAAATGACTTGCCCAAGAACAACAGCTAAATGGTAGAGCTGGGATTTAAACCTGGCTTGTGTGATTCTAAAGCCAATGATCTCATTGCCATAGGGAAGCAAAGGAATTTTTATTTTACTTGAAACCTGTATTGATTTTGTCATGTGTACTTGAAATGCCATGCTGAGAGGATTCTGGGGCTGCCCTTGGGCTAAGCAGCAAAGAGTGCCATAATCAATTAGCATTGCTTTCCATAGGAGTGGGACAGAGGAGTGGAGGTGCCATGTATTTTCCTGTCTTGAACTATGATCTACTTTTGTTCTTGATTTTATTGTAATAAGACTGTAATAACACGGGAATGACATTCTAAAGGAAGGATGAAGTATCTGAGGGGCAATCTAAATGCAAGATGAAAATACCACATATTTTATATATAAACTACAATTGCCTGCTGTTCTAATAATAAGGCTACATATACCTATTTGGGAGAAATTCAACAGAGTGTTTAAATATCCACAATCTTAAGTCAAACTTCATAATCTCAACTTTTATTTTAAATTCAGGGGGTACTTGTGTGGGTTTGTTACATAGGTATATTGTGTGATGCTGAAATTAGGAGGACAAATGACCCTATCACCCAAGCAGTGAGCATAGTACCCAATAAGCAGTTTTCAGCCCTTCCTCCCCTCCTTCTCTCTTTGTTCTACTAGTCCCCAGGGTCTACTGTTCCCATCTTTATGTCCCTGGATATGCAATATTTAGCTCCCACTTGTAAGTGAGATCACCCAGTATTTGTTTCCTGTTCCTGCATTAATTTGTTTAGTATAATGGCCTCCAGCTGCATCCATCTTCCTGCAAAGAACATCATTTCATTCATTTTCATTGTTGCATAGTATTCCGTGGTGTGTATGCACCAAATTTTCTTTAATCCACCATCGATGGGCACGTAGGTTGATTCTATGACCATGAATAGTGCTGTGACAAACATACAAGTGCATGTGTCTTTTTTTTTTTAATTATTTCTTTTCTTTTTTTTCCTTTTCTTGTTTTTGAGACAGGGTCTTACACTGTCACCCATGCTGGAGTGCAGTGGCACGATCTTGGCTCACTGCAGACTCCAAATATTGAGCTCAAACAATCCTCCCACCTCAGCCTCACAAGTAACTGGGGCTAAAGGCAGGAGCCACCACGGCTGGCTAACTTTTAAATTTTTTTTTTGTAGAGATGGTATCCCCCTGTGTTGCCCTGGCTGGTCTCGAAGTCCTGGACTGAAACAGTCCTCCTGCCTCAGCTTCCCAAAGTGCTGGGATTATAGGTGTGAGCCACTGTGCCCAGCCCAATTTATTTTTCTCTGGGTATATACCCAGTAATGGAATTTCTGGGTCAAATGGTAGTTCTGTTTTAAATTCTTTAAGAAATCTCCAAACTGCTTTCCACAGTGGCTGAACTAATTTACATTCCCACCAAAGGTTTATGAGCATTCTCAGGATTCATTTTGGGAGTGATAGAAATATTCTACATCATGATGGTGATGGTGGTTGTATGACTGTATAAGTTTTTGAAATCTCATCAAACTATACATAAAAAGAACGCATGTCAGTGCATAAAATATACAATAAACAGGGAAAATCAGAGAAAGTTCTATCTATTACTTATTAATTTCAACTTAGTTAACCCATAAAATTAAAATCATATTGTTGTTTACCTTCAAGGTTTTTTTAAAGATTATATGAGTTAACAAATAATACAGAAACTACTATATAGTAAATGCTGTTTAAATGGTATCTATTATTTATCATTTCACCAGTTGTTTTGTACTATATTCTACCATTACGTTATCTCCAACATTGTTTGCCAGTTTAATCACATACCCTTTTATGTTGCTGATTTACTACATTGTACTGTATACTCTCACAAATACATAAGCTTCATATGTATGGATAATTGTGAGAAAAATCATAGCTTTGAATACATGGCTCTTCTGTGTTTAACTAAACAATGTTAGAAGACTAGAACCATTCATGTCTGTTTTTCAACTGAATTGCTGAAGTGTTAAGTATCTATATGTCCAAATAAATAATACTTATTAAAAATGATGGACTGTAAGGTGTGTTTAAAAATATTGAAAGCATTAGCTATGATAGAATGTTTAGGATGAATTTGTGGTATATACTTAGAAACCTGTTATTAAAGAGGAAATAACAGTAACTCAGAAAAAACAAGTACTATAAAAAAAAAAAGAAAAGCAGTATACTCTCAAGCTCAGCTAACAAATTACCAAATTATGTGCTATAACTAAGTTTAGACAACAGTGAAGCAAGGTATGTTTGTATTTGTGTATTCCTGTCTGTCATTGGGAATGATTAAGAGAGTTGAATATCATCATTCATAAAAGAACTTAGTACATATGACAAAAAAATCAAGAAATAGTAGTATAAGCATGTTATTTTTTCAAATTATCATTGTTGAACTACTTAACAGAAAAGCAGTTTGTTGCCCCTGGACAATATTTACCTATGGGGACTAACAGCTAGTATTTAAGCTATGTTCAAGCATTCCTTTAATAAAAGTAAAAGTTAAATAAAACTTTAAAAAATTACAATAAGTGATTACTTAGTGAAGGCTGTGGATAGTGAATGTGGACTTGTGGCTTGGAGTTAAATTTTCAGTAACAGTTTAATACATAGAATTTAAAAGCAATATATCTAAAACAATTTTAATGGATGGGAAGATGATATAATCCGAAAAATTGTTACAAGCCTCAAATGGCTCTAGGGATGACAAAGACATAGTCTTTACTTCATTTAACTAATTAAATATTTTTGGCATATATAACCTTCTTCTTATAGAATAATGTAATTCAAAGTTTCAAGAATCCTTAAAAACAATCTGGCCCAGTCCCGTCTTCTATTCATGAGGAAACTTGTCCAGCAAGCAAATAACAGCACTGAGCCTGGAACGCAGTTATTCTGAATCTTATCCCAGTGATCTTTTGAAATATCACTGTGATTATTGAGGTTACTTCCGTTTTTTGAAGAGGGTCTTCTCGGTAGCAAAATATAAAGGTCCAACATCAAAGGTAGAATAAGGTTTTCTATAAGGGGAAAGTATATTTTGAGAAATCCGTAGTGGGTTTATACTTTAAGAAATTTCAATGAAAGACTTTTCCAAATTAATCCGTATAACTGTGGACTCTCGGGCTATGGAAGACATCCTTCAGTAAGTGAAATGATGATACATTAGCTACCTGGCTTTTATTTCAGAGGATTTCTGCCTAATGTACTCATATTTATGGTTAGAATCTTCACAAGTGGAAAGTCTTTTAAAATGGGGAGCAACTGTGTACCTTAGCTGACCCTCCATCATTCCTCAAGGTCCTCTTTAATGTGGTATTATGATATTATGATGGAAACGGTGTCTAAATCAACCATTGGGTAGGTGAGTATGGTCTAAATAAGGGATTCCATCCTATACATGTCTGCCTCTTGTTTAATAGATGTAGCTTCCCGAATATATCATCCAGGTCCCTTATGTCTTCCCCTCTTTTGCACTGTTCTATTCATATTTTCAGATGCTTGGGACAAATAATCTAATGATAAAAACCAATTAACACATATTTTCTCATCATTCCTAGCAGACTACTTACTGCAATCTCCAGTCAAGTTTGAAAGACATCACCTATAGGAATGAAAATCTGTTTTTACTGGTAGATAGAGTATAAAGCTGGTTAAAGGAGAAAATCCAGCAAGTTATTTGATTGACTGATGTGATAGGAATTTTCATTATCCAAGAAGAACCTATAGGCTAGCTACTGTAATCACAGGACATACAGATGACCTGAACTACTCATTTGACATATAAACTATATCTTGTATGGTCAATAATCTTTCCTATCCAATTGAGCTGTAGTGTCCTTGTGGGCGGAGACCTTGACCCAAAACTCTTCATATTTTGCATTTTACCAATTGAATCATGGACATTCAACAAATATCTATTGACTGATTGAACATTAAGATTTTACTGTATGCCATTTTCCTTTAAAATTATTGGCATATTGCTTTCTGAGGAAGCCTATTTAATCTCTTGCTTTCATTTCTGTTTCCCGCTTCCTCGCCATTGTGATTGACTGCACCCCTCATTAGCTAATTGTAGAGTTAGGAAACTCTCAACTCTACAGATGGGAACTGTGGATGATCCTTTTTAAAAATCTCTGCCTTCAGAATGGTAGCACTCTAAATAATAACTAGCAAGAAAGCAAATGTTTATGTTGTTCTTACACTTAGGAGGAAAGAAACTTATTCACAGTTATGCTATCACAAAAGACTTCTGAATTAACACTAGTGAAACGTAGCCTTCCGACAAAGTCTCAGCTCTGAAACCTGTGCTATCCTTTACATTATGAGTATTACAGATTCTGCACCTTGGCTTACTGGCACCTGGCTTCACTTCTGCAGAAGGACAACATGAAAAGCCAAGTTAGAGAGAAAGGAGTCACCATCAGGATGTTATCTCACACTTGAAAAGACACAATACTTTTAGAAGAGTTCATTACCTTTAGAAACTAGTTCAGTATTTGAAGTATGAAGACATAGATTTAAATACTGGCTCTATTGATTTCTAGATATTTAACCTTGGACGAGTTTCATAGCCTCTCATATTCTAATTGCCAAAGCTCTAATTTTATAGAGGATGATGATGCCTGACTCCCAGCCATGTTATAAGGATTAAATGAGAAGTGAATGTAAGATCACGTGGCAGGTCCACAAGAGATGTTAGCTGCCTTTATTCTTTCATTTACATACTAGCTGTTGATTGGCTGCCTGCTCTGGTGGTTCACTATTCTATGTGCCTCTAAAATGTCAATCAAGAATACAAAGATTCCTACCTTCATAAAGTTAAAAATCTATTTGGTGGGGGCCAGGAGGCAGAATTTGAATCCAAGTTTAAATAAACGATGATAGTTAATGCTCACATACAAAACAAGCCAGTGGACCTTCACAGCACACTTGTAAGAAAGATAGGGCTTCTGGCATGATCCCTAACCTACAAGCAAGCAAACATGTTTACAGAGATTAAGTGTCTTTCCCAAAGTGAGGTAATTTGTAGTAAATCCAGGAAGAACTCAGTGTGCGTGAATCCGTGTTTTCCCACTCTGTCTTGCTGCTATGAGGCTTTGAAAAACATACTCTGTTGGAAGTATTCTTAGTAATTAGAGATGTAGTCAACTTGCTAACCAGAGGAGAAAAGCAAAAAAGGTAAAATAGATATTATGTCCTTCAGGGGATTGCATTTTAAGCAGATCTTCATACAGGAAAATAAAATCTTTTTAGGTCTTTCCCTTCTTGAAAGTCATTCTCACCCTCCTCGTAGACTTCAGAATCAAGTCCAGAATTTTTTTTTTTTTTCTTTTTTTCAGACGGAGTCTTGCTCATTGTCCAGGCTGGAGTGCAGTGATGCACGATCTCGGCTCACTGCAACCTCCGCCTCCTGGGTTCAAGCCATTCTCCTGCCTCAGCCTCCCTAGTAGCTGGGACTACAGGCATGTGCCACCACACCCAACTAATTTTTTCTATTTTTAGTAGAGATGGGGTTTTGCCGTGTTAGCCAGGATGGTCTTGATCTCATGACTTCGTGATCCACCCACCTCGGCCTCCCAAAGTGCTGGGATTACAGGCATGAGCCACCGTGCCTGGCCTCAAGTCCAGAATCTTTAATATACGTTCAAAGATGATTGGAGACCAGGCTCTTGATTTACCTTCCAGCCTCTTTCCCCCTCAGCCTATAACTCCCAAACTCAGGCTGCGCTGTGCTGTCTTTAACAAAGATAGCTATGACGTTTCAACTTTGTGCCAGTACCTAAGCTCAGTGCTTTCCATGCATTCTCACTAATCCTTACCATAAGTTTGGCAGATAGATATCTTGCTGCTCTTTTATAGATGGACCACACAGCTGGAGAGTGGGAAGTCTAGGAATAGAGCACAAGTTAGATTCTGCAGTCTACGCTTTTCATTTTCTTGCACTGCTGTAACTTAAAGGTTCTCACAGCTTCTTGCCAGTTTGTTTTCCTTGTCACTTGGCTCAGAATGGCCTTCCTCCCTCTTATTTATCCTTTAAGAATCAGTTCAAAATGGTAGCCCCTTTGAGGAGCTTTCTTGAAACTCCTGCCCTACCCTACCTCCCAGCTCAGTTCAGTGATAATCTTTTGCTTCCTTAACATCTTGTTCTTAATAAACTTACTGCACACATTGCACCGAATTATAATGACTGGTTTATTAGCACCTCCTGCTAAGTAAACTGTGAGCTCCTTGAGGACAAGACCCGCACCTCCCTAACCTCTGCACACCCAGCACCTAGCACCGTGCCTGCCACATGGTAAACACGATTACTTTTTTTGTTGAGCTGAATTAGTACTGTTTGGATACCAGCAACATTTTAATTCAGCAGAGTGTTCAAAACAAATAAATACATGACCAGGCCCTGCATGTAGATTCTTGGAAACCAGGACTCTTAAGGGAAAACTGATTCATGCTTTTGTTTTCAGCACTTTGTACTGAGGTCTTCAGTGTCACTGTTAGTATGAGAATTGTTTGAAGGGTTGAGGGAAGTTTTGTTCTGTGCAAGAATGTGAAAAAAAAAAAAAAAAAAAAAAACCACCCTGTACAATTCTCAGTTATTCATCTCCTCCTGGCTCAATGAGAGAAAGCAATCGAGGCCTGTTTTATTGTGTAGCTTCCTTCTTAGGATTTACGAGTCTCATTCTTGGGCAGGATCTCAAAATGAGTGCTGAGTACACTACCTTTGCTACAGCCACTGTTGGATAAGCCAGAGAGAGCTCACAGCTGCAGGGGAGATCTATTGCCACCATAACTCTTGGCTCATCCTGCAGCTTTCTTTCTGACTCTGACAGAAAAATTGAAATTATGAAACTTCGTATCCTGCACCAGAGTCCCACGTGAGATTCATGAATCTTCAGCTCCCTTCAGAAAACCGGATGCTTTGGTTACCACTGCCCACTGACAAATTACTGTCCACGACCCCATTATTTCTGATTAGCAAAGGTGAACCTTACCTACCTGAATGTAAATAAATGCCAATAGGATTCGTGAAATTCTTCATCCTTAAAAATCTACAGCCCTTAATAGAACATGCACTGTAAATACTATCATATCATGAACTAAATCTTTATCAGGTAATTGGATACATTTCCTAAGCTAATTTTAATTGCTTCCAGAAACTGCTTAACATTGTAGATCAATCCCGA
Source organism: Homo sapiens (assembly GCF_000001405.40). Classification (NCBI taxonomy): domain Eukaryota; kingdom Metazoa; phylum Chordata; class Mammalia; order Primates; family Hominidae; genus Homo; species Homo sapiens. Next base: position 2,568,952 of record NC_000003.12, read on the forward strand.
GGTCCGAGATGACATTTCTCTCACAAAATTAATTATTAATACCCTGATCATTTGCTTAAGACATTAATAGTTTTCATTGATCAGCACGTCCTGTTGATCTAAAATGGCCTAATCACCATGCATGTCAGAAGAGTATCTGAACATATCCAATTAGAGATACGGCCAGCTTTCTGCCACATCAGCAGATCCGAAGTTAAGAGTCCCTTTTGTCTTCACAATATATTAAGTCCAGCTCTATCAGAAACTAAGCTATTTAAGGGCACAAAAGAAAGGCGAGTTCTCTAATGATGCTTGTTCATTTTCTGTTAGCTCCCTGGTAAACATACAGGCTTTGCAGTGATCACATGGTGTAAATTAACGCTAAGAGCCCATTATTAAGTAGCTTGTGTTGGCCCATGTTTTCATGTAAGCCTGTGTTTGCTCACAGTGTTTTTCTTATAAGTGGGAGTAAGATGAGAAACTTCAGGTTATTTTCAGCTTAAAAATATTGGGGCTCCCACAGTGTGTACATATATCAAAATATCACATTGTATACCATAAATATATACAATTATTATTTGTCAATTTAAAAATAATATAAATGTAATATATTTTTTTACATGAAAGCTAAAATAACAAGTTGAGACCACAGTAACATCTGGCAATGTAGGGTGCTGCAGAGTTTTCAAAGAAGTTTCATTTACTTAACCAGGAGTTTTCCCTTGAAACAAGATTCAAAGAGAGGCTAGGTGGAGTGGTCTACCTAGGACCACATAACAAGTTCCTGCCAGAGTTGTAAATAGAATGAGATCTCCCGGTTCCATAAATTTCTGGTTTATTTGATTGACTGATGAATAGGTAGCACTCTGCTCATCTTTCAGACCCCAAGGGAAGCTCACCTCCTTTGTGAAGATTGCCAAACAAAAAGTTTCCTCCTTCCTTGATAACGGGATATCATATTGCAATTATATGAAATTCTCAGTAACAGCCCCTACTGGATAAAGAGACTCTAGAGGATAGAGACTGTGCCTTGTTCCTCTTGATGGGCCCAGTGCTTCACCTTGTGTCTGGCAAGCAGAAGATGCTTCACATATACATTCACACATGGCGGGCTGGCAGGATGGGTGGGAGAAGGGATGAGTGGATGAGAGGAACCACAGTTGAGAGTTCTGTTTTACTAACTTCATGTTGCAATCCTTCAGCACCAGAGGGAAATTTGGCTTTACTTGAGTCATACAGTGTTTAATTTTTTTTTTTCTCTGAGACAGGGTCTCCCTCTGTTGCCCAGGCTGGAATGCAGTGGAGTGATTATGGCTCACTGCAGCCTCGAACTCCTGGGTTGAAGCAATCCTCCTGTCTTAGCCTCCTGAGTAGCAGGGACTATAGGCGTGCACCACCATGCCAGGCTGATTTTTAAAAATTTTCCGTAAAGGTGGGGGTCTCGCTATGTTGCCCAGGCTGGTCTTGAACTCCTGGCCTCAAGAGATCCTCCCATCTTGGCCTTCCAAAGTTCTGGGATTACAGGTGTGAACTACTGCACCTGGCCTTAAAAAGTATTTTGAACTAATTTTCAATACTTAAAACTTAGGAGATTTTCAAAATACAGTTATATTTTCAACTTTTCTTTGAAAAGTCGTAGATGCCCCTGCAACCCTGGATCTGTGTTCCACATTACCCATCTGCTTGAGCTGAGGGGCACCTGTTCCCTTAAGCAAGGACATGCCTCCATTCCTCAGAATAACAGTGTCTGCCCACAGCTTCACTCAGTTACTCACTTTGTAGCTTTTGGTAAAGGTAATGAGTGGCCTCTCTTCACTGCAGAATTCTCCTAATTCAGTATTCTTGGCTAACAGAAGTATTAGTGTTCCTAATCATGTTCTGGATATATCCAAATGAACCTAGTAGGCAGCTACTGATAGCTGTTTGGATTTCTCTCATTAGACACTGGAGCTGCATACTTCTGTGGCATGTTAGAAGTGAAACACGGGGCAGAGGGGAAAAATTGTTTGAGTTAATGGGGTAGTCACCATTTTCCCACACGATATAACTCCATTGGAAAAATTGGGAATTTCTACCTGAGGTCCACCAGTGTTAAGCCTATCTTGTTCTGTGGCAGTTCTGTATTTGCTTTTTTTTTAACTAATTGGAAAATAAATAAGAACAGGATCTGGACAAAGAGAGACCTTGCAAAGCATAGTGCATTCCCCTGCCTTCAGGTTGGTTCATGCCTAATCAGAAACTGTTCTTGTCTTCACTCAGAAGCCACAGGGACACTTCAGCTCCAATCCCTGCCCAATTATTATCTGCAAGAAAAAAATAGGAGTCTTATTAGCTTTATATTCATAATTTAACATGTCCCTTTCTTCCCCTCCAATGGTACTTTCCCACAAGTGAGTTTTATTGATATTTGAGTAAAGATAAACTTGCAGAGACCACAAGGAGAAATATTCCCAAATCTCATTGTAATGTCTCTTCTTTCCCACAGATTAAAGGTTATACAAAACTTAAAAGAAGCAGCAATTCTATTCGCTTGTTATTGGACTTGAAACTCCCTTTGACCTCGGAAACTGAAGATGAGGTTGCCATGGGAACTGCTGGTACTGCAATCATTCATTTTGTGCCTTGCAGGTAGAGTGTCATTTTAAAACTTTTTGATTTAGAAATGCCACTGTATTTCACACTAATTCAAAAGTGGGCCTTCACTTTAGACGGCAATGATAAAATCGCAAGAGTATATGCTGCTATGACTAGCATTTGCTGACACTGTTGAATATACCTTCCTGATGGTCTTTTAGTGACTCTTTTCATGGTGTTGTATCCAGAGATAGACACCGATGTTTCACCTGTCTATCTGGTCCTTTTAGAGTCGTTTGAGCCATTATTTAGTTTGAAAGTTGTTATTTTTGCTCATCCCAGTGCCCAGTTGCACAGAGATATTGGGCAATAAAACTGATAATATAGTCTGGAGTGTTGCCTACTTTCATTTCAGTGGATGGACGTTTATCTGGATAGCTCTTTCAGTGTCTTTGTTGATACCACTCCATCTTCTGATACTGACTCTCTTTTTCATTTCAATGTACTACAGTTTAGTAGGAACTAGAAAGCAAAACACAGGAGGTTTTTACCATATACTCATGGCCAACTACTAGAAAAGGGATTTGGAAAGTTCAAACATGGCTGGGCGCAGTGGCTCACACCATTAATCCCAGCACTTTGGGAGGCTGAGGTGGGTGGATCACCCGAGGTCAGAAGTTCAGACCAGCCTGAGTAACATGGCGAAAGCTCATCTCTACTAAAAATACAAAATTAGCCGGGTGCAGTGGTGCATGCCTGTAATCCCAGCTACTCGGGGAGCTGAGGCAGGAGAATTGCTTGAACCCAGAAGGCGAAGGTTGCAGTGAGCCGAGATCGCGCCATTGCACTCCAGCCTGGGCAACAGAGTGAGGCTCGGTCTCAAAAAAATAAAAAAAGAAAAGAAAAGAAAACTTCACACATACTCTCTATTGCTTTCTCCATTTTCTGGAAGATATGAGTCTAGCAGTTGACATACATCATTCAAGTGCTGGTGCATCAGAAGTCCAGCATGCAGCGGGAATTGGTTTGCAGCTTGGGCTGCTGTGTATCATTCCACGCCCCTTTGAAATTAGTCTAGTTGACTTGTTTTGTTATTCAGAGTGTCAAGTCCAAGAGGGACACCTGAATATATTTGCATTTTTACAACATGAAGCAAAAATGACTTTTGGATCACCATTACTTTGATGTATGCATTCACTCAAATAATGTTACTGAGTACCGTGTCACAAGCCAGCCCTGTACTGGGATCTGGGAATATAATCCTGATCAAAACAGACATGCTACTGCTCTCTTAGAGCTCTATTAACTGAGTGCTGTAACTTCTGACAACTTGTTGTAGTAGATTATTTGCAATTGCTATAAAATCAAAAATAATAATGGTAGTACTGACATGTATAGATCACTCATTCTATGCTAGGCAATATGCTAAGCACGTGGTATCCTTTATCCAATTTCTTTCTTCCACGACCCTTAAGAAGTAAGCATTTATCATTTATTTCACTGTATTAACTATGAATATTAATATTATGACTGAAGCATCAGGAAGTTAAGAAACTCACCCAAATTCACAAAGCCAGTAAGTGGTCGAGCTAAGATGTAAACCGAAGCCGACTATAGTCTTGCCTGTTCATAGCGTATGGTCTTTTAGTTGTCTTGAGGATTTGGCAAGTTTATGGTTGCAAATTTAGTTCTGAGATTTTTGTTTTCATTCTTCCTATGTTTTTCTAAATGTAAACCCTCATTTACTTATACATCTTTTAATAGTCTACCTTCATGTTTCAAACTTCTTGCCTTAGTTGAGTTCACGTCTTCCCCGCTGCATGATTGTGAACATCTTGGCATCCCTCTTAGTGATATTATTTATTTCCCCCATCTGGTCAGAGCCTTCATCTTCCTCCCAGCAGTATGCCCAGGCTCTAATACCTCAGTTGTTTTTCTCTGGGACCTTGACCCTCCTAAGGGATTCGACTGACACTTTAGAGTTTTAACTTCTCATAATGACTCTGGTATAAACGTACTCTTTAAGCCATAAAGCAGTGAATTGATTTCTCATATTTGGCTACAGCATAATGTTTATTTAACCCAATGTGCTAAGTAAATATCAAGATATGAAAGGGTTAAAAATCAAGAAAGCCACTACTCTCTTCAGTAGTGTTTTGAAAAACTTGGGGGAATTCTCACCTAAGGTGTGTGTGTAACTGTATCTATTTTATTCACTTAGCTTTTTATAGAGAATCAGTGTATTGATTGTTTTTGTGAGGCTTTTTTGTGACCTGTTTTACACGGCATTAATATTCTCTTACCATATGCCTTCTTCAGTGTAGGAAAGTCAAGCTTTAATTAATGTTTTTGTTTTCTTGCTATTTGTCTTGATTTCATTAATTTACATAGCACTCCACTCGCTGAATTTTGATTTTTTAAACTGCTTTAGGCCAGGCATGGTGTCTCATGCCTGTAACCCCAACAGTTTGGGAGGCCGAGGTGGGTGGATAACCTGAGGTCAGGAGTTAGAGACCAGCCTGACCAACATGAAGAAGCCCCGTCTCTACTAAAAATGTAAAATTAGCAAGGCATGGTGGTGTATGCCTGTAATCCCAGCTACTTGGGAGGCTAAGGCAGGAGAATCGCCTGAACCTGGGAGGCGGAGGTTGCGGTGAGCCGAGATCACGCCACTGCACTCCAGCCTGGGCAACAAGAGTGAAACTCCATCTCACCAAAAACGAAAAACAAAAACAAAACAAAAAACTGCTCATTCTTTTCCTTTTGTGTATCATCCATAACTTTTCTATACATCTTCAGGCTGAGGTTTCTTGGTGAGTTTTTGGTAAGGGATATGTTTACAGCTGTTATGTTTACCATAATTAGTGACTCTCACATATGCCTTTTCCTGATCTTTTTCTTCCCCAAGTAAGACAGGATCCAAATATACAAGCAGGCTCATCCTGCAAGGGATGCAACTGATAAGATCTGTTAATTATTTGAGGGCATTTATTAGTACTTTATGGTACAATGGGAATGTTCTTTTTCGCCAGATGACTCAGTGTCTGGCAATAATTTTCAAATAAACCAAAACTATTGATGCCAGTAATCTAAAAGTTCAGCCACAATGAAAATTGGCTTCATTATTCTTCTTCTTCACCAATTTAAACTCAAGATCATAAAACCCTGCTACCTAAAAAAGCAAGGAAGCTAACAAATGAGTAAAATGTTCTTACAGAAGTAAAAGTGTACAGTGCAACAGGGAATGTTAGTGACTATGGAAAACTAGAAAACAACATGCCCCACTAAAATATTAATCTGTGCCCGGCTCTACTCCTTTGTGACAAGTCTCCCAGTCTTTTTTTTTCAATCTACAAACTCCTAATTCTCTAGGATTTCCATAATGTTAATGAATAAAATTTAAATTGGTTTTAAAAGTAAAAATAAAGGGCCTGTATAAAGCAAACCAAAATGGTCTGCAGGCTAGATGCAGTTCCTAGTCCACCACTTTGTGACACTTTATTTCAAATGTTTGCTTTACAATAAACTATTAGTATATTTTAAAATAGGTAGAAGAGAAGAAGTCTAATATTTCTACCATAAAGATAAACAAACATTTAAGGTTCTGGATATCCCAATTATACAGATTTGATCTTTTCAAATTATATGAATATGTTAAATTATCATATGTATCCCCAAAATATGTACATCTATTGTATAAAAATAAAAAGTAATTAAAAAAAATAAGGCCAGGCACAGTGGCTCATGCCTGTAATCCCAGCACTTTGGGAGGCAAAGCGGGCGGACCACTTAAGGCCAGGAGTTCAACAGCAGTGTGGCCAACATGGCGAAACCCAGTCTCTACTAAAATACAAAAAGTAGCTGGGCATGGTGGTGCACGTCTATAATGTCAGCTGCTCGGGAGGCTGAGGCATGAGAATCACTTGAACCCGGAAGGCAGAGGTTGCAGTGAGCCGAGATCGTACTACTGCACTCCAGCCTGGGTGACAGAGCCAGACTCAGGAAGGAAGGAAGGCAAGGAAGAAAGAAATGATACCGCATACACTTAGACCTTAGGGCTTTTATACTAACTTTCTTTTGTCAAGAATGCTCTTGCCTTAAATGTCCCCAGGACCCACCGTCTAACCTTCTTTAAATCTGTGCTCAAATGTCACCTAATTGGTGAGGCTTTTCCTGAACACAGTAAATACATTAAAATGGCAATATTTATTTTGACCAATATCTTCTATGCTTTTTATTGCTTGATTTCTCCTCAAAGCTCTCATCAATATCTGAATAATGATATATTTTGCTTTCTTCTTCTTCTTTTTTTTTTTTTTTTTTTTTTTTTTTTGTGAGAGAGAGTCTGGCTCTGCTGCCCAGGCTGGAGTGCAGGGGTGTGATCTCGGCTCACTGCAAGCTCCACCTATCGGGTCCACACCATTCTCCTGCATCAGCCTCCCGAGTAAGTCTTCCAAGTAGCTGGGACTACAGGCACATGCCACCATGCCTGGCTAATTTTTTTGTATTTTTAGTAGAGACGGGGTTTCACCATGTTAGCCAGGATGGTCTCGATCTCCTGACCTTGTGATCTGCCCACCTCGGCCTCCCAGAGTGCTGGAATTACAGGCGTGAGCCACCACGCCCAGCCGCTTTCTTCTTTTTATACAAAATAACTTTCCCTACTAGACTGTAAGGTTTATTTGGGTAGATATTTCTGTCCTTTTAGTTCACTGCTGTATTCCCAGCATCCAGAAAATGTCTGGCACATAGTGCAATTCAATAAATATTTTTCAAATGAATGAATGCTGCAGCCTGGCCAGTCATGAGAGAAAGAGACTAGATCTCCAGTTTCAAGCTGTGCTATAGACCCCGGGTGCTTTGTAGTCACCCTGATACCAACTCTATGGACTAGCAATACTATGATGCTAATCCATACATGTTTTTCAAAAGTCGATGTAAATATCTAAAGTATTAAAATTGGTCTGTGTGCCTTGAAGTCTATATCTTGGTGCAACACTGCCTCTCCCATTTCTTATTTTATTTTATTTTTGTTACTGTTTTTTTCTTTTTTTTTTTTTTGAGATGGAGTCTTGCTCTGTCTTCCAGGCTGAAGTGCAGTGGCACGATCTTGGCTCACTGCAACCTCCATCTCCCAGGTTCAAGCGATTCTACTGCCTCAGTCTCCTGAGGATCTGGGATTACAGGTGCCTACCACCACGCCCAGCTAGTTTTTGTATTTCTAGTAGAGACGGGGTTTTGCCATGTGGGCCAGGCTGGTCTCGAACTCTTAACCTCAAATGATCCACGTGCCTTGCCTTCCCAAAGTGCTGGGATTATAGGCATGAGCCACCACACCAGGTCACGCCTCGCCCATTTCTGACTTTAACTATAGCTGGGGTAGAACTGTTCCCCTGTTGTATTTTTCTGCCTCAAGTCTTTATCTGAGTCACAAGCAAGGAGAACTATGGGAAGTTAACCCCGTCCTTAGGGGCAGCCTTCAGCTAAGAGGGCATGAGAATCAGTAGATAAATGCCTCTGTCTCCTGTCCTTTGGGAAGTCAATTCTCAGGCATATTTAACATACTTTCTTAGGGGTTCAAGGCTGGATTGAGTCTCAGTTTCCCACAATAACTCCTTCTACTTTTTTCTTCTTTACTTCTGCTTCTTGGTATCACCTCCTAAATAAACTAAACTGCTTGGAAGTCCTGCTCTTAGCCTCTACTTTTAGGGGAGTCCAAACCAGCTAATAGCAGAGAGGCAGCTTAGTTTTGGTCATGTCAGTAATTAGAAAGAAAGCAGGTGGGAAAAAACAGCTTTAACAGAGATGATTGGAGAGTTGACTGTGTATGTATTAATAGATCTATATATGTATGTGTATGCATGTGTTTGCATAATACATGCTCACAAACCACTGTGTAGTTATATCTATAAATATTATCTGGGTCCTGCAATTAGGGAGTTTTACTCTTTTTAGTATTTGCTTGTTTTATTATTAACCAGATGTTGAGCAAGTCATTGTACCTAAGATTCAGCTTATACTTCTGTACAATGAAGGAGTTGAACAGATGGTTTTAGAGTCCTGTTCAATTCCAGTAATTTACAATTCTATCTGTACACATGGTTTGAGAGGAAGATATGTATGCCGATAGGGTTAGAGCTCAGCCTGGAATTCTATTCAACTAATATGAAATTTCACATAGGTCATATGCTTTACCATGTGCTATTGATTCTGTTCACATTGGCAGCATTTGAAAGAAAGAAGAAAATGGCTGCTCCATATGTTTACGTGCAGCAAGAGGCGTGAAGACATTTAAAACTCTCTGTGAATGAGCGCAGAAATTTATGCTTGATACATTCTCAGTTGATCTTGGTTTCAAGGAGGCTAAATTTATTCCCATCTCTGTGGTGCAGTTTACCAACTTCAGCAATTATCTCTTTCTGAGAAAGTGCATCCTCTCCAAATGCAAGCATTTGTTGATTTGCTCACAAAATCTATGTCGTTATTATATCTGCATCTGGGGGCATGTAGTGGAGAAAGATCCTGTATAATTCACAGGAGACATATTCTGAAATGGGTGAATGTTCACAAAAAGTGGAGCAAGGAAGACCCCTGGATTGAATCATCAATCACAGGATGTAGCTTGAATCTATGATAGACAAAAATATATACAAACCTGCAATGAGAACACATACAAAGAATGCTCATTGGTCTTCAGAAGGCTTTTGAGGCTCAGGAAGTCTCATCACTAAGACTGAAGTAGGCTGTCTAAAGTTTGGGCTTATTCTAGTTCTGAGAGCAAAAATACACAAAAGAGGAATTCCCAGTATTTGTTAATGTTGATGAAAGGACTCCATGAGCACCATTTTTCTATCTACTCAGAATATTTCATTAAAGCTCATGACCAACCCAGAAGGATCCTCCCTTTTATCCCCACCAGGATGGAGAGCACACAGTAGTTCATTTCAAGGCTTGACCTCACTGCACAGCAAGGTATAATATTTCAATTCCCAAGATTCTCACATTTTCCCCCAGAATAAACAGAGACACAGGCAACAGTCAAATAATTCACAATTCTACCCATGTATTAAACCTAGTACTACTCTGTTCTTGCACAAGTAACAAATATTCAATTAAGACCAAAAGAGAGCTGAGTGTTAGTTTTCATTTAGTTACTGCAAAGCATAGTCCTGTATTTTATTGTTTCTCTTTGTAAGAAAATGACTTGCCGGTGTATTTACAATCATGCTGACCGAAGCCAAAGCCTGGGTTTCCTGTTTGCTCTACGCTCTCTCATAACTATGGCCATAAAATGAAGCCCATGTGGTAGAAAGACTTAGTCAAGAAGACAGCTAATAACTAGATTAAAAAGCAGTGACTCCATTGATGAAAGTTAAGAAAAAAAATAGGGGAAGTATACTTAGAAAATAATAAATAGCAAATGCAAAACTTCTTTTCAACATAAATTTAAGTATTTAAGTCCATAGTGGGAAAATGTTAATCAGTAATGAAGATGTTGAGGTAAATAGAGGAACTGGCAGCGATTTTATATCCCCATAGGCATGGACATGTAGTAGCAAGCACACAACCCAAAAGTTATTAGAAATGTTCAATTTAAGACCTCTCCTGAAGTAAAATTGTGAATGGGTCCATTAGATATGCTCAGCCATGCTGGATGTCTTAACTATAAGTAAAACTCCCTTACTGATAGAGTCTAGGGCGTATTGTATCTAGAAAAAAATGGAAGAACTCTTTTGAATGAAACAATTTAGGAAGACAGGAAAAAACCAGACAAGTGAAAATCCAATTATGTGTACCTAACGTCAACCTGTGTGATCATTCTCTGTTTAAATGTGGGATCAGTGATGCTGCCTCAAAGCTTGAGGATGACGGGAGCAGGAACAGTCTGGCAGTTGGTATCATGCCAAAAACACCAGCTGGAGACACTGCAGAGCTGGCGGTTGAGAATATGGACTCCGAAATTACATAGATAGGTCTGCCACTTATGAGTTGTGTGATAAAGGTACATCATCTCCCTAGGTCATGGGTTTCTTTTTTTTTTTATCTGTAAAACAGGCAAAATAACTGTATTTACTTCTTTAGGCTATCTGTGAGGATTGAGAACGTGCATATATTCTTTGCACTTAGTGCAGCATCTGATACTTTGCAAACCCACTGATTAATGAGCTATTATTCATTGAGTAATTTAACATATGTTGAAGGTTCCAAATGTGGGAACTATGTTTAACTTAGAACTAAGCTATTTAATATATATGTTAAATGTTAAATATATGTTAATGTTTATGTTAAATGTTAAATAGCTTAGTTTGAAGGTAAACATAGTTCCTGTTATGGCAATGATAATGATTATGGTGACAGTGATGTTGACGATGATGTTGCCATATTAGTTTCTTAGAACATTAGTTTCTGGCCATTCTTCAGTGGTTGAAGGTGTTAGAACAGGGTTTACAGCACATCTGGACCTTATCTATACAATGGTGTTACAATAATAAATACCTATGCAGAACAAATACCTAAATTGGTTAAGCTTGTATGTGTGTGTGTGTGTGTGTGTGTATGTACATACATGTGTATGTACATGTAATTGTGGGTAGAGCACTCAGGAAGGTCTGTCTTAGTACAGGACTAAGTAACAGTTGTTATTAATATCAGTTAATATCAGGACTAAGTATCAGTTGCTATTAATATCATCATTAGCAGCAGCAACAACAGCAAACCAGTGGTGTTGGTGACAGCCAGAACATTTAGGGTCTGTCTCCTGGCAGCAAGGCAGCTAGGACAAGTGCCAATTAGAGACATCCATCTGGGGGCCTGGCAGTGGCAGAGAGCTGAGGAGGTGTCTATAATGGTACTTCCAGTAGTTTATCAAGTTGTAAGAGGATAGGGTTCCAAACAGAGTAGGATCCAGTGGTTCAAAATGATAACTTTGTAAATGCATTTTGCAACAACAACTAACATAAAGAAAATAGCACGTAAAAGCCCTTAATGTTACTGTACTGGAATATGCTGCAGCACAGACTCCATTTTCCACCATAATCTTCCATTCCTCTCCACACGCAAACTCCCCTTGCTGATTTTAATCAGATATTTCACCTGAATGAAGAAACTTTGTTGGATGATGTAGCCCCACTTAATAATGACCTTAATTCATTTAGTCCTTGTGAGTCTATAAAGTATTTGCTTAACAGTCTATTTAAGAAGGCTGTTAGGAATTAGAGACAACTGCAATAATAATAGTAAGAGTAAAAAGTTATTGGGCATTTATATGCCAGATACAGCACCTCAGTTTTGTATGCACTATCACCCTTAAACTCAAAACAACCCTCTGGGAGAGGTATTATCCTAAGTTCATAGATAAGGGGTTACATGACCTACCAATAAAACCAGAGCTTGTAGAAGTCCAAGGCAGCATTTAAATTTAGGTCTGCCCAGGTCCAAAGCCTGGGCTTTTAATTGTCATGCTATGATGATAACTATTGAAATTGAGTACCTGTCTTCATAAAGCTTACCATCTTGTAAAATACTCTGAACCAATGGTTACCAAAATTTAGTTCATGAACCAGCAGCATCATTGTCATCTGGCAACTTATTAGAAATGGGGATTTTGGGGCTCAGGCCCAGACTTACAGAATTGGAATCTCTGCAGGTGGGGTTGTCCTTGTTTTAACAAGGCCTCCAAGGGTTGTGTTTCTCAATCTTACCAGCCTGGGTTTCTACTCCAAGAAGACAAGGAGAGAGGGGAATTATTTCTCAGCTAAAGCTATACCTTAAGTACTCTGAGGTCAGACCAGAATCCATTTAGAATCCACTGGTCTGACCTCAGAGACTTTAATATATAAGGGGATTCTGATGCTTAAGAAAGGTTGAGAACCACATTAAGCACTCTTGAAAGACAAGTAAGGCAGAAATTATCAGTATCCCAATTTTACATATGAGAATCTGAGAGCACACTAACATGGTCAAGGTTATATGGCTGACATAAACAAAGCTGGACTCTAGATGTATTAGTCATGGTTGACTCAAAGAATAAGGTAAATACTGTTTTAACACATCCCCTTTAAGACACCTTCATAGAGGAGAGAATGTCAGAGTCTTGTATTTAGAAAAAACAGTGAAGACCAGTTTTTTTTCTCTTGTAAAGTTTTTCCAGAGAACCTGCAAATTGCATTGACCAAAACAGAAGTAATTTGCACACAAATGTTCATAACAGTATTATTCATAATAGCCAAAAAGTGGGAACAATCCAAATGTCTATCAATTGATAAATAAGTAAAAAATGTGGTAGTCCCATACAGTGGAATATTATTCAGCCATAAAAAGGAAGGAAGTACTGATACTACAACATGGACAAACTTTGAAGATACCGTGCTAAGTGAATGAAGCCAGAGACAAAGGCCACATATTGTATGATTCCATTTATGGACTGTCCAGAATAGACAAAGCCATAGGGACAGAAAGTAGAATAGTATTTTCCCAGAGCCAAGGAGTGAGGGAGGATAAGGAACGACTGCTGTTGGATATGTGATGTCTTTTTAGGCTGATGAAAATATTCTGGCATTAGAAAGCGGTGATGGTCACTCAACCTCGTGAGTACACTAAAAATCACTTAACTGTACATTTTAAAAGGCTGAATTGTATGATGTGTGAATTATATCTCCATAAAAACAATTAAATATTCTGAGGAGAAAAAAAGTACTACTGTCTCCTGAGAGACACTGTCTGCTGTCAGGAAGTTAGAGTTGCTCAGAGCCAAATTCCCTGATACATGATAAACAGAATTACATAATTATAGTCCTATCCCAGTTCTCTCATTTTACACACAAGTACACTGATTTGTCCAAAGTCCCACAGATAATGAGTGGCATAATCAGATTCCAAGTTTCCCAAACTGTAATCCCAATCTGTCTTCCACTCCTCCGTTATGGAGCTTCCCTGTTGTGTGTTTTATAGTCATGGAAGGTGGCTGGGATTGGGGGCGGCGGGGAGGGGCAGTCACTGGTCTCTTACCACCACCCTGCCCAGCAACAATGTGCAACTTCTTTAATTAGAGAAAAGGAATAAAGCACAAACCTTCCTCAGAGAGTGAACTCTCTCATGTTAATTCACCTGAGGTGTGATATTGGATTCCACCCCAAGAGCAGGGAGACTTAAGACTTCTAGAGGGCAAAGGAGGGCAGCCTCTGTGGTGTGAGAGTGATCTTGAAGATGCAGGATAGGCAGTCACTTCACCTATTTTCAATTTTGTCCTAGATTGGCATCCCTAGGAAGCAGGATATCTTTTCATTTCCTGCCAAACCTCCTGGTGGCCAAAATTAAAAATCCATATTGAGTCAGTAATTAAACTTCCCCCTACCTGAGGGTTATGTCCCAGACCAATGCTTTAAAAAGAGTTCTGATACAAAAAAAAAAAAAAGCAGTTTAATGGAGAAAGACTATCTGAAGAAAGAATGATGTCAAATAGATTTAAAACGTATGAATGCAGCAATATATATGTTGCTTGGGCTGCATAAGTAAAAAGAGACAAAAATCAATCTAAACTCCCCAGTTTCAACTATATTGTTTCCACATGCGTGACATCTATACCAGAAAAAAACTAACAAAACTAGAAATGCATTCCTCTTGGAATGGAAACAAATGTCAAAACAAACAACTCAGGATAAACTTGAGCTAGAGAAGAAAGCTTTGCTCTACTCTTTTCTAAGGAGCTTTGAAGATCTGGCCATGGTTGACATAACAACTCATTGCAGCAGATATGTTACTTCAACAGGGAGCATTTCACAGATTGTCAAAGTTGTCTTCTCATCCCATCCAACCTATCTTGGGGGAGGGTGAGAAAACCGAAGAGCAAAAAGATTAATTCATTTGCCCAAGTTCACATGGCTAAGTGCTTTCAGATACTGGGAATGTTTGATTTACTTGAATCAAAATAGTGAGAATGTCTTCCTGAATTATACTTGATAATGGTTTTCTAGTTACATTATAACATGTCTAAGCTCTATATAAATGAAAATGAATTTTATTAAGAGTGTTTTAGTATTTGATTGGCTTTGTCAAAAGATTTCAGATAGTGGTTTTGGGGAACTTGGTGAATGCCCATGCAGTTTTTGATACAGTGGCAAAGAATATTTGTAGAAGATATGACTTTTTAAACTCTAGAACTTATAATTCCTCAGAAAATATTTACGCATTCTTTATTTATTAATTTATGAATGAAATAACTGTTCATTCATTTAATAACAATTTGTTAAACACCTATATTATTGGGTACTGATAGATGTTGGGTGTACCGAGATATCTGTGATTTAGTCCATGAATTTAAGGAGTTTATAATCTTGTGGGCTGACACAATTTGTTTCAAACTCTGTTCTGCCAGATTTAAGTGAGAAATCCAGGCAAAATACAATGTTTCTGTCAATGAACCATATTGTTACAGTATCAGAAGCTACTGCCTTGGTACAGCCCACAGTGGATAAGATCATGGTCCTGGGGCTGAGAAAAATCTGGGTTCAAAACCTACCTGTAATTATAGTTGCTCAGTGTATGAGCTTGAGGAAATTGCTTAATTCTCTGAGAAAACATTTAAAATAGCCCAGTAACTGCCCTATAGTCAGCACTTAATAATAATGTCTATTGTAGTCATTTATTAATAACAAAAGGCCATGGCCTCCTCTCTTTATCGCTGAGCTCCAATGCAAGTAAAACACTTCCATCTACTTTACCTTCAATGGGTCCTAACTTGCATAGTAGGAATAAAGAAAAAAGGAAAATTGTGGGAGTAGGAGGGAAAGAGAGAATGCCATGAGCCGCATGCCTTCTGGCCTTTCTGTCATTTTCCAGGTATCTATTCTTCCAAGTAGGAGGGTCAAAAGTGATTGTGTTTAGTTTTGTTGTAAAGTTGACCAAGAACGGAATAGGTCTGCCGGGCACAGTGGCTCGTGCCTGTAATTCCAGCACTTTGTGAGGCTGAGGCGGGCGGATCACCTGAGGCCAGGAGATCGAGAACAGCCTGACCAACATGGCGAAACCCCATCTCTACTAAAAATACAAAAATTAGCAAGGCATGATGGCAGGTGCTTGTAGTCCCAGCTCCTCAGGAGGCTGAGAATCACTTGAATTCAGGAGGTGGAGGTTGCAGTGAGCTGAGATCGTGCCACTGTACTCCAGCCTGGATGACAAAAGCAAAACTCCGTCTCAAAAAAAAAAAAAAAAAAAAAAAAGAATAAAAAAAAGGGAACAGGTCACAATTTCCCTCACTATCAAATAATTGTTTGCATTTAAGGGGAAGGAGGAAGAAAACAAGCTTGATGCCTATTTTGTTTAATTATATTATTCTCAGGGTAAAACTGTATCTTGTTCTCTACAGTGGTAGGTAGGTAGGTAGATACGAAGTAGGAAGGTAGGTAGGTAGGTAGGTAGATAGATAGATAGATAGATAGATAGACAGAAAAAAATGTATATAAGCACTTTTTTCTGTATTTTTACCAAGTCTGTTGGGCAATCTGTTGATATTTGAACTAGATAATTTTAAAAACAGAGGAAAATACTACATCACTCACCTAATATTTTGTCATTAACTACAAATAATTATTATTTTAACTGATGTTTTTACATCAAAACATGACTTAAAAGTCCTAAGCAAATTTTTCACTACTGATGATGGTAATGATTAAAAAGTCAGGAAACAACAGGTGCTGGAGAGGATGTGGAGAAATAGAAACACTTTTACACTGTTGGTGGGACTGTAAACTAGTTCAACCATTGTGGAAGTCAGAGTGGCGATTCCTCAGGGATCTAGAACTAGAAATACCATTTGACCCAGCCATCCCCTTACTGGGCATATACCCAAGGGATTATAAATCATGCTGCTATAAAGACACATGCACACGTATGTTTATTGCGGCACTATTCACAATAGCAAAGACTTGGAACCAACCCAAATGTCCATCAGTGATAGACTGGATTAAGAAAACGTGGCACATGTACACCATGGAATACTATGCAGCCATAAAAAATGATGAGTTCATGTCCTTTGTAGGGACATGGATGAAGCTGGAAACCATCATTCTGAGCAAACTATCGCATGGACAAAAAACCAAACACTGCATGTTCTTACTCATAGGTGGGAGTTGAACAATGAGAACACATGGACACAGGAAGGGGAACATCACACACCGGGGCCTGTTGTGGGGTGGGGGGAGGGGTAGGGATAGCATTAGGAGATACACCTAATGTTAAATGACACGTTAATGGGTGCAGCACACCAACATGGCACACGTATACATATGTAACAAACCTGCACATTGTGCACACGTACCCTAAAACTTAAAGTATAATAAAAAAAAAAAAGAAAAGTAACCCAATACAGAGGGGGAGAAAAAAAAAAAAGCTAATGAGGCTAGCTAGGCTCAGTGTTTCTAGGAATGATGTAACTAGAACCATGTGACTTTTATCATATATTTCATCAATGAAGATAATAAATGCTTAAACAAGATAATTACCATCCTCCTTCCTCTCTGTTAAATGCTTCAAATACATTATATAATTTATACTGGGCTCAGAGTAGCCCTAATATGGCTAATATTGGTACCTCTGTACCTCTGTATTATAGATGGGGCAACTAAATTGGGTCAAGTAAGTGGCTGAAGGTCACACAAGCATGGCCTCCCCAGAACCAGATACTTCCCACCTACTTTGTCCTAGTCAACCTTAGCTTCCGACCTTACTGTGTTCCTTCCAGTGCAACATTCTCCATTTTTGTTGTTGTTGTTTGTTGTTGTTGTTTTGTTTGTTCATTTGTTTGTTTTTGAGACGGAGTCTTGCTCTTATTGCCCAGGCTGGGGTAAAATGGCACAATATCGGCTCACTGCAACTTCTGCCTCCCACGTTCAAGCGATTCTCCTGCCTCAGCCTCCAGAGGAGCTGGGATGACAGGCACCCACCACCACACCTGGCTAGTTTTTGTATTTTTAGTAGAGATGGGATTTCACCATGTTGGCCAGGCTTGTCTCGAACCCCTGATCTCGTGATCTGCCCGCCTCAGCCTCCCAAAGTGCTGGGATTACAGGCGTGAGCCACCGCCTGCACCCCTCCACCAACACTCTTCTTTTTATAGTCCCTGTGCGGAAACTCAAACCATTTGTCCCCTGTCCCAGTGCCTCTTCAGTCTAGTCCTTCAATAGCTTCCTCCTCAGTTACTGATTTGCTACATGACTATGGAGACAACCAGATTAAACTGTGTAGATGTCATTTCCCATTGCTTTATTTCTGTAACTGCAACCACACTGTAGTGATTTCTGCTTTCCCTCAAGAAGACAACTGTCCTCCAACACCCAACATTTTATCTCTGAATTGTTACCTTATTTACTCTGCAGCCCCTACAGTAGCAGTCATTATGTCTCCTCCTGACCTACTCTGGTATGTTCTTTCTCCCTTCCTCCTTCCCTCCTTTGATTTTTCAGTCTAATTATATCTTAGCTTAGAATATAAACTTTTAGCTAATGAAATTTTCTTCAAACATGCCTTCAAACCCCAGCTGTTCATTTCCCTCTGAGTTAAAATGAGTAAAGTTTTGATTATGTTTGTTTAAAATTCACTAGGCTAATATATCCATATATTGAATGTATTCCATATACATTATCTTCTGTACTTCTTTAAAGGCAAATGTGAAATTCTCTAACAAAGTCTTTCCTATAAAAAAATATGACACACCACTCTCAGGGGAATTATGATAATTCAAAGAACAAACCAAACCAAATTAAACTCACATCTTTTCTGAGCAAAAGAGTAAATAATAAAAATGCAGAAGTATTGTTTGTTAGGGTCAACAGCTTTTGCTAGAACCTGATGTGATATTCTGTATAGAATTTTGTTGGGAAGTTATGAAGTACTGATAAGACAGGCAAATATTATTTGCACACAAATGATCCTTGCAAAATAAAAATTTTCAAGTGGAGATAAATTCTTCCTTATCCTCTTTAGTTCTTCAGCAGGGTTCTTGGATACCGTCTTTGGGAATGCTCTTCTCTCCAATGTTGTGATATTTACATGAAAACTTTGGTTTTAATGTAATATTTATCTAACTAGATATAACCAGACTTGAAGGTGATTCTCTAGATTTCTTGTACCTCCCTTATGATTTCAGCTATGCGCTCGATTCAGTTGAATTTAAGAAGATTATCAATGGCATTTCATAATTGTTTATGGATTTCATATTATTTAAACTTGCTCTCCAGTTCAGTAAATAAATTTTAGAGGAAATCAATATTATGAATTTTTTTTCAGTTATTAGAAATTGCTTTTGAGTTTTAGTCTTTTTCTTTCTTTCTTTTTTTTCTTGGTGTAATTGTAATAGAAACCCAAGGAGTCTAGAACTGTACTTGCTACCTTCTGGTTTTGTGACTTTGATCAAATCACTCTGCCTCTCAGGATTTCAGACTCTGCACAAGTAAAGAGTGAGATGGAGCACAAGTGAGCTTTCTAGGTCAGCGTTTCCCAAAATTTTATCATCTATTTTTGTCCAATCTCTACGCTCCCTGTATTATTATTCTCTTTAATTTTTTATTAATTATGTTTTTTTTTTACTTGAAGGAACTTTATCACAGCAGTATCACTTGTTATAAGTAAAAAGTAGCCGTAAAGATAAAGACAACAGAAACAAATGTATTAAAGCCTGGCACGTCCTCAGAAGACTCTGCTCCTGAGCCTTGATAGTTCACCACAAGTATAAGACTGTCATGTGTCAGAGAGATTTTAAAGACATGCTGGCACCAAGTGAGACTTTATTTTTAGTTTAATCAGAAGAACTCAAAGAGAATTAAGTGAAAGAGGAGTGACTTATTCTTAAGTGAGTTAGGTTTTGTTTGTTTGTTTGTTTGTTTTTTGAGACAGAGCCTCGCACTATTGTCTGGGCTGGAGTGCAGTGGTGTGATCTCGGCTCACTGCAACCTCTGCCTCCCAGGTTCAAGCTATTCTCCTGCCTCAGCCTCCAAGTAGCTGGGATTATAGGCTCTCACCACCATGCCCAACTAATTTTTTGTACTTTTAGTAGAGACGGGGTTTTACTATGTTGGCCAGACTGGTCTTGAATGCTTGACCTCGTGATCCACTCGCCTCGGCCTCCCAAAGTGCTAGGATTACAGGTGTGAGCCACCACGCCTGGCCATGAGTTAGTACTTTTTTAGTGCCTGATCTCTGTACAATCCAAAAATTATCTCCCATTCCAGTGTTGTGCATCTTGCGTTTTTAGAAATGCTAATGTAAAGAGGAAGCATCTTCCAGCTCTAAAAAAAAAAAAAAAAAAAAAAGTGGATGCTGTAATGCCCCAATGTAATAATATATTCTGGCAACAGTGATCCAGATGAATCATATTTTTGTGTGTGATCAGTTTTTCTTTCTACATTTTTCATATAGGTAAATATTTGTTGTGTATTTTAACTCATGTACTAGGTAAAAGTTGATGTAAATCAATTTGGGGCTAAGATGTAATAATACTGTTGCCTTTATGGTTTAATTTAATGATGTTGAAAAGCTTTCTAAGTAGTAAAACTATAGCTCATTTTATTCCTTGCCTCTCCCCATCCATAATAGCATGCAATGAGTGACATAAAGGGGCCAGATTAACCCCTGAACTGCAGCCCTAGAACAGCGATGGCCTGGCATAGAAAGTTATTGTGACTGGAGATCCTTTAATCACCAGAGTATTTTGACAGAGTGCTGAGTAGTTGCGGCATTAGTAGTAGGAGATTTGACACAGAAACCATTCTTAAAGTCTTGGGGAGCCCAGTTGGCTCTTAAAAACACAACTTGGAATTCCTTTAGTTTCAGTGCCTTATTTTTACCTTTCTTTGAAGTGCCTTTTTGTTCACTGATCTGTTAAAAGTGCAATCTTGTTTCTGTTTTTAGCCATCCATTGCTATTACCATAATAAGCCCAGTGTTTCAAACATGTGTGTCTTAGAGTATAATTCTTCCTTACTCAAGACTACTCAAGCCATTCCTTCCCTCCCACAAAGATGATATCTGAATTGTGCAGGCATTGGAAGAATGCAAGTGTCATTCTCAACTTTTTTTTCACCTCCATAAAATAAAAACAAACATTTATGACCTCATGCAAACTTTTTGGGTCAGGAATTTGGGAGCAGCTTAGCTGGATGGTTCTGATTCAGGAAATTATACTCCAGTATCAGCTGGGGCTGCGGTTGCTGAAGGTTTGACTGCGGCTAGAGCACCCACTTTCAAGTTGGCTCAGTCACATATGTGACTGGCAGGCTCATGCCAGGTGTTGACGGTAGGCCTCTCTTCTGTACCGCATGGAGCTCCCTATGGCTGCTTGAGTGTCCTCGTGACATGGCCTGTGGCTTCCCTCAGCAGATGATCCAGAGAGAAAGCAAGAGGAAGCCAAGTGGCTTGTTGCAGAAGTCACAGTTGTCAGTTCCATAATATTCAATTTATTATAAGCGAGTCATTATTTTCTGCCCCACACTCAAGGGAAGGGAAATAAGTTCTATATTTTAGAAGGGGGAGTGTCAAAGAATATTTGGACGTAATTTCAAACCACCACAATCTGTTCCTCTCCTTTGCTTTCATACTGGGACAAACTGTCGTCAGTTCTTACCTACACAACATAATACGATTCTGGTTGGTCTTCCCTCATCTTCACTGCTCTTCCACTCTTGTGCATTTCTAATCCATTCTCCATGGAGAATCCCAAGTGATCATTTGAAAACACAAATCTATCATATCACCTTTCTTCTTTTTTTGTTGTTTTGTTTTGAGACAGGGTCTCGCTCTGTCGCCCAGGCTGGAGTGCAGTGGCACGATCTTGGCTCACTGTAACCTACGCCTCCTGGGTTCAAGCAATTCTCATGCCTCAGCCTCCCCAGTAGCTGGGATTACAGACACATGCCATCACGTCCAGCTAATTTTTGTATTTTGTGTAGAGACGGGGTTTCACCATGTTGGCCAGGCTGGTCTCAAACTCCTAACCTCAAGTGATCTGCCTGCCTCGCACTTTTCTGCTTGGGTGGCTTACTGTTACACATAGGATAAAATTTAGAGATCTTTTCAAGGCATATAATGTCTTACATGAGTTGGTTCCTGCTGCCTTCTCTAACCTCATCTCATACAACTCCCTCTGAGCTCACTAGAAATTCTAATCTTCTTTTCCATTACTAAATCATGTCAACCGCTTCCTAACTCAGGGCCTTCATACCTGCGATTTACTTTCTCTTTTGAATGGTCTTTCCCCTTCCTCCTTGCCTGTCTATGCCTAGCTTTATACTGTAGATTTCTGCTTAAATACCTCTCCAGCAGAAAAACTTTTCCTGATAAAACTTAGATAGCACTGTATCATTTGTTTTCTCTTTTATTAAAAAAAAAAGCTGTATTGAAGTATAATTGACATGCAATAAACTATAAAAATTAAGGTATACACTTTGATACATTTTGTCATAGGCATATAACTGTGAAATCATCATCAATATTCGAAATAATGCATCACTCCAGGAGGTCCCTTTGTGGAGGATCCTTGTTATTTTCCAAGTTGGAAACAGTGCCTAGACCATCACAATATTTCTTACAATTTATAATTGCTAATTGCTTTCATCTCAGTTTGTAGTAACTCGCTTGTGCATCTCACCATCTAGACTGGAGCTCCATTTGAAGAGAAAATGTGTCTGTAGAGTTCATTGCTACATCTCCATGATCACATTGTCCAGATGTTCAATAAATTTTTGAATATATGAATAATTGTTTGTATTATAAGCTGATAAAGTCCCTTAAAGAAATACAAGTCAAGTGCTTAGATACTTTTGATGTAGTCTGCCCTTTGAAGAACTAGTAGATTTGTGACTTTTTTTTTTTTTTTTTTTTTTTTTTTTTTGAGACGGAGTCTCGCTCTGTCGCCCAGGCTGGAGTGCAGTGGCGGGATCTCGGCTCACTGCAAGCTCCGCCTCCCGGGTTCACGCCATTCTCCGGCCTCAGCCTCCCAAGTAGCTGGGACTACAGGCGCCCGCCACTACGCCCGGCTAATTTTTTGTATTTTTAGTAGAGACGGGGTTTCACCGTTTTAGCCAGGATGGTCTCGATCTCCTGACCTCGTGATCCGCCCGCCTCGGCCTCCCAAAGTGCTGGGATTACAGGCGTGAGCCACCGCGCCCGGCCGATTTGTGACTTTTTAAAATTGTAGCCTTCTGAAACTAAGCGAAAAAAAATATGAGGTGAATTTTTGAAAGGCCTAAACGAAGAAAAATGAGATCCCAACTTGTCTCTCATGTAAGGGAGGTAAAGAAAAGTAAGTGTTGAATGCCAGGTGTAGTAGTCTGCTCTTTATTTGAGTCGAGACTAAGAAGCAATCATTGAAAGGTTTTTATTTTTTTATTTATTTTTATTTTTTGAGGCAGGGTCTCGTTCTGTGAGACCAGGCTGGAGTAAGTAGTGCAATCATAGCTCACTGAAACCTCAAACTCCTGGGCTCAAGGCATCCCCCTCCCTCAGCCTCCCTAGTATGCTGGGACTACAGGTGCATGCCAACACACCTGGCTAGTTTTTTAAAATTTTTTGTACAGATGAGGTTTCACTTTGTTTCCCAGGCGCATCTCAAAATCCTGGCCTCGAGCAGTCCTCCCTCCCCAGCCTCTGAAAGTGTTGGACTTAGAGGCATGAGCCACTGTGCCCGGCCTTCATTAAAGGTTTTCAGCTTGGCCCTGACTTTTTATTGTCTTGGCTTTGCCTCAGGACAATTAATATGGCACTGATACATAAGAAAACATATGAATATCTTCGAGACCTGTACTTTACCTATCTGCATGATTTATATCATTGCAAATAAGGAAGAAAAGTTAGGAAAAGACAAATATAATTCAAAGTGTTTAAGTTTTCTGAAACTAGAGGGTTGGTGATATGGTTTGGTTCTGTGTCCCCACCCAAATCTCATCTTGTAGCTCCCATAATTCCCACATGTTGTGGGACGTACCGGGTAAGAGATGATTGAATCATGGGGATGGGTCTTTCCCATTGCTGTTCTCATGATAGTGAATGGGTCTCATGAGATCTGATGGTTTTAAAAACGGGAGTTTCTCTGCACAAACTCTCTCTTTTTGCCTGCCAACATCCATGTAAGACAGAACTTTGTGCCTCCTTTCCTTCCGCCATGATTGTGAGGCCTCCCCAGACACGTAGAACTGTAAGTCCATTAAACCTCTCTCTTTTGTAAATTGCCCCATCTTGGGCATGTCTTCATCAGCAGTGTGAAAACTGACAAATACAGTTAGTTTAACCACTCTCTGGAGTGTTCTATTCATGGGTTGGTAACAAATAAACCATTTATAATTTAAAGTTTTCACAGCCTTAGAAATGCTCACATAGATGTTAGGAAATAGTTTTGGTATACAACAAAACAGAACCTTTGTGCACATTTATTTTTGTATTATATTGTACTGAGGGTTTCTAATCAGGTGAAGAGAAAAGCAGTGTCAGAATGGGAAGTCTGAATTTGAATTGGATATGTTTAAGCAAATTGTCTCTTTACCAGCCCTACCTAATTTGAGAATACATAACACCCACTCAGCTCTCCCTGAACTCACATGTTGGATTTTCCCAACTAATTTTAATACACACAGATAAAAAGACCAGATATTTGGTCTATACATTTTCTGAATGTATGGAAACATCTATTTATGTAACAAGCATAATATTATAGCTGAAATTGAAATCATTTTTGTATTTTGGTGGTTGTTGACTGGCTAATAGCTAATAAGTCAATGTCAGGATAGCGAAATCCCACATGTATTCAAATATTTAACTCCAATAAATAACATTTGTTCATTCAGCACCTACTAAATGAATCTACCTCTGTTAACCTTCGCAATTATCGGATAGGTAGATACATTGAGATTATCCCTGCTTAGTAGATGAGAAAACTGGTGGTTAGGTATAATTTTCCCATGGTAATGCCACTTACCAGTAGCAGAGTTGCAATTGAAACTTGGATTTGTGGCCTCTGAAATGATCAAGTAATAGTTATTGATTTTTAAGTTCATGTAATGACAACTATTTGTTTGATCTTGGAATCAGGACTGAGTATTTTTGATAGAAAGGAATAAGTCATATTTTGGATGGGCAGATGAAGATCTTATAAGAATGTTACTGCCACAGCTTATACCTAAACATGTTGAAAATATTTTAGGGAAGAGAATGTATATGTTGATGGATTTGTGTTAGCTGCTTTTGGATTCAATGATTAAAGCCAGTTTTGCCTTATAGCTAAAAGTATCTGATAAAAAACTAATCACTTGTCATAAAGAAGAGAAGTGGAGGCTATGTCATCATTACCATCACCATCTGAAGTCGTCAAATATATTGCATTTCCTGTGATGTCCCAGTTAGTTCCAAGCAGTTATATTTATATAAAATCATATATTTCAGTAAATATTGGAGCTTTGTAAGAATAACATTATTTTAACATAAATAGGTGTTTTCAGACAGTCTCATTATTTGTGTATTCCAAATATGTAGTACCTTGAAGACCTTGACTTATTTGAGAACAGCATGAAAATTTGCCTGCCTGAAAATCTATTGGCGTATATTCAAGATACGTTTTACAAGCAGGAGATTATTTTGGGAGCATAATTCATCACTTTGCTTACATAGTTGTTGGCTCTTTGTCTGGCATTTGATTGGAGAGCTACATTTTCTTGGAGTAATGTTGAACACAATTTTGGAGAAACTGGTTTTTTTTTGACAATTTGAAATGTTACTGATTAAGATCCCTTGAGGCCAATTCTATACACAAAGTACATATTTATCCATTGATTCCATGAAAACATAAAAATTCTTTCCATTTAGTAAATAGATAATTTGGTACAGGATTATTTGCCCTGGAGTAACTGGTTAACCAGGGTATAATAAAATGGATCTTTTTTTTTTTTTTTTTTTTGAGACAGAGTCTTGCTTTGTCAGCCAGGCTGTAGTGCAGTGGCACGATCTCGGCTCACTGCAACCTCCCTCTCCCAGGCTCAAGCAATTCTCCTGCCTCAGCCTCCCGAGTAGCTGGGTTTACAGGCATGTGCCACCACACCCGGCTAATATTTATGTTTTTTTTGGTAGAGACGGGGTTTCACCATGTTGGCCAGGCTGGTCTTGAACTCCTGACCTCAGAATCGGCCAGCCTTGGCCTCCCAAAGTGCTGGGATTACAGGCATGAGCCACCGCACTGGCCAACAAAATGGATCTTGAAGAGTTCCTTCACATTAGATCAGAAGAAATGTGTATGTGTGTTTGTTTGTGTGTGTGTGTCTGTACCTCCTGTAATTGTCATGTGTATATGTTTGCATTTAGAGTAGTTTTTTCTTATTCATTTTCAAAAATAAATAATCAATTTTGCATTATTTCTTGCCTCTGATCCCAATCTATTAGTGGAAAGAAGTGAGATTCAACCATAATTGGAAAAGTCATCACCTTTTAAAAGAAGTAACATTGGTCACATTAGTCCCAATTCCATCTCACATTGGGTATGTGACCAGCCTTGAACCAGGTGAAATATAGAAATACAGAACTTCAGATATGATCCAAGCTATACATTAGTGGGAACAGTACATCCCTTGATAGTGACACTATTCTATTTGAATGTCTTAAGGTTCCATTGACATGCTTTTATTAGCTCCTTCAAAATGTTGGCTAATATTACACAATTGACTGAGTATTTCTGATGCATCCTTTCTGTTAATACCAAATGCCAATAAATTTCATGGTAAAATAATTTGATATTGGCATTTTAAAGATATTATCCTTAGTTTTCATGCCAGTTAGATCCCATCTGAGTCTGCATGTATTAATAGACTTCAGGAAAAATTCCACAATGTCACATATCATGCATGGCCTAGAGAAAAGGCTTTATTGGGAAATTTACATATGTCAAGATTTAACAATGAGAAGAGAAGCCAGGGGTCCTATAATCTTCCACATCCCACCTAAAGGTGTGGCAGGACCTGGCTGCCTTGATCCTGCAGTGTGGCTCTGTGTTCCTAGCAAGGGTCCGTTCTCTTCAGTAGCCTACCTTGTCAATGAAGGATAAGTGGACCCCTTGGCTCCAGGCCCCCAGAGACCCTCAGGCGCTGTGGGATACTAAAGTATCCCTTGTGTGGAGGTGGAAGCCCCTGGTTGTATGATAAGCTGAGCTTGGGTGTAGCCCCTCCTACTGGGAGAAGGTAGGATATCCCTGGCTGTAGTTGTCATATTGTCCAGAGTTCAGAGAGTGAGTATCCAGCGTTATTTTGAGTCAGTCCTGCTCATTTAAACTTACAACAGTAGATCTGCATGATCCCCAAACACGCAGGTATAAAAATTTTCTCAAAGTTGACCACCTGTTAGACAATCTCATCATTTAGTGGAAACCTCACTGTAATCGCCATGAGGATTATGTATCATCATCTGTTGTATGTGGGTGGCATTGCACTAGTACTGGATAAAACAAGTGAAGCTATCATGGTTTTTCTCTTCTAAGAGTTTATTAGATGACATCATTCTCAAAGTCTAAATTTTGTGAATAAAAAATAACACTATAGCATGTGCCTTTACATGAAGGTTTAATTAAAAGCAATGAATGAATACATATGCTTCAACATTAATCTCACTGAATATATTTTTAAGAATCCTGCAGTTTGACTGTAGATAGGATGAAATGTTAAAAATAGACCCTAAACCCACCTTGATTTATGTATTTACTTGGAGAGAAACAGGTGAGGGAAGCATATTGAATCATAACCTAATTCCTACAAACATTGATTTACACACAAATTAATTTACTAAACAAATTATAGTTTATACATTTATACATTAAGCATATTTATTTAATTTAAACATACTAGTAAAATGGACATCGGTTGTCCTCCAAATTCTTTGTGTTTTCATTTAGATAAAGATGATAATGTTGACAATAATCTGAAGCTTAATAACAGAAATAGCAATCATGTGTTGAATATTTATTCTGGTGGTAGTAAGGAATCAATCCATATATATTTACACATCTATAACCATACACATATGCATACATATATAATAGATAATATATATTTATGCACATTTTGTATTTTTTTTCATTTAATCTGCACACCATCCCTTAGGAGTAACTTATTTTTATGAATGCTTCTCAGATAAATGGAGAATTAGGGAAGTGCAATCATTTGCCCCTGTTCACTCTACTAGTGGAAGCAGGATTTGAATCTAGGCGATTTGACTCTAAAGGTCCATGCTCTTTATCACTATTCAATACTGCAGATGTAAATTATAAGGCCATTCTATCCATGTAATTTTAATACAATAAATGCTATGTGCTGAGTGTTTTTTAAAGATTAAAATTTGAATCTGCAGTAAACTGGCTACTTATCTTATTGTCAACCACATCTTTTTCGGTACTGTGTCCAGGACACAGTTAGATATTAAGTAAAAACATCCCTGGTCATTTTTTTTTTAAATTTGAGTTTCTCTGGCTTCTGCACATAGCCCATATAAACTCAGAAACCCGTTATTTGGAGATTTCACTGAATGAAATACCATAAGCTTTGTAGTGGGAAGGGGTTGTAAGACCAGGTCACCCAAACTTAGTTTGCAAATGCTGCAGCAGCTACTCTTAGCAGCCACTGTCCTTTCCATAGCATTTCCAAGGCACCTGCATTCTTTTGCAGCTACTACTACCCACCACACCTCTTCCTTAGCAGTTCCATAGCCAAGATTTCAGAGATTGTTATGAAAATCACATTGAGGCCAGTACTTCGTTAGAAATTTAATAAGGACTACAACATTGGGTTGCAAAGGAAGGGGTAATGCCTCTTCTACTACCATTTGTAGTTTGTCCTCTAGGTTCAGCATTAACAATTTTTATGAAGTATTAGGAGCTTTCAAGGGCCTTTGGCAGGGAGCACCTTATGCCTCAATGAAGGAGCCTTAAGCAAAGTTAATAAAAATGCGAAAGTATTGTGTCTTGACATAAGGCTCCTGAGTCGTAATGTTGATAATCTTCAGCATAGAGCTCTAGCAACATGATGCATCTGGTGTCTGTAACCCAGCTGTTCCCCAGGAAAGGTGCAGAATTGAGAATCATCAGCCTGAAGGCATGCATAAAAGACAGCACCTGAGAAGTGGTGCTGTGTGCCTATGGAAGAGCCCAGTCAGAGGAGTACAGACTTCAACTGAACCATCCCCCAGTATAGAGATGCGCACACGTCAGGGGAGCATAAATGAGAAAACTGGACTTTCTCAAGCCTGAGGTGTTGGATAATGACCTGACAGCGTTCTCACTAGTCCCATAAAACAGCCTATGTTTGTTCCCATCTAATCATGTGACTAGAATGTAGGAGAGTACTTCTAAAAGTAAACACATTTGAACAATCTGTATGTAGGAGGAAGAAAGTACTGTATTAAAATTGTCAGTTTTTCTTCTTATTTTTCCTTACCTAATGAACTTTTTGGCATCTATCAGTTTCTAACCAGGCAGCTGCTGAAATTTTTATTCATGCCTTGGTTTCCTCAAGAATTGATTTTTGTAATTCTTTTTTGCAGCCTTCCCTTACCGGGCTATTTTGAGGTTGCAGCACACTGTGAATTCAGCAGGTGCTTCAAGCCTGGCAGCATCTTATTGCCTTTCTTCCGACTTCCTTTAGTGACCTCCAGTATCAAACATGATTGCTCTTCCAATTTTAATTTCTACTTGCTGTGGTACCGAACAACCTCGTTAGTCCTATCACTGAGCCCAGTTGGCAATGTTGGGAGGTCTGAGTAGTTCCACACTCCGTAAATTGCAGTGGTATTAGCAAGTACAATTGCATACTCTTAATCATCTTGCCCTTATTATATGAGAAGTTTCTGGTGTATTTTAAGGGAGAAAATGCTTTAGAGAGTAAAGAGGGAAAAAATCAAAGCAAACTCTCCCTCTCAATATTCTAATCACGAAGGACTGGAATTTTCAAGAACCAATTTCAATTTGATGCTTCAATATAGAATTGAATTTAGGGTGTATGTGAGTGAGTGTGTATTTTTGCACACATTCACATATATATATTTTTAATATGGTACTTGAACTGCAATAAAGCCAGTACTCTTTCCTTGATTTTATGTAGACCACTTTTACATCATAATTCAAAAATATAAGGAAACTTATGTAGCCGTAATAGAAATTCAGTAGAATTAGAAAGTAAAAGCAACAAAATATAAAGGGCTGCCAGCAGCTAAGCCTTCGCAAATCAGTTCAGTTAGTTGATGTGTTTATTTGTGCATGTAGAGCCATTGTATTTGTACAAATGTCCCTCCAACATATATACATGAAAGGGGTATTAAAGATCCACTCTCTTGGTTTTGTGGCTGAACAAATTGCCTCAAGCTCTTACTAATGGTAATAACTTTTCCTATTTAAAGGGCATTTTCAAATGGGAGAAGATTGTTATTTTTTACTTTTTTAAAAATAATTTCTGATCTAAGGAAAATAAGCTAACATCTATACAACAGAATACATTATTGGTAATAACTGACATATGTTGAGTATTGTGTGCTCAACATATATAGCTTGGTGTATACCTTATAGATCATTAAAAATAGCAACACTGTAGGTAAGACTGGGAAAATGTATGTTGTTTATTTCAGAGATTAGCGTGTATCCACATGTAGGGACCATGGAGTGTAGAGTTGGAGGTTCGGCCAAAGCCCTCCTGGGCCACTCCTTGGCAATGTTACTAGTTGTAGGTTCCATTCTATCACAGTTTTAAGGATGATGAAACTGAGGCTTATAGAATTTAAGTGATTTCTCAAGATCATAGAGCTGGTAAATGGTGAAGAAAGAATTTAAAACTAGTATATCTGAATCCAGAATCTGAGCTGTTGACTAACATGTAGCATTGCCATCTCCAATCCTTGGGGATTTATTTTTCACAGGGCCTAAATGTGTGGACCTTTTATTCTGATGCCTTTTTCTTCATTCTTTTTGTTTGCTTAAACTAAACCTTCTTTTGAACTATAAAGGTGATGGTGAGTAACAAGTCCCATGTGTGATTTTATTGTACACAGTCAGAAGACAGAAGACACTCAGACAGCCCATCTGCTCAGAGTGTGGCTTACATCAGTTTCTGTATTACGGCTATCTTTTGTAGAATGATTTGTAGCCTTTATCAAACTTCTCTTGGTTAAAAGTTTGTAATGGCAGAGAATCCCTAGCTAAACAGTCAGAGAAAGTAATTCCTTAGAGGAAATTACATCAGCATTATTCATTATTGCATTAGAGAGTGTATTTTTGTCAATTCTCTAGCAGAGATCAAGTTCCTGAGGGAATTAGATGGAGAAAGAAGCATTGGGTATGAATTGGATGAGGTTTTATGTTGCCTGAAGCTTGAGTTACTTATTAGCAAGAGTCCAAAACATCTTCTTTATTGAAGTTTGGAGCTATCTGTTCCTCAAGTGACAAAAATGTTCAACCTTCATTTGGGGATTCTACCCCAACTCTATTTTGGTTTATGGAATTCTTCTTTTTTTTTTTTTTTTTTTTTTTTTTTGCCAAAACATTCTTTATTTGGTCAATAAAGGGCAGAAGTTTTGGATTCTTAAACATTCAGTATTTTTTTAAATTTAGTCCAGGGTTTATTCAAATACCATTTTGCCCCAAACTACTCTCTCCTCTCTTTCTGGGGCTCTAATTATATGATTGTTAGACCTTGGAGGGCAGCTTAGATTTTTTTTATACTTTAAGTTCTAGGGTACATGTGTACAACCTGCAGGTTTGTTACATTTGTATACACACGCCATGTTGTGTGCTGCACCCATTAACTCGTCATTTACATTAGGTATGTCTCCTAATACTGTTCCTTCCCCTCCCGCACCCCACAACAGGCCCCGGTGTGTGATGTCCCCCTTCCTGTGTCCAAGTGTTCTCATTGTTCAATTCCCACCTATGAGTGAGAACATGCGGTGTTTGGTTTTCTGTCCTTGTGATAGTTTGCTCAGAATGATGGTTTCCAGCTTCATCCATGTCCCTGCAAAGGACATGAACTCATCATTTTCTATGGCTGCATAGTATTCCATGGTGTCTATGTGCCACATTTTCTTAATCCAGTGTATCATTGATGGACATTTGGGTTGATTCCAAGTCTTTGCTATTGTGAATAGTGCCACAATAAACATACGTGTGCATGTGTCTTTATAGCAGCATGATTTATAGTCCTTTGGGTATATACCCAGTAATGGGATGGCTGGGTCAAACGGTATTTCTAGTTCTAGATCCTTGAGGAATCTCCACACTGTCTTCCACAATGGTTGAACTAGTTTACAGTCCCACCAACAGTGTAAAAGTGTTCCTATTTCTCCACATCCTCTCCAGCACCTGTCGTTTCCTGGCTTTTTAATGATCCCCATTCTAACTGGTGTGAGATGGTATCTCATTGTGGTTTTGATTTGCATTTCTCTGATGGCCAGTGATGATGAGCATTTTTTCATGTGTCTGTTGGCTGCATAAATGTCTTCTTTTGAGAAGTGTCTGTTCATATTCATTGCCCACTTTTTGATGGGGTTGTTGTATTTTTTCTTGTAAATTTGTTTGAGTTCTTTGTAGATTCTGGATATTAGCCCTTTGTCAGATGAGTAGATTGCAAAAATTTTCTCCCATTCTGTAGGTTGCCTGTTCACTCTGATGGTAGTTTCTTTTGTTGTGCAGAAGCTCTTTAGTTTAATTAGATCCCATTTGTCTATTTTGGCTTTTGTTGCCATTGCTTTTGGTGTTTTAGTCATAAAGTCCTTGCCCATGCCTATGTTCTGAATGGTATTGCCTAGGTTTTCTTCTAGCATTTTTATGGTTTTAGGCCTAAAATTTAAGTCGTTAATCCATCTTGAATTAATTTTTGTATAAGGTGTAAGGAAGGGATCCAGTTTCAGCTTTCTACATATGGGTAGCCAGTTTTCTCAGAACCTTTATTAAATAGGGAATCCTTTCCTCATTCCTTGTTTTTGTCAGGTTTGTCAAAGATCGGATGGTTATAGATGTGTGGTATTATTTCTGAGGGCTCTGTTCTGTTCTGTTCCATTGGTCTATATCTCTGTTTTGGTACCAGTACCATGCTGTTTTGGTTACTGTAGCCTTGAAGTATAGTTTGAAGTCAGGTAGCGTGATGCCTCCCGCTTTGTTCTTTTGGCTTAGGATTGCCTTGGCAATGCGGGCTCTATTTTGGTTCCATCTGAACTTTAAAGTAGTTTTTTCCAATTCTGTGAAGAAAGTCAGCATCATCCTGATACCAAAGCCTGGCAGAGACACAACAAAAAAAGAGAATTTTAGACCAAAATCCCTGATGAACATTGATGCAAAAATTCTCAATAAAATACTGGCAAACTGAATCCAGCAGCACATCAAAAAGCTTATCCACCAAGATCAAGTTGGCTTCATCCCTGGGATGCAAGGCTGATTCAACATACGCAAATCAATAAACGTAATCCATCATATAAACAGAACCAATGACAAAAACCACATGATTATCTCAGTAGATGCAGAAAAGGCCTTCAACAAAATTCAACAGCTCTTCATACTGAAAACTCTCAATAAACTAGGTATTGATGGAACGTATCTCAAAATAATAAGAGCTATTTATGACAAACCCACAGCCAATATCATACTAAGTGGGCAAAAACTGGAAGCATTCCCTTTGAAAACTGGCACAAGACAGGGATGCCCTCTCTCACCACTCCTATTCAACATAGGGTTGAAAGTTCTGGCCAGGGCAATCAGGCAGGAGAAAGAAATAAAGGGTATTCAATTAGGAAAAGATGTAGTCAAATTGTCCCTGTTTGCAGATGACATGATTGTATATTTAGAAAACCCCATCATCTCAGCCCCAAATCTCTTTAAGCTGATGAAGAACTTCAGCAAAATCTCAGGATACAACATGAATGTGCAAAAATCACAAGCATTCCTATACACCAATAACAGACAGAGAGCCAAATCATCAGTGAACTCCCATTCACAATTGCTTCAAAGAGAATAAAATACCTAGGAATCCAACTTACAAGGGATGTGAAGGACCTCTTCAAGGAGAACTACAAAACACTGCTCAACAAAATAAAAGAGGACACAAACAACTGGAAGAACATTCCATGCTCATGGATAGGAAGAATCAATATCATGAAAATGGCCATACTGTCCAAGGTAATTTATAGATTCAATGTCATCCCCATCAAGCTACCAATGGTTTATGGAATTCTTATGTATAGATAGCTTCAGTTCACCCAAGGATTACAAGCATTATATGGTAATAATACATGAAGAAGCAGAGAAAACTAAAGTACAGGTTGTCTTCCTTAGCAAGTACAACCTTTGCCCACTGAATGTGCTTTCTTAAGTCTCAGCTTTGAGAAAAAGCAAGGCTTAAGTAAGGGGGGTTCCAGTGAGCAGACATTAGAGTATTTCCTATTGTATTAAGGCAACTGAATGAACTGTTTGAAAGTTTAACTCTCAGGGTGGCTTAGGTGGCTTAGTAAATACAATTATGAGAGGAAATGTTTTCTTCACTTACTTGACTGTAATTTGTTGTTAAGATATATTTTGAAATTGTTGAGTATTTTCTCATTTTTCTGTGCCTCTCAATTTTCTGCCAAAAAAAAAAATTTCTGAGAATTTTGTTTTTTTCATTTAGGATGGAACAAAGTTGCTGTTACTCTATGTGATTAGGGAATGATGTTTTAGGTGAATTAAATAATAAATGATTTTTCCCATATGCCAAACATGGAAGACTAATGAGATTTGAAATGCAGCGTATTTCTTGATATTGAAAATATACAACATGAAATTTTTTCTTTGATTCAGAAGGTACTTTAGGATGTCCTAGTGTGGGAAAATCATTAGAAATTGTCAGTCTCTTGTAACATTATGGAAGTCCTGGTTTATCGGTATTTTTCTGTGGTGAGAGAAGCAGGTAATCAAATCTTTACAGAAACAAAATCCTACAGAAAATAATGCTGGCAGTCTGCTGATTAAAGTGTCTGAATAAAATGGATTAGGTAAATAAAAAGAATGAGCATATAAGTAGAAGAAATTGTAGTTTCTAAATATTAAATTCAGAAAGTTTTGATTAATGACTTACGTTTCATGTCATATGGCTTAAAGATTTTTTGCCTTATTTCTTATCCTTGAAAACAAAGTGAAGTGCATATGAGAGCTCCGGTGGAATAAAAACAGCCCGTTATGGGCTGGTCTATTACTTCTTCAACAAAGCTCTATCTACTGTCATGGGGCAGCTTAGTATGACAGAAAGAAAACAGATGTGTGTTTCAGCTCTTCTGCTTAATAGCTTTGTGAATCAGCCAGGATATACAACATGGTGTAGTTGTGCTACAGTAGAAACCCTTTCTGAAATTTCCCTGGCACAGTACTGCACGTGTGTATGTTTGACTCACAGCGCATTATCCAAGGTGAATTGGCAGAGGGCCTCTGCCCACGGGTCATTCAGAGACCTGGGCTGATGGAGGCTTTCTGTCAATGCCTGCTTCAAACACCGTGGAGAGTGGAAAGGGAAATGTGGCAAATCATACAGGCTCTTAACATTTCTACTTGGAAGTGAGATGTAATTTCTGTCACATTTCATCTGCCAGAGTAAGACACATAGTCAAAGAAAAAGAAAGTAGGATTCTACCATATATCCAGAGAGATATCACTAATGACAACCACACCATGTGTTTTTGTATAAATCTCTTAGTGTGTCTGAGCTTCATTATGCTAATCTGTTATTTTTTTTAAAAAGTGGAGGATTTCCCTGACTTGATGCCTCTTCCTGTGACCCTCCTCTGAACTTTTGTGTATCCTAGTCACCAGAGGAAAGATGTTTTTTCATTTATTCAACAAATAATTTTCAGCTCCTTCTATGTAAGGTACCAGCTAGGCTTTGGAGACGTTGCAGAAAACAAAAATAGGTAAGGCTGATCTCCCAGTTCTTATGTTCAGTTGGATTGACAATCAGCAAAATAGATACATATCTATGTAATATTTCAGTTGGTAAAAAGTGCTAAGAGGAAGAATAAAGTAGGGCAGATTTGTTCCAAGGAAAACTTAAGAAAAGGGGGGAAATAATATATGAATATCAGTAGGTGAAGGTTTCTAGATGATAGAAGAGGAAATGCAGAGCCCTAAGCAGGATTCTGCTAGGCATTTTTTAAACTACTTTATTGAGGTATGATTTACATATAAAAAGCTGTACATATTTAAGAGATACAACTTGATGTGTCTAGAGATAAGAATACACCCATGAAACCATCATCACAATCAATGCCATAAACTTATTCATCACCTCCATAAGTTTTCTCCTGCCCCCTTGTTGTTGTTTTTATTTTGTTTTGATTTCCTCTTATAGTAAGAGCCAATAAAGGAAATATAAGATCTACCCTCTTAGTACCTTTTTAAGTAAATAGTACAGTATTGTTAATCATATGCTCTATATTGTAGGGGAGATCTCCAGAACTTATTAATATTTTGCATAACTGTTCTGCTAGGCTTTTTAAACATTTATTTAGAGACAGAATCTTACTCTGTCACCCAGGCTAGAGTTCAGTAGTGTCATCATAGTTCACGGCAGCCTCGAACTGCTGAGCTCAAGTGATCCTTCCACCTCAGCTCCCAAGTGCTAGGACTCCAGGCATGCACACCATGCCTGTCTAATATTTTATTTTCTTAGGGACAAGTTCTTGCTATGTTGACAAGGCTGGTTTTGAACTCCTGGTCTAAAGTGTTCCCGAGTTGGGATTACAGGCGTGAGCCACCATGCCCAGCTCTCTGCTAAACATTTTGAGAAGCAGAGAGACCAGGATATCTGGAGTGCAGTGAGTGA
Organism: Homo sapiens; assembly: GCF_000001405.40. Classification (NCBI taxonomy): domain Eukaryota; kingdom Metazoa; phylum Chordata; class Mammalia; order Primates; family Hominidae; genus Homo; species Homo sapiens. The sequence goes on from NC_000003.12 coordinate 2,605,340, forward strand.
AGACAGTGTTAGGAGGTGGGAGAAGGGGATCAGAGAGAAGGCAACATGGCAGATCATGCAGGGAGAGCCCTGTAGCAAGGTAAAGACTTTGGATTTTTTTTCTGGATGAGCTGGGAAGCATTGTAGGGTTTTAGACAAAGGGGTGTCTTGATATGATCTAAATTTTCTCTGGCTTCTCTGTGGAGAATAATCTATAGGGTGGCAGTGATGGAAGCAGGAGCACAGCTGGGCAGCTATTGCAGCAATCGATGTAAGATAAGGATGGCTTAGACCCAAGTGGTGGAGGTAGAGATTGGGAGACATGCCAGATTCTGGATGCATTTTGAAGGTGGAGCTATCAGATTTGTGAATGGATTGAATGAGAGATATGAGTTTACCACAGTAATTATTACTATATAGATGCCATTCATTTATACCACAAAACCAACCGATGTCCTGTCAGGTGCTAGTGCTGTTCCACAGTTGGGGTTACAGCAGTTGGGTTTTCATGATGTTGAATTCTAGTTAAAGAAGACAAATGATAAATAATTCGAATAATAATTTTAATATGATAATAGTCAGTAGTTAGTGCTAGAAAGAAAATTTAATCAAGGGGATGTGAATGATGTAAGTGGCTACGTTGGACAGGCAAGGCCTTGGGGAGCTAAGGCCTGAGCCAAGAGGACTGAGATGTGAAGTGATGGGGGAAGCAGGGGAATTTGGTGGGGCAGCACTCGAGGCAGACACACATGTAGTGCAAGGATCCTAAGGCTTGGGTAATAGGGGAAGATATGTCATTGCAGTTTAAATATCGAATGGGGGGACAAAGTGGTTCTGTATTGATAGGGAGGTCAGTATGGACCAGATCACACTGGGCTTGGCAGGACAGGGAAGAATTTTAGATTGTCGTGATTCCTTGGCAATAAGAAGTTATTGTAAGGTTTCAAACGGAGAACAATATAACCTAATTTGTCTTTGACACAGGGAGGAGAACAACATACACTGGGGCCTGTGGTAGGGCAGGGGTCGAGGGGGAGGGAGAGCATCAGGAAAAACAGCTAACGCATGCTCAGCTTAATACTCAGGTGATAGGTTGATAGGTGCAGCAAACCATTATGGCACACGTTTACCTATGTAACAAACCTGCACATCCTGCACATGTATCCCGGAACTTAAAATAAAATAAAATAACTCACAGTGACTGATGGGCGGATAATGGGTTTTAAGAGGACTTTGACAACGAAACCATTTAGGAAGCTATTGTGTTATGACTAATTCCATATGCTTTTCTTATCTGAACACAATAAGTTGACATTAGTTTTGTTTTTAAAGTGAAATAAATATTTGCCCCTCCATGCTCCTACCCCTGCTTGTTCGTCAGCATTCTTAGGGAATGAAATGATCCACAGAAGACTTCCCAAATAGCTGTGGTTTCCCTCTTTAAGGTCTGTGTCTTTAAAAGCACATGGTCCATTTCAGTGAAAGTTTTTCTGAATATTTAATACATACTTACCATTTAAATGGAAGATAGTAAGTAAAACCTAAACTTTTCCTTTGCCTCATGGCAGTATTGGTGTTGGTTAAAAATGATAACTTCAGAGACTTCAGATCTCCAGACCCATGAGCTTTACAGATGCTAGCTCTATTCTTTTTCCATTGGCTCCTGACTGTGATGTCCTTGTGCTTCGCTTCCACAGTCTCCTATCCCCAGGTTTTTAGGACACATTTAATCTTCTTTCTTGATACAGTGCTACTTCTCTTGTTGAGTATTTGATGGACTTGGTGACTGTTACATTCTTCCAAGGCCACCTTTTTTTGGCATCTGGTTCAAACTATGTCTGTTTTTGCTAGAAACTGTCACGTGAATAAAGGAAAGAGTAGAAATTATTGTAGTCATATTGCAGAGCAATTTGAACATTCCACTGAAGTTGAATATGTGCTACCTACAATCTAGCCATGATAATTCTAGATATATGCCCTAGAAAAGCAGGTGCATATACACAAGAAGACACATTACTGGGATGTTCACCAAGGCATCATTTGTAATAGCAAAATGGTAGAAGCAACCTAACTGTCCATACAAAAAGGGAATGAATAAATAATCTGTTTATTCATATAATGGAATATTGCATAATAAAGTAACTGAATTAAAGCTGTATGTATCAATAAGAATAACTGCAAAAATGTAAAGTGAAAATAAAAAATTTCAAAAGGATATAAAAACGTAATGTAATGCTCTTTATATATATTTTAGAAATACCAAAATAATACGTGTGTATATACATATGCATCCACACACACACACACATAACTAATGGCTAATACAGTATAAAAACATGGTAATGATACATAAACCTTTCAGAAAACTTCAGTGAATAAAAGCAGGTAGAAGAGAGAAAGGAGGACCTAGTTGAATCTGCCCTTTTTAAATGCTATGTTAAAAAATAGATACATATGTTTTTAACCAATCTGTACAATGTTCTTACCTATTATGTCTGGCTTTTGATTATGTAGGGTATCAATTTATGATTTTTTCCATACGATAGAAATATTTAATAATTTAAAATATCATATAATAAAAACGTGTCTTTTATAGTTCTTCCTACAAGCTGTATTTGATCACTTCTGTGGTTTTATGGGTGGCTCATAACATCTAGTCACATCATAAAATTCTTTTTTCCTTGTGATTGGCTGAATCATCTTTAGGCGTGATGCTTAATTTAGACGTTTAGGTTAACTCTTCAATAAAATCACAGGAATTTATTGTAAGATCTAACCAAGGGACTGAAATAAATTGAATGTAGTGAAATTTGAGGCATTGTTTCAGCCACCTTAAAGACCACATGATCTACTGATACAGTTGTTAAATCCACTCAGATAAACATGTGTGCTCCAAGTTGGAGAAATCTGAGGCAGAGAAAAAGAATTGTCCCAGGTGCCCAAGTCCACTTATATGAACAACTTGAATTGAACACTGTTAATATTAGGCTCTTTTGCCAGGAGTGGTGGCATGCACCTGCAGCCCCAGCTACTCAGGAGGCTGAGGTGGGGGGATCACTAGAGCCCAGGAATTTGAAGCTGCAGTGAACTATGATTATTCCACTGCACTACAGCCTGGGCAACATAGTGAGACGCTGTCTGTTTAAAAAAGAAAGAAAGAAAGAAAAGAAACCCTAGGCTCTTCTTCCCCTCTCCCCAGACAAAGTCTGCTGCAGTGATCTCGGCTTACTACAACCTCTGCCTCATGGGTTCTCATGGGTTTAAGCAATTTTCCTGCCTCAGCTTCCTGAGTAGCTGGTATTACAGGCACGTGCCACCATGCCTGGCTAATTTTTTCTCTTTTTAGTAGACATGGGGTTTCACCGTGTTGGCCAGGCTGATCTCGAACTCCTGACCTCGTGATCCACCAGCCTCGGCCTGGCCTCCCAGAGTCCTGGAATTACAGGCATGAGCAACTGCACTTTGCCCCTTGGCTCTTTTTAAAAAATGCATTTGTTTGAGAGTAATGAATAGAAAAGGAAGTTGTGGCATGAACTATCTGATTCTTCTTTTCTTCCACTACTGGGAGATTTCATAGGCCAAATATTCTCTCTAGTCAGGGGCATGCCTGATGATGCTTACAGTCTATAAAGAGTCTGGTCTTGTTCTCCTTTCATCTTCTCTGGAGAAAGGATAATCAACAACAGAAATTTTTTAAAAACCCTCATACTTTAGACAAGTCACATTCAGCCACTCTGTGGAAACACTGATTTTTCTACGAGGCTTTCTTAGAGAATAAATATTAACACATATGCTTCATGGGCTGATAGATATTGCTGTGGTTTCAATGTGTCCTCTACAGAATTTGTGTTGAAATGTAATCTGCATTGTGGAGATATTAAGCAGTGTGGCCTTTTGGAAAGTTATTAAGTCACGAAGGATGTGCCCTCGTGAATGGATTAGCACCTTAGAAAGGGGCTGGAGGAAACTAGCTTAGGACCCTTTGCCCTTCTGCCTTCACCATGTGAGGACACGGTATTCAAGGTGCCACCTTGGAAGCAGTGAGTGGGCCCTCACCAGACCTCAAATTTGCCGGCACCTTTATCCTGGACTTCCCAGCCTCCATAACTGTGAGAAATAAATTCATGTTGTTTATAAATTACCCAGCTTCAGGTATTTTGTTATAGCAGCAGGAATGGACTAAGAGAGATTTAATATGGAATCCCAAACAATGAAACAACTATTTGTACTTCTAAAATATAGGTAGTTCTCAAAAGCATTATGTTCAGTAGGATAGCTCTCTAACTTATCTCTAAAGTTAATTAAACATTATGGCTGAAAAATGAGTTTTAGTTTCCTCTCTTTGAACTTCTATAAAGAAAATATACCTTTGAGACTTGAAAAGTTCAGTGCTATGAAACGTCTTTCTAGGGTAGTTTGGGTAGCACCAAAGTCACCTATAATTAAAATTACATATTTTCCATTTTAAAAATTCCATTTTATAATTTTCAAATAAATTTTTTACTATCAATAAAGAGGTATTTTTTGATTTGTGCAACTTTATATGTAGCACTTGGTTTCATTAAACAAATGTCATTGATTTCATTAGCATAAAACTTTATTTTCTTCACCTTAATTTTGAATACAATTACCAAATAAAAGTAGCTTTTATCTTTGTCCCTTTGAGGTTAGAGATGATATCTTCTTGATTTCTCTGTCTCTCCCGAGCACAGTGCCCGCACATGGTAGGTAATTAACTGTCTGTTGACTGGTTAAATTATCTGTATTACAAGTAAATACAAAATGCCAGGTTTTACAAAACACTCATTCCATATTGTCTATCACTCCCACTCTATTTTATTTTTCACCATAGTATAAGTTAAGATATTATTAAAATATTATTAAGATCATCTGGGGAAGTTTGCTCACTTCCATTCTTGAAATTATTATAATCTCCTCTTAAGAAAAAACTCAAAATGTGTAAGAGCATCTCTGATAGCTTGGTTCTTATTTGTATAATGGGATAATTTTATTTCTTCAGTTGCCATCCTGCAAACACTTTTTCTAAGTCTTTAGGAACCTCTGTTTTTAAATTGCTTTTGCTTCATGTGATAAACTTTAAGCCCGTGGCCTTCTAAAATGATTCAGTCAGTCAGTTCTGACATCTCTTCATCTCTTCTTGGTAGCACCCTCGCCATTTCTGCAACGATTTCCACTGAGTCGCATTTCAGCCTGTGTAGAAACTCATGATGACGTGTTGTTTTATAATACTTTACACTTTGTGTATTTTGCCATTATGGGGGTGGGTTAATGTGTTATAAATGTACAAATGCTTGTTATCACAGTAAATTCTAGGTAGAGAACAGACCATGGAAATGTTGTTTTAATTTGTGTTAGTTTGAGAAAATTAATAGGTATCTCATATGACTTATACCAGAAAATTTAAAAACTATAAACATACAGCCAAGCAAGAAGGCAGTCATTATGAGTATTTTCAGAGTGTATTGTCTGAGAATACGGTGGCGTTTTCCATTGCTAAAAAGAAATGCACAGTTTTCCACTAGTAACTTGGGAGAAATATTTTTTCAGGTATACAATGCAGGGAGTTACTTGACCTAAAATGGGTACTTAAATTTCATTGATTGTTTAAAGATAAGTAAATAATTTTCCCTTTTTTGCCAGAGTTGTTTTCATGTAACGATACGATACATCTTATAACAATACTTCCATTATAACATGCTTTATATGTATTATCTCATTTGATTCAGGTGATGACTATTTTCAATAGATATTGTTGCTGTCTCCATTTTACAGATGTTATAGGCAAAGTTAAAGGTGTGTAGGCAAGTTACATTGATTCAAAGTGATGGACTTCAAACTCTTTGCCTCTATTTTGTTGGAACATTCATTAAATCATATAGCACCTGCTATGAGTGGAGACTTTCAACTCATAAAGACCAGAACATTTAGGGGACAAAAGTACTCACAGCACCTGGAACCAAAAAAAAAAAAAAAGAAAGAAAGAAAGAAACAAAAACAAAAAACCTGTTAAAAATTTCTTCATCACAGACAAGACTCTTTCAAGGGTACTGATAGCCATGGGACAGAGGGAAGGACAGGTAAAGTTGATGGGCCAAGGAGAGTAACATCACCTTCCTCAGCCTAAGCTGCAGGATTATAGGAAAAGCTAAGTAGCCTCTGGGTGATAGTACCTGCTTGGGAGAGCCGTTGTGTGAATTCACTTTGTAAGGTCCAAAAATAAATGTGACTTAGATACGTTCACACCATTCCTCTCTTTCCCTTTTTTCCTGGGTTACCTGCTGTCCACCTAGCTTTGACTATTGCCAATACCCAATGCATGGATGGAATACAGTGAGAAGGAACCTGCAAGTGTCAATGGAGGCAGAGGCAGAGAACAAGGATGAGAACAACAAATTTTAAAGAAGCTGTCTTGAACATTTGGGGAATAGAGGTTGGTGAGGAGACTAGCCAAGATGTTTTGTCTCTCTGTTGTATAACAGAGTGCCCTGTGGCATCTCTTATACAGGTGGCTATACAGTTTTTAATCACTTTTTTAAATGTTGGATGAGTATTTCTTTTGATTGCAATAAACTTATGGTGAGACACACTACTAGGTGGCCCAGTTTTATTCAGGATATGTAGGAGATGGAGCTTTATAAAGCTGCATTCATGAAGATTCTTACAAAATATTCTCAGGTGGTAACATTTTAATGGGTAAAAATAACACATGCTTTCAAAGAAAAATCTATTATTCAACTTAATATAACCAGTTTTATATATACATATAATACACACACACACACACACACACACACACACACAACAGACAGAGATACTTTTTGACTTACAATAGGGTTACATCCCGATAAACCCATCATAAGTTAAAAATATAGTAAGTCAAAAATTACATTTAATACAGCTAACGAAACCAAATGTCGCAGCTTAGCCCAGCCTAACTTAAACATAATGAGATCACTTACCTAGCCTACATTGGTCAAAATCATCTAACATAAAGCCTATTTTATAATAAAGTGCTGAATACCTCATGTAGTTTATTGAATACTGTACAGAAACTTAAAAACAAAATGGTTGTATGGGTATTTGAAGTACAATTTTTACTGAATGTGTATTGTTTTGGGGGACCGTGTGTATATGTGTGTGTGCGTGTGAATTGGAACACACACAGTTGCTTTTGCAGCAGTTTTGAAGTCAAGATACAACATATACTAATATTGGTTTCACAAGGTAAAGGCCATTATTATCCCTATGAGAATTCAGTGAGGAAGATACTGCTTTTAGCTGGGTAGAATGAGGTAGATAAAATATATTTTGATTATTTGAATTAGGAGTTTCATGTGATGAGCTGCATTGCTACATATCTTATTTCTTACTCTTTAAAGAAACCAACAAGCTTTTCATGTCTCTATTACAGAATAAAATAGAGTAATATGCCAACATATAGACATTTAATTTTGTCAAATCCAACTATGCAAACTTAAAATGAAAGGAAATAGGAGGATATAACAACTTAAATGGCATCAGCAATTTCTCACACTGTTTCACCCCAAGAGTGTTAGCCTTAGTGACCTTGAGACAGAAGAAGTGAATCACTTAGTAGATCTCTTTTTATTGTATGCATGACTAGAGGAAGCATCTTAGGGTGCTGCATGTGAGCATTACGTTTAAGAACACAATGTTGTAGAAGTATTTCTTGTATATTGTGCCAGGGGCTTTGTCTGCTTATCAGTGGTGCAATACATCATCCGTGAACTAAGATTTTCATTTTATCATTAATTTGTTATCCTGAGAGTGGCAACTTAGTTTTACTTAAGATAGCTTCCGTAGTTCTAAGCACACGTGGAGACTCCCTGTTCAGAAGAAAAAGTTCTATGTATTTCCATGTATTTTATTAATGATGACACCTTTTCCTAAAGTCTCCCCCAAACTGTTTCTTCTCGCTTCTCATTAGCAAAAATGACATCACATAGCCAAACCAATTCCTGGCAAGGAAAAGGATATCATGATCATTTACTTAGATCAACCGTGATTCAACCATAGACTTGTGGATGGGCCCATCTTCTATGATGCACATGGCCAGTCAAAGGAAAATTTTGGATTCCAGTAGAAAAAAAAGAAAAGAGATTAAATATTGATTAGGTAGGTGCTGCAACATATTTGTTCATTAATGTACTGTAAAGCACTATTTGTATTTCACATTTATACATTCATATTACTTTATAAGATGGTATACATAAGACCATGTATATTGTACTTTTTGGGCAATATAAGGACTTTTTGTAGGGCTAATTTTGACTCCAATTTTTGCTATATGATCAGAGTTACACTATAATTCATGAAAAAGACAAGACTCAACTCTAATATCAATATTAGCCTTAGTTTACCAGTTATCACTATCGGATGTGTCATAAGCATTTGTTTTTAAGGTTGAATAGAGAACCTGATTGGGTGCTATAAAAGTCTGATCAACAGCTTAAATGTTTGTTTGTTTGTCTTTCTTAAGGAAAATGAGCATTGAGTTTCTTTCTGTTCCACATTGAATAAACCTCACCAAATCTATCCCTACATTCAGATACTCAGTCCACAAATACTGAGTACCTTCTATGTGCTGACCGCTGTTCTAACCCTCGTGGATACAGTAATGAATGAGATAGATAAAGTACTTTTTCTCAAAGAGCTAACATTCTATTGTGAGAAAAAAATAGAATAATCAGAGAAGTCAACAAAAACAAAAAATGTGAGATACTGAAGAGCATGTGAGAGCAGGCCAGTGGGTAACTACTTTAGGGGTCAAGGAAGTCCTCTCTGAGGAAGCAGAGTTTAAGCTGAAATCTAAATGACAACAAGGAGCCACCATGGAAACACCAGAGAAGTATATTCTAAGCATTGGAAATAGCTGGTGCAAAGACCCTCAGGTGGGAATAAGCTTGAAATGTAGCCAGCAAGTGGGAAAGAGGAAGATGAGGTCAGAGAGGTATGCGAAGACTAGATCATGTGAGATTATGTAATCCAGGTGAAAAGGATTGATTTTGATTCTGAATATAATGGCAAGTCATTGGAAAGATCCACTTGATCAAAAAGTGACAAGGTAACATACTGGATAAGGTATGGGAACAGTATCATAGGGAAACAATTGAAGTACAATTAGGCTGTTGTCCAGGTGAGAGGTGACGGTGGGGAAGACCAAACTGGTGTAGTGAAATGTACAAAAATTGAACAGATTCAGGATGTTTGGGAGATAGGATGGAAGAAGTGAGGAAATGAGAGAACGGGGTGAACTTTCAAACTTCTGGCTTGAGCTACGGCATAGACGATGAATTTTTCTCAGAGATGTGTAGGAAGCAGGTTCACTGAGGAGAGAGAGCAGGCAGAATTGAGAGTTTTGTTTTGGTCCTATTGAAATAGAGATGCCTGTCAGACATCCTTGTAGAGATGCCAGATAAACAGTTGGATACATCAGCCTGGAGTTCCAGGAAGAGACTAGGCCTGGAGATAAGAGATTTGGTAGTCATCTGCATATAAAAAAGCAAAGAAGTGCCCACACAGTTATTTTAATTAATTCCACAGAGCCTTCTAAAGTATAATTTGGAGAACTGAAAATTGATGGGTACTTATTTATTGAAACATTTGTCTTGAAAATTTGTTGACAACACAATTGCTGAGAAATTAATTGATAGTTCATGACAAGCAGTGACGGCTCATTTCCTCAAAGTTTCCCTAAAAGACAAAGAAAGTTTTATGTTATTAGCTTTGGCTTGCTTTGAAAATTTGTTTTTGCACATCACTGTTTTGGGTTAGCAATAAAATTCTCTGCATTTGCTTCATAAATCAAACAAGGACACAATTGTTAAATAGTCTGTATCATATTAATTAGGCTCTGAAACAAAGCAAGCATTACAGCCATTTATAACAGGGTATTGCATAAGTTGCTAATCAATGAGAAAAGCAACTAATTAACAAGCAACCAGTCAGCATTTTGAGCAGAAGTTGGTGACTTTCAGCTTAATTAAACCTTGCAGGTGTCAGTGATGATATGAAAGAATCTTTAATCTGTTTGTGTTGAAATTCCCCCAGATCATTTTCACATCTGTACATGTTTAAAGCCCCTATCTACTTTCATGTAGGTAAAGGGAATTCAGTGTCTTAAAACAGTTCACATTTTTAAAAGCCCTATTCTTAATTAAATCATTAAGATTTCTCCTGGATTAAGACAGTGGAATGAAGTTCATCATCTATTTCACTCTAAAAAAAAACTTAGAGGGCTAAGCAGCTTTATTGAAGTATAATTTATATACCCTAAAGTATACTTGTTTCAAGGGTAAAATTTAATGATTTTAAGTAAATGTATAGAGTTGTGCAATTATTTCCAGAGTATAATTAGAATAAAGGAAATTTTAAAGTTTGGACAAATTTATCCATGAGGTATCAAAATTAGCTTGTGAGGGAGGCTAGATATACCTAGCCTTTAGGAATGACCTATAAAAGCACTGATACATCTTTCCTTCTAGCCTTCAAGTGTTTCCAACCATCTGCTACAGCTACCATCAAAAACAGGATTCTAAATGGGATGAATCAAGGATTAAGAGTAATCTATTCCTTAAATAACTTTTAAAATACCATAAATTCCTCTTTAATTACAGTAGATTATTTGGCAAAATTAAGAATACTAGTTCCTCAGGCTGCCTTTTTTTTTTTTTTAACATTAAGTTCCGGTATACATGTGCAGAATGTGCAGTTTGTTACATAGGTATATGTGTGCCATGGTGCCTTGCTGCACCTATTGATCCGTCATCTAGCTGCCCTCCCCTAACCCCCCATCCCCCCAACAGGCCCAGTGTGTGTTGTTCCCCTCCCTGTGTCCATGTGTTCTCATTGTTCAACTCCCACTTATGAGTGAGAACATGCGGTATTTGGTTTTCTGTTCTTGTGTCAGTTTGCTGAGGATGATGCTTTCCAGCTTCATCCATGATCTCATTCCTTTTTATGGCTGCATAGTATTCCATGGTGTATATGTACCACATTTTCTTTTTCCAGTCTATCATTGTTGGTCATTCAGGTTAGTTTCATGTCTTTGCTGTTGTGAATAGTGCTGAAATAAACATACATGTGCATATGTCTTTATAGTAGAATGATTTATATTCCTTTGGGTATATACCCAGTAATGGGATTGCTGGGTCAAATGGCATTTCTAGTTCTAGATCCTTGAGGAATCGCCACACTGTCTTCCACAATGGTTGAACTCATTTACATTTCCACCAACAGTATAAAAGCATTCCTATTTCTCCATAGTGTCACCAGCGTCTATTGTTTCTTGACTTTTTAATAATCGCCATTCTGACTGTCATGAGATGGTCTAAGAAAAAAGAACAAAGCTGGAGGCATCGTGCTCCCTGACTTCGAACTATACTACAAAGCTACAGTAACGAAAACAGCATGGTACTGGTAGCAAAACAGACATATAGACCAATGGAACAGAACAGAGACCTCAGAAATAACACCCAACATCTACAACCATTTGATCTTCAACAAACCTGACAAAAACAAGCAATGGGGAAAGGATCTCCTATTCAATAAATGGTGCTGGGAAAACTGGCTAGCCATACGCAGAAAACTGAAACTGAACCCCCTCCTTACACCTTATACGAAAATTAACTCAAGCGGGATTAAAGGCTTAAGTGTAAAAACCAACACCATCAAAGCCCTGGAAGAAAACCTGGGCAATACCATTCAGGACACGGGCACGGGCAAAGACTTCATGACGTCAATGCCAAAAGCAACGGCAACAAAAGCCAAAATTGACAAATGGGATCTAATTAAACTAAAGAGCTTCTGCACAGCAAAATAAACTATCATCAGAGTGAATAGGCAACCTACAGAACGGGAGAAAATTTTTGCAATCTACCCATGTGACAAAGGCCTAATATTCAGCATCTACAAGGAACTTGAACAAATTTTCAAGAAAAAAACAACCCCATCAAAAAGTGAGCAAAGGATATGAACAGACACTTCTCAAAAGAAGACATTTATGTAGCCAAGAAACATATGAAAAACAGCTCAACATCACTGATCTTTAGAGAAATGCCTTTTTTTTTTTTTTTTTTTGAGACAGAGTCTTGCACTGTTGCCCAGGCTGGAGTGCAGTGACATGATCTTGGCTCACTGCAACCTCCACCTCCCGGGTTCAAGTGATTCTCCTGCCTCAGCCTCCCAAGTAGCTGGGAATACAGGCACACGCCACCATGACCAGCTAATTTTTTTGTACTTTTAGTACAGACGGAGTTTCACAATGTTGGCCATGATGGTCTTGATCTCTTGACCTAGTGATCCGCCTGTCTCGGCCTCCCAAAGTGCTGGGATTACAGGTGTGAGCCACTGGTGGCCGACCCGAGAAATGCCCTTTTTTTAAAGGGATAGTTCTCTCATGGCTAATTCAAGGAATACAAGGATTCTTTCATAATGATAATGTCTCTATTTCTTCTCGGTTATAATCTCTGTGCAAGATGATGTCATTTTCAAAAAGTTGGAAATGGGCAAACACTTGTATTTGAGATTTAAATAAGTATGCATATAAAAAATATTTGTCATATTGAGCACATTACAACAATTATTTCAAATTTCCAAGAGATGGATGATGATTTGTTGAATGGAAGTAGAAAATATTAAGTAAAATAGCAGCCATCACTTTCTATGTGCCAGAAACTGTTCTGAGCACTATCCACACACTTAGGACAGTGCCTTAAACACTGTATATGTAGTAGTTAGAACAGATACATGTTTACATGTAATATGGGATAGGTATGGGGGAATGGATAATGCTTAGAACCATCCTGGCACATAGAAAGTGATGGAAAACAGTTCTTAGAACAATTCCTGGGACATAGAAAGTGTTGTAAAAATTAAATGTGGGTATATATATATATGGAATATGCATGTATATGTGTATAAATAATATATGTATATGTGTGTATGTATGTATAATATGTGTATATGTGTAAATATGTGTGTATGTACATATATCATTATACATTTTGTATATATACATGTTTACGTATACACATATTATTACAAATGTTTGCTCTATATAAATAAGCTATATGTGGGATATCCAATATAAATATCTATTCTATAAGATTGTTGTAAAAAGTAAATGAGCATCCATATGTACATGTATATACACACTCACTTCATTTTTACAACAACCTATGAAATAGGTATATTGATCCTATTCCAGAAACTAAGAAACTGAGCCTCATAAATTAAACAGTTTGCTCAAGGTGCCCCAAATAGTAGCACAGCGGGGATAATTAACACAGAAAGTCAGGCTCTGGAGTCATTGCTCTTATTTAATCAGTATCTCCTACTGGAAATTTTGATTATCAATATTGTTCATATCATATGGCTTCAATTGTTTATCATTAGTGAAACCTACAATGTTTCATTCAGTGTTCCAATCTAATAAAACAATTTGTGTCTGCTCTGACATACTTCTCTTAAAAATGTCAGGTATTTTCAGACACATTGGCAACCTGGTATTGTGGAAGGAGTGGTAAGTTTGGAATCTGGAGACTTAGGTTAGAAGTGATAGATCTTCCAACAGATCATTGCAGAGACTGGGAAATTATTTAGGCTCACCAAACCAGTTATCTGTAAAATACAGGATATGTTCCTTGACCTTATACCTCTCTGTTGTGCCTTCATAATAATGAGACAGTAGCACTTATATTGCCTGAGAGTTTCTGTTTACTTGAGTATCTCTTCATAAAGTGTAAGTTCTTTAAGGGCAGGGACCCTGTCTTTTTTACTTTGTGTCTTCAGCATCCTTTAGGCTACTCCCTGTCGTCTCAGAAGCACATACTAAATAAGTGCAGAAGCAAACTATAAAAGAAGAGAAAATATCATGATTCCCAAAACAGTTTTCATCAGGATCAAATGTAAATGAAATTCCGTTCCTGGGCTCTTGCTACCAGCTGGCCTATGACTAAAACACCAGGCTGGTGCTGCTTCTAGTAGCAATAGACATTGACTGAAAGGCATGGAAGCAACCTAGAAATTGCATTGATTGTAAATATTTTCAAATGAATATCTTGAAGAATGGATTCAAAACATTCCATTATCCATCTATGGGGAAAATATTTGCAGCCTCTGTATATACCTTTATTTTGTGTTTCTGTTATCTCTTAGAGTCTTTCAAAATTGTTGATCAGAGACAAAGGGTGGCTGTTGGATCATAATTGTAAAATGATGGACATCAGAAGAACTATTTAGTTAAGTAATGAGAGAAGGAGCAAGTCCTGTAGAACTTAGTTCTAGGATATCACACAGCACATTTCAGGACTCTTCTTTAAATCCTTAAGGAGAGGTCTTTTCATTTGCCTGACGAAGAACATGAGGGAACAAGCACTTTTTCCTTGAAATGTTTTTTGTACTGATCAGATCTGCTAATAACGCAACATAGACAGACTACCAGGAATGCAACTGCTTATATCCTCTCTGTTCACAAAACATTGCAGTGCATTTGTTGTGCCTTCATTTTCCTCATCAGAACTCAGAGCTCATGACTTTAACCCTTTTCAGTTTTGGAATCAGTTGTTTCTAAGATAGGGGCTATGCTTTGTTTCTGTACCTGGTACTTTTTTCCCCTGGCATAAATGAAAATATCTCTTCAAATATGTACCCAAGTAGTAGTAATATACTCTGTCCCAGTCCCTGGAGAGCTGTACAAACTGGAGGTAAGCCAGTCATTCATTTGATTATATTAAGATTCAATGTTTAAAAGCAGGACAATGCCATACCATATGAAATCATATTTTACTTCTCACTTACTTTAGCTCAGTTACTTTGGTGATGCAGAAAGTGGTTTTGAATTTAAGATAGGCATTCAGGCTGGAGGCAGGGGCTCACACCTGTAATCTCAGCACTTGAGGAAGCTGAGGTAGGTGGATTGCCTGAGCACACGAGTTCAAGACCAGCCTGGGCAACACAGCAAAACCCTGTATCTATGAAAATACAAAAAATAAGCCAGGCATGGTGGCATGTGCCTGTAGTCCCAGCTACATGGGAGGCTAAGGTAGGAGGATCACCTGAGCCCAGCAGGTTGAGGCTGCAGTCAGCCATGATCGTGCCACTGTGCTCCAGCCTGGGGAACAGAGGGAGACCCTGTATCCAAAAATATATATATATATTTATTAAGGGTCCATAGAAATCTAGGTTATAGAATAGGTTATATCATAAAATATTAGCCTCATACCTTCATTCTACTCATAAAAGACTTAGCTGTATAAAATAAATATTGCCACAGGTTGAGTTTAATGCTTTCTAATTGCTTGGCTTTCAGTGAAGAATCTCTTTACACAAGAATGTCCTTGTGTGCGGAATAAATCGGACTTTAGAAAATCTGAAAACCTCATTTACACAGAAATATGCACATCCCTGGACTCTATACAGCCCCCCTCCTGTGTAATTATTCTTCCTTTGACACAAAGCACTCTAATTCCAGAATGCCTGTGTTAAAAATTAAAGTTGGTTAGGTGTGATTTTTCCTTTCGGATCCTCTTCTGGACATTGAACAAAAGGAGACTATACATTTAAAAGACACAAACCTAAACATGAAGTAAGAAAGACTTGAAATTTGGCTCTAGAAAGTACATATTTGAGGCTGAGTAGGTTATTTTAACTCACCAAATCTTAATTTCATCCTTTGTAAAATGAAATGATGAAAATAATACTTGCCTTATAAGCTTGTCTGGAAAGTTGACTTAGACAGGTCCTGCAAAAATCTTGGCATGTTCGTGGACACATAGAAAGTTCTCAGTTAACGTTAAGCACCCCCTGTTCTCGCGTCTTCCTCCTCACCTTCTCATCGCTGATGTATATGAAAGTATAACATGCAGCAAGGGAACTAGACTGAGTCTGCCTCAACACATTCTGGAAGGAAGTATTCTGTTCTGCCTATGCTCCTTTCCACAAGTTTTATTCTAATCGTCAGATGTGTTCTACTTCATCTGAGTAATTGTTTGTGATAACACCTGGAGAGGTCTTAACTTTTGTATCTTATAAAAACACCAAACACCACATGTTCTCACTCATAAGTGGGAGTTGAACAATGAGAACACATGGTCACAGGTCACAGTAAGGGGAATGTCACACACCGGGGCCTGTCGGGGGGTGGGGGGCTAGTGGAGGGATAGCATTAGGAGAAATACCTAATGTAGATGACCGGTTGATGGGTGCAGCAAACCACCATGGCACGTGTATACCTATGTAACAAACCTGCACGTTCTGCACATGTACCCCAGAACTTAAAGTATAATAAAAAAATTAAAAATAAAACACCAAAATATTAAGTGGGGAGTGACTTAATGAACCCCATGGAATGAGAACGAAATACAATGTATATGCATTTAACTTGTACAGTTGTAAGCAGCATTTTTCAGTGGGCTGTGATATTAATTCCATTTCACAAAAGAATTTGTGAGACTCTCAAGCAGGTATGGCCAAGAGAATGATCCTCATTCTGATTTAGCTTCTCAGAAGATTGATGTTCTCTCTGGGATCTTTTGTGTGTCCAGCATGGTACTTGCAGCAGACCATTATGTGCTGTCATGCTGCTTCTTGATATCCAGACTCGGTGTGCTCTGCAGAACTGCAGCCTCGCTACATGTTTCAGTGCAGGAAATTCACATTAAGGGATCCTTTTCCAGAGAGATTGCTCAGGCAATTTCAGTTCCATCTCTGTTTTAAATGTTGGAAAACACCCCCTTTCTCTCAGTCTACCCTTGCTCTGCATGCCTATCTTTTGCTTTGCTGTTTCTAGATTCTGCGTTTGGTTATGTATCCTGTACTCACTATGGCAGTAGGAGGAGATTTAATATTTATTACCTTTTGGTGGGAAGAATAACTTCCAGATGAAAGTCCAGCTGAAAACATAGTCTCCTTTGGACAAGAATATAAAGACTTCAGTCTGCCAGAGTAGCATTACTAGACACCTGGCTGCAGGAAATGTGATGTTACTTTTTTGACATCTCTGCTCACTGCAACTTCTGCCACCCGGGTTCCAGTGATTCTCGTGCCTCAACTCCCCAAGCAGTTGGGATTACAAGTGTGTGCCACCACGCCCAGCTAATTTTTTGTATTTTTAGTAGAGATGGGTTGGACAGGCTGGTCTCGAACTCCTGACCTCAGCCCACCTCGGCCTCCCAGAGCTTGCTGGGATTACAGGTGTGAGCCACCACGCTCAGCTGGACAAGCAAGTTTTGAAGCAGAGGAGTTGTCTGCAAAATCTGGAATATGGGGGCAGTTATGGAGAAATAATAATTAGTACTGTTCATTGAATGTTTTAATGTTTGCCAGACCTTTTGAGTTCTTCATATACATTATCTTAGCCTACCTAAAGCAACCATGTAAGGATGTGTGTTAATATATCCATTTACAGATGAAGTAATGGAAACTCAGATAAGTAGATATTTCATGCAAGATCACGCAGCTGGTGTGGAAAAGCTGAGATCTGAGACTGGTGCACTCTGACTCAAAAGCCAGCACTCTTAGGGATTAGATTTCCTTGTGTGAAAAATAGGTCATATGAGAATGATGGAAGCATATAGCTACTTTTCTTTTTCACCAAATACTAATTCTGCATATACACATAATAAAGTAGTTTTTCTGTAGCTATCAAGGACTTACCTGAAAAGGAAAGGGTGACATCAGAAATCCATGCTGTGTTGTGGGGGCATATTTACTCTCACCTTAATAAATGCTGCAAAGCATTATAGAAAACTACTTCCCTGCTCATGGTAATATGACAAAATCCTTTCATCTTCACGTTTTTCAAAAGTGATATTCTGGTGGGCCTGCAAATAGTAAATATTAGCTTCTTGAAAGATCCTTTATGGAGACTAATTTTTTTTTTTTTCATTTTTATTCTCATGGTTTTTTTCCCTGATTTTCTACCCTCTTGTTTTGCCCATTCATGGTCCATATATTTTTGTCATTTTAACTCCTCATCCTGAAGCACAGCAATCATTTCTGAGTTTTATGGATCACCGCACAGATATTCTGGTGGTAGGCGATTAATCCTTATCCAACCACACAGCAGTTTTACCTAGGCTTTGGGATGATATTTAGCTGTTACTGTGGAGCTTCCTACTGGAATCTAGAGAACAGAGGGGCAGGGGAGGTCAGAGGATAGGTAAACATAAATCAGGTTTGTGCAAACAAGCATGATGAATGCTAGTTCCCAAAGTGCTCTGCCTTTTGTCAAACTTATATATTAGGAGAGAGGGTTGTGTGGCATGAATGATGAATCATAAAACTGCTCTCTCTGGTGAAAGGGCAAGCATAGAAACCACTGTAGTAACACGGTAGCTTGGATGCATCATAGGGCTTGGGAATACAGAGTGGAAAACAGTAATATGTGTATCAGCCTGAATGAAACAGTAAGGAGAACAGAGCAGAGTGTCCCCTGACTAGGAAATCCAGATCAGTCAAAAGGAAGTGAGTTTGGAGAAGCAAAACAAGATACAGTACGTCAGGGTTTCTTAACCAGGCCTCACACATAGAAAAAAACAAAACAAAACAAAAAAACCCTGTCTGTTCATTTACCATTTACTGAAATTTAGCTGTTTCTTCAATTATTAATGAGATAATCATGGAATTTTGATCAGCTACAGTGGCTTTACCACTACCAGAAGTAACTGATTGATTTCTTCATATATATCTCAAAATATTGTTTATGCCATTCACTACTTTGAAATTTCAGTAGCTATTACATTCACCACTAGAAACATATATTTTATTACAAAATTTAAAAATACTTTTAAAATTGTTCTTCAGTATAAATTGTTGTCTTTGTAATTCTGTGTATGTTATTTTATGCACTAGAAAATACTATCCTGAAAAAGCATTCATAGGTTTCACCAGTACACTAAAAGGGTCCAGGAAAGAAACAAAAAGTGTGAACTCTTATGGTCGATATGCTGTTTTTAATGTTAGGTGAGATTCAGCTTTTTAAGAATTTAATTTTTAGAAAGCTTGAGAGAGAAAAATTTCTACTTTGATATATTCAGTACAATATATTTTGCCACAAGTCAGCATCTACCATGAATAAAAATTAATTTGGGGACTAATGCCTTACCTTCTACTTGTCAACCTTGCAACCTGCCTGTCAACATGAGACCATGGCAAGCTTTTCAGATTAATCAGTGCTAATTCAGCTCCCATTTCCTTTACTTGTATTATACAGATAAAGTTTGCAATGAGATTAAGAGTCTTGGCTCTTAATTGGAATTTCTGATTCTTTTTTTTTTTTTTTTTTTTTCGAGGCTGAGTCTCACCCTGTCTCCCAGGCTGGAGTGCAGAGAAGTGATCTCGGCACACTGCAACCTCCGCCTCCCGGGTTCAAGCAATTCCCTTGCCTCAGCTTCCCCAATAGCTGGGACTATAGGCGCATACTACCACTCCCAGCTAATTTTTGTATTTTTTTAGTAGAGACAGGATTTCACCCCATTGGCCAGGCTGGTCTCGAACTCCTGGCCTCAATGATCCACCCACCTCGGCCTCCTAGAGTGCTGGGATTACAGGCATGAGCCACTGGGCCTGGCCTCTGATTCTTAATTTTAGCTGTACTACTTAATTATATATGTGAAACTAGATATATTATTTTATCTCCCTAAGCCTCAGTTTACTCATAATGTGAGTAATAATAGTAGCTACCTTATAGGGATGTGGTGAAGGCTAAATGCAATAAAGAGAACTTAAAACAGTAAAAATACATAGTAAGAGCTTAATCCATAATTGCCAGTATTGTTTTCAGTACATACTGTAATCGTGCTTAATAAGAATTGTAACCCACTGCCATCTTCATCCTCCAAAAAGGTAGTGGGTCTCTAAAAATCCATGCACACCTCCCACAACGCCACAAGAGCAGACTTCTGGGACCCTGGACATCTTGGGACCTCTTCATAGGATGGCTTGTATATTCTATTCTAAAACTATTTGCATTAAATATTAGGTCAATATACAAGAATACTTACAAAGTATACCTAAGGTATAAAGAATAACTATGTAACAGATACTTAATGACAGTTTAAGCCAATTATCATTTACCATTAGCTCTGAAATTTCCAGAATGCTCCTCTGTGATACCAGTCTCTTCCCTCCCAAGTGTAACCATGATCCTGAAATTTGTGTTTATTATTCCACTACTTTTATGGTTTTGCCACATGTATCTCCCAATATAAACTTTGAGTGAATAGAGTTACGTTGAAACTTGTGACTTGCTTCTTTCACTCAGCTTAAGTTCCTGAGATTCATCCATGCTGCTATAACTAGATCTGTTTATCTTATTTTCACTTTTCCATCATTATTTGTGAATTGGTATTCTATAATTTGCTATCCACTTACTATTGATATCCTCTCTTTTTTTGCTATTATCATTAATTTCTGCTATGAATATTGTTAAATATGTCTCCTGCTGCGCCTGATTCTAACAAGTAGAGTTGACTCATGAGGTATTTATATCCTCAGCTTCACGAGATAACACTAAATTGTTTTTCAAACAATTTTTGTTGTTACATTTGTTCTACCAGTATCGAATTGTTCCTGTTCTTTCACATTCTGGACAACACTTGACAGTGTCAGACTTTTGCCTGTTTGACAATTTGTTGAGTTTGAAATGATATCTCAATATTTTAATTTGCAATTAGACGTCTCCTTATTTGGAGAAGTTCTGTGTATTCTGGGCACTATCTTTTGCCAGTTCTCTTGAGTTGCACACGTATTCTCCCAGTTGCTTGCTGGCCTTTTCACTCTTATTTGGAGTCCTTTGATAGAGCAGAAGCTCTTAATATTAACATAGTTGAGCCCATTAAGTTTTTTCTTTATGATTGTACTTTGTGTCTTCTATCTTAAAAATCCACAATCTAAGGCCGAGGTGGGCGGATCATGAGGTCAGGAGATCGAGACCATCCTGGCTAACACGGTGAAACCCCATCTCTACTAAAAATACGAAAAAAAAATTAGCCAGGCGTGGTGGTGGGCACCTGTAGTCCCAGCTACTCGGGAGGCTGAGGCAGGAGAATGGCGGGAACCCAGGAGGTGGAGCTTGCAGTGAGCCGAGATCGCGCCACCGCACTCCAGCCTGGGCGACAGAGCAAGACTCTATCTCAAAAAAAAAACAACAAAAAACAAACAAAATCCACAATCTATTTTTCATATGGGTAAAAAGGACTAAATAAAATCCCCTTATATCATTTAAGAGGGAAAATAATTACCCAAGAGGAGAGGAAAGAATTGGATTGGCTTGGAAGTGGTTATTTTTACATTTTTTCATCTGTAGCTACACTGTGGGTAGAAAAATAGAAAAATTACTTGTGATAACCCAGATTACTTAGCATCTTTAGATAATAAAAGTTTACTCTTACTGTGGCATTCACCTCTAATTTAACTTCATGAGTCTGTTTTCTTAGTCAACTGTACTAGATGCTAGAGATACAAAAATTGTTACGAGGAGGAAGCAAGCGTCTAGGCCTCCACATCTGGATAGCCATTCTCACATTTACCACATCACAGGGATGCCATGCAAGGGCAGTACACAGAAGTTTATCTGTGTTTCATTTTATAATCTTAGTATTTTGTGTGTCCATACTCAGTCTGCCCTTGGTTCCCACTCCCCACTTTGCTCTTCTTTGTATATAATTTGATTTGTGCCTCATCTTCTTACTAGTCTGAACATGTTGTTGAGGTAGGATATCCAACCATCCTGGTTTGGCTGAAGTTGGGAGACCTCCTGGGATGCAGGACTTTTAGTGCTGAAACCAAGCCCCAGGTACCTGGGACAAATTGGTCACCCTACTTTGAGGGCAAGGACTATGTATGTTGCATCTTTGCACCATGTACAACTCATTTTACAATGTTTACACATAGACAGTAGTTTTTAAATGGATTTTGCATTAAGTTGGAAGGCACTCAGTTCTGACATGGATCCTTCCAGTCATTCTTGCAAGTTATGTTTATTTTCTAGCATCTGATTTCATGAAGCTGCCATTTTTCTTAGACAAGTTGACTCTTTTTTCTTGAATCCACTGACCTTAGGGTAGCAGTAAACTTTGTTTACCAACAGGGCTCTGTCATCCACATGAGGGATGTTGCCATTAAGTGTCTTTTTTTTTTTTTTTTTTTTTGAGATGGAATCTCACTCTGTCGCCCAGGCTGGAGTGTAGTAGCGCAATCTCGGCTCACTGCAAGCTCCGCCTCCTGGGTTCAGGCCATTCTCCTGCTTCAGCCTCCCGAGTAGTTGGGAATACAGGTGCCCGCCACCACGCCTGGCTAATTTTTTGTATTTTTAGTAGAGACGGGGTTTCACCGTGTTAGCCAGGATGGTCTCGATCTCCTGACCTTGTGATCTGCCCGCCTCGGCCTCCCAAAGTGCTGGGATTACAGGCGTGAGCCACCGTGCCTGGCCAACTGTCATTTTTCCCCACAAATGCATCAAAGCTTGTTTATTAAAACAAATTTATTATGAATCAGGATTAATTAACAGATTAACATTTAACATACTTTAATTGAAGATATTCATTTAGATTTTGTTCTGTCGTCAAGTAATCACAAAAGTTGTAGTTACCAAGTTTTCTGCCATTGTTGAATTATCCTGGAGGTCACATTTTTGTGTACAAATTGATGAGGGACTTGCTTCGTAGTATAATTTGAGAGGTGGCTGAACTGGCTTCTATAGCTAGACATATTTCCCCTTTTGGGCTAGTGAGTGCCTCCATTAGTTGTCACCCCTTCCATTGTAAGCCGTTTTTCCTCCCGCATTACCTTATAAACCACAAATGCCTGGAGGAGCCTCAGCATATTAAGACAGTTTTGATCGGTACCCCTTTTAGCAGAAGTTATTTTTTCAGCTGCTTTCCAAAGTAACAGATGAGAGGGAATTTGACCTTGTGAAAGCAATTGTGAGGCAGCCAGGTAGGAGGTGCCGCAGGAACACTGAGCAGCAGGGGCAGGAGGCCGTAGCTGTGTGTGTGTGAGCTGGAGTAGGACACCTTAAGGGAAATGGCTTTAGGGATCAACTTTGCTGTTCCACAGTGCTGTGACCTTGGGCAAGAGAAAAGTCTTTAACAGGTTTGATTTATGAGAATATTTTCTACTCTCGATAGAATGCAGTGGATATCTGATGCAGTTTTGTGCCATCTAAGTGACTACTGAGAGAAGATTTCCAAATTTCTCTGATTGCCATCAGTAGGGAGTGATGAAGTGGGATTTTCTTTTCTAGTTGCCTTTATCCGTGTCGGTGAAATGAGAACAAAGCTCTCTATTCTCTCAATTTAGAAAGAAATCAGATCTGAATCTCCAAAATCAGTTGAACATCCTTCAACCAGTAGTTCCGTGTCTGATGTGTAGACAGTGGTAACTGCCATACTGAAAGAAATGTAGTCTTGTGATAATTCAGAACTGGACGTAACCAAAAAAGTGGTTTTTAATCACAAAATTATTTTCTGGATTGTAACAATTTGGAACTGGATATAACCCAAAAGGGTTTTTTTGTTTGTTTTTTACTCATGATATAATTTGTCTGAGAAAAGCTTCCCCAGTTGTGTGGCAAATAGGTTAGGAGGCCTATTTGAGTAAAAATCCAACTGCTGTTACAGTGGACCTTCAGAATAATTTAATTTGGTCAATTGTCCATAGCTGTAGTGAAATTTTGTCTTAAGAAGCGGTATCTGAAAGGAACTTATGTTACAGACTGAATGTCCCCCCTCAAATTGAAGCCTTAACCCCCAAATGTGACTATGAGGTCATAAGGGTGTGGCACCAATCCAACAGGATTGCCGTCTTTATAATAAGGGGAAGGAACATCAGGGAGACATACACAGAAAAGGCCCTGTGGGGACACAAAGAGAAGGTGGCCATCTGCAAGCCAAGAAGAGAGCCCTCACCAGAAACCAATCCTGTTGGCACCTCAGTCTTGGACTTACAGCCTCCAGAACTGTGAGAAAATAAATTTCTGTTGTTTCAGCAACCCACTAGCTGGAATTGTGTCACGGCAGCCTGAGCAGACTAATGCAGCATCTAATTTTAAAAAAATACTTTTCAAATATTCAATTTTCCCAAGTCCGGTGATCACCACTTGGTTTCTGAATTTGATTTTCTATTTTCTAGTGAAGAATTTTACCCTGTTCCTTCCCGTTCTAGGTTCACAGACTGACTTCTGGTCCTTGCTGGGGGTGCTGCCAGCCTTGGAGGCTGGTGAGTTGACTTTATAAGAAAATAGAAAAGCCTAAGTTACAGCACCAGCTTTCTTAGTTTTCCACAGTTCATGGTTCTCCTGTAGGCCACTAATATTCCTGATACATCTCTCTAGCTTTTGTCATAATCAAAATCGGTTGACTGTATAATACGTGGTGCCTGCTTGCACTGATGCTGTGTTATTCTGTTTGTTTGTTTGTTTTCTAAAGGGGAATCTTGTAGATTACTAGAGAGTTCATGATACTCTGGTATCAGTTATGCCACAAACTAGTATTAATCCATGGACATTTCCCGCCAGCCCAACCTGCCGCAGAAACTCAATTTGAGGGTTTTCTCTATGTTTCTCGTTAATATAACTTTCATCCTCTGCTAAGTTATCATTTCTCTTTACCTGGAGCCAGAAAAGTAGGACCCTGAGCCGAATCTGCCTCTCTACCTGCTTTTGTAAATGAAGTTTCATTGGAACACACAACCATATTCATTGGTTTATGTGTTATCTATGACTGTTATCACACAACAACAGCAGCATTGAGAAGTTGTAAAGGAGCAAAAAAAGACACAGAACCATCTGAAGTCTTTGTGCAGTGGCTCATGCCTGTAATCTCAGCACTTTGGGAGGCCAAGGCTGGCGGATCACTTGAGGTCAGGAGTTCAAGACCAGCCTGGCCAACATGGTGAAACCCCATCTGTGCCAAAAAATACAACAAAAATTAGCCAGGCATGGGGGTACACAACTGTAGTCCCAACTACTCGGGAGGCTGAGGTGGGAGAATTGCTTGAACCTGGGAGGCAGAGGTTGCAGTGAGCCAAGATCCTGCCACTGCACTCCAGCCTGGGCGACAGATTGAGACCCTGTCTCAAAACAAAGAATCTGAGCCTAAAATATTTACAATCTGTATATCTATCTTACTAAAACATATACTTAAGGAAAAAGTTTGCTGACTATTGCTTTACGTTACCTATTGGCTTGACAAGCCCAATACATTCCCATTTCTTATTAGTACACGAATCATAAATAATACTGAGAAACTATAACTTAATATTGTTAAATCTTCTTCTCTGTAATTATAGTAAAATTTGAGAGGAATTAGTATGGTATATCCCTATCTGTTTATTAAGGGAGTGTGTGTGTGTGTGTGTGTGTGTGTGTGTACTATATGTTTAATAAAATCTTAGGAATACTAGGATTTGTTGAGTAGCGTTCTTATTTAAAAAATGTGTAAAATTTAAAATTATGTAAATATTCATAATACAGAAGTCTTCTTAGCTTTAAAGATTTACCTGGGTGAAGACAGGCATTGTCTGTACTTGATCAAGTAAATTTTCAGTTCATTCAAAATGTTTATTTTGCTTGCATCTTACCAAACCTCAACTTATAGTCAGTTGACCAAGTTATAAAAGTTCTCTTTCATTCCCATGAGATCTCAATCTATATTGGTGGAGGTGGGAGTAGTAATATTATAAGGCAAAATCTCTCATCTGTTCTCCAGAAATTAAGTCTTAACAATGTTTTCTAAGAGCAATAGCCCTGATGCAGTGCTTAATGCTTTATTTCCATATTTGTTATTTCTGACTGCTAGAAAGCAAAGGTCACTAGGTCAGGAAATTAGCTTAAGGGGGAAAAAGGAAAGTAGTTACTCTTAAGGTTAAAATCCATATAGTATGATGGGTTATTGTGATGAATATTTAGTTTTGAAAGACTTCATTTATTATGTAATAGCCATATGCAGTTAACAGAATGCTTCTGTTAGTGAACCTCACAAATGATTTAGTAACCCCCAGAGATTAGCTGGATGTTCATATGTAGTAGAAGAAGAAAGCAAATTTGACATTAAAAACAACACATAATGCAATGAAAACAAAATACCCCTTAAGAGTTACCATGTACTATACAAGACCCACCAGTCATCCCCAGTACCATTCAGAGCATGAGATTGATTCAGTCATGTCCACCATCTGGTTCTATACCGGTTTTCAAGTCCCAATGATCATAGTTTTGATAATGTACCAGGTACCATATTAAGGGCTTCATATGTAAATAATTTTAAAGTTTTTTTTTTTAATTTGAAGAAACAGAAGTCAGGTTAACAAATATGCCTTAGGTAAAGTAAAATTCAAACCAAGTAAGTAAGAGTTCAAAGTTTATGCAGTATTAAAAATCATTTCTGGCCAGGCATGATGACTCACACCTGTAATCCCAGAGCTTCAGAAGGCCAAGATGGGAAAATCACTTAAACCCAAGAGTTCAAGACCAGCTTGGGCAACATAGGGAGACCGTATCTCTACAAAAAAAAAAAAACAAAAAAAAACAACAACTAAAAAATTAGCTGGACATGGTGGCGTGCACCTGTAATCCTACCTACTTAGCAGGCTGAGTGAGAGGATCGCTTGAGCAAAGGAGTTCAGGGCTGTTGTGAGCCATGATTGCACTACTGCACTTCACCCTGGGGGACAGAGCAAGACCCTGTCTCAAAATACACATACGCACACACACACACACACACACGTGTGTGTATGTATGTATGTATATATATATATAAACTTTGTTTATGTCTCTCCTGATCTGTAATCTCTTAAAAGACAGAGACTGTATTTTTCTAATTGTTTAATTCCCCTAGTGCTCATCTGGTACATTTTCTACCTAGTGCAGTCGTATCTTATTTAGAGTCTCATTTCTAAAAACTGTGCATAGACAAAATTGGTTTTCAAAACCTTTTAGGTAAAGCCCATGTTGGAGACTGACATATGACATTTCGGTAAACCCAACACTTCTGATTTTCTTCATAACACTGGAAAAATATGGCTGTTTTTCAGTTGAGCATTAGATAAAGGACTTTTCCTATCCTCAGGGGTCATGTTGTACGTAAAATATATTCTTTCATACACCAGAATTACACTCAACATGACATTGAGAGGCATGAAGAGATCAAGACTTACTCAAAGAGTTGCACATTTATGTCTCTCTTCTCATGCTCACTGTGGGGCATAGTATTGACATTGAGAGAACCCTGAACAGTATTATCCTTGAGCCTCTTAGGGCGTGATTTAACTCACATAAGTTAAATTCACCAATGGTGCCAAAATATTGTACCAAATAGAGATAAAGACCTCACATTCCTTTAGCACTTACTATATGCCAGCCACATTGAATGAACTCTGCACTTAATAATTCTCATGACACTGCACAAGGTATATGTCATCACTGTCTTTGTGTTATGAGTGATGAAGCTCAGGTGTGCCTCAGAAAAGCTGAGTAAATTCCCCAGGGTTGCCCTGCCAGTGAATGCCAAAATCAGGATTTAAAGACCTCAAATGCTTTTAACTATCTAGCTTTGCATTTTCCTTAAGAAATGTTGATTGAAAAATTACAAGTAATAGTATATATAATTTATATTTTGTATATATAATTTATATATACATTTATATAATATCTATTTATAACATATATAAATTATATATACAATCTAAGGTTGTACACTATCTGCCTTTCGCTTCAAGTTGATTTTTATAAATAGTCTTCTCCATGTTGTTTCTATATTCCAAAGAATTATTTAAGGTAGTAAAATCATCAGCCATTTGTAAATAGGAGTCCAGTCATGCAAACCTTAGCTATAGCCCCACGAAGGCTACAACAGCTGGGAGCACTGTTCACATAAAACACAACATAAATGATGCCCCCACCCAGGATGCAGAACAATCACTGCCCTTGCCTGCTAGCTAGGCACTGGATTCATCAAGAACATTTTAGGAACAGATAAACTCCTAAAACTCTTTATCACACTTCATTAGTTACATTCAGTGCTATGCGTCCAAATTCTGCTCCTGTACATGTTTAATAAACAGAGATGTCTACACATTGTCTGATTGTAAATTGTGAGGATTTCAGCATGGTGGACTTTGGGTCCATAAACACATAGGCTTCTCACGTTTATACAGAAAGTCAAGCTTGATTTGGGGCTTAAATCCATTGTGAAAATGCAGTAGATCTTTTAATTAGGTGAGGATATTTCTAAAGACATCTTTAATGTCTATTTTATTAGTGATGATAATGTAATCACAAAAACAGCTAAATCCAAAATATCCTCTCCACACTCATAGTAGTCCACCGCCTATAAAGGTCTTTAAGAAAGCAGAAGCACAGTGTTCATAACCTTGCTGGCATGAGGTTAATTCAGAAAGTCACTTGGTCTTTGCTCTTGACCTCAAAATCTACCTCCTGTTAAGAAGGAGAAAAAGGAAGAAAAGCATTTGCTCGTCACTTGTCAGGAAATAAAAGGAAGAAATGGGATACTGAGAGTAAAGTAGTATAGTGGAAACACGCATTTTCTATTTTCTACTTAAAGTTCCATTACCTTTCAACATTGTTGATATTGTAGATGAAGAAATGCTTGCCTACTCTCTACAAATGATATCCTATCCCTTACAAGAACAGATAAACATAGTGGTTGGGAAACAATTTAAATTGTTTCTGAGTTCTTTGGAGGATTTCATGTAAATTCATTAGTAACTCTGGAACTATCTACTATGCATTTAAGGAATTAAAAATGTATTAGTTTCACTACACAAATGTATTAGCTTCCACTCTGTAGTTAAATGAAAAATGTATTAGCTTATATGTATAAATATCTTAACATTCAGTCTGTAGTATTTTCTCTTAGATATTACTCCATTTGAACTAGTCTATAATGCAAACACTGCTTAAAGTCTCAATGCTGGAGAATTACACTTTTTAAAAAATTTTCTTAAGTAGCAGAAAATATTTGTGTATGCGGCAATATTTGTTTAATATAGCAAATAAGTATTCCTTCCTAAAAATGCTCTTTCAGAACTTATTCAATGCTATAATAGTTTTGGAAACTGAAGAAGGATATTACTTTTTGAAAAATTTGAAAAAATGCTTTCAGAACTTACTCAATGCTATAATAGCTTTGGAAACTAAAGAAGGATATTAGTTTTTGAAAAATTCTAGGGCCGGGCACAGTGGCTCAGGCCTGTAATCCCAGCACTTGGGGAGGCCAAGGCAGGTGGGTCATGAGGTCAGGAGATCGAGACCATCCTGGCTAACACGGTGAAACCCCATCTCTACTAAAAATACAGAAAAAAAAAAAATATATATATATATATATGTTAGCTGGGCGTGGTGGCATGCACCTGTAGTCCCACCTACTCCGGAGGCTGAGGCAGGAGAATCGCTTGAACCCGGGAGGCAGAGGTTGCACTGAGCCAAGATCACACCACTGTACTCCAGCCTGGGTGACAGAGTGAGACTCCATCTCAAAAAATAACAATAAAATAAAAAATTCTATAAATGATTACATACATTAACCACTTGAAATCTAAAAAAAAGAAATCCAGTATTGGGGTGAAGATTTTATTCTTAGTAGAAAGACCTGGTATGTGCCACTCAGTTATTGAAGGGATTCGTTTCATGTAGTAACTAAATATAGATCAGCAAGACAGATATCTCGGAACCATCTAGGGGAATTTGTAAGTTTTCATCGAATTTTTTTTTTCTAGTGAGCGATGTTGCTGTATTACACTTAAACTGAAACCTATTCACTCTCTACGCACCTGTTCAATGCCACCACTCTGGATAACTGTTAAAATTCCTTTCCCTCTATATCTCCTTGAAAAATAGCCTGTTACATCTGATGGGTCAATCTGACAATCTCCAAAGAAAGATAAAAGTAAAGTCAAAAAAGGACAGTGTGAGATATTGAGATACCAAACTGTAATTGGAAATGAAAATATTTTCTCTTCATTTTTCTGGTTCTCCCACACTTTTTCCTCTATTAACAATTTTAGCCATGCCTTATCTCCCATTTAACTGTAATTTGAAAGTGAAAAATCTGTGAGTAAAAAAGGTGCTGTTTGTGTATATCTACATAAACATTCATGCATCTCTATCCCCCATGTCCAGTGGCTCCTTCACCATGGAATAACTAGATCCCAATTTTCTGTTCCTTTGTCTTTCAGTTATTTTTGGAAGCTTTCACAAGGGCGCCTTGAATGTGCCCACAGCAGGACTTGTTAGTTGGAGGCACCACCCAGCATCTGCCCTGCTCATTGCCTATTGTGGCTTTTTCTGGCCATGTTCAGAGCTTGCTCTTGGATCTTGATGAAATTGAAACTGGCCAGATTGTCCCATAGCACTGATGTTTATGGTTTCTTTAGAATAAACATAGAAACTGACCCTCCCAGTCTTAAAACTTGAGAAAGTTACGTTTGTTGAGTTCCTTTCTCAGGAAACCAACCATCAGGTCTCCCAGATAGTTTCAAGGAACTGAAACTTACCAGATCACCACCTCTGGACAATGAGACACCAGACCCCTCACGCATCATTATTGCCTAACCGAGCACCTGCTTCCTGTGGACCAACTTCTCTTCCTTACTCCTCCCTAATTCCTGTTTTCCCACATAAGGTTACATTTCTTCCCTGCTATATAAACCCCTAATTTTAGTTGGTGAGACAGATGAATTTGAGACTGATCTCCCATCTCCTTGGCTGCAGAACCTGATTAAAGCCTTCTTCCCTGACAATACTTGTTGTCCCAGTGATTGGCTTTCTCTGCAGTGAAAAGCAGAACCTAGACCAAACCCCAAACCTTGGCATTTTGGTATTGGTAACAAAAGCTTCCACCACCTATTAGGAGGAAGAGGACAATAGAGCTAATTCCACATACTCTAAAAACTTTACGTCATCAGGCATCAGAATGTACTTCATCCCCTCTCTTCTTTGGCCCCTCTGTTACTATTGAGGAACACTAATTATGCTTATGTAAATTAGACATAGAAGATAGAATATTTATTGCCTATAGGGGCTGTGTAATCATTTTATAGAAGTCAGACACCTACAACCTGCTCACCTGGGGAAAAAAACCCAGGAATTATTTATCTCTACTCTTTAAATTATCTGAGTTAATAAACACATCTAGAATTGAAGTGTTTTAGAAAATAAATAAAAGTCCTCCTTAATGCATTTTTTTATTGGATAATCTCCAAACTTCCCAACCCAAACTCATATCTGTTTATTACTTTATAACTGTATCCCCACTCCTAATATGAACAGTGAAGTCCAAATAAGCTTATAAAACCCAAACAAAATTACAAACACCAATTACCAATAGAGGTAGATAAATTTTTATAAGCATCAAATTTTATGAAGAGTGTTTTCTAGTCATTTAAATGTATTTGCTGCTGAAGGACAAAACAGTATTAACTATCTCAAAGGCAGTGGCTTTAGAATTGACAATACCCTTTCATATACATCTCTATATCAGTTTTTAATTATTTGTAATTATAGTGCATAGTTTCCATTTTCTTTTCCTCTTTCTTTCTTTCTTTGTTTTTTTTTTTTTTGGTTTTTTTTTTTTTTTGAGATAGCGTCTCACTCTGTCACCTAGTCTGGAGTGCGGTGAGTGGCATGATCTCAGCTCACTGCAACCTTGACTTTGAGGGCTCAGGTAATCCTCCCAACTCAGCCTCCCTAGTAGCTGGATCTACAAGTGTGCACCACCACGCCTGGCTAATTTTTATATTTTTAGTAGAGACAGTGTTTCACCATGTTAGCCAGGCTGTTCTTGAGCTCCTGGGCTCAAGTGATCTGCCTGCTTTGGCTTTTCAAAGTGCTAGGATTACAGTCCTGAGCCACCGTACCTGGCCTCCATTTTCTTTACATACACAAGGTGCTTAAACCATTTTTTTAAATAAGCTAATTGTAGAGGTACAATTTGTAAGTGAATGGATTAACAATTTGCCCATAGTTACAAGTTTAAAAGCAAAATGGATTCTGATTCCAGGTATGGCTTCCAAATTCTGGCTTTTTTAAAACTGCAAACCATGATCAAAGTTAGATTAGGCATTCGA
This sequence comes from Homo sapiens, assembly GCF_000001405.40. Classification (NCBI taxonomy): domain Eukaryota; kingdom Metazoa; phylum Chordata; class Mammalia; order Primates; family Hominidae; genus Homo; species Homo sapiens. The sequence goes on from NC_000003.12 coordinate 2,637,446, forward strand.
TGAAGAGTCCTCCTTTCAAAAGGAGCCCTCCTTTGCCTTATCTCTGAAACCAGCAGAGTACACACACTTCAGTTGCTGTTCTTCAGGTTGTGCAATACAGGGGCCCAAGTATGTCACCCCGTGATTGGTCCCTGCCTCAACAAGAAACATCACTGAGCTCTGAAGGTACCTCTGCTGTCTGTGTCTCTTGGGATTTGAATTCATCCTCTTGATTATTACTGCCCTGCTTATTCAACTCCTATAAATCCTATAAAGCCTGTATGTTTTACCATAGTTGTCACCACGCATGTGACATTGGGTTATCTGCCTAACCTCTGATGTCCCTCTAGATCTGTCATCTAATACTCATGCCTACCCTTGCCTAAATGTATTTTCTACATTTCTAACTTCCGATTACAGACGCTTCCCTTGATTGACTCTTCATCGAATGCCTAATCTAACTTTGATCATGGTTTGCAGTTTTAAAAAAGCCAGAATTTGGAACCCATACCTGGAATCAGAATCTATTTTGCTTTTAAACTTGTAACTATGGGCAAATTGCTAATTCCTTCATTTATAAATTGTACCTCTACAATAGAGGTAGATAAATGATAGGTCTTTAATGAGTTACATGTATAAACTGCCAACCACAGTGGTGGAATTTATAGGAATTTAACAAGTGATAATTATTGTTCTCCTCTTGCTTGACTTTAACTTCCACCTTATTGGAAAAATTTTTCCATTAACTTCTACCTTAATGCCCATTCTCACATGGCTTCAGATTCATGACCCTGTGCAGATTCTTTAAACCTGTTAGTGCTCTTTTGGATCCTTGATAATAGCCTTTCTCTGTTTCCAGCCTCACCTTCAAACTCCTGGTTTCATGTGATTCAGTGTTGTGCCCCTGTCCCCAACAGAGCTGTAGCAATAAAAGGTTTCCCTTTCAGGAAGATGTGAATATGCCTTAAACCTCTTTAAGCCCTTAAAATGTAAATCGAATTTTATTTGTATTATAAAGAAAGTTGCGGTTTACAAATTGAAGATTTCTGTAATGAAGAAACATTTATCTTTTTTTTTTTACTTTCTGACACACATTCAGACATGTCATTAGCTTTTTTAAAACTGCAATAATCAATAAACTTTGATACTTACCTATTTTAATTCTATTCACAACTCAAAAACTGTATCAGAGTGAATTTCTTTATATGAAAACTAATATCGTTGATGAAACCATTTAGCTAGACATATACAGTGTGATGACTAACAGGCATCTCGAAGTCAACTTGTTGACCTGACCTCCTCTTTTTCTCCCCCAAACCTGTGTCACCTGCACATGTCCCCATTTCAGATAATGACAACTTCATCTTTTTCATTGCTCAGACCAAAACCTTAAATTCTTTTAAATTTGTTTGCTTTCTCTCATGTCCCTCAGCCAATATGTGGCTTTACCTTTAACATATGTTCAGAACCCAACTATTAGTTCTCACCACCTTCCATGCTACCATTCTGGTCTGAGACACCAGCAAGCATCTTTCTTCTGGAATATTAAAATACCCTCCTCATTGGTCTGCCTTTTACTCCCTACAATCTATTTTACAATTTGGTCTCACTGCTTTTCCCCTTTCCTCCTACACTGTATTTTCAACACAGCTATCCGAGTGATTCTTTTAAAAAGTAAACCAGAACACAACATTCTTTTTTTTCTTCAAAAACTTGCATTGACTCTCCATTTTACTCAGAGCAAAGCCAAAGTCCTTCTCTTACTCTGTCATGTATAACCTGCACTGCATCCCTCCTCAACTATCTAACTCCTCTCCTCCTAATTCTATTCTATGATATTTTCTTCTATTCCTATTTAATTCTGTCCTAGTTCCACTGGTGCCCTGCCCCACCTGTTAACATGCCAGGCTTGCACCTGCCATCAGGCTATGGTCTACTACTCCCTCAGATCAGTGCTTGCCCAACTCCATCTCTTCCTCAAAAATTTGCTCAGACCTCACCTTCTTAATGAAGCTATTCTAAACACCTATTTCCTACTGCATCTTACGCACTTCCCTCCACATTCATGGAGCTCCCTTACCCTGTTCCACTTTTTCTTTTTTTGGTAACATTTATAAACTTCTAACACACTATGTATTTTGCTTATTATATGTTTAATAAATTCTTCAAGGGCATGCATCTCTGTTTTATTCCCTGAGAATAGTGCCTGGCACACAGCAGGTACTCGATGCATATTTATTAAATGAATGAATTTTTCTTTGTCTGAAATAAATTTATTTGGAAAATATTTAACACATTTGTGTTTTGTTTAGTTGGGGTTTTGTTACTACTGCTATTTCTATAAAAGGTTGAAATACAGAAGGGAAAAGAAAATCTCACCAGCTATCTGGCCTTGTACAGATAAAGCCAAATGATTGAATGCTTGACTGAATTGACTGGTTGTTTGGACATATTTTTTGTAATAGCTTAAGGAACAACTAAGCTATCTGACTTCCACCCCCTTTCCCCGTGCTAGGGCTAGAACTGTCAAAAAGGCACATAATACACATTTGGGTTTTAAAGAATTTAGTTAATTGAATTCAATGAACCAAAAGTACAGTGAAAATCATCAACATTTATATGTAAAACAAATTCTGTTTTTGTCTGGCTTAAAGGGGATGTAGCTGGGGGCTAAAGGATTAGAAATGAGTAAGAGAATAATCTGACATTGCTTTGCTTTTCATGCAAGCTTTGTAAGCTCTCAAATGGCAATGTTGGAGAATTCATTACATTGTGGTAAAGTATGACAAGTTGAAGAGTCTAAATTGAGTAACAAAAGCAAACACCAACATATTATACATGAAAACTGCTGTTGAAACAACAGATCAAAAACTGTACTCTAACACTGTAGCACTTTTTATATTTTTCTTTATTCAGAGATTTTGTAAGGCTGTTTATGGGTTAGCATGGAAGGAATAAGGCTTTCTACCAAAAGCAGACACACAGTTTTTGTACAGAAATATGTCTACCAGGGATTATATACTGAGGAAATGGTGAATTGATGGAAAGAATACGATAAACAAGGGGGGAAATGTAGTAAAGAATCAGTGGTTACCTGATGCAGTTCTTTAAGAAAAGGATGATTGGGTAGTGGGAACACTTACAAAGCTAAACAGTGACTGTGAGATAATAACTGGACACAAGAACAGCTCTTTAATATCTAGTGAGTGTGTGTATATGTGTGTGTGTATATATGCACACATATATCTTTCACACACTGTGCACATACACACACACTTTGTATGAGGAAGGTCTATGATCAGAAATACTAACATCACTATTCAAGCCTTGATGACAGATTTTCCACTCCTGTGATAATTCCTTTGTAGCTGATTGACTTTGGAACCAGAGAGTCCCTTCTAACAATGCAGCTATTCCTAGGATTATAGGTTCTCATCAATACCTCTTTTTAAATGTGTCACATTTGTCAGGTCACTTTTCTCTCTGAAGGAGGCAGTATCAGAGTGCTGGACAGAGGATAAGAGGGGAAGAGAATAAGGATGATTAACAGGAAGAGAAAAAAATTGGAGGGAGGTCATAAAGATTTTCCTTGATTTCTCAATTGTGCCTTGGCATGGAACTAAGACAAATTCTGCCAGATCACCCATTAAAAGTCAGTGTACTTAATACCCTCAAAATTAATGCTATATACAACTTCAACTGTATGTTTTTTTAAAAAAGAAATGCACCAAACGCATTACATTTTAATGATGGATAGAATTAAATGCTGTCATATGCTTGGCCTTTGCAAATTGCTCCATTAATTATTATAGGTGCTTCCAGTGTGACATGTGAGTATTAAAAAAAACTGTATTGAATTTATCTGTAAATAGATTTGAAATGATTGGTGTACATTCTGTTGAAACTTCCCAGGGAGTACATATTATTCACATTTTTTGTAGACGTGAAAGCAGGAAACACTTAAATTGTCCAGAAATCAGCCTTTGCATTAAAACATCTGCATTATTTTATTCCTCATAACTGTAGGAAATATCTCATTTAAGCAATCTTATAAGTCAACTAAATGCAAATAAATTCTCCAGTGGAGAATGACAAGTTCATCAACTTGATTCCCTCCCACTCCCAACATTTTCTGTCTTATTGTCAACTGCTTCACATGGTCTGTTCAGTGGATGTGTTTGTGCACCATCTTCACAATGACCCTAGTCTACATTCCTGGTTATATATCATTACTCTAAATATCCCCCCCAAACTGTGGCAAAGCTTTGCAGCACAATGAATTACAATGCAATTTGGTATCATGGAGGTGAATTTTTTAAATTTTGTTCTTTGCTGTTTTGCCAGAGCTGATTGATGCCAGAAAGGAAGATTGCTTAGAAACTAGGATTCTATGATAGCCTGTATTGACAGATGCAACTTTTAAAACCAGTCAGATTGCAAGCCATTTTTACATCATATTGAATCATATACTTAATTATGTCTGTACTTCTTTCACACCTTAACTTTGGTGAATCTCAAAGTATTTCATGAAAACTTGGGGAAGACATCCTCCGTATTAGTCAGGGTTCTCTAGAGGGACAGAACTAATAGGATAGATGTGTGTATAAATGAGAGTTTATTAAGGAGCACTAACTCACATGATCACAAGATAAGGTCCCGCAATAGGCTGTCTGCAAGCTGCGGAGCAAGGAAGCCAGTCCAAATCCCAAAACCTCAAAAGTAGGGAAGCCGACAGTGCAGCCTTCAGTCTATGGTTGAAGGTCCAAGAGTAGAACTTGCAGTACAATGTTTGAAGGCAGGAAGCATGCAGCATGGAAGAAAGATGTAGGGTGGGAGATTAAGCCCGTTCAGTCTTGCTACACTCTGCCTGCTTTTATTCCGGCTGCACTGGCAGCTGATTAGATGGTGCCCACCCAGATTGAGGGTGGGTCTGCCGTTCCCAGTCCACTGACTCAAATGTTAATCTCCTTTGGCAACACCCTCACAGACATACCCAGGAACAATACTTTGCATCATTCAGTCCAGTCAAGTTGACACCCAATATTAACCATTAAACTCTCCTTCCTCTATTAAACCACATAAATTATATAGACTATCTCACATCTTTAGTGCCATTGCCTGCCTGCCTGACCATGTTTTTTATATGTGTGTACACATATACAGGTATGTGTATACAGAAACAGGTATATGTATACATTCTTGTGTATATTGGTATTATAGCCAAATCTAATATGTGTAGCTTCCCTGTATTTGATGAATCCCCTCCTTAATGTCTCTCCCTCTGCTCACTGATCACACACATATTTATTTCTGCACTTAAAAGATAGATACTTACATTTTTCTGTCCTTCTGTCTTTGTTCCTGCTATTCCTTCCTCACTCATCTCCACTTGTTGAAACTTTGTCTGCCCCTCAAGACCCAGGGGGCATATTTTGTTCTGATTGTTTGGGTCTCAATTCAAAATCTACCAACAGATAGGCTGTGTGATTTGATGCAAGTGATCTAACCATTCTAAACCACAGTGTCCTTTACAGGGCAGTGGGGATGGTAATAAAATATACCTCATAGGGCAGATGTAAGGCTATATTGAAATAATCTTTTTAAAACATTATACACAACTCTTGCCACAAAGGAAGGGCTTAAACAATGCACGCTAAACTCTATCATCTCTATGGAGCCCCTTTTATCTCTATGTATTAATCTCTTCTCAAGTGATCTCATAGTGATTTGCTCTTAGAAAGCTTTTTGTTTGTTTATTTGTTTGTTTGAGATGGAGTCTCTCTCTGTCTCCCAAACTAGAGTGCAGTGGTGCTATCTCAGCTCACTGCAACCTCTGCCTCCCATGTTCAAGCAATTTTCATGCCTCAGCCTCCAGACTGGCTGCAACTACAGGTCCCCACCACCACACCTGGCTAATTTTTGTATTTTTAGTAGAGGTGGAGTTTCATCATGTTGGCCAGGCTGGTCTTGAACTCCTGGCCTCAATGATCCACCCGCCTCAGCCTCCCAAAGTGCTGGGTTACAGTCCTGAGCCACAGTGCCCAGCCGGAAAGCTCTTATTGAACGACGTTCACTAGTCTAGTGACTTGTGTGCATGTCCATCTTCTGCATTACTGAGCATGTATAGATCTACAATAACAAAACTGTGCGAGATGCTGAGGATATAGCAGTAAAAATACAGGTAAGGAATCCCTGATTACCTTTCAGGTGGAGAAGACACATAAACAAGCCAACATCAGTGGCATATTTTCAGATAGTGATAGGAGCTATAAAGGAGATAAAAGTGGTGATGCGATAGTCTCCATTCTGCTTTGTATGTTAGGAGCTACATTACAAAGAGTAGACTGAGACCACACTATTGCTTTAGTTTCTCTTTCAAAGGCTCCCTGACTCCCTATATGTGAGGTCACAGGCACCCTATATAAAGCTGCCAGAGCTATGCTTCATAGCTTCTCTGGCAGCTGCTTCCTCCCTTTCATTCAAATTTATTTGCTCTCATCAGATTTAAACGCATTTTCTCCTTGTATCTGATCACCCCACCGTGTCTTCCATTTTACTCAGATTAAGGCCACAGTCTGACTGGTGTTGATTTCAGGTTCATGCCAAGACACTGTAAGTAACTCTCATTCCTCCTTATGATTCCATTTACTACTGCCTAAGAGCACAAGCGCAGAGCCAGGGCATCTGTCCCCATGTCCTGCCCCCCAGTGTGTGTTCTTCCTTAAATAACCAGGTAGGGAAGGGCAGATAAGGAAGCCCCTACAGGCAAGTCCTAATGGTCTTCCAAAGGGAAAGGAACTTGGTCATAGATGCTCTCAATAATAGTACCAACTCCCATCGCCGAGTTTTATTTTAGAGTCTCAGAATGGGTCTAGTGACACTTGCTCTCATAATAAAGTAGAAGAAACATTTCTTTTGGATAAATTGCCCATAGGCTTCATTATCAGAAGCTCCATACATCTAGGTTTCTAACACTTTTACCATCTTTCACCATGAGCTCCTTTCAGAAACTCTCTTGAGTCTCAGAGCCAAGAATGAATGCTGAGGGAAAAGGGAGATGATATCTATCTTGCCATGCTTTACCCTGTATCTCTCTGCCTGTCTATCCATCACTCAATTCAGATGTATACTTTATCCTTCCTTTTTTCTGCAAAATACCTCTATCTAAACCTGAGAGCACAAGACTATAGAAGAACTGGATTTCCTAAGTGAGTCCATGGATTAGACTCACCATGCCCTATAGGGTCTGTCTATAGAGGAGTCACAGAAACTAGGACATTTGGGCTCTCTGACCAAGAATCACTGAAAATGGGCGCAGGCTTTTTGTGGCTAACCCTGAGCATACTAGATTAATATATCTGTTTGAAGTGTATGTTAGGGTTGCATCTAGAGATAAACGCAGTGACTCTAACTGATGTCAAGAAAAGCAACTAACCCCTTGTCTTGTATTCTGCAAACATCTAGTATTATTCTGCTTGTTCCCAAGACACAGGCTTCATGAATTAATGCCTCCTTTCCCAGTTAAATATTCAAAACTCATTTGCCTAAACTAAGTGGCAAAGAAAAAAAATTTAAAGATGGGTGTGGAGGAGCATTGCTTGATTGTACCAAAAGCATTTGATTAAATTGATTGGAGAGCTACAGCCAAATTAACGAAGACTGGCACACCTTACCTATCTCTTTCTCTTATTTTTCAGACATGAAAATTGCTCAGGCTTCAAGTCTAGTCTGTGTGAAAGCATTAAGTGTTTCAGAAATCAACATGTCTTATCAATCTATTGTGCTCTGGGGAAAAAAAAAGCCAGTTAGTGACATTATTTCCTTATGTTCTAGAAACCTGATAATACCTTATTGTACATCAGGAGTATAAGCAAATTTCATTGTAAAGAGGTTCTTCTGACAAGATCTGTGAAGAACATGATGTTATTAACTTAGACGTCTGCACTTACAATATAGCTTTTCCAAGACAATTTTTGCTGGGCTACAGGTGGTTATTTAAGACAATCAATTTACATAGAACAATTTATTCTTTTTTCATGCTGTTAAAGCAAATTGGTATGTAATTAGATTTATATACTGAATAATCTCATTTGCATATCCAATTAATTCTTCCTGTTTTAATTTGCTAGGGTTGAATTCACATTAGTAGTAAAAATAACACTTAAATTATAAAGGCCTCAAAATTTTCTTTGCTGTAATTTGTTCAAGATGTTGCATTTAAAAATTGGTCCCCAGCATTCTTTACAAAATCTACTGGGAATATGTGAAAGATTTTACTTAAAAGTGCCCTTAGCCAAATATCACACTTGAGGTTCACTCTTTGTTCATGATGAAGAGGTTAATGGATGGTAGAAAGCTAGTCCTTGCCTCAATACCCAATAATATTCAAAACAAGGAAAACTCAGGTTCTGTTTTCACCCTCTGACCTTTCATGCTTTGAGTATGTTTAAACACTGAGACATACATGCACAGAAATGAAATCTGTTCCCAAATAATTTATATTTATTCTTCAACTGTATCACTTCAACTATTGTTGTTTAACACAGTGGGAATATATATACTGTAGACAAATATTATTCTTTTTGGATTCAGATACACCAGAGCTTAGTATTTGTTTGTTTCTTTTGCCACTTCTGATATTGGGAAACCGATTTTGTCTATCTAAGAGTCAGTGTCCTCATCCTTAAAACCAAAAGAGAAAAATATGTGCCTTTCTAGAATGACTAATTTCACATGGCATAACATATAAAAGTATCTACTAGTGTGGATCCAACAATAGAAGATGTTCAGTCAGACATGGTATCTGGTCTGTAATAAACATATATAAACACTATCAATCAAAATGAATATTCAATTTCTAGGACTTCATAGTATTTTTATTAAGTTCAGTGAATGTTTGTTAGTGGCCATTTTCATTACCAGACTTTAGATTCAAATATTGGCTAAGCATTTTGTGCAAATTATTTAGTCTCTCTATGCCTTAGTTTCTTCGTGTGTAATTCGGGAATAATAAAAAGTATTTTTACCTCGTATAATCGTGGTCAGAATTGAAGGGGTTAATACATACCCTCAGACTATTCCCTGGTGCATAGTAAGCACTCAATGAATGTTAACCATGGCTATCATTGTTACCATGTTGAAAGAATAGGCACCCATATCAGAGTTTCTTTATTGTTATCTATTAGTAAGTGTAAGAGTGTTTTAGGACTACCTTAACAAAGTACCACTGACTGTGTAGCTTAAACAACAGGAATTAATTTTTTCATAGTTCTAAAAGCTAGAAGTCCAAGATCAAGGCTTCAGAAGTTTAGATTGTTCCTGAGGACTCTCTCCCTGGTTTTCAGATGATCACCTTCTCCCTGTATCCTCACATGGCCTTTCCTCTGACTGTATCCAAATTTCCTCTTCTTATAAGGACAGCAGTCAGATTGGGTTAAAGACCACCCTAAGGTTTCATTTAACTTAATTACCTCTTAAAAGGCCCTGTGTCCAAATACAGTCACATTCTAAGGTACCAGGGGTTAGGGCTTCAGCATGAAATTTGGGGAAACATAATTTAGCTCATAATGCCAAGGTTGAATTTCCCTTATATCTGGTAGAGACCCTGAAGCTCTGTTTTCAGAACTGATATTAAATGTAAGCATATCTGTGTACTTAAGGTATTTAAAAAGCAAGGCCAGGCACGGTGGCTCACACCTGTAACCCCAGCACTTTGGGAAGCCAGGGTGGGCGGATCACCCGAGGTCAGGAGTTCGAGATCAGCCTGGCCAACATGGTGAGACCCCGTCCCTACTAAAAATACAAAAATTAGCCAGGCATGGTTGTGGACGCCTGTAATCCCAGCTACTCAGGAGGCTGAGGCAAGAGAATCGCTTGAACCTGGGAGGCAGAGGTTGCAGTGAGCCGAGATTACACCATTGCACTCCAGCCTGGGCAACGAGAGCGAAACTCATCTCATAAATAAATAAATAAATAAATAAATAAATAAATAAATAGCATAAGTAACCTATGCCTTATCTCAAGGTCTTGGCCCATTTTCTGCAGCTACAGCCATGCTTTCAAAGCTATACTTTTATTTTCTCCCCTCAGATTTTTATAGCCTGTGCATCAGATTCATGTAATAGAAATGTCATAACATTTATATTAGGTCTCTATTCCAGAGACCTAGGCTTACACCTCATATTTGTTGTTTGTTGTATAAATATACACATACAAATTACCTAAACTCAGGCAAGTGATTTTACCTCCATGAGACCTCCTTTTACTTATCTGTAAAAGGGGACATATTTCCTCACAAACAGATGCAAACTAAGACAGGATAGGGAAAAGAATTTTGTAAATTCTAAATTGCTGTAGAGATACCAGCTGTCTCTGCTTACTGAAAAGGCAATCTTAATTCCATTTTCTATTTTATGGTCATTGTTAGTTTACAGTTACTAATATTAAATGGCTTTAGTGGTCACTTTAGGAGAGACATTTACTTTGTTGTTAAACCAATATGTTTACAATTAGATATAAGTTTCTTTCTGGATTTGAAGATAACTGTAATTTGCAGTTGACGCTTATGCAAATTGCTATGTTCTGCTGCATACCCATTTTAAAATACAAATCCTTCCCAGTCATCACTGAGTGTATATAACAACTGCAAAGAAAACGCTCTGAAGATTTTTTTTTCCTGTCAAAATGCCACTTTGCCTTCAGAACCACCATCTAAACATTATCTTAATGACACTTACTTTATTTGGAATGCCAGTATCCTTTGTGTAATTTTCAGATAGCCTGCAGATATTTGAAAAACTTTACCAGCTTCTTCATCATTTCAGTCTGGGAAATGAGCATCCTATTACTGGCATGCCTTGTGTTATTGTGCTTTGCTTTATTGCACTTCACAGATTTTGAGTTTTTTTTGCAAACTGAAGGTTTGTGCCAACACTGCATCGAGCAAGTCTACTGCCACCATTTTCCCAACAGCATGTGCTTACTTTGTATCTCAGTGTCACATTTTTGTAATTGTCACAATAGTTCAAAGTTTATTCTTACTATTATATCTGTTATAGTGATCTGTGATCATTGATGTGACCATTGTAACTGTTTTGGGATACCATGAACCGCACCCATATAAGACGAAGAACTTAATCGATCAATGTTGTACTCTGGCTGCCCCACTGGCTGGCCTCTCCCCCATCTCTCTCCCTTCTCCTGGGGCCTCCCTTTTCCCTAAGAAACAACAATATTGAAATTAGGCCAATTACTAACCCCACCGTGGCCCCTAAGTGTTCAAATGAGAGGAAGAAGCGTACATCTTTCACTTTGAATAAAAAACTAGAAGGAATTGACCTTAATGAGGAAGGCATGGTGAAAGCCAAGACAGGCTGAAAGCTATGCCTCTTGCGCCAAATGGTTGGCTAAGTTATGAATGCAAAGGAAAAATTCTTGAAGGAAATTAAAAGTGCAACTTCAGGCAACGCATGAATAAGAAATTAATACAGTCTTATTGCTGATATGGCAAAGTTTGAGTAGTCTGGATAGAAGATCACACCAGCCGCAACATTCAACATTCTCTTAAGCGAAAGCCTAATCCAAAGCAAGGCCCTAATTCTCTTCAATTCTGTGAAGGCTGAAAGAGGCCTGGAAGCTGCAGAAAAGAAGGTGGAAGCTAGCAGAGGTTGCTTCATGAGATTTAAGGAAAGAGATGCCACCTCCTTAACATAAAAGTGCAAGGTGTAGAAACAAATGCTGATATAGAAACTGCAGCAAGTTTTCCAGATCTAGCTAAGATAATTAATAAAGGTGGCTACCCTAAAAAACAGATTTTAAATGTAGATAAACAGCCTTATGTTGGAAGAAGATGCCATCCAGGACTTTGATAAGTAGAGAGGACAAGTCAATGCCTGGCTTCAAAACTTCAAAGGACGGGCTTACTTTCTTGTTAGGGGTTAATACAGCTGGTGACTTTAAGTTGAAGACAGTGTTCATTGACCATCCTGAAAGTCTTAGGACCCTTATGAATCATGCCAGATCTACTCTGCCTGTGTTCTTTTATGGAACAACAAAGCCTGGATAACAGTACATCTGTTTACAACATGGTTTGCTGAATATTTTCTGCCCACTGTTGAGACCTACTGCTCAGAAAAAAAGATTCCTTTCAAAATATTACTTGTGTTTGACAATGCACCTTGTCACCTAAGAGCTCTGATGGAGATATATTAGGAGATGTATATTGTTACCCTTCCAGCTAACACAACATCGAATCTGCAGCCAATGGATCAGGAGTCATTTTGACTTTCAAGTCTTATTTAAGAAATGCATTTTATAAGGTTATAGCTGCCATACATAGTGACTTCTCTGATGGATCTCGGCAAAGTAAATTGAAACTCTTCTAGAAAGGATTCACCATCCCAGATGCCATTAAGAAAATTTGTGGCTGGGCACGGTGGCTCATACCTGTAATACTAGCACTTTGAGAGGCTGAGGCAGGCGGATCACTTGAGGCAAGGAATTTGAGACCAGCCTGACCAACATGGTGAAACCCTGTCTACTAAAAATACAAATATATCTATCTATAGATAGATATTTTACATATAAATATATATATTTATAAATATATATAATATAAATTCATATTATATGTATAAAATATGTATTTTTATAAATATATATATATATATAAAAGGGAAGGGAAAAGGAAGGAAGGAAATTTATAATTCATGAAAAGAGGTCAAAATATCAACCTTACCAGGATTTTGGAAATTGATTCCAACCCTCACGGATGACTTTGAGGGGCTTAAAGCTTTCAATGGAGGAAGCAACTGCAGATGTGGTGGAAATAGCAAGAGAACAAGAGTTAGAAGTGGAGCCCAGAGAGAGAAGTGATTGAATCGCTGCCATCATGATAAAACTTGAATGGATGAGGAGTTGCTTCTTATAGATAAGCAAATAACATGGTTTCTTGAGATGGAATCTATTCTTGGTAAAGATTGTGCAAATTGTTGAAATGACAACAAAAGAGAATATTATGTAAACTTAGTGGATAAAGCAGTGGTGGAGTTTGAGAGGATTGGCTTCAGTTTGAAAAGAATTCCTACTGCGGATAAAATCCCAGCATTACCTGCTGAGGAAGTCTGTCATGAACGGAAGACTCAATCAATGCAGCAAACTTCAATGTTGTCTTATTTTAAGAAATGGCCACAGCCACCCCAGCCTTCAGCAACATCCACCCTGATCAGTCAGCAGCCATCTTAATCGAGGGAAGACTCTCCCCCTTCAAAAAGATAACAACTTGCTGAAGGCTCAGATAATCATTAGCATTTTTAACAATAAATTATTTTAAGTTATGTACATTGTGTTTTTTAGACATAATGCTATTGTACACTTATTAAACTGCAGTATAGTGTAAACATGACTCTTGTATGCAATGGAAAACCAAAAAACTTGCGTGGCTCATTTTATTGCAGTATTTGTTTTATTGCACTGGTCTGGAACTGAGCTTAAGATATATCTGTATAGATAAGACTATGAATGTATGAAATTTCATAGGCTGGAGGTATCTTAAAGAACATCTAATTCATTTACAATCCTGTTATAAAGGTTATAGACTCTTTACTATGGAACGCAAGGATATTAACATCTTTTACTAGCAGACATTGAGTGAACAAGTTTATATGTCAAAAAGACTGTTACGGTCTTTTCCTTTCTGATGCCTTCTAAGACATGGTGGACCTACCAGGGTAAAGATTCAAGAGTGGCCATTGCAGTCTATTTAACAGCTCCATTCTTTCACCACCTCCTTTGATCTCATCTTTTTGAGCCTCTTTCCTTGCAGTGAAGGGACAAGCAGGGTAGAAAAAAATATTCCCTTAGGATCCTCTTGCTTCCTTTGTGCTCCCGATGATCCCTTTGTATTTTCAATCTGTGGGTCTCTTTAATGCCTTTATTCTCTCCTTCTCCCAAAAATAGTGTCAGTTCACCAAGGACACCACATAGGTAGTCAGTCATTTGGTTCGATCAGATTCTCATGGAACCTACAAGACAAGCACCCTTTTCACTTTTCTAGGAATGGCCTCCTCTTAGCATATAATCTGGGTGTTACACTGAAAAAAGTCTAGCTCTTCCTTTGATTGAGTAGCATTATCAAAATTACCAAGGGCCAGGCACGGTGGCTCATACCTGTACTCCCAGCACTTTGGGAGACTGAGCCAGGAAGATCGCTTGAGCCCAGGAGTTTGAAACCAGCCTAGGCAACGTAGGGAGACCTCCATCTCTACAATTTTTTTTCTTTTTTTTCTTTTTTTTTTTTGAGACGGAGTCTCACTCTGTTGCCCAGGCTAGAGGGCAGTGGTGCTATCTTGGCTCACTGCAACCTCCACCTCCCTGGTTCAAGCAATTTTCCCTACTTCTTACTCTCGAGTAGCTGGGATTACAGGCACCTGCCACCACTCCTGGCTAACTTTTGCATTTTTTTTAGTAAAGATGGGGTTTCACCATGTTGGCCAGGCTGATCTCAAACTCCTGACCTCAGGTGATCCACCCGCCTTGGCCTTCCAAAGTGCTGGGATTATAGGTGTGACCCACCGCACCTGGCCAAAAAAAAGGTGTTGTTTTTTTTTTTTTAAATAGCCAGGTATGGCGGTTCATGCATCCAGTTCTAGCAACTTGGTAGGAGGATTGCTTGAGCTCCTACCAACATTTTTCGATTGCTGAGGCAGGAGGATTGCTTGAGCTCACAAGGTCAAGGTTGTAGTGAACTATGATTACACCACTGCACTGCAGCCTGGGCAACAGAGCAAGACCCTGTCTCTGAAACAGACAAACACAATAACACACCAAGAAATTTGGGAACAGAAGGGAAATAAAAACCTCATCCCAATTACACATTCACTTACAAAACAGATACTTAGAAAGTGCCTAAATAAGTACTAGTAATTTATGTAGTACCAGTGGAAAGTGGTCTAATAGTCTTATTATTTCAACTACTATCCTTATGGATCTGCTAATCTAAACAGACACCTCTCTCCCAAAATACAGTAAGTGTTCAGCAGATAATGAAAGGGGACTGCTGTGCAGCTGCTGTGGGGCATGGCATTGAAACTGAATCCAAAGCCCACTGGGTCTGTGAGGTAGATGGAATGTGACAGGGAGAGAAGAGAGAAAAGACTTCCTAGAGAAGGTGCCAATGTTTCTAGGCACACAGGAATAACAAAGAAAACTCAGCAGGGGCCCAGAGCACAGGGACTTGTCCAATGAGATGAGAGAAGCAAGGAAGTAGTAGTACAGGTCTCAGTGGAATCCTTGCCTTAGTATGGTATGTGATTTTTTATAGTGCAGAGTGGATCTCGTGTGTGAATGTATTCTCCATCGTAGACGTGTGGTCGCTTATCAGTGTGGTCACTTATCAATCACATTTAAGCTGTTGTTTAAAATACTTATGGATCTTTTCTTTTGGAATTTTCTTTACGGCTCCTATTTTATTCCTCTGAATATTTCAAGTGCTTGTAAATCCTTGTCCTTTGAAGTTAGATTTCATTTTTGGCAACAGCTAAGCTTTCCATATTTAGAAACTTGTTCAGAGCCATTTCATGGTAAATGTTGGTGTTCATGCTGGGTAATACTGTTTTTTGGTCAAAAATGAATTGTGACTATAAATTAATGAAGCTAATTTTTTTGTGTGGCTTATAAATCAGTTCTCTATCATTTTTAAAGGGGGAATTTTAAAACATACGCGTTAATACATGTGAAAGCTTTTTTAAAAATTGTAAATCTCCACAATTTTTAAAAATTGTAAAAAAAGCAAGGACTTTTTTTATTTTTATTAATCATTAAGTTATATTACATTTCAACATACTGCTTTAAAACTCAATAAATAAGTTTTAAATTCTCTTTTAAACTACTAGTTTCTTAAGTAATTGTTCATTTGATGTTGTCTACCAGTTGAGCAACTGGTACATTAACCAGAGCTGTAGATTGAGCTCTTTTCCAAATATTTAGATTTTGGGTTCATAGAGAAATACCTTAAGAGAATTGTCAAATGAGGAAACTGACATTCAGAAAGGAGAAATAAGTAAGGTATCTAAGATCACAAGGGTAGTAATTGACTTACCAAATAATATAGTTTCAAATCCCTGACATTAAGTCAACTAAAGATTGGTCTTTTCACTGATGTAGATCTAGTCATTTTAGTCAGAAATACTCTTCTTTCTCCTATTTTCTCTCTAAAACCTCTGCCTTCAACCTTTGTTAGTCTCCCCATCTCTTTTTGTATTGCTTCTATCTGTGTGAGGGTTTGGATAACAAGAAGATAGTCTTCTTTCCTTTATATTTCCTTTATTTTTCTTCAGTGACTACTCAAAAATCTTACCCAGAATGGACACTAAATGAATGAATTTCTAATTGTTTTGCAGCTTTCTCTTCTGTTAGGATCAAGTGACCAGTTCGTCTCTACCAAACCCAGGATGTGTTTTTGATTTATGTGATTTGTGGTTTTGAGTTATAAGTGGTTCCATAAGGCCAACTAGCAGCTAGAAAACAGTAAGTTTGGGACTGTAAACAGTTACAGGGAAGTGGAAGTTTTTGGTTGTTTTATTGTTGTTAATTCTTTGTTTTGTTGCCCTTGGTAGACAAAACTTAAGTGATGATAGAGCTTACAGTTGCTAATTTACCCAATTCCATGCTTTGCTTTTTGAAAGCAATTGCTGTGTTTCCCTTCAGGGGATGAGCTTTATTTACTCCTTCTACTCCAAAGCTGAGCTATAGGAATTCAAGTGGGGTCTGGAAATACCATTGAAAAAAAGAGTTTTTTTGACCACCTTGGCAATGGCCAGTTGTTTCTTTCCATGGCCAGCCTCTTTGTTGTTTGTTGAGAATACTGTCTAAGAAAATCCCCTCAAAATTAGAAGTCTCTGAAAACTATACAGATCTCAAGGGCCTAAAAGGGAATGTTATCATTTTAATTATTGTGCTACTTTCAAAATTATACTGTTTGTAATCATGGGTATTGAAAAAGCCCAGACATTTGAGTTTAATTATGTGCTTTGTAATCCTAAGATACAATCCTTTTTTCTCATGCTTTTATATACCGTGTTTCTCTCTTTTCTCCAACACTTAATAAGGCCAACCCAAGGGTATTAATTCCGGGAATGAGTAAAAATGGTGTTATTCTTTCTCAAAGCCTAGTCAGGTCAGTCCACAAGCATTCAGCCCTGCTCACAGTATGTATTTGAAGAATGTATCTTTGTTTAGAAAAGAAAAGGAAGGTTTGGGAAGAGTGTGGATTAATATTATATGCTGCTTCCCTTTGGGCCTGTTTTTTCCCCCCAGTCCTTTCTTACCCTAGCAAATACAGTTAGGAGTCCTGGATTGCACATTGTAAGAACAAATAGGAATCTGCAGGCCTTCCTGGAAGGTCTGGGTCATAGCAGCTTCTTTGCTTCTTCTTCTTATCTTCTGCGTGGCACTAGCTAGTATGCCCCAGATAACACAGGGAAGGAATTTGACTCCTTGACATCTTACATGCAGCCAAACACTTCAGAATGTATAGAACTTTCTGAATCCAGGTAGCATCTCACTCTGAATGTCAGATGGATTTTTAAAAAATTTATTCCCCAAATAATTGTTTATGAGGAAATTTTTTGTCTCTCTAAGGTGCAGCCACGTAGAGTCACTTATTCTCTGAAGGGTCCCACCCTATAAGTGATATAAATCCTGATATTTCAAGGAATTTAGAAAATATGTTTGTTTTATTCCTCCTCCCTCCAGTGTGATACAGAATCTTAATAAGGAGCCTATGTTGCCTTTTGAATCATTAACTCTGAAGAAAGTTCAGGAATGTTAGACTTGGGAGATTAATAACTGTAACTGCAAAGAGAAGTCTTGTCTGTTAAAGAATTTGTGTGCACTATTGCATCACTCAGTATGTATGTGAGGCTTTCTATTTTTAACATTTTTAATGACAAGCTGCCTCCTTGGTTCTGTATGCCCTTCACCTTTGTCAGAATGAGATTGATAGTGAAAGTTTCTCTGCTGTTCTCATAAAAGTTGAATTAAGGGTCTTGATTTCGGTTTACTGTACTGCAGCATTATCTCTCATTCATCTAGTGGTCTCTTCTCTGTTTCTGTTTCCTGCTCTGCCTGTATTCTAGCATGCAGGGCAGTTGGCAGGGACTGGCCATGCAAAATAATAGCTGTTTCCAGAATAAGTCATTGAGTCATCTGAAAGTACAACATTATAGTGACATACCTGACTTCTCTATAATGCAGAAAAGGGAGTCATAATAACTTAAAGCATTGCACATTGCCAGAGCTATTTGAAATGACGGAACATGAATATTTTGACATCTAGTAGTAGCCTAGTGCCTCTTTGCCAGAAGATGCTAATGAAACAAACATGGAAATCACTGCGGGATTACCAAGACTGTTTTGACTTTCTTTCAGGATAATCCCACTGGGTTTTTAACTTGCAAATATCTGAATGCCCATCACATGGAGGAGGAAGCTGATTTGTTTGCAATAGAACTTGAAAAAATGGTGAAAACTAAAGATACTTTCTACCTTGGATTTCGGATTTGCTTTCTGATAATTAGAGATATCTCAAAAATAAAATGGACTTTCTGGAATGGAAAAGATAAGAATGTTTTATTGTCCTCGAGGCATTAGAATTGTAACCGTATTTGGCGAGAATGTTGAAGAGTAGCACCATGCATCCTAGGGAATTTTTAAAACAATTAAAAGAGAATAATTATAAGTCAAAGTTATCAGGAAGGAAGGACAGATGTAATCTCATTTCGCTGCATGATAGTAAATGAAGGTACATATAATATTTCCAAGAGAGAAAAATTTACTCAAAGTCCAAGAAATTCAGAGTAAATTCAAATGGATAAGAAGGTAAAAATGTAGTCTAAGGATTATAACTACTTCTGCCCATGCAAAAAGCAGTTATGTTTATAATCCCAGATTAAATTGCCCAGAAGTATCATCAGATCCCCTATCTGGTTCTCTTTAGAGCATGTTTCACCAACTGTAATCAAAGATTTGTTTTTATGACTGATTGATGTCTGTTTTCTCCCAGTACATTGTAAATTCCATGAAGACAGCAACTATGTCTGTTCTCTGTTTGAATCCCAAGCTCTAGTACAGTCCCTGGAGCATAATGCGGACTAACTTAACATTTGGTGAGTGAATTAATGAATGAATACATTGTGACAATTATAATGTGACAATAAATTATTGAGAGGTCAAGTCTCAAAAGGGAGGTCTAAGCTAATTAATTTTCTGAATGTGTATGCAGTACTAGCTTATGTACAAAAATCTTTCTTCAGATGTGTATGAGTCAGCAGCAACTGGAACTTGGAGGTGGTCTTTAGACCCCAATGTCGGTATCTGTTCAAGTATTCTATTCGTACCTTATCAGCTGTCTTCCTTTTCCTGTGGTGGAAGGACTGCCAGTTTCATCTAAGTGGTTTGCCTCAGAGTTCAGGAGAATAGCTCATTGGGAGTTCTGGTCAGATATTTTCAAACTCAAATGAGTAAGCTCTCTGAAAAACCTATACATAATGAAAAATAGTTTAAGATTACAGTGGTGTTTTGATGTGATCTGGAACAGTTCACCCACTCCTACTTGGCAATAAAAATAAATTATGCAATGGGACAGCCAACTGTTACAGCTTGGAAAACTGTTAAAAACTCAAAATAAATACGTAGGTTAATGTCATGAAGTACTTGACCGGACAAGCATATTTTTCCAATTCTAAGGGTAGAAAGTGTCTTTGTAAACATTCCTACATGTCAGAAAACTAAATAAAAATGACCTCTAGCTTCGAGGCACTTATTGGAAACCTATTTTACATTGAATACACAAGCCAAGATAATACAGACTGTTTGATAAGAAACATTAGAGAAATCTGTAACATGAGGCTTTTTATTATAGGTTTATTACATCAATCTCTCCAGTGGGTAATGGAACTTGTAAATATACTCTTATGTAGGAGTCTCCTTGTGGGCTTTTTATTCATGCTGAAGTAAGCACAGCAAACTTATTTGCTGTCAGGGTACATTGAATTTAAGATTAGTATTTATTTTGGTTCTAAGGAGGTTTTGCGTTTGTGAATTGAAAGTTGGATCAGCTGCATGAAAACAAGATGGGACTACAGGGAGCACAGGAAGTAAATTAGTTTTTTCTAAATATGCATTCTGTAAACCTACGTATTTAGCTAGCATGGGGTGCGTATGCGCAGTTTCTCAGATGGGTGAGTCATGCATCGGATGTGTATGTTTATGGCTCTGTGGTTTGGGTAGAGATAGATATTCAAAATGGCATATTGCAGTTACTGTTTTCTAATGCAAATCGTTCTAGAGAAAAAATATATATGTTTATAAGAAAGATTTCTTAACCTCTTTTTGACCAGTGACTTTCTTAATTTCAGTGGGGGCATATGAAATAAAACCCTCAAAATCATCAGCCACACTGTACCTTCCATATCATTGACAGATAACACTGACAAATTATTCCGGCTTGTTCTGACACCTGAATAGAATGTATCAGGTGGTAACTGAAGCCATGAGGATGAGTTGCCCATACAGAGGAAAGGATTATAATAGTAAATAGCTATGTTTTATGAATGACATACTAGATACTGTGCGAAGTGAACTAGATGTGTTATTTCATTTAATGCTGTGCTTATGAGACAGCCAGGTCGGAGGGGGTACCTGGCAAAACTCCAGCCAGCCTGTGCCCTGGGGTGGACCCACAGGAAGTTCGCACCTTTTGCAGCGGGGAGGAGCCTGGCTGCTCCTCTTCCTGTGTGGAACCTGGGATTCGGCAGGGTGGGAAGTGCTCTGTCAGGGACTCTGGCCCAGCAAGAGTCCCTGTTTTCCTTTTTTCTTCCTTTCACCCAATAAAACCCTGTCTTACTCACACTTCAAACCGTCTGTGAGCCTAAATTTTCATGGCCATGGGACAGACAAGGACCCCATCATTAGCTGAGCTAAGGAAAAGTCCTGCAATACTTACATCACATGACTATGAAGGCAGGTACCATGGACACTCTCATTTGTCAAAGACGGAAAAGTAAAGCACACAGAGGTAATACGATTTACTGAAATTCACACAAATAAATTTAAAGTCTGTTCCATCTATGTTGTGTTGTTACCTTAGGATCTCACTTCATATTTGTGAAGAATCATCCTTCCCATTTCCTTAAATACCCAAACCATGAGCATTTGTACCATCCTTTATTCCTTTTGGACATTTGCAGCAGAATGTCTATTTTGTTTAATATTAGCTCATAATCTGGGAAGTGAGTAGTAGTATTCACATTTTATCTGAAGTAAGTGAGACTTAGAGAGGTGGAGTGACTTGCCCAGGCCTGATTTACTGGGTCTTAGTTTCAAGCCTTTTTTTATAATGAAGCTCACTCTATCTCCAATAGAGCATGTTCAAGGTTCTAGGTCCAGAAAGGGATAAGCTGCAAATCATGAATCCATAAGAATAAATACCTACTTGCATTTTTTTATGTGGACATGCAAATAACACACCCACACACACAAACAGACACACACACACACACACACACACACACACACACACACACACACAGAACTAACCTAATATTTCAGGTCTCATGAATTGTATTTGGTTTAAAAATACAGTGAGATCAGAAAGAATGCTCTGTTCAAAAAAATCACATACTTTGTCTCATTAGAGACAGAATTGATACTCTTTATTGAAGAGTAAAATTCAGTAAGAACCTTCTTAAAAATAGGAGCAGGCCAGGTGGTGGCTCAGACCTGTAATCCCAGCAATCTTAGGAGGCCAAGGCGAGCAGATCACTTGAGGTCAGAGTTGGAGACCAGCCTGGCCAACATGGTAAAACCCCGTCTCTACTAAAAATACAAAAATTAGCCAGGTGTAATGGTACATGTCTGTATTCCCAGCTACTCGGGAGGCTGAGGCAGGAGAATCACTTGAACCCAGGAGGTGGAGGTTGCGGTGAGCCGAGATCACATCACTGCACTTCACCCTGGGTGACAGAGGAGACTCCATCTCAAAAAAAAAAAAAAAAAAAAAAGAAGAAGAAGAAGAAGAAAAAGAAGGAAGAGAGGGCAAATGTGTATTATCTTATAGGTATTACCCTAGTCTGCAGTGAGGTTTTTGTTCTCTTATGTCCTATAAAGATCAGTGAATTCTAACGACTTTTACACTAATGTTCAAGTTGGTCCTTAATTTTATTATTTCCCTTTTCACTTATTTGACTTGGCTTTCTACATACCAGATGGTCACCTGAGCCCAGAGCCACATCTTTTCATTTGTTATGCTTTACAATTTGTCATAATATCTGGTATATTTGATATGGACAAATATTTGTTTGATTGTTTTCTTTTGATGTGGTGATGTTTGAACTCATCCTAAATGTACACAATAGTTTTGAGAGACATTTTAAACCCAATAACATGTAAATTTCTTAAAACATTGCTCCTGTTCAGATACATCGAACTGGAAACCTGGTCAGGGATTGTGTGAACAGCTTCATTTTCTCACTATACCTTGTACATGAAATCCTATTTCTGTTTGTCTTTTATTGGCTTTTAAAATAGCATGACGATCTGATGCACAGTCACTGGGCTTTGGCAAATCTCTATTTCCTCCCAGCCACAGAAATTTACATTTCTTCCCAAGCTACTCTGACTGTGAATAATCTATGTGAGGAGTGACCTCAGTTCATTTGAAAGCATCCAACATCCTGAAAACTGTAAAGCCACAGCACGCACTGATTTCTCAAGGTCTAAGAGATGGTTTATAAATGATTAAAAAAAAAACTCTAATAGTATACTCAAAACATTTTTTAAAAAAAGAAATAGAGTTATGAGTCTGCAAGGACTTATTTAAGAAAGACGTCCTAATATTGGGGGAGGTGGATTCACTGGCACTGTTATATCAACCAAGTATTTCATGTGTGAGGAGATAAAGCAGCAAACTACGCAAAATAAACAGCGTGTGTTCACCTTAGATATCTAGGACGCTTCACTTTGAATAAATTTTCTCTGCTTTTTTGAATCCAGAGCAATATTGTCTGTTAGACAAGTTCTGGGTTTTGTCTGCTTCAGGCCTGTCTTAACCCTGCCATTAATTGGCATATGTCCAGGCAATTAAAACTGTGGTATGGAGCAAATTAAAAAAGAGAATTTAAAGCACCAGAGTCATTTGAAATTCCAAGGTCAAATGGAAATAACATTGAATTATCTTCTTTTGGGGATTATACCTGCCTCTATTTGTCTCCACCAGAGGTGATAATCTAGACTTTGGTTACCTACTCTTTGCATCCTCAAAACGGGAACACACAGGAATGCTTTTTTCCGAAGGCCAGAATGACAGATATAAGATTGAAGTTAAACACAACTGATGCCCAGCACGTCAGAGCAGGACAAAGAATCAGAGGCAATTTAATCCCACCTTTATGCTTTTGAAAGACAAAAGGAACTCAAGCCCAGAATGGCAAAATGATTTACTAAAGGTCATCACAACTAGGCACCCCTCTAATTCTGGTAATAATTAAAATCAACAATATTTATTGAACACTGACCTTTGCCAAGCACTGTTTCAAGCTCTTCCCATGATTTTTTGGTATTATAGTTAAGGAGCGGAGGTAAAGGGACAGTGAAATAAGTATCCTCTATATCCTACTACTACCAAACAGTTTTTCTTCAGCTGAGCCAATAGCTACCATCTTCCAACTAATTCTTAGCCAGACTAAGATGACAAAGGAAATACACTAAGCATGATTTAGCTTTTTCTTATGTCTCCAGTTGTTGTTTTGAAAGTGTATTCATGGCAGGGAAATATCCCAAAGCCAGGCAGCCCCAAGGAGGAGTGCCTCTAGCATGAGTATTCCAGAAAGTCATCAACCTCTGAATACTTAAGTTGACCCTGTGATTTATGTATCTAGGACTGAAATAAAACATTTCTGACTTTCTATACAAGATTTTGCAATGTTTATATTAGTCAAGATCAGCTTTTTCCAAAACATGCTCGATGGATCACTCCCTTCTCAGGATGCTGTATAAGAAAGAAGCAAAAAAGCTGTGATCAAATAATTTTTGTTTAAAAAAAAAAAATCCTGGCCAGGCGTGGTGGCTCGTGCCTGTAATCCCAGCACTTTGGAAGGCCGAGGTGGGCGGATCACCTGAGATCGGGAATTCAAGACCAGCCTGACCAACATGGAGAAACCCTGTCTCTACTGAAAGTACAAAATTAACCAGGCGTAGTGGCGGGTGCTTGTAATCCCAGCTGCTCAGGAGGCTGAGGCAGGAGAATCGCTTCAACCCAGGAGGCAGAGGTTGCGGTGAACCGAGACGCCATTGCACTGCAGCCTGGGCAACAAGAGCAAAATTCCATCTCAAAAAAAAAAAAAAAAAAAAAAAATCCTGCATCATCCTGATGATGTTCATTATCATATAGAAATTTTAAGAATACCCGTAATAAATGTTTTTTAAGTCAGCATTTCCCAAATTCAGACAAACACAGAACCCAACCCCCTGCCACCTTTTGTTAAAAAATTCATGTTAACCTTCCTGCAGAGCAGATATCAAGAAAGATGTGTGAGAGGAAATTTCATTCAAAAAACACTTATCAAGTGCTGATATTATAGCTGATGCTGGGTTATAGAGATCAAAGACCCAGTTCCAGAATTCATAGAGCTCACAAGCTACAGAAAGAGATAAGCTTGTAAATCACAGTTATAATACAGTTTAGTAATTAGTGTCATGCACAAAAATAGGGGATGTGGAGCTAGAAATTAAGATATTTCCCATCACCTTGCTGTTGAAGAGTAGTACTGACTGCTATATTATATTATCCCTAAATTCAGAGGCTTAATTTACTAGAAATTTAGATCTCACTCATATAAGATTCAATGGAGGAGAGTGGCAGCAACAACTATGGTTCATACAGTCATTCAGGGATGCAGATTAATCTTCAGTGTGTGACTTTCCAGATGTCTTTGGACATCAACATCCAGCTGCTAAACAGGAAAAGAGAAAAGTTAAAAGGAACACTGTGCAAGATGCTTTTATGATCTAGGCCTGAGAGGATACATTTCTTTCACCTGTGGTCCAATGGTTCATTCATATAACTACAACTAACTGCGAGAGAGGCTAGGAAATGTGGGCTACTTCTGGGTCCTGCAAGGATGGGGAAAGGGTTTGGTAAGCAGCTAACTAGTCTCAACCTCAATGGGCAATATGAACTTAGGCAACAGAAGGTATAGGGACCTTCCAGGCAGAAGTAATCAACTATCTGTTGACATAAAGGAAGGGCAATCATGGCACTATTGACACCCTACGAAAAGTATGATATGGCAAGAGTAGAGACCACCTGCGGAAGAGTGTAGGAGACAGGATGGCTGGGAACAGTGGCTCATGCCTGTAATCCCAGCGCTTTGGGAGGCTGAGGTGGGTGGATCACTTGAGATCAGGAGTTCGAGACCAGCCTGGCCAACATGGTGAAGCCCCATCTTCACATTTGTATTTTAGTATACAAAAATTAGCTGGGTGTGATGGTGTGTGCCTGTAATCCCAGCTGCTCAGGAGGCTGAGGCAGGAGAATCGCTTGAACCCAAGAGGCAGAAGTTGCAGTGAGCCGAGATCACGCCACTGCACTCCATCCTGGGCAACAGAGTGAGACTCTGTCTCAGAAGAAAAAAAAAAGAAAAGGGAAATAAAGACACAAGATCATGTGAGCTTTTTGTACTATGTTAAGGAGCTTGTATTTTACTTTTTCAATGATGGCGATTTATTAAAGAATCTAAAAATCATTGAACTAGAATCAAAAAAGTGAGTTAAGAGATTAATGGTATATAATAGGAATAGATAATGAGCTAACAAGTAATTGATGGCATAGAATAGGGATGGATTCAAGAAGTACTGTAGGTAAAATATACATGACTTGGGGACCCAGTGAATGTAAAAAGTGAGGAAGAGAGAAGGTACAGTCAAGAATATTTCCTGGGCATGTCTGGCTAGTTAGATATTGTTCTGATTTATTAAAAACAAGAGACATTGGGAAAGGAATTTGGTAAGTGGGAGGAACTCATAAGGGTCTGAAGTATAGGAAGGAGGTTGAAACTTGAGGGTGGTCAGCATGTAGGTTTCCTTGAAGCATGTGGAATGAATGCAGTCTAAAGGAGAAAGAAAATCGAGGCATGCAGAGAGCTTAGAACAAAACCACACACCAGAATTTAAAGGGCTCAAAGAAGAATTTGTCCATGAAGAATCTAAAATGATAAAGAGAACCAAGGGAAGAAAGAATTTTTTAAAACAAGGTAGGAAACAACCCACATGTCCATCAGCTGGTGAATGCATGCATACAATGTGATATGTCTGTAAAACAATACTATTCAGCAATAATAGGGAATAAAGTACTGATGCATACATATTACAACAAAGATGAACCTTGAAAACATACTAAGTAAAAGAGTCCTGTCCAAAAAGACCACATATTGTCTGATTCTATTTGTATGAAATGTTCAGAATATGCAAATCTATTGAGATAGAAAGACTAGTTGTTTTCTGGGGCATTGAGAGGTAGGTGGGGGTGGTTGGGTAGTGGGGAAAAGGGAACAAATGCTAATGAGCACAGGTTTTTTGCAGGAATTAGGAAAATATTGTAAATTTGATTGTGATGATGGCTATACAACTTTGTGAATGTACTTAAAACTATTGAATTATAGACTTTTTAAATAGGTAAATTGCATGGTGTATGAACTATATCTCAAAGCTATCAGTTAAGAAAACCAAAAAAGGAAAGTAGAACCAGTGAAGTTTGGGGTAATAGAAATACATACGTCTTCTAAGCCAGCTTCTGGAGGCAAAATTCAATGGCTTCTAAACCAATCCTGTGATTTTCTTTTTTGGTCCAGAATTGCATTTGCATTTTTCTGTGGGAAACACTTCTACTTTATTTGCAGATGGTCACATTCTTAAGGCATTTAGATCATCACCTATATTTTTTTTCCTTAAGTAAGTCTAGATTTTCTGTAAATTAGCATTGAATTTTATGATAAGTAAGTTGGAGAAGTTTTATATAGTAAATTTCTTTCAATATCAAAATTATCTTGAAGATAATACACTTAGCTATAAACATGTAACCTCCCATTATCCAGGGTTATATAGTCAATATCTAGACTTTCAGCCATGCCTGGGACCCAAAGTGAGCCCAGCCACATCTTATCAGAGGAAAGCATTTGTCATTTTACATTTAAATTCACATCTGAGGTATTCTCCAGGTTTTCTTGGAACTGCAGAAATATCACCGTTATACATTATTTAGTAACCAGCTTGCTTTGCAAAGGTCAGGTTCGTGTTATTCAAAGCGTGATGCTTAGTATGCGATGACACAAACAGATTTCTTGCTTTAAAGTAATAGAATGCGATGAGTGAAACCAACTTTCTTTGGAAGAAAGATGTCTCCTTTCCACGACATTTGATTTGTAAGTGGGTTTGGCTTCATTAATATTTAATTGTCTTTTTAATCTGTATGTCAGTTCTTATTGCAGACTGCTTCTGGGGAGGTTTTCCTCTGAAATACCAATAACAACCATTCTTCACTCTAACATCAAAACAAGGGCTCTCTCCGGGACACCTAGTTGTATTTCATCTCTAGGGATATAATTATTTTGTCGTTATCCACAGTTCCTCAAGGGACTGATGATGTAGGACACCCTCCTTAAAGACCTTTATATGTCAAAAGAAGAACCTGATTTGTTAATGTTGCAAATACTAATTCAGATGGTCTTGCATCATTCTTGTGAGTTGCCTTTTCTTAACCAGGCTATACAGAATTTGTACTTTTTTATTAGCACGTTAGTGGAGTTTGAAGCTGTTAGTTGATCTTTTCAGGATATTTTCATGAGCTTTACTAGTTTAGGAAACAGTGCTTTTTCTGTGGGATGCATTTTGAACATTTAAATTCATTTTCAAACACAAATCAGAATAGGGAATGAAATGATAAACAACCCTTTATAAATTTTCAACTTGATCACCTATAGCAATAAAGCTACAAAAAGAACTCAGAATTAGTATCTCTGGAGATTGACATAGAGAAATTGAGATTGACATCTCTGCAGCAAGTTGAGCCTCTTTGTGAACTGGTCATTTTTATTTCCTGGTCACTTGGGAGAAACCTGGGTGAAAAAATTGGACATCTGTTTTTGTTTGTGATAGCAAATTCCCTATGGGATGAGCCTCACCCTAATTAGGGGACCACTCTTGGCCCTCTCAGGAGAGAATATAAGGGTAGATAAGGAGACTTAGGTTACCCTCTCAATCAATCACAGTGGGGCAAAATGGAATAATTTCACACATTTTCCTTTAGCTGGATACTTGATATATGAGAAAAAATATGGGGTATCCACATCCTAAAATTTTAACACTTCCCTGTGCTTACCAACGTGGCGTGTGGTATCAGTGGAACGGATGCTTTCATCTGCCTTTTTTCGAAGGTTAGTTGTGGCATTGCCTTGATTAGTCAAAGATTTTATCTCTTGGTAAAGGATATTATCGATTTAGATAGACACATTTTGAAGTTAGAATACAGCTTGTAATTATGAATGGGCGAAGATATCTGACCCTTAAAAAATTCAGACTCCCTAAGTTGTCTACGCAGCATGCAGGTTCACCTGCACTGGTATCACACCCAAGCTAGCAATAGAACAAATTCATTTGACTTTATTTTATGACTTTTCCTAGAAGAGACATAACAATGAATCATCTTGTTATCCAAGCCAATAAATATGCTTCCTTTTAGATTTCTTAATTCAGTTTGCCAGCTATTTTGGGTATTAGAATAACGGGTTTCATGTCCTTGGGGGGTTTAATTTGCTTCCAGAGTCTTGTTTTTGTAGAATAGCTTAAGTCTTCATAGTCATGGTTTATGATTCTTCAAATAGGTCATTATAAGTAAGATCTGATTTTGAACTGGTATTAAGAAAATAGACATTGAAAAAAACTGTTTCAGGGAAAAAACATTTTCCTTTCTAGATCATAGTGCAATAAGTGGCTCTTTTATGATCACTGTTGATTTTTCCAAAGTAAGACATTACTGATTTATTTTATCTATGTTAGCTTTTTCTTCCAAAACAATTCCTTGATGTAATTTTATCATAAGGAATAAAATGTTCTTTTTTTATTTTTATTTTTTATTATACTTTAAGTTCTAGGGTACATGTGCACAACGTGCAGGTTTTTTACATATGTATACATGTGCCATGTTGGTGTGCTGCACCCATTAATTCCTCCTTTACATTAGGTATATCTCCTAATGCTATCCCTCCCCCCTCCCCCCACCCCACAACAGGCCCCAGTGTGTGATGTTCCCTTTCCTGTGTCCATGTGTTATTGTTCAATTCCCACCTATGAGTGCGAACACACGGTGTTTGGTTTTTTGTCTTTGTGATAGTGTGCTGAGAATGATGGTTTCCAGCTTCATCCATGTCCCTACAAAGGACATGAACTCATCCTTTTTCATGGCTGCGTAGTATTCCATGGTGTATATGTGCCACATTTTCTTAATCCACTCTATCATTGATGGACATTTGGGTTGGTTCCAAGTCTTTGCTATTGTGAATCATGTCTCAATAAACATATGTGTGCATGTGTCTTTATAGCAGCATGGTTTATAATCCTTGGGGTATATACCTAGTAATGGGATGGCTGGGTCAAATGGTATTTCTAGTTCTAGATCCCTGAGGAATCGCCACACTAACTTCCACAATGGTTGAACTAGTTTACAGTCCCACTAACAGTGTAAAAGTGTTCCTATTTCTCCACATCCTCTCCAGCACCTGCTGTTTCCTGACTTTTTAATGATTGCCATTCTAACTGGTGTGAGATGGTATCTCATTGTGGTTTTGATTTGCATTTCTCTGATGGCCAGTGATAATGAGCATTTTTTCATGTGTCTTTTGGCTGCATAAATGTCTTCTTTTGAGAACTGTCTGTTCATATCCTTTGCCCACTTGTTAATGGGGTTGTTTGACTTTTTCTTGCAAATTTGTTTGAGTTCCTTGTAGATTCTGGATATTAGCCCTTTGTCAGATGAGTAGATTACAAAAATTTTCTCCCATTCTGTAGGTTCCCTATTCACTGTGATGGTAGTTTCTTTTGCTGTGCAGAAGCTCTTTAGTTTAATTAGATCCCATTTGTCAATTTTGGCTTTTGTTGCCATTGCTTTTGGTGTTTTAGACATGAAGTCCTTGCCCACGCCTATGTCCTGAATGGTAATGCCTAGGTTTTCTTCTAGGGTTTTTATGGTTTTAGGTTTAACGTTTAAATCTTTAATCCATCTTGAATTGATTTTTGTATAAGGTGTAAGGAAGGGATCCAGTTTCAGCTTTCTACATATGGCTGGCCATTTTTCCTAGCACCATTTATTAAACAGGGAATCCTTTGCCCATTTCTTGTTTTTATCAGGTTTGTCAAAGATCAGATAGTTATAGATATGTGGCATTATTTCTGAGGGCTCTGTTCTGTTCCATTGGTCTATATGTCTGTTTTGGTACCAGTACCATGCTGTTTTGGTTACTGTAGCCTTGTAGTATAGTTTGAAGTCAGGTAACATGATGCCTCCAGCTTTGTTCTTTTGACTCAGGATTGTCTTGGCGATGCGGGCTCTTTTTTGGTTCCATATGAACTTTAAAGTAGTTTTTTCCAATTCTGTGAAGAAAGTCATTGGTAGCTTGATGGGGATGGCATGGAATCTATAAATTACCTTGGGCAGTATGACCATTTTCACAATATTGATTCTTCCTACCCTGGAGCATGGAATGTTCTTCCATTTGTTTGTGTCCTCTTTTATTTCCTTGAGCAGTGGTTTGTAGTTCTCCTGGAAGAGGTCCTTCACATCCTTTGTAAGTTGGATTCCTAGCTATTTTATTCTCTTTGAAGCAATTGTGAATGGGAGTTCACTCATGATTTGGCTCTCTGTTTGTCTGTTATTGGTATATAAGAATGCTTGTGATTTTTGCACATTGATTTTGTATCCTGAGACTTTACTGAAGTTGCTTATCAACTTAAGGAGATTTTGGGCTGAGACAATGGGGTTTTCTAGATATACAATCAGGTCATCTGCAAACAGGGACAATTTGACTTCCTCTTTTCCTAATTGAATACCCTTTATTTCCTTCTCCTGCCTGATTGCCTTGGCCAGAACTTCCAACACTATGTTGAATAGGAGTGGTGAGAGAGGGCATCCCTGTCTTGTGCCAGTTTTCAAAGGGAATGCTTCCAGTTTTTGCCCATTCAGTATGATATTGGCTGTGGGTTTGTCATAGATAGTTCTTATTATTTTGAGATACATCCCATCAATACCTAATTTATTGAGAGTTTTTAGCATGAAGGGCTGTTGAATTTTGTCACAGGCCTTTTCTGCATCTGTTGAGATAAACGTGGTTTTTGTCGTTGGTTCTGTTTATATGCTGGATTACGTTTATTGATTTGCATATGTTGAACCAGCCTTGCATCATAGGGATGAAGCCCACTTGATCATGGTGGATAAGCTTTTTGATGTGCTGCTGGATTCGGTTTGCCAGTATTTTATTGAGGATTTTTGCATCGATGTTCATCAGGTATATTGGTCTAAAATTCTCTTTTTTTGTTGTGTCTCTGCCAGGCTTTGGTATCAGGATGATGCTGGCCTCATAAAACGAGTTAGGGAGGATTCCCTCTTTTTCTATTGATTGGAATAGTTTCAGAAGGAATGGTACCAGCTCCTCCTTGTACCTCTGGTAGAATTCGGCTGTGAATCCATCTGGTCCTGGACTTTCTTTGGTTGGTAAGCTATTAATTATTGCCTCAATTTCAGAGCCTGTTATTGGTCTATTCAGAGATTCAACTTCTTCCTGGTTTAGTCTTGGGAGGGTGTATGTGTCGAGGAATTTATCCATTTCTTCTAGATTTTCTAGTGCATTTGCATAGAGGTGTTTATAGTATTCTCTGATGGTAGTTTGTATTTCTGTGGGATCAGTGGTGATATCCCCTTTGTCATTTTTTATTGCATCTATTTGATTCTTCTCTCTTTTCTTCTTTATTAGTCTTGCTAGCAGTCTATCAATTTTGTTGATCTTTTCAAAAAACCACCTCCTGGATTCATTGATTTTTTTGAACGGTTTTTTGTGTCTCTATCTCCTTCAGTTCTGCTCTGATCTTAGTTATTTCTTGCCTTCTGCTAGGTTTTGAATGTGTTTGCTCTTGCTTCTCCAGTTCTTTTAATTGTGATGTTAGGGTGTCAATTTTGGATCTTTCCTGCTTTCTCTTGTGGGCATTTAGTGCTATAAATTTCCCTCTACACACTCCTTTAAATGTGTCCCAGAGATTCTGGTATGTTGTGTCTTTGTTCTCCTTGGTTTCCAAGAACATCTTTATTTCTGCCTTCATTTCGTTATGTACCCAGTAGTCATTCAGGAGCAGGTTGTTCAGTTTCCATGTAGTTGAGCAGTTTTGAGTGAGTTTCTCAATCCTGAGTTCTAGTTTGATTGCACTGTGGTCTGACAGACAATTTGTTATAATTTCTGTTCTTTTACATTTGCTGAGGAGTGCTTTACTTCCACCTATGTGGTCAATTTTGGAATAAGTGTGATGTGGTGCTGAGAAGAATGTATATTCTGTTGATTTGCGGGGAGAGTTCTGTAGATGTCTATTAGGTCTGCTTGGTGCAGAGCTGAGTTCAATTCCTGGATATCCTTGTTAACTTTCTGTCTCATTGATCTGTCTAATGTTGACAGTGGGGTGTTGAAATCTCCCATTATTATTGTGTGGGAGTCTAAGTCCCTTTGTAGGTCTCTAAGGACTTGCTTTATGAATCTGGGTGCTCCTGTATTGGGTACATATATATTTAGGATAGTTAGCTCTTCTTGTTGAATTGATCCCTTTACCATTATGTAATGGCCTTCTTTGTCTCTTTTGATCTTTGTTGGTTTAAAGTCTGTTTTATCAGAGACTAGGATTGCAACCCCTGCCTTTTTTTTGTTTTCCATTTGCTTGGTAGATCTTCCTCCATCCCTTTACTTTGAGCCTATGTGTGTCTCTGCACGTGGGATGGGTTTCCTAAATATAGCACACTGATGGATCTTGACTCTTTATCCAATTTGCCAGTCTGTGTCTTTTAATTGGAGCATTTAGCCCATGTACATCTAAGGTTAATATTGTTATGTGCGAATTTGATCCTGTCATTATGATGTTAGCTGGTTAGTTTGCTCAGTAGTTGATGCAGTTTCTTCCTAGCCTCGATGGTCTTTACAATTTGGCATGTTTTTGCAGTGGCTGGTACCGGTTGTTCCTTTCCATGTTTAGTGCTTCCTTCAGGAGCTCTTTTAGGACAGGCCTGGTGGTGACAAAATCTCTCAGCATTTGCTTGTCTGTAAAGGATTTTATTTCTCCTTCACTTATGAAGCTTAGTTTGGCTGGATATGAAATTCTGGTTTGAAAATTCTTTTCTTTAAGAATGTTGAATATTGGCCCCCCACTCTCTTCTGGCTTGTAGTTTCTGCGGAGAGATCAGCTGTTAGTCTGATGGGCTTCCCTTTGTGGGTAACCCGACCTTTCTCTCTGTCTGCCCTTAACATTTTTTCCTTCATTTCAACTTTGGTGAATCTGACAATTATGTGTCTTGGAGTTGCTCTTCTCGAGGAGTATCTTTGTGGCGTTCTCTGTATTTCCTGAATTTGAATGTTGGCCTGCCTTGCTAGATTGGGGAAGTTCTGGATAATATCCTGCAGAGTGTTTTCCAACTTGGTTCCATTCTCCCCGTCACTTTCAGGTACACCAAACAGACGTAGATTTGGTCTTTTCACATAGTCCCATTTTTCTTGGAGGCTTTGTTCATTTCATTTTATTCTTTTTTCTCTAAACTTCTCTTCTCACTTCATTTCACTCATTTGATCTTCCATCACTGATACCCTTTCTTCCAGTTGATCGAATCGGCTACTGAAGCTTGTGCGTTCGTCACATAGTTCTCGTGCCATGGTTTTCAGCTCCATCAGGTCCTTTAAGGACTTCCCTTCATTGGTTATTCTAGTTAGCCATTCATGTAATCTTTTTTCAAGGTTTTTAACTTCTTTGCCATGGTTTCAAACTTCCTCCTTTAGCTTGAAGAAGTTTGATCATCTGAAGCCTTCTTCTCTCAACTCATCAAAGTCATTTTCCATCTGCTTTGTTCTGTTGCTGGTGAGGAGCTGCGTTCCTTTGGAGGAGGAGAGGCGCGCTGATTTTTAGAATTTTCAGTTTTTCTGCTCTGTTTTTTCCCCATCTTTGTGGGGAAAGGTCTACCTTTGGTCTTTGATGATGGTGACATACGACATACAGATGGGGTTTTGGTGTGGATGTCCTTTCTGTTTGTTAGTTTTCCTCCTAACAGCAAGGACCCTCAGCTGCAGGTCTGTTGGAGTTTGCCGGAGGTCCACTCCAGACCCTGTTTGCCTGGGTATCAGCAGCGGAGGCTGCAAAACAGCAAATATTGCTGAACAGCAAATATTGCTGAACAGCAAATGTTGCTGCCTGATCCTTCCTTTGGAAGTTTTGTCTCAGAGGAGCACCGGCCATGTGAGGTGTCAGTCTGCCCCTACTGGGGGGTGCCTCCCAGTTAGGCTACTCAGGGGTCAGGGACCCACTTGAGGAGGCAGTCTGTCTGTTCTCAGATCTCAAGCTGCGTGCTGGGAGAACCACCACTGTCTTCCAAGCTGTCAGACAGGGACATTTAAGTCTGAAGAGGTTTCTGCTGCCTTTTGTTTGGCTATGCCCTGCCCCCAGTGGTGGAGTCTACAGAGGCAGGTAGGCCTCCTTGAGCTGTGGTGGGCTCCACCCAGTTCGAGCTTCCAGGCCAATTTGTTTACCTACTCAAGCCTCAGCAATGGTGGGCGCCCCTCCCCCAGCCTCGCTGCTGCCTTGCAGTTTGATCTCAGACTGCCGTGCTAGCAATAAGGGAGGCTCCATGGATGTAGGACCCTCCGAGCCATGCGCGGGATATAATCTCCTGGTTTGCTGTTTTCTAAGACCGTCAGAAAAGTGCAGTATTAGGGTGGGAGTGACCCGATTTTCCAGGTGCCGTCTGTCACCCCTTTCCTTGGCTAGGAAAGGGAATTCCCTGACCCCTTGCACTTCCCGGGTGAGGCAATGCGTCGCCCTGCTTCGGCTCACACTTGGTGCGCTGCACGTACTGTCTGACAATCCCCAGTGAGATGTACCTGGTACCTCAGTTGGAAATGCAGAAATCATTCGTCTTCTGTGTTGCTCACACTGGGAGCTGTAGACTGGAGCTGTTCCTATTCGGCCATCTATAAAATGTTTTAAATATGCAACTTTCCATTGCTCAAGGCAGACAGGACCCTTAATTGGTTTTTTAACATTGAAATTCATTAACTAGTTTAGTAATAGTTATAAGAAATTTTCTATGAACCATCCAGCTACTGGTTTAAGGCCCTGGGGATTAAGAATCTGTCCTTGCCCAGTAGGAGCTTACATTCGAGTGGGCTAGAGAATCACGTAAATAGATAATTGCATTGCAATTTGATAACTACAATAATAGATATTCAAAGTACAATGACAGTACTACTTACCGGTTTCCAAAATATTTTTGTACTTGTCTAATGGCAAGTATGTTATTTTGCAAAGATTTGTTTTTCTCTCCGGTCAATACAATATACAGGGCAGTGGTAGAATTCTTAGATGGAAAATACGCAATCTATGGTCAAACTATTTGGGTTTAAATGCCTGGCCTTAATAACTGGAAAACAATGAGAAATCATTTCATCTCCCCAAGCTTTATCCCAGAAGCAGTAAAATAGGTATAAAAGGGAGTGCTTTTGGGTGGCTATGTACAGTCGATTTATGCTATCACCTTACATCTGGGTCTAAGCCAGCTTCTCCTGGCCCAACTAGATCGCTCTTGCAGAGACTGATTGCAAAATATAACCCTGAATTCCTCCTATACAGAAATGCACACTCCTTTGCAATGTGGCTTTCCTGCTCTTCCCATCAATAGGTGGACTCTTACTTCCCTATCCCCTTAGTCTGGGCTGGGCTTGTGACCTGCTTTGATCAGTAGAATGTGGCAGAAGTGATACTTCTGAGGCTCAGTTTTTTGTTTTTTGTTTTGTTTCGAGGTGGTGTCTCATTCTGTCGCCCAGGCTGGAGTGCAGTGGCGTGATCTCGGCTCACTGCAAGCTGCACCTCACGGGTTCACGCCATTCTCCTGCCTCAGCCTCCCAAGTAGCTGGGACTACAGGTGCCCACCACCACGCCCGGCTAATTTTTTTTGCATTTTTAGTAGAGACAGGGTTTCACC
This sequence comes from Homo sapiens, assembly GCF_000001405.40. NCBI lineage: Eukaryota > Metazoa > Chordata > Mammalia > Primates > Hominidae > Homo > Homo sapiens. The sequence continues at coordinate 2,673,744 of NC_000003.12, forward strand.
ATGTTAGCCAGGATGGTCTTGATTTCCCGACCTCGTGATCCGCCTGCCTCAGCCTCCCAAAGTGCTGGGATTACAGGTGCGAGTCGCTGCGCCCGGCCGGAGGGTCAGTTTTAAGAGGCCTTGCAGCTTCCACTTTTGTCATCTTGGAATGTTGCTTTGAGACCTCCATGGCAGGAGGCCAGTCTTGCCTACCAGAGGATGAGAGCCCATGTGGAAGAGGACAGAGGCAACCCAGCAGACTGCCAGCACCAACTGCCAGACATTTCAGTGAGGCCATCTCAGACCTTCCAGCCCAGCTGATGCTCCAGCTGAATGTAGCCACGTAAGTGAGCCCAGATGAAAGAACCATGAGAAATAATAAATCATTATTGTTTTAACCGCTCAGTTTTGGAGTAGTTTGTGAAAGCAATAGATAATTGAAGTACTTACCGCATACAATCCATATGCCTCATAATAAAAGTAGCCTTTTTAAGGTAGCCTTTTTAAACACAAACTGATTTCATAAATCTGAATTCCTCATCACGTTTTTTTTTATATTTTTTAATTGACACATAATTGCATATATTTATGGGGTTCAGTGTGATATTTCTATTGATATATATAATGTACAATGATCAAATCAGGGTAATTAGCATCTCCATCAGCTCAAACATTTACTGTTTCTTTGTGTTGGGAAAATTTTAAGTTCTCTCTTGTAGCTATTTGAAAATATGCAAGAAATTGTTAACTGTGTCCAGGCATGCTGGCTCATGCCTATAATCCCAGCACTTTGGGAGGCTGAGGCAGGTGGATCACTTGAGGTCAGGAGTTCGAGACCAGCCTAGCCAACATGGTGAAATCTCGTCTCTATTAAATAATACAAGAATTAGCTGGGTGTGGTGGTGCATGCCTGTATTCCCAGCTACTGGGGAGGTGGAGGCAGGACAGTCACCTGAACCCGGGAGGCGGAGGTTGCTTTGAGCTGAGATCAGGCCACAGCACTCCAGTCTGGGTGACAGGATGAGACTTCGTCTCAAAAAACAAACAAACAAAAAAACAAAAAAAAAAAAAACCATTAACTGTGCTATAGAGCACTAGAGCTTATTCGTCTTATGTAGCTGTGAATTTGGATCTGTTAACCAACCTCTCCCTATCCCCACCTGCCCCTATAGTTCCCAGCCTCTAGTAGCCTCTATTCTACTCTCTACTTTCATATGATTAATTGCTTTAGTTTCCACATATAAGTGAGAACACGTGGTATTTATCTTTCAAATATTTTATGGATAAGACCTCAAAAGCACAGGCAACAAAAGCAAAAACAGACAAATGGAATTATGTGAAGTAAAAGGCTTCTGTACAGCAAAGAAAACAATCAGCAGTGGAGAGACAGTCTTACCACATATATATGTATTTTTTTTTTTCAGTTAGCTTCCTCAGGTTGAAAAACACCCATATTTTTTAAAAGTTGTCTTCCCTACATGATCTGGCCCTTCCTGCCTCTCCTCACCTTATCTCCTTCCATCTCCTCTCTTATCTCTATTCTAGCCACACTCCCAGAACATGCCAAGCCTTTTCAGGCTCCGGGACTTTTGTTCTCTCTCTTTTCTCTTTCTGGAATTATTTTCCCCAGACTTTAACATGCCTGACTCTGTCTCACATATAAGTTCTCACCTAAATGCCACTTTCTCAGCAAGGTCTTTGACTTTCTAAAATAGTTCCACCCTCTCAGCCAGCCAAAACTTACCCAATTTCCCTATTTTGATAGCGCTTATCACTATCTACAATTATCTTGTTTATTTATGTTTCCATTTATTGTCTGTTTTTTCCACCTTCCCAAGAATGAAAGCTCCACGAAGACCAGGAAAAGACTGATGGGCCACTGTGTGTCCAGCTCTTAGAAAAAGGTCTGGCACATAGTACATGCTTAGTAAGTACACATTGAATGGGAGGAAATAGCTGTTCTGAATAATGACTCAAAATAACAGAGGGAAAGCATCTAACAGGGGACCCAGGTCTTGAGAGCAGCACCAGCAACTCAAATACGAACACACGCTGCTCTTCCTACTGTTACCATGTCTGAAATGCTTTCTTTGTGCTGGACACTGCTAAGCCTAATATGTCTGTTATCTCATTTGTTTCTCATATCAACCTCAAAGTTCTAGGTTCTAGATTTATTATCCTCCTTCTACCAACAAGAAAACTGAGTCTTAGAAAAGTTAAACAACTCAGATAAAATACCCATGATTTAAATTCATGAAGTTTAACTCTAAGTTCCATTTTAAAATAATATAATGATACTCTGATTTCTTTTCAGATTGTATAAATCTTTCACCTTTTAAAATAATACACTGGACTATTACTGCCTGAACAAATTACTGTTTATATTATTATTCCACTTTTATCCCTCCCTCCTACATGATGATAATATTTTACTTATGTTTAGATCCTGAACACCAAACATCCAGTGAATACAGCTGAAGATGTAACCGACTGAGTGGTTTTTTTTTTGTGGTGGGGGGCACAGAGTCTTGCTCTGTCACCCAGGTTAGAGTGCAGTGGCATGCCTTTGGGTCACTGCGACCTCCGCCTCCTGGGTTCAAGCAATTATCCTGCCTCAGCCTCCCGAGTAGCTGGAATTACAGGTGTGCACCACCAGGCCTGACTAATTTTTGTATTTTTAATAGAGACAGGGTTTCTGTATGTTGGCCAGACTGGCGTCAAACTCCTGACCTCAAGTGATCCGGCTGCCTCGGCCTCCCAGATTGCTGGGATTACAGGCGTGAGCCACTGTGCCTGGCCAAGACTGATTATTAATGAACTAATTCTACCTATACAATTTGGAGGTATGGGAGACAGCATCATGGAGAAACCTCATTTGAAGTGCACCTTGATGAATGGATGAGCAAGAGTTGGCCAGGTAGAAAATAGCAATTCTAGGGGAAAGAAACGACATGGGAATTTTTTCAGTGTTGTTTTTGAAATTTACAGAATTTGGAAGAAAATGTTTCAGTAAGGAAAACTTCCTGATGGTCTTTATACTGTTTTCAAGTTCTTTGGAAACTTCAGAAACATATAAAAAGACACAGTTTTTGAAAAAGTGGAGGGGAAATTATTAGAGAGCATGTATCATCCAGCGAAGACTAACTGGATGACATTCTTAAGTAGTACTTGGTGTTTGTCCTTAATTGAAAGATGTTTGTGTGGACTAGGAACATCTAAATAGACTTTTCAATCTGTAAATGAAATCTTCAGAGCCTGCAGGGTTCTGGTTTTTTAAGTAAGTATCTGTCCGAGGAATACTCTGCACATCAAATAACTTAAATCCAGTAACATGTGATAACTGTTCAGGGATTAGCACACTGGATTCTATTCTCTCTCTCTATAGATAGATAGATAGATCACTCTTTTAGATAGATAGATAGATAGATAGATAGATAGATAGATAGATAGATGTGTATATATATAGATATATCTCTCTCTATATATGTATATATATATCTATATAGAGAGATCTATATACCTATATATCTATACATCTATGTATATAGATATAGATCCTGAACACCAGACATCCAGTGAATACAGCTGAAGATGTAACCCATTGAGATTTTTTTTTTTTGTGGTGGGGGGCACAGAGTCTTGCTCTGTCACCCAGGTTAGAGTGCAGTGAGATCTATGTATCTATACATAGATATAGAGAGAGATCTATGTATCTATACATAGATATAGAGATCTATGTATCTATCCATCTATCCATCTATATCTATCTATCTATCTATCTATCTATCTATCTATCTATCTGTAGAGAGAAAGAGCACACACTTACGACTGGTTTATCTTAACAGGAGCTTTAGGATGTCTGGAAAGTAATACAGTCTTCATAAAGAGAGGTTGAACATTATCAAACAGCATGGTTCATTGTGAGTTTTTGTTTTAAGCATTTTAAACAGTTGACTTCAAATTCCCAGCAGATGGTGGTGGCAGCAGGCAGGCACTCTAGTCAATGAGAAGTCAAAGTGAACTTTTAAAATAGTTGATTCTTAAACTTGGAAGAAAAAGGAGTGAATGTTAGAAAAAAAAAATAACAGGTTTCCTGCAATGCATCTTATCATGCACAAGTCAAAAAATGAGAAACGGTACAATTTGCAATAAACACAAGAGTGTGTATTTTACACTACGGAAATGTAAAGCATTTAATCAGTCTGTTAGCAGAAAACTTGAATATTAGCTGTCACCAAATCCCTTTAGTGTATAATAACCTCAGAATTGCGGACCAATGTGTTTTCCTCCCAGCAAAGCTTACCAGAAGTGTTTTCTTAAAGACTGGCATTCCTATTAATAATTTAAGGTAGGAAAAAAAGGGGGTACATTTTCTTCTTAGTAGTCCAATCCACAATATAATGATGATGATGATCTTACTATACTTAATACCACTCTTATTGTAGTGATTTTTCTTTTAATGCTATTTTTGGATAAGAGGTAATTATTTTTAATTGTTAAACTACTTTCTATAGATTTTTTGAGCACTTCAAAGTCTAGAATTCCAGGATTCTGTGAAGAAATTCTTTTTCAGCCCTGTCGTAAAAAAATTTTTTTGATCCTTGGTCATGTTTATATTTATCCTGTCCTTAATAATATTGATTATAACTTCTCTTTTCAGTGAATATATTATACATGTTCGACTTTATCTTACTAGGTAGCTGCTTAATAACAGCCAAACTCATTATTTATGTCACTTATCTTCCCCTTTTAGTTATCTTTGTGTTTAGGCTCCTACTCTATGGCGGTGAAAGCAATGGTTGTGGGAGGGAAGGGGAAGTTGCTTGATGTAAGTGACCGGAACCACAAGAAATATTCCCAGTATAAAGTGACCCTGTTTGCAGATTACCTTTCTGCTTTATTTCCTATGCTGTATCTTCCATTTTCTAGGATTCCTCAGGCCATCTTTGCATGGTTGGTTTATCAGAATGAAGTAAAATAGCTCCGGATAGAATTTGGCCCCTCCAAATGCCAGGCCCATGAGATAGCAAGGAAACTTCATCAAATGCCAATGACAGGAAAAGAGCTGTATGTCTTACGAAGCAGGCCCACATTAAGTCTGTAGGACTGCATGGCTTTTCTCTTGCCCTAGAAAGTCAACAGATGAGGTAACTCCCCACCCAACTGGTTCCTTTTCTTTACTTGGATGATCAAGGGGTAAAAGTACAGCTGTCATTTTAGCTACAAAGGTACCTTTTTACATTAAACTGAAAAAGTGCACATGTGTTCTGTTGAAATGCCCCCTATATATCTGTTTTGAATTTCAGTTCACTGAATGTTCTGAAAATTAAATAAACACAAAACAGGACATGCTAATATCTTCAATGAGGTGCTTAATTCCCCATCTTAATCAGCCGTTTTCCATCCTGTTTCTTTTTCCTGCCTATCTGTCAAATGTTTCTTAATTAAGAATTATTCTTAATTACAAAGTTTATGTGTCATTTTATTTTAGAGGTAGTTAATTAAATTTAACACTAATCATTGGAGATATTGCCTTTTCTGCACACACATTGATGCTTAATTATTGGAATACCTTGAATCTCTTGACTGAGGGGGAGTAGGGCATATTGATTTGTGTCTGGTATGTGGCAGCTCGTACTGAATAGGGCAGAGACTCAGCCCATCAACCAGACAAAGAAGTAGGAAGCTCATTTTTTCTTAGTTGATAAAGGACAGTGAACAAATGCACTCTGGTCATTCAGCGCATTATGTGATGTCTCTGAGGGGCATGGAAGTGTGATGATTATGGATGACATTCGATCCTAAAAAGAATAGCCAGAATAAAGCTATTCTTTAAGAGTCCTTGGATACTTGTTAGAATGGATTTGCCAATTTTTGTATGTATGGGATTATACTGGGGTCACCCTGAGCAGGTCATCTGGTTGGATGAGAAGCGAGATCCAGTGGCCAGATTAGAAAAAGGATGCATTAGCTCTTGGTTCCTTCTACCCAATCTTTCCCCTCCAACATTCTCAGACCTTATCTCCTGGGTCACTTCTTCAGAGAAGTCTTCCACAACTATATATTGCATACCTTTCCTTGACATCATTCATTCTCACTATAATTGCAATTTATGTGGTTGGATTTTTATTGTCTGCCTCACCCAATAAATGAAGTATCCTTGAGGGTAGTTGTCATTTCTAATTTTGCTTATCATTTATTTGTCATTTGCTTAACTAGTATTTGACACTAAATATATTTTGGAATGGATTAATGAATGAATTATTAAATATTTTTAGAAGCTATAAGTTATTTGACTTTTTAAAAAAGTATTAAATGTTCATTACGTTTGCCAGCACTGTATTATTAGGTTCTGGGAGTAAGGGATGGTTGGGTGAAAGTGAATCCCTGCCTTCAGCAATTTATAATACAATACAAAAGAAACTCATCCAACTAAATATAATATAAGCTAGACTATAATATGTGGTGTAATAGATACATGAACCCATCTCTGTGAAAACACATAGCAAATCAGCCAAGCGAGGCAAGGCTTCAAAAAGAGGGAGATTATTTGAAATCTGCCTTGAAGGTAGTTTTGGACAAATAAGAACTGGGGAAAGGGCATGCTGGGAAGAGGTAACAAGATGAGCAAGAGTCAGATGTATAAATGAATATGATGTTAGCAAATTGTCAAAGATTGGAAAACATGGTGGTGCTCAGTCCTGGCTCGGATACAGTGAGGCAGGCTTTCTGTACACTGTTGGCAGGACTGCAAATGGGTAGACACTTTTGGCAAAACACGTTAGAAGACTCACTATTTCCTCTTCTAGAAATATATTTCATAACCGGAGATGTGTGCAATTCTTTATATTCAAAATTGTTTCTCACAGCATATTTGACAAACTTCATTAACGGTCTACACACATAATTGTAGTCCAATGATTACATGAATTATGTAATAACTATAGGATGAAAAACTATGCATCCATTAAAAATTATGTTTTTGAAGAATCATGACATGGATAGGTGCTTGGATTGCAGTGTATATAAACATAATGAAAATCTCAATATAAAGTTGGATACCAGTTTTATACATGTAAAAATACAGAGGAATAAAGGAAATAACAGTAACAGTAATTTACTAATACTAATTCTCTTTGGTGGTAGATTGACAAGTACGTTCCATTTTCTTCTGTATGTTTTCTGTTTTCTAGATGTTCTACAGTTGTAAATATTGGTTGCATAATAAGAAAAACAGATTTAAACTTGGATATGTTATGAAGAAAATGCAATATCATATCTATGGCTAAAATACAAAATGTATAGGGAATGCTTTTAGAAAATGAGTCTTGAGTTTTAAAAATTATTTAGACTCTAATGGGGGTTGTGCCTTGTATTAATCATTCTGGGTACCAGGAAAACCTGCGAGATACGGCCCGCCACCCAAGGATTTTAAAACCTGGCTGAGAAGACAATACATAAATATCTAATTTAATAACAATCTCAGATAATAGTTCTAGTAATACCATGGGGCAGGATGCTACAGATTGCCAAAACATGGCACATAAGCTATGGCCTAGAAGTTTAGAGTAGAGATTAGCCTATTGAGTAATTATACAGAATTTCTAAATGTTTTTTGTCATCTCCCTGCCACACCCCTGGAGCAGCGTGTGATCTCACCAGCAGTGCAAGGGCACATGGGCTCTCAAATACCTGCCATAGCAACAGGATCAGGAGATGACTTAGAGAAGGTGGAGAGGAGGGTTAAGAGACCCCAGAACTTATATGGCTAGAGGTCCAAAAACAAGTAGATGCCACTCACTGGCCTGCCTGAATTACGTATCTTTCCAATGGACCCCAACCTAAATACCTAGATATGTAGGTTGTACCTTTTCTGTATATGATGAACTTGATATATGTGCACCCCTTACGTATGTATACACATGTATGTATATTCTGTATATATTTGTGTGTGTGTTTGTGTGCATACCCCATATATATTCATGTATAAATATATATATATATGTAGAAATATTTTCTAATAATCACTCAGTTTCTATTGCAGGTGATTATATAAACTCTCTTAAATGGATTTGCCATTTTCATTATTTGTTGCCATAAATTTGCTTCATCCTAAAATACTGCTTAATTACTAGATTGGTCAACAACATGTATCTTGCTATAATTGAAAAATGACTTACATTTTGGAAAAGAATAAGATGAATATTTTTCCAGATACCTTGGGAACAAATAAATTCCTCCATTTTGAGTGTTACTGTAAACATAAAATACTAGAATGGGATATTTTTTGGATATTCACTTAATGTTTTTGTGTTTGATCTTCCAATATGAATCGTTATCCATTCACAGATATTTATAAATCCTCTACTAGGTGCAAAGCCATTGATAAGTGTTGCAAGAAAATAAAGTACAAGTTAAAGAACATGAGTACCTGTTGTCTACAGATACTGAGAATTCTAGAATATATAAATAACACTCCTTGACCATGAAACATTTATGATCTCTTGGAGGAATCTTGTGAGGAAAGGTGTTGATTTTGCCCTCAAGGCGGTTCTGTCAACCTTTTCTACCTGTGGGCTGAAGAGATCAAGGACCTCTTCATGGAAAAGGTGGCTCGTTCACTAGGCTCTAGGTTACAATTGTTCTTAACTTTTTTTTACTGAGGATGTCAGAGACCCCTTTAGTCATGTGATGAAAATAATTGTTTCTTACCTGCAAAATTTACAAGCCCAGCATCTTGTATTTAATTTCAGTAATTTATGGATTCTTTCTAAGGTAATCCACGTGCATTTAGTTTACAGACCCCCACTTCAATGAGTAGTTAGAATTTGGACATGCACTAGGCTAAAAACAAAGGCAATTTTAGGTAACAATACAGAAGCAAAGTGTATAAAGTATATATAGAAAATGGAGAGTAGCTCCATTTGAATACCTGGAATGGGTTAATTAAAGATCTAGACTGAAAGGTAGGAATTGGTTAAATAAAGATCTAGACAAAAAGGATCAAATTCCTAATTACTGAAAATTGCACCCTGTATCATATCATATCATGAGTCCATTTCCAGTGGCCTGCCTTTTAGCTATTATTAGTCATCACTTAATCCAACAAAAGTGCCCAATCTTCCCAGTTTCATTTCAGGACAAGCCTTTAGCAACAACAAATTTTGCCCTTATCCTTCACGGAGTAGATTTTCTCTGCCGCCAGCATCCAAATGTGCATTTGACACTCTGAAACTGAAGGAGAGACTGGGACAGACCATACCAATCACTGACCCCATCATTCAGAGTGATTGAGATCTGTCTTGTCACTTTCCTGTGTGGAGACATTTTCTCTCCTTAGATTCTCTATAAGACAAAACAATCCACCACCATTATTTTTATAGCATGCCCATCTCCCAGAGTGTCACAAACTCTTTACAACAAGAAATGGAATAGAAAGACGATGCTTTGCAGACTTGGGTATAGTTATTTTCAGACAGAAAGGGAAAATGACAAGAAGAGATTGAGTGGAATAAAAGTAAAGATAAGGCTGCTGACTTGAAAAAACAGTCATGACAAGATTGATAGACCCTGCCCAAATCCACATCTCTCACCTGCACACATGTACACACACACACACACACACACACACGCAGGTGGATAGTCTCAGCAGCTTTTATCGAAAGTTTTGTTGATGATGTGGTCTTCCTGATACTAGTTTTCAATGATAGAATTACATGCTTATTCTTGAATATAAGTCAGTTTGGTCTCTCTGAACACATGTCCACATGTTGAAGTTGAAATGAGTTAATGGATGTAAACATTTAGACCAGTGCCTTACACAAATGAACACACTTCGAATGTTTTTCCATTATTATTGATGTTGATAATGGTGATGAAGATGATGATGATTAACAGTAGTATAGTATTAACTTGTTTATCAGAAAAAAAAAATTGTGGAACAGAACAAGAACCCAGTAAGGTAATAAGTCTTTTTAATTATTTTGACATTTGAGCAAAGGTAAACACATATAAGAAATCTAAGACTTGCATTCTGTTCCTTCCCTAGGAGTGTTCCAATATCCTTTCAGGTAGTGGTTATTTCTTAAAACGTCCTTTTATCACCACCTGCCATAGAATCACTTGTGTTACTTCTTAAAAACATGGATTCCTGGGCTCTACCTTAAACCTACCAAAAAAGAGTCTCTGGGGACAGGTCCCAAAGCCAGCCTTTTAAAGAAATTCCCCATGATGAGTCTTAAGCCTACAAATTTGAGAAAGGTGTTTACCTATCGTTTAAAGAATCAACCTTACAGGCAGGGTTTAATCTGATTAGGAATAGTGGAGGGGAACACTGGCTCTGAAACATCTTTCACCACTTTCCCTGCAATTCACACTATTAAATATTTATTCCTTTGGTTTCCAGTGTATATATAGGAGTCTCCATTTAAAATTTAAATACAAGGGGAAGCCATTAACATCCATTAGCACACCATGTGAGTTAGGGATTTGAAAGCCAATCATTTAGCAAGGCTTCAAGGGGAGAGTAAGATGAATGAATCCCATTGAGGAAAAAAGAGCTAAGAAGGCAGGGAGCAGAATAGGCCAGCCTAACTGAAGCATTGCAGCTGAGAATCCTGGACAGCTAGGGGAGTAAGGAAACAATGAATTCTGCAGACCAGCTGCTGGAAACAAAAAAAAGGAGAAATTATACAAAGTGGTATAAAATGCTTTTCAAATATGTTTGTGGTAGAGGTGGACCCCAATGACCAGTTTTGTCTGTTTCTCTTTAAGTGTGGCCTACAGTAGAGTCTAATGCTGGACCCATGCATTTGAAGGTCTAATACTGAGTTAAAGATCTCGGCATAAATCCTGGGGCTAATAACATTGGACCCTGAGCAAGTCAGACAAAATTGCACCTAGATTTAGCTAAAGAGTATCAGCTAACTTTGTTTTAAGAATAAACGTTTTTTCTCTTCACTTATAAATACTAGTTCTCCTAAATTATTTTTCAAAGTACTTACATAAGCTTCAACATTTTTTCCTTGTCTATGGTCATATTTAAAATAGTTTAACAAAAATTTGTTGCCCATGTTGTTTTGTTGTAATCTGTATGAACATCTCATTGTACAGATTAAAATGATAAAAGGAATCGGGAGTGCTCAAGCAAGAAGATTTAGGGGGAGACAAAGAAGAGAATTTACTTAAAAGTGTAATTAGCCAGGCCAGGGCCTTGTTCAGGGATCAGTGTGATAATTTATACTTATCTGAACTTGTGAAACGTAAAGATTACATTCTTGTGAAATGAAAACTACATTTACTTAGCGATTAGCTTTTTTTTACATGGCAATTAGCTTTGGTCATGTGTATACATATACATTAAGATCAGTAATATTTATCTGTCATCTTTTCCTTGTGTCTACATTAGCTACCATCTGGTCTTTAACCTAAAAATGTCCACATCAGGAATCATCTTTATCAGGGTCAAGTAATGGGAATAAAAAGGCAAGGTAACTTTTATTGCAGAACTGAAGAGGAGATTTGAAGAGAAGTAACTTTGGCATCAAGAATAGAGAAGTAATGGGGAGTGAATACTTGAGGTGTCCTAATCCACTTTCTATTACCTTCAATTGGTGATAAAAATGTTAATGATGATCTTCAAATTCAAGAATACACGTAAATCCCCAAGGAAACCAAAGGGAGCAGTATAATTCTTTACCTGACTTTCTTGCATCTAGTTTTATTTCAGTTTAGGAGCTAGCACTGTCCCATACAATACAAGAGCATTTGGTCTTGTACTAAGAAAAGACTTAGAAAAATTGAAGGGTCCTTCCAAACAAATGTGGCTGTTTTGACAATTATGCAAATAGTGTGAAGATTAAAAACCCAAGTAATCTTCATAGGTCATGGTATTGATTTAAATGAGAAAACCTAACTGCTTTTTGTTTTTTGAGTTGTGTTGGGATTTTTCTTTTTCTTAGTGTGTTTTTTTTGTTGTTGTTGTTCTTGTTGAAGCATGACACTTATCTGTTTTTCCTTGCTAGATTAAAGCCTTGCTTTCCCTTTGTTATTTAAATCACATCAGCAAGGAATTAAAGAGCCTTAGAGCAGGTGGCTGTGGTTTGGGTTTACATTAGTGGACTTTTTGCCATTATGTTTCTATTCCAATTTCCAGTTTCAGTTAGCAACATTATACTCTGTGATTTTGGGCAGGAGAAAACCCAAACCACAGACTAAACTGATTTTTGTTTGGAGAAAATGCACAACCAATTCCCAATTACCCAAGTTGTATTTCAATCCCAGAGTGCATGGAATGAAAATAATTGCAAGTGTGAATACACACAAAAAGAAATACATCCTGTACAGAAAACTAGCTCCCTCACTGTTGGTAGGAGAAGAAGGATATTTGCTCTGGAGTGGTCAGGGAGTCCTGTTACTGAATAAGGCCCTTAACTTGAGAGTACCTTTATTAAGAAAGCAGATGAGTGCTGTAGGGGAAGCTAGCAACATGCATGATGCATGCAGCCTGATAATGAGATGCCCTTCTAGCAATATTTAACCCTTACATTAATCCAAATCTACCTCCTTATAACTCCTGCTTTTTGGATTAAAAAGCAAAGTAAGCCCAGTGCTTCTAACAGTATGAGAGATCACAGCAAATGTTTAAAGGCAGTGACCACGTCACCCACTCCACCCAACCCTACCCCCGACACACACCCCATCTCCTCCAGGATATAGTTTCCCGGTTACTGCAATCATTCCTCAGCTCCAAATCTCTATGCCCTTTTTCCTTTTTCTCTTTTCCTTCTTCTCAATAAACAGTTTTATTGAGATATAATTAACATATAAAATTGTTTGATGTTTGCTTTTGTGCATACATTATACAATGATCACCACAATCAAGCTAATGAACATATTCATCACCTCTACATGGTTACTATTTGTGTGTGTGTCTGTGTGTCTGTGTGTGTTACACCCTTTTCTCTTGATGGTCTCTGCTTTCACATTTCACTAAAGCTGTAGTACCCCAACTTCTAAGTCCTGTGCTCTGAGCACATGCAAAGTTTGACCATGCTATCCTCTGCTGTGGACTTTCTTATCACTTCTATAAGCCAGTTTTAGTTTATACTGACATCTGCCCACTCTGGGTTGAATTCCTACCTGCTGTGGGAGAAAACAAACAGTGTACAAATCATTGCCACCAAAAAGTGATGGTGTCCAAGTGGAGATGCTTTGGAGGTCATTAACAATATGACCTGAGGTTTAGGAATGAGAGCCAAGCTAAAGATTTAGGTTTGAGATTCCTTAGCTCAGAGGTGTTAATGAAGCCACAGGTGGCCATGACTTGGTCTGTGAAAAGGGCAGACTTTAAATAGGGAACAGTGATTTTTCTTCAGCCTAGTAATGTTTGTCCACACAGAGTTTCAATCATTTAAATATCAAGAGATCTAACAGAAATGTCTGTGTTTCTGATTTCCGTTGGTGATATAAAAAGAGTGGAGTTACATGTCTGCAGTGCGGCAATAGCCTAAAGCTGAGCAGACATTGCCTTCTATAGGCAGGGCACATGCTCTTTGGTTCCCTGAAGTTCCCACCACTTGCTGCTCAGCAACTTCACCCATTTACATGCCAGCCTGTCTTCTGTAGACATTTTAATTTGCAATATCTGATAGACAAGGCCAAGCACTGTGGCTCGTGCCTGCAATCTCAGCACTCTGGGAGACCGAGACAGGTGGATCACTTGAGCCTGGAAGTTTGAGACCAGCCTGGGCAACATGGTAAGACTCTATGTCTTCAAAAAAAATACAAAAATTATCTGGGCATGGTGGCATGCGCCTGTAGTCCCAGCTACTTGGGAAGATTGCTTGTCCTCAAGAGGTGGAGGTTGCAATGAGCCAAGATTGCACTACTGCACTCCACTCCGAACAAGATCCTGTCTCAAAAAATAATATCTAATAGACAATAGTAAACATATATCTATGCCTTTGATTTCATTCTCTCCTGCTGATCATTCAGTCAATTTTTTGTAATCGAATGGGAATTTAAAGTGTGCCTTTTTGATAGGGTTTTCATCAAGTTATTAGAGAGATGAAAGCCATCTAATGTTAGTGTAGGAAGAAATCTTACCAATTATTTATTCATTTTACAAATGGAGAGAATGAAACTCAAAGAGGCCAGGGCAGTGAAACTCAGAGAGGCCTTGTTCAGAGTTGACAATAAGTTAATATCACAGGGAGGATAGAACTCAGGTCACACTGTTCTTCCTAAGTCTTAGAATCTTTAGCTATTAACATAGGTACTGACTGGTATATTTGCTCTCAATTGAACAGAAAAGTTGAGTACTTGTATCTGGAAGGGAATCAAAACAACAACAACAAAAGATAAAAAATAAAAATCTGTAACTACTTTGATAACTTATTAAAATATGAAAATACAGTATACAGTTATTGAAGGAATTATAAACTTCTTTATTGCAGTTGTGTTTGAACAGTGCCTTTTAAAAAATAATCTGCTTATTTCTACCTATTGAGAGAAATAGCTATTTTTTCAGTATTTTCCTTTGGACCACATTGAGTTTTTTCCCCAAACACAGTTTGTCATTCAACCAAATGAAAAGGTCCTCAGGCACCACCCTCCACCCAAGAACCAAAGGAATCATTTGATGTGAAAGGTACGAGTCATGCCAGGCTCGGCACCAGCCAATTACCGATTACACAAGCTGTATTTTATCACTCCAAATACATGGAATTAAAATAATTGCAAATATGTGTATACACACAAACAGAAGTGTATCATATGCACACAGCTCCTTGATGGTGGTAGAAGGACAGGGATATTTACTCTGGAATGAGATGTGATTCCTGTTATTGGACAAGGCCCGTAACTTGAGCCCACACTTATTAACACAGCATATCAGTGCAGACAGCTTGATAATGAGGAAACATCCAGCAAGGTTAACTCTTCAGCAAGGTTAGAGGCGTGAATAGTCTCATCCAGTTACCAGCTGAATATTTTTCAGAGAATGCCCATTTCCCTAGTTAAGTGTTTCTCAAACTTAGCTCCCTACGTGGGTCTTTGTAACCACACTGGGAATGCATGGAGCCATCTCCTGAACCCAGGCCAGTGAGCTAAACATTTCTGTGGCCCAGTCACTAGTGACGGTTGAGCATTAAGAACATTGCAAATGGTGACAATCTAGGAACCATTAAGCTACAGAACAGGTCCAAGATGAGGAGATACGTCCTTACAGAGGTCTAATGTAGCACCTGAGAATTACAGAGGTCTAATGTAGCACCAGTCATCCACAGTTGAGACTGGAATCTAGTCTAACACGACAGAGAGTTCGAAAGGTTGCAGACATAAGAAAGTAACAGCAGTGTGTGAAACATCACTTCCTGATTTCCTTGAAAGCAACTTAGTTCTGACTGCCAACCTCCATCCAGTTCTTGCCAGGTTGCTACGGAAGTTGCTTTGCTATTCTTATGGGAGCCAACCCAACCCCTAGCATTGTACACAGAAAATGGGGAAGGAGATCTAAATTCCAGTCAAAGTTGCCACTGACATTCCCATTGTCACATCCCAAGTGGTTCCTTGAAATATGGCTGCTCTCAGCTATCTGCCACTAGAAAAAGAATCCTCACTGAAGTTATAACATCAGTAGCTTGGATAGCACCTCCCTAGGCACATCATGGAGCAAGCCTATGGTAGAGGGAGCATTTTGGCTCCATGCAAATGCCTGACTCCCACAGAACCACATTTTCCTCCCAGTCCAGAGGAAACTTGCCATTCTTTTTTGTGACTTGCCTCAACCCATTTGTCTGCATCTTGCCAGAGACCACCTGCTTTTCAATGACCTTTTACCATTCCTTACAGGAGAAAGAAACAGAGGCAGAGAGGGAAGGAGGGAATGGATACCAGAAAGCAATTAATCTGCAGGAGAGTAGTGGTTCAGAAGGTCAGAATGGAGCAAACTCTCTGAAATCCACTCTAGAATTAGCAGTAGAGCAGCTGATATAAGAGACCTACATTTTTCATGTAGTGCTCTGGCCCCAGTTTCCCCCACCTCCTCTCTCCTATACACCACAATACGAATCCAGGGCTTCTGTAAGGTCACAGAGCAATCCTTGCCTATCTCCAGCACATACATAAAAATTCTTACCGGTTCACTGTTTCACATATATTCTTTATGAAAACCCAGTCATATCCTGTGAGGTAGGGGCGTGTGTGTTTGTGTCTGTGTGTATTTTTTCATTATGCCCAAAAACTAAGATCATATGTCTTCTCATCACTTTCTATTTTTGTTGCTCAGGGGAAAACTGAACACATAAACTTAGAAAAGCAGTCATACCAGCCTATGAGGTCCAGATGAGCTAATAAATGTCCTCTTGTCTTTATAATCTCCAATTCCTGTGATAAGATATTAGGGCAATAGGTTTTCCAAAGTAAATTTATATTCTATTAGCAGGTAGTGTGTATTCTACAGCTTCTGGATATTTTGCTACAAGTAACATTTCAGTTAAATTATATTCTCTGGGACAGGTAATTAGAGGTAAAATTGCTCCCCTTTTGGGTACATGCATCCTTCCCCACGAATATTCTCATCAAGAGGCAAAGGTGGCTGGAGTAAAGTCCCAAGTGTGTTCGTTTCTAAGAGAAGCCGTTTAGCATATCAGAATGAGCATGATCTTTGAAATTGTCCAGATACGTAGCCCCACACTAGCTATGGGACCTTAGGTAGGTTATTTAACTCTCTAACCCTTATTTTATCATCAATAAGTGTGGTAATAATGGCAACATCACAATTTAGGCAAATAATCAGTATCCCATCCATGAAAGAGGTTGCTGTTGCTGCCTTTACCATCCTTAACAATATCCTCTTTATTTATGGGGAAGGGTCATTATCCATCATCAAGTGACAAAGCTTGTCTGCCTTACCTCCTAGAGCAGGTTCAGCAGACTATAGCCTATGGGGGCAAATCCTGACAGTTGTCTGTTTTTGTACAGCACATGGACTAAGAAAGACTTCAGCTGTAAAAAATCAAAAGGAGAATATTAACATTTCATAACACATGAAAATTCTATGAAATTCAAATTTCAGTGTCCACCAATAAAGTTTTATTGCAACACAGCCACACTCATTCCTTTGCATATTGCCTAAGGCAACTTTCATGCTATAGGTGCAGAGAGTTGAATAGCTGTAACAAAAACCCTTGCCCCACAAAACTTAAAATATTTACTATTGTGCCCTTTACAGAAAGAGCCCGTCAATGCCCTAGCCCTAGAGAATACAGTATAGGGAAGACCACGTGAGAAACTGCTTCATCACAAATAATCAGCTTTGCCCTTGTGATCTTTGGTGTAGGTCTTGCATTTGGAATCAGTGTTTAGTTTTTATATGTGCTATTTTTTAATATGTATGGCTTGTCTCTGCATTGGCAGTTACCCCGGCATATCTCAGTTTCAGTTCTGAGTGAACGTGTTGATGTCTTTGAGGCATTCCTCAAGAACGTCTCAAAATTATTAGTTATATTCCTTTATTCCTCATTGATCATATTATAAACCACCTTACCTATAATATGCCCTCATCGTTTGTTGAAAATTTACCCAGCATTTCTACAGTGGTGTAATAACAAAGAGTCTGAAACATAATTTTATGTATAATATATGATGGTTGTGGTGGTGGTTCTGAAGAAGAAAGAGGAAGAGGAGGGTAGAGGGAAAGAAGAGGAAAAAGATTCAGTTTTACTCCCAATGTGGAATAATAGCAGGAAGTCTGTTGTGTGGCTCCAGGACATTATCTCAGTTCCAAGCTGAGTGAAATCAAGGTGGGAGTTTTCTCCACTAGGATACTGAGAATGAGGAACTCACAGGAAAGTAATAGAAGCTATTAATTGCAGGATCTAGTCCTTGCACAATAATATTTCATCACGCTATTTACCTGGAGCCATTGCCTCAGGGGAATATAGTAATTAGCATAACTATCAACAACAATAGCATGTATGCATAAGTTAAAACATATGTATTTTGACTAGCAAATTGTCTCACTAACAAAAGAGGGTTAGATGTAGTTTCTTGGTGCTGCAAAAATGTGCAAGCAAAATAAACAATTATTAGAGCTTTTTTCTCCTGCTGTTTATAATTGAACTGAGCTACAACCCATGCTTTTTCCCATTACAAATATATTTATGACCTTTGTTCGTTAGCACAGAAATATATGTCAACATATGAGACAACTGGATACCTACCTGCTAGGGACGGTGACATTTGTTCTTACTGCTTTGCAGAGTATGCAGGTGTGATGAATGTCAACACCCTGCGTCCTTGTTATTGTTAGGCAGCAGTATGCAATCCACTTGATTTTCATTTAGTGTGTTGGATAAATTAAATCTCAGATTCTTAAACTTAAGTGGCACACTTGGACCCATGAGAAGTATTAAGTTTCTTGCTATGCAACTGGCAATTCTATCTGCTTATTCACAAATATTTGAAAATGCGATCCCTTGACTAAGTATTTTTGCAAATAGCAGGAGGAAAAGTTGGCAAGAAGCAGCTTTGCTTCTAAGAGAGTTTGATGTTCTCCTTTCGGAAAAGCGATGAAAACCTACAGTGCCCGGTGCTTTACCTCCGCTACCTATGCCCTCCCTGCAGGCAGTTCCAATAATTTTCCTTTTCCTGCCAGCCTACTTTCTCCTTGATGAAGTTCAGTGAATATTTAAGCCTTGAGGATTGGGGCTGGAGAGAGGGAGCATTGATTTCATCAGTTGTTTTGGAACACGTGGGATCTTTTCTATTTTTCCTTTTGCATCTTTTTTAGTATGATAAAAATTAGGATTAAATTTATCTTTCTGAGGCCTGTTGCTGTTTATTTCTTTGACTAAAATATCCGGCAACAGTATATCATGAACAGCTCTCTTTCTTAAAATTATTTCGTAAATATTTTTTGTCGCACACACACTGGCGCATGCAAACACTATTTCGTTTAATCTTGTGGTGACTCTGTCAAGAAAGGGAAATAGCTTTATAGAAAAATTCTGAACTAAAGTGTGTAAAATTAAGATCTCTGTGTTTCATTGTATAAAAATTTTAGCTCAAATGAACAAAAGACCTCTCATTTTTATTTTTATTTTAGCATTTCTTTACCATAAGGTTAGAGTAACTTTTTAAAAATATGGTAGCCTAAAAAAACTAATGACTAAACCTTAAAGACTAATTTAAAATTTTTATCAAATTTTTTTCTATTATTTTCTTAGGAAAATTCTCAAACCTATTAAATTCAAAAGAATGTTATGGTGAACACCTGTATGCATGTCAATGAGATGCTACCTTCATGATTTTATTATAACCAGCTATCCATTCTCCATCCACCCATCAATTCACCTTTATTTTTGATACATTGCAAAGTAAACCGCAAATATCCATATGTCTTCCTAAATACCTAGTCTGCCTATCATTAATTAGTATTTGATATTTGGTTTACAGCTTTTTGTTTCTTTGAGCTAAAATTTATATAACCTGAAACACACAGATCTTAAGTGTCCATTTCTTGAGATTTGACCAGTGCATATTTCTGTGTCAACGAAATCCCCAGATATATCAAGATATAGAACAGAGTTATCACAAAAATCTCCTCCGGTCCCTGTTAAGTCTTAGTTGCTTTAAATCAAATATCAGTTCAGGTTGATTTTATAAGGTTTTCTTTAAAACTGTTTAGATGCAGGCAGAATACAAAAGATGAAAAAGACATGATCCCTACCCTCTAAAAGCATATAGATGGTGACAAAAACCACCAAAATAGAAAATTTCAATTTTCAATATGTTTTAAATAATAACATGTGGTAGATGCTATGGAAGCACCTAGCAGTGTCTGTTCATCCATCTGGACTCTCAGGAAAGGGTTTTGGAGGAGAAGTCAGCTTTAGTCTGGAGAGAAAAAATGAATAAATGTTAGCCAGGAGAAAAGAATGATAAGAGAAATTGCTCCAAGAAATAGAGTACGTATTTTAAATCAGTTTCTGCTGTTCTAGTGTTTGGGAGAATTTATGAATCAGAGCACACCGAGGAACTTGCATCGTCCTCTCAAGAATACTAGGAAACACATCACAAGAATTCATTGATAAACTGAGTCTCTGTACCCCAAGGGTATTTCCACTGCCTTCCACCTTCCGAGTTGCTGGGCCCCAACTTCTAAGAAGGACACTTCTCAAACCTTCAGTGGCTCCTGTTTGCTGCTATTATTAGACACATTCTTCTTATCCTAGCATTTCTAGGTGCCTTTCATCTTCCCAGTATAGTCCTAATCTGACTTTGCCCCACTTCCCCGTTTACTTACATCTTATACTCAAATTATATTAAACTCTCCAGTCCTCATACTTTCCTGCTAGGATGCCTTTGCCCAAGTCTTTGCCTGTTTCTGGAATCCTCTCTCTTTAATGTCTACCTTTCATAACCCCGTTCATCTGCCAAGTCTTTCCCCCTGCCCATCAGAAGCCATCTTGTCTAAAAACTCCCATAGTTCCTTGCTCCTACCATTCCCACTTTTAAAGCCAAACACAGCTGTTTTGTTCTGCTGTAGCTGACAATGTCTAGCACAGTGCTCAGCACAAAGTAGGAAATTAGTAAGTATTTGTTGAATAACAGTGAGTTCTATCTTATGTCAGTGTGTACTTATAGATCTAGAGTTTCTCTAAAGCAGAGTCTGTGTTCTATACTTCTTTACATTCCCAGAAATCATAAAGGACAGTCAAGAATTGAACAACATTGGCCAGGTGCGGTGGCTCGCACCTGTAATTTCAGGACTTTAGGTGGATCACTTTAGGTCAGGAGTTCGAGATCAGCCTGGCAAACATAACAAAGCCCCGTCTCTACCAAAAGTACAAAAATTAGCTGGGCATGGTGGCAGATGCCTGTAATCCCAGCTACTTAGGAGGCGAGGCAAGAGAATTGCTTGAACTCAGGAGGCAGAGGTTGCAGTGAGCTAAGGTCGTGCCACCGCACTCCAGCCTGGGCAACAGAGTGAGACCCTGTCTCAAAAAAAGAAAGAAAGAAAGAAATTGAACAACATTAAATAAACCTACAATGCTATTCTAATATCTGAGCTGTAGCATTACAGTTCTATTTATATTTAATACAAATTTAAAGAACATGTAGTTTGAGGAGTAGACCTCACAACGTTTGTTTTTGTATTAGTATACTTCAACCCCTCTCTTACTACCCCTGAAGGCTTATAAATGAACCGTTTGGTTTTAAATTTTAAAAAGGAATCTTATAAATTAAGTGCAGAAAGAAAATGGGAAAGTCCTTGATATGGTAAATGTTTAGTTTTGGAGAGAATATCAATGTTATTTATGTAGTCAGTGCATCTGTTGACTGACTACCTATTACATGCCAGGGGCTGGGCAAAAAGCACCTGTCCTGGTGTAGCACTGTTTCCAGTATAGGAATATCTTACAGCAGACCCCAGAGAAAGAGTTGGACTTTGTATATTTGGGCCCTTTGATTTGTGTATGAGAAACGTATTACTGAGTGAATGGAAGCCTTCTGATTGCAGATAACCCCAATTATTGGAAAGTTCTTCTTTATAGTAAGCTTTGTACTGCCTCTCTCTAACATCTTCCAGCCAGCCCTATTTCTGTCACTGGAGCCTCCAGAACCAAGTAAACCCCTCTTATGCACAGCACCTTTTCAGTATTGAAGATTTACATTACACACCCTACCCCCAAGCCTCACCTTTTTCAGACCAAGTATATAGAACTCAAAATACTTTTTCAAAGGAATTGGTTTCCAAATTGCTGTTTGTTTTTTCTTAAACATTTTATATCAGTTCCAACATCTGATGTCAGTTTGATGTCCTCCTCAGTTTATTCTGTAACAGGTTTTGTGATAGACACCAGCAGAGGGATATTGGGGGTTGTGGGGAAGGGATGTTATAGAGAAGACGAACAGAGCATAATCTTTGTTGTCCTAAAGTATATACATGGCAGGAGAAAACAATCACTTTGTCAGATCATTTCAATATGATGCTGCAAGTCATGTCAGAGATAAGCAATGGGTACTGTGGGAGCACTCGGGTAATCTAGTCCAATCTGGGTTTTAGGGAAAGAATTTTAGAAGTGTCACCAGAGTTGAGTCTGAAATTATGAGCAAATGTTTTCCAAGAGAAGAATGATAGGAAGGGAGACAATAGAAGTTAAGGCACTGAGGTATGAAATCAGTATAGGGTGGTAGGGGTGGGGGTAATGACACTATAGTTACTTATGTGAAGTATTAGCTCGAGAATGGCAGAAAATAGGGCTTGTGAGGTATGTATGTATATACACATGTATGCATTATGTGTATATGTGTGTCTATCTCTGTAAGTGTGTATGTAAATACATTCTGATTTTCTAATTCTTAGATTTTGCCCCAATTCTCTTGTTAGAAATTAGAATTTTGGCTCTACGGCCAAGGACTTTATTCAGCATATTAGCTTTTCAAGAGATCATAAATAATCATCGTTGATAACTATAATGACCTGAAGTGTTATAACAAATAATTTCTGCGAAGTGGAGTTTTAGGTAATACATATCATTAAAGGCATTGCTATGAGTTGAATGTGTGTTCCCTCCAAAGTTCAGGTTGAAACTTAATCTCCATCATGGTGGTATGAAGAGATGAAGTCTTTTGGGAAGTGTTTAAATCATGAGGGCATCACATTTATGAATGAATTAATGCACTTATAAAAGAGGCTTCAAAGAAAGTTTGCTGCTTTTTGCTGTTTGGCTCTTCTGCCATGTGAGGACATAGCATTCCTCCCCTTCAGACGACACAGCCTCAAGGCACCATCTTGGAAGCAGAGCAAGGCCTCACCAGACACCAAACTTGCTGGCTCCTTGATCTTGGATTTTCCAGCCTCCAGAACTGTGAAAATAAATTTATATTATTTGTTAATGACCCAGTCTTAGGTCTTATTTATAGAATCCCAAAGGGACTGAGACAGTATAGTTATAAATCAATGTCAAGTTTCTTCCAGTTTCTTAATATGGAGGTTTGCCATTTGAGGATGCTTCATTGCTTCTCTGACCTGAATAAAGTAGCATATATGATTCTCATTATACTATTGATATTTAAGGGAACGGCTTACATCCATTTCATAAGAGTTGTGTCTCATGAATTATTTGTATTCCAGAAACCAAACTTTGTCTGGAGCATCCCAATTTAAGATAGCCATTTGTTAAGTTAATTGCCATGAATGGGTGACATTTAATAAAGTATGTGAATACTTAGGAACGGAAGGTTGCGAATTAAAAAATAAAATTATTCTCCTCTTTATTCAGTTTCGTATATCACTTACCAAAGCTCACCCTGCCTATTCTATGGTGTTTGAGTTCATGCATCCAGACTTGTGTTAAGAAGAAGGGTGACAAATTTAGAATTCACAGTGTGTGTTGCCATGGGAAATACAACAAGCTATTAAGAAATTGTCTTTTCAATAACTTTTTAGTGTAATTAAGGAGATCATGCATATGCTCCTGGAAAGAGAGCCTGTAGTATTGAGTACTAGCTAAGTGCTGTGGGCTGTGTAGACAATGTCTGTGGTATGCCTGCCCAGTGACTGTTTCTCCTGCTTTTGCAATAGCATTTTAATTTTTCTTTGGAGAACTATACCTGTCCTATTTTCAGCAGTCCATTTGTTTTTTTCTGAGCATCCGTCTCTGTCTCCCAGACTTAAAGAGATCCAGGTTGGAATACTCAAAATCCACCCTCAAACTTGTGCTGAATCTATGTGGAAAGGAGATGTGCCTACTCATTACCATGTTTGTGGTGGCAGAATGTCAGGTTGGGGTTGCCAGTGACCATGTTTGTCCCCACAAAGAAGAGCCTACCTGAAAATACAGACAGCAAAAGACAATGGATCTTAAGTCTTTGCAATTATATCAGACAATATATATTTTTTCTTAGGCTAGTTAAAGTTCTCCATCACTTGAATTAGTCATGGTTTATTCAGAGAAGCAACCGATACGATGCATAGAGAGAGAGAAAAAAAAAGATACTTATTTTAAGGAACTGGCTCATGCAGTTGTGAGGGCTGTCAAGTCTGAATTGCACAGGGCAGGCTGGCAGTCTGGAGATTCAGGGAAGAGTTGATGTTACAGTCTTGGAGTCCAAAGGCAGTCTGGAGGGAGAATTCCTTCTTCAGGGATCTCAGTCTTTTAAGACTTTAAACTGATTGGATGAGGCCCACCCACAGGTTCCAGGGCAATTTGCTTTATACTACTGATTTAAATGTTACTCACACCCAAAAAACACCTTGTAACATTCATCCGGACTGATGTTTGACTAAATGGGTACGATAGCCAAGCCAAGTTAACACATGAAATTAATCATCTCACTCCTAAATGAAAACGCCGTGGCTAATCTATGCAGTAACTACTATAGTTGCTCAGATGTTGCAGAAATTATCACAGGACTGATGTAGTCAGGAGAGGTTGTCAAGAGAACATACTATTTCATGGTAAGTTATAAAATCCATACTTTTACTATTTTGTAAATAAGGAATATCTTTTATGGCTATGAGAAAATTGAATAAGCTGATACACATGGGAGGCACCTAAATATTTAATTTTCTCTCCCTTTTCCCTTCCATTTATATATTTGAGTTTCTGATTAAGCCTGTGTTGTACCTGAGTCTGGAACTTTGCAAGGCACTTTATGTTGAGGATTTATGTTTTAGAGATTAAATGACTTCATGCGGACCACGCCGTAATCTAAGGGTCTAGAGCTCAGAGTGACCACAGCGAAGGCACTGAGCCTTGTACTTATTTTACAAATAGGAAGCTGTTCTCTGTGGTGATTAATTTTTTAAAAATTAAGTTTCAGTGCTAGTGTTCTTTGCCAGTCAGATGTCTACATATGTTTCTAAGTCCGTACAGCTAGAAAGTGTGTGTCAAATAAAAGAGTTGAAGTTACTTAGCTCCTGGCCTCATATCTATTTCATCATGCTATTTAGGCATTCTTTTAAGATATAAAAAGCAAAAATATGTAAAAATAGCCATTTCTACATGGCAGAGTCTGTTTTAAGAGCCTGGCCAACACTTTGGGAGGCCAAGGCGGGCGGATCACCTGAGGTCAGGAGTTCGAGATCAGCCTGGCCAACTTCGTGAAACTCTGTCTCTACTAAAAATACAAAACAAAAATTAGCCAGGTGTGGTGGCAGGCTCCTGTAATCCCAGCTACTTGGGAGGCTGAGGCCGGAGAATTGCTGGAACCCGGGAGGTGGAGGTTGCAGTGAGCCGAGATAGTGCCATTGCACTCCAGTGTGGGCGACAAGAGCGAGACTCTGTCTTAAAAAAAAAAAAGAACCTGGGATTGTTAGATTGTTAGTATACCTGTCCCAGGTATTTTATTTCTAATTGGGAGACTAGCTTAATGCTTGGAAGAATTTGATGATGATCTTTTAAAATGTCACCAAATCTAATCACTCAGCCCTAAAATACACCCTCAGGGTATAACTTCAGATTAATGAGGACTAAGACTTGTTGGGAGGGCTTTGGAGTGGAAATTTCCACCATTGTTAATTTGCAGGAGGACATGTCTGATGTGTTTTTGTGATGGTTTCACATCTGACAGTCTGTCTCCTAGGCACCTGGCTGTTCTCCACTCGGTTCCTTCCTGAATGTTGCGCTAGATTGTCAAATGCCACTTCAGACTAGATCTGTGCCCCCGAAAGTCATGTGCAACTTCATGAAAAAAATCTACCTGACATTTTCAAATGCAACTCACTTGAACTTGTAAAAGTCAGGTGTAAATTGAGAATAGATTTGCACCTAAGTCTTCTTTGGTTGATTTCAGTATTTGCTTGGAACTGACATTTGGAGAATAACTCAGTTGCCCTCAGAATTGGTCCCCTGCTCACTCCAAAGTGTTGTCAGGGAGCGCTTAGTGTCCGAATGGCTAGTACAGTATGCTTCAGGTGAATTTCAGGCACTTTTATTTACTGGGTTTGGACCAGTTTGGAATGGAAATTAACAATATGTGAATTCAGTGGTTTCACCAGTGTAGCCTCTTGAGCAAACCTTGGACACTGAATCATATTTGTTGCCTAAAGATATTAATGATTATCTGGCTTAGCCTCATGGGCCTGATTCTTCTTCAACAGTAATGTGTTGATTATTGGCATTTTAGACATGGTTGGTATTATACAGCTGAATCTCTGCACAAATTCAGAGCAGCTATGCAGGCTTCTGCCACTGGGTGAGTTGATGAAGGAGATGATGTCTCCTCTCATAATGCTGCACCAAACAGATGGAATGGCAAGCTGTCTATGACTCTGAGTATCTCTGAACAT
Source organism: Homo sapiens (assembly GCF_000001405.40). NCBI lineage: Eukaryota > Metazoa > Chordata > Mammalia > Primates > Hominidae > Homo > Homo sapiens. The sequence goes on from NC_000003.12 coordinate 2,700,025, forward strand.
GAACCTGTCCTTCTGCCTACCCTAATCATTCCACTTTCACGAAGTGCATGCACTACTGAGCCACAGAGAAATTACACAGCAAGCAGTAGACATGGTGCCTGAAGGCAATGCAACTCTTGAACTGGAAATTTAGCACACATGTGAAATCCTTCGCAGATACAAAGCCGTTCTTAGACTATTATTTTCAAAGGTAAAATTAGAGATGTAATAACCTTATGAGATCATCATGTCCAGTTCTCTCATTCTAGAGATAGTAAAACTGTGATCCAGAAGTTAAGTCCCTTACTTATGGTTATATATTTAGAGGAAGAGATGGGGCAAGAATTCCAGGTCCTTGCACATCACAGTATTATCCTTCTAATAGAGGGTGACCAATGAATGCATGATTTGGTTTGTAAGCAAATGTGAAATCCAGAGATTTTCATCATTTCCAACAATGCAAAAATGTTGAATCTTAGACTAGAGGCTCTTTGACCTCTTCCTGGATTTATTCTGTTTCTCTTTTTACATTCCTGCAAGGAAGGACTCTTGATATATTTTTGCCTTGTAGAAATATTCATTTCTAAGTTGGTTTGAAATTAGCCTGTCATCTGATTCACTGAGATAGAGTTAAAATAAATTCCCCTGGCAAAAAAAAAAAGAAAGGATTTTATCATCTATATGGATCAATTCCAAGAGTTCGCTTCAGTTTACTGATCCGTTTTCCCTACAGTATAGGATATTCAATTAAACCTTCCCTCAAATTGGCCATGAATTTTGATGAAAATGAAAGAAGTTTCGTTTAGCAAACAGTTTCTATCAGGGACTATAATAATAGAATGCAATAAGAATTATTTTCACCTATGCACCTGAACGAACATGTTTTGTCTGGTTTTTGGTTTGATTTCTATCTGTATCTTTATTTTTCTCTTTTTGTTTTTCACCCAGATTTTGTGTAGCTTGTCCAAAGTGGTTGAGATGTGGGATCAGGTGAAATTGCTCATAGATACAATAATGCTTCACACCAGTGTTTTCACCACTGATTTAGTAGTGTCTTTGATAAACTCTTATAATATTCCATACTTACATCTTTCTGTTTTAAATAGAACTGCTGGGATATGAGTTATGTCTGGTACTCCCTTATTTTTATTAAAGCATATATAGAAATTTTTCATACCCTTTGCTTCAGGCCTTCCTTGCCCCACTTAGCATCTGTAGAGTGGACATAGGCAGGAAGAGCCCACTCTACAAAATGCATCCAGTATATTTTGAGTAGAGACTGATTATGGTTACTGATCTTGGTCCTGGAAATGAGAAATGAATTAGATACAGATGGTACCTCTGTGGAACTTTAGAGCAGGAGATGAAGCAAAACGAGGGAGAAGACATAAGTGAGGATAACAGCACACAAAGTGGTGAGCATTGCCAGTGAAAATGCAGTGGTTTTCCCCCCAGCGTGGGGTATCATAGATGAAAGGGCGTTTGAGCTGCAATTCAGAAGGTTCTGAAGATCCACTTATCCAATTTGTGTTTTGCTTTCTCTGTGAATGGTTTGAGCCAGAGCTATACAGGGAGGTGGGCAGTGGGGACAGCGCATGCGTAGCATTTTCACAAATGCTTCATAGGGCTAGACAGCAGTGGTAACATCCTTAGCCCCACCCCATGTTTTACAGATGAGATAACTGGGGCTCAACAAGGTTAATGACTTAGGAAGTCATAAACACTCTGAGCTTTAAGCCCTCATCTTGTGATTTCTCTTTCATGGCTGTTTTCAGGAATCCTTAATTATTAGATTGCTGCAAAAGTAATTGCAGTTTTTGCCATTTAAAAGTAATGGCAAAATCCACAATTACTTTTGCACCAATGTAAACAGGATTTTTATGATACAAGTAACTGAAACTGACTCTAGATAATTTAAGTGAAAAAGGAATTGATTGAAAAGTTAGCATGAGTTCTCCAAAATTATGGAGATCTTAGCCAGATTCAGAGGAAAGAAGCCAGGGTAGAGTGAAAGGTATTAGGCAACAATAAGATCAACAGCATTCTCAGGAAAACCTGGCCAGTAGAATGAATGGGCTCTAAGCTTTGTTGTTTTCTATCTCTGTATTATTGCTCAGGATCCAAAATCAGAGAGAACAATGTCTGATTGACTTACTTTGAAGATGTGCCAGTGGCCACCCGTTTGTTAGGGGAGAGCTAGGCATCTTGATTTACACCCTACTGTGACAGCACCCATAAGTGAAGAGGTAATGCCACCAAAGGAAACCAGAGTGGATGACCAGCAAAGAGCATATGTCCACTGTGGGAATACAGGCACATGTAGGTAAAAGAACAAACGAACACTGCAAGTATCCGTATGGATAAAGCAACAAATCATTTTGTAGGCCTGAGTTAACAAATGTGATGTAGCATATTTTCATTATAATATTAAGTCTATGACAAATATATTCTGTGCTCAGCCAAAGTTGGTGAGGCATAACGGCACTTCTTCCATAAGCTATGGCTACTTGTTCCTCCTTGTGCCCTCTGGCATGCAGATAATTAGGCAAAATTTAAAACAGCTTGAATGTAGTAGATGCTCTCTATCAAGGTGTGAGGGTTAGGATAGCATTTACCCCCAGGCTTAAAGTGTTCTAGGACATCTTTTGGGTGAGCTCCCTCCAGAAAGAAAAAGTGTTCCTGAGAAAGGGCAGTATGATTAATCTTACCTAGAGGCTGAAGCACATGGTGCATATTCACGCAATCGTTCATGTGCACGTGAACTGTATGGAAGGATATAGCTAAGGACAAAAAGGAGTTTTCCAGCACAAATTGAGCACATTAGGCTATTATGAAACCATTAGAGATTTCTTTTGTAGTTTGTTCCGTATACAGCAGTCTCTTGCCTGACTTTTCAAAGGAAATGTGGTACCAAAGTAGATTCCAAGGGTAAGACCCAGTTATCTTGGTTAGAGTGTCCTTTCTTGATATTCTCAGGAATGTGTTCTTCTGGTAATTTCTGTAAGTTTTCAAATGAAATGGGAGTTACTATTCCAAGGGTTTTACAGGTAGTATCTAATTCAATTATCACAGCACTAGGCAATAGTTATTCTTATTATCCTAATTCTACAGAGGACGAAACGGAGGCACAGAGAAGGTTTAGTAAATTGCTTAAGATCATCCCTTGTGCATTTCACAAGAGCAGAGCAGGAGTAGTCTCCCCTTCATATTTACGTCATGTATGCCTAATATAGTACCTGGTGCAGAGCTAAGATTGAATGAATGAGTACATAAATTAGACATGTTATGGTACAGTATGAGTATATATTGCAATGTTTGTGCATCACTGAATATAATAGCTTACATGAAATGGAAAAAAACTACCTAGCCTTTTAAAATGTGTTTATAGTTTTCATATCCATTAGCTCATTTGATTTTTATAAGACATGTATTTAGTTGGAGGGTATAATTATTATTCTTTTTTAACTTAAAATCAAATCTCAGAGAAGATGGAACTTGCCCATGTGAAACAATCATAACAGTTCCTCATTATAAATGATATAGGGTACTATGGGACAAAGAAATCTTCAGTAACTTTCAGTATCTAGGAATCTAGAAATTCCACATATTAGCATAGAAGGCCCAAACTAGAAACTATAGATAAAAAATAAAACCATAAAGAAGTTATTAACTTAAATAAACATTAAATGAAAGAAGAAAACAAAATTGTAATCATAGTTACTTGTAAACCAGTGATAACTGCACAATACATCAAAATTGGCAGAAAATGCAAAAGCCATTCTTAGGGGGAAAAAACATAGCCCTATATGTGTTTATTTGACCAAAAAAAATGAAAATAAAAGAGCTAAGTATTACACTACAAAATGTGTTTAAAAGATGATAGTGTAAATATAAAGAAAGCAGGAAAAAGGAAATTTGAGTCTAGAAAATCTCCATATAATTATTAGGGAAGAGGAGAAGAGATGAGAAAAAAGAACTAGGCTTCTTTCCAAGATTAAGTTGATCTGGGCTAGGCATGGTGGATCACGCCTGTAATCCCAGAACTTTGGGAGGCTGAGGCAGGCGGGCGGATCATTTGAGGTCAGGAGTTCAAGATCAGCCTGGGCAGCATGGTGAAACCCCGTCTCTACTAAAAATACAAAAATTAGCCAGGTGTGGTGGCATACACCTGTAGTCCCCAGTACTCGGGAGGCTGAGGCAGGAGAATTGCTGGAACCTGGGAGGCGGAGGTTGCAGGGAGCCTAGATTGTGCCGCTGCTCTCCAGCCTGGGTGACAGAGCGAGACTTCATTTCAAAAAAAAAAAAAAAAAAAAAAAAAGTTGATCTGGAACACATGCCCTCTTATACATAATACCATTTCAAGACCCCTTTAAAGTAAATAACAATAAAATAGATACTAGAAATTGAAAGTACGATATGGCTCTAAAAGTAAAATCAATTTAAAAAATACAACAAAAATGATTTCCAATGGCAGAAGAAAGAAGAGAAAATAAGAGAAAGAGGACAAAACAAAGGATAAAATGGGTTATCTAATGCAGTGACAAAACTGGCATCCTTTTCTGGAAGAACTTCATAGGGTACAGGCTGGAAGAGTGGTTCTCTTGAACAGGCATCAGAATCACCTGCAGGACTTGTTCAAAAACAGATTACTATTCCCACTCCCATAAAATATGGATTTAGATATAGACCATAAGATTGACTTTTAAAATACATGAATAGGTTCACATTTTTATAAGACAGGAACATTTACAGAAAATGAAATGAGAGATGTTCAATACAATACTTTAAGATGTAATGTATCTTATTAAAAGTGGCCATAGATGACAGTTGAAGTTTAAGTCTTGAGAAAACTATGTTTCTTACAGAACATTAATATACATTTTCCTTAACCATCTCAACTTACAGTCTAAACACTGCGTGAGTGATGATAGGATCAAAGATAACTGGAGCATTGTATTAAACATATATTTAATCTGAGTCCTCAAGAAAGTGTTGCAATTTAAATATATATAGACAGACATACATATGTGTGTATATATATATATTTATTAATTATTAATTTGTTATTTATTAATTCCAAAGGCATGGTACAGAGAGCTGCATAAGAATTCTCAGCTGGCTTTGGGAGGCCGAGGCAGGCGGATCACGAGGTCAGGAGATCGAGACCATCCTGGCTAACATGGTGAAACCCCGTCTCTACTAAAACTACAAAAAATTAGCTGGGCGTAGTGGCGGGCGCCTGTAGTCCCAGCTACTCGGGAAGCTGAGGCAGGAGAATGGCGGGAACCTAGGAGGCAGAGCTTGCAGTGAGCCGAGATTGTGCCACTGCACTCCAGCCTGGGCGACATAGCCAGACTCCGTCTCAAAAAAAAAAAAAAAGAATTCTCAGCTGGTTAATAGCACAGCCAGGTGTACATTTGATTTTCAATATATATATTTATATCTATATATATAAATATATATATATAAATATATAAATATGTATATAATATATAAATATATATAAATATATAAATATATATAAATATATATAAATATATATAAATATATATAATTTATAAATTTATAAATTTATTTATATATATAAAATTTATATAAATTTTATATATTTATATATAATATATAAATATATATATTATATATAAAAAGTATATTATATATATTTATATATTGTATATTATATATAAATAAATATATAAAATATATAATATATACAACATATAAAATATATATGATATATATGATATATAATATATAATATATATTTATTATATATAATACATAATATATATTTGTTATATATAATATATATAATATATAATAAATATATATAATATATAATATATAATATATGTGTTTATATATAATATATATTTTTTATATAATATATAAAATATATATTATATATAAAATATATGTAATATATAATTTATAAATAAATATATAATATATAAATATATAAAATATATATTATATAAAATATAAAATAAATATATAAAAATAAATATATATAAATATACATATTTATATAGATAGACACACAAACATATATATATAGGCTTTTAAAACACTAAGTGTAAAGTTCTCATCTTCTTTGGTAGAGATTAGACATCTATTAATCTAGCAGAATAGCCAAATGACTACAGAAAATCATTTTTAAAATACGCTTTATAGAATAGGGGGAAAACCCAGTGACATAATGCATAATGCCTGGACATCACAATAGAATGTATTTTGTGTTAATACATTCTGTGGTTTATGCCCAACACTATGATCAGTGAAATCTGCCTGGTTTCCATCCACTCAGACTACACTCCATTGTCATTTCTGAGAAAATAGTAGCATGATTACATAAGGAAAAATGATGCATGAGGATGTCTTGTTAACTTTAAGGAAGGTGCTCTAAAATATGAATCAGCATATAGAGGTGGTTGTATTGATTTTTAGTATTATAATTTGACTCTGAAGTCACATTTGCAATTTGCGATTTGCAAAAGAGAGTGATATCTTGCATCATCACATCAGACCACATAGTTTGCACACTTTATGTAATATTGGGGAGGTAGAGTGGGGTGGATATTTCATCGCAAATGAAAAATGCAACAGTTTGTTTCTCGGGTGAGCTACCTATGGTTATTTAATGTCACCTGCCATAGCAAAATACTGCTTAATCTATATGACTGGGTAGATGGGTGCTAAAGAACAATTCTCTTTTAACTTTGCTGCATGTTTAAAAATTTTGATAACAAATTGCTAGGGTAAGAACTAAAAGATCACGTAGATTCCAGAGCCAACCTACCAAATTTAAATTTCATCTTTCCTGGTATGACCTTGGACAAGTCTCTTAAGGTCTCTGTGCCTCAGTTTCCTCACCTGTAAAATAAACACTCATTAAATTGTAATGAAATTTGAGTTAACATTTTCAAAGTGCCCAGAAGTGTAACTGGCATGGGGAAGCACTAGATTATGTGTATGTGTGTGTGTGTGTGTATGTAATTATAAAATAAAACTTCAAGTCCCACAGAGTGGCTCATGCTTGTAGTCCCAGCACTTTAGGAGGCCGAGGCAGGTGGATCGCTTGAGACCAGGAGTTCAGGAACACTCTGGGTGACATGGTGAAACTCCATCTCTATAGAAAAAAAATACAAAAAAATTAGACGGGCATGGTGATGCATGCCTGTAGTCCCAGCTACTCAGGAGCCTGAGGTGGGAGAGTCACTGGAACCCAGGAGGTTGAGGCTGCAGTGAGCCGAGATCACGCCACTGCACTCCAGCCTGGATGACAGAGCAAGACCATGTCTCAAAAAAAAAAACCCAAAAAAAACAGAAAACTTCACCTACAATTTGGTAAATATCCTTGTGGTTTGTTTTTACTTGAAATTATAGGAATTTAAATTCAAAAATCTTTTAGGACTATTTAATTCAACTCTTAATTCCAAAGGGGTAGTACAGATAGCTGCATAAGAATTCTCAGCTGGTTGATAGCAGAGCCAGGTGTACATCTGCTTTTCAAATTGAAAGTCCCCTAATATTGCTAACACACTAGAATTTATCTTTTGGCAGTGGCAGGGAAGAGAAGTTAGCAGTTTTTGTTATTTTAACTTAATTAAATATTGTTTGATGCTTCTTTTTCTTTTGTTTTATTTGTTTTTTGTTTTGAGGCAGGGTCATGCTCTGTTACCCAGGCTGGATTGCAGTGGCTTGATCATAGCTCACTGTAACCTCGAACTCTTGGGCTCAAGTGATCCTCCCCCTTTAGCCTCCCTAAGTGCTGCACATACCACCACACCTGGCTCTGTTTGATACATTTAAATAAGTTAAAATATGTTTGAATTTTCACAACTCTGACTAGATGTCATGTGCTGAAGCATTTGCGAGTAAGGTAGCAAATATTTAGCTATAATTTAAGCTAATGAAATGAGTCTGAAAAGAATCCAATAAATTATAATATGTTACTATTACTTCCCATAAGTCATTTTGATATATGGTAGAATTTTAAAAATGATTACTTGTTTTATATAATACCAATTCATTCTATTATTGGTTCTTTTGGATGCTGAGAAAACAAAATATGAATTTAACCAATTGCCTTCAGGGTAGGAAGCTGATCAAATACATTATCTTTAAGATTGGCCTGTATTATATTTCAAAGTTTCAATGGGTTAATCTCATAGTTATTTACTTCAAAATGAAGGCTGGTGACATGAAGTTAAAATATATAATTCTGAGCTTTACTACTTACCTTGAAAAACTAATGATGACAAGATATCTTCATTTGCTGATGATACAATGGCATTTTAAAAAGAAATGGGGTTTCCAACAAAAAGTAATCATTTACATCCAAATACGACTTAAAAGGTAACCCATATGGACCACAAGAAATGATTATAATTATCTGGAAAGATAGGAATAAAGGATTACCGTAAGAGACTCTGTCCATTCTTGGAGGGGATACGTTCTCTAGATTTTAGAGAATTAGGTTATCTCTAGCTGCTGTGCGGAAGCTCTGGGAGATAAGCAATCACTTCAGTGACAAAACTGTGAAGTTTTAATAAAGGAGCCCATTGGTATGGGACTGAGGCTCTAAAACTGTGGCCTGATGTCCCACATCATGAATATTCAAAACCTTAAATCTGGAGACCTTCATGTACTTCCTAGAGAGGCAATCCATTCCCTCCTACCCAGAGAGCACGTCCATGCACGCAGGCACGCGCACGCGCGCATCACACACACACACACACACACACACACACACACACACACACTGCCCAGAAGAAAATGATAGGATTTTTTCCTAGCATGAAAACATTATTATTCTATAATAAGTACACAAATGCAGTTTTTATGTTGAAGATAAATCTTTTTTAAAAAGGAAACTCTCCATTCCTTTGTAAAATATTGTAATAAGAGAACTTTTAAGTGTATACCCAATCATGTATGGATGATCTCCTGTGTCGATATCGCATTGCAGAAATCCATGTACGTATTTTAATGGGCGTTGCTACTTGGATCTTCAGAATACATGATATATCTCTTCTCAGATATCTCATAGACCATCCCCCCTCTGCTGCCACTGAATTTCATTTAGACCTCGGTGGCTGAGTTTTTAAGCTAGATCGTTACAAATGAAGCCTTACCATTTGATGAAAATCCAGCAAAAATGCATATTGCATTTACAACAGACAAAACCAAATTTTATTGGTAAAAATAACTATTTCTTTTAGAATAAAGAATGTATTTATAGTTTTGTTTTGTTTTTAAATCTTGAAAGAGACCTGAATTTATAATTAGTACAGTGTGATTCTCAACCTTGGCTGCATATTAGAATCATCTGGGGGTCCTTAAAAAATACTGATGCGTAGGTCTCACGCCTGGTTAGGATTTGATTGGTAAGGGTACAACCTGTGCACCAGGGATTTTCAAAGTTCCCTCAGGTGATCATCGTGTGCAATGGGGGATGGGAACTACTGAAACCTAATCCCCGCAATTACAGGGTTTTATATCGTTTGCCTCAGGCTAAAGATTTATGCCAGACTTCTAGACCAGTCTCCTTTCCAATTCCATAAAATGAACAATTTCACATATTGAAAAATGTTTTTAATAATTAATCATTTAAATTCCACAATGTGGCTGGGTGCGGTGGCTCTCACCTGTAACCGCAGCACTTTGGGAGGCTGAGGCAGGTGGATCACTTGAGGTCAGGAGTTCAAAATCAGCCTGGCCAACATGGTGAAACCCTCTCTCTACTAAAAATACAAAAATTAGCCAGGCGTGGTGGTGCACACCTGTAGTCCCAGCTACTTGGGAGGCTGAGCCAGGAGAGCCCGGGAGTCCAGCAGTGAGCTGAGACTGCGCCACTGCACTCCAGCCTGGGTGACAGGGCAAGACCCTGTCTCAAACATATAAATACAAAAAAAAAATAAGAATAAACTCCAAAGAGCATGTTTCCACACTTAATGCTTATTGCTGAAACCCTCCTTTGTTAACATTTTAAATTGTCGCTCTATAGATGTCATTAGTTTTCCTCTTGAAAAGGCACTGATTAAAAAGTAAATTATTAGCACTAGGTATAATATTAGTTCGAACCACAGTTAGTAAATACAGAACATGCTATCTAATGAAAATGTCTTATGAGCATTTCGGGGCATCACTTTACATGTGAGCAATTTTGGTTTTTAGTTGTGCAGTCTGTGAGAGTGATTTTGTTAGTTTTGCAGGCCTCAGAAAACTCCAGATAATTTAATGGCACCCATCCTGTATAGGATGTGTGTAAAGCACTTCACAGGTTGCCTATCTTGGCCAAATGTAAGAAGCAATTGGAGAGGCAAAGGAAAAAGCAGTCAGGAATAATATTAACTGTGCATTATTGTGGCAGCTTTATTCTGGCTTTTGTTGTATTTTAATAGTGACAGCTGCACCCAGAATTTCTTGTTTCCATAACTAGTGCAATTTCCTTTTCCTGAAAGCTCTGTGTAGTTATAACCTGGTCTTTTGTTTTCCTGCATTGACTAAGGAAACTAATTTTTTTTGTTACTAGACAGATAAAAGACAAGTGTTAAAAGGTGTCAATTGCATTTTTTTTAATATGGAGAAAGTGTCCAATCTTGTGGTCTGTCTTCAACTAATTTTAGATATGATTTTATTTTTCTGGCCACCCGTGGACTTGTCACAAATTAATTAAATGCTTCACTTCTTTTATCTAATTGAGGCCATTTCTACCTCTGATGAATAATTTCATAAAGTTTGTTACAAAGGAAAATGCTTTCTGAGTGATAGTTTATGCAAAGTAAACACACAGAACAGCTCTATTTGAACCTTTGCTTGTGGCAAAGGCTTTCCATACACTCCACAGGAAGTTGTTCCCTCTCAAAGAAGGCCAGTGTCTTCCTTTTTTAACGTACAGCATGAAAATGTACTTGACCCCAAGCTTCAAAGCAGAGAAGTCAGCTTTATCTAGCAGGGACAATGCGCATTAAATCAATAAAATGGCAGGGGTATGAAACCAGTGGAATTGGGAATTGGATTCCAGTCAGGGTCAATCAGCCCAAAGTAGAGATCTAATATTTTCTGAATGAACTGTTTGAAGCACTGGCCTTCAGAATCATTGTCAGTTTTTGATGACTTCCTCAGGCAACATAGTGTCACACACAGCAAGAGGGTCACAAACCCAGATGCCTACAGGGGCCGGATACAGAAAAGAAATAAGTGAAGCTGGCTAGGTAGGAGATCATAGACAGTGATGGAGACTCGGTCAGGACTTTGGTCAGTGCCTGGGTAATCTCACACAGTCAGCACATAGTGAGTTCCAGCCAGTTTCTGCCTCCTGGGAATGCTGGAGTGTTACAAAGCCTCCTGATTTTTTAAGAGCCGCTATGAATCTTTTTTCTTTTAAATGTTAGAAACTCATTTAAAATATATGAAAGCAGACACCAGCCACAAATAGGTATTTTTGGAGTCAGAGTTTGCATAAGACTTTAGATATGATATATTCCAAATTCCCTACTTTTCTGAAGGAAGAAGGAGGGAAGAAGAACATCAAGAATTGGAGGACATTTAGGATGATGGCAAGGCCTCTGAACGTACAAAAAGGGGGTTTCCATCAGCACCACTCTTCAAACCAGAAATGCTAAACGCAGAGAGGATTAACATGGCAGAAGGAGAATTACTCATTTAGTATCACCTCTTTATAAGCAAGGAGACTTGTCTAGTCACCCAACTGCTGAGCATCAGAACTGGGACCAGGCAATACTCATAGTAAAATTAGAAAACTTGTGAAAACCTCAGGGAGAATATAAATTCCAGTTCATTCTATAATAAAGTCTCAAAGACCACCAAGGGTAACTTGTACAAGTCCTATCATTAGTTAGGGACAGAGCCTATCTACCAGTTGTATATGGTACAAATATTTTTGAGCATATGAATATGCAACAATTTTTTTAAAACTCTTCCTTCATTATATTAAGACTTTTTAAAAAATGTTATTTATGGGATAGTTTATTTATCAGAGGGCTGCTGGGTTCATCTACTCTGGCTGCTAATGACAGATGAATCACCATTCAGCATTTACTGAATATACATTCATTAAAAATGCAGTCTATGGAGGCTCTGTAGAAATATGGAAAGTTGTTATCAGTGCAAAACTTGAAATAAAATTGTATGCACATTGTTATAACTATTTTTATAGTTGAATTGCAAAAACTTGGAAGGGAAAACACCAAAAGTATCTGTTAAAGAGGTGAAATTAGAAGTGATTTTTTAAAAAGTCTTCTGCATTATTATATGGTGATATTAATTTCAATTTAAAAATATATAGCCACGAAAATAAATTATTACTTGAACAACTATTGAAAGTCCAGCAATGTGCTAGTTGCCATAGGGAGATAAAATTCTATTAGCTAGTATAGAGGAGAAAAGGTAACATCTTTTTCTCACCCATTGCAGGGTTCATGATTAAGATCCCTGTAACAGAAAACCAGATTAACAACAGAAAAGCATACAGATTTATTTAATATAAGTTTTATGGAATACTGAAGCCTACAGAAATGAAGACCTAAATAAACAGGGTGTAATGTTGTAAAATATATATTTGGTCTTCATGCCATGTCCTGGCATATGATTTCTAAAATCTTTGGAATCTCCAAAGTGCTGTTTTTCTGTATGCTAATGTTGACTGACCACTTCAAGATGGGTCTGGTCACCAGAAAGACAAAGTCATGCTTAGAGGATTGGTACTTTCAACCCCAACCTTTGGGGAAAGAAGAGGGACTGAAGGTCAAGCTGATCACCAGTGGTCACTGTCTTAACCAATCATGCCTATGTAAAGAAGCCTTCATAAAAACCCAACAGGACAGGGTGCAAAGAGCTTCCAGAAAGCTGAACCCATGGAGGATCCTGGAGGGTGGCTCACCCAAGCAGGGCGTGGAAGCTCCACGCCCCTTCCCCAATACCTCGCCCTATGCATGCCTTCATCTGTATCCTTTGTGATATCCTTTATGATAACCAGCAAACATTGCGTTCCCCTGTGTTATTTGAGCCACTCTAGCAAATTAATTGAACCCACAGTGGGTCATGGGAACCTCAACTTGAAGCCAGTCAGGCAGAAGTTCCAGAGGCCCAAATTTGCAACTGATATCTGAAGTGGGGGAGCAGTTTTGGGGACTGAGTCTTCAGCCTGTGAGATCTGACCAGGTATATTCAAAATGATATAGAAGGACCCCCAAGTGGTATCTGCTGCAGAATTCATTGCTCACTTGGTGGTGGGAAGAAACCCCCTCCCACGCACACACATTTGGTCACAGAAGTCTTCTGTGTTGATGATTGCTGTGGTGTGAAAGCAGAGGGAAAATTGTTTCAGTTTTTTCTAAACACAAGGAAAACTATTTTTATGTTTACATTTGATGAAGAGTGGAAAGTCGTATAGAGATATGATTGAACAAAAAGGGGCATGATCTAAAGGAAATAAACGGGGGAACTTAGCACGGCCTGTTTGTTCAGCTTCTCCTTAGAGTCTCTACCTTCATTCCTTTCCTCTGGATATAGGGAGGACCCCTCTGGAATGCAGGTCTTATGACCTACTTTAGATGAAGGTCAGAAAATCTTTTATGTCCTGCTTCAGGGGAGAACCACAGGAGGAGATTAGAAAGACCTTCCTGCTTCTGCTGTTTGCTGAAGTGACAATATGCCATATTTTGGGGTAGCGTGTCCTGAACCTAATCAATAGGCTCACTTGTAAAATGAGAATGTTGAGAGATAATGAAATAATTATAGAAAGAAAGAAATCTGAAATGAATGTACAAACAATAGGCTTTAGATTCTCACAGACCTGGATTTTTGTTCTCAGCTCTGTCATTTAGGCATATTGCCTTGGGAAAGGAACTTAAGTGTTCACAAAGTCTCAGATTTGTGATCCGTAAAATCCAGATGATGATAATACCTTCATCATGGTTGAAATGAGACAATGCATGTAAAGCACTTAGTGAGAAGCCTGTCATGGAGACATGGCCGTTAAATGTTAGCTATTTTCACTACCATTGTGGATTTTATCCTTCTACAGAACTAGTAATAATAATCATAATAGCACTAGCAATCTAGTAATTATAGTAGTGATCACTCATTATTGAAATGGGCTCCCCCTGTTGGCCAGGCAGTGTTGGGACTTTTATCTGATTGTTCTCTAAATTTCACAACAATTTTTTTAAAAAAATCAGTATTATTAATAAATATTATTCAGTACTATTTATAAAGCAGGTGAGACTCAGAGTGTAAGTAATGGTTCTAACATCTCATAGCTAGACATAGAGGAGCTGGGATTTAAATTCAGACATGTATGATTCCAAACAGTTCTTCATACTGTTCTGTAGAAAAATCTATGTGTAGCCCTAGGAAATGATGTGACTTTATATAAGCAAGAGCAAGTGGGGAAGTGTTGGGGTTGGAGATGTTTCACTGGTTGGGTTGCCTGGGATTGGATGCTATGCCAAAAAAGAACCTAAGAGTGAAAGAGGAAGATAGCACCTGTGGAGTAAGCCAGGCTGCCAATGCCAAGGAACCCATGGTCCAAAGACCAAACCAAACAAGTACTCAGCCCCAAAGACAAGGCAATTATAGGCAAGCAGTACTCAATGAGAAAACCAACCAGAACAGAACCAGAGACAGCCAGTGGGAGCTTACTCAGCCTGTGTTCATTCCCGTCGGGGTTGGGAGTGGTATAGGAAAATGTCGTCGTTTATTTATGTATTTTTATGTTATTTTGGAGACAGGGTCTCGCTCTGTCACCCAGGCTGGAGTGCACTGGCACTATTACAGCTCACTGTAAACTTGAACTCTTGGGCTCAAACGATCCTCCTTCCTTGGCCCCCAAAGCTCTGGGGTTACAGGCATGAGGCACCACGCTGGGCCCAGTTCGAGAGTATTCATAACATTGGTTGGGCAACTTGCTTTGGAAGGCTGTACTATCTTGCTTTATCTGAGATATTCAAGTGCTTTTAAGATCTTTATCAACTCCAATTAGACTTCAACAGCATTTGGCAGCTTTCTACATATATCGTGTTTCAAGGTTGTTGATATCTCTTGTTTTTATCTATGGTAGAGCTTTCACTTCCCTTTTACATTCTACTTGTTGCTTTAGGGTGATCTCCACCAGGAAAGGAATCAATAATTCGCTTTATGTACCCAGTAGAAAACTGTATGTTTCTAAAAACCTTCTAAAGGAAGCAGCTACTGAAAAACAACATAATAAAAGGAAAATGAATTGTGAAAATACATATGTAAAGGGATAAATTGTATATGTAAAGGAAAGTAAAAGCCAGGAGCCTATTTTACATTATACAGCCTTATAATTTGGAAATTTCTTCATAGCATCATTATAATGTGAGGCAGTATGGAGTATGATTAAGGGCATGGATTTTTAAATCAGCAACCTCTGTTTAAGTCCTACCTGTTACTTTAGCAAATCAGTTGTCTTAACCCTTTATGTAAAAAAGGGAATATCAGGGGGATTTATCTTACAAAATTGTTTTAAGGATTAAGTGAGCTACTCTATGCAAAGCACATTTCAAGTCCCTGTCTTAGTCAGTTAGAGCTGTCATAACAAAATACCATAAACTGGGTAGTTCGAACTATAGAAATTTGTTTACTTAGAGTTTTGGAAGCTGAGGAATACAAGATCAAGGTGCCACCTGACTTCCTTTCTGGTGAGGGCTCTCATGCTGACTTGCAGACAGATGCCTTTTTGCCGTGTCCTCACATGGCTGAGACAGTGCGAGCTCTTTGGTATCTCCTTTTATGAAGACAGTATCATGTCAGACAAAGGCTCTACCCCATGGCCTCATTTAACCTTAATTACTTCCTTACTTTAGATATAGGCATACTGGGGGTCAGGATAGCAACATCTGAATTTTAGGTGAACACAGTTAAGTTCACAGCAGTTCACAGCCATCCCCATTACATGTTTTAATTTTATTTGTTTATTTCTTTTTCGAGAAAGGGTCTCACTCTGTCACCCAGGCTTATAGTGCAGTGGCATGATCATAACTCACTGCAGCCTCAACCTCCTGGGCTCAAACGATCCTCCTGCCTCAGCCTACTGAGTAGCTGAGACCACAGGTGTGCGCTACCATGCCTGGCTACTTTCTTCACTTTTTATAGAGATAGGGTCTCACCATGTTGCCCCAGCTGACCATTTTTTAATATACCAATTAAATTCACCAAACATATACTTGTTTAAATTTAACTCAAAGATATAACTTCTATTAACATTTCTTAATATATTGTAATTGAGATAAAGCACAGCATTATCATATATCATTATTGTATATTATATGATATATCTAATATTATTATATTATTATTATGGGATTTATCTTACAAGATTGTTTTAAGGATTAAGTGAGATACTCTATGTAAAGCACATTGCGTAGTCCCTGTCTTAGTCAGCTAGAGCTGTCATAACAAAATACTGTAAACTGGGTAGTTCATAGATGTATGATTATGTATGTGTCATGTATCATGAAAATGATTTACATTTTCTCCCATTCTCTGTGGCCCATGGCATTTTAAGGACTTCATAAAAATTGGCTATAATTATTATTTTTATTGGAGAAGAGATACACTCCATATGCCTCTTCTATTAAATTTTACCATTTTAGTAGTTTTAAAATGTATAAATCAGTTCTTTTTAGCATATACACAATTTTGTGAAACTATCACCACTATCCACTTCCAGAATATTTCCATTACCCCCAAAAAGAAACCCCTTACCACCTAGTAGCCCTTTCCAACACCTTCTTTCCCTCATATACTGGGAACTACTAGTCTGCTTTGTGTGTCTATGTATTTGCCTATTCTGGACATTTCTTATGAATGGAATTATGCAATATGTGACCTTCTGTATCTGCTTCTTTCACTTCTCATAATATTTTCAAGATTCATCTCTATTGTCACATGTATCCTTTTCATGGATGAATAATATTCCACTGTATTGATCTATGACATTTGTTTATCCATTCATCAGTCAATGGACATTTGAGCTATTTCTACCTTTTGGCTATTATTAATAATACTGCTATGAACACTTGTGTAAAAGTGTTTATGCAGACCTGTGTTTTCAATTCTCTTGGGTATTGTGCAAAAAAGAGTTAACAGGCCTGACTGCTGCGCTTTGAAAAGCCTGGTTTAAAAGGTTGGCCCTTTATTGGCATGTGGAAACCTGGATTTCAGTAGGGTGCCCACTACCCTAACTGGTAAGAGTGGCTCACTGTTCCTAAATTGTGCAAATAATATGGTTTTTTATGAACACCTTATTTCCTTCTGGGAATCTGGAATTTTGGTATATGTCAAGCAGAGGCTGCCTACATGACCAGCCCCCAGTGAAAACCCCGGGTACTAGTCTTTAATAAGTGCCCTTGGCTGGCGTTTTCACACGTGTTTTCATAATTCATTGCTGTTTTATGTGCATCTCCTGGGAGAAGACTTGGGAATCTTGCCTCTGATTTCCTCCAGTCTTCACTCCATGTGTTTCTTCCCTTTGCTGATTTTTCTCTGTATCCTTTTACATTATGATCTAATAAGTCATAACTGTGAGTATGAATATATGCCAAGTCCTGTGAATCCTCCTAGTAAAACATCAAACCTGGGGTTGGTTTCGGGGACTCCTAACACAAGTATATACCTAGGGATGAAATTTCTGGATCAACTTTTTGAGCAACTGCAAACTGTTGGCCATAGTATCTACACTATTTTACATTACCACTAGCAACATTTGAGCCTTCTGACTTCATGTAATCACTCCAATACTTGCCATCATTTATTTTCTGGGTTTTTTTGTTTTGGTATTTGGTATGTATTTCTTTAATAGCCAGTCTACTGGGTATGAAGTGCTATCTCATTTGATTTGCATGTCTCTAATATCTAATAATGTGGAGCATCTTTTCATGTGTTTATTGACCATTTATACATCTCTGTTTGGAGAAGTGTTTATTCAAGTCCTTTACCTATTTTTTAAATTGAGTTGTTTTATCATTATTGAGTTGTAAGATTCTTTTCATATGTTGAATACTAGATTATTATTAGATACATGATTCACAAATATTTTCTCCCATTCTGTGCATTTTAAGCACTTCAAAAAATTTGGCTATAATTATTATTTTTAATCAATGATCCTTCAAATCACTAGGCTTTTCTCATTGACCAAAATAGCCTCATATATATTATCACCATATGCATACATTTTCTTGGTTTTTTTTTTAACCCTTTAACGTTTGCTATGTTGATAGCATACTGATTTCTCTATGTTGGGAAAGTATATTTCACACATTTTGGTAATTATCTATGGAATATTTATAAATATCTCTATTATGTGCTGGATATTTTGCCCAGAGTAGAAGCATATTAACTGACAAGGGCCAACTCCTGAATTCCCTTTTAGAAAATGTTAACAACTGCTCAGATCCTACTTCAGGATGCTTTTCGTGTCAAGATCCCAAAGGTTTGATAAAGAATGGTTGGTTTTCATTTGAGATAGTCATTACCCAGACAAGGTTGGTTATATTTCACTTAATGTTTTTATGGCTTCTAACACAACCAGTAGTTTTCTATTTATTTCCTGGGAGTAGGGAAGGATAGTTGTGTTGCTTGAAGTGTATTTTTTATTATTTTTGCTATTAAATGAGAACAACAAAAATTCACTGTAATTATTAACTTTCTTTCATTTTCACATTTATTTCTGTAATTTCTCAAGTCCCTGAAATACCCTGAAGAGACTTATCTAGTTAAATAGTTAATATTTTGTTGTGAAAGTTTTACTATAAGCCAAACATTTTACTTTTTGTTTTTAAAGTAAATGTAGACATATGCACATTCATATGCAAAATGATGGGCCCAAATTGGATCAGGGATTTTTAACCTGAAATCCATAGATTATCTTCAGGGAGGTGTCTGAAGCCCCTGAAATTGCATGTACATATTAACTCCCCCCATCTACTTATCAATGTGTTCTCTAATTTAAAAAATGATTAAGAACTACTGGACTAGATAAGTCTTAGATCTGTCCAGATTAGGTTATTTTTAAAAATTCAGTTACTAACCATCAGCTTGTCAGTGAAGATATGTTCAATGAAGGAAGGGAGGGACCTTGTCAATCTTTTTTCACTATTGTATCCTCTACATGTGAAACACGGTACGTACTCAGAAAACATTTGTTGAATTAGTCAATGAATGAATGATTAAGGAACAATTTCTCCATAGAGTGACCTAACATTAGAACATTAGAAACAAGGTTCATAAGGACAAGACTTCACTTTTTTTTTTTTTTTTAGACAGAGTCTCACTCTGTCGCCCAGGCTGGAATGCAGTGTCATGATCTCGGCTCACTGCAACCTCGCCTCCTGGGTTCAAGTGATTCTTCTGCCTCAGCCTCCCAAGTAGCTGGGACTGCAGGAATGCACCACCATGCCCAGCTGATTTTTTAGCAGAGACAGGATTTCACCATGTTGGTCAGGCTGATCTCGAATTTCTGACCTCAGGTGATCCACCTGCCTCGGCCTCCCACAGTGCTGGGATTACAGGCATTGAGTGACCACGCCCAGCTAATTTTTATATTTTTAGTAGAGACGGGGTTTCACCATGTTGGCCAGGCTGGTCTCAAACCCCTGACCTCAGGCGATCCGCCTGCTTGGGCCTCCCAAAGTGCTAGGATTACAGGCGTGAGCCACCACGCTGGGCCAAGACTTCACTTTTGAAATAGAATGAAAAGTTAATTTACATAGAAAATTCAAAAATTGACTTTCTTGGTGGGCTAAGCCTCAGCTAGTTCTCTCAAAGACCTTCCAGAAGAACCAGGTTCTATTATAAACAATAGTTGACAAGTAATCAGGATATGTAGTGTTCAGCCCTAGTTCTGCTATATACCAGCTTATTCTACATTCCAAGTTGTTTTGTTTGTTCATTAACTCATTCATTAAGGATGGATCAGATATCCACAGTGTGGCAGAAAGAATGATAAAAGCTGGGGAACAATGACCACATTAACTCAAGTGTCTATCTTCTAAGAGCTTGCAAGCAATAGACAAGTAAGTAAAGTATTATAAGTGTGACTAGGGTAAGTATCATGGTGTACAGAATGCTTTGAAAGCAGAAGGAAAGGCCATTTCATTATAGGGAATTTTTTGTTGCCTGACAAAAATACAGATATTTCCTATTTTTTGCTACATTACACTTTGCTTCTTTTTGATGTCAATGAGATAGAGATGCCATGACATCAAAAGCCAGAAACCAACCAAAGGGATTTATACTGCTTTTATACCCTATTAAATGCAGGTAGACATTACCTACCCTCTTTCCAGCCCTGTCTGAAGGTGGCTTTCTTTTATAGTCTAAACTATTCTGAGCCTGAACATTGAGCATAACTCGTTCAGAGACCTGGGGAAGATTAAAGGTAGGTTTTCTGGGACTTACACCTGAATTTTTATGTACCCAACTGAGCCATCAGTTTTGGGAAAGAGAGGGCAAAGGTGGAAAGATGTGCTTGCTCACTTTATTACTCTCCTAGAGGCAAAAAATTTGTGTCCATGGTGATTTATGTTCAAAAAGATCTTATTCCATCTAGACCACAGAAAGTCACATGTGTCTTCCTATCTATTAGATAAACACTAAACAGAAACAAGGGTGCATTCTCCTTCCTATGCCAAACACTTCCCCTCCCCCAGCATTATAGACTTTAAAGAATTTAAAGACATTTTGTGTTTACATACTTGTGTAAGAATTATTAGGTGCCAGAAACTAATCTCAGCACTTTAAATATATTAAGGGATTTAACACTTACATCCTATAAACTGGGCTCCATTTCACAAGGAAGTTGAGGCACAAAGTCTAAGTAACTCACTCAATGTTGCATAGTGGTAGAGCTGAGATTTTGAACCCAGGCACTGTGGTTTTGACCCCTATAGCTTATAGACATTAGCATATTCTTTTTTTGTTTGTTTGTTTGTTTTGAGACAGAGTCTTGCTCTGTTGACCAGGCTGGAGTGCAGTGGCATGATCTCGGCTCACTGCAACCTCCACCTCCCAGGTTCAGCAATTCTCGTGTCTCAGCCTCCCGAGCAGCTGGGATTACAGGCATGTGCCACCACACCTGGCTAATTTTTATATTTTTAGTAGAGATGAGGGTTCACCATGTTGGCCAGACTGGTCTCCAACTCCTGACCTCAGGTGATCCACCCACCTCAGCCTCCCCAAATGCTGGGATTACAGACGTGAGCCACCACGCCCAGCCAAGATAATTGGTTTAGAATCAGTTTTCTAATTCTATCTGCATCCCTTAAGAGAGAGAAAAAGAAACAAATCATGGTAGTGGCAGAGTAACCAAGGCTTTTGGGGCCTCACTGTATTTGTCATTAAGTTAGGATGCAGAAATAATACCTGCCTTAGCTTATACAGTGTGGGTTGGGGAACTCTGCCATGAACATGGAAGTATTAAGCACTGACACATGATATACTGATGCCACTGCTGCTATTTCATGTCCGGCATTGCTCTTCCTGCATATGGTACTGAAGGCACACCTACTGCTGTGTGCATATGTGAGTGTGAGTGTATGTGTGTGTGAGAGAGAGAGAGAATTTGTTTGTTGCAAACACACTAAGCACCCTCTTACTGCTACAGGGCTCTGTCAGTTACTGCTGTTTTTGCCTGTAGTGCTTATCAGTGATAGCCTCAGGGTTTGCCTGCTCACCTCCTTCAAGTCTTGGATCAGATATCCTTTTCTCAGAAAGGACTTCACTGTCAACTCTATTTGCTATGGTCTGAAAGTTTTGTCCCCATTAAGTTCATATGTTGAAATCCTAACCCTGAAGGTTGGGCCTTTGGGAAGGGATTAAGTCATGAGGGCAGAGCCCCCATGAATGAGATTAGCACCCATGTAAGAGAAGCCCCAGAGAGCTGCCTTTCCCCTTTGCTATGTGAGGACACAGCAAATGGGTGCCCTCTATGAACCAGAAAGTGGGCTTCACCAGACACCAAATCTGCCAGCACCTCGTGCTTGGACATCTCAGCCTCCAGAACTGTAAGCAATAAATTTCTGTTGTTATGAAGTTACCCAGTTTATGTTATTTTGTTAAAGCAACCTGAACAGACTAAGACGCTATTTAAAATTGCAGTGTTCTTCCTAGATTCTCTATTCCCTTTCTTGATATACTTAACTTCACAATACGAATGACCTTTCAACAAGCTATGTAAATTACTTAATCTGCTTCCCACAGCCTAGAATGTGAGCTCCTTGGACAGTGTGTTTACTTCTCTCTGTCTATCCTCAGTGTGAATAGTCTAGTACATAGTGGGTACTCAGTAAATACTTGTTGAATGAATGAAAGATGTTAATCCATTATCCCCTGTCAGTTACTTCTTACTTAGTTGACATGTTTCTCAAGCAAGCAGATGCTTTTGCAATAAAGGTAGAGAAGGTCACAGTCATCCACCTTCTCTGTGGCTAGAGGTGTATGGGAAGGGATTTGAGGATCATTTGATAGCGAAATGAAGAGGACAGGTGGATGACTTATTCAAAAGACCCAACAACTCAATGGACGTGCTTTTTACCTCATCTTAAGAAAGCTAAGAAAACGTTTTTTTCCTCTCTTTTGATAAGCCTGTGAATTCAAGTCAATGGCATTTTTTCTGCTGCCATTTATCCTTTCACAGAAAGGGTTTTTGCTTTGTGTTTGCCCAAATCAGTGTGCATGCCACTTTACCTTATGACAAAATGACATAGAAAAGGCAGAATGCCCAATAATTGGTGCAAATTTTATGCTTGTCATTTTGAAAGGTTATAAATCCCCTCTTTTATAATGTTTTCTATAGAGGATACTTTAGGACAGAATATCCCTTCTGTACATCAATATGCTGCTAATTCCAAAAAAGAACAACTTTGTAATTTGAAAGAATTGGTAACAAGTGTGGCATATGATGAATCACATTTATCCATTCTGCTGTCTATTGAAGGGAAATGGACTTTCACTTGTTTCCTTCTAAACCAAAGTTTCAAGACATAAATATTGACAAAATAGATTATCTCTCTTCCTAAGGGATGATTCCATCATTCTTTCCCACTATATTTCTAGGTAAAAGTGGACCAGTTTTACTGTTATCCAAACAATAAATGGGAGGAAACTTCAGGTACTATGAAAAACATTTCATTTTTAATTGGAAAATCAAGATTCTGGTGAGAGCTCCATCACTGCGTATCTGTGTGACTTTGGATACACCACCTAATCTTTGCAAACCTTTGTTTACTCGCCTCAAAAAGTGGGGTTTGATAAAAATCTGAACTCACTCACATTTAATATGCCATTTTACTCACAGCCTTAGTCCATTTGTGCTGCTATCACAAAATACCTGAGACTATATTATGCATAAAGAACAGAAATTTATTTCTCACTATTCTGGAGACTGGAGAGTCTAAAATCAAAGTACCGGCAGGTTTGGTGTCTGGTGAGGGCTGCTCTGTGCTTCCAAGGTGGCACCCTGTTATTGCGTCCTCCAGAGGGGATGAAGGCTGTGTCTTCACACGGTGGAAGGGACAAAAAGGCAAGAGGGTTGAATGCTGTTTGAAGCCTCTTTTATGAAGGCCTTAATCCCATTCATGAGGGAGGAGTCCTCATGACCTTATCACTCTCCTAAGGGCCTTACCTCTAAATACTGTTGCGTTGAGGATTAAGTTTCAACATAAATTTTGAAGGGGGCACACACATTCAAACCATAGTGCTCAGCGTACCAGAATCTCATGTGTTACTTGGTGCTGGTAATCATAGAGAGCAGTTGCCGTAGTGTATCATAATGCCAGTAAGTACTTGGCTCTGATCTTAGAAGAAACCAAGTTCAGTCCCTGTTCTGCAGCCTCTTATAACGGTGGCCTGTCTCCAGGCCTCTCTTTTCCATCATTAAATGAGGAAGAGCATAGCTCTTGTCTGTGGGTTATATGAACCAGCCCCCAATAACCATTTTTACTTTGTAGAGAGCCTAACCTTATTATGTACTCAGTAAATGATGGTTATTATTGTCATTATTTTACATGGCTCTAAAGAGGATACATAGGGGTTATCTTTTGAGGAAGGGAGAGTCAGAGTTGATTTGTAGTTTTGTAAACACTCTTTTTTCAAAGCTGAGCAAATCTCTGCCTAAGTTGAATGATTATGGCTTTGTTTATCCTTCTCTGACAGGACTTTCTAGTTTCAGTCAGTGGGTAATGTAGAACATATGTCTGGTTTGGATTTCCCGACAAACTTTCAATTAAAATACCAATGTCCCACCAGGAAGAACCGTATCTGGAGCCCCTTACCTGCCATAAACTTTATCTACATTGTGTTCTCATTCCCAACTTCACTGTAGACATCATGATAGCCCTATCTCCTAAGAAACAATGTGAAAAATAATTAAAATAGTTTCACACCAGAAAGAAAAGCACACCAAACTCAAATTTAGTGGACCTGTTAGAAATATGTTCTCCAAGTTTTGCTTGAGTAGCTTTCAGATTACTCCCTTTCACGCTTCCTAGTATATATATTGACGCATTCACTATGTGCCAAATTACAAACCTGAAACATTTAGAGAAAGACAGAAGTAGGGTACTTTAGCTGCCAAAGAGACAGGTGCAAAGGCTCATGAATATTAGTTGAGGAGCTGCGGTGCATATAACATGAAAGTACTGCCTGCAGGCATTCTGTGATTGGGCAGTTTAATGTCAGTGGGAAACGGAGGGTGTCACTGGGGAGTTAAAAACAACAGCAGTTCACCCCAGAAGGGCTTAAAACAGATAGTCTCCAGGAAACTGTGAAATTATGACTGAACGTAGAAAGGGCAACCTCTCCACTTTGGTCGTACTTTTGTTTAGATGAGAAGGAGGATGGTTTGGCTCTTGGGAGCGTTGGAGAGATAGCTGGGGAAAGAAACGGTGGTTTCTCCCAGTCCCACAAAAGGTTGGACAACTCTGGATTATAGTACTCTTAATACATGACAACTAAAGCGTCAGAAGCCAAAGCAGATCTTCTAGATCATTTATACCTCCTATTAAACAGAAAAATATATCCCTATGAGCATGGATAATGGGAGACACTGTTCATTCAGAGCATAAAAGAGAGGCATTTCCAGCATTTGATTTCAGAGCCATGCAAGTGCTCTTTTTTCCTTGGTTATCAGCTCTGGCAGCCACCTGGTGCTTAAAACAGCCTGATGTGGTTGCTGAAATTACCCTTCTATGCCCTCCTTAAATAGTGGCTCATGATTGTAGATCACCTGCATCTGTAACCCAGGGTGCAACATTCTAATGCATATGCCTGCACCCCGTCCCCAAATCTATGTAATCAGAAAGTTTGGGAAAGGCCACGGAATCCTATAGTCCTCATTTTTAACTGGCTCTCTGGGAGATTCTTTATGCGTAGAAAGAATACACAAATGCATATTGAAGGCATTAGCACTGCTTTTGGTTAACGGTCTTTTCAAAAGGCCACCATTAAAGTGTATGAATTCCAGCTTGAATCTAACAGTCTCCAGAATGACTTAGATTGTAGTTATATATATTTTTTTACAACAAGAAACTGTCCTGTAGTGGGGAAGGGCCTGGACAACACACATGATGGAGTTTTCCATATGCATCCAGAAATACCAGAAGGGGTACAGTTCAAGGAAGCAGATTTTTAGGGAGTAGTTGATCCCGGTGGTGTTCAGGTTGAAGTACAGACACAAAAATGAACAGTAAGTCCACAGAGAGAAGGCTTTTGCCTGCCACATTGCTGAAGACCAGTCTTACTTGTATGTATTCACACACACACAAGTACATTTGGAGAAATGTCAAAAAGAAATAAGAATAGAACGAAGACCAATGACATGAAGAAATAACTCACTGAATAAATTGGTGTGTACCTTTCTATGCATATAGTGTTGATCAGGAGTTTCTTAGGTACAGCTGATAACAACTGCAACTCAGATTTGCTTAAATGAAGGCAATCATTAGCTCTCATATCTGAGAATCTTAGGGATAAAGCTTGCTTGGGACGGAACTTGTTCCAGAGCTGAAACGATGCCATCAGAACTCAGTCTGTCCCTATCCTTTAATTTTGCTCTTTTCTGTTTTGGCTTCATTCTCTTTTTAGGTTCTCTCTCTCTATGTGGGAGTCTTTGGAAGCTCCAGGCTTCCTTCTGTAAGCAATTCTAGACTACAAAAGGGTTTTTTCCTTGTAGTTTTATGAAAAGTCCTGCAATGGAGTCTCATTAGCCAGGCTTTGGTCACCCATGCATGGGAACCAATTTAACCAAGAAAATGGAATATTAATTGGTCAGGCCAATTGATAATGTATAAATAAGTATTAATAACTTATCAATGCTAAGCAGTGTCATCTGCTACTCCTGACCTGTGCAGAGGATTTTAGTCTATCCAAACCACTTGAGTTGAAAGAGTAGGAGGGTTGGTTCACCAAAGAAAGAGTAGAATGCTCTTACCTAATGAGGAGCAGTGGATACTGAGGCAAAAATCACAGATGTCTACTACATAGTTATGCCAGTAGGGAAGCACCATTGAGTGAATTAGTGACCCTGATATCTCATTTACATTTCTCTAGCTAAAGCCAATCAATTTTATACATGTATGTTTCTATGCTTTTATTCTCATGAGTAAACAGTAATGCACCTAAATATAAATCGGAAAGTTTGCTGCAGTGGAGCGCTGGGTTGTTAGGGTAGTACACTACTCTGTGTGATATTGTAATGGTGGATCCATGTCCTAATACATTTGCCAGGACCACAGCATGTGCAATACGTGATGGACCCTGATGTGAACTGTGGGCTTTAGTTAATATGCATGCATTCATATTGGCTTATCGATTGTAACAAATACAGCACAGGAATGCAAGATGTTAACAATACGGGAAACTGTGTGGAGAAGGAGTGTAGGCAAACTCTCTGTGCTCTGCTCCATTTTTCTGTAAACCTCAAACTGCTCTGAAAAAATAAAGTTCTATTAATTAAAAAGATGAAGTTAGCTATAACTATTATTAGTCCTCTCTAGAGTAAACATTCCATGAGGGCAGGACAATGTCTGCTTTGCACACGGTTATGTCGCCTCCATGTAATATTGGAATTGGAATCCAATCTAGTCCCAGAAACTCGGATCAGAAGCCATTTGGGTCAGAAATGTTTGAGAATTTAAAATGTTTGTAATTTTAGAAGAGAAATATAGCCCACAAAACATGCCCAGTGTTACATAATAGCATCCCCAGCTGAGTCTGGGTCAGCACTGCATAATCAAACGCATTTCTAATTCTGCAGCAAAGCATATGAATATTCACATTGAGTCTATAAATAGTCTCCCATCAGTTCCCATCAGTTCAGGTCAGTTTTTGCCTCCAAATGAGTTACAAAGTATTTGCATTTGTTGGAAATGCTTCTTTCTTGTCATAACTAGGGCTTGGCGTCAGTATCACCCAATTACTTATTTTTAAAAGAGTCATTAATCCATTGTTCCTGGAATGTGTCAAGGTTTAAGATCAGGGTCAGAGTAGGATACATTGATACAGCCCCACGGCTGTTCTTTTCCACGCCTAAAAATCCTCGAGCAATGCACAATTTTTCCCCAAGGAGAGACCCTTTTTAGCTCCCAGCACTTCCCCGTCCTACCACTGTTTCTAAGATCTGGCATTACAAACGATTAGGGCTTCATTATGTGTGGGACAAATGCATGATGGCGGCAGCATTATTTTGTTAACAAGAGAACAAAGAAATCGTCTGAGAAGAGTTCACTTCTCATTTGGATTTTTTTCACTTTGTGCCTTCAGACATACACCAGCTGTCGGTAGACTTCTCTGTTTCTTGCTGTTTAAAATGCTCATTTGAGGGGTTAAAAGAAGGAAGGCGGAAGCAATGACAAATGAAAGTAATGTTTATCCTTTAAGCAGGCATGTCTGTCTCCTCTAATATTTGCTTTGCCTCTGCTCTATTCAGCTGAACAACCAAATAGAATACTTATTCAATAGAAACGCTGTGTGTTGGCCAGTTTTTCAAGTAGGCACTTGGGTAAGGCCTTTGAACATGCCTTGCTGTCTGTCTTATAAATACTAACAACACTAAATTGTATTAGTAATGATAGTGTGACAGCTGTCCAATCATCATTTCTACAATCAGTGATTGAATTTTAAAGGAATTCTTGCACTCAGGAAAATCACTCTTACAGTATTTCATTTGTTTGTGAATTTCCTTAGGTTATTGCCCATACGTTTTATGAGTAATTTAGATCCACAGAGATGCTGCTGATCTTACAGTTTTTTAGCCAAAATGCATTTCCCTAATCATTAGGAAGCCTGGAGGAGAAGGTTCACAGCCAGCAGGACACAGTGTGCCCTACGTGTGCCCTTCTTGGAACATGCTGGTGGTGGAAAGAGTAATGGTTCTTCCCATTGGGTTCCCCCTTGGTGTGAGTGGTGAGGGAGAAAGTGAAATATGAGCAGGACACTGAGAGCACACCCAACAACCCAGCTTAGCAGAACTTCCCCTTCCTTTTCCCTGGTGACTTTGTTCTGCAATCTGATAAAGCAACACGTTCCCACTGATTACACACACGGAGCATTTACTCTCTTGATTGGTCAAGGGCTCTGCAGGATATAGGCAAAGCCACTCTGGTTTGCACCAGGTTACTTCTGTGCATGCATAACGCAAAAAGCTACCTACCCTCCAGATGTGACCCAGGTACAACTCATATCTAAACCCATGCAGTCTTCCCTGGCTGGTATTCTAAGCTTCTATTCAAGCCCTTGTGTTCCCCATTAGGTGTCCTAGAGTTTACTTCCCAAGTGAAAATTGTTGCTCTTGAAGTGTTTCTACCCAAGACCAGGTGTTTAATCAAATAGCCCATTTGATGTCATGGGAAGATTGACTGTATATCACAGTGCTGGGTTCTTGGCTGTTATGGCAGCACTTCATACCTGCCATTAGGATTAAGGGCTTAAACAAGTTTCAGGTGCAACACCTGGGAACACCACAGCAATGACAAGTAGACTTGAACCTGGAATTTGTAGTTTTCTAAGATGAAATCATAATATTGCATTTTTGTTCTTTCCCAACAGAGTCAGTTGAATTTGCAACAGATGGAAATACTTCCAGCAAAAGAAAAGGGTGCTGTTCTAAGGGTCATGCGGCGAAATGTGGCCTTCATCCCACGGAGTAGCCGCAGAGTGATCTAGCACATAGAACAGAACTCTGCAGGGTAGTTTTTCTTCACTGGGATCCTAACCTGTTTAGAAATGAAAGTGGCCGGGCGCGGTGGCTCACGCCTGTAATCCTAGCACTTTGGGAGGCCAAGGCGGGCGGATCACGAGGTCAGGAGATTGAGACCATCCCGGCTAACACAAAATTAACAAAAAATTAGCCGGGCGTGGTGGCAGGCGCCTGTATTTCCAGCTACTCGGGAGGCTAAGCAGGAGAATCGCTCAAACCTGGGAGGTGGAGGTTGCAGTGAGCCGAGATCGTGCCACTGCTCTCCAGCCTGGGCAACAGAGTGAGACTCCATCTCAAAAAAAAAAAAAAAAAAAAGAAGAGAAAAGAAAAATGAAAGTTGTCTGTGCTCAATTCATAACTAGTTTTAAAACTTTAGAATGCATAGGCCAGGAGCAGTGGCTCATGCCTGTAATCCCGGCACTTTGGGATGCGAAGGCAGGCGGATCACAAGGTCAGGAGTTCGAGACCGGCCTGACCAACATGCTGAAACCCCGTCTCTACTAAAAACAAAAAAAATTAGCCAGGTGTGTTGGCACGCGCCTGTAATACCAGCTACTAAGAAGGCTGAGGCAGGAGAATCGCTTGAACCTGGGAGGCGGAGGTTGCAGTGAGCAGAGATCAAGCCACTGTACTCCAGCCTGAGTGACAGAGGGAGACCCCATCTCAAAAAATAAAATAAAATAAACTTTAGAATGCATAAAGATCAAGAGATGCTTGCTCAAATGCTGTTTTCTGAGTCCTGATAATTAGAATCCAGTAGGTCTGGGAGGGACTCAAGAATCTACCTGTTAACAAGCACTCTTAGCTAAGGTCATAGAGGTTCAGTATCCCTTATCTAAAATGCTTGAGACTGGAGGTGTTTCAGACTTTGGTTTTTTGTGGGGGGTGGCAGTGGATTTTGGAATATTTGCATATATATAATGAGATATCCTCAGGATGACACCCAAGTCTAAACATGAAAATCATTAATGTTTCATATATACCTTATACCTATAGCCTGAAGGTGATTTATACAATGTTTTAAATAATTTTGTGCATGAAACAAAGTTTATACTTTGAATCATCTAGCACAGGTGTCACTATCTCATGTTGGCACTCAAAAAGTTTTGGATTTTGGAACATTTCAGATTTTGGATTTTTGGATGAGGGATGCTCACCTGTTTCAGCCGGGAGGTTTCTTGACACACTTTGAGAAATAATTATTTTAGGTATAGTTTGACTTACCTTTTTACTATGTTGCTTTCTATGAAATGTTTATTTTGAGATTAGATCTACTGCCTGACTTGGTCCAGCTCCTAGGATTGTTCACAGATGCCCTGTAAAAATAAAAATAAAAACCAAAAAACTACATTTAGCATCAGTGGAATTTTCCTAGCTCCACCCACCCTCTAGCTTCCTGCTTTATGCGTGTTATCTTTTTTTGACCTTTCCCTTGGAATCCAGATTTTGTTCTGTACTTGCTCCTGTGGGCTTGATATTTGGGCATCTGCCTCACTTCCTTGAGTTAACCATCACCTGAGATTCAGGCTTATTTTTCTCTGCTCAGCCTCAGCCCAGCCCCATCCATTCAGATTCTCTTGCCCAGCCTCGCTTCCAGCAGCCTGAGTAGTATCCTGCTTGCCTGGGAGGGAAGTTCAGGAAAATGTGGAAGTGGGCCAAATTAATTAAAAGAAAAAAAAATAGAGATCATTGATGTTCCAATACAGCAAATAAATTAAGTGACACCCGGCTGCGGAGAGGTGCTTTATTACTCTTTTTCTTAGAGGGTTTTTTTTTTTAAGTCAAAAAATATTTTGTTTCCATTACAGATGTGGTCATTTTTATTCTGTAACCTAGGAAAATAATATTAAATAATATTTTCTAATGGAAAATTCTATGATTCTGTGCATCTCTTTCAGTAATCCAAAAATTTCAGATTAGCCCAGAGACACTATGTTTTACTTCTGGGACCCTTGTTTCTGGTCATGAAATCTGTGCTTTTTTCTGATAATCCAAAGATTTCCCACTCCTTGTTGAAGCATGAAAGCAGATTTTTTCAGCCTAGTCTTCTCCCTTCCCTTTATGAAGATGGGTTTATCCATCCTAATTCAAGATAATTACCGTGGTATGGAACTTTGCAGAACACTGGTAGTCTGATAGAAGTTAGCCTAGTGACTGATTGGCAGGTACCTAGTTACCAAGGAGAAACAAACTCAGGAAATCATGAAATCATGATGTAACAGTATTGGTGCCTGCACTAGATCCTCCAAGCTGTGTGTCAGATCAATGGTCTGGAATCCACAAGACTGTAGGTGAGCTCTTGGCAATCTTACTGCTCACTCCCTCATTCCTCATTCCTCCTCTTAACATGATTTTTAGGAATTCCTAGAAGGGTGGAAAATCATTGCCTTCCCCTCCTCTAATAATGTGAGCCCATGCCCCTAATTTCTCCAAGGCAGATGATGCCCTGGGGCGACTCTCACCCTTTTGGGGACCCAAGTGTAAAAACATTAATCCCAACATCCTGTCACTCAAATAAGAAGACATTCATTACTTATAAATAAATGGTAGTGGTTACAGTATAAATGCTATGTATACAAATGAAGACAAACTATAACTATAGGTCAGTGGACTATTGTGATCTCTAAGGATGCCTGCTCTTTGTCAATTCAGTGCAGTGCTTGTTGGGGAGGGTGGTGTCTCACAATTAGCTTCTGGAGTTCAACTACAAGTGTTCTAAGAAAGAGTTAGTTTATGTCAGTCCTAGGCCTTGACACATTCATGTGAGTCAGTTTTATAACTTTCTGTTCCTGGATGCTTCCCTCTCAACTATTAGTCCAGGCAGGCATGTGCTAAAATTACCTCTCTAAATCTTATCAAGCAAAGATTTGTTGGTTAGACTTTGCCCCCAAAAAAATGTGTCTAGGAGTGGGTCTAAAACCGGTGTTGGCCGATGTTCTGTTCTTAGGAAATGGAGAGCCAGGAATAGAAGGATCTGTGTTAGTAGTTCTCAAACTTCAGTGTGCAGAAGAATCACCCAGAGAGCTAGGTTAAAGGGCAGATTAATGCACCCCAGATTCTTCTGGCGTAGTCAGTCTGGACTGAGGTTTGATAAAACAAGCATGGCATGATAATAATGCAGGTGGTCTACAGTCTAACTCGGAGACGCATTGTATTATTAAATCTTGTCCTCTGTCATTTGCTGCGATGCTCTTTACCTCTTTAGACTGAAAATCACAGCCACTCTTCTGGTTACATAGAACAACTTACTGTGATAAAAAAAAAAAAAAGATGAACTTTATCTTCTAGGCTTTGAAAACGGTAAATGCAGTCTTTTGTATGTGCCTTCAAGACACTTGAAAGTCACTTTGTGGCTGCCACACAGAGATAGAACAAACTTAGGGATGCCTCTCCCCCTGTTTCATCTCAGAACGCCTCTCTCAGGACTCTTTGTCTCACCCAGGCACCTCAAGGTTTTGGTGAAATAAAGCAGCTCTTTTTTCTCAAAAACATTGTTAACCCTGGTCCGAAGGTTTAAAAGCTAGGATATCTGGGTTTTTTTTAATACCTTGATAGCTAAACTTTCTAAAATTTCTCCCTTCATCTTTGTGAGCCCAAATAGCTCGTGCACAAAAGCCTGTGGATTTCCTTCGATGAGAACTGAAATACTATTCCCTTTATGCTAATGTTAATTTTCAGGCAGTGAGCTTGGTTAACTATGAGAAAATAAAAACTTTAGATGGAATGCATTATTTATAGTGAATGCAAAGCATCATTATTATCAATTCTTGTTACAAAATACACAGAAAAAATATCTTTTTGTTATTTAAATATTGCATGGCTACATTGAGAAACAGTACAGATGTTAATCCACAGTCTCTCAGCTGCATCCTGAGTAATCATTATTACGTTTTATTCTTATGTGGAATAACTAGTAATAGACTCTATATTTCTGTATGAAATTCAAATCAGGGAACACCAATGAATTGAGATGATTGATATTATATATACACACACATAATTTTGGAATTGGGGACAACAATGGAAATATTTCTCTCTTAGAGAAAATCCACCAAACTTGTTGCTTTATTAGTGATCTTGACGAATAACATGTTTCATTTACCTAGATGTGCCAAAAATCACTTAATTCTTTACCATTGAAGTGAGCTCACATTTGACCAGTACTTAAATATGTTTTGAAAATATCTGTGTAATTGTTAAAAATCTGAAATTGAAATGTAAATATCTGGATTTTGAAATATCCAACTTTAAACACAAATTTTTTTTTTAAAGTGCATGTTTGTGTTTTTTTTTTTTTTTTTTTGAGACAGAGTCTCACAGCATCGCCTGGGCTGGAGTTCAGTGGTGTGATCTCGGTTCACTGGAGACTCCGCCTCCCAGGTTCAAGAGATTCTCCTGCTTCAGCCTCCCGAGTGGCTGGGATTACAGGCACACGCCACCATGCCCGGCTAATTTTTTTGAATTTTTAGTAGTGATGGGGTTTCACTATGTTGGCCAGGCTGGTCTCAAATGCCTGACCTCATGATCCACCCACCTCGGCCTCCCAAAGTGCTGGGATTACAGGTGTGAGCCACCGCGCCTGGCCATGTCTGCGTACTTTTATTCCATGATTTTATTTTGTGTGCTTTCATAAATCTTCTCTTTTTTGGTTGTTTTAACTTTTTATTGATGTGGTATTTTATAAATGGAGTAAGGAGAGACAGTGGTAGTGGTGATATGATTCATGACATCTTTGAATGCAAATTAAATGTGTAGGTACATGTGTGTTTATGGGAAAATATTCCTGGCTGTTTTCCCTGTCTTTGTTTTTTGTTGTTTTGTTTTGTTTTGAGATAGCGTCTTGGTTTGTTATCCAAGCTGGAGCCTGCTGGCAATGATCATGGCTCACTGCAGCCTTGATCCCCCCAGATCAAGCCATCCTCCCACCTCAGCTTCCTGAGTAGCTGGGACTAGAGGCGCATGCCACCAAGCCCAGCTAATTTTTTAATTTTTGGTAGAGATAGGGTCTCCCTGTGTTGCTCAGGTTTGTCTTGAACCCCTGGGCTCAAGCAATCCTCCACGCCTCAGCCTCCCAGAGTGCTGGGATTCCAGGCTTGAGCCACGATGCCCAGCCTGTTTTCCCATTTTTAACTGATAAAGAATCACTGGCCTAGTCTAATCTTATTGATTTATAGATGAAACACTTCAGGCATGTAGAGACTAGGTGATTTTCCTGAGGTCCTGGAGTTAGTATTTGACCCAAGGCATTGAAACTCAGTCCATGGTCTTTCTGAATCCTCACCCATCTCTTTCTCACAACAAGATCGTGGGCCGTCCTCAGTCCCCAGTAATAAGATAGAATTCTGTTTGGTCATTTTGTCTTCTTAACTTTTCTTCTATTTCAACCTTAGCATGAAGTGCTTTTTTTTTTTTTTTGTCTGAGTTAAATGTTAAATGCCTTAGAAATTACCTTACCAGGCTTCACCTAGATCCCCAAACCAACTTTATTCTTTTTTCTCAGCACTGATGCACCTGAATGAATTCAGTCTCATCCTATCACCTATCAACAAAAGGCTGGTTATGAAGTTTTTCCAGGATAGCAGTTGCAATTCTTGCCCTTCAAAATAATCACATATAAGGGGACTGCCAGTTGCAGGGTGATATTTAATATAACTTTACATCATAGCCTCTGGTGATTCTATCTTAAAACTCATCAGGCAGTGCCTAAGTAAGCTAATTGAATACATTAAAAATTGAAAAAAATACTTCAAAGTAAAGCAGATTCTTATTGATCACCGTGTGTTATATATACCACTGTACTTGGTACCACAAGAGATACAAAAATAGGTAAGATACAGTCATGCTTTCAAAGAGCTTATAATCCAAACAAGGGAAAATAAAGTGTACTCTATGTTAGGTGCACTTAGTAGAAAAAGATAAGCGTCTTGGGAAATATAGTTTTAAAATTATATTAAAGAAAAAGGTTGAGGGTCTAGCAGAGTCTTCCAGGAAAAAGAATTTGAACTTGATTTTGAAAAACGAAAATCACTTCCATGGGCGTAAGCGGCGAGATGCATTTTGAACAATATTTATTGTGTGCATAGTCTAGAAGCATGTGTACTCGACACTGCCACTTAAGGTATGGTTTGTGGATCATTCCAGTCTTTGAACTTTGTTACTGCTCCGTGACAAAATAAGTCTCATGCATCCAGTTTCTCTTATTGAGAGAAAGCACTTAGAAATGCATGGCTGTTTAACATGGCTTCACCATCCAAGCACATAATCAGTGGACTCAAATCATTGCACCTGTTATAGACCAGTTTGGGCGTTACTGAGTCATCTGTGGTACAGGCTATGTGACATTTATGCAAGGTAGACCATATATGGCTTCATAAGACGTTGGGAAAACAAAGAACCTAGTCCTTCGCTGCAGATAATGTGAGAATAAAGACTGTAGGTTGTTCTTTATTTGCATACATAGTCATTTTGAGGAAGTGTTGTGTATATTAGCAATACGGAGCTGTTACTCATTATTGACTTATTTACAGTATCGTCCTTGCTTCTTTCTAATTTTATCATCTCATTACAGCACAGAAAAAAATGTTAGCTTTATGACACTAGACAGCCATCCACAATGACAGTAGCACAAAAGGGATACGGGAAGCACAAAGTAAAGGGGTAGGCTAAAGACAAGCAGAACAATACATAGAAGAGAGAAAGGGAGACGTCAAGCAGCCTGCGCCTGGAAGTTGTTAGTAAAATTAGTGACCAATGTGAAATAAGAGGGCTTATATTTTCACTTCATCATAATCCACAGAAGATTAACCTTCAATGGGAAATTTTCTTCTAGAAGCTGAAACACAGCCTGTTGTGCCTTACTATTTTTTGTTAATTTCTTTCTATTATTTTCCTTATGTTGTTGTTTCCTGTTGTTGTTCCTATTTGGAAGGGATTCTTCATTTTGGACATTTTCTCTTCTCATTTCAGATGATTCCACACTGCATGGCCCGATTTTTATTCAAGAACCAAGTCCTGTAATGTTCCCTTTGGATTCTGAGGAGAAAAAAGTGAAGCTCAATTGTGAAGTTAAAGGAAATCCAAAACCTCATATCAGGTTTGTTGATGTAAAAGCATGTGTTTCCATGCATATAGTTTCTGTTATTAAAATCAACAAATACTTATACAATGCTGGTTACATAAAGAGCTTTTATTTATTTATTTTATTTTATTTTATTTTATATATTTATATTTTTGGGACCGAGTTTTGCTCTTGTTGCCCAGGCTGGAGTGTAATGGTGTGATCTCAGCTCACCACAACCTCCGCCTCCCAGGTTCAAGCGATTCTCCTGCCTCAGCCTCCCGAGTAGCTGGAATTACAGGCATGCACCACCACGCCCGGCTAATTTTGCATTTTTAGTAAAGACAGGGTTTCTCTGTGTTGGTCAGGCTGGTCTTGAACTCCCAACCTCAGGTGATCCACCTGCTTCAGCCTCCCAAAGTGCTGGGATTACAGGCGTGAGCCACCACACCCGGACCAAGAGCTTTTATTTATTTATTTATTTATTTATTTATTTATTTATTTAGAGACGGAGTCTCGCTCTGTCAGGAGTGCAGTGTGCGACCACTGCTCACTGCAACCTCTGCCTCCCAGGTTCAAGTGATTCTCCTGCCTCAGCCTCCTGAGTAGCTAGGATTACAGATGTGTGCCACCATGCCCAGCTAATCTTTGTATTTTTAGCAGAGACAGGATTTCATCATGTTGACCAGGCTGATCTTGAATTCCTGACCTCAAGAGATCTGCTAGCCTGAGCCTTCTAAAGTGCTGGGATTACAAGCATGAGCCACTGTGCCCAGCCATATTTTTATTTTTCGAGACAGGGTCTCCCTCTGTCACCCAGGCTGAAGTGGATTGGCTCAGTCTTGGCTCACTACAACCTCCCCCTCCCGGGTTAAAGGGACTCTGGCACCTCAGCCTCCTGAGTAGCTGGGATTATAGGTTTGCACCACCATGCCCAGCTAATTTTGGTATTTTCAGTAGAGATGGGGTTTCACCATGTTGGCCAAACTGGTCTCGTATTCCTGACCTCAAGTGATCTGCCCGCCTCGGCCTCCCAAAGTGCTGGGATTACAGGCATGAACCACCACGCCCAGCCCGTAAAGAGCTTTTAGACAGGCATCATAGATATCCTGAAAGTCTAAGGAGATGATTGTTTCCTGAAAAGCTAAGTACCCAACCTCTGTTTTTCGTAGTGCTGGGAATTAAATATCCTGATTGACTTTC
The DNA here is from genome assembly GCF_000001405.40 of Homo sapiens. NCBI lineage: Eukaryota > Metazoa > Chordata > Mammalia > Primates > Hominidae > Homo > Homo sapiens. The sequence continues at coordinate 2,737,509 of NC_000003.12, forward strand.
TCTTTGAAAACATTAACAATTCATAACCACATATATTTAACTTAATAAACATATTTTAAACTATATCAGTAAACTGGCAGGAAAGTAAGAAATGTCAGAAGTCTACAAGTAAGTGGGTTTGGAACCGAAAGAAGTAAGCTGAACAATAAAGACAGTTTTCATGTTAATAAACTACAAGTATGAATTGAGCTTTGGTTTTCATGGCTTCAGAGAACAGAGGTCACAAGACAAAGCCTAGACAACCCACAGGAGAATCCAACATGAGAACATCTCCCAGAATAAACCTGGGATACAAGGGCTACATCTTTACAGTAAATGTGAACAAGAAATAAGCTTGACTTCCAAAGAGACTCAAAAGCACAGGTAATTGTGTCTTTCAAACATTAAACCTTAGTGGTTCTAGTAGCAGATGAAATACAACCGAAAAGAATTTGTAAACTGCAAGATAGGTCTGAAGAAATCCTCCAGAGGCAGCAGAAAGAGACAAAGGGAAGCAAAATACTTTAAAAAGAAAGAGAGAAAAAATGTCTACTCAGGATTCCAGAAGAAGCATCAAGAAAGACTGAGGCAGAAGCAATATTTAAAGAGAAGGCTAAGAATTTTCCAAACTAATTGAAACTTTCAAGCCGTAGCTATAGGAAGCCCAATGCACTTCAAGCAGTACAAATAAAAATGAAGCCACATCTAAAATAGTGAAATGGTAGAACACCGAGTCAAACAGATTATCATAAAAGTAACCAAACTTGTAATACAGATGACATTCAAAGAGATCACAAACTGGCAGCTGACTTCTCAATAGCAACAAAAAATCAGGAGACAGAAGATAAAATATTCAGTACAGTGAGAGAAACTGTCAAATGTATGGATAGCCTAAATACTTCTTTTAAAGCAAAACAAAATAACTACATTTTTAGGCAGACGGCAACCAAAATCTGACTCCAGCAGACCCTCACTAAAGGAAATTTTAAAAGACATACTTGAGGTGGAAGAGAAATGATTCCAGATAGAAGAGCTGAGCTACAAGAATAAATAAGTAAAGCAAATGGTAAATGTTAGTAATTCCACAAAAAAATTTATTGCACAGAACAATAAAAATAATAAAAAGAATACTGTCTTGTGAAGATAAAAAGAAAAGTTAAAATTCATGACAACATTAGAAACAAATTTTTAAAAGATGTACTAGACAATGGATTGTCTATATGGTTAAAGAAATAAAATTGGAACCCTACTGCGCAGCATACACAAAAATCAATTCCGAGTGTATAGAAGACCTAAATGGGAAATTTGCAATACTTTTAAAAGCAGATGGGTTTACATATTTATGACTTTGGGGAAGGAAGAGATTTTCTAAATATGACAGAAAAAATACAACTTATAAAAGAAAATATTTAACTGTATTAATATTGAAAACTTATGTTCAATAGAATATACTGAAATAAACAAAATTACAAGCTGTAAACTTGAAGAAGATTTTTAAGTATATTTGTTATGGGTAAGGGATTCATATCCAGACTATTTAAAGAATTTCCACAAACAGAATGTAAAAAACAACCTAGTGGAAACATTAGCTAAACACTTTAACAAGTATTTCTAGGAAAATGAAAACCAAAAATTCAGTAAACATAAAAAGATTGTCAATATCATTAGTGAACAGAAATATATAATTAAAACTACAACGACATACTCTTTCAAAACTACCAGATTGACAAATTTAGAAAACTGACAATCTGTTGGTGAAGATGAAGAGCAAACAGAACCCTTGATTGAACACTGCTGGTAGCAATTTAAATTGGTAAAAGCCATTAAAAAAAAAAACACTCCCTAGTAAAGCTAAAGGTGCACGTACTCTATGATCCAGTGTATATGATTATGTTCATAGTATATTCACAAATACACATAACCTGGTATGTTCGTACAAGGTAACCTCATACAGTAGTAAAAATGAATGAATGACAGCTGCAACAAATGGGTAGATCTCAAGAACATAATTTTGAGTAAACCAGTTCACAGCCAAATGCATAGTATGTAATTTCATATTCATAAAATTTGAAAGTGGTTGAGATGGAGTGGTTGTTCAAGGTATAGAGGAAGTAACAGAGGAAGCAAAACTTTACCCCTCCTCTCTTAGGATTTTTCAGCTAAGCCTGAGAATTAAATTAACATAAAGCAGATCAAAAGGAGAAAAACATATTTATTTAATACAAGTTTTACATGGCAAGGAAGCCTTCATAAGAAAATGAAAACCCAGAGATGCAGTTATCGTTGCACATTTATTTACTGAATTGGACAAAGAGTAGTAAATTGTGAAAAAGTAACTAAGTTATGTGGGGAGCTAGAAGAAAATATTTTAACAAGGTCTGGACAGAGTTTTCTCTGTCTCAACTTCCTGTCCTTGATGGAAAGAACGTTACTTTCCTTCTAATATAGAAAGGACATCTTTGGCATGGGGATTTTATCCTTGCTTTTTAGAAAAAGAATGAAGGTGAAAGTGGTCGTCTTGTACCTGCTGTTTTCCAAGTACCTTTTTTTTTCCCCCAAGTACCTTTAACTCAAAATAGTCAATATAGGCAGGGCACAGTGGCTCACGCCTGTAATCCCAACACTTTGGGAGGCTGAGGCAGGAGGATGGCTTGAGGCCAGGAGTTTGAGACCAACCTGGGCAACATAGCAAGACCCCCATCTCTACAAAAATAATTTAAAAATTAGTTGGCCATGGGGGTGCACACCTGTAGTCTCAGCTAGTCAGGAGGCTGAGGTGGGAAGATCGCTTGAGTCTAGGAGTTCCAGGCTGCAGTGAGCTATGATTGCACCACTACATTCCATCATGGGTGACAGAGCAGGAACCGGTCTCTAAATAAATAAATAAATAAAAGTCAGTATGCCAGAGCAGCATATTTTTGGGTGGCATGCTCTGAACTCCTTCAAATGATAACATACATGATAAAATTATAAAGAATATCACGGGAATGGAAAAGCCAAAATTAAAGATTATAATTAACCATTAAGAAGGAGTGGTATAATCAAAGTAGATACAGCAGACTTCTAAAGTAATAATATCACTTTTAAACACAGATCTTCATTGGCTTATGATTTTTATAACTTACATACATCTTATAAATATTATGCCTCTATTCAAATTTGATAATGAAAAACTTTAACAACTACTATCTAATATTATGTAAAAAACAAATATATATGTCATAGTTTAGGAGAGACTGGAGTCATCAGGTAGGGTTCTCAGAAGAAATGGGATATGAACTGAGATAAGTAATTTTCAAATAGGCAGAGGGTAAAGGACATTGTATTCAAGTTAAAGGACGGCAGTATTAGTATAGTGGATATTATTTTAGAATTTACTTTACATGCTCATTTATCCATTTGTTCATTTATCAAACATATTCATTATTCATCCTTCAAACCTCACCAGTGTTTTTCAAACAGAATTCCAGGGCACATGGAATTGGCTTAAAGATCACCAGAGAAAGAAAATAACAGAATTTTCATCCAAGATTCAGCCTTTGCAGCTCTACTTTGAACTAGCCCATATATTAGGATTCTGAAAAATACGTCATATAGACAAAGTATTTAAACCACTCTATTAAGCAGCTGCAATGTACCAGTCAGCATGCTAGGTCTGAGTATTCAAAGATTAATCAACTCTACAACATGCTTACTAGTACTGTTAATTTGAGGACTGCCTAGATGTGGACGTAGTTGGAGTAGAATGATGTAACTACAAGTAAAGGATGACCAAGTTCTAGGTATTCTGGAGGAAAGAAAGTCTAATTCAGGATGGCGAAGGTAGATGTCACTGAAGTCTTCACAGAAAAGGAGATATTTTAATATATTTGGAGGGTGAATGGTTCTTTCATCACATGGATAAGGAAAAGAAGTGCATTCCAGAAAGTAAGAAAACAACAACTCTCTAATGGACCATATAATTAGGGTGAACATGTAATTTATCATCTGAGGTCACTTTTTAAAGCAGAAGGCCGCTGTTCATAATTATTCTAGGACAGCAGGTGTAAACCAAGCACTTGTCTTGGGCAAGCCAGAATGAATAGTTACTCTCCCTAGAATATATTAAACCCAAGGCTAAATCAAAGATTTTTAAATACTTTGTGTAGTAAAGAATGCAGGAAGCAACGGCTGTTAGGTACACACATGATGAGTTAACTGGTCCTTGTTTGCCTTGCGTAGCCAAGTGTAAGGTCAGATGTTAGCCGTAAATGAAAACACATTTTGCAGCAGAATTTGGCAAGTGCTGCTTTGTTTTCCCCCAAACTGTGACCTTTAATTAACATTGCTTTTGTAACACTGTGTTTCTAGATATAGGAGTTTGCCTTGTTATTTAAAGCAAGCAGTGAAACAGAAACCTATTATGTTTTTAGATTTCCAGGAAACACTGAGAACAAAACTTTTTAATCAAATGCACTAGCAATTTATTGCAGTATACTTCTTGCCTTTATGCCTTTGGCAGTGTCTCTGTAACATAATAGCAGACTGGTACCTGGGAGCTAAAGCATTCCTCTTGTTGAAAGAAAGAGCAAGACAAAGAATGGAGAGATCAAGTATTTTCAGACACCTTTCTGCCTGAACTTTTTCAGTCTTCAGGCTGAATTTGAGGGGGAAGAACAAGTAGAAGAAATTCCGAAGTGAGTCTCCATGGGGATCTTCAGCACTAGGTTCTCTCCTCAGACACCGCAACTGACCTCTCTTCTTTGTGTTTATTCCCTCAACTGAGCCTTCTCTTTTCATTGTTTCCTGCCCCTCAATTTTGAAAGGATTGACCCAGACCCAGAAAAATTTAAGAAGTTTTAACTTGTGCCAACTTCCCTTATATTAAACTTCCCTAAGGACATATGACATTACTTAATGCACTCAGCATCCCTTTCCAGATAGAAGAAATGTTCACTCACTTGGTCGGAGTACTTTTGCTGAGGTTTGTATTCAACTGAGTTGGCAGAAAACAAATTCCAAGTCATAAATGCCCTGACCTTCCCTTAGTGCCAAGTTGACACCATCAACAAAGAAAGAGGATTTTGCTACAGCGAATCCTATAGATACCCTCCCAGCAAAGCCACAGCATTTTACCCTCCAGAGTGTCACAGCATCGGTGTTTGGTTGTGCACAACCCCACTCTCTGGAGAGAGTGGAGTCGTGGTTCCTCAAATGATTCAGAAATCAGCTTATGAGACTCACAAATTTCTCTTGTCCCTTGGGAAAATCTCTATTGGCTCCAAATGAGCATTGCCTCTATATTACCAACACTTAAAAGATTCCTCACACATTGAAAGTAAATTGTGAAATTTTCAAGCGTGTTTCAGTATACAGTGAGATAAGAAATTCAGTGCAATCCACATTCAATTGGAATGAACAGTGACTGCATTGCAATAAAACTTGGTATAGCGCTTTGTAATAGAGACTCAACTGCATTTCGGAGAAAGCACTTTATTTTCTAAATAATCCCTTTTCGTTTGCTATTTGTATGTAAAAGCAGGCGATAAAGTAGATTAATGGACTTTCTGCACAGCATTTTAGTTGAGATGACTAGTGTAGGAAAACCTACAGAGGAGCTCTCATTATGCCCACAACCACTTTTCTAAAAAGACTCACATGGCCCCACTCCTAAATTCCACACTCTGCTTGCAGCTCACATTATGTTGCGATTTCCTTTTTGAGTTCTTAGATTTGTCATATTAAATTGCTCTACTATCATTTGAAGTAAGAGTTATGGTCAAGACGTGATCAGCTGACTCAAAAAAAAAATGTCTAGGGCAGACAGTCAGTTCTAGAGATTCATGTGCACATAGAGCTGCTAGAATATAACCTGGCTGTTCTGTCTTTATTATACTTTCTTGTCTGTGTCAGAGCACAGAGAATTACTGTGGAGACTAAAAACATTGTCAGTTTCTAATCCCAATCTTCTTATATACAAACACATAAAGAGGTACCTCATGTTTCTATTTCATGCTCCTGGTCTACCTTTCTTACCTCTCTTGTTTCTAAATTGTTACATTTCAAAGACATGAATAAACATGTGTTGCTATGTGGTAGTGTGCTGGAATGCTTCATAAATTGTGGATGTTCAAAGCTAAAATATCCAGCAAAGAAGTGAAATATTTAGTTAATTAAATTCAACCAGCATTTATGGAGCACAATGAGAGTGTTAGATTTTAGATGGCTAAAGTGAGAATACAAAAGTGATTTAGGTAAATTATCTACAGTAAAAGCAGCATTCCTACATAAAGGAGCATGGACAATTCCGTAGGAGATTGGACAAAGCTTTGGTTAATTTTTGTTGTTTTTGTTTTGAGATGAGGTCTCGCTCTGTTGCCCAAGCTGGAGTGCAGTTGCAGTGGTGTGACCTTGGCTCGCTGCAGCCTCAATCTCCCAGGTTCAAGTGGTCCTCCCACCTCAGCCTCCTGAGTAGCTGGGACTACAAGCATGCATGCACCACCACACCTGGCTAAATTTTGTATTTTTTGTGGAGGCAGCGTTGTGCCATGTTGCCCAAGCTATTCTCAAATTCCTGGGCTCAAGAGACCTGCCTGCTTCAGCCTCCCGAAGTGCCGAGATTACAGGCGTGAGCCACCGTGCTTAATCATCTTTGGTTAATTTTGACTAGAAATACTAAGGAAGACTTCATTGAAAGGGGTGTCACTGCAAAATGGCTTTGAAGTGGGACAGAGGTCTTGACAAAAAGAAGGGATTACCCTTCTGTATATTTGCTTTTGTTGATACCAGACATCCAAAATCTTGAAACTAACTCACGTACATTTTTTTCATGTAAATCCTTTTACATTATGTACAGACAACCACAGTACCCAAGAATGTTATAAGATGATACACAGTGAATGTGCATGTGCACACACACAAATATTTAAATGGTGATTTTTACTATTTAAAGGAGATAAGGTTAATGGCTCTCATTCCTTACTCTCATTATGGATTTGGATCAGTTTTGTTTGTGCTGCTGTATCTCTTAATTTTTAACATTCTGGTGTGAATGCTGCTGTGATACTCTTGGTAATTCACAAACTCCTACTATGCTATTTTCGTTAGTTAATATTCTGTGTAAGAGTTGTGGGGGTAAACGAATCGGATAGTGACTGAGTTATATTAGTGCAAACGTTCTGAAGTGTTTAAATGACTTCTGAAAGGAGATTTGGTCAAGAGAAGCTCTCACTCTTTGGAATGGTATTGGTTGTAAAATGAAATAAAAACAAAAACATAGGTCTTATTACCAAAACTTCGCTGTTAAAATGTGTGGGTCCCACTAAACCTGCTTTACTGGGCTAAATACTCTAGTCACATACATAGGTGATCCAGGTAGATAAACAGAAGGACAAAAAACAAAAAACCTGTCTTTGCCCCGATAACCTAATAGCCTAATCTGCAGTTTGCTGGGATGGTTGATTGATGTTTGTGTGCCGGTGGTGAAGGAGCTCTTCAAAGTGATCCACGGTTAAAGCAGGTTTGGTCCCCACAGCAGCTCAAGATCAATAGTTCCTCTGCTTTGCAGCCAGCCATTGCAGTCATATTAAGGACCAAATCAAAGCAACTCTGCTGCAATTTCATCAGATACTTAGCAATCTACCTGGAAATAGTATATGCTGTCATCTGTATAGACCTATTTAAAGAATGATTGCAAACTAGAAGGACTTTTACTGAGGAGCCCCATTTGAAGAAAGCTGCACAGGTGCTATGAGAAATCTGTGGCCCGCCTTCAAAACAGTGAAGTGTTTGTAGCATCATAAGTAGTCAGAAGAACATTTTAATGATATTAAAAAAATTTTAATATCATTGTTTACTTTAAAAGACATGCTCTTTCCATATAAGCACTTAAGATGTCACCATTGCTGGGTAGAGCATTTCTAACTTCTTAATCATGCTTTTTACAAAAGTCACAAATGATTTTTCATGCTATTTATAGTTTTTATATATTTTAGACAATTCAGAAATATTGATTAATATGACAAGACTTTATCTACTGGCATTTTTATACTATAGGTGGAAGTTAAATGGAACAGATGTTGACACTGGTATGGATTTCCGCTACAGTGTTGTTGAAGGGAGCTTGTTGATCAATAACCCCAATAAAACCCAAGATGCTGGAACGTACCAGTGCACAGCGACAAACTCGTTTGGAACAATTGTTAGCAGAGAAGCAAAGCTTCAGTTTGCTTGTAAGTAGCAATTATACAATGCTGCAAATGTTGCTTTCAGTTTGTGTACCATTATACCAATAAGCTTTTATAGCAGTTTCATTTTAGAGACTAGATTTTAATTGGTTACATGATCATCTTTACTCTTTTTCACATTTTGGAAACAATTTTATTTGTAGGATAAACTGTAAATCTAAGTGAGAAGATGTATTCTTCTACTTCGATAAGGATTGAGATAGTTGATTGTATGATAATTTGATTATATGATGCTTTCTTTATATACAAATAAATTCACACACTGAGATTGACACATGTATAAATTTATGTAAACAACAAATTTGACACCCACACACACCCACACACACACATTTTAAATAGAATGTGTATAAGCAAGCAATTGAACAAATTTTACACACACACACACACACACACACATTTTAAATAGAATGTGTATAAGCGAGCAATTGAGCTGCCAGTAATTTAGTAGAGTCAATAAGAGAAATACTTTAACGATAAAGGTGAGAGTTGGAAAAAAACTCAGTAGTCAATTAATCCTACAATTCTCTAATTGTTTCCTATTTCACAGAGTTGAAAAAATTTAAAGCAACTGTAATAATGACAAAAACATGGAGACAAAGTGTTATCCACCTTTGATATTTCCAGCTTAAAATGTTTAAAAAAACAAATAACCGTGTCTTAAGACCACCATTTAACAAAAGTCCATGAATATATGAAAGAAAGTGGAATTTAGAAATCACAATTTGAAAATAAAATCCATAGGCAAGAGCAATTAGCATACATTTGGGTATAGCCACCTTTGAGGATTGAGGTTCAGCTACATTTTTAAGGGTTTATGTATTTGCATGTGATTATATATTTCCTTGTGTGAAATCCCAACTCATATAGCAGTGAATTTTGGCATTAGCCAAAGGTTTCATAAAGTCTGCTGGCAGTAACACTGTAGAATATTCTCATTAACAAAATCCTCTCCAGGAACTCAACATCCAATATACCTAATATCCAGTTCCTAATCTATTAATGCCATTTGGTGGCATTTTTATAAGTTGGGAAATGAATTTTCTAAGTATTATGTATATGCGAGATTCCAGGATTATTCTGTTAGTGAATGTCTCTTGAGATAGTCTTCTAAATATTCGTAGGTGTTTAGAATAATAGGAGAATAATATGTGTGATTGAATGTAACAGAACCAAAGTGTTTCTTTCTCTTGGTTTAATACAAGTCTTGTATCTATATTGATTTTTTAGTAATGACAAATCTTGCTAAATTAATTTTTGGAAATAACCATAGGATCATGTACTCTCAGAGTACGGGAAAATCTCATTATTTAGTAAATCTTGTAATTCTTTGAATTTTGGATGTCATAGTGTAGGAAATGTTTAACACAGTATAACACCAAAAAAAAAAAAATGGAGATGGAAATATTGTATCTGGGCCAGCGCGGTGGCTCACGCCTGTAATCCCAGCATTTTGGGAGGCCGAGGCGGGCGGATCACGAGGTCAGGAGATCGAGACCATCCTGGCTAACACGATGAAACCGCGTCTCTACTAAAAATACAAAAAATTAGCCGGGCGCAGTGGCAGGTGCCTGTAGTCCCAGCTGCTCGGGAGGCTGAGGCAGGAGAATGGCGGGAACCCGGGAGGCGGAGCTTGCAGTGAGCCGAGATGGCGCCACTGGACTCCAGCCTGGGCGACAGAGCGAGACTCCGTCTAAAAAAAAAAATAAAAATAAAAATAAAAAATAAAATACTATACCCAAACTTCTTTATTGACAGCTTACATTTAAAAAAAAAAAATTACCAGCTCTTAAGATTATCCTTTTGTAAAAGACCGGGCATTTTACTACCAAAACATCAGAAAGATAGAATCTCATATTCAAGGACAGTCATTTACATAGAATAGTTTAACCAAAACAAAAAACAAAACAAAACAAACAAACAAACAAAAAGCTCTACCACTCAGTTCGTGGTGGGTTGACCTGAGGACCTACCAGGAAATGGAATCCACTTTGCTCATTCCACTTCATGTGTGATGTAGGCATTCCTCCCACCCTCAAAATCCTTGGCTGATCATCATTTGGTTTGAAAAATTCTAGTGACAGAAAGTTCACCAATTCATCACGAGGCACCCTGGCCCACAGCAGACTGCTCTACTTGTTCAAAAATACAAAAACAAACTTGACATCTCTTTCTTAAAATTGAGCCAAATATCTCAATTTCTATCACATTCACTCCCAATTCTTACTTTAAAGATGCTGGTTACTCTTCAAATATGTGAAGATATGATCATGTCCCTTGTCCCATAATTCTTTTCTTCCCAATTAATTAATCCACAGCCATCTTCTTCACAACACACTCAATTATGTTAATTCATCTATTGCAGCCTTATGGAAATGCACAGAATTCCATATATGTGTCTTAACTTTTGCAAAGGACACTGGGGACAGTAGTATCTCATGATGTGAACTTTTTTCAGTTAATGAAGCTGACAATAATATTTATTTAATCTTCATTTTTAAGTACCAGCCCCAGATTGCAACTTTATTTTAAACATATAATCATGTAAAATCTGAGAAAGTATTTCTTATAAATTCCTATTCATCCAGTGCTACCCAACCACGTTGTTTTATTAACCTAAATTCAGAATATTGTATTTACCCCTAATAAATTCATGTTCTGAGTAGTGACCCTTTGTTCCATCATATCTGAAATTGCTTTAAGTCTTTTTTTTCAATCAGACATAATGATTGTTCTCCTAGTTTAGTGTCAGCAGAAAATTTGATAAGCATATCTCCATTCAAATAATTGATATAACATGTTGACCAGGACAGGGCAGCATGTCACTAGAGAATTTCCACTAAAATGAAATTAAACCTTTAATTTAATATTATTTGGACACTCTTGTTCAACCAGCTACAAATTTAGCCAAATATACTATAATCGAACTCCAATTTCATCCACGTGTTTTTAAAGTAGTGAGAATCTTTGCTAAAGCCTTGCTAAAATCAACATGTATTGTTTCTGCAACATCCAGTCCTACCTGCTCCGTCTGCATCGTCTTGAGCCTTTCCTTAACCATTTATCCTAAAACTGCCAGAGTAATCTTTTAAAAAATGTAAATTAGATCATTCCGCTTCCCTGCTTTATGCCTTCTACTGTACTTAGAATAAATCTCAAACTCATTACCATGGTCTCATTTTAATTTCTCAAAAATGACAAACTATTTTTTGCAACAGGATCTTGATACTTTTGTTCCCTCTGCCTGATCAGCTTTTCTCATGATCTTTCACACAGCTGACTTCTTATGATCCTCACTTCTCAATTTAGGTATGACCTCCTGAGAGAAAGTTTCCGTGTCACCCTGTCTAACATAACAAGCAATTTCCATCATTTCTCCTCCTCTCTGCTGACCTTCCTCCAGCCCTCTACTTTTACATAACAGTATCTTCTATTTCACTTACCAGAATTTTTTGTTTTTTTATTTTTTGAGACTGAGTCTTGCTCCGTCGCCCTAGCTGGAGTGCAGTGGTGCGACCTCAGCTCACTGCAACCTCCACCTCCTGGGTTCAAGCTATTCTGCCTCAGCCTCCAAAGTAGCTGGGATTACAGGCTCACACCACCATGCCCAGATAAGTTTTTTTTTTTTTTTTGTATTTTTAGTAGAGATGGGGTTTCACCATGTTGGCCAGGCTGGTTTCGAACTCCTGATCTCAAGTGATCCACCCGCCTCAGCCTCCCAACAAGGTGAGATTACACTTTGCCCAGCTCATTTACCAGAATTTAATACAATCTAGAATGATTGTGTATTTACTTTTTTCTCATTTATTATTTCACTCCTATGGCAGAACGTATATTTTAAGAGAACTGAGACTATCTTGTCCATCCTTTTATTTCCTAGCCATTTATATGTTTGAATAAAGGAATTCCTGTGTTACGTGCCTGTTCAGTAACACAACAAAGAAAATATATGTATAAAGTTAATTTGAGGGTGATGTATTTTTATATACCCAAACCCACCCTTTCTATTCTTGTAATTTTCTGGAGTTTATCTTTTTGATCATTGATCCATAGTTTCTAGATGTTTTTCCCTATCTTTTGTAAATTAAAAGAAAATCAAAAGACATTGCCTATATTCAGAATTCACTTTCAATTGATTAGGATAAAATCCTTTTCTTCAGTGAATTAATAAAAGTGAGGCAAGACAGTGACATCTTTTGAATGTTACTAGTTTCTTTGACTCCACGTATTGTCATACTCATTGAAGGAAAAAAAAATGTTGCTTTTTGGCCACACTTACTGCACTATACCATGCAAGTGAGAATATTTCTTCCTCTTTAATCATACAATTTTATGGTTAAAAAAGACATTAAAGGTCTCCTGGCCTGTATCTTTTTAAAAATGAAATTGAAGATTAGAGTAACGGAATTACTCATTGTTAATACATAGTTAAGAAGCTACAGAGCCAAGGAAAGGCAGTCTTCAGCTCCCAGTTTCATGCATGCTGGCCCTACTTTGCTTTAGATTTACTCTAATTTATGAGAAAAACAACCTTCACTTTATTTACCATGTTACAATTTTCAAATCTCATTTACATACTTTCTATAATTTTATTCAGAAGATAGTCTTATAAGGTAGACATTATTTCTATTGATTATTAAAAATGTTTTCATGCTGCTTTTGTGCACAGAACTTAGTCATGTCTTGTATTAGCATTTAGCATTTTTAAGTTGAATTAATTCACATAAGCAAAATTTATAGCTAACTAGAGATGAGACCACTAAGAACTTGCTCTTCCTCCCACTTTTTAAAGTCAATATATTTAAAATAGAAATCCTTCTTTGATTAAATAAGGATAGCATAATTTAAGTCCCCCTTGATGAGATATGGATAAGCATACATTATTGTAATGTAATTGGGAGCACATTTTGTTTTTCAGTCTCTCTGCAGCATTAAGCCATCAGCAATCACTCCCCTCACTGTCACTTAGCCTACTACCATACCCTTTCTACCTTTTAGCCCTTCTATTTCACCTAGGGCTACAAATATGATTGACTAGATCCTCTGTGCCTGGCACTTAATAAACTTGAAATAATGGTTGCTGAATGAATAGGAATTAGACATTAAAGTCATCATGCCATGTGTGGGGCATAAGGAATGAGTTGAACCACTGAGTCAAGCACGTTCTGATGGTCCTTTGGAGTGAATTGGAGGTGAGAGCAAGCATTCTCACCTTGAGGTTGATACAGAAGACAGTTGACATCTTAATTCCTTATAAGTGTTTCTATTGGTGTGGCAGGCGTTGGCCCACATTAAAAGGATGCTTATGGCCAGGCGCGATGGCTCATGCCTATAATTCCAGCCCTTTGGGAGGCCGAGGCGAGTGGATCACGAGGTCAGGAGATTGAGACCATCCTGGCTAACATGGTGAAACCCCATCTCTACTAAAAAAATACAAAAAAAAAAATTAGCCAGGCATGGTGGCGGGCACCTGTAGTCCCAGCTACTCGGGAGGCTGAGGCAGGAGAATGGCTTGAACCTGGGAGGCAGAGCTTGCTGTGAGCCGAGATCACACCAGTGCACTCCAGCCTGGGCGACAGAGAGAGACTCAGCGAGACTCCGTCTCAAAAAATAAAAATAAAAAAAATAAAGATGCTCATGTATGGAATGAATCAAACAAGCCCTCAAAGTTCGCTTTTACCCTGGAAAGTCAGCCTGAGACTACGCACAGCTTCATGAAGTGTTTCAAAGGAAAGCTCCTTTGAGCTTAAGCATACCTCCCCAACCTTCATTCACTCTACACTCCCTTTCGTCCAGGAGCAAAACCAAGTTGAATACTTCAAAAAGTTCTTCCATAGACGAATAAATCAGAAGATAAGGCCTAAAGAGGAGGGGATTTCAGTTCGTTATTTGCACAGCTTAACGAAGGGGATGTTTCCAGAGCTTGTGTCTATACAGAATGAAGTGCTATAGCTCCATCACCCTAGCTGCCCACTTTTGCAGCCCAGCATCCCGGTCTAAATCTGCTTGAGGATCTTTGTGCACAGTCACTCAACACAGCAACTTTTCTCTGTCATATAAACACTGATATTTATTTTAAAAAAATAAATTTCAGTACACACCCCTACACTCATAAACAATACAAATCCTCATTTTTTTTTAACTTAGGAATGTGGGCTTGAGAAGATGAGATGTTATATTGACTAAGTTTAGAGGGAATCAAATGTCGTTAATTGTTCCATTTCATTCTATGTGTCCTGTGTCTCTAGAACTCCAGCTTCTCAATACCACTACACTTCCCTTTTAAGGTTGTTAGCAAGATTACATTGTAAAGCATATGTAAAATCCCAGAATCATTTCCAACATAGGAAAGTTATACAATAACTGCTTCTGTGTTTTTTTGTCTGTTCTCTCTTCCATTCCCCTTTCTGTCCCTCCATGTCCTGTCTTTTTAAAATAACTATCACTTACAAAAACTTAATTGACTCATAGTAACTGCATGTATTTATGGGTTACAGTGTGATACTTCAATACCTGTATGCAATGTGTAAATGATCAAATCAGAGTAATTAGCATACGCATCACCTCATGCAACTAAACTATCATTTCTTTGTGTTGGGAACATGCAAAATTCTCTCTTCTGAAAATTAGAGTAAATTGGTTTTTTGTTGTTTTTTGTTTGTGTGTTTGTTGAGGTGGAGTCTCGCTCTGTCACCCAGGCTGCAGTGCAGTGGCACGATCTCGGCTCACTGCAACCTCCACCTCCCGGGTCCAAGCGATTTTACTGCCTCAGCCTCCCATGTAGCTGGGAATACAGGCGCCCACCACCACGCCCAGCTAATGTTTCTATTTTTATAGAGACAGGGTTTCACCGGCCTCGAACTCCTGACCTCAGGTGATCTGCCCATCTCGGCCTCCCAAAGTGCTGGGATTACAGGCGTGAGCCACCGTGCCCAGCTGAGTAAATTGTTCTTAACTGTAGTCACCCTGTGGTACTAGAGAGCACAAGAACTTATCCCTCCTATCTAGCTGTAATTTTTTGTCTGTTAACCAGTCTCTCCCTATCCTTCTTCCTCCCTTCCCCACCTCTAGTTACCACTCTTCTACTGTCTACTCTAATTCTGTCTTACTAAATAAGACCAACTTATTTAGCTTCCACATACAATTGAGAATATGTGGCATTCGTCTTTCTTTGCTTGGCTTATTTCAGTTAGCATAATGTCCTCCAGATTCATCCACGGTGCCATAAATGACAGGATTTCATTCTTTTTATGGCTGAATAATATTCCATTATGTATGTATACTTCATTTTCTTGATCCATTCATCCATTGATGGGCACTTAGGTTGATTCCATATTTTGGCTATTGTCAATAGTGCTGCAATAAATATGAAAGTGCCAATATATCTTTGATATATTGATTTCCTTTCTTTTGAATATATACCCAGTTGTGGAATTGCTGGATCACATGAATAACTACCATTGTATACCTAAGTATAGTTGATAAGAGCACAAGCCCTGGAGTCAGACTCCTTGGATTCAAATTCAGCTTCTATAATTTCGTGAGCTTGAACAAGGTACTTTTTTCTGCCCCAGGTTGTTTACCTCCTTTGTTGTGAGGATCAAATCCATTAATAATTGTTAAACTCCTAGATCATTGTTTAGCAAATAGTCAGGGCATAATAAATGTTATAATGTGAATACTCTATGTTGGATATTATACTAAGCACTTTGGAAGCATTATTCCATTTAGTTCTCAACACAACCCAATGAAGCACAGATATTACTTTTATTTTATAGGTGAAGAACATGAAAATTAATGATGTGAAATAACTTTCACCAAGGATACAGCAGTGGGAGAAGGGACCAGCATAGGAACCTGGTCACCTGAGTCTTGAGCAGATGCCTGTTATATGGCATTTTACATGCATGGCTTCCCTTATGCTGTGAAAAACTACACTTTACCAGTGAAATTTATGTTCAATCCGTAGATTTGGGTGGTTGGTGAAATGTTTCCTTTGTACACAAACTTGAATTTTTTGTTGCATTAACAATCTTTGATATAGTAAGTACATCCATCATATATTTGCTTTTGTTTTTAATTTTTTAGTTGTAGGTATTCTTGATGCCATCATACTGTTGATTTACTGTGAACATCTAAAAGCATAATGTTACATGCAATGACTATACATAAATTTGTGGACTCTAATTTTAATATAATTGGTTTCAGGTTTTATAATGAGAATAATTAATAACAATATTTCTGCTCTAAAAGTTAAGATGCAGATTTCCAATTTATTGCAAGTAGGCTGTAAAGCATTTTGAATATTGATATTTTATGGTGAATAACTGGTTGGTAAACTGTTTATCCCCAAGCAGTAAATGAAATATTTGTATAAGCTTCTTACTCCCATATCATTTCTCCCCTACATGTGAGAAAGATGAACTTTAAATGTAGATTATTATGAAGAGCTTCCCAGAGAATAATCTTAATATCTAATGACTCCAGATTTTAGCCTGTCAAACTGATTACTTTATAAACATTGTTTGGGGCCTTCATCCTGGAATTTTCACTTTCTTGTAGTAGTTCAGATCTGCAAAGCAAAAGACTTAAGCTACTCATCATCTCAGGCTGTAGATGACTGTAAGTCATACATAAGTACTTCCAAATTGCTAATGGTAAAATTAAATCTTTGAACAAAATCTGGCTACCTGCCTGCTGTAGGGAAACTGGCATTATCATGGTCATGGGCAAGGTGGTATTATTCTGGAGGAAGCAAATGGGTGATATCTATGCTTACCTCTATGGATACCTCACTTAAGATGAGGAAAGTAACTAGACTAATACACCATTCATGCCCTACATCTCTACCCTCTGAGCATGTGTTAAGGGGAAGGGCATAGAAGATGAAAAGTATTTTTAAAAAATGGAAAAATGGAGATGTTAAGTGAAAGGAGTGCTTACGTACAAAAGCCACTTCATTTTGGCCTTCCTGTGACTTCAAGCAAGCAATCTATGAATAAAGTAACTCTTCTGCTGTTGCGGAATGAAGTGAAAAAAAAAAAAAGAAAAGAAAAAATTTTAAAAAGAGAGTAATGTAACACAATAAATCACTCCATTCTGAGGTTAATTTAAGTTAGCCTTATCAGTTAAGTGGCAAACATTTTTTATGGTGAAAATATCAATTGAATAAACAGCAACTGATTAGATAGTCTCATTGAAAAAGATCTTTCTTATGACTACTACAGCGAGCCTTAATCTGAGTTCTCTTTAACTGGGGCACACTCTGACAACTGTAATGATGGTGGTGGTAGTGGTAGTGGTGGTGGTGATAGAAAACTTTATTAAACTGAGAATGTATTGTATTCTCACTGGGAATTTTGGCAACCTGATTTTTGAGCCCAGATCCTTGCTTCTATTCACGGTAATTTTCAAATGTTCATTGCTTTTAATATCTAATAACTAGCTTATCCTTCATAGCCAATGAGTAAAATGTGCAGTCGATCAGAACAGTAGCTGGGAGTTTGATACACGGCTAAACTCATAACTGGCCTGACTACTTTTTAATTTGGAAAGCTGCTTAAACAGGCAAACTTTTTTTCTGAGCGATAAAATGTGGATGGATGACTATTTAGATGAATAATCTGTGAATATTTAGATCAACTGAAATGTAATCAACTTTAGAAACATTTGGGTATCAAAAGTAAAAATATTTTTCAATGGAAGGCTTTGATCTTCAATAAAAGGGTAAATACTTTTATTGGAATAGGTAGAAGAAGTCAAACCCAAACTTGCTGAGTTTCTGAAATAATGATAGTTTCTGCCACTGAGTATAGTACTAGACAGAAAGACATTAATGGTGATAATGGGTGTCTATTGAAAATTTCACAAGGTAAATCTTAGGAGCTATTAAAGTACAGATGCTAGTTAATTGTAGCTATTATTAATAGTTTATTATGTATACTTTCTTTTGGTCATCCCACAGTCCAGTTTGGGGACTGATAAAAAGCAGTTTGTGACATAAGACAATCAATGAAGTATAGAGATTGCTTTAAATTCAAGAAGGTTCTGAGAGTATGATATATATATGAAAATTGGCGAATGAAACCTGATGGGGATCCAAGCAAGATTCATCAGACTTTTAAAAAACATGAAGGCTAAAAGAGAACAATTAATATTTTGTATCACCATAAAAAAACCAAGGTACTAAAATATCACTCCTTTTTGTTTCGTTGTTATGAGTAATTCAGTCAACAAATATTAAAATAATTCTGATCATTTTTAAGTTTAATTTTTAGGCACTGAAGGTCAACATTCATGTGTTGCCATTCGGGGAAAAGGGAGACCACTTTCTGAATGATTGAAAATGTCACAATTGCTCTAATTATATCAATATCCTTTTCTTCAAGAATTTTCATTTGAGAGGTTATGGTGCTGTAGTACATATATTTTCACTTGTGGTTAAGTCAGAATCTAATTGACTAACTATAGTGATTTGAATGGTACCTGCTATAGACTGAATATTTATATCTCCAAAATGCCTATGTTGAAATCCTAACCCCAGTGTGATCATATGAGGAGGTGGGGCCTTTGGTGGTGATTAGGTCATGAGGGATCTGCCCTTGTAAATGGGATCAGTGCCCTTATAAAAGTGATTCCTAAGAGCTCCCTTGCTCCTTCTGCCATGTGAGTGAGAAGGTGGCAGTCAGTGAAACAGGAAGAGAGCCCTCACAAGGCAAGAAATCTGCTAGCACCTTGATCTTGGACTTCCCAGCCTCCAGAACTGTGAGAAATACATTTCTGTTAAGTTTCCCAGTCTATTGTGTTATAGCAGCCCTAACAGACTAAAACTGTAACTCTCAAAAAATGTGTCTACCTGGAAACTGTGAAAGTGACCTTATTTGGAAAAACGGTCTTTCCAGATGTAATTAAGTAGATGACATCTTCCAAAATCACCCAGATGGACCATAAATTCAATATCAAGTGTCCTCATAAGAGAGTGAGGAGAAAACACAGGAGAGAAAGAGACTATGTTACCATGGAGGCAGAGATTGGAATGATCCAGCAGGGGAAACCAGTGATTGCTGAAAGCCACCAGAAGCTAGAAGAAGCAGGGAAAGATTCTCTCCTAGAGCCTTCGAAGGTGCCCAGCACTGCTGACAACTTGATTTCGGGTATCTAGCTTCCAGAACTGCGAGAGAATAAATTTTTTTTTTAAGCCATTCAATCTGTGGTAACTTGTTTGCAGTGGTTCCAGGAAACAAACAGGCCAACATATGCACAATTCTTTTTCATTTCTTTCCTGACCACTTTGATCAATTTTTTAAAAAAATCTTTGAATGAGATCAAAATCAGGTGCTTTTGTAACTTAACTGTATTAGGGTGAAAAGTATTAAAGAAATGGCCTCTATCAAATGTAGGATTATCTGTGCAAGTTTTGTCTCACACTATGCATTTTCCCCTGGAGAGCATAACAGAGTTTTGAACTTTATAAAGTATGATTTGACCAGATAATGAAATGGGGACTGCAAAAAATTCAAAGGGTAACCTTTCCCTTTCCCGGGTATGTTTTTACCTCTCACTTGGAACAGACCTCTGCAGGCCTTCTCTGAAATAGGCAGAATTGGCCCTTTCTCCATAGGGCAATGATTTGAAGTGATGCGGAGTAGTTTGTTGGCCCTGAGTCCCGCTCTCTGGACTTCTTCCGTTTTCTAGGTCATTTTCCCTGAATTCGACCTCTTTGTCTGGCACTCTAAAGCCCTAGAAACTGGCTATTATCACGTTTAGAGTGTCTGACCTACCTGTGGCTGTAACCGTTCCACTGTGGTCTCTCAAGCGATGTTATCGTTGATGTTATGACATTTCTAGCCCCAGAAAGTCCCTGTGCTAGTGAGGGCCAGCTTCCGTCCTCTTCGCAGTCAGCACCTTTCCCGGAGTAGGCTCTAACATAAACAAGGCATTTGCCTTCTAGCTGTCATGTATTTTATGCACCATGCTAGCTAGTTTTTACTTCATGTCTATAATATATATTCACTTTAGAGAAAAAAGTATGCGTTAGGGTTCAGAGGTTAAATCTCAAATTCAAGGGCATCATGAAAAGATGTGTGTGTTTCCCAAGAACTAAATTATTCTGTTACATATTTCACCAAAGATTAAATTCCAAACTAGCCACTAAACTCTCAGTAGATGGCACTGAAGGTAATTTATCCCTGAAATATGTATTTAGGGTACACACTAATTATGATTAGAGTATTAATTTGCTCCTAAATACTTGCATTGTTATCTGTCATTAGCATTTCAGATTTGTTCATTTGTTCATAGCCTCTACTTTTTTTTCCCCTCAAATTGAATGCAGTCTAGTGTGGTAGGTAATCTGTTAGCTCTACCTCATAAAATTTAGATTAATTATATCTTAAAGGCCCTTCTTTATATAGTCCTATAAGTAATGTATATGTTGAGGTGAGGGAGTCAACAAATGGCTTTTCTTATTTCTAAGCGCAATGACTACTTTCTTCTCAAATGCTGAATAATGCCGAATAAATGCTGTTAAGTGATAATGAATGTTGATAAGTGCTGAATAAATATTTGTGGAATAAATGAAGCTGAATGAACCAATGAAGGAATATAAGAGAAACCGAAATGTCTTGGCCTTTACCAGCCTATGAGGTTATATTTCCTCTTGAATATTCTATTTCCTTAAACAAAGAAATAGAATATTCTATTAGGAAGAGCCCTCCAATAAAGGTGCATATTCCATATAGTCTTTCTCATTCACCTAGAAAAAAACTCATTATGAAGGTGTTGCCTCTTACTTTCAACACCATACTTTTTTTTTTTTTTTTTTGAGACGGAGTCTCCCTCTGTCTGCTGGCGTGCAGTGGCGGGATCTCGGCTCACCTCTGCCTCCCAGGATCAAACTATTCGCCTACCTCAGCTTCCTGAGTAGCTGGGATTACAGGCGCACATCACCACACGCAGCTGATTTTTGTATTTTTAGTAGAGACGGGGTTTCACCGTGTTGGCCTGGCTGGTCACAAACTCCAGACCTCAAGTGATCCACCTGCCTCGGCCTCCTAAGGTGCTGGAATTACAGGCGGGAGCCACCTTGCACCTAGCCAGTACCATACTTTTTTTTAGTAACATCTTTGTTAAGATACCATACCATACAATTCATTCATTTAAGGTGTACAATTCAGTGATGTTTAGTTTATTCACGAAGTTGTACAACTGTCACCACTGTCTAATTTCAGAACATTTTCATCCCCCTAAAGATAAAACCTGTAACCGTTAACAGTCACTTTCTGTTCCTTCCAGACCTGATAACCACTAATCTACTGTCTCTGTGGATTTTCCTATTCTGGACATTTCATGTAAATGAAATCGTAATATATGTGGCCTTTTATAACTTGTTTCAGTTATGTTAGCAAGGTTCATCTGTGTCGTAGTGTGTATTAGTACTTCATTTCTTTTTTCTTTTTTTTGAGATGGAGTTTTGCTCTTGTTGCCCAGGCTGGATTGCAATGGTGCGATCTCAGCTCACTGCAACCTCTGCCTCCCGGCTTCAAGCTATTCTCCTGCCTCAGCCTCCTGAGTAGCTGGGATTACAGGTGCCTGCCACCACGCCCGGCTAATTTTTGTATTTTCAGTAGAGACAGGGTTTCACCATGTTGGTCTTGAACTCCTGACCTCAGGTGATCTGCCCGCCTCGGCCTCCCAAAGTGCTGGGATTACAGCGTGAGCCACCATGCCTAGCCAGTACTTCATTTATTTTTAGGTCTAAAGAATATGCAGTTATATGGATGTAACTCCATTATATTTACCCATTCATCAGTTGATGGACGCTTGGGTTCTTTTTACTTTTTAGCTATTATGAATAATGCTGCTATGAACATTCATATACAGGTTTTTTTGCGGACACATGTATTTTCATTTCTCTTGGGTATATTCCTAGGAGTGGAGTAGCTAGTGGAGTTACTGTATGTTTAACATACAGTAACTGGGCAACAGAGGAGACTCTGTCTCAAAAAAAAAAAAAGTATGTTTAACATTTTGAGCAACTGTCAAATTATTTTCCAAATTGGCTGTATCATTTTACAGTCCTACCAACTGTATGTAAGGCTTATAATTTCTCCACATCCTCACTAGCACTTGCTATTGTTGGCTTTTTTAGTTTTAGTCAACCTACTGAGTGTGATGTGATGTCTCATGTGGTTTAGATTTGCATTTCCCACATGGCTAATGATGTTGAACATATTCCCATATGTTTATTGGCTATTGCTACATCTTTGGAGACACTTCTATTCAAATCCTTTGCTCATTTTTAATCCTTTGCCCAGTTATCTTTTCATTGTTGAATTATAATATTTCTTTGTATATTCCTCATACAAGCGCCTTGTCAAATATACGATTTGTAAATATTTTCTCTATTTACTGGGTTGTATTTTCATTTTCTTGATGGTGTCCTTTGAAGCACAGAAGTTTTAATTTTGGTAAAATCTAATTTATTTTTTTCTTTTGTTGCATGTGCTCTTGTTGTCACATCAAAGAAACCATTGCCTAATCCAAGGTGACAAAAACTTACTCCTATGTTTTCTTCTAAGAGTTTCATGGTCTTAGCTGTTAAATTTAGCTCTATCACCCATTTTGAGTTAATTTTTGTATACGTTGAAGTATTCGTTCAAAAGAATGATTTTTTTTTCAGATTCTTTCTTTTGCACGTTATCGGTTTTAATATCATCTGTTGAAAAGATGGTTCTTTCTCTCATGAATGGTCTGGACACTTTTGCCGAAAATCAGTTGACCTCAAATGTAAGGGTTTATTTCAGGGCCCTCAATTTCATTCCATTGATTTATATGTCTGTCCCTAGGCCAGTACCACACTGTGTTGACTGCTGTAGCTTTGCAGTAAGTTTTGAAATTGGGAGGCAGCTGTTAATAGTACCTTAAGATCAAAGAAATATGATGCTCACATCGCATGAGCTATGGACTCTATCCTACATTCCCTGCAAGCAAAACATACTGCCTTTGGATATGTAATATAAAATTCAATATCAATAAATTCTGGGCTGTCTGATTTAGGTAACCACACATTTGGAGCCCTGACAATCTAATCCACTGTTTCCCCAAATTTGAGGTAGAACTCATTTGTCCTTACTCCTTTTCTCAGGGTCTCAGTTCTATTGTCTGCAAACAACCACTCAAACAAGAATGTTAGTGATTTCCTAACAGCAGTCACTATTTTACAGGCCAGGCACAATCTAAATCCATAGAGAAGAAATATTTTTCTCTAGGCATGAAAATCCTAGGAGAACTGTTAAATAAGCAAGAGGACCATTTAACATTGTCCAGCTGGGCTCCATTTCTAACTTTTCCAAGACCAGTGGAGAGGTAATTGCTGTATATTTGCATAACTAAAAGGCCCACCTTGTACTCGTTTTCTAAGAACAATGGACACTGACCCAAGGTTTATTTTAAATGGGCGGTTTTTCTATCTCTACCAGAGTACTCTGTAATAAATAATTTCTCCTAAATTTTCTTAGGTCTTTCAGTCTTCCTGTTGGCCTTGTACTTGCTATTCCCTTTATCTAGGACCACAGAAAGGCTGTGACCTTCAGTAAGTTTCTATACCCCTCTGAATTTTGCTGCCTTCATCTATTGAATGGACATAATGATAGTATTTGAGAATTATTTAAGTTACATAGTATCCTTCAGAGTTGTGAGGATTAAATATGCCTGGTAAGTGTAACCTGTGTGTGTGTGTGTGTGTGTGTGTGTGTGTGTGTATTTGAACAGGTTTTCACCTAGTCACATGTAGATGTACATTAACATGTGAATGCTCTGATTTCTTATCTCTTTTGTCTGTGAGTATTCTAGTATTTATTATGCTATATGATAATTACAGGGTATAGTTTTGTCTGGCTCTCTCACTGGTCCACATACACCCTGAGAACTGAATTGGATCCATGTTTTTATATTTTACTTGGTATTAAACATTGGTACATAGTAGATGTTCAGAGGTTTCAAACACAGTTGGCAGTTGTTCTGTCTAGGATATTAGCTTCATTTTACTCTAACCAGCCATTTATCCTACATAAAATTCAAGGTCAGTAATCACCTGAGATTTCTAAGAAGGGATTATTATTAATTAATTACTGATGCTGTCAAGAACTTGTTAATTCTCCTCTATGTTTGAATAATCAAGTACCTTTGGGCAAATGTGCTGTAAAAACTTGAGTTATCCATACTCAGTATGGAGATTTCTTTTGTTTATTTTTCCTTCTTCCCATAAATATTTAATGAATACCAACTGGATAGCAAGCAATGCGTTGGACACAGGGAATGCATCAATGAACTAGACAGATATGAAGTCTACATCCAGTAGGGAAGACAGACATTGAACAAGTAACCTCAAGTGTGGTGAATGTTAGGAAGATTGAAGGTCTTGAAGGAACGAAGGGCAGAATAAGCAGTAGAAAAGCGGGAATGAAGAGCTGACCTAAAAGTAGTGTTTGTATATAAGGTAATTTTTCAACTTTTTAATTTCAGGAATACACGTGCAGGTTTGTTACATAGGTAAACTTGTGTCATGAGGGTTTGTTGTACAGATTATTTCATAGCCCAGATATTAAGCATAGTACCCATTAGTTATTTTCCTTGATCCTCTCCTTCCTCCTACCCTATGACCTCCGATAGGTCCCAGTATCTGTTGTTCCCTTCTATGTGTCGATGTGTTCTCATCATTTAGCTTCCACTTATAAGTAAGAACATGCAGTGTTTGATTTTCTGTTCCTGCGTTAGTTTGCTAAGGATAATGGCTCCATCCGTGTCTCTGCAAGGGACATGATCTCATTGTGTATGTACCACATTTTCTTTATCAGTCTATCATTGATGCGCTTTTAGGTTGATTCCGTGTCTTTGCTATTGTGAATAGTACTGCAGTGAACATACACATGTGTGTGTCTTTATAATAGAATGATTTATATTCCTTTGGGTATATACACAGTAATGGGAATGCTGGGTCGAATGACATTTCCATCTTTACATCTTTGAGGGATCGCCACACTGTCTTCCACAATGCTTGAATTAATTTACACTCCCAGCAATAGTATATAAGTCTTCATTTTTCTCTATAACCTTGCCAGCATCTGTTATTTTTTTACTTTTTAATATGGCCATTCTGACTGGTGTGAGGTGGTATCTCATTGTGGTTTTGATTTGCATTTTTCTAATGATCAGTGATGTCAAGCTTTTTTTTTTTTTTTTTTTTTTTAGACTGAGTCTCGCTGTGTCGCGCAGGCTGGAGTGCAGTGGCTCGATCTCAGCTCTCCACAAGCTCCGCCTCCCGGGTTCATGCCATTCTCCCGCCTCAGCCTCCCAAGTAGCTAGGACTACAGGCACGTGCCACCACGCCCAGCTAATTTTGTTTTTGTATTTTTAGTAGAGACGGGGTTTCACCATGTTAGCCAGGATGGTTTCGATCTCCTGACCTCGTGATCCGCCCACCTCGGCCTCCCAAAGTGCTGGGATTACAGGCGTAAGCCACCACACGCAGCTGATGTTGAGCTTTTTTATATGACTGTTGGCTGCATGTATGTCTTCATTTGAAAAGTGTCTATTCATGTCTTTTGCCCACTTTTTAAAGTGGTGGTTTTTTCTTGTAAATTTAAGTTCCTTATAGATGCTAGATATTAGACCTTAATCAGATACATAGTTTGCGAAGACTTTCTCCCATTCTGTGTGTTGTCTCTTTACTCTGTTGATAGTTTCTTTTGCTGTGCAGAAGATCTTCAGTTTAATTAAATCCCATTTGTCAATTTTTGCTTTAGTTGCAATTGCTTTTGTTGTCTTTGTAATGAAATCTTTGCCCGTGCCTATGTCCTGAATGGTATTGCCCAGGTGTTGTCTTCCAGAATTTTTATAGTTTTGGGTTTTATGTTTAAGTCTTTTATCCTTCAGTTAATTTTTGTGTATGGTATAAGAAAGGGGTCCACTTTCAATATTCTGCATATGGCTAGCCAGTTATCCCGGCACCATTTATTGAATAAGGAATCCTTTCCCCGTTGTTTGGTTTTGTCAGGTTTGTTGAAGGTGAGATCGTTGCAGGTGTGCAGTCTTATTTCTGGGTTCTCTATTCTGTTCCATTGGTCTGTGTGTCTGTTTTTGTACCAATACCATGCTGTTTTGGTTACTGTGTCCCTATAGTATAGTTTGAAGTTGGGTAGCATGATGCCTCCAGCTTTGTTATTTTGCTTAGGATTGCCTTGGCTATTCGGGCTTTTTTTTTTTGTTCCATATGAATTTTAAAATAGTATTTTAGATGTTTAAGGAGAGGTATAAAGTGGAGGGATACAAAAAAAAGAGCAAGACATTTCAAGTGAGGAGAAAACATAGACTGTAGCATTCATCCATTCAGATATTTTTCTGAGTGCCTACTCTGTGCTGGGCAGATAAACAAAGCCAGACCCAGTCCCTCATCTTAACTAGTTCATGTTCTAGTATGGAAGGAAAATGTTCATCAAGTAATCACACTAGAAATATGTGATCACCAATTGAGACAAATGCTAAGAAAATGGTAGTGGTTCTATAATGTTTGTGACAAAGGAAATTAACATAGAGAGCATTAAGAAAAACTTCACTAAGAAAATGATTGTAACTGAGATCTGAAGGATCAGTAAGGATTAAAAAGGAAATGTTTTCTAGACAGAAAATACAGAATGTACAAAGGTGCTGTGGTGGCATAGAGCATGGTATTTTCAAGGGATTCGAAGAAGACCTGCCTGTGTGGCTGGAGGGCACAGAGCAAGGCTGAATGCAGCAGAGCAGAAAGTGGTGGGAGGGAGGAAGAAAAGGGAAGAGAGTTTGTCCTGCATTTTAGCTCAAGATTTACTGAGGCCACTATGCTTAAGCGTGTCACTTTACTGACTTAAGATTAGGAAAATTCTCATATGGTCCCATTAAGCATGCTCAGTGTCTTGAAGTCTACATGGTATGCAAGACAGTAGCTTTCTGTAAGTCTAATCATCAGTTCACACATCGTCAACCATCCACCTGTAACAATAACAGGAGCTAACACTTCTCACTTGCTTTGCATGTACCAGCCATTAAATTAGGAATTCTCTTTTTTAATACTTACCTCAACACTAGACACCTGTACTCTTGATGTTCCCATTTTACGAAGGAGAGAACTCAGACATAAAAAAATTAAATAACTTGCCAAACTTCACACAGCTGGGAAGTTGAAGGGCTAGGGTATGATTCCAGGTAATTTGACTTCAGTACTTGAATTATTAATCACCACACTATACTGGCTTTCTGATATTTTTACTATGGTGAAAATGCATTTCCGTCAGAGGGAATAATTTGTTTGAGAAACTCAAAACTGAGTTTAGAATTTGATGGTAATAAAATACCCAGACTCAATTTCTAAATGCCGTACTGTCAACTAAACTCCACTTGCATCCATAGGTGAAAAGGTGAAGCCGTGTTTTGTTCTTTTGCCAGTAAGTGGCAGTGCTGAGTGTAGTACAAAGAGATAGAGGATAGGGTTTCAATATCACCACTCGTACTTGTCGTCACTGAGTTTCTGCACGGAGATGAAAGGATGAGATTGAAGATGCTAACGAAGTCAGGAAAAGCCCACTTAACCGACAGTGCTAGAGAATGGAGCTCAAGTAATGCTGATAGTGCTTTTTTTCCGGGTTAAGAAGACATTTCTCCTGGCTCCCCTTCCTAGAGTATGTCTCACATAGTTATTTTAAGAATTAGAAAACATATGTGAAGTACCTGGTCTGTAGTAAAAAGGGAAACTATTTGTTTTCCTGGGATTAGACAGCTAATCAAATACTGCTCTACTAGCCTGCTGTGTATTTTTAATTTTGCTTAATAATTTTAAATTATTAATCATCAATTAAATATGGGATAGCTATAATTAGATATTTTATATGCCTTAGAGTTTTTAATACCTGTGAATAGCTGCACATATAAGTTCCTCTGTCGTCTTTGTTTCTAGTTATAAAACAGGTGCCCTCAGAGAGCATCCTACAGATTGATAAAGCAAGTGCCACCTGGAGAAACCTAATTCCTTATTCAAGAAATCTTCATATGCCAAGAAATACATAGCAAGTAATAACCTAAAACTGATCAAAATAAATATTTAGTGACTGTTTCTTCAATGATGACACTGTACCCACACACACAGAAACTAACATTGTTGGTGCTGGAAAGGACAAATCACCAGCTTTGAAAATGTATCATGAACTTAGGGATTTGGGCAGTGGGAGAGGAACAGCCTTCCAGAATTTGATCAGCTGTCTATAGCATTTCCAAATGAATCCTACTTTATGATGGCCCTTGAGAAGGCATCCCTCATCACCACTCTTTCCAAATCAGAGTTAAAGCCCAGAGTCACAATAGGGCTTCCTTTGGGGGTTTGGTTCAAAATTTAAATATCACCTGTCTCTGCCACTCTGGTTAATGTGGCCTTCTTCAGTGACTGCCTCTCTCAATGCCCTGTGGATTTCCTTCACCTTTCTCCTGATCGCATCTATAATTTTATCTATAAGTCTACCTTTTGCTTTGTCAGTCCCACTAGAAACTCCACCAGTGCTTCACACACAGTGTTAGATACATTTTTTAGATAATCAGGCTAGTCCAAATGACCATCAGTTAGTGAGTGGATAAAGAACTGTGGTATACATATATATGATGGAATACCACTCAACCATAAAAAGAGAATGAGTTAGTGGCATTCGCAGCAACCTGGATGAGATTGGAGACGATTATTCTAAGTGAAGTCACTCAGGAATGGAAAACCAAACATCGTATATTTTCACTCATAAGTGGGAGCTAAGCTATGAGGACGCAAAGGCATAAGAATGATACAATGGAATTTTGGGACGCGGCGGGGAAAGGTGGGAAGAGGATGAGGGATAAAAGGCTACAAATTGGGTTCAGCGTATACTGCTTGGGTCATGGGTGCACCAAAATCTGACAGATCACCAGTAAAGAACTTACTCATGTAACCAAATACCCCCTGTTCCCCCAAATCCTATGGAAATAAAAAATTAAAAATTCAGGAGATGCAATAGTAGCAGAGCACAACGAAATAACAGAATTAAGGACACATTCGCCATATGTCTCTTTTATATTGAGAACACAGCAATATTAATGACCAGATGATGACCTTCAACCTAAACTGGAAGTTGTGTGACAAAGTCCATGTTGGTTTGGAAGCTAAAGGTGGAAAGTGAGATTAAATACTATAGGGCATGGAATGGTAGTGACCTGCAACTTGGAGCTGATGTAAGGACTTGATAAGTCAAAGCTCACTAGGATGCAATACTAGAAAAAATGGTCTTGGTGTATCACATGGATTAAGTGAGATTAAAAGTAGTTTTTTTATTAGATCTCAAAAAAAATATACCAGGCTAATAAGTCATTCCATGTAAAAGCGAGGGTGACAAAGAGAAGCTGGTAAGAAAGGCAACCTTGAAAGTCTTCACACTTTAGAGCTAAACATGCAAAATATATTCAGAGACAAGATGAATGTGCTTTCCTTTTGGAAGTGATATTGATCTGGGGAGAGGGGGAGGGTGATCTTCCAAAGACTTTATTTCTTTTGTTATCAAGTGATTGGTGTGAGTGCACCCTTTTGATCAGAGGTATGTAGACATGCTTGAGTAACAGCTCTCTCTCTCCTCTTATTGAACTGCTTTTTGTGATTGATTTTTAAAATAAACGAATTGTTTGCTTCAGCTAATCAGGGACTAGTTAGTGTATCCTGAAAAAGGAAGTTTATATAAGTGCTCTTTATTACCTTTACTGAGTGAGTGGGCTTTTTTGTTTTTGTTTTTGTTTTTGTTTTTTAAATTTTCAGTTAGTTGCCCCATTGACAGACAATAGAGATAACAGTGAGTCCATGGAATACCTCATGGTGGAAAATGCACAGCCGATTAGAAAAATGTTCTACTTGAGCGTACCAAACTAATCCCAAACAGTGAATTCTGATCCCCTTTCTGTCTCAGATTTTCTCTATGATCACGTCTTACGATAATAAGAAGCAAAGTCTCTAATGGAAGTTCATCAGTGGCAACAACTGTGGCTAACCTGACAACCCAGCACCTAGTACAGTGCTCACAGGCAGCTGGTGTTCAATAAAAGCTTCTTACATAGCTCACCTTCTCAGTATTTTTGTGTTTTTTTCCTTTAAGTGGTTAGAAGGCAGAATTTAAAATATTGTCACATAGCAGTGGGCGTGTAAGGTCATCTGCTGTTTGCCAACCAAATGGTGAGGCTAGAAAACATTTGCATATAAATGTTACATTTGGTTGAGGCTTTTAAATTACAGAAATGTAGGTAAAATGGTCAGAGTGGCAGTTAGAGATGAACAAATGTTTTACATCTGTGGAGCCTTCATATTTATTGCTTTGAGTGTCATTGCCATTTCCTGCTGGAAATTAAACATCACAAATGTATCCTTCATTTGACCAGGTGGCCTCGATGCTTCTGAAATGAATGGCGAATCCGGTAATATAAATTGTAATCACATCACAAGCATCTTCCTCTTAACCTTGGTAATGATGTGAAATAGTGCATTTTAAGCTTGTTTTGAAGGTTAAGCAGGAAATCTTATCTTGGATAATTAATATTTCAACAAAAATCAATGTGGCTACAGTTAGCAGGTAGGTAATCTGACTAATTGGCTCAATATTAAATTTGTTAACTACAAATTGTCTTTCAGCTGAAATTGTATTGGTAGAAACAAGGAAATTGGTGAAGTATTTACTAGATTTGTAGCACAGTCTTGTTCAGCTTGCTGTAGAGAGCTTGTGATTTAAACATGGTGGACCAATGGGAGCTCATTCTCCAGCCACCTCCACAGCAGTCCTGATGACTTCCCCTATCTACTTTATAATGGCACTTAGGCTGAGGCAGGAACATTTCCTCAGGAAATTGTCACCGTGTCCACAGAAAGTGGGTTGGTCCTCTGTGTCTACTGCTTCACTTTCTCCTTAATAATCCAAGCCAGCACTTTATGCCTTGAAAAAAATAACTAATAGTTAAGTTGTCTATATCGTTTTCCTTTTTAGAAAGTACTTTCAAATCTGTTTTATCTTTTAGTCTTTACAAAGGCCTGTGAGGTATGATTTATCATCATCACCATCCCCATCTTACACATGTAGAATGTGAAGCTCAGAAATAGGAAGTGACTTCCTCAAGTTCGTGATCCCATTAAGGGACAGATCCGAGGATCAAAACCCAGACTTTTGACTTCAAGTCTTGAAGTCTTTTCATTGTACCATATCTTCATTTAAAATGGGGTCCACCCTGAAGCCAAAGAAACACATCCTTACTAGTAGGTATCTGACATTTGTCTTATTTTGTGAAAAAGATATTTTGGGAGCACACCTTCAAATGCTGGTTCCCAAAACTTACCTATACTGAAATTTCCACCAGTCTACGCAAATATGCACTACATTATTAAAATAAGGTGGCCAGGCACGGTGGCTCACACGTGTAATCCCAGCACTTTGGGAGGCCGAGGCGGGCAGATCATGAGGTCAGGAGTTCAAGACCAGCCTGGCCAATATGGTGAAACCCCATCTCTACTAAAAATACAAAAACAATTAGTCGGGCGTGGTGGCGCACACCTGTAGTCCTAGCTATCCTGGTGGCTGAGGCAGAAGAATCACTTGAACCCGGGAGGCAGAGGTTGCCATGAGCCGAGATTGTGCCACTGCACTCCAGCCTGGGCAACAGAGTGAGACTCTGTCTCAAAAAAAAAAAAAACAGAAACAAAACAAAAGGCAGTGTTTAGTCAATTAAAGGACAGTTTTTCTGTTGATACTATCTTTCTGTAATTTTTCACGTTGAAAAGTTCTGTCTTTTATGTATTGATGATGGTAGAAAATTGTGGTGGTACTGGTGGTAACTTTTAGTATCCATAGTTAGAAACACCTATGTTGGTTTCACACACATCTCATATTTCCCCTTAAAATTCTATTGCTCCATTAAATCCAACACTCTGTAAACCAGGATTTTAAAAAACAACATACAGATGATAGAATGGGTGGCAAGTAAAAATGCTTCTTGCCTGCAGCACAGGCCCTTAGAAATCATCAGCGGAGCCAAGGGTCTACAACAAGCAGATCAAAAATAGCAGCAAGACAGGCTAACTATCTTCAGGAATCAATGCCAGCCTCTTATGGCATTCCCTAGAGGCCATCTCTTGGGCCTTGGCACCTGTGCTAGTTTCATGGTTAGATTAGTTATGTCCTGTTGCTGAAGAACAAGGAGTGACTTCTCTTCCATCTCTCTCTGTCTCTTTTTGTTTGTTTGTTTGTTTGTTTTTTTTTTTTGAGACGAAGTGTCACTCTCTTGCCCAAGCTGGAGTGCAATGGCGTGATCTCAGCTCACTGCAACCTCCAACTCCCTGGTTCAAGCAATTCTA
This sequence comes from Homo sapiens, assembly GCF_000001405.40. Lineage (NCBI taxonomy): Eukaryota > Metazoa > Chordata > Mammalia > Primates > Hominidae > Homo > Homo sapiens. The sequence goes on from NC_000003.12 coordinate 2,770,140, forward strand.
CTGCCTCAGCCTCCCGAGTAGCTGGGACTACAGGCACGCGTCATCATGCCCGGCTAACGTTTGTATTTTTAGTAGAGACGGGGTTTCACTATGTTGGCCAAGCTGGTCTTGAACTCCTGACCTCGTGATCCGCCTGCCTCAGCCTCCCAAAGTGCTGGGATTACAGGCGTGAGCCACCGTTTCCGGCCCTCTTCCATCTCTTTCTATTTAGCTTTGGAGGAAAATGTTAGAGATTTAAAACCATTTGCTATAAGGCAGTATTGCCTTTTGCACACACAAACCTTCCCTGGTGGGGGAGGGCCAAGGGCCCTCAGCTTCCTTCATCCCAAGAGAGGAAGTGCATTGTTATAAAATCCCTCATCAGTCTGGCTCTACCAAAGAAAAGGTATCATAAAAGCTTCAGATCTCTGCAAAATAGTGTCTCTTTTTCTACAGATCTTTCTTGCCTGGCTTCTACACATGCATCACTGCACTGACCCGTAAGGATTAAGGAAAGTAAACAAACAGAAACTATCCAGGGCTAGAGATAATCAGTGGACCAGGCTGAGCAAAGGAATGTAAATCTAAGTGTCATGTGGCTAAGAACTGCTGTTTGAAAAGCTGACGCAGTGGGAATAGCAAGAGTTGACAGGCAATGCTTAGTGTATGGTGAGATGCTCAGTGTGAGACCAGTTACCATTTGAGGCATAGCTCAGGGGCTCTGCTACCAAGCATGGCAGATAACTCCCAGAAACACACACAATGCATATCCAGGTGATAGTAACAATGTGTTTTACTGTGTTTTCCTCATTTTTTGGTTTGCTTTTCTATTAAAAATTCAGAGAGGGGTGCATATGTGCTTGAAAAATACTGTTTCCCCTTCACTGGTAGTGTCTAGCATCCCTGAGTGGTCTGAAATGGAAAGAGCAACATGGAGCCTCATGCATCTTCACAGAGATTTGTTTCCAAAGTCAGCACTTAAAGCAAAATGACTGTCATTAAAGTTACCCTCAGAATTCTCTTAAGTTGGAAGTATACATACCCATGGGAGATAGGCATGCCACCTCTCCCCCGAGGATGGAACAGACAAGTAATTGTTTCTTTGGTTGAAAAGCAGGTGAAGAATTAACTTAAGTTTAGAGCCACATTGCATGAGAAGTGGGTATCTTTAAATACTCTACAACATGGGAAGGTACTCTCTCTATGTGAAGCCAGTGAAAATTGAAACTGAAAAATAAAAGAGATTTGGGTCCCTCATCTCTAATGCAGTGTTGGAAACTGATCAAGCAAGCCACATGGTGGGCAGAATTACCCACACTATTTACATGGCTACCTCTTCTCTCTCACACATATCACTCCAATATGTGACCTCTGGCAAATCATTCTACCTCTCTGAGTCTCAGTTTCATTCTCTGTATAATGGGGATGATGTGAGTATCAATGGCCATTTTAAGGACCAATTGAGACAAAGTATGTTGACATATTTTCTTCCAATTATGTAAATGTCTTATATAAAATAAGGCATGCTTTATTGAAAGAAGATAATAGAAAAAGATCTAAAGAAAAAAATCTGAAAGGAGTAAAAATAAATAAGGAAGATCTTGTACTTTAGTGGAAGAGAAAGACATACAGTATTAATTCCAGGATATTATGTGGTAAATGAAAAGACAGCAGTGTGCACAGTATGTAATGAAAACATGGAGAAGCAATATGTAATCCGTCCTGGGGTACACAGTAGGCTCCCCAAGAGAGACAGTGACTGAGCAGAGTCTTGACAGATGGTTGATAGTTAAAGAGGCCAAGAGAGCTGGCAGGGTGTTTCATGCGACAAGAACAGCAAAGCCTGAATCTTCATGGATATGCACGGGACATGGAAACATTCCATGTTTCAAGGTTGTCAAATATGAACTGGAGAGTGGGAGGCTACAAGGGGAGAGAGAGAGAGCTAAGGCGGGGAGATGATGGAGGACCTTGTTTGACATGGTAATGAGCTTTAGCTAATCTTTTGGTGGCTGACGATCTCAAAGGGTTTTAAGCCAGCAGAGTGGTATAACCAGGTTTGCATTTTAGAACTTGATTACTGTGGCTTCATTTTGGAATGGGCATTTAAGGCACTAGGATACCAGCATCTGGAAAAACAGGAAGGCTTTCCAATATCGCAGGCAAGAAATAATAAGAGTCTATCCTAAGACAAAGGCAGTGAAAGTAGAGGAGGCATATTTGAAAAATACTTTTGTGGTGAAATCGTCAAGGTTCGTTGGATGGTTTGGGTGAAGGTAGGGACGGAGACTGAGAGTAAAGAGTACAGAAAGAAAGAAAAAAAAGATCATAGAATGACTTTAAAGTCTAATGTCTTGGATGGTGGGGTATCATTGACTAACTTTGGAATCAGGTTAGGGTTGGAGATTAAGAGGTGGCAAATTTACTTTAAGACATACCAAGTTGTGTGATTTATCACACAAACCTGGATTCTTATGAGTGTGAAAAGTGCCACTGTCAATAATTTTGCCAGGACAATAAATGTAAACCTCAATTATTTCAGGAAAACTAGAATGTAAAGTCACCTTATCTGTAGGATACTCAGCAGTTGAATATATGAGAAATACTACATCGATAGGGCTGAAGGTTTACAGTAAATAGACATGAACATAAAGATTAGATTTTAAATCATGAGAATGTATAAGATCATCCAAAAAAGAGAGAAAAGCAAAGGCACCTTGGTGAAAACTAGTGTTTGAAGGGTAGGTGAAGTTGAAAGAGCCCTCAAAAGAGACTAAGAGGGAGGAAGAGAAGAGATAGGAATCAGGAGAGGATAGAGAGCAGATATTTTCAGGAAGCAGTTGAAAATGTCCAGTACAACAGAGAAATCAGATAAGATAAGGATTGAAAAATGCCCACTGGATCTGGCAACATGGAATTGACTTTTGCCAGAGCGGTTTCATGGGAGATCTGAGGCCAGTATCCAGATAGTGGGGTTGTAGAGTAATAAGCTTTAGTTAATCTTTTGGTGGGGGGGGTTGCAGAGTAAATGGGAAGTCAAGAAGTAGAGAAAGCAAGGGTATACCTGAAGAAGGAAAGAGAAAGAGAAGTGCACAGCTGAAGGGAGTGTAGAGTCAAAGAAGTGTTGCTTTATATATTTTTTCAGGTTGACAAAATTTTTGTATATTTTAATAGGCTGAAAGAGAAAGTTTAAAGACACAAGGTTTATTAATAAGTTGGTAGTAGTACTGACTTGTTAGATATAAAGTTTGTACAAGTTTTATTCAATGATATATTAACTTATTTAAGTTTTGTTTTACATTTTGCTCTGATAAGTAGTGGGTAGGGAAGGGAATCCAACATTCTTACGGGGTACTTTCCATAACACACTGATTGCAGCATGGAGAACACTTGGCAACTGGAGGAAGACCTCAGAAAAGTAATGCATGTAGGATTCTAGAGGAAGATGAGACTAGGTGTTCGGTTGGGTTCCTGCTCCTGAATTTGTGCAGTAAGGCCGAAATTCCTTACTGTAGACAGATTTCCTTGTCTATGGATGGCAACTATGTCACCTTTTCTAAACACCCTGTGGGCATTACAGGCTTAGGGGGTTACCAAACTCTGGCACTGAGTAATAATGAAGCCTTCATCTCAATGTAGTAGACTTTTTTTTTTTTTTTTGAGACGGAGTCTCCCTCTGTCTCCCAGGCTGGAGTACAGTGGCATGATCTGGCTCACTGTAAACTCCGCCTCCCAGGTTCAAGCAATTCACCTGCCTCAGTCTCCCAAGTAACTGGAATTATAGGCACCCGCCACCACATCTGGCTAAGTTTTATATTTTTAGTACAGACAGGATTTCACCCTGTTGGCCAGGCTGGTCTCGAACTTTGGACCTCAAGTGATCCACTTGCCTCAACCTCCCAAAGTGCTGGCATTACAGGCATAAGCCACCATGCCCAGCCTCGATTTAGTAGACTTTTGACCAAGACAAATATTAGTCCAGAAAAGATAGATCAGGCCGGGTGCAGTGGCTCACACCTGTAGTCCCAGTTACCCGGGAGGCTGAGGCAAGAGGATAGCTTGAACCTGGGAGGTGGAGGTTGCAGTGAGCCAAGATTGCACCACTGCACCCCAGCCTGAGTGACAGAGCGAGACTCCATCTCAAAACAAAAACAAAAACAAAAAAAAGAAAAGATATGTCAGCTGCATTACCCCCACCCCAATCTCCATTTCATCTGCCAATCTTCTTGCCTTCTGATCAACCTACCTTTCCTACCGCCATTGTTCCTTCTCTCTTCCACGTCACTTTTATGTTATGGTATCTCACTTATCTCCTCTACTTTCAAAGTAACCAAACACTTTTCTTTCCTTGTGTGCATCAAAATGAAGGAGGGACCCATTTCCTCTACAAATAATTGACTGAAAAATAATGGTTGCTCTTCACTCCATTAGCTCCTGTGAACTTTAGAAAACAATTGATAGCTTATGTATTTTCAGTTTTGGAAAACCTTCAAGAATAGCTGAACTTTGGAACTGCATACTAGACCTAGCAGGATGGGACAGCAAATAGAATAACACTCCTTCAGGCTAGTGAGTGTCTCTTTGTTTTCATTTGGAAAGACTGCAGGAGGATGACTGTTACAGCAGTTTTGGAACCATTGTGTAACTGTATCCCACGAGACAACATCATTTGGTTTCAAGATGTTTATTTAATACTGTTTTCTTATTTGTATTAACCATCAACAACATAAAGCAGATGCACATTGAGGCTGTTTACAAAATAGCCTGTTGTACTTGCAAGATTTCCAGGATTCTTATGTCAATTCCCTTTCAACCATAGCCTGAACAGTCCTCTTCTTTGGAAGCACGGACAGCGATTTCAGCTTCGCAAAAGGCTAGTTGTGCTTATAACGTTCACCCAGCAGCCTGCTGGTGCTCTTTATTCATCATATGCTCTGTGGGACAGTCATGACTTTCCAGCAGACATAAGTGATGGTTTGCTTTTGCATCTTAAAGGCATTAATCTTGTATGATCTGATCCATATGCTTTGTACAGTGACTGTAACAATTAAATGTTCACATGGACTCTTTTAGGGAATTGCATTGGCTTATTTCAGAATTCAAATACTGCTTAGTGTTTTTATTTCCAGCCAGTTCATTCTTATGAATCTGTTTTCAAGCCTCATCTCTTCTCCTCCCGTGTTCTCCCACCATGGCCCTCTTCCCCATGCAAAACTCCTCTGTACATAGAGTTCCTATGGAAACATACCATGTCTGACCACCCTCTAGGAAGTTGTTGCCCATCATTTAATCTCTCTTTATTTGATTTTATTATTCTTATTATTTTTCTTTGAGACAGAGTCTCACTCTGGAGTGCAGTGGCACGATCTCGGCCCACTGCAACCTCTGCCTCCCAAGTTCAAGTGATTCTCATGCCTCAGCCTCCAGAGTAGCTGGGAGTACAAGTGCGCACCACCACAGCCAGCTAATTTTTTGTGTTTTTAATAGAGATGGGATTTTACCATGTTGGCCAGGCTGGTCTTGAATTGCTGGCCTCAAGTGATCTGCCTGCCTTAGCCTCCCAAACTGCTGAGATGACAGATGTGAGCCACCACACCCAGCCCATTTAATTTCTGTAATATAATGTTTTAAAACTTTGCAACAGAGCAGTTATTATCACTCTTTGATTATCTATTTTTTGTCTTTTTTACTAAGCTATTGTCTGTCTTCTTCACTACAATATGAGCTCCATGAGGGCGGGAACCTTTTATAATATATTCGGTGCTATAATACCAACACCTAGCATTGGACCTGACCCATATATGCAGTTAACATATATTTGTTGATTGAAGTATTGCTCTTCAGCCCGAACTGACCCCTTCTTCCTTTGCGCTTTGCATTTTATACATACTTATGTCATAGCATATTTATTGCATGTGTCAACCTTAATAACCGGATTCAAGTGAAATGATTATTGAACTTATTTGAACACAAAGTTTGAGGATGGCCACCCAGAAGGACACAGACTCTAAAAGAGTGGAGTCATGGCTCCAAAGTGGGGAGATTTGAGGGCCCCTCTTATATTGGCAAGGTCTGGGGAAGATGAGCAGGATTACATCATTTTCCATACAGGATTGGTGAATAGTTAACAGCAATTTGATTGGTTATAAGTGTTTCTTTTTTTTTTTTTTTTTTTGGAAAGAATATAAGTGTTTCTTTTTTTTTTCTTTTTGGAAAGAATATTTAGGTATATTTAATATTCCACATGAAGGATGTAATAGTCAAAGGGTCTGTTGTCTCAGTCAAGGGGTCCTCTATCTCAGGGCCATCTCCTCTGAGCCAGGAATAAGGAAATAAGGTAGGAAATTAATCTATAACAGAAAGTCAGTAATTAAGAGGTCAAGCTCTGTGACTTGATCTCCAAAGTCAACATTCCTCAGGGCCTAATAGATAGACTATCCATTTTCTTTTACACGTGAATTTGTGTGACATGCCCTCTACTCTTGGTAGAATTGGTAGACTGTAAACTTCTTGAGGAAAGGGACTGTGTCTTCCTCCTCTTTGGTTCCCTGGGTCCCAGCACAGAGCTTGTTATTAAGTCAATGATCAATAAATATTTGTTGATTACCTATAGGTTCCTCTTGATTAAATTTAACTGCACTAAATTTTATGTAATAAGTTTTTGCTGAGCCCGTAGAGTACAAAGTCCTCAGTTACAAATGTGGGCTAAATGGAAACAGACATACCCCCTTCATTCAAACATCTTATGTATCTTAGGTATACGATGCAGAGACTCTGTGTGAGGGTGGGTATGCATATAAAATACATTGAAAATCCCTAATTTGTATTCCAGGAGAGACACCATGCATCTTTTTGTTTTGTTTTGTTTTGTTTTGTTTTTAAGACAGACTCTCACTTTATTGCCCAGGCTGGAGCGCAGTGGCTCAATCTTGGTTCACTGCAACCTCTGCCTCCCAGGTTCAGGCAATTCTCCTGCCTTAGCCTCCCAAGCAGCAGGGATTCTAGGCGCCCACCACCACGCCCAGCTAACATCTTTGAATTTAAGGATCCTTTGTGCTTTCAGGAAAATCACATTTGTGTTTTATGGTATTTAAACAGAAATTAGTATAACCCATGATTAATACCCCTAACATGAGGGAAACTATAAGACTACTCAATATTCCATATCTATCTCAGGTTAATTATGCTTCCCCCACTAAATTTAGTAAAGAAAGATGGAAAACAATGAGAGTTACTCTTACCCATCTACGGCTCTCCAACTAATACTTCTAAGAGTGTGTTTGTAGGCTCTATCAGGGAATATATTTGCTCTTATGTTTTCGACTGAATAAAGATTTGCTTTAGCTAATGTACCTGGCATGGATTACCCATCCAACATCAGGTCAAGTGACCTTACCCTCTCTGGTAGCAGCAAAGGACAAAAGACCAATCAAGGCACCAGATCCTCCAGTTACTATAAACTGAGTCACCTTAAAAGTAGCCAGGAGAGTAGGCTTTGCTGTTCTGCCACACAGCATGTAACAAGAAAAATGGAGTCATGAATTCTTGGTTTATTTGGGAGGTATCTCACGCAAGATACCCTCAAGTGGCCAGTTCTAATGTATGTCCTTTTACCTAGGACACAAATTCTTTCCAATATGGCCAGCATATTTCTCCAAACATGCATAACCAAATAATTGTATCCTTTTCTCTGTGAAAGTTTTTAAAAGATATATTTCTCTTTTATTGACTTAACCTATTACTATGTCTTTGTATTATAATCCAATAGTTTTGTTTCTCAGTAGACAGTACCTTCCTAAATTTTAAGAAATAACTGCTGGGTGCGGTGGCTCATGCCTGTAATGCCAGCACTTTGGGAGGCCGAGGTGGGCGGATCATGAGGTCAGGAGATCGAGGCCATCCTGGCTAACACGGTGAAACCCCGTCTCTACTAAAAATACAAAAAATTAGCCGGGCGTGGTGGCGGGCGCCTGTAGTCCCAGCTACTCAGGAGGCTGAGGCAGGAGAATGGCGGGAACCCAGGAAGCGGAGCTTGTGGTGAGCCGAGATCGCGCCACTGCACTCCAGCCTGGGCGACAGAGCGAGACTCCGTCTCAAATAAATAAATAAATAAATAAATAAATAAATAAATAAATAAAATAAAGAAATAACTGTCCCAGAAATATTTTGTGTTATCCATGTATGTATAAGAGAAAACCATGATACAATTGTTTTAAAGATCTTGAGGTAAATTACAGAATAGTATTCCTGTAGGCCAAAAAATTAAATTATGTTCTCAAAACATGAGCCACTCATGATTTTTTAAAAGCAAGTTCTCACCAGAAAATCACCTAAGCTCTAAGACCCAAAGCCACTCAAATTTCACTACTGTTTTTCTCTGTTTACAGCATATAGAACTCTTTAAAATTCCTATTGCTCTCACTCATATTCATTATAAAAATTTTAATTTACTCTAACCATGACTACATTCAGTAAGTGCTGTTTCAGACAGGAAATGGAACTATTATAGTGATGAACTCCTTTCTCCTAGTTATTAAAGGAATCTGTTCTTATCATACTGATTCCATCCAACTTATTATAATGCATGAAATAACCAATTCAGTGGGTTCAGCATAATGGGGGAGAGAGGGGAAGAAAACAACACACATAATAATAGCTGACTTTTAATGAGAATTCTTTAGGGCTTTCACCAAGCAGATCCAAAATAATTTATCTTATGATAATATCAAAAGCAAATTACTCACAAGATTATACTGTTAAGGACTGTCACAATATTCCCAGGGCTGTAATGCTGTCTCTTACAGTTTTAGAACCAACTTTATAACTTTTGCTATTAGTTGCTAAGAAACAAATTATAATTGCAGCTCAGACTCTTTACTGTGTTAGCCTCTTAATGCCCCATAGTAGCATTTATTTCCTTCAGATGATGAAATGATCAACAAAGTAATTGTTTTATATATAGCTGACAATGAAAGCATTTTCAGGAAGCAAGCCACGTTTTTATGATTTTTATCTGGTGGGGGGAGGGTAGTTAGAGCAATGATTTTAATAACATCACGATGTTGAAATGGCTTGAATCTTAGACCAATATTTAATGGCTTCCTTTTCAGGTTGTGGTGTTGTTTGTTTTGTTTGTTTGTTTGTTTGTTTGTTTTTGTTGGTTCGTTTGTGACAGGGTCACTCTGTCGCCCAGGCTTGAGTGCAATGGTGCGATCTCGGCTCAGGTGCACACCATGACACCTAGCTAATTTTTTTATTTTTGTAGAGGCTGGGTTTCACCATGTTGCCCAGGCTGGTCTTGAATTCCTGGGCTCAAGCAATCTTCCTGCCTTGGCCTCCCAAAGTGCTGGGATTACAGGCATGAGCCACAGTTGGTTATTACTTAGAAATCAATTTTATTTTATTTTTTAGTTATTATGTTGGATGGAAAGAGAGGTTGAAGAGTAGAAACTTTGGAGTGAGACTAATAAGAGTTTGAATGGTAGCTCTATCACTTACTAGATGTGATGAACTTTGTGTAAGTCATTTAATTTCCTCAAAAGCTTAGTGTTCCCTTCTGAATATTAAAATGAAGATATTAATACATACCTTGTGACATCACATGGGCAATAAACAGGATAATGTATTTGAAGTATCTAGAAGCCATACAATAAGTGGTGGTGGTGATTTGTATGATTGTTAAGTCCTAAAATGAGGGGGAAAATTCTTAGGATATCCTTAAAAGCCTTCATAAAGATAATTGGCTAATAGAGTAGAGTAGCAATACGTTATTTCAAATTAGTACACTATTGACTCTCAAGAATTCATACCAACGTCAGATAGTGACATAAGAAATTTGTTAATTTATTCATTTATTTGAAGAACTAACTGACCATTATCATTTTAAGTACTCACTGATAAAAGGATAAAAGTAGTGGGGAGGTCTTAATCCCACAGCTGTAATGGGCAACATGTGATCAAAGAGAAAAAGTTAGTGTGTATATCTGATGTGTACTCTGACCCAACAGATGTTACATATAAGAATAAGATAAAACTAGTTGTCCTGCAAATCTACATTGTGAGGGCCAAATGTTGAAACAGAATGATATAAAGTATTTCCAATTTAGCTGTAGTAAGCACCACAGTTTTTATTACTAATGCCTTTTCTGGTACGAGACATTTAGTGTTTGACTGCATGGACCTTTACAGTATAGGAGATCATGTGTGCCTGTTGGCCTCTGTGGAATGGATTCCTTGCCCTCTCAGCCCTGTTCCCCTAAAAACATGTTTAAAATCTCTAAAAGGCTCTGGATCTTCCAACTCTCAATATAGAGGCATGTTCTCTTTTATGCATTTTCTCTTTGGCTTCCACATAAGAATAAAAGACTATATATTTTTTAAGTAGTTTCTCCAGAAAATAATCTGGATTTTAAGCTTCTCTTAAAGACATGGAATTTCTGGCAACCATGTCTGCCATTGAGTTCCTCCACATGGATTTGTTCTTCTACTACTTTGATCTTACATGTAATATGCAATCACGCTAGCCTACCTCACTCATCTAACTTTTGTTTCTGACCCTTAAGGGCAAGTGGGTTTGTAGTCCTTGCTATTCCCCAGTACATACGCATGCCCTTAAAATTCCACGCCCGTATGGATGAAAAAATGCCACTTTAATATCTATAATAATACATTTTCATTTCCTGAGAGGTAAAGTTGTGATGCTGTTGGTCATAGAGAATTAAATTATCTTTAGCATCCCTGCATTATACGTTTTAGATATTGTGAATTCGTTGCTGATTGTAAATATCTCTCACAATTCCAAACCCAAGTTAAGTAGAATATTTTGTTCTACATTTAAATACCACTTGAGCACATGAGACTGTTCTGGGAACTCTAGGAAAGCAGGAGGCAAATCAACTATGGTCCTGCCAAAAATCTCAAAGCAGTAGAAATGGGAAAAATAAAAAGAAATATACATGGAGTGGTGAGGTTCAAATGAAAAGGAAAGAAACCAACAAACATGCCCTAAGACCAGTTGAAACAGTGTATCCACCTAAACGAGGAATAAAGATGCTTTTCATCTTAATTCCAGAAAGCTCAAACTCACTGAATTCAATAAATACCATTTATAGTCTTTATTCATCTATATTCTTCATTCCTCCTTTTGAAACTATGGAGAAAATAGTTGGCCATCTTGCAGGTTTATCATCATTAACAAATCAAATGTAAAATGCTTTGCAAAGTTTTTAAAAAATGGGAAAAAGAGCAAGCATAATACTATGCTGTGAATGAGATCTAAGCTGTATGCTAAGGATATATGCGTGAGTGAGCAATGTCAACGAAGAGTCAAACTCTTTGAAGAGATATTATTTGAATGTTAATATATTAATTGAAATACTTGAGGAGATATATTCTGAGCCACATATAGGTGACTATGGCCTGTGACACAGCCCTCAGGAGGTCCTGAGAACATGTGCCCAAGTGGTCGGGGTGCAGCTTGCTTTTATACATTTTAGGGAGACATGAGACATCAATCAAATACATTTAAGAAATACATTGTATTCCTCCAGAAAGGCAGGACAGCTCAAAGGTGGGGGGTGCTTCCAGGCTTTGGGTAAATTTTTTTTTTTTTTTTTTTTTTTTTTGAGACGGAGTGTCGCTCTGTCGCCCAGGCTGGAGGGCAGTAGCGCGATCTCTGCTCACTGCAACCTCCGCCTCCCGGGTTCCCGCCATTCTCCTGCCTCAGCCTCCCGAGTAGCTGGGACTGCAGGCGCCCGCACCACGCCCGGCTAATTTTTTGTATTTTTAGTAGAGACGGGGCTTCACCGTGTTAGCCAGGATGGTCTCGATCTCCTGACCTCGTGATCCCCCCGCCTCGGCCTCCCAAAGTGCTGAGATTACAGGCATGAGCCACCGGTAAATTTAAACAATATAAAGGAATGTCTGGGTTGCCATAAGAGGTTGTGGAGACCAGTTTTATTATGCAGATGAAGCTTTTAGCTAGCAGGCTTCAGAAAGAACAGGCTGTAAAATGTTTCTTATCAGACTGAAGTCTGTGTTGATGTTAATGGCGGAGAGGTATAAAGAGTATAAAGAGGCATGTCTGACCCCAGCTTCCCTTCTTGGCCTGAATCAGTCTTTCAGGTTACGTTTTAAGAGCCCTGGTTGAGGAGGAAGTCCATTTAGATGGTAGGTGGGGGGGGGCCTTAGAATTTTATTTGTGGTTTATAGCAAGATACCTCTGCATGCTGTATGAACCCTTTCAGTCTGCCTTCCATGATTGCATCTTTTCACTAAAGAGCTTCCTAGTGGCGATGAAGACTTGAAAATGTAATACATACCCATAACTGATTCCTACCTTCTTATTCTGTGTGTGTGTGTGTGTGTGTGTGTGTGTGTGTGTGTGTGTGTGTGTGTGTTTTAATGGGAAGGAAACCACAGTTTCTAAATGGTCCCACCTTCCTTATTAACAAAGAATTAGCATAAGTCCCAGAACATTATAGCTGTTTCTCTAAGAAGTTGTGATATACCACCGGGCGAACAGGAGACCAGGTGTCATGATTCAGTTTGGGGATCGAAAACTAGTAACAACTTCACTTTGAAAATCTTTTCAGTGCCCATTCCCTGGGGCTTTCAGGCTAAGCTACTGCTTTTATTTCTCTGCTATTTAATGTATAACAAAAGAAAAAGAAGGCATGTATCCTGGAGCCCTGTGGTGAGGAAAAGCAACTTAATGTTTATGAAGTGCTTTCAAGGGGATCATAATCTTAGGACCAATGAGTAACCCGGAATGAGTTTTGTGTTTCTCTTGGGTCTCCTGGCCTGATCCATAAATTTACTTAGCTATGTCAGGGATCCTAGAGAATACTGGTCCAGTTCCCTAACTTTAGAGGTGAGGAGTGCCAGTGCGGTGGCTTACGCCTGTAATCACAGCACTTTGGGAGGCAGACGTGGGAGGATCACTTGAGGCCAGGAGTTCAGGACCAGCCTGGGCAACACAGTGAGATTTTCTCTCTACTAATTTTTTTTTTTTTTTAAATTAGCAGGACATAGTGGTGGTACATGTCTGTAGTCCTAGCTACTCAGGAAGCTGAGGTGGGAGGATCACTTGAGCCCAGCAGATGGAGGCTGCAGTGAGCCATACCATGTCACTGCACTCCAGCCTGGGTGACTAAGCAAGATTCTGTCTCGAAAAAATAAATAAAAATAAAGGTAAGGCAGATTGAGGCCTTAGAGATAATTCGTCTTGAAAAAGGTCACAGCAGTTAGCTGCAGTCTGAATGCTATTATTAGGACTTCCTGTCCCTCTCCACACTATACCTATTGTTTTCACAGGGTGTCTCTCCTTTATCTCCAGAGGCAGTTCATTGGATTATCACTGGGATCAATGGATCAGAAGGAATAAGGGGGTGAAGTAGGAGCCAAAGGAAGTAGTTAGAAACTAATTGTGTTTTTTCTCAGCAGGATTCAGGCTTTTTCTCAGCAGGATCCAGCTTTTAAACTTTTTAACTTCTAAACTTTTCTCTAGAGTAATTGAAACTAACAGTATTTTAGTGGTGAAATGTTTGCAGTGCTTAGAAAAATCTCGAACAAATTTCATGTCTCTCATGTTATAAAACAGCATTTGAACTCAAGACTATAGAAGAGTTGTAACGTAAAGACGAATCCATTTTCGGCATTTTGAAATATCATTTGATCACTGCAGGCTAATTGCTGCTGTTCCTAATCCACCAGGTTGACACTTAATGAATGTTCATGATGAATCCGTTCTTTAGTTAGTTGAACCCTATAATTTTCTTGCTTCGTTTTCAATTTACAATATTTGTAATAAAGGTGCCATGCATAATTCCCTAGGAAAGGTCAATATACTCTTTTATTAACCATAAGCCTTTCTGGTCTTCTGGGTGTATATTTGTCAGGGAATAGACTATTCTTTTATGATTTCAAATGTTAGATTGTACAGATTGGTTATCTTTACTATATTACCTGCTGAAATTTCTACATATAGACATTTAGAAAATTGGGATAATAGCAACCAGCCTTTTTTACTATTCTTTCAGGAATGAGAAACTCAAACGTGTGTGGGGACCGGGTATGTAACATGAATGAGTGAACGGGGAATGGATACAAGGCCAAAAGAGACAGGTGGATATTATGGTAGACTGGAGCTCATGTGTTCTCCCTTACCGCCTATACTGTTTTGAAAACAATTTAATCATTATGCTAGGCAAACACAACACATTTTGGGCTGATTTTCTCAACTTTGTTTATTGCGCACCTCCACATCCGTTTGATCTTCGAAACACAATATAGGGAGAATATAATTAGACCCTTTTTTCAGATGAGGAAACTGAGTTTTAGAGAAGTTAAGGTCTTTGCCTGAAGTCATACAACTAAGAAGTGGTAGAAATAATATTCAAAGTTAAACCATACTCTGATGCCTGTAAAACCAAAACTGCACTCTAAGGAAAGAAAGATCATGTGATGAATGCAGTTCTTTTCAGCACTGAAAGAACATCAAGCTGGAAGTTAAGTTAAATAATGTGGGAGCATTACAGTCACCTAGAAAAAGCAGAGTTGTGGTGGCCGACCTGGCTGGATTAAAATCCCAGCTGTGCTTGTCACCTGACAGCCATCTCACTTTGAGCAAGTATTTAATCTCTGAACTTCATTTCCCCCTCTGATAAAAGAGATAATATGACTCACCTGACCAGATGGTTTTAAGAATTCAATACCATGGCTCATAGAAGGTATTCAATAAGCGCTAGTTCCCTTTCTCCTACAGAAGTAAGTGCTGGTATGAGTATAGGGAAGATTTTAAACTAATGAGTTCTTTCTTTTTGAGTACTTGGATAATTATACTTGAGTAGTTCCTGCTTGGATATACTCTGAAAACTTGGCCTTCTTGGCCCTGGACACCCTAACCCCCTGCAGTCTTATTTATTCATTCTTCTAGTCAAAGACATGGGCAAGTACATGTGTTCTATTTGTATATAAGTACACATTTGTACATGCGTACACACACACACACACACACACACATATATATAGAGAGAGAGAGAGAGAGAGAGATTTAATATGATAAATTGGCTTACATGATTATGGAGTATGAAGTCCCATGACCTTCTGCCTGCAAGGTAGAAACCTAGGAAAGCTGGTGTTATAATTCCAGTCCAAGTCTGAATGCTTGAGAACCAGGGGTGCTGATAGTGTAAATTCCAGGCCAAGGGCAGGAGAAGAGCAATATCTGAGCTCAGTAGGCAGGCAGGAAGCAAAAGGAGTGAATTCCTCTTCCTCTTTCATTCTACTCAGGCCTTCAGTGGATTGAATGATGCCAACCACATAGTTGGGGGGCAGTCTACCTTGCTGAGTCCACTGATTGCAATGCTGACCTCATCTGGAAGCACCATTACAACACATCCAGAAATAATGTTTAAGCTTTGCACTCCTTGGCCCAAATTAACATATAAAACTAATAATCACAAATGTTTAACACAAACAAGTTACAGTGAAAATACAACTGGTTTTGTGATAGATGGGAACTGGAAGGAAACTCGACAATGAGTGGTCAGGAAAACCCCTCAGATGGCAGGATTACATTGCATAATTTGTGCTACCACCCCATGTGGCGGCTCTGCTGAAGTGATACGGACAGGAGACAGGGATATACTGGGTAGAAGGGCAGTCCCTAGTGAGGGCCACACCCTCAAGCCTGGACTCATGGCCCAAAGTGAGAACATGCCTTCCTGTTTTCCCACCCACATGTTGCCTTTCCCAGAACCACCCTGGCCCACGCTGCCCCCCCCCGCCCCCCCATCCTGTACCCATAAAAACCGCAGACCCCACTGGCAGAGCAGAGAGGCGTGGCAGAGGAGAGAAGAGGTGTCCGAACGTTGAGAGGTGAAGAACCAGCTGGGCATCGGAGACTACAATCGGAGAGGATTTGGGCTGGGGATGGTTAGAGAGGAGTTTGTCAGCCGAACTCCAGGGGAAGACAACCCTTCCCCTCCATCCCCTTTCCAGCCCCCGCTTCCTGCTGGGAGCCACTTTCATTGGCAGTAAAAGCCTCCACATTCACCACCCTCCAATTTGTTTGTATGACCTCATTCCTCCTGGATGCTGGACAAGGACCTGAGTGCAGGTGCAAGAGGCTGTCACACTGACCCTCCACTGAGTTGTTTTAACACTTAAAGTGTCCACGGACAGCAAAGCTAAAAGAGCACACTGTAACACATACCTTCCGGGGCTCCGGGGCCACAGGCAACCCCTAGATGCTACAGCGGTTCTGCACAGAGTGTTGCTCCTGCCAGTTGCCCAGAAGTGCTTGTCCCAGCCTCTGCACCTGCTTACCTGCGTGCTCCCTCACCCTCAACGGGTTAAGATCTGTGGGCTGCGTAAGCAAGCTACCCCTTCACAAGTCCTGTGAAGGGATCAAGGGAACTGCCCCATTTCAATTTGAGTTTAGACCTGAAAGACAAGAAAATGATTCTCACCCCTCACCACCATCTCCTGATTACCTGAAATAATGAACAGTGTTGGTAACTATCAAAACCCATCTCTATCATTTTAAAAGTCATTATCATGTTCTGGAAATTTTTTTAAAAAGCTTCTACTGGAGCCAAGAGTGGCTCAGCTTTCAAGAAAGAATGGTTTTTGCTCATGATTTTCTGTATTTTAAAATTAT
Organism: Homo sapiens; assembly: GCF_000001405.40. Classification (NCBI taxonomy): domain Eukaryota; kingdom Metazoa; phylum Chordata; class Mammalia; order Primates; family Hominidae; genus Homo; species Homo sapiens. The sequence continues at coordinate 2,786,782 of NC_000003.12, forward strand.
TAGATCCATTTCTGTGAAGTGCAATTGAATGGTATAGTGACCACCATCACAGGTCAGGGAGAGCAGCTTTTCAGGAGAGTGAAATCTGGTGTCACTCTTGAGGCCAAAAATAAAATATTAACCTCAAATGCAGTAAGTAACCTCAGTAATTTATACAAATGGTTCTATTTTTTATTTGAACTATTGTTTCTTGGCACTCATTCATGCAAAAACTGGGTTAGAAATTGGTATAGTTGGTTCATGCTATGAACATACAGTTTGATCTTAATAGTTAAGAGGAATAACAAAAACTTGAAGGTATTTTAAGAAAATCGGCCAGGCGCGGTGGCTCATACCTGTAAACCCAGCACTTTGGGAGGCCGAGGCGGGTGGATCACCTGAGGTCAGGAGTTCAAGACCAGCCTGGCCAATATGGCGAAACCCTGTCTCTATTAAAAATACAAAAACAGCCAGTCGTGGTGGCGGGCGCCTGTAGTCCCAGCTACTTGGGAGGCTGAGGCAGGAGAATCACTTGAGTCCAGGAGGTGGAGGTTGCAGTGAGCCGAGATCATGCCACTGCTCTCCAGCCTGGGCAGCAGAGCGAGACTCCGCCTCAAAAAAACATACATAAATAAAATAAAATAAATATAAAAGGCATCTGACCAAAATTAGTTTACCACTTAAGGAGTAAACCGAGGAGATATATAGTGATCATTACATACCGGAATTATTGCTATAAAAGCCATAGTGTTTATTTGGTCAGTGTCCGAACTTTTTACAAGGTAATAATAGAGGAAGAAGAATCCTGTAATGACTGAATTGCATTTTCTGGAATTGGATTCCCTGAATTCAGATTTAGTCTAGTTCACTTACCAGCTATTTAACCACAGTCACGTTATTTAACTTCTCTGAGTCTTTTTCCTCATCTGTAAAACAGGGATGCAATAGCGCATACTTTGTTGGTTCATTAGGTTAGCTCATGCACAAAGTGTACTTATCACACAGTCCTGCCATATTGTTTTGTGGGTTTTTGTTTTTTTTTTTTTTGAGGCAGGGTCTTGCTCTGTTGCCCAGGCTAGAGTGCAGTGGTGCGATCTTGGCTCACTGCAACCTCTGCCTCCCAGGTTCAAGTGATTCTCCTGCCTCTGCCTCCTGAACAGCTGTGATTACAGGCATCCGCCACCACGCCTGGCTAAATTTTGTATTTTTAGTAGAGACGGGGCTTCACCATGTTGGCCAGGCTGGTTTCAAACTCCTGACCTCAGATGATCTGCCCACCTCGGCCTCTCAAAGTGCTCGGATTACCGTGCCCGGCCTATAGTATTAATAATAATATATAATGTAATCATAAGAGTAACAACTATATACCATCACATCATCATCATAACAGAAATAGCTAATGTGTATTGGGTACTTACCATGTACCAGGCATAGTTCTAAGCATTAATTTCAAGTGGACATTTGGGAAGAGAGAAGTAATTCAGGCACCCAAGGGAAATGGATTTTTGAAATGTGAATTGTCTTCTGTGTCCTGTGGCCTTCCATTTTGCAGACACCCACTCATTTCACTGTATGATATAATTTGGAATTATTTAACCCAATGGAATATAAACTGATGGAATGTGTATTACTTCATACTATCATGATAAAATAGAATTTGGAGATAGAAATAATTGATCTCTCATATGACACAACTGCCCATTCACAACATTCTTACTGAATTAAGATGTTCAAAAGCAAACTTTAAAAAATACATACGTAAGGATCTATGATATGATAATTTTTAAATACTATTATTTGGCTAAGTATTCTCCACAATCTTTGGAAAAATATACTGTCTTGTTAAATTCTTTTCCAATTAAATTGTAATCCCATAAAGACTCCTATTCTAAAGGTCAAATTAAAAAGCATTTATCCTCAGAGGCTCTAAAAAACAGTCATTAGAATGCCAACCCTTAAATGGAAACACCATTAAGCTCAATAGCTGAATAGCTTTTATTAGAATTACCCAATCCCCCTAGCCAGCCCTGCAACCCTGCTGACACCCCAGGGCCTGCAGGAGAGGATAACCTCTGTATTTGTTTAAGAAATGACAAGAAAAATTTTCTTTTTTAAAGATATAACAGTCAAAGACTTTGGTCTTTACATAGATGAGCATATCAATCTTCTAAGAGACACAAAAACAGAAAAAAAGTTCTGATTCTATCTGTCTTTTTTTTTCTCCTGATGCTTTTAAGGATTCCCCTGTATTTTATTTTCTCTTTATGCCTTTGAGGATTTCCTCTGGGGCTCTACATAATCAGGTGGATCTTTACCATGTAGATGCTGCATTCAGTCTTAATGAAATGATCTCGGGAGCCCTAGGAATTTGCCTGACCATTCAAAATAAGCATAGCAAATGAAATACTGGTCTCTAGAACCAGATTGTGGAGGTTGAAATTTTGACTTCTCCTATTACCTGTGTGTCTCTGGGAAGGTCCTTTACTCTGAATCTGTTTTCTCACCTGTAAAACAGTAATTCCTAATCCAAGGAGCACTTGCAAGAATTGAAGATATGACACATGTAAAGTGTGGAATTATGTTTAGTTATTATTATGCACCCTCATTATTAGGAAATTGCCATGCCTGAGAAGGCTTAGCCCTGACCTAGTTGCCAAAGTGGATGCAACTCAGATTTCTTTTTTTCTTTTGAGACAGAGTCTTGCTCTATTGCCCAGGCTGGAGTGCAGTGGCGTGATATCAGCTCACTGCAACCTCCGCCTCCCGGGTTCAAGTGATTCTTCTGCCTCAGCCTCCTGAATAGCTAGGATTACAGGCTTGCGCCACCATGCCCGGTGAATTTTTGTATTTTTAGTAGATGGAATTTCACCATGTTGGCCAGGCTGGTCTGAAACTCCTGACTTCAAGTGATCCACCTGCCTTGGCCTCCCAAAGTGCTATGATGGCAGGCGTGAGCCATTGTGCCTGGCCTCGGATTTATTTTGGTAGAAAATAGAGGATAACCCAAAGAACAATGTAGAGAGGTTTTTAAAAAAAATTAAAAAGCTAAATTAGAGGAGACCTGGAAAAGTATATATCTGATTGCAAGATTAAGGGTAAAGTTTTCCATTGTTTGGAACTGGCCCTTAATTCTGGTTACAATAGACTAGAAAAGTGCTTATGGTGTTTAGCCATTTAGTAGAGTATCCAAGGAAGGTAGCTCTTTCTTTGAGAAGGTACAATTAGTAATAATGATGATTCTAATAATAGCAGCAATTGCCATTTAGTGCTTTGCATTTACCACATGCCACGTTACACAATTTACAAGCATAATTTCACTTCTTATTTAGGGGAAAAATTATTATCTCTTTTTAAAATGAGAAAACCAAGATGAAGTCAAATGAAGTAATTTATATGGAGTCACACTGTAAGTGGTGAAGTTAGAATTCAAACCTGAGTTTGTTAGATTTTCATCTTCTGAGTGCTACTGCCTCACCTGGATGAGGTTCCCTCTTCTGTATTTGGGGCCATGTAAAGGGATTAGTTGTGGTGAAGTGAACTGGAGAGAGAAAGGCATTGAGCCATAGTGGATCTCAAGAGATCCTCTGGGCCAGCTTGCTGCCTTCCATCAGGTAAATGACCCAGCCATCTAGGACAGATGCTTGCTATTTTTTCTGAAAGATCTTCAGGGATAGTCGTTTCACAAGCTCCTCAGAAGGGAAAGGAGCAGAATCAGTCAAGCACAGCAAAGTAAGGGCCTAAGTAGGCAGATGTGCTCAGTGTCACTGGGACCCCCAGCTGACAAGCTTGCTGTGCAGTGTTCTGCTTGAGAACTTTCTGTTTAACATGCCAGGCAAATCAGCCACCAAGTCCTAAGTCCAGGAAAATCACTTTATTTTCTGTGAGTGTTGCATGAATTTATCCAACTGCTTTGGTTGTAGCAGGGCAAGTTTGATGTCTGTCATAGACCTATCCACCTTCTGTAAAAGCAGTTCAGAGGATGACCAATGAGCTATCTTTTTCTGCCATTCATAACTTGTGCATTTCCTTGACTTGCTTCTGTTACAAGGAAAATGATCTTATTTTTTATGCAAATCTTGCACATAAAATTGATAAGTATTTGATGATAATCAGCATCTGCCATCACCATTTTGCAGACATGACAGATATTATTACTTTTGTTTAGATAAGGTTCAAATGAGCTTGGATTTGGTTGCTTATTTAATACTTGTCTTCTCTGCTAGCCTGTAAACTCTGTGTCACAAGAGTAATTACAGTGTCTTAAACCTACTATACACTGAAGGATGAAGACAACAAAGGCAGACCAAGATTTGAGTCGGCAGAATTTCAGTTTCCACAAGGACAAGCCATTTTGACCTCTCTGAGATTATTAAAATGAGTTTTATCATGTAACTCACAAGATTACTGTAAGGAATTATGCAAATAATGGTGGTATTATTGTTATTTTTATTATTTAGTTCAGAAATCACTTTTTAAAGATGAGGAAACTGACTGGGCATGGCGGCTCGCACCTGTAATCCCAGGACAGTGGGAAGCCAAGGCGGGCTGATCACTTGAGCCCAGGAGTTCGAGACTAACCTGTGCAACATGGCGAAACCCTGTCTCTACAAAAAATACAAAAAATTAGCTGAGCATGGTGGCGTGTACCTCTAGTCCCAGCTACTCAGGAGGCTGAAGGGGAAGGATCACCTGAGCCCAGGAGGTTGAGGCTGCAGAGACCTGTGATTGTGCCACTGCACTCCAGCCTGGGTGATGGAGTGAGATCCTGTCTCAAAAAAAAAAAAAGATTTAGAAACTGAGCTCTATACAAACATAGTAAGAGTTCACCCAAGTTCATGGACAAGAAGAATGCAAACCTGATGCCTGATGTATTACTTTTCTCAGCTACTGTAATAAATTGACCTACATTTGGTGACTTGAAACAAAAGAAATGTGTTCTTTTACGGTTCTAGAGACTAGAGATGAGATACCCGAAACTTAGTAGGAATGCACTGCCTCTAGGGGTTTTAGGGAAGAATCTTTGCGTCTTCCACCTCCTGATGGCTGCCCTAGCATTCCTGAGCTTGTGGCCACATCTTCCCAGTTTCTGCCTCTGTCCTCACATTGCCTTCTCCTCTGTGTGTCTGTCTAATCTCCCTCTGCCTCACTCTTAGAAACCCTTGTCATCGGATTTAGGGCCCACTCAGATAATCCGGGATGATCTCCTTATCTCAAGATCCTTACCTTCCTATGAGATGGGTTGATAGGTGCAGCAAACCACCGTGGCACACATTTACCTGTGTACCTGCAATCCTGCACATGTACCCCTGAACTTAAAATAAATTAATTAATTTTAAAAACTCTTAACCTTATTTATATCTGCCTAGGTCCCTTTTCCTAGTTAAAGTCACACTCATGCATCCCAGCACTTAAGACATGGACATTCTTTCGGGGGGCCCTTATTTAACCCATATTTTTACATGATCCCTATGTTTTCCTGACAAGGATTCTAATTTGGATGTTTTTACAATAATAAGTGTTATACTGTCTGAATCAAATAATAGGAATTTCTACTACACAACAATCTTCGTGATAATGGCTTAATATATAATCTTTATTTCACAGATGAATCATTTCAAGATCCATGATCCTCCTAGTTTGACAGAAATAACATAATTTGCTTGAATATTAATGTTGCTCTTAGTTTTGAGTGAGATGTTTTTAAAGTATCTAAAACTGATTGGTACACACATCTTTTCATTTGCAGCTGAATATGTACTAATTCTGGCTGTGAGCTTCCTAAGCAAGAATGCTAGAAGCCAATTGAATTAGCAAATGCACTCAGATTTTTGATAGCATTATTCCACTGAATGTGGAAGTCCTTCAGAAAGAATCAGCTACAGAAACCGTCTTGCTAACAGACACCTGTCAAAACCAATTCCATTCACTTAGCACTCACTTCTAATATTGAAGGGTGTTTTGTTATAACTTCAGTATCTTCCCACCCTTGTGAGAGAGAATAGGGTGGGAGAGAGAAATCCTTAGTTTAGGCTGTTTTGAAATGGGTATAGTAATAATAAATCCCTCAAATTTTATATAAGATGTATTTATACTTTGCATTTTCAAAATACACATTCTCAAATACCAGTATTTATGGAAACATTCCTCTGATGAGTGAAGATTTGCAAAGCAGAGCTTAGCTTTCATAAAAGATAGGGACATCTCTGTCACACCACCCATGACCTGAGACATGTAACCTCCTTGGGGAAGTATTATTGTTTCCATTATGGTTGCTGAGGAGCAGCAAGTTCAGTTGCTGAATTATTTCCACATGATAGGCAATGAAATGAAGAAAGCTAACCTTGTATAAAATGCTCAAAACAGGAAGACAGAGTTCAAATGAAAACAAATTCACAATTAGCTTCATCCGAAATAGAAACAGGTTTGCTTGCTGGAAAGAAAGTTCACACTCTTCACTCTCGATTCCTATCACGCTTCTGCTTGTTTCTCCAAAGCTATATGAAGGCTGGTTAATCACCTTATCTATTCATAAAGTCTATTAATCTTTCTTATTAACTTGTAAGACCTTGTCAGATGAGGTCCAAAAACAAGTTTTAAGACCTTGCTATTACTACTGGTAATGTAGTAATGTTTCTCCATTTCTAGCTTTTACCCACAACCACTTGGTTTATTTCCATCTATAATGGAACAAAGAACTTTGAGTTTTACTGGATTTTTGTCCCTTAATTACGGATGTTTGCCTTCATGAAATATGACGTGGTTTTGGTTTAATGAAAGAGCATCGAAGCTGTCAAGAACCTCAGTGATTTTTCTTTTCAGTTCTTAATCACTGCTATTTGAGGGATGTTTTGATAGTATCATTTCTTAATTGCGTTTTCGAAAAATGATTTGTTTCAATAGCCACATTTCCAGAACTTGACAATCACCTCACTGCTGCTACCAGTATCGTATTACCTTATTCCATGCTACCTAGGAAAAATAACAGAAAAAGTAACCATTTCTTGCCTTGATTACAGTTACTGACTACAGAATAAGGAGAAGAAAACAAAATCATGTGGAACTTCAGATTCTGAGACATTAAAAGGGCCCACATAGCATTCAGTTAGTAACCCATTCCTATGAAAGAATCTTTGAGAATGAATCACTCAAATTCCTATCTGAGAAAAATGACCAACTACTGCCTGCCACTTTACTAGTGGGCCATGATTAGTTGGAAATACCAAATGAAAACATGTACTGCCATGCATATTTTTCTTGGTGGTGACATTTGTAGCATAAAGTTTACAGCATAAGGAAATTTAACATGTTTCAAATTCACCATATCTGTTAGGCATGCTTTCCTGTTCATTCATCTCTTTTAATAGTTTGGAACAAATAATGAAAACCATGTGCCATGTTTTACAGATTCTGAGCCTCAAAGATAATTAAATCATGAAAGAAATGTTTCTACATCTGCAAAAAATGTCTGGTGCCCGATCCATCAGTAGAAAAAGACTTACAGGCAGGAAGCTCTGCTGCAGCAGTTCTCAGGGTATGCTTAGGAAGGACACTGATTCTCAGAGAGATCAACAATTAACAGTTCACATCTTAGTTTTCTAAAAGACTTCTGGGAGTCTTTGATGCTGTAATGTATGTTGGATAGTCCCAAAAAGGAGATACAATAAATAGTAACTCCCAGTCTCTTGATAATAAATCCCTTTTTTTGTTCATAGAAAAGCACTGTTTTTAGAACAAACTTTGCAAAAACTGTTAACATAGCATAAGACAGTGGAGTAGAAGAAGAGTGAAAGTATCGACTTGGGTTCTAACCCTGGCTGTACCTCAAATAGGGCATGTTAAGCATATCACTTGACCGCTCAAGGCTTCAACTTCCTTTAGAGATAGAAATAAGTCATCTCTTGAGTCCTTTGAAAACTTACATCTTCCATTCTGTTTAGGCTGCTGTAAGCTGCCATTGACTGTGGGCTTACAAAGAAAGGAAATACATTTCTTACAGTTATGGAGCCTGGGAAGTACTAAATCAAGACACAAGCAGATTCAATTCCTGGTTAGGGCCTACTTCCTGGTTCACAGACTGCTATCTTGTCACTGTGCACTCACGTGGTGGAAGGGGCAAGGGAGCTCTGTCGGGCCTATTAGGGGACTAATCCCATTCATGAGAGCCCCATGCTCATGATCTAATCACTTACCAATGGCCCTACTTCCAGATACACTTTGGGGTTAGGATTTTAACAGAGAATTTGAGGGGTGGGGTGGGGACAAACATTCATTGCATAACACTTTAAAATACCATAATTCTCTGTCCATGGTTAAGAAGGTTCCTGTGTAATATATGTAATTCCATTCTGTAAGTTTTATTATGGTCTGATAGTTTTAGTAAGAGTTATCAAACCCACTGGAATATTTAAATGATTAAATAACCCGAAAAAGTTACTGTTTTGAAAGTATCACAGTCATGAGCAAATAATCTAAATTAGGCAGATTAAATACCAAAATTGGACCTGACAGGCTGACCCTGATCCTGAAAGGCTCTGACCTTTTCCTGGTGGCATTGGTTCAAACATCCATCCCCTCTCTTCTCTCCAAAAAACATGGAAAGGAACTTGTGTAACTGGGATTTGGTGAGCTCCCAATACCCTTTTCTCACAACTCCAGTGACATTCCCACGGAGGAAGGGACTCTATAATCTATTCTGTTAAATGGTGAGAAGCATCATTTTTTCGTCTTAGCAGTCTTATATTAGAGTAACAAATGGGTATCTTTTTTTTTTTTTTTTCTGAGATGGAGTCTCGCTCTGTCGCCCAGGCTGGAGTGCGGTGGTGCCATCTCGGCTCAGTGCAAGCTCTGCCTCCCGGGTTCACGCCATTCTCCTGCCTCAGCCTCCTGAGTAGCTGGGACCACAGGCGCCCAAGACCACGCTCAGCTAATTTTTTGTATTTTTAGTAGAGACGTGGTTTCACCGTGTTAGCTAGAATGGTCTCGATCTCCTGACCTGGTGATCCACCCGCCTCAGCCTCCCAAAGTGCTGGGATTACAGACGTGAGCCACCACGCCCAGCCACAAATGGGTATCTTTTGATTCAAATTTGTCTTGTATCCAAAATAGGTACATGTGATCAAGGCAAAAAGAAATAAAAATATATAACATTTGATTGTGAGTAATCTTTTCATTACACCTAATGTTAATGTGTTCATGATTGCAGAAGGTGTAAATAACCATTTCTTAGATGTCTAGTTTATTAATCACAGAAATATCTGGAGAAAAGAACAGGATTTTTTATTCTCACAGAGAATTGTTGATTGGGACTTTCTTGACCCGTAAGATGTAAAGGTTAAGGTTGTCTTTGTTGCTTTCTTTTAAATTAAATCCAAGTGCATCTTAATTAGGTTAAATACTTGGTTTTGGACCAAAAAATAGGGACTTCAACAAGCTACACTATAACTTATACCAACTGAAGTTGGTAGCTTTTACCTTCCTTCATCATTGCAGTTCTTACTAAAATGGAATTAGTGGGAGATGTTTCTTAAAGGATTATATTTGAAGGTTTTCTGGAAACCAAAGTGTGAAAAGTTGAAGCACTCATCAGTATGGCATGACATGAATTTGAAGTTTTTTAAAGGCAAGCAAGCAGAATCTTTTGGCATACCCTAATCTAAAAATATCACTTGATTAGATTCACTTTTCAATATTCCTTTTAATTCTATGGTACGGTTTTTAATGTGCCCTTATTTCTCTAAGAAAAAAATGAAGAGCTAGAATCTAAAAATAAAACCCGTACTTAATACACAAGCTAAATATACTCCCAAGTTTTCTCACTGCTACATTAATTCAATGAAATCTAATTTAGGCTAGTACCACTGTTATGAATAAAGATGAATACACATTACCAGTTCACATTGTGTTGTAGCATTTTTCTTTGAGACTTATCGGAAGAAATGTTAATTGCTTAAGTCCTTACATAAGATCCGGTGTTCTTTAAAGTTTTCTTGAAGAGAGATTAAGGGAAAGGTGACAACTAAGTTTGCATTTATTTTTAGCTTCATCCTATTCTATTGCTGTATTCCCAAAGTAGTCATCCTGACTTTATAGCATTCCTTAAGAGTTAACTTTCCAAAACCCAGATACTATAATGTTGCTCAGTACCCCACCCCTACTTCATACTCAGATTCCTACAGTAGCCCTTGTTGCTTATAAGAGTATTCCCAAACTGGTGAATTCTGCTCCTGCCCAATGTTTTGTTATTGTTGTTGTTTTCATAGAGATAGAGTCTTGCTCTGTCACCCAGGCTAGAGGGCAGGGGCATGATCAAAGCTCACTGCAGCCTACAACTCCTGGGCTGAAGTGATCCTCCTGCCTCAGCCTCCTGAGTAGCTAGAATTATAGGTGTGCACCACCATGCCCAACTAATTTTTTAATTTTTTGTCAAGCTGGGGTCTCACTATGTTGTCCAGGCTGGTCTTGAATTCCAAGCTATCCTCCTGCCTCAGCCTCCCAAAGCACTGGGATTACAGGCGTGAACCACCACTCCCAGACCAGAATGTTAATTTAGAAAGCTACACTGGGAATGGTGGCTTACGCCTGTAATCCCAACACTTTGGGAGGCCAAGTCAGGTGGATTACCTAGGTCAGGAGTTCGAGACCAACCTGGCCAACATGATGAAACCCTGTCTCTACTAAAAATACAAAGATTAGCCAGGTGTGGTGGTGGGCGCCTGTAATCCCAGCTACTCAGGAGACTGAGGCAGGAGAATCACTTAAACCTGGGAGGCGGAAGTTGCAGTGAGCCGAGATCGCGCCACTGCACTCCAGCCTGGGCAACAAGAGCGAAACTCCGCCTCAAAAACAAAAACAAAAACAAAAGCAAACTCCAAAGAGTTCAGTGCCCAGATGTTAGATTAAACAAGTCCCTTTACTGCAAAGTTTTTTTGTGCAGAATGAACTGAATCTCCAAGAGTTCAATATAGTTTTTAACCTTTCACAACTTAATCATAAAATATTTGTAAGGCATTCCTGTTTAGTAAGATTATTCTGTGGAAGACAAAGTAAAATTCTAGGGTGTTAACAATGTCTGTTACACTATGACCCTTACTCACATTTCTTGCTTCATGTCTTTTATTTTTGTGCAGATACCTTACTACTGTTTGATGACCACACTGAGTATTTTTTTTTTTTTTTTGGTATAAATTTAGAAGGTAAAAGTGCAATTTTGTTTCATGGATATATCCTGTAGTGGTGAAGTCTGGGATTGTAGTATAACCATCACCTAAATAATGTGCATTGTACCCATTAAGTATTTTTTTTTAATCCCTCCCACCCTCCCACTCTTTCAACTCTCCAGTGTCTATTATTTCACATTCTATGTTGATATGTACACACGTTTTAGCTCTCACTTGAGAACATGTGGTATTTGACTTTCTGCTTGTGGGTTATTTCTCTTAAGATAATGGCCTTCAGTTCCATCGATGTTGCTACAAAAGACAAGATTTTATTCTTTTTTATGGCTGAGTAGTATTCCATTGTGTGTGTGTGTGTGTATATATATATATGTTTATATATTTATGTTTATATAGTCTGTATATATACATACTATATCTATACACACATAAATCTATCTATCTATCTATCTATCTATATATCTATCTATCTATCTCCCATTTTCTTTATCCAATCATCTGTTGATAGACATTTGGGTTGATTCCATATCTTTGCTATTGTGAATAGGGCTGCTATAAATATGTGAATGCAGGTATCTTTTTCTTTTCTTTTTGAGACAGGGTCACACTCTGTCACCCAGGATGGAGTGCAGTGGTGCGATCTCAGCTCACTGCAACTTCTGCCTGCTGCACTCAAGAGATCCTCCCACTTCAAACTCCCAAGTAGCTAGGACCATAGGCACGCAACAAAACACTTGGCTGTTTTTTTGTATTTTTAGTAGAGATGCGGCCTTGTCATGTTGTCCAGGCTGGTCTCAAACTCCTAAGCTCAAGTACTGCACCCACCTCAACCTCACAAACTGCTGGGATTACAGGTGTTAGCCACTGCACCCAGCTGGTATCCTTTTGATATAATGATTTTTTTTTCCTTTGATTATATACCCGGTAGTGGGATTGCCTGATCAATTGGTAGTTCTATTTTCAGTTCTTTGAGAAATCTCTATACTGTTTTCCATAGAGTTGTACTAATTTACACTCCTACCGATGGTATATAGATGTTCCCTTTTCTCTGCATCCTCACCAACATATTCTTTTTTGACTTTTTCATAGTAGTCATTCTGACTGGTTGTAAGATGATATCTCAGTATAATTTTAACTTGTGTTTTTCTGATGATCAGTGATGTTGAACATTTTTTCATATATTTGTTGTCCATTTGTATGCCTTCTTTTGAAAAATGTCTGTTTGTGTCCTTTGCCTTTTAGTAGGGTTATATAGGTTTTTGTTGTTGTTGTTGGGTTAAGCTCCTTGAAGATCCTGGATATTAGTTCCTTGTTGGATGCATAGTTTGCAGTATTTCCTTCTATTCTTCAGATTGTCTATTCACTCTGTTGATTATTTCTTGGCTGTGCAGAAACTTTTAAATTAAGTTTCATGTGTCTATTTTGGCTTTTGTTGCATTTGCTTTTGAAATCTTACTCATGGATTGTTTGCATAGGCCAATGTCCTCAAGAGTTTTTCCTAGGTTTTCTTCTAGTATTTTTACAGTTTCAGGTCTTTTTTTTCTTTGAGATGGAGTCTCACTCTGTCACCCAGGCTGGAGTGCAGTGGCACAATCTCGGGTCACTGCAACCTCTGCCTCCGGGGTTCAAGCGATTCTCCTGCCTCAGCCTCCCAAGCAGCTGGGACTACAGGCGCCTGCCACCATGCCCGGCTAATTTTTGTATTTTTCAGTAGAGACGGAATTTCGCCACGTTTGCCAGGCTGGCCTCAAACTCCTATAGTTTCAGGTCATAACTTTTTCACATGTATTTTTAGAAAAAAATTTTAATTTTAATTTTTATGGGTACATAGTAGGTAATACTAAGCCTTTCACATAGCTCGAGTTTATTTTTATATATGGTGAGAGATAGGGGTCCAGTTTCATTCTCTTGCATATGACAATCCATTTTTCCCAGCACCATTTACTGAATAGGGTATGCTTTCCCCAGTGTATATTTTTGTCAATTTTGTCAAACCTCAGTTGGCTGTAGGTATGTGGCTTTAATTCTGGGTTATCTATTCTAGTCTCTTGATCTATGTGTCTATTTTTATACCAGTTCCATGCTGTTTTGGCTACTGATAGCCTTGTAGTAGAATTCGAAGTTGGGTAATGTGATGCCATCTACTTTTTTTTTTTTTTTGCTTAAGATTGCTTTGGCTATTCAGGTTCCACAGGTTGCTTTATTGGTTCCACATTAATTTTAAGATTTAAAAAAAAATGAGAAATGACATCGGTATTTTGATAGGAATTGCATTGAATCTGTAGATTGCTTTGGATACCACAGTGCATATTTTTAATGCCTTTTCGTCATTGTGCATGTTGTTCTTTACCCTGACATTCGATTTATTTCTTCTTTCTTCTCTCAAAATCTTAATTTTTTTCGGGTCTAGACTGCATGTTATGTACTTTCTTATTATTTTTTATCCTGCAAGAAAATAATTTGCTTTCTCATTTGTAATCTCACAGCATTTTGTTTACATACCACTAAAGTTCTTATTATCTGTTTTGAATCTGGTAATTGTCCACATCTTCCTACAAGATGAGGAGTTCTTCAGGGGCAGGAGCTTTATCTTAATTCATCTTTGCAACTTTCATTTCTTAGTTCTCTGCCAGACATGTAATAAGCAATCATTCTGGTTGAAGAGAATCGAGTTGAATAACTACAAAACTGTAAGTCAAACCATGTCACTCCTCTGTTCAGAAACCTGCAGTGGCTTCCATATTGACTCAGACTAGGAACTAAAGATCTTATAGAGGTCCCCTCTCTGTCCCAATACCTCCCTGACTCCATGTCTTAACTTTTATCTTCCTTATTCATTCTGTTCCAGCCAAACTGGCTCTGTGATATTCCTCAAACATGTTCAGAATCCTGTCTTTAAGAGCCCTTTCTTCTACCTGAATGTTTTCCCGTAAACATTCATCTGGCTAAACCCCTTGCCACCTTCAGGTCTCTACTCAAACGCACCTACTTCCTGAAACTTACCCAGAGTCCATTTTTAAAAATTATAGCCTTCCTTCCTACTCCCAGCTCTCTCAATCCCTCTGATTCTACTCTGTTTTTCCCATTACCACTGCATGACCTTCTAACACACTATGTCATTTAACTTTTTATCATGGTATTATTTTCCTGCCTCACCTGATCAGATGTAAGTTCCACAAGGGCAGGAGTATTTGTCTGCTTTGTTCATTGTTGTGTTCCATGACCTTAAAGCAAGATCTGGACTCTGCTTTATGAACATATGTTAAGAGAACTGAATGAATGAATCTGGTTTTTATCCCATTTTCTAGTTCAGTGAATTTGTGATGTCTGTTTGTCACAGTATTTCCATATAGAACTTAGTAATATCAGGGTAGCTTTTGTTAGTTTTCATTATTGAAAAATTGTTCTCTGTACTTCAGCTCACTCAAGCTGTGAAAGCAGTGAAACATTGCATCAATTAAAATATTCCAATTAACACTAATCAAGAGGAGCAATAGTAATAACATAGCTGAACCAGGTTGTTGAATCTTTGTAGCCTCACACATCACTGTAGGCACAGTATGTCAATTAAATAAGATAATTTTTCCCTATTATGCATCTTGGTAAAATAATGAAGATATTCTTTGGAGAAAAATAAAGCATTATTAAAACATGGGTCCCTGTTTTAAAATAGCATGCTTCTGCTCTTCAATCCAGTATAGCATTGCTTGTATCATTGTCGTGATTAAGAATAAAATTTCATGGCATGTCTACTCTGTCAGACAGTGAGGTAGGTTTTGGGAGCCTAGGAAATATGAGATGTTGTTTTTGCCCTCAAGGAGATTGTAGTCTCCCCTGAAAGTGTTTTTTTATTCTGGTCCTAGATAATGTACTTATTAGAGGTTTAATTCTAAGCAAACCTCTTAACTTTTCTGAGTTTCAAATATTTTCTACAATTAAAGTTTATACTTAATGCCATCCATGTCTGCTTACTGAGATGTTTTCTTAATCAAATGAGTTATTAGTAAAAATGTTGGAGTTTTCTCTATTTGCTAAAAATAAGTACTATAAAAATGTAAGGAAACATATCATTATTGGTCTAGTTGCTGCTACTATTATTATTACAACTACTTCTAATTTTGTTCTTGCCATTATTATCATTTTAAATTATTATTGTTACCATCATTATCATCTTTTTCATAATCATTTTTATGCCTGAAGCATGGGCTAAGACACTATATTTACCAGTAACATGTATCCAGTGCCCACCAAGTGCCCATCCCTGAAATTTATCGATAACCCTCACATCAATCCTTTTGGAGTCTTTGTGGTCATTTGTGGACTTGTGAAGAGCAGCAAAATATTTAAGTCACCCAACACTTATTTTCCCAGCTGAGGTTGAACAAAGTGACACTCTGCCTTCTCGTTTGAGCTCTAGGTGTACAAACAAGTGAGCTTTTTGCTGTCTGTTTAGTGGCACGTTGTTTTGCCTTCTTTGCTTTTTTGTTGGTGATTTCACTGTTTAAAATAGCCCAAGGGAATAGCACCGAGGTGCTGTCTAGTGTTCATAAGCATAAGAAAATCGTGCCTTACAGAAAAAATACGTGTCAGATGAGCTTCTTTCAGACCACGAATTCAATGTCAATGAGTCAGCATTATGTATTAAATACCATGTCTTCAAACAGAAACAAGTAAAGCAAGGTTATGTATTGATTGGTTGATGAAAATGGTGTGACCAGAGACTCGCAGAAACCTAACCCTGTATTTCCCCTACGGTTTAGCAGTCACTAATTCAGTGCTTGGGGCAACTTTGCAGAGAACATAACTACAGCCAGTAATGTAAATTGACTGTAGACACCCGGCAGTATGGTGCTGAGGCTGAAAGCAATTGAGAACACAAATTGTCTTAAATGACTTGACTTAAATGAGAACACAAAACTTTAATACTTTTAGAAAAAAAAATGTAGGAGAATATCTTTATGACTTCAGGATAAAGACGAGTTTCTTAAGTAAGAAATTAAGAATGTTAGCCTTAAAGAAAAGACTGATGCATTCATAGGACTGTCGTTTATCAAAGAATACCAGAGAGTGAAAAAGACAGAGATATAGTAGGAAAAGATATTTGTAAAAATGTAACAAATAGAGGTTCCCAAGTGAATGAAGAACTCCAATGAGTCAGTAAGAAAAATAAAAATCCTTTATATAACTGGGTAAATGATATGAACTGGCATTTTCAGAATGATTAAATGTGAATGGCCCATAAATATATGAAAAACCAACTTTATTAATCATCAAAGAGATACAAATTAGAAATCATGAATTATCATTTCAGACACCAGATTGACATAAACTAAAATAGTAAGTATTGTTGAGGAACAACAGGAATTCTCATTTAGGGAGAAAAGATTGAAAATTGTCCCAGCCATTTTAGAAAACAGATTGTGTAAATATCTTGTGAACTTATAAATCTAAACTTGTATTTTCCACTCTTAAATATACAGGCTGTAGACCAAAGAAACTCTTGAAAATATGTGTAAGACACAGGCTTTTTATATCAGTTTAGTTTATAATAGCAAGTAAGTGGGAAAAGAACTATTGATGGACAGTGGAAAGAATATATTAACTATATTAACTGTGGTAAATTCTTTTTTTTTTTTTTTGTTTGAGACAGAGCCTCGCTCTGTCGCCCAGGCTGGAGTGCAGTGGCGTGATCTTGGCTCACTGCAACATCCGCCTCCTGGGTTCAAGCAATTCTCCTGCCTCAGCCTCTAGAGAAGCTGGGATTACTGGTGCCTGCCACCACGCCTGGCTAATTTTTTGTATTTTTCAGTAGAGACGAGTTTCACCATGTTGGCCAGGTTGGTCTCGAACTCCTGACCTCAGGTGATCCACCTGCCTTGGCCTCCCAAAGTACTGGGATTACAGGTGAGAGCCACCAAGCCCGGCAGTAATTCTTATGAAGAACCGTTACCACACAATTAAAATGAATGAACCACAGCTACACCCATTGAGACTGAGTCTCAAAGGAATCATGTTGAGTAAAAATAGCAAGTGTTAGAGGAATGCATAGTACAATTCCATTTTTATGAAGTAGAAATTAATTTCAAGGCTGAACAATACATTATTTAGGGATATATATATATATATGTCTGCACACACACACACACACACACACACACACACACGTATGATAAAAACCATAAAGAAAAAACACATGACAAACAAAATAATCAGCAGTGGGGGTATAGTCAGGGAGGAATACACAGAAGCTTCAACATTACTGGCAATGCTTCATTTGTTACAGTGGGTGTTAGGATCACAGGTGTGCACTTTAGTATTCTTGTAACTCTGCATAAACATTATTTGTTTTCTTTGTTTGCCTAATATGTCACACAATAAAAAATTTAAAATGAGGAAAAACCATCAGGTTATCTGGAGCAAGACAGCCTGGGTTAGTATTCTGGCATTATCGTTTACTAACAATGTGTACTTGAGCAAATTATTTTGCTGTTCAGCAATCAGTTTCCTTATCTATAAAAAGGAATATAAAATTACCCACTTTAGGGATTGTTCAGAGGATTCGATTTTATGTATTGTTAATATGTGAAAAACACTTAGGATAATGCCTAGCACATAGGAAGAACTCAATAAATCTTAGCTCTAAATACTACTATTCAACCTACAAGTGGCTGAATTAGCTAACATACAACTAAGCAAGGAAGGTGTGAGCATTGCTCTTCTATCACTTGAGGACCAGGATACCTCATCTGAGATCTGGAATATCTTCACTAGCTCACCCAACCACACCCACATATTTTGAGCACTTTTTTTTTGAGACAAGGTCTCTCTGTGTTACCCAGGCTGGTTGCAAACTCCTGGGCTCAAGCAATCTTCCTGCCTCAGCCTCCAAAGTAGCTGGAATTATAGGCACACAACACCATGCCCGGCTATTTTAGGGACACTGAAAAGTGTCTTTATCGGCCAGGCGTGGTGGCTCACGCCTGTAATCCCAACACTTTGGGAGGCTGAGGCGGGCGGATCACCTGAGGTCAGGAGTTCAAGACCAGCCTGGCCAACAAGGTGAAATCCCATCTCTACTAAAAATACAAAAAAATTTGCCGGGCATGGTGGCAGGAGCTTGTAATCCCAGCTACTTGGGAGGCTGAGGCACGAGAATCGCTTGAACCTGGGAGGCGGAGGTTGCAGTGAGCCGAGACCGCACCATCGCACTCCAGCCTGTGCAACAAGAACAAAACTCTGTCTTAAAAAAAAAAAGTATCAGTTGCTGCACTGTGTAGCATCCTGATCACTGTTGCTTCATCTACAATCTTTTAAGAAGCCTGTGGCAATTCAAGTGCCACATGAGCTTTGTAGCTGTAAAGTTTCTTGTGATAGAAGAGCAATTGGAGTTGTGCTAGAATTCAGTTGCTGAAAACTGCACTAGGAAAGTTGCAAGGCAAAGACAAACCCAAAGAAATCAGAATAGAAAATGATCTCAGGAGCAATGTTGTGACGATGGAAAGATGACAGGCCAGTGCTCTGACATGGAAAATGAGAATGTAGCTGGATATTAGCTTGGCTCATATTTTTGAAACCCAGAGCATGAGTAGTCTCAATATTGATAGCCTGGGTTTGAGTAACTCTCTTAAACTCACTTGATGCCAAAGCTCTCATGAGAATCCAGTTGTGCCTTGTGGTGAGGTGAGGCTGTACCTTGGCACTGTCTGTGCACACTGACCTGCATTGAAAACAATGGGGGCAGTGAGCAGGGCCGAGGTGGAGATTGAGAGGAACCAGGTCGTGGATGCCAAAGGGGGAGAAATTGGCCAGGTTTTTATCCCGGAAGCTAAACTGAAAACTCAAGTCCCTTGATCCTCATTGTTCTGGGTCCACAGTCTGTGCAGATGGAATGTTGATTGGGTGATCACCGCCAGCAAAAAGTACAGACTGTTTTTTCTACTCTCATAACACTTTTTGTTTTGTTTTGTTTTTGTTTTTGTTTTTCTGAGACAGAGTCTCGCTCTGTCGCCCAGGCTGGAGTGCAGTGGTGAGATGTCGGCTCACTGCAAGCTCCATCTCCCGGGTTCACGCCATTCTCCTGCCTCAGCCTCCCGAGTAGCTGGGACTACAGGTGCCCACCAGCAGGCCTGGCTAATTTTTTGTATTTTCAGAGAGACGGGGGTCTCACCTTGTTAGCCAGGATGGTGTCGATCTCCTGACCTCGGGATCCGCCTGCCTCGGCCTCCCAAAGTGCTGGGATTACAGGCGTGAGCCACCGCGCCCAGCCTCTCATAGCACTTTCTTATACTCTACAGCATTTACTCTAAACACTTTTACAGCAATGCTCTACATACTTTCTTTACACCTTACAGTAGAGCCACTGATGTGCGTATCATATCTGGATTGTAAACGTCTTGAGATCAGGGACCATGTTGGATTCATCTTCACATTCCTCACAACATCTTCCACACATGGCACCACAAGTAATATTGACGAAGGGAGGGCTGTCAGGCCGCACAAAGGATGGTAAGGTCTTCCTAACTGAAATCCTCTGGCTTCCTAGGATTTCAGAGGCAGAAAACAGTAACTATCCATCGCTGACACAGATGATCACCATGCTAGTTTGTTCATTGTCTTCTCTTATCAAATCAGTGTGGATTTCATATGTCTCCTCAGTTGTTTCTCCCACTTCTTCAGCAGCTTAGAAGTTTTGTTTTGCTGGGGAGCTGTTTTTAACTTTTAGATATAAGGTGAAAATGCTTATTTATTAGTTTCCTCAGGTGTTACATGAACTAAGATGACTTCCACATCAGTTATAAATAAGAAAGTACCAAACTAAATCAGGACTGCTGTGTCACTTGGCACTACTTCACGTCCTTCTTGGCAGCCTCGATGGGGGACGAGAGCTGAGTTGGCAAAGGGGGGAGTGATTTATCCTCCCACACTTAGAAGTAGGATGGAAAGCAGAAAGGTTCTACTTTTATATTACTTCTTCTTTTCAAATTTTCATATTAACATCCCCTATCCGGTTTCTCTAGCTTATTTTTCTGTAGTGGGCATCAACGACACTATGTGTGATTTGTTTATTTTATTTGTCATCTCTTACCCACATTAAGCTCTTTGAGAAGAGAGATTTTTGCTTTGTTTTGTTTTGTCAGTGATATATCCCCAGTGTCTAAAACAGTGGCTGGCATCATGATAGGTGCCGATAGTAGGCATACTGTAGGTACTGAATGAATCTTCGTTGGTTCTTAACTACCACAAAGTGCACTTAAGAGCAAGGGGCATGAGCAATGGCATTTCTAAGAACTGACAGGTTTAACACACGGCAGCCTTATCTCTGATTCTTCTTTGTGAAAATGAGAACAGGGAAACAGCACCCATTGCAAAATCTAAATCGATGATGAATGAACACGTAGCTTGCGTGTATATTTGACGATGGTTTTATTTTCAAAACTGTAATTAAATGAGATAAAAATATATGGTTGAAGTTGCCGAAGCAACTTAAATTCAACATAAATAACAGCTGCTCCTCATCTGGGAATTTCATTTATATACAGAACTTTTTTTTTTTTGCCCTTAAAAATTTTTAACTGGTATACAGCTAATTCAGCATCCAGTATCCCAAGATACACTTTATACTCAAAGAAGATGGAAAAGAGAAGAGAAACAGCCCTCGTTGAGCCAGTGATGAAACAAAGCTGTTACTCCCCATACCTTTGATTTCCCTAAAATAGCTATGATGCAAAGCATGTCCAGTTTCTTAGGAGCAATGAGTCTAAGCATGACTGGCATTTTTTAATGAGTCCAGCAATCCCTACTTTAATAGTTCAAAATCCTGAAACTGAGTACAGAGTGAAGAGTCTTCTATTAGCTTTGAAAGCAAAATTTTTCTGCAGAGCATGGATGCCAGGAAGTACTGATAACATCTGCCTCTCCTTGTAAAGTAAGGATCAGTGCAGTTTCCTCCCAAGCTTCTTGGAGGAAAAAAATACCTACTCTTTGGATAGAATTAAGAGAAGGTATAATTACTTGAACATCGATCTAGTTTCATTTGCGAGTAGGAAGTGAGAAACTGCGCCTCTTTCCTGAGACATCGTATCCACTACCACTAAGTGCTAGGCAAATTTGGTAGTGAGTTCACTGCCTCGGTTTATATTCCTGAAAGGCTAATAAAAGAAAAGAAATTGAATGAAAAAGTTTGAGATGAAGAGATTTCTTTCACTTTGAAGCAGGGTTTTTCATGACCAATTGTATGGCTCGTAGATTTGTAGTCTCTGGGGTTTGATCATGAACTGTGGTCCTTATGTCTCCATTTAGTAATATGTTTCCAAGGCTTTTCTGTAGATTACTGACTTTATCATGGCCTCTTGATGCATAACTTTTCAGCATTTTCTTCAGAGAATATTCATTCTGGTGTTACTTGAATGTATCTGATTTGCCTTCTAAGGTGCCTATTTATTAAGAAGATTGGTACAATGAATTACAACCTGCTAATTTTAATTTTCATTGGGGAGAAAAAAAGGCTATAAAGTAAAATTCAAAATGAAGAATCATATTTCTTTCTGTCAAAGCTATAATGAGCATAAGTCTATCAGTTATAAAATTATCACACTAGATGAAGAAAAGATAATTGTATGATATATCACTGACTGGCTGATAACAGCCCTAATCACAAATAATAGGCCCATGCAATTTGCAAGGAGTTGTTTCATGTTTTCATCATCTCTGGCATTCCCTGGGGCAGGGGTGAGTGGGCGAGTGGGTGGGAGAGTATTTATTTTGCAAAGCAATAACTCCAGTTCATATGTTGATTACATTCCAATTTTAATTTATCTCTTAGCTTTCCACTTAAGGATGGGGATGCGGGAAAGTAGGTGGCTCCATGCCCTTGATTGGACACCTTTTCTTGAAGTTATTCTCCAAAGCTTCCCTGGCTATTGAGCATACAAAGGTCCTTTGTAGCCAAGATGCTGGAAAGCAGTGTGTCATGAGGACAAATACAAGAAAGTTCACCCTAGTCCAACAGGTCTCACCAACCACCACAGCCTGTGAAACAGGAAGAACAGCAGTGCTCAACAAGTACTAATTAAGTATCTACTATGTATCAGACACTGTTTTGGGCATTGGCTATAGCCTCATAAAAACTGGCAAGATTCCTGCCCCACAGTGAGCTTTTATTTGGGGAGGCAATGGAGACAGTAAAAAAGAAAGTACACAAATGAGAACCGTAGTTGCAGATGGCGGCGGTGGTGATTTCTGGGAAGGATGTAGTAAAGAGGGGATGTGACAGAGAGTAACTGGAGTCAGGTCACGGTTGACTTTACTTAAGCCCTCAGGTAATGCTGCTCTGAAGAAGGGTCATTTGAGTTGGTTCCTAAAGGCTAAACATGATAAGCCAAAGAATGGGGAAAGAGCACTCCAAACAAGGGGAACAGCAAGGACATGGGTCCTGAGACTGGGTTAGCTGCAAGGTGTTTGAAGAACAGAAAGCAAAATGTGGCCATTACGGTATAACTAAGTAAGGAGGGAAGTGGCAGGGAGCAAAGCTGGGGACGTAGGCAGGGGCTGGATCCTGAAGGGCCTTTGCAGAGCACAGTGAAGGGTCCATATTTTATTCTGAAATTGACCAGGCCAAATGCCTTCTGAAACCTTTGTTTCTCTTTGTGTTGTGTAAGTATGAAACCAAAGATAAAGAATGCAGCTGCCTAACCATTAACACTCCTGAGTCAGGATGATATGAGAAAAGAGATGAGCTCCCGTAGAGAAAAATGCTGGTAATAATAGCTTGCATGTTAGGGCACCCGTCTCCGAAGGAGAACAACATTATTAACGGTGCCATATCTCACTAATTGTAGTAACCTCATGAGTTAGATAGGTGTACTTTTTTGTGGAACACACAGGGAAACTCAGACATTTTAAATTAAGTTGTTCTTTGGCCTCTTAAATAGCACAAAGGTCTAGATAAAATAGAGTATGTCAAAGAAATGAGGAAAAGGAAAGAACTAAAATGAGAAATAAAAATAGCCATCAGGAACGCTGTAAGCTCCCAGAGAAAAGGGCAGCCAAGCAACGTTTATTTTCTGTAAAGTCAAGAAAATAATAGTTGAGGGGTGAAAAACTGTGAGAGTCTCAGACAGTCAAACAGACCATCAAAAAGTATGGTTTCATCCCTGTTATTTAATTTGATATAGAATAGAAGTTATATATAGGGACTTCTGGGTCGGGAAAATCCGGATTCTAATCTAAGCTCTTGGATGTTTATTTTTCTTTCTATTAAATGAGAATAGTAATAGAACCCACCTCAAAGAGTCGTGGTGAAGACCGAATGAATAAATACATAGAAATTGAGAAATTGTGTCATTTAGCTAAGCTGGATGGAACTGGCCTTAGCATTCTTCCAAATAGATAATATTTATAAAGTGGTTAAATTGCCAAAGTTAAGAAGCCTTCTTAACATGTAATATTGATTATGCTATTTTTAATTCTTGCCTAGGTTTTGTTCCTGGAAACAAAGAGTGATATGTGATCTAGTAATGTGGTGCAAGAAGAGAAAGAGGAGAATAACCTCCAATTTTGCTAAATAGAGGATTGCTGACCCTAGGCAAATTTGTCTTTGGCAGTCTCCACACACCACTTTCCTCATCCAGTTTTTTAAGTCATTATCCTTCTTGAACTTTCTCAGCGCTATTTTGCCTTCTCCACTATTTCATAGATTAAATTTTCCTTTGATTCTTCTTTGGTTATTCAAAACTCACATTTGAAGACTCCATACTGCTCTTACTTACTTGTTAAGTGAAAGCAACCTGATTGAATTAATTCACTCTTCACTGAAAGTGATTAATAGCAAGGTCATACTTTTGAAGAAGGTATTTATGGTTTAAAATGATATTTTTGTAATTCCAAAGTAATATCTAAATTGTAAGGTTTTATTTGGTATGACCGAAGAGGGTGACAAAAAACTCAGGCAGTTGGAGAGAGAACACTGTGAGGGCTGGAATCAGCACCTGGGACAGCTCTGAATAAGCTTTCCCTTTTACTCTGAAATAAGTGTATTAAGGATTTCCATAGTGATGTTCATGGCTGCAGAATTAGAGGCTCTGAAAAAAAAAAGAAAAAAAAAAAGATCAGAAGTCATTTCTGTGAATGAGTCATTTGTATCTCAAGGGTACATTGACTTAGGAATATTAGACCTAGCATAAGATTTTGGTCCCGGCCAGGTGCGGTGGCTCACACCTGTAATCCCAGCACTTTGGGAGGCCGAGGCAGGCGTATCACTTGAAGTCAGGAGTTCGAGACCAGCCTGGCCAATGTGGGAAACCTGTCTCTACTAAAAATACAAAAATTAGCTGGGCATGGTGGCAGGTGCCTGTAATCTCAGCTACTCTGGAGGCTGAGGCAGGAGAATCACTTAAACCCAAGAGGCAGAGGTTGCAGTGAGCTGAGATCACACCACTGCACTCCAGCCTGGGCGATAGAGCAAGACTCAGTGTCAAAAAAAAAAAAAAAGTTTTGGTCCTTTACTTTATTTTTATTTTATTATTTATTTATTTATTTATTTATTTGAGGCAGAGTCTCGCTCTGTCGCCCAGGCTAGAGTGCAGTGGCCTGATCTCAGCTCACTGCAAGCTCCACCTCCTGGGTTCACGCCATTCTCCTGCCTCAGCGTCCCGAGTAGCTGGGACTACATATGTGCCCGACCTCCTAGTCCCTTACTTTCGACTGCCAACAAACTGGGGTAATTAATGTCAGGTTTTTGTTTTTGTTTTTAGACGGAGTCTTGCTCTGTCACCCAGGCTGTAGTGCAGTGGCGCGATCTCGGCTCACTGCAACCTCCGCCTCCCAGGTTCAAGCAATTCTCCTGCCTCTCAGCCTCCAGAGCAGCTGGGACTACAGCACATGTCACCATACCCAGCTAATTTTTGTATTTTTAGTAGAGACAGGGTTTCCCCGTGTTGGCCAGGCTGGTCTCGAACTCCTGACCTCAAGCAATCTGCCTGCCTTGGCCTCCCAAAGTGCGGCGATTACAGGCATGAGCCACTGTGCCCAGCCAAAAATCACATATATTTACATCCTTTAAAAAAGGTAAGGCCGTTATCCTCAGCAAATTGACAGAAAACGAAATACCACATGTCCTCACTTACAAGTCGGAGCTAAGATGAGAACACGTGGACACATAAAGGGGAACACCACACACTGGGGCCTGTTAGAGAGTGGAGGGCGGGAGGAGGGAGAGGATCAGGAAAAATAGCTAATGGGTACTAGGCTTAATACCTGGGTGATGAAATAATCTGTACAACAAACCCCCATGACACAAGTTTACCTGTAACAAACCTGCACATGTACCCCTAAACTTAAAAGTTTTAAAAAGGTAGACAAATATCAATTTTACTGTTGTATAGAAACAATATTTTTAAGTAACACAAGCATTCTCAGACCAGAAGATTATAGGAAGAATTTCTCATGAAGAATTATCTGAATCCAGGGTATAGTGCGTATATCTTAAATATAAGTGTTATAAAGAATACAGTTCATGCAATATAAAGG
The DNA here is from genome assembly GCF_000001405.40 of Homo sapiens. Taxonomy (NCBI): domain Eukaryota; kingdom Metazoa; phylum Chordata; class Mammalia; order Primates; family Hominidae; genus Homo; species Homo sapiens. The sequence goes on from NC_000003.12 coordinate 2,812,461, forward strand.
ATAAGATATCTGATTCACTTCAGCATCAATCTTGACTTGAAAGCATAATTAGGACTAGCAGAAGAGGATATATTTTAAGTCTTATCAGGTTTGTTTTTTTTGTTTTGTTTTGTTTTTTTGTTTTTTTGCCACAGTAGTGTTGACTTGGCCACTCTAATGTTACTTTATCCGGTGGAAGTTCTCCCAGTGAGTCACTTTCTGTAAACTTTCCTTTGGATGCTCAAAAGTCATACTGATAGTGCTAACATTTATAGACTACTGACTTTGGACCAGGCAGCATCTTAAGTGCTTTACATGCATGATCTTAATCTTCAGAAAGTCCTATGAGACAGGAATTATTGTCCTGACATTAGAAGTGAGAATTGAAGTTCAAGGAGATTAACTAACTCACCTACATCATACAGGTAGAAAGTAAGAGTGCTAAGTTTGTACTCAGGTCCTTCTGACTCCAAAACCAGGGTGTTAAACCATCAGGCAGTTCTTCCTCTTGCTATATACTCTCTTACAGGGAAGTCCAGTCTTCCTTCTTCCTAAATGGAAAGAATGTCAAAAATACGACTTTGAAACTCAGGTTTTGTAAATTTCGATTTATTTTCACTACAAGTCTCTTCAATCCAGGAAACCATAAAGTGTGCATCCACACACACACACAGGGAGCAAATGGCAGAGAGTCAAGACATAACTTTAAATTTGCTGCATGATAGTGAGTTTTTAAAGTTACTCTCCAAAAATACTTCTTTTTATAAATGGTGCAGTCATCATTATGGAGATCATATTCATAACAAATGTATCACTTGACCATTTTTCCAAGTTGATGTTCATCTCCTTACTGATTGCGTCTTTTAAAAGGAAGCAATAACAAAGGGAACTGGTGCTGACAATTTCTTGTTCTAAGGCCAACCTGGGAGAATTAATAGAATCCAGGTCTACCCAAGTCAGGAAAAAAGTGAATTGGTATTTTTTTACTTGCATTAAATAATACATGTATTACATGCATGGTTACTGTATCATTTTTCCTTTTTTTCTTTTCTCCCTTCTCTCTGTGGATTCTTAACAAACTATGATGTGTGATATTATCTCATTAACCTTTCCTGGCCATTTTAAAACTAAACTTTTTATACCTTCCTCTGAGTCATCCCACCCTGTGAATAGCTTCAGCTCTTCCTGTCCATATGTGTAATGGCTAGTCCATTAATTATGACCTAAATAAATTACTCTTTCTTATTTACTGTTATTACTTCTCAAAAGAGATCTTGGACCCTCTTGATTTTATATCCTCTAGACTATAATCAGGTATTTATGGTAAGATACTTCTTCCCCAGCTCTAAATATTTAAAAATTTCCCAGACAAAAAATACGTGGACATTTTCCCCTTGCTCTCTAATTTACTCCATGGCCTGAATTCCAAATGTTTTCCTATATTAAGACTTTTTATTATTGATAGCATATTGCAGCTTTAAGGCTTTTGTACACGTCCACTCCTCCAGGAATGTAACTGCTAAATCACTTCCTCTCTGGTCTCAATGAGGTAACACATTCCAAATACTATAGCATGTTTTCTAATCTCATTTTAAAATGAAATTCAGGTATTACATTCCATAGGAGAATAAAGGACAGCTGTTTTCACAAATATGATATGAAAACACATCTGCCACACAATTGTACAATCCTTAGCACATGGCTGTTGGAAAAAGTTATGTAAAATGCTGACAAATGAAATCAACACCAAAAAGTAGAGGTATTTATTTTTTAAAAATCTACACATCACATGTCAATGAACCACATATAAAGCTTGAAAGACAGGCTATTTTGAGAAACAATGGTGCACGGATGTTAATTCCTTGTTTTACATACACATTATTTATTCAATACTATCTTTGGTGACCAATTGCTAAACGGAATACAAGCCAAGTGTAATTGTTTAGCTACCTTCCTAACAAGGCAGCAATCCTGCTTCTTAATAGAGTTGTTTCTGTTTATTTTCTCCTTGTTCAACTTCACACTTTGCACCTAACATTTACAATCTCCATGTTGAGTGCCCAACCACAAAGAAAAGCAGAGGAATAGAAGATTTGAAACCAAAGTACTTATACCAACCCATCACACTATGTGTTGAAATGTGGATTTCTTTCCATATTCACTGAGTGTAAATGTTATTTAAATGAACGTTTTTGTGTCCTGGCATGGCAAGTAACTGATTTGAAAGCTCTTTTTCACTGACTTTACGAAATCAGTGAAGATGCCACAGATTATGGTGCTTCAGAGCAGTAACTTTGGAGAGAGACAAAACATGAGTTTGTATCTTCTGGCCACTTCCTAGGCACGTGAAGAAGGTGCTGCACCTCCGTGAGCTTCAGCTGTGTCACCTATAAATTGGGAGTTTAAAGTGTAATGGAATTCAATGAGATCAAATAAGAAAAGTACTTGGCCACATGGTATGACTGCAATATAGTCTGCAAGTCAATTCTATTGTTGCTATTAGTGTGATGGCCACAGTGACAGAGCATTATCCATAATGTATATTCCGTCTCATAATGCCTGCTGCTACTGATCATTACCCAAGTACCAAGGCTTTGGAGATAAAATGACTCTGGATCCTCATCTCTCACCTTATACAAAAAGCAACTGAAAATGGATTAAGGACTTAAACCTAAGACCTGAAACTATAAACATTCTAGTAGATGACATTGGAAAACCCTTCTGGACATTGGCTTAGGCAAGGATTTCATGACCAAGAGAACCCAAAAGCAAATGCAATAAAAGCAAAGATAAATAGCTGGGACCTAATTAAACTAAAGAGCTTTTGCATGGCAAAAGGAACAGTCAGCAGAGTGAACGGACAACCCACAGAGTGGAAGAAACTCTTCGTCATCTATACATCTGACAAAGGACTAATATCCAGACTCTACAACGAACTCAAACAAATCAATAAGAAAAAAATCAAACAGTCCCATCAAAAAAGTGGACTAAGGACATGAATAGACAGTTCTCAAAAGAGGATATGCAAATAGCCAAAAAACATAGGAAAAATGCTCAACATCACTAATGATCAGGGAAATGCATATCAAAACCACAATGTGATACCGCCTTACACCTGCAAGAATGGCCATAATCAAAAAACAGTAGATGTTGGTGTAGATGCAGTAAACAGGGAACACTTCTACACCACTGGTGGGAATGCAAACTAGTACAGCCACTATGGAAAACAGTGTGGATATTCCTTAAAGAACTAAAAGTAGAACTACCATTTGATCCAGCAATCTCACTACTGAGTATCTACCCAGAGGAAAAGAAGTCATTGTTTAAAAAAGATACTTGCACATGCATGTTTATAGTGGCACAATTCACAATAGCAAAATCGTGGAACCAACACAAGTGCCCATCAATCAATAAGTGGCTAAAGAAACTATGGCATATATATATATATATATGATGGAATACTATGTAGCCATAAAAAGGATGAATAAACAGCATTTGCAGTGACGTGGATGAGATTGGAGACTATTATTCTAAGTGAAGTAACTCAGGAATGGAAAACCAAATATCGTATGTTCTCACTGATATGTGGGAGCTAAGCTATGAGGACGCAAAGGCATAAAAATGATACAATGAGGCCGGATACAGTGGCTCACACCTGTAATCCCGGCACTTTGGGAGGCCAAGGCAGGCAGATCATGAGGTCAGGAGATCGAGACCATCCTGGCTAACACGGTGAAACCCCGTCTCTACTAAAAATACAAAAAATTAGCCGGGCGTGGTGGCGGGCGCCTGTAGTCCCAGCTACTCGGGAGGCTGAGGCAGGAGAATGGCGTGAACCCAGGAGGCAGAGCTTGCAATGAGCCGAGATCGTGGCACTGCACTCCAGCCTGGGCGACAGAGCGAGACTCCATCTCAAAAAAAATAAAAAAAATAAATAAATAAAATAAATAAAAAAAGAATGATACGATGGACTTTGGGGACTTAGGGGGAAGAGTGGGAAGTGGGGCAAGGGATAAAAGACTACAAATATAGTGCAGTGTATACTGCTTGGGTGATGGGTGCACCAAAATCTCACAAATGACCACTAAAGAACTTACTCATGGCTGGACACGGTGACTCATGCCTGTAATTCCAGCACTTTTGGAGGCTGAGGCGGGTGGATCATGAAGTCAAGAGATCGAGACTATCCTGGCCAACATGGTGAAACCCCGTCTCTACTAAAAATACAAAAATTAGCTGGGCGTGGTGGTGCATGCCTGTAGTCCCAGCTACTCAGGAGGCTGAGGCAGGAGAATCACTTGAACCTGGGAGGTGGAGCTTGCAGTGAGCCGTGATCACACCACTGCACTCCAGTCTGGCAACAGAGTGAGACTCTGTCTCCAAAAAAAAAAAAAAAAAAAAAAGAACTTACCCATGTAACCAAATACCACCTGTATCCCAATAACTGAAGGAAAAAAATTTAATAAATAAATAAAAATATATGTGGAAACATTGCTGGTAAAGGCTTAATCATGAGTGTACAAACTTTGACATAATACCCATTTACACACATAGCTCTTGACTTAGAAAAGTATCATGTTGTTAACTGTTAGGATCTGGATAGATATTCATACCTGAAAAGAACAATTTGAGGCATGTAATCTTTCCCTAAACATGTGCATAAGTATCATGTCCTTTGATTCACATCTACAGCTTGCTCTAGTGTGCGTTTGCTATTAGAAACCTTTCCTTAGTTGCAATGTTTGGGATATGCTTTGGCACTAAATCACAGCATTCGCAATGGACAGAAGAAACATAATGACTACATACTTGAAACAAAGAACATTCATTCTCGTTACATTTATGAGAAAATTAAGACCTGCCCATGGTATGTAGACCTGCCCATGGTCAACACAGCTAATAAGTGGCAGAGATGGTTTTCAAACTCAGATCTACCCAAATACAGTCTTTCCATTTGCTGTATAGGTAGGGTTTATCATCTGGAATCTATTTCAATTAATGACTAATAAACGTTTCTGATTATTTTCTCAAATACCAGATTAATGAGATACACTTCAAATGCCTAAAACTTGTAGAAGTGAATGAATTCATAAACTAAGAAGGAAAAAACATGAATACAGTTTTTTAAAGCTCAGGAAGGATAGTTAAAAATCATTGCCCATATTTCTCATTTTCTTTCTCATTTCTTAATACTATTTCTCTAATCAGAAACCATGATTGGTTTTACCTAGATGATACGTGATCTCTACTACCTATCAGCTCTTAATTTTTCATGCAACTCTGGAAATTGAATGGGATATCTGTGCACAAATGTAGATGACTTACTCTAAGAACCTATATGCAGAAGTGACAATTCAGACTGATTCAGTGTTATTTTTAGGGATAATGGTTTAAAATATTAACTCCATAACACAGTTTTTAAAATCCTGGTTTAATTCCTTTTGAAGGAATCTCAGACCATTTCCATAAAGACAAGAAAAATACCATGTTCTACCCTCACCTGGTGTCCATTGAATAAAAAGAAGTTTATTACATCAGAAATGTAATTCAAATCATAGCACTGATTTGTTTTGTGCAGAGTATGTGTGTGTCCTTCATGTTCACTTTTCACAGCCCAAACCTGGCAGTCTTTGGTTTGCTCTGATTAGGTGTTATGTGTCAGACCTGCCTGCTTGAGCCCCAACAGGACGGAAGCTGTGTTCTCACAATGCTTGCCTTCTGAGTTGGCAAAATCAGATGGTACTTAATGGAGTTTTTATGAATATATAAGTGATGAAGACAATAATGTACAAACTTAAAATGTCCCTAATTCCAGAAGAATCTGGTAATTAAGACATGTCTATATGTAACTTTTTAAATATCCTTAGCACTCCTTGAAACTAAGCCTGAGTGTAGAAACATTCCAATTTGTAACTGCAGCCTTCCCAATTGTTGTTAGGAGTACATGAGATAATCATCATAAAATACTTACCAAAATGGCCAGCATGGAGGAAATCATCCACAAATGTTACTCTGCTCTAGTGTGCACAGCCAGATGGTTTGCAACCCTGCACAACATACTTGAATTGGAAGTCCCCGAATCCAATAAAATGTTATTAAATCAAATGTAATAGACAACAAAAAACGAAATGGCACTTAACACACTCCTTATTGAGAGGATTTACATCTGGGAGGGTGGAAGAAAAAAACGTTTCTTGAACAATAATATGTCTCACTTTATTAGACATATTTCTTATATTAACTCATTTGTATTTGTAACTGCCTATTTACTTATACTGTGATCTTTGGGTTTATAAATGTCTTATCTCTCTAACCAGACTTGACCTTTTTGAGGTAATAAAACATTCTTCTAAAAAGAACCATGAACAGTACCTTCTAAATATTTCAAACTACACCACAAGAACTTTAAAACAATTGTGTGTCTGTATATATGTCTATTTATACATTTTATATAGAGTTGTGTTTGTATATAAAGAGAGACAGTCACACTCTGGGTATATATGGAGAGACAAGTATAATTATATATGATAGAATGGTTTGTGAAGTGAACAGAATTGTATCAGAAAACAAGAGTTTGCATTCTGATAATGATATTTAAATACAGAGAGGTCTTGGGCAGGTCACTTAACATCTTTAAACCTCAGTTTCTTCACCTAGACCTGCACTATCCAATGTGATGTCCTGGCATGATGGAAGTCTTCTGTGTCTGTGCTGGCCAAGGTGATAATCACTAAGTGCATGTGGCTACTGAGCACTTGAAATGTGACTAGTGTCTGAGGAACTGAATTATAAATTGTATTTAATTTTAATTATTTTAAATCTAAATAGGCACGTGTGGTAAGTAGATATTTTAGTGGACAGTATAACCATAAAATCAAGGAGGATGGGACAATGTCATATGAAAAGAAGCTCTCCTGAATTCCCCCGGTATGGGTGCTACCAACGCAGTTTTGAGCAGAATGATTCTCTTTTGAAATAGTGGTACTCTCCCTTGATATCTTAGGACTTTAAAGTTTAAATGCTTTTTCCCATATTTCTCCCAACAGATCTTGACAACTTTAAAACAAGAACAAGAAGCACTGTGTCTGTCCGTCGAGGTCAAGGAATGGTGCTACTGTGTGGCCCGCCACCCCATTCTGGAGGTACATATAAATGAACTGACATATGCATGCTTCACTCTCTGTTATTTTTCTTCCTCAATGTTCTCCCTCCTGACACCAGCTGAGTGCACAGTGTCATTTATAGAGATTCCCAAAGCCCCTCCATGTGGAGGAAAAACCACGGTGAATGCCTCCCATCATTAGGACAGGAAAATACCAGATTGTGCAAATTTTCCACCCCACTGCAGTGTACCTGGCACAAGAAGAAAGACACCTGAGTCGATCAAAATCATAATGCTGTTGCTTGGTAAAGCAGTGTAATTAAAACGACTCATACTTCTTACAACTTGATTGGGTTAAAAAAGATGGCCCTACTTCATTTCATCTCCTGGTTGGTCTGGGAACTGTCTGTGAACTGTGTCTACTCGCAATACTTCTGACACCAAATGTATGGGTTTTTTCCACACTAACAACCAAGTCTCCAATCTTCTGGACACCAACTGGCTGTCCAACGATTCAATTCCATTTTGACAGTAACTACCCCATTAACTACTCTGGGATGGTTAGTGTCAGAACTCATAGGATAAAGGCTCAGTCCCACAAGGCTGCCTCCACTTCAGATGCCACTTTCAAGTCCTTGACCTCACACACTTCTGACTAACTGGCTATAAAGTGGGACTCCCATAACTCCCTCCTTGGCTTCCATAATTTGCTAGAATGGTTCCCAGAACTCAGGGAAAACAGTTTACTTACATACCAGTTTATTATAAAAGATATTATAAAGGATACGTATGAACAGCCCGATAAACATATAGAGAGAGTGAGGTCTGAAGGGTTGTGAATGCAGGAGTTTCTAGACTTGTGGATCCTCCCCACATGTAGATGCATTCATTAACCCTGAAGCTCTCCAAACGCTGTCATTTAGGGTTTTTATGCAGGTTCCGTTGTGTAGGCATGATTGATCGAATCTATGGCCATTGTAATTGATGGCCATTTTCCAGCCCTTCTCCCATCCCCAAGAGTGGGGAATGGGGAGGCTGAAAGTTCCAACCCTTTAATTATTTGGTTGGTTCCTCTGACAACCAATCAAGGGGCCTCACCAAGAGTCACCTAATTAGCATAAACTCAAGTATGGTTGAAAAGGGCCTATTTATGAATAACAAAAGACATTCTTCTCAGCAATATCACTCAGGAAATTACAAGGGTTTTGGGATGCAGACCAAATATATATATTTCTTATTAATCACAGTATCACAGGATCAGACCAAGAACAAAAGTTCCTTGACCATAGAATCTACGATCACTTTGTGGAGACTCATAGCAACTAGATCAGTTAGGAATGCACTTGACTGCAACTAACTGAAAACCCAGCTCATAATGTTCTTTTATATTCTTTTTCTCACATGCAACATTTTCTCTTTCTTTTTTTTTTTTTTTTTTGAGACAGAGTCTCGCTTTGTCACCCAATCTGGAGTGTGGTGGTGCAATCTCGGCTCACTGCAACCTCTGCCTCCCAGGTTCAATCGATTCTCATGCCTCAGCCTTCCGAGTAGCTGGGATTACAGGCACCCACCACCGTGCCAATTTTTATATTTTTAGTAGAGATAGGATTTCACCATGTTGACCAGGCTGGTCTCAAACTCCTGACCTCAAGTGATCCACCCACCTTGGCCTCCCAAAGTGCTGGGATTACAGGCATGAGTCACTGCACCTGGCTGGCATGCAAGATTTTCAAAGATATACAATCTAAAGCTAGCACAGCTTCTAGAGGATGTCTTCCAGGACTCATGCCCTTCTCTGATTCTTCTCTGAAGTGCTTAGCATGTGGTATGGATGAGGCATGAAGTCTGCATTCCAAACCAGATCAAATGGGAAGAAGCAAAGACAAAAGGCAATGATTTGTTTTTGCTTGTTTTTGTCCATTTCAATTTACCTTTATTATCGTAAGTTTTCTTTGCCTGAGGACTTTGCCTCCATGTCATTGATCACCTCAGTGGCAAAGGAGGTTGAAAAATCAAATATTTTACGCAGATGTGTTATGCCCTGGAAAATATCATAATTTTACTAGTAAGGGAGAACATGGAGAGATGTGTAGGCAACTTGCAGTGTCGGCTAAAAGGAACTACGATGACTAAAAGGCAAATATAACTGCACATAAGGGATTCAGTAGTGTGGAGGTTTAATAAGTAGTAATATTTATTAGGATTCCACTAAGGTCTGTAATGACAAGATTGATAAACTCTACCCTTGGAAATCCAGGCTGAAGTTTAGTTCAATATCTGCTATTCTTGTTATTGCCTTAATTTTCAGTTTGACTTTCCACATGTTTAAAAGAACAAACTTTTAGATTTGGAATTTGAAAAACACTGTTTTATTTTTGTCCTCTGTTCAAAAGTTGTAATGTTTTCTTTCTCATCTAATTCTGAGCTAACATTTCCAGCAGAAAATAACAATTAGTAAAGGTGCTAAAAGGCATGTACTTCAAGCATCCTGAATACGAAGGAGAGGTGGGAGAGGTAGGTTCCCCTCTATGTCTGGATCAGGGACAAGGAATTGTTAGGATTTCTGGTTTTTGAAGACTGACAGAAAATCTAGGTTTGATTTCAGAGGTCTGTGTTTGGAAAATGGGATTATTCTTCAGGATTTCATTTTCCTTTCAAGTTAGTATCAGAAGCACTGAATTTGGACTCTGGGATATGAGTTTTGATCCTTGTTCTGTTTCAAATCATTATTTGATACTGGGAAAATATCTTCAAATTCTTTATGCCTCACTCTGCCTGTCTATAAAATGAAGAGATTAAAAGAAGTCTCTCAAATCCCTATTGATTCTATCAACACATAATTATAACTCGATAAGGGCTAAACATCTTGTTTATCAAGTGTGTTTGCATTATTGAAGGCCTGTCCTTTATATGAGAAAACCACTTCACTGTGGACATATATTTAGATTCAGGTGAAGTTCACTTAGACTAACACTTCTCTTTTTAATATGGAATCTGATCAAAATAAAAATGGAAGATTTTACTAATTTCTTCTGCAGGCTACCTTCATTGCATTAAGTTTTCATCACATGGCAGCAACCCTAAAAATTAATCTTGTAGGTATATTAAGAAAAACACCACCACTGTCCGATATAATGATCTCTTTAGGAAAGGCAAAACACATGGAGTGATGCTGTGCTGCTACGCAATGAAGTACCTGACTACTTTCCCTTTCCCACAGAGAAATAGATTAAAAATTTCCATAGACATCTACTGAAATGCAGTTGTCTCTGCTGGCAGCAGTCAGCAGCTCTGAAATCCAGTTCCTTGAGCTGTGCTGACATTCCTGACAATCTTGATGGTGAAAGACAAGGAAATAAATATTCTTATTATAAGCTCTATTAGAAATGGCGTGCACATTAACGCTGTGGGCAAAGCAGGCACGGCTAAGAAATTTTTGAGAAAAGAACAAAGAAGATATTCAAGGTTATAAAAGAGCATCTCAGACATCCATCAGTTTTGGACAAGGGAAACAATGATTATCTGATGAAATCCTTCCAATTTCTCAAAAGCCTCCAATGCAACTGAACGGCAGTGATTCTCTCACTGTTTTTCCGGGCTGTGTGTCACCCTAAAGCGAGAAGAATCACTGTGAGCTGCTGGACATACTGAGCATTTTAGACCCAGCATATGGTCTCCTGGTTTCCATTGTAACAGATCATGCAGAGGAAGGGAAATGAGTCAGCCTTTTATTATATCAGTGGGGTACTGAGTAATGGCATGAAATCCATTGTAAGGGATGCTGCATGTCCTATTTCGAAAGCTGTGCGGTGTCAGACCTTCTTAGGGTAGCAGAGAAATGAGCAGCAATTAATCTGTTTTGAAAAGCATTTCAGTCAGCAGGTATTTCCAGCACTCTACCAATCACTATGTGTGGCCTCTTTGTCATCTCTTGGTTTATATGTATGAATTCAGATGTGATGGTTTTGCATAGATTTTTACCATTAAATATAAGAAAACACCAAAAAATAGAAATCACTTTGATGGACTCTGGCTATCCTTGGTGCTCCTTCCTATTAGACACAGAAATTATTGAGGTCCAGAATGTCCACTTTGCTTTCTGCCAACTCCAGGGTCACTGGGCACCAGGAATTCATGACCTTTAACCAAGCTCTCGTTAAATAGGAATAGAACAGAGGAACTTTGAGATTCTTCCTTCCAATATACGAAAATTTCTAGTTTATTCCTCAATAAAATCCTCACAAACTGTTCATCAAGAGAGGTTTTTGTTCATGCCTTCATTTTATGTCACCAAGATGCTTGCGACTCAAAGGGTGGTCCAAGCACCAGCAGCATTGGCCTCACCTGGAAATTTGATAAAAAGGTAAAATCTCAGACCCCACTACAGCCTACTGAATTGGAACTTGCATTTTAATAAGATCTCCGAGTGATCATATGCACTTTGAAGTGTGAGATGCCCTGAGTCATAGCTGTGGTTCCCACGCACACCCCACCTCTGGGCAGTGAGGGTTGACAGCTTGAGAATCTGGAGGGAAAATTGTTAAAACCATAGGTGTCCAACCTGTTCACAAGCATATTCCGATTCCATAAATCTGGGCTAGGGTCCCCAAGGCTGTTAAAAAAAAAAAAAAAACAGGCCAGGCGCGGTGACTCACACCTGTAATCCCAGCACTTTGGGAGGAGGCCGAGGCAGGTGGATCACTTGAGGTCAGGAGTTAGAGATCAGCCTGGCCAACATAGAGAAACCCCGTCTCTGCTAAAAATACAAAAATTAGTCTGCTGGTGTGCGCCTATAATCCCAGCAACTTGGGAGGCTGAGACAGGAGAATTGCTTGAACTCAGGAGGTGGAGGTTGCGGTGAGTGGAGATCGCGCCACTGCACTCCAGCCTGGGCGACAGAGCGAGACTCTGGCTCAAAAAAAACAAAAACAAAAACAAAAACAAAACTGTAGCTGACTCGCTCACTCTGAGGCAGCACCAGATTTAAGGTCCATTCACACGGATCATCTACAGAACTAGCCCAGGTCCAGCCCTGCTGAGATGGAGTGCTTCGATTTCCACATCACTCAAGCCGAAGGGCTGAGCATTCCTTATGTGAAATTTTTATTTAAAATAATTCATCTATTTACTTATTTTTTGAAATGGAGTCTCACTCTGTCAACCAGGCTGGAGTGCAATGGCACAATCTCGGCTCACTGCAACCTCCGCCTCCTGGGTTCAAGCTGATTCTCCCACCTCAGCCTCCCAAGTAGCTGGGATTACAGGAGTGCACCACCACACCTGGCTAATTTTTGTATTTTTAGTAGAGATGAGGTTTCACCATGTTGGCCAGGCTGATCTCAAACTCCCGACCTCAAGTGATCTGCCTACCTTGGCCTCCCAAAGTGCTGGGATTACAGGCGTGAGCCACTGCACTGGCCAATTGAAAATAATTCAAAATAAAATGTAGTTACCTTAGGCTTTAGCTTTGACTTTATATGTTTTTGTTCATAAAGGAAATGAAAAACTAAGAAAAGGGTGGCTTTTCCTAGGTACTCATACTCAGAAGTAGCATTCTGGTCAGGTGCAGTGCCTCTTGCCTATAATTCTAGCATTTTGTGAGGCCAAGGTAGGAGGATCACTTGAGCCCAGGAGTTGGAGATCCACCTGGCAACACAGTGAGGCCGTCTCTAAAAAATAATTTATTTTATTTTATTTTATTTGGGACAGAGTCTCGCTCTGTCGCCCAGGCTAGAGTGCAGTGGCGTGATCTCAGCTCACTGCAACCTCCGCCTCCCAGTTCAAACATTCTCCCACCTCAGCCTACCGAGTATCTGGGACTACAGGCACATGCCACCATGCCCAGCTAATTTTTGTATTTTTAGTAGAGACAGGGTTTTGCCATGTTGACCAGGCTGGTCTCAAACTCCTGACCTCAGGATCCACCCGCTTCAGCCTCCCAAAGTGCTGGGATTACAGGTGTGAGCCATCGCACCCAGCCTAAAAAAATGTTTAAAAATTAGCCAAGTGTGGTGGTGTGTGCCTCTAGTCCCAGCTATTTGAGAGGATGAGGTGGGAGGATTCCTTGAGCCTAGCAGTTCAAGGCTGCAGTGAGCTATGATCACACCACTGCTCTCCAGACTGGGCAACAGAGTGAGATCCTGTCTTAAAAGCAAACAAACAGACAAAACCCAGAAGTAGCATTTTCTATTCAGCCAGCTTTCCTACATTGTTATTGGTGAATGTATGGCTTCCCAGAGTATATTTAAAAAAGAAAACCACCTGATTCTGATTCTGCGATTATTTTCATTATTACGGGTTTTGGAGAAACTAGCTAAAATTTTCATCTTTAGATTTTTCTTTTACACAGAACACATCCCCACTAGAGTTGGATCCTATCCACAGGGCATCAGACCCAGGGACCTTCGAACACGAACATCTGTAGAGTCCTTTATAGTGTTTATAGTGCTTTAATTTATATTATATTATCTTTGAATCCTCACAATAATCCCATAAGAAGTAAGGACATGTGTTTCATAGATAAGGAAATAGAAGCAAAGAGATTATGGAGGGCACACTCTAATCAATGGCAGGAATAAGAGTTACTGTTGCCTAGAATGCGCCCTTTTATTTGTATATAGCAGAAAAACTGGAAACATGTACTGTACTTTCTGTGTCAGTGGTTCTTTGGCGCTCACCCCAGGTCAATTAAATCTGAGTTTCTTGATGGCAGGGGATCCTCTGGCATCATCCAGGTAATTTTAATATGCAGCCAGGGTGGAAAACTTGAGTCCCTGCATTACAAAATCAAGTAGGACTTATCCCAGCAAAACGTCTCTATATGCAAACCTCTCCAGGGTTCCATAAATGTAATTTTACGTGGACATACCCATACAGATTATAACCACAGCCCTTAAAAGAAGCAAGCATGCCTTTCCACAGCATGGTTATTTCAGCTGGACCATGCTGTATTTACTGTAGGACAGAGATAAAAGCGTGAAAGTAGGACATCTGTGTTCTAGTCCTAGCTCTCCCATCAACTTGCTATGTGGTCTTGGGCCAATTATGTAACTTCTCTGAGCCCTATTTCTTCATATGACTTCTGTTTCTGTCTTCCCACACCTACTCAGCTTTCGTTATTAAGATATCACCTTCAGAGTTAGACTCACCCAGTTTCTTACTTAGTCCAAACTATGCTGACAGGTCACTGAGCCAGGACGAATCTTACTGTGCTAAAAGTGAGCAGCCTCTATGCCCAGAATAATCTTCAAGATGTCCACATTCAAGTCAAGTTGCCAACTCTGCCTAACTCCACATTCAATACCTTATTCTCATCTTCTTCCCCAAACTGGTTCCTGGGTTTACCAGTTTTATATAATTTTAGATTTTCAGCTGCCTCCTTAGTCCAGACACTTAGCTTAGCTGTTGTCCTCATTTCTTACCCAAAGGCGCATGAAATCCCATTTTAACCCCACTCTAAACCTCCAACCATAACATGGTATTCTTTGCATTCTAAGTATTGCTTAAGTCTAGGAAGTCTAGTTACTGGGCCCCACGCATCATATCAGACCTCCTTGGCTATTGACATTTGCCTGGCTGGGTCCTAGGTTTGTCAACTGTGCTTTGGACGACTGGTCACTTTCCTCAGGAAGCAGTCCCTGTACTTCCAGCTTACTCCCTCTACTTTCTCTCATTACCTTTTTCAGGCTCCCTCTCCTTACCCATATCTGGGTTCCTAGCATCACTTTCAAGTCCTCAAACACCACTATAATGCCAACCAAATTGAATTCATCTTTGTTCTGTAAACTTTTCAAATCTGTTATGAGGATGAAAAGACATAACAAATGTGGCAGCAATTTGCACAGTTAAAACTTCCAGACACTCCTGATTTTATTAATTAGGCTGGGTTTGATTGTTTTCATTTGCTTAAGCTTGAAGTCAAAGTTAAATCAGAGAATTTCTCATCTTTGGAGATATGTGATTCTTGATTTACATTCATGTAACAACTTTTATGTAGGCAGATACTTTTCGGATATATCTCCCAAGAGATTTATATGGAATTTACATCTATTATTAACATAAATTGGTTATGCTCTGGCATTGTGGCTTTATTAGCCATTCTTCTAACATTTGAAAATTGCTATTAAAGACTTTACAGTTAAGGTAAACTCTACCAATAGTCTTCTCATAAGCCAAACCCTGTGTGATTCTTTATATTTGCATTTTCTATTTAGCGTGTACAGTATGTGCCCGGACTTCATTTCCTTAGAAAAACAAGGCACTAGGTAGACTTAGGCGGATGCAGGACTTTAAAAATACTGCTGAAATAATGCTGAGAATATTTTTAATAGACTGAAGAATGTTGTCTTAAACATATTTTTATATGGCAGCTTAAAAAAAGCAAAATGTGAGATTTTTAAATGGTTACAAAATTAACAATCACTTAATTGTCATAAAAAGCTATAAGAATAGTGCTGTAAGTATTGATCACCTTTTCTGGTCATATTGGGAACATGATTGAAGGTACATATGGGAACAAGGAAGGGCCCAGCATTTCACTTGAGTCATCTCATTCTCTCTCTCTCTCTCTCTCTGTGTGTGTTTGTGTATGTGTGTGTGTGTGCGTGTGTGTATAATGAGAGAAGTGCCCAAATATAATCCTAGTTTTAAAAACACACATAACAAATGATAGCTAATGGTTTTAGGTCCTGAGTCTTTGTTTCTTGGCCACCACTGAGAGAGCTGCATTTTGATACCAATTTCATGTCACCTGAGAAGCGACTTCCCTGAGAGATGCCTTATCACCTGCAAGTAAATTAAAAGCCACAGGTGTCCAGTAGGTTAACACTGACCGTCTTGGAAATCAGTGATTCAGAAAAGGTCCTGTAATAAGGCAAAATGTAGGATCTCGTCATCTGGTCTTGGAACTTACAAAATGATGTTTAAAATGTTGGTTGGGAGTGGCATTGAAATACTGCTACTATGCCATTTTCCAAGAATGTTGAGGTCAGCCAAACTTGGTTTAAACCACCTTTTATAATATAATTTCTATGAAACATGCATTCTGATTTCCATTTCCCAACAGAGGAACTTTATATATTCACTTAAGTAGATATCTATCTCAATTCAGAGGGGAAAGCTTAACATTTAGTTAGTGATAGGTTAATCAACATCATAGACTACTAGATACCTTTTTTAAAAAAATCAGGAATTAAATATTCTTCTGTTTGTTTTTCTTGTGACAGGATCTCACTCTATCACCTAGTCTGGAGTGCAGTGGCACGATCATGGGTCATTGCAGCCTGAAACCGGGCTCAAGCAATCCTCCCACCTCAGCCTCTTGAGTAGCTAGTACTGCAGGCATGAGCCACCACACCAGGCTAATTATTTTATTTTTTGTTAGAGATGGGGTCTTGTTTTGTTACCCAAGTTGGTCTCAAACTCCTGGCCTCAAGCGATCTTCCTACCTCAGCCTCCCAAAGTGCTGGGAGTACAGGCATGAGCCACCGTGCCCATCCAGGAATTAAATATTCTTAAGGCGATCTTGTCTGTTGCCTCTTGACTGTGTTCCTTTGAAAGATATGAACTTGGACTCCTTTATTTGAAATGTAATCAGCCAGTTCCTCCCTTTTTTCTCTTCCCCGTTTGCCAATCAGAGGGGGTTACAGCGCATTAGTTGATTTAATCAGCATAGAATAATGTAAAACAGTTTATAAGGTGATGCCTTTCTGCATTCATTAAGCCTCCTGTTTCACCCATTGAACAGAAAAAGAGAGCCACATTGATCAGGGACTACTTGTGATAAACTATCTGACCCACATGGCCTGGGTGGAGTGTTTCGTGTTTAGGAGGATAGGCCACTGGGAGGGAGTGCTTGCCCTCACTACACCAAAGGCAGGCTCCACTTCTCTCATCCATGAGATCATTTAGCTCAAAGAAAGAATCAGCAAAAGAAGCAAAAGGGAGGAATTGGGGCCTGGCATGTCTACAGGAGTGACTTGCTTCTCCTCTACCAGATATGACAAGAAGAAGTGAGGTGGATATTTCTGATTTCAGTTATCTCTGAAATTGGTGAAGTATATTCTGTGATGCTACTGACATACTTTTTGCCTTTGAATTTTCCTGTCAACTCTTTTTAAAACAACTTGAATGTTTCATGACTATACTTTTGAATGCCTAGATGTCAACAACTATACACTTATGAGTAGAAAAAAATAAGTTGATATAAGTAACGAACGTTTCCTGGTCATAGAAAAATTATAGTCTTTTTATAGCTGAGCTTCCAGTTTCTTAAAGTAACCTTGTAGAGAATTGGTGGTCTGGTTTTTTAAGAAGAGTTCCCTAGGAGTAGTAGCTACATACTTTCTACTTTAATTCTTTTTTTAGTTCTAGTAAGAGAGATGCTTAAGCTGTTTTTACAGCTATAGCAAGTTCCTGGCCATAGCACTTAGAAATAGACTCAGCTACTTAATAAATACCAGTTAATTAAATATCTTATTGTTCAGAAAAAAAATAATAATTTGGCTAAAAAATAGCAGAAATAAATTTCAGGAAATTCTTTTTCTGTCTCCTTTTTTCCTCACTTGCTTTTGTGCAAACGTTTCTATGTGCTTTATTGGGCAGAAACCAAGAACTTAATGATGCCCCTAATTACCCAGCTTCTCTCCTGACAGTTAGTTTGTGTGTACTTTAATGATAGGCACTATGTAACTGTATTTGTGGATACACAGATTTCAATTCAAGTTGAGTACATCTCTATTTTCTTTTTAAACATCCAAAAAAAATTAAAAAGATTATCTCCAGGTTTGATCCTTAGAACTGGAGGCCACTGATGTCAGAGTAAGGGCCAAACACATTAGTACCGAAAGGAAATAATGTTTGGAAAATGAGAATGGATCCATAAGGCTAAATGATCTACAAACTGTGATCATTTGACAAAGCTGGACCACATGCAGAGCTTTTTCTTTTGGAGTTGTCCTGTCCCAGAAAGCAGTGAAGGATGACATTGTGTTAGAACATAGGTTGGGACATGAAGAGTCTGGAGATGTGAAAAACACATTACACATCCAGGAGAGTGCTACCAGGGATGTACTAGCCAGAAGAGAACAAATGATCAACACTGAGCTTTCAACAACATGAATCTGGCTGAGCGTTTCATAAATAATCCAGTGGACATTCACTACAGGATAGACGGGCACCATTCTTGTTTTAATGCCTGCTGGAAATATACCCTGTGAATCTCATTTTTTCAGCTGAAAAAGGAATGAGTGGTGCTTTGGCTACATTTTTAGCAATGAATAGGTATTCTCTCAGGTCAGTGCATTAAGCAGGATGTTACATGGAATTAAGCAGGATAATGATGCAGTACATAGAATAAGGAAATGCTGACTGAGTCCTGGAAATTTGGAAATAGACTCTGGTTAGGAGCTCAGAAATCGAAGGCTCAGAAATGGATATTTACCACTCTCAGGGATTTTGAACCTAGGAGTCTTAGGCACAAATAAGAAGTTGTTAATTTTTCTGATATATTTTTTAACATGTTCAGTTTGGTTTTCAGACATTAGGAACAAAATAACTGGAAAAAGCCAAATTGAAGACCAGAGAAAACTATACATTTAGGCAAGTGAAGTTCAGTTTCACACACAAAGGAATAAATCATGGCATTTTGTATGAGGGTAGGATTAAAGCTTTTGATTCTATGTAATATCAAAATACTGATTTAAGAGGAAGTGATTTACTGGAGTATCTGTATATTAATCAATGACAAACAATATGGATAAAAAACTTTTCAAATCAATCAAACTGATTGCAGTTCTCCATATCCACTAATGATTTTGACATTTGCAGATATATAGAATAAATACAAAGTTCCAAATGAAGCATAATAGTTTTACAGAGAGACCAACTCTGTCTGCATTATGAACTCAAAGAAATGTTTAATGTTTAATTCAGAGACTGAGAGAATGTTCGTGATATCTGAAGTAGGTGGTGCTGCTAACAAAACAATGGGCAGCCACTTTGTACCGAGCCAAGAGAGCTCTTCCCATCTCCAGCCGAAACACACCCTCTTTTTCTCCCATCATCTGGTGCAGGTTAACACATTATCACAATCTTCACTGTCACAATTAACCCCTGGAAAGGAGTTGTGTCATAAAAACACTCCATAGGACTTCACAAATCCATATGGCAGGCACAGCTGGGAAGACAGTTGCAGTTGATAACGTAGCATTTCAGAAATATCCAAAGAATCTCTACTTTGTGAAGTAGTGTGGAATTTACACATCCTCTCATTCCCTCAAATCAGCACATACACTAGGGAACACCTGGGAAATGCCAAGATGCTTCAGTTTTAGGTGTTTGAAGCCCAGTTCTTATCATTTCACGCAAACCAGAGTATGCTTTTTGAAAAGATGAAAGGACTTTTAAAAACAAAAGGTGGCTGATTTAAGGATTATGTTTCTTCCTTCTCCACTTACTGCAAACTGAGGTAGCTATGACAGCTCTCTAACATTAGTACCCAAATATGAGAAAGACATTCATGTACCTTCTTCTCTTGCTACCCTGAGAATTTGTTCACTGTCTCTGCAAGCCAGCACTCCTTCTAAATGTACAACTCCAGTTTACTTCAATGGACACAGTTGTGATGAATGAAATTTATGATTGGATTCTAATGGATTATGTAAATTAGGATTTCAAGGTTAAAGGAATAGATTTCTTTTAAAAAGTAAAAATAGGAGATTTTGGCAGAACCTTTCAGATACCAGGCCTTGTCATAGACAGGGCAGATATAGGAGTGGGCCAAAACAAAATGTTTTCTCCTGCCATGTAGCCTACAGGTCTGCTAGGGAGGAGCGGGGTAATGAAATCATCATACTGAGATGTGTGCTCTTGGTTGTGAGGTGGGGGTGAGGGAAAGGAAAACAGGGTTCAGTGACCATGTAAAATAGAAGGACATCATGTGGATTGGGGAGTCAGAGAAGGCTTCCTTGAAGAAGTAGTTCTGTGGCTTAGATCTGAAGGACAAGAGAGTAGAAGGAAAGGAGGAGTATTATAGACAGAACAGCTGTATGTAAGTCTGGAGTGGAGAGGTTGTCAAAAGAAGCCAACATGGCACATGAGTATGGACATGGGGAAGGGTGTTTCAGTTTACTGTGAAAGTGGTGACTGAAGCAATAGAAAGCTCCATTTTTGTTCCTCAAAATCTTATGAAATCAATGATAGCCAGACACCAGTAAGTTGGAAACAGAAAATGTTATCAAATTGCCTCAAATTTAAGTTTTAAAAATTGAGATTCTGGGAGCCCCGTGCAGTCAATTTATAGAAATGGTGGGATGCACCCATTCTTAGCTGGTGAAACCAAGGCTGGGATAGAATTACAACCGATGTGTTAAAGTCATAGAGTTAAATAAAAAATAAAATATCTACACTATGTAAATGAATAATAAAATAAGAAATCTACACTATCATGATGACTTGAGAAAATACTTAGTGATAAAAAAAAATTACTTGGTGATCGAGAAGGAGGGGAAATGTCAGACATTGCCTAAGGATGCAAAGCAAAACAAAATAGAATGAAAATGCTTTGGAAGGAACGCCTTAAGAAAATATAAGAAAATGAATGGATGCATCTCCACTGTGCTTTTGGTCAAGTACAAGAAAACATGGATTCTATGAAACAAAGATGCCAATGTTAAAAGAGAGTTGCCGCCAATGCAGATTGAGGTTTGAAGGGAGCTGGCAATGATGAGAAATGGAAATATTAAAATCTGCAATGCAGACTCAGTAAAAAGCCAAATAAACATTGTAGCAAATTGAATTAGTGATAAGCATGGCTAACTAGGTAAGTTTTTATAAAGAACATAAAATGAAAGTATAATAATCAGAAAGCTTCATAAATATAAAAATTAGGTAGTAAAGTTCCAACCCATATGTAATCAATGTAATTGGTAAAGACAGGTCATCAGTGTGTATGTATTGTTTTATTGTTTAATATCATCACATACTTACCATTCCATGTGAGTTCATCATCCTTTTAATAGTAAAAACATATTGTACTTTCTCATGTTTGAGCGGAAGAAAAAAAATTATGGTATTTTTTATTTTAATAATTAAAGAAGAAAGGATGTTTACTGGGAGCTGCCACAAAAACACTTGGTGTTTTATACATGGTGTTACACACAGTTCCAGAGATATATTCAAAGGATTTGGAAAATTTTTAAAAAATAATTCCAATGACATAACTTTACTTGGGTTCAGCATATGACCTGTACTCCTAGTAGCTCATATATTCTGTTATGTTTGTGTATGACACATAAATTTGTTAAATATAAACAACTGGGCTGGGCGAGGTGGCTCACACCTATAATCCCAACACTTGGGGAGGCCAAGGCAGGCGGATCACTTGAGGTCAGGAAATCGAGACCATCCTGGCTAACACGGTGAAACCCCGTCTTACTAAAAAGAAAAATACAAAAATTTAGCTGGGCATGGTGGCGGGCACCTGTAGTCCCAGCTACTCGGGAGGCTGAGGCAGGAGAATCACTTGATCACGGGAGGCAGAGGTTGCAGTAAGCCGAGATCGCCACTGCTCTCCAGCCTGGGCAACAGAGCAAGACTTCGTCTCAAAAAAAGATAAATAAAAAATAATAATTAAAAACATATCACAATTTTTGTTAAAAAAATAAAGAAAGCATAGATGTAAGAAATAAAAATGGGATATGTACCATCTAAGTTGCTAGAGACAATAAAATCAAAGAAGTTGTGGCCAGGCATAGTGGCTCACGCCTGTAATCCCAGCACTTTGGGAGGCCGAGGTGGGCAGATCACTTGAGGTCAGGAGTTTCAGACCAGCCTGGCCAACATGGTGAAACCCCATCTCTACTAAAGATTTAAAAAGTTAGCTGGGCGTGGTGGTGCATGTTTGTAATCCCAGCTACTTGGGAGGCTTGAGGCAGGAGAATTGCTTGAACCCAGCAGGCGAAGTTTGCAGTGAGCCAAGATCATGCCACTGTACTCCAGCCTGGGCAACACTGCGAGACTCCATCTCAAAAAACAAACAAACTACAGCAACAACAAAGAAGCTGTAATCTATTTAACCAGAGACTCAAAATAAAGATGAGCAAAAAAGCATACATGAAGTATAGAAATATGACAGATATGAGTGTGTGTAGCTTATGAAATATAAAGAAATGCAACTTATTTTAAATATAAGAGCCTCAGATTGAGTTAAAAATATGATCTAAACAAAATGCAATGATACAAAATACCTAGACTACCAACAAAACAGATTTTAAAAAGAAAAATAAATGAGGGCAGAATTATTAGTTTTAGACCAAGCATTATTCAAATACAAAAGCATTAAATTAGATAAAGGCAACCTTTTTTTTTTTTTTTTTTTTTTTTGAGACTGAGTCTCTCTCTGTCGCCCAGGCTGGAGTGCAGTGGGGCGATCTCGGCTCACTGCCAGCTCCGCCTCCCGGGTTCACACCATTCTCCTGCTTCAGCCTTCCCAGTAGCTGGGACTACAGGCGCCCGCCACCACGCCCGGCTCATTTTTTTGTATTTTTAGTAGAGGCGGGGTTTCACCGTGTTAGCCAGGATGGTCTCGATCTCCTGATCTCGCGATCCGCCCGCCTCAGCCTCCCAAAGTGCTGGGATTACAGGCATGAGCCACCTCGCCCGGCAGATAAAGGCAATTTTTATTATTAAAATACACAAACCACAATGAAGACATTCCATTTACATTATTTTAAACACCATGAAACATAGAGTCATAGTATATAAAGCTAAAAGTTTGGGAATACAAGGAGAAATTACTAATGCATATTTGTTACTTAACTTGATAGGTCAAGTCAATAAAAATAAGCATATAAAGAATTTGAATAATGTAATAATGATTGGCCTTTCTTAATGTAAACATACATACTTATGTATTTTCTCTTTAAGCACTTCCATAAATCCTATTTCAATTGTTTACATGTTCAGCCAAAAAAAATTTAAACAAAATTGAAATTATATAGGCCAGGCCTTATTTTCCGCCATAATGCAATTAAATAAGAAATTAGTTATAGGTCAATTTTATACAACACCACAAATTTTTTAAAAACCGTCCCATGCAAATTTCAAATCACATTTCTGATACCTACTGGGTCAAAGAAAAGATAAAACCCATATTAATATATTTTTCAAAAGTGAAAAAAATGAGAACAAACATATCTACACTTGTACAATTTATGAAAAGTATACCCTGAAACAAATTAATAACCTTAAATTTGTTGTATAAGGAATCCTGGAAATCAAAATCAGTACCTTAAGTATTCACCTCATGCAATTCAAAGGAACATAGCACAAACCTAGGGGAAATGGAAAGAAAGAAGATAAAACTCAAAATTAGTGAATTAGAAAACAGTATATAGAGAGACATCCAAGAGGAGCTTTGAGATATGAGATATTCTCTCCAAATCTAATCAAGAACAAACTAGAGAAATACAAATAGGCAAAATGATAAGTTAAAAAGAGCATATAATTTTCTATAAAATATTTAAAATCATTTAAAAAACTACAGACAACTCTATGATCATTTAAACATCCGGATGAAATGAATTATCTATTAAGAATATATAAATAACAAAATTGAACCAAGAAAATGTAGAAGATATGAACATACCAATTATTATGGAAGGAATTGAAAGTTGTCAAGATTTACTCTCTCCAAGTTCTCTGGTCTATACATTTTATAAAGAAAATATTTTAAAGTTTTAATGTAATTCTCTTGCCAAATAATTTGTGGCACAGCAAAGACAAGATGAAAAGCTACCAGTTTATTTTATGGAATGAGAATAATCCTGGCACTAGAACTTGACAAAGACAGCAAAAAGGGAATGCCTCTCTCTTATTTATGAATGTTGGTAACGCTTACATAGTGGGTAATACATGTAGGCACTATTTTAAAAGTTTTACATATATTAACTCATTTAACCCTTACAAAAACCTGATTTAGGTGTTATGTATTCCCATTTTATGGATGAGAAAAATACCTGAGACATTAAGTAAATATGGCATTACTCAACAATTCATGAAAAAACACTTTAGGACATGTATATAAAATGAGATAGAAGTTTTAAAAGTACAGGTAACTCAAAATAAGCCAAAATAAGTATTTGCTCAAAATATACCATATTACAGATTAAAAATACAAAAACAAAATTAAAAAATAAAAACATAATGAAGAGTAAAAAGATACTTCTGGGGTGGGGGGCTGGGGGAGGGATAGCATTAGGAGAAATACGTAATGTAGATGATGGGTTGATGGGTGCAGCAAACCATCATGGCACATATATATCTATGTAACAAACCTGCATGTTCTGCACATGTATCTCAAAACTTAAAGTATAATAATAAAAAAGATACTTCTATAATCTGCTTAATGACAGCCAATATTATATTTAACAGAGGACGTAAAGACAAACAAGAATGAAACAAGGTTTATAATTATTGGGTGATGATACATGAAGGTTCATTATACCATGATTTCTACTTTTGTTATTTGTAATATGTTAGAAAATATATGTAACAAAAATGTTAAAAGAATGGTTTCTATGGTTGAATTTAGTGATTTCTAAGGTGGCTTCCAGCTCAGCTCTTACATGGTTCTCTGTTGTTAATTACCTCTTTTTCCAAAAAAAGCATTTTTTGTACTAGCCTTTCGGGGAGGAAGATGTTTGCATTATGTGGAGGAGTTTCCACCATACATGGACACATTGGTCTCCTGCAAACCACGTAGTTCTTTTATTGCTTCTTTTTTCATTTGAAAATCATTCCAGATACTGAAGTTAAAATAGCTGTCCTTGCTTTCCTGCCTGGAGAGATGGGTATCACTAAAAATGCCTGGATTGGCAGTAATCCGCTTTGCTCCTGCCTGGAGCTGTTCTGAATCTCCAGTGGCAGGCCCTCACGGTGTTACTGGGGCAAGTGTGCAGTGACGTGCATTTCATCTGCACACAGCAACGGTCAGACTACTTGGCTTTCTGCAGGGAATGAAAAAATACACATATAACCACCCCCGTTCCCAAATGGCACTGTAGCCTAGTTAAGAAAATTGCTTGAGGGGGAGTGCATTATGCTAAGAGGGCTAGTTCATTTTCAGGTTACAAAACTTTAAATTCAAGTTGACACAGCTTCTATTTTCATTTCCATACTTATCTCAACTGGGGAAATGTGGTGTTTGTCACTAAAAACCAGCCAGTAAAATGTAGAGGGAAGATGGAGAGTCAGTGGTCCGCAGCCTGCAAGTGGCTGTGATCTGAAATATGTCATGCTTTAGTTGGTAGCAGATACCATACCAAATTTGCTTCCCACTGGTAGACTTTCTCCTTTTATTTTCAACAAAGTCCCATGTACCCAGCAGCAATCTTTAACAGCAAAAATGCAATTAATATAAGTCATCTCATCATGTACTAGCATTCCAGATAGCTCATAAACAATTAAGAATCGAGTCTGAATTAAATGCAGAGGTTCAGGGCTAAGTGTGTTACAGGAAGACAGAGAATGCTGTTCTGTCAGTTTTGTGACCATGAGCAGTTTCATTCAAGAAACCACATGGAAGGTGTTCCACTGTTAAGTACCACATGTGACCTCTCTGGTTTGAATATCTAAGTAGATCCATAAAGCTTAAAGTACATAAGCTTTCGTGCGGCTATACTGAAATGTAAAGAATGCGAATGAAGGCACCCATTAAAAGATAAAACTGGGTAAGACTAAAATTAATCCTCCATAATCCTAGCTTTAGAAACTCTCATCTTTACTGTATACAGGTATCTTTAATGTGAGTTATTGAGTAAGTCCAAGGGCTCTTCTGGTCACCCTTTCACATATAGTCTACCACATTCCTATTCCAATAGAAGCTGGGAAGCATTCCAGGATAAATTAATTGTAGAATCAATTTGCTTTTATAGAGCATGGATGAGAGAAATATTGAAGTTTTAAGAGTTTCTGTTGCCAGACTTATAGAATATATTTGCCATTCAGACCCTATGGTTTGTAAAAAAAAAAAAAAAAAAAAAATTAAGCATTTTGGGTGTTGACCCTGGGTTGTGTAATTTATGCATGGCTCTGGTAAGCTGTTACCTCTTAATCACCCAGGAGCCCCAGCTCTTGAAGCAGACTAATGATTCCCTGCTGACTATCTGCTCTGCTTGCAGTTCTGCCTTCAACACATCTGTCAGCACCACTTCCCAAGGGGACTGTATGAAAGTTGCAAAGTCTGACATCCGTACATTAACTACTCTATGACTTTCTCCATTAATAATGGACTGTCCCGCCGTAAGCTGTGAGTTTCCTCCCCAACACCGACCGCTTTTGCTTTTATGTGCCACTAGGCCTGTCATCAGAGAGACAGCCAGAGAAAAGACATCTGGCATCTGTAACTCATAGGGGGTTCATGAAAACTAAAGCAGGTAGATTATTATCTCAAATGAAGTTCCTGGAAATACTGAATGATGAATGTCGTACTAATGGCCTCCTTCCTCTAGCTTGGTGACAGCCTGTAACCAGTTACAAAAAAAAATCTTGACATACACCTTCAATTTTTATTTAAGAGATATAGTCCTAATTGTTATGTCAAAACCTTGGAAATAGAGGCCAATTATTTTGAAAACGTTATTTTTTCCAAATCTACAAAGGAATTGCCATATGATATAATAGCTAAAGGTGTTTTCAAGATCCATTTTCCAATTAATTGCTTTAAAAAAGAATTCTCTGAAGTAAATCACAAGTGCCTTTAAGATTCTGGCTGGATTGTTTGTTAATATACCTTAGATGCAGATAAAAAGCGGGGGCAGGAAAGAGAAAATTGGAAGCCCACTGGGTCAGAATGGCAAGTTTTTTGCTTTTACCAAAAAAAAAAAAAGACAGTGGGAATCACAACAGAAAGAGGTCGGATGCTGTTGGTGATTTTTGTACCTCTGAAGCTTCTAAATATAGAGGGGTTTATTGCTTCTCTTGATAGGTTCCTTGTCAAGTTACTGTAGAAATAACTTACTTACCCCACCTGGAATTTAGAACAGGGCTTTTAAATTTTCAAGGACTGCACTGCAGTTGAATTGAAGTGAACCAGATGTAAGATAATAGGGGTTGGGAAGACCCTGAGGAAGTAAAGAGTACACATCTCATCAATAAGGGGCAGGGCATTGTTGGTTACAGTGCACCCAAGGGAGTGCTCTTAGGGTCAACTAGACAATCAAACTGACTTGATTTCCATGGGTTACACTTGACATCTCATTCACTTACAGACCGAGCACAGTGTATGCCCGCAGAGCAGTACTAGGCCTTGGTCTTCAATGGGAATCCCTGGAACAGTCCGAATAGCAATCTAGGGACTTTTTTAAAATTTTTTTTCTCTATTCCCAAGTGTTATTTCAAGAGCAAAGAAGTTAAACTTGTGTAGCTAAGTGTAGAGTCTCCTGATTTAGAAGGTCTATGTCTTAAATAGGAGCCAAGATCTCTGGTGACGTTCCTATAGGCACAGCTTCCAAAATCCCCAGGTCAAGCCTCCTCATTATGAGTCACCACACTCAGGGAAGCCCAACCCAATAACTTCTCAACAGATGTGTTCATTTGCAGTCCTTCCAGCCAGATTCAGCTTACCAATCCGGGGTCATTCTTATAACAACATAGCCTGCTTATGTGGCTGACATTTCACCTTACCAGGTTTCCAGGGTAACAAAGCCAGAAAGTTAACCCAAGATAAAGTTCTCCATAGAGAGAGAGAATTTTAACCCGTTACCCACTGTTGTCATATGGGAGTATAAACTCAGATCTTTTCTTTTCCTTTGTTCCTGCTTGCCCTTCTCCTCCTCTTTCTCCTCCTCCTCCACCTTCTTCCTTCTTTTAGAAAAGCTGGGGCCGGCGCGGTGGCTCACGCCTGTCATCCCAGCACTTTGGGAGGCCGAGGCGGGCGGATCACGAGGTCAGGAGATCGAGACCATCCTGGCTAACACGGTGAAACCCCGTCTCTACTAAAAATACAAAAATTAGCCGGGCGCGGTGATGGGCGCCTGTAGTCCCAGCTACTCGGGAGGCTGAGGCGGGAGAATGGCGGGAACCCGGGAGGCGGAGCTTGCAGTGAGCCAAGATCACACCACTGCACTCCAGCCTGGGCGACAGAGCGACACTCCGTCTCCAAAAAATAAAAAATAAAAATAAAAAAATAAAAGCTGGACGACTAGATTTTTAAAAAATGTTTAGTCTCCCAATTTTTAAGCGAGACTACTGGAGTAAGAATACTGGACCAGAGAACAGAAGACCTGGGTTCTATTAATAGTAGTCTAGCAATTTGCTGTGTGACCTCCCTGTGTTAAGTGAAAGGCTTGCATAAGGTCACCTGAAAAGCTATTTCTGTGATACTGTTAATCTTTTCTAATTGCTAAAGAGGTGATGCTTCCTGTTTCTCTGCTCATTGCCAGGGTACTTGTTTCTCTTCCATCAGCTTTTCTCCTTCTCTATTCTGCATTATCATATGAAATCAAAGAGTGAGGAAAAAAGTCAAGGATCTTCAAAATCATACATGACTGATACCAATCTCATCATTGGACTAGATTTCTCAGTGAAGATAATCTGAGGGTTAATGCTAACTCTCATAGAATTTAAGTCAAAATATCTGTCTTTGTTTGCATTGCCCAAAGAAGTTGGATCAAAAGAGTTACAGCTGGGTGGATTTTAACTTTTAACCCAGTTTTTCAGATGTGTTAATATATAGTGCAAAGTTTCCAATGTAGTTAGAGTTACTACAACCCTAACTGAAATTGCCTCATACTGTGACATTATTATATCCTACAATCACTCATATATCTTTATTTTTCCAACTCTACCATCACAACTGAGAAAAGGTAATGTGGTACATTTACAAATAAAAGAGGATTAGGATTATTTTCATTTTAATATTCCCACTATAATTATCTACAGATTTATGAAGACCGAGTCAAGGGTTCCATTTGTAGCCATCAATAAAGAGATTAATTTATTATTCCCAATCGGGCTCCAACCCTCAAACTATATTTGGCCATTGGCTTCGGGATTTGGTTATTTCCTCAACCCTTTGTGAAGAAATCTTTTAATTTTTTGTGGGTCAGAGGCTCTTTGTTATATGGTAGAAGTATAGTCCGTAAGGAATAGAAAGGACGAGGTTGAAAGTAGCTGTGCCTTGAAGTTATTAAAAATATGTTTCACTCATGATAACATGATCATTTTCAGGAATTTTATTCTTCCTCCCTTGACCACAAATATTAAACGTTTCACCAGGGAAATGGCTGGTAAGAGATTTAGTCCTAGGAGTAGGATCTAATCTTTTATATCACAGTAAGAAGCTGATCAAAGGTGTTGAAAGCTGACTGTTAAAGGATTAATTAGGTCACATTGAAATATATGATTTTAAAACAGATTGAAACCAGAAATAAATAAATAAATGAAGCTAGCTGCCCCCATTTTTTTCAAGAACATGTTATTGAAGAGAAAATATTGAGCCTTCATCACCATTTAAAATATTCTTAATGAGCATTGTTGAAGCCATTTTAAGGAGTGTGTTCTTCAACATAAGGGCAACGGAAAGCCATGAGCTCTTCTTCTAGGAATTGAGCTTATATATCACTCTTTCTTTAAAGAGTGCAGGTAATGGGTTGCAGCAGAACAGGGCTGTGTGAAGAGAACCTTGAAACAGATGCTGCAATAATCCAAGTAAGAGATATTGGTGTCTTTATCTTGGGCAGTAGCTGTGGTGGTGGATTCTTTGTGTTTCCCACTCAACCCAAACACAAAATCTTCCAGGGCTCCAATCTAAGATCAACCCCATCCTCTTGGTCACTGGATTGCATTCCCTCTCACCCACTCAAGAACTTCACTCTAGCTATCGTTTTACTCCTCTCTCCTGCATTAGATACATTTTCTTTCCCTGCTACATCACTCCTACCTGCATCGGAACAATGTGGCAACATCTCCTGCTTTAAACTAGTAAGAAACTCCCACTGCTCAATTTCTATGCTCCTCTTACGGCAAAACTGCACCAAAGAGTCATCTCTACATCTTCTCTTTCACGGACTCTTACCCTCAGTCCATTGGGACTTTTCCCCAGAATTGCACAAAAGTAGCTCTCTTCAGTGATGTCCACAATACTAAAGCTGATGATAAATTCTTAGTTCTCACAGTATTTGACCTATCAGCAGCATTCAATACAGCTGCTCTCTCTAAACTTCTCAAATACTTGCTTCTTGTGGCTTTTGGGCTATAACTCTCTTGGTACCCCCTTTAAATCCCTGGATTTCCATTTTCTTTTTTTTTCCATTTTTTTCTTTTCTGGCTTCTCATTTCCCTGTCATCTACTCATATTCTTAAAGTAAAGTATAAGTGTCCTCAGGCTCAAGACCCAGGCCTTTATCTCTCTGTATACTTGCTCTCTAGTGATTTCATCCAGTCCAATGGCTTCAAATGCCATCTTTATACTGATATTTTATAAATACCTACTGTCAGCCCCTCTCCCTCCTAAATACTTGACTTACATATCCATTTCCTGCTCATCTTCTCACGTGGTTGTCCAGTAGGCATCTCAAAGGTAATATGACTAAACCTGAGCATTTGATCTTCTTCCTAAATCTTATTCTCCTATAGTTTTCCCAGTCACAGGAAAGGGCACTTCCATTCATCCAGTGGCTCAAGACTGAAATTTGGGTGATAGTCTTTATTTATTTATTTATTTCCATGCCACCATTCAATCTGTTTGCAAATCCTGACCACTGTGCCTTCAAAACATACCCTGTATCAAACCAACTCTCCCTACCTTCAACCATTGCAACCCCAGTCCAAACTCCCATCGTAAGTGGCTTGATCACAAGAGCTTCCTAACTGGTGTCCCTCCTTCTATTCCTGTTTCTCCAGCCTTTTGTTACATAAAAGCCAGGGTGATAGATAGAGTTTGAATTATTTGTCCCTGCCCAAATCTCATGTTTAATTGTAACCCCCCAATGTTGGAGGTGGGGCCTGGTGGGAGGTGATTGGATCATGGGAGTGGATCCTTCACGGCTCAGTGCCGTCCTCACAACAGTGAGTTCTCGTGAAATCTGATTGTTTAAAAGTATGTGGCACCTACCCCCCATCTCTTGCTCCTGCTTTTCACCATGTGAAGTGCCCGCTCCTGCTTCACCTTCCACCTTAGTAAAAGCTTCCTGAGGCCTCCCCAGAAGCGGATACCAGCACTGTGTTTCCTGTACAGTTTGCAGAACCATGAGCCAATTAAGCTAATTTTCTTATAAATTACTCAGTCTCAGGTATTTCTTCATAGCAATACAGGAAAGGCCTAATACAGTGACTCTTTTAAGTGTAAGTCGTTCACATTTCTCCCTGGCCAAAAGCCCTCCAAAGGCTTTACTTCTCACTCAGAAAAAAATCCAAACCTCTCACCTTGGCCAGAAGCCCCCATAAACTGGCCCCTGGCCATCTGTCCGTCATTATGTCCCCACAACCCCCATCCTTCTGTTCCATATACTGTTTCTCAAAGACATGAAACACGTCCCTCCTAGCAATGGGGCCTTTGTGAGTGTTGCTCCCATGCCTTGAATGTGAGTCCCCCAGATACCTCGTGGCTTGCAACCTTCTTTCATTTCAAATCTCTGCTCATTTCCACCCCTTCCCGATATTTTTCAAATAGTACTCACCATCCTTCTCCATCGCTTTCACTGCTTTGTTCTTAATCGCATGTAGTACTGTGTGACATAATACTCCTTTTTGAGAATTATATTTATTGCAGATTTGCAGAATTTCACGGTTGTACTTTAAAGCATTTTATGTTAAGGTCACCATAGATATATTGTGCAGTAGAACTCAGAAGTAGAATGAATATGTAATATAAGTCTCAAGGCTTGCAGTAGGCTGCTTTGGGGTTTGCCTTCTGACCCTTCAGAAGTGTGTGTTCACTCAGCTGTTCCGGTAAGGACGCCTCGATGGAAAAGTTTAAAATGTACTGGTTCATATGGACTGGGCAATTACCCATATTATGTAATTGAGGGACACCTACAGAAACGATCTCTTTCCCCTTATCTATCTGTATTGGTCTGCCATCATACCTGCAAAATTCCACCATTACTCTCTCTTAATGGAATCAACTACAATTAGAAGTCAACCAACAATGCCTGTATAGGAAGCATATGTAGAGACTTTTAGTTAAAATTATATGGTCTAATCAGCAAGAGTCTATTTAAGGGACAATAAAGCAGAATATGGCTTATTTTAAAGCATTATAGAGGCTCTCTCAACCCACCACCCTTTAACTGACTTTCTGGATAAACAGTCTCTTCATTCCTTCCGTAATGCATAATGACTGTTGCCTGTGGCAAGCTGAAGGTTCATGGCTGGTAGGCTACGCTCAGGTGAATTTGGAGCACTCTGTTCCTAGGTGTTGAGTTGGACACTGCCAAGGATGAGTTGTTTTTATTCCCAAACCAGTTTATGCCAGTTTCACTTACAATTATAAACTTTAAATATTATATAAACTAATGAAATAAAAATTCAAAAGGCAAGAGTTGTCATTTCCGCAAAAACTAGGTGCAATCCTTTGGAAAAGACTCAAGAAAAACAAGCCAATAAAAAAATTAAAGGTTCTACGGACAATTATACAAGTTTATTTTTAAATAAAAGACAATTATAATTCATACTCTAGTATAATTCTGTACTCAGATCTTGTCACAACTCTTTTGTAAGGAAACCAAAACTGTAAATGAGAGTTGTCAATGCATGATGAACGTAGCTTATGTGAAAATAACAACCCTAGTCCACTGTCAACTTTAAAAATAAATAAAAGGTAAGAGTTACATTGTTCTTACATGAAAATATTGACAAATAATAAATTTAATTGCCTAAAAATAAATTACTTTATTAGTAAATAAAGATAAGTTATATATAAATATATAAACTATATGTTATGATAAATTTCATAAAATGTTTATGACATACATATGGCATTACTTTATGGTTTCCCACTTCTAGCAACTTTTAAAATTACCAACTAATTCTAGGTCCCAAAAGTGTAGGACAAGCGGGTTTTTCACATGGTTTGAAAACAGTTTTCAAGAGTAGAGATTGCAGTTTCATTACAGACATGTTGAGAACAGCAAAGGAGGTAAAATACTCAGATCAATCCTGGAAGTAAAGTAAAATCAGCATGCCCATTCTACATATGAGGCTAACAGAGAGTCAGTGACGTGGAGTTGAGCTGTTTTCAGAGAACTAAGATTTGCCTTCTTCAAGGTTCATGCTGTTAGCTTTGATGCTACAATACCTTTTCAAACCTCTTCTCCTATACATCTCATTTAGATCTTTCATAACTTGGCTTTTTCAAAATAGATGTCAACTAAAGGCAGCTGAGCTAATCAGGTATTTTAATTAATGGCATCTGAATTATTATGACAGTGTGATCATAGAGATGCCATTTTTGTCTTCAGTAATCAACCCTTCTTCCTTAAGAAGGTGTGGGAGCAGGTCCTTGATTAAATAGATCTGGGAAATGCTGAATATTGGATTCTCCTCTTGGAGATTTTACAATGCTAATAAGATTTGGAGAAATCCTGTAGTAAAGAAATCTGCCCAGCATTTTCAACCCAGTTGATATGATTTGGCTGTATTCCCAGCCAAATCTCATCTTGAATTGTAGTTCCCATAATCCCCACATGTTGTGGGAGAAACCTGGTAGGAGGTAATTAAATCATAGGGGCAGTTACTCTCATGCTGTTCTCATGATAGTGAGTGAATTCTCATGAGATCTGATGGTTTTATAAGGGGCTTTCCCCTTCCTTCGCTTTCATTGTCCTTCCTGCCACCATGTGAAGAAGGACATGTTTACTTC
The DNA here is from genome assembly GCF_000001405.40 of Homo sapiens. Taxonomy (NCBI): domain Eukaryota; kingdom Metazoa; phylum Chordata; class Mammalia; order Primates; family Hominidae; genus Homo; species Homo sapiens. The sequence continues at coordinate 2,846,402 of NC_000003.12, forward strand.
CCCTACCACCATGATTGTAAGTTTCCTGAGGCATCCCCAGCCATGCAGGATGGTGAGTCAATTAAACCTCTTTCCTTTATAAATTACCCAGTCTCAGGTATGTCTTTATTAGCAGCATGAGAAGAGATTAAAACACTGGTTATTTCCCAAACATATTTGTCCACATGATTTTATCATGTATGCCTCTTTATGTTGGACTAAACCAGTATTCAGTGGCACACATTTAAAAATATTGCTATTCTCAAGTAAATTTGGACTCCTCTGTTCATAGCTGTTGAGTTGTACACTGCCAAGAATAACTGATTTTTATTCCCAAACCAGTTTATGCCAGTTTTACTTAGAGATTATTACTAGGGAGGCCGAGGCAGGCCGATCACCTGAGGTTGGGAGTTCGAGACCACCCTGACCAACATGGGGAAACCCCATCTCTACTAAAAATACAAAATTAGCTGGGTGTGGTGGTGCATGCCTATAATCCCAGCTACTCAGGAAGGCTGAGGCAGGAGAATCGCTTGAACTCAAGAGGTGGAGGCTGCAGCCGAGATCGCACCACTGTACTCCAGCCTGGGGAACAAGAGTGAAACTCGGTCTCAAATAAATAAATAAATAAATAAGTATTATATAAATGAATGCCTTTCATATGTCCATTCCTGTTCTTATATATTCTCAGCTTGTTGACCACAGTTCCCTGGGCTGAATTTTGTGAGTGCACCCTTACTTTGTTCAGCTTTTTGTCATTATCAGGAGAGAAAAGGCAAATGTTGCAAAAAAAAAAAAGATAGACTTGGCAGTTTTTTCTAATAGCTAAACTGTGACCTTGGCACCCATCCCCTTAGAGGTCAGTAAGAGGCCCTTGTAATCATCCACAAGCAGAGAGTCAGCTAAAGACTGAGATCACCCCTTGCTCATCAGATCCTGGTTAAGAAGCTCATGAAGAGGAAAAAAAAGTTCAGACTCCTTCCACAAGCTAAATAAGTGCCTCTAGGGTCAGGCATCATCAAAGAGGGTCAACTAATCAATGTTCACCAAGCAATTTGTGATCTGAAGTGTTGCAAGAATGCTAAAATTATATGTATCTTGTCCTTTACAACTGAAGATGGCACATCAGGAGGTGATAGCTCTGTGTTTTGATGCTGGCTGTGACTTTGTGCCAGACCTTAGCCCCGGCCCTGCTGCAGGCACACGTCCTTCTTTACAGGATAACCAGGCAATTTGTGGTTTACTGCCTGCTGTGTGTGTCCTGTGCAAACTCACAGTGTGCTGACACATGACTGCCTAGTAAATATCAGGGGAATATTGAATGCTCGTGCTCAGAGCTTTTATTGGGAAACACTTTCCCTCATCCCACCCTTTGCTCCTCTCCTGAATGTCCACCACCATGCATCAGAACAGATCATTTATAGAGATACTCTTAGGGAATGCCAGTCTGTGCCAGTCTGCCTGTCTTCCCTGCCCACATGCTCTTACCGGGGCCGACTTGACACCCAAAACAACTCAGAGAGTTGAAGTGATTTGCCCAAGACCACACAGCTAACAACTGGCAAATGTGGTATTGTATCTAAAATACTAGCACAGGGTTGGGCACAGTGGCTGACACCTGTAATCCCAACACTTCGGGAGGCTGAGGCAGGAGGACTGCCTGAACCCAGGAGCCTGGTCAACATAGCAAGACCTCGTCTCTACTAAGAATAAAAAAAATATTAGCTGGGCATAGTGGCATACACCTGTAGTCCCCAGCTACTCAGGAGGGTCACTTGAGCCCAGGAATTTGAGGTTTCAATGAGCTATGATCATGCCACTGCAGTCCAGCCTGGGCAACAGAGTGAGACCCTGTCTCAAAAAAAAAATAAAATGTTAGCATAGGCTTTTAAATCATGTGTTTTTCACTTACAGTGAGGCTGAGTAGAAATCTGGGGAAGAATTAAAGCAGAGATTCCAGGGATATGTTAGGGCAGAGCAGGACTCATGGAAGGACAAGGGGGTTGGTTTTGTTTTCAATAGAATTGAGAAGGTAGAGTTTGAAAACACATTTCCAGAAGTCCCCGTGTTGGTTCCCACTGGATGCTTGTTAAGATTATGTAATACTCTTCAGTGCTATGTCTGTTGTTTAAGTGTTCTGTTCATTGGGATTCTTTTGGTTGCAAGTGCCAAAATCCAATTCAAATGAGCTTAAATAAACACGGGAATTTTTTGGCATAAAAGTCCTATTAACTACAACTAGATTTTAGTTCCCAAATGATAGTGTTAGGATCTCTCTATCATCTCTTGAATTTGCTTTTCACAAGCTGCCTCTCACTGCAAGGTAACTCAGCGGGAAGGAGAAAATGCTTCATTTCCAGTAATTTTAGCAAAAGCTTCAAAATTGGCCTTTATATGCTAACTTGAGTCATATGCCCACTCTTAAACCAATTATGGTGAGTGGAGGATATGAGGGTGGTGCTGGATAGAAAATGCTGATTGGGCAGCCAGACGACATAGGTCTATTCCTGGAGCCAGAACGGAGATTAGCCTCACTCGTATAGCATCTACTAAGAGTCGGGGAGAAATGATTCCTGATTTTAAAAAAGATTAGAATGAGGTTACCAAGTCAGGAGAAGCTAGGCACCCAAAACAAATGATGTCTACTTGTCATCTTATTGTAAAGTAGGGTTGCACCCCAGGATCCCATCCCGAAGAGTTATTTCTAGATGTGAGAGGTGTATACCATGTACAACAAGATCCACTGTCCTGGAAACATGAGCAGGATTCAAGAAACTTGATTCTCCTAAAACTGTATCTCTGCTGAATATATCCCACTATGTCCCTAGTGCCAAGAAGAATGCCTGAACCTAATAGGCCCACATGAAGCATTTGTTGAATGAGTAATTTAAAACCAGGCAGAAGGGATACAGAGTTTCAGTTTGGGATTATGAAAAAGTTCTAGACATGAATAATGGTGATAGTTGCACAACATTGGGAATGGATGTAGTGGCACTGAACTGTGCACTTACAAATGATTAAAATGGTAAACTTTTATATGTATTTTGCCACACTAATTTTTTTTAAAGAAGAAGGGGAAAACCTTAGGCATTAAGGAAAACAAGATTTTGGTGACTTCTGGATTTTTGCTTTCCATTTAAGCTTGCCTTAGTGAGTCATTGGACCTCAACGGCTAGGCAGTCACTGATGGGAGCAGAAAGAAGTACTTATCCAGCACTTCTCCACTGAAGTTGAGCCCAAACATTGGCTGTTCCCTACTTTACAGAAGAAGATCAAGGGATACAATAAGGTTGGGATTGATGGACGTCAGGAGGATTTGCTTTAGGAATGCACGTGATATATGAAAAGGGTTCAGCCAGAATTCACAAACTCTGTTGTCTCCTATGGCCAGCCAGGCAGGTAAGAATGTAAATGAATCAGATAATGTGAGTCAGGTGGAGATCCACAGCCTTCCTTTAAACAGGCCAGTCACTGCTCATCTCAGACCAGTTATTGCCTTGAAGAAATACAGGTTCAGTAGTGCCTGGTCTCATGGTTTTTCATGAGAAGCCGTATGTGTGGAATCTTATATGAAATGTTTCCATTTTGGAAAATGTTAGCAATCACTTTTTTTTCTTTTTTTTTTCTGAGACGGAGTCTTGCTCTGTGGCCCAGACTGGAGTGCAGTGGTGCAATCTCAGCTCACTGCAAGCTCCACCTCCCGAGTTCAAGTGATTCTCCTGCCTCAGCCTCCCGAATAGCTGGGATTACAGGCACGCCCCACCACACCCAGCTAATCTTTGTATTTTTAGTAGAGACCAGGTTTCACCATGTTGGCCAGGCTGGTCTCAAACTCCTGACCTCATCATCCACCCACCTGAGTCTCCCAAAGTGCAGGGATTACAGGCGTGAGCCTCCGCGCCTGGCCAGCAATCACTTTTTAAATGTTCTACAGTAGCATGGTAAACAGAACACAGCTATTTTCCAGATCTTTCCACTTACTTCCAGTTTCTTTCCAAGGATAGACTCTTCACTTTTTAAGAAATGACAGTAATGATCTCATGTATTTGTTTATTTATTTTTACGTTTTTCAGTTTAAGGTGACACAAATGGTTAGGACAGATACCATCACCCCAATTTTACTCTTGAAGCCACTGAGACTTTACATGGAGGGACTTCAGCTTGCACCCAGATCATGCGAAACCATGTTCTGTGCCATGTGAGACTTTAAGAGGTTGCTTTCAAAACTCCCCCGCAGGTTTCCTTATTTATCATTTATCTAGATGAATTCTTCCTCCCTTACATTGGAGAAAACAGAGTTTCTCAATTTCCCATGACTCTCTTTGTTAGTCAGATGGGAGAGAAAAGTCATTACCTATGCGAACCTGTAGAAATAGATTTGTGTATTTTTCAGTAATAAATAAAATAACCAGGGAATTTAAATCATATAATATTTTCCATCTTGCCAGAGATGGATTTTTTTTTCCCCTGGGGAAACTTTTAACTTAAGAATGTGTTTCAATCTCCTTGATGTGTTGGAATAATCATTAATGTTTACAGTTGCTGTAGCAACTAGAAATGCTGGCAATTGAGTAGGAAGGGAGCCTGAGAGAGGAAGATAAGCTGTATCAATTATTGAACATCTGTCAAACAGTTAGCCAATTTAAAGTGACAGACAAAAAGCTAGAAATCGAAGGTGGGTACAATGTATTTGTTAAGTTAACAACATCAGTTATGTATTGTTTTGCCACTATTACAGAGGGATAATTAACACTTATTTGCATCCACATAAAGGGAGCATTTTCTATGGCGAATATACAGTTGCAAGTGTAAATTTTTATGTCATAATCATCTTAATCCATCTCTCGTGGATGTTAGTTTGCAGTTTCAATATCTATTTGACAGACTTTTGCATTTTTTAAGAGCACAGAAGTGAAACACTATGCCTCTGATCATATGCCTCTCCAGGCACTCTCCTCTCCTTATCCTAAAACCACTACTCATTTATGCAGAAGCAGTGGCCTAAATATTGGCCACACGTGTCTCCAGTACTCTGTCTTACTCTGATGGCAGTTATCATAGATCAATTAAAACTCCTTTTTCCTCTGAGTCTCTGGCATTCTCAAAACCCTAACACAGCACCTGGATAGCCAATGCCAGTTAGGAAGGACTCTGTAGTGGAGTCTATTTGCAATCCCTGTCTGTTAATGATTTCTCACCTTCGCTTGGCGTTTTATTGTTTACAAAGTGTTCTTACTTGCATAGTCTCATTTGGTCATCAAACCTCTAAGGTGGGGGTTGTTATCCCTTCTTTACATGTGAGAAAACTGAGGCTTAGAAAGATTAAGTGATTTGGCCAAGATCACAGAGTTAGACAGAAGATACCTACTTACCTACTGCCTTTTCCACTGCACTGTAAAAGAAAAGATCATCAGGTAAAAATCCAGGGTGATGGGTTTCAGTACTGCCCTAATCACTTACTAACTAAAAAGAAGAAGAAAAAATAATAAAACAAGAAAGTATTTAATCCTTCTTTAGATAGTTCTCTCTGCTTCTAATAAAGGAGAACTGAACAGATTTTTTCCTAGGATGCTTTCAGCTATAATCTGTAATACATGAACTCTAAGTAAAATCTAGTTGCTAAGTTTCTCAATTACAGCATTTGTTTATTACCAGGCCACACCCTACCTCGTGGCTGCACTCCCAGTTTCTTCCCAGATCTCAGTTTTTTGAAAGTGAGAGAGCATATTAATTTTATAATTTTTGCTACTTCTATTTGTTAGCATAATAAGCATGCTAACACTGTATACATGATCACAAGATTTAATTTTCTGGCCTGGCTTTGTTTAATGTTAAGTTTTAATGAGTCACCTTTTCTCTCTTCCTCATTTTCTTTTCTGGAAAGCAGGATTATTAGCTCCAAGAGATGAGTCAAATGAAGTAACATAAATGGAAATAACTTTAGGAAAATAAAATACTGTCTATGATAAGATATTAGGGTAGCTTTATTCCTTATAAATTCTGACCTGATCTGATAATATTAAGTAGATGATGATTTAGAATGGGTCTTCAGAATAAATTTAAAGGAACATGTAAGTCATCAAATGATTCTATTCACCATCTTTGCCTTATCAACAATAATAATAATAAACATTAACATTTATTGAGTGCTACCATGTGCTCGACACTGTGCTGATTATAAGTAGCAATTTGGCTACAGTATTGCACGTGATCCCCCAACCCTCCTATGGTGTGTTATTATTATCTCCATTTTTCAGATGAGAAAATTGAGTCTTAGATATGTTAAGTAACTTTCCATGCTCACAAAGTAGTGGTAAACCAAGGTTTCAAGACCATGTACGTCTAACCCCAAGTTCTAGAGTAGATACTTGACCGGTTATAAATAATACTTCACACACCCAAGGTAAAGATATTTATTTTAAAATAGAACAAAGCATGGTCTTGCCTAGATGTCCCATAAAGAGCTGTAATCATCAGATGCCCACTTTTTTCCTTTAATTTTTCTTGAAGCTGACTTTTTTCTTGCAAGTCTTTGTGTTATTGTCTTCAAAGAATTACAAGAGTCATTGGGAAGAATCCACCATTTCTAAGAACCAGTTTTTACGCAGAACTATTTTAAGTGGTACCAGATGGATAGGAAATTAGTATACAACTATTTTTCAAGTGGGGCTTAGGAACAATGGTAAGAAGGGGCCATTAGTAAATGGAGGAAGGTAAAATAAGTCTCTAAGGAGAAAAAGAAATGACAAGGGTTTATATTATATTAAGAAATTTTTCAGATACTTTTTATCACAGGGGACGGAAAAAAAAAAAGAACAGTGTCCACTAGGGAGTTTTTTATAAAATGAATTTATTGTTTTTGTTTTGTTTTGTTTTGTTTTTGAGACGGAGTCTCACTCTGTCGCCCAGGCTGGAGTGCAGTGGTGCGATCTCGGCTCACTGCAAGCTCCGCCTCCCGGGTTCAAGCGATTCTCCTGCCTCAGCCTCCCAAGTAGCTGAGGCTACAGGTGCCCACGACCACGCCCAGCTCATTTTTGAATTTTTAGTAGAGATGGAGTTTCACCACATTGGCCAGGCTGGTCTTGAACTCCTGACCTTGTGATCTGCCCACCTCAGCCTCCCAAAGTGCTAGGATTGCAGCCATGAGCTACTGTGTCTGGCCTAATTTATTGATTTTTTTTCAAAGCATATTACCTGAATAGAATATTTCTTCTGAGTAGATTTTCTTGAGGAATTCAACCACCACATGTACTCACTTCTCTGCCTGTCAGTTCTGAGTCCTAGTTTCTTCTCCCAGACCAGCTTGTCAAAAATACATTAGACATGAGCATGGACACTTTGCGCTCGCTCTCTGTTTTGGCGTCTTGAAACCAGAGGAAAAAAGACCTGTTTGTTCAGTTTGAATTTTAAAAATCTCTGATTGGCTGATTTAAGTCATGTGATCCTCACTGAACCAATCACTGTGTCCTGAGGTATGATTGGTCTCCTGTGACTCACTCCCATCTCTATGCTGGCCTTGGGGGAATGATGACTGCCGTTCCCCAAAAACCAATTGACGAAGCATTGCTAAGAAGATGAAAAGTGCCTTTCTGGCAAACCTGGTAATAAAGCCAAACTCATAGATGATTAATCTTTCATCTAGTCCTCTTCACTGCACCTCAAGGCAGAACCGGACCATTGCAGCCAGTGATGGTCTTTTTTGTTTTTAAAGGTCCAAATAAAAGAACAAAATACCTTTATTTTGAAAAGGATAGTTCCATTCTTTACAGACCAACAGACCGAATGCTTTTGTTATTGGTTTCACAGGAGCATTAGCAAGACGCAGGGAAGCGGGGAAAAGCATCTTGGGCCATAATGAAAACTGGCATTTTATTTTTCTTTCTTCTTCTTTTTTTTTTTTTTTTTTTTTGAGACAGAGTTTTGCTCTTGTTGCCCAGGCTGGAGTGCAGTGGCACAATCTCGGCTCATTGCAAACTTCACCTCCCCGGTTCAAGAGATTTTCCTGCCTCAGCCTCCCAATTAGTTGGGATTACAGGCGCCTGCCACCACGCCTGGCTAATTTTTGTATTTTTGGTAGAGACGGGGTTTCTCCATGTTGGCCGGGCTGGTCTCGATCTCCTGACCTCAAGTGATCCGCCTGCCTCTGCCTCCCAAAGTGCTGGCATTACAAGCATGAGCCACCCTGCCCGGCTGAAAATTGGTATTTTCTTAGCACATTTGATTAAGGGTTAATTTGTGCTCGTGATTTAAATGTCAGTTGTCTGAATTTTAGATCACAAGTTTAATCAAGGAGAATGTGGAATTGTTTAATAATTTGGTGAAAAGGTTGTGTGTTGTTAACTTGTGTGGGAGTTGATTATATTACTTGAAAGCTTGCTCAGTCAGTCATATTACTGCTTGAAGCCTTAAAGAAAGTAAATAATTAGAGTTAAACTGACATTTTCCACCATTCAACATTTTTTTCATTATTCCTGAGAATCCATTTTAGTTCCCATATTGAATCCTCTTTTTTCTTTCTTCACAGAAATTGCTTAGCTTAAAGTAAGAAGACAGATTTTGATTATGCTGTGAGAAAAAGCAAAATTTCTATTAATTATGATTTGTCCAGTCAAAATTTTCCTACGAAATATATTTAAGTGCTGATGGTACGAGTGACCCGTACAATACTGATATTTCAGGATTTAACTGGTCACCTAGTTCCCTGAAATTCTCAGTACTCCTGAATGTTGCTATGGGGTTAAATACTGTGGCATACAAAAGAAAACAAGGTTGTCCTGATCCCTACCACAGTCCCCCTCAACCACAGGCCTGGCACATCAGTCAGGGTAATCACTGCTGGACTGCCATGTCATTGGCTTAGTTAAGCTGGAGGTTTCAGTTGCAGTGGCTCCTGGCATAGGAAAAGAAATCTTTGTCATGGTCTCAAGAGATGTCTGTTTTAATCCCAAATCTAATTCCACTGATAGTCTTTGTGGTCTTGGAATAGCTTATGTAATTTTCTATATCTCACTTTCCCTGTCTCTCCAATGGAACTAATCCTTATTCTACTTATTTCTAAAAATTGTCAGAGGCACCAAATGAGATAATGGATATAAAAGTGTTTTGAAAATGTAAAGAAGTAGGAAAGTTGTGGTTCTGCTGATGGAGATGGAGGCTTACTTAGTAAGGTGAACAAAAGTATCTGGCTCACTGGATCCAGTTTAACTTTCCTTGTGCATAGAGATGTCTTATTCAGTCCAGGTGTTCCTGTCACCTTTGAGTAACTGTGATCTGACCTGTGTCCAGGTCACACGGGTGTCATCTGGTAACTCTAGTTTTCATCAACATATGTCATTTAGCGTAAGTCACATCAGGTGGACTAACTTCGCTGCTGCATGCTTTCCTTTCTGCCTTTACTGAGTCCTTCTCATTCTTGGCCAGTCAGTCATATTTTCTTTCTGTCTTAGTAAACTCAGCAAAACTGCACCAGAGTCAGAAATAAATGGAAAGGGAAGGATTTTTAACGAAAGGGGCTCACTCATTCTGACTTAAAACATGTATTTTGATAGTCCAGAGGTTTTTTTTGTTGTTATTTTTTCCCTCCTCTGATTTCAGTGAATTTGATTTACCATTAATGGTCTGATGAAAGAGATATACTTTCTTATTTACAAGCGACTTCTTTCTCAACTAACACTTTGGGCCTGGAGTTCAGCAATAATACTGTTGCTCCAGGAAACTTCTGGCATTTGGAATTCCACTTCGATTCAACTAATGCTTAGTAAGTTGATTTCACAAAAGTAAAGTGTATGTTCTCTGGCCATATGTATTCTTGTCCACAAGCAGTCTTCAAGCCTGGAAGATGGAGGAGAGATGAGCAACTGAACTATTCTAATACAGTTACAAACAAATTTCAACGTGTGAAATAATGGGCTGGTTGCTACGAGGCAAAAAAGAAACAAACACTTATTTTGTTGTTGAGGAGAGACCACATGTAATTTTCCTGGTCAGGAAATGGCTTTTTGCAAAAGGTGGTGGCTGAGATAAGTAAAGCAGGGAAACACGTCCTGAGAAGAGAGTGCACAAGCCTTGTCAGAGGGACTGAAAAGCACCCGGCACACAAGGGGATCAGTGACTATTTTTCCACTATACCTTAAGCAACCCTTCTTAGCAGTATAAACCTTTCTTAAAATACAATTTCGTGGGGAAGTGCAAATTTCAAAAACAGAGCTCTCTGCTTAAAGCCCAGATGGACGGGCACAGCCCTCCCACTGTGTCTTCTCTTTGCAGCTACAAGCGACCCCTGCAGGAATACTATGTATTGTATGAATCCATTAATCACGGATGCCCTTACTCAGCCTCCCTAAAGTTTTGCAACTCCTCGCTTGAGGGATCCTCCCCAAGAGTATACATTAACAAAGAGTAAAGAGTAGAAAGCTAAAATTAAGTAACTTGGGGTCCTGTTATGGAAGGATTTGAATGTGAGCTGGATGCATTTTACTTTATCCAGGAGGCAGTGGGACTCACAGAGGATTTGTGTGGGAAGGAAGGACATGACTCAAAGCTGCCCTTTGGTAGGATTAATCTGACAGCGTTGTATGGGTTGGCCTGCAGTGGCACTGAACCTGACACAGGCAAAAGAGCAGGATGTTCTTAGGCCAGTGACAGATGACGGTGAGACAAAAAACCTCTATGGAATTCGAATCCACAGGACTTGGATGCTGATTTTCTCCCCAGCAATGGGACCCACACTCCTTCCTAGAGAGAACCTGGGATCAAACCACAGGGCTTGTATGAAGCGGGCATAAGTGTGGAGCTGAAAGAGTTGTATCATGTGATTTTGTTCTGTTCTCCTGCTACTTGAGAAAAAGCCATATTCTTTCTGAGACTGGGCATTGAACTTTGATAGTTGTCTCTTTAGCTTTTATGTGCTTTCCACATTATCTGAAAGTATTCTATACTTGGCTGTCAAAGGGTATCCATGCTTCAAGGGATTAACACTTTTAAAATGAGCTTTGTGTGTTTGAGCTCTTTGTAAAATATGGTGATACCTTTGATTTCTTAAAATACCAAATTTTTAACAAATAGCTGAAAGAAACATTCTTTATCCCCCATGAACAGTGTTTCCATCTGCCCATCATAGTCCACTTCAGCTGCATCTCTCTGCCATGGCTTTACTGGTTTGATGGTTTGATCACACTGAACAGACTGGGCCATCTATTTTTTGTTTTGTTTTTTTGAGACATAGTCTTGCTCTGTTGGCCAGGCTGGAGTAAAGTGGTGCGATTATGGTTCACTGCCGCCTTGACCTCCTGGGCGCAAGCGATCCTCCCACCTCAGCCTCTCCAGACTCCTGAGTAGCTGCGACTACAGGTGTGAACCACCATACCCAGCTAATTTTTTATTTTTGTAGAGATGTGGTCTTATTATGTTGCCCATGCTAGTCTGGGCCATTCTTTGTCACAGTCAGGCAAGGGTCTAATGTCAGTTCTGTATGATTTCAGCACCCCACTTTTATCCCATCAAAATACTCATATTAGCTTATATTTGTTTTCTTCAGCACCATTCTTATACCAACAAAAGTATGCAACTAAGGGTCAGTTCCATTTATTTATCTTTGTGTCTGTATCCTAAAGCAGGGGCTACAACCTAAATTGCCTATAGATTCATATAGGACTGGTATATGGAGTAGGGAATGGTAGAGGCTATGGCAAACTGGAGACTGAGTGCCTGTTCCTCAGTGGAAAGCTGCTATTCACCTTTGACAATCATTTGCCTGATGGAATGAGAGCCTAATGTATCCAAACCTTTTAAAACAGTGTTTCTCAGAGTGTGGTCTTCAGGCCGACAGCATCAGCAGCACCTAGAAACTTGCAATTCTTGTCCCTCCCTGTTCCACCTCCAGAATAAGAAATTCCAAGAGTGAGATCCAGCCTTTTGTGTTGTAACAAGCCTTTCCAGTGATTGTGATGCTTACTCAAATTTGAGAACCACTTGTTATAGTGGACATTGTGTTGTATCACTCAGACTGCTTTTGAGGACTGATATTTGAGGACTATGTTTGTTTCAAGAAAAGCCCAATATCAAGGCCAGGCACAGTGGCTCACACCTGTAATCCCAGTACTTTGGGAGGCTGTGATGGGCAGATCACTTGAGGTCAGTAGTTCACGGCAAGCTTGGCCAAAATGGTGAAACCCTGTCTTTACCAAAAAATACAAAAATTAGCCAGGCACAGTGGTGCACGCCTGTGGTCCCACTTGGGAGGCCGAGATGGGAGAATCACTTGAACCCAGGTGGTGGAGGCTGCACCCCGGCACTCCAGCCTGAGTGACAGAGTGAGACCCTGTCTCAGAAAAAAAAAAAGAAAAAGAAAAAGAAAAACCCAATATCAAGATATATATTTGATTTTTAGTTTTTTATTATTTATTTTTAATTGACAAATAAACATTGCATATATTTATGGCATACAACATTTTAAAATTCGTATACATTATGGATTGGCTAAATCATGCTCATTAACATGTTCATTACCTCACATACCATTTTTTCTATGGCAAGAACTTTGAAAATTTACTCTCAGCAATTTTCAAGAATAGAATACATTATTAGTAACTATACTCACCATGTTGTACAATAGCTCTCTTGAACTTATTCCTTCTGTCTGACTGAAATTATTTATTCTTTGACCAACATTCCTCCAACCTCCCTGCTCCCCAGCTAGCTTCTGGTAATCACAATTCTACTCTCTGTTTCTATGTGTTCAACGTTTTGTGATTCCACATGTGAGTGAGATCATGCACTGCTTGTCTTTCTGTGCCTGGCTTATTTCACTTTGCATAATGTCCTCCAGGTTCATCCATGTTGTTGCAAATAACAGTATTTTATTATTTTTATGGCTAGATACTATTCCACTGTGTATATATATCACATTTTCTTCATTCATTCATCCACTGATGGACACTTAGTTGATTCCATATCTTGGCTATTGTGACTAGTGCTACAATAAACATGAGAGTGCAGATACGTCTCTTCAACATTTCATTGCCTTTGGATTTTCAGTTTCATAATATAGGGAAACTATAACAGACACATCCACTTGTCAGTCTCAGTCTGTCCTGTGCACTGTCACTCTTCAGCCTCCACTCCAGTCTGAACATGCTAACAAAAAGGATGCTTTCCTGGTTTTTTTTTTTTTTTAATGACTTCTTCCCTTGCAGGATGCAAAGTTTACTGACTCCAGATCTAGGCAATATTTCTCAAACTTTCTCACTGATACAGTTCTGAGAGCAGAGGAGAGACAGGGAATGCAGAATTATATGCTGAAGCCATTCACTGCCAAATACAAGATTTTGTTGAAGCCTTTCCATTTGCCTTTAAAAATCATATAAGTTGTATGTCCTATTTTGTCATATACTCATATTTGGCTTATTGTCTAAACAATGAGTTAAATTACTTTCAAGTTAAATTCCGTAACTTCCACCCACAATTTCTTAAAGAAAATCTGCACCCTAGAAAAATGCTCAATTTACCCCCAAAAAATAGAGGCAAGAAAATAAGAAGTTACATGTAAGAGGGGGAAGTTATAAGTCATACTCAAACATATTCAAGAGCCATATACCTGACCAGAAAATGCACCTTTTGCCATCTTGCTTTTCCATACCTCCACTGCCACATCTGAGCGAGTAAATAGCATGTACTAAAAATATCTTGAACAAAGCGAGTAGTCTCTTAGTTGGAAGGCTTATTTTTAGAAATACCTGGCACAAGGTTGGATGAGATTTAGTACTAGGCCTTATCTAATCCTTGCCTCATATGGGCACCATTTCATTTCTCCAAAATCAGTACTGCAAAGACGGTGAAAAGCTTTCACTTTATGTGCCAACACAAATTGATTGGAGGTAATTGCCTGAAACACTGTACTGAGAATGATTCTCAGTCTGTGTCTGGCAGAGTCAATTATAAATGTTAGCCATGGGTGTAGGAGTGGCGACTGGTGGTCCAAGTGACAGATATCTGTCATCCCTGCTCTACTCAGCACTAATAAAAAATGAAAGCAGTGTCTGAACCCTGGATGGTCCTGCTCATTGCTTGGGACCTGTCTAAACCAAGTTCTCTGGACCACAGAATATTCCTAATAGGGGTCCTGACAGCTACAGTCATGATTTCAGCAACCTAAGCTGCAAAGGGTCATTACCGTCATTATAGGTTTAAATACAAATTAGTCTGTCTTCTAATTAATAGAGGTACAATATCTCTCCCATTTCCACACCTTCAGATCTCAACTCATCTAAGACACTGCCCCTCCACTCTTGTTTCCCAAGCATTGTTCACTGGATGACAGCTCACATATGACTTTATATTTATCATTCTGTGTCTTAGTATAATTAAAATGTCATCCAGAGGCCCCCTCTCTCAGAATCCAAAGTCTATTGGTCATTCTCTTCTTGAGAGAGCTCTTTCATATGACATGAGTGGTTTTGGTTTCTTCTGAAACCAAACACTCTTGCCTTCTCCTGCTACCTGTTTATTGTGCACAATCATCAGTGCTATTTAATTCTTGCAGTTCCTGGTATAATTCTTACTTTCTCAGGGAAATTTTTGGGTTGCTCGCAATTTCTAACATTTTTTTTTCGCAAAGGTCAGAGAAAGACAAGGTATCAATCCATTTACGAAAAGATAATTTTTGTTGAAAAAAATGCCAAAAGAAACTCTAAGAATTTACATTAATATGTTTGGTGATCGGTGTAACTCTTGGTTTAGGCAGGGAAGGTATTCTTTTAATTATCCTATTTTTCAGATGAGAAAACTGAGGAATAGAAATTACTTTCCTGCTGATTAAATCCCGAAGCCAAGACTCAATTCATGTCTCTTGACACCAATTCCAGAGATCTTTCCATGGACTTATGCCATTTTTCCCTTTGCTCAGCACACTGATAACTAATTCCAACCCCTGTCTTTGTAACTGCTCTCCAGCACACCTCTCCATCTCAGCACTGAGCTCAGTGCTTTTGCAAACAACTGATGCTTTGTAAATATTTGACCAACAAAGGAACCAATGAATACATTCATTTTACCCATTTCATTTGTAGAAATCACTTAAAATACACTTTTCACATCTACTTTCTTAGAATTATATATCCATTTAAATTCAACCTCACAAACACTGTGTAAAAAACAGGATACATATTGATAAAACTATCTAAAGGTAAGGGGACTCTATCATGCTGTTAAAATCATTTATTAAAGCCAAAATTTGTTATAATGCAAAGACTACCATTCATGTCTCCTGACTTAACTCTAATATCTTCCTTCTACAAAACACAACGCAGCTTAAATCAAATAAATAAGAGTGTGTGTGTGTGCACGTGTGTGTTCCAGTTCTTGACCTTGCCAGTAACTACCCTTGTGATTCCTAGCAAGTTACTGGGTTTCCTTGGATCTTTCTTTCCTTATTTGTCAAATGAGCATGTTGGATTTGATGATCTACATATAGAATGTACGGAATGATGAAAGAGACTGAGACATCATGTAATCCCACTCCCCCAATTTATAGATAAGGAAAACTGATTTCTTCTGGCTCCAAAATACATTTTTAAAGGAACATATGGCTTCCTAACAGAATCAGCTCTTCTGAATACTGGGGCTACCCCACAGTCCCATCCCTGCCACTTGTCAAATGTGTGATCATGATCCACTCATACAGTTTCTCTAGACTTCAGTTTCCTGATATGTAAAATTGAAAAAGTTGGACTAAGAGCCCTTTCAGGTTTAAAACTTTGAGGTTAAGAAAGGCATCTTTGAAAACTGACATCTTTGCCACTACTGGGATATGACTCAGAACATAACGAAGCATAATATAGCTCTAGAAATAAATTGGTGTCAAGAACAATTAAAGAGCAACCATCCAGAGAATTCTGATTGATCATTTGTGTAATCTGTTCAATGAGTACCTGGATTTGAAAATTGCTTGATTGGTGTCTTCTTTTAAAAATAAGAGCCATACATCATTTGTTGTTGGCTTAGAGATACAGAAAAAAGAACCAATTAAGTGAGCTTCAGAGTTAATTTCCAATAGATTTGGATGCTGCAAACCAAAAAAACCATTGCTAGGCCTTTCTTCTTTAATGAGTATCACAATACAACTAGCCTCAGTATTTTTCAGTTGAGCCCCAGAAGTTTCACAATCCATTTAATATGTTGCATTCCAAGTATCTGTTTACTCAGTTGTTAAAAATTGCCAATGGGACAGAAACTGTCTGTCACTTCCAGAGCAATTAGTGTGTGAAAACTTATCAAAAGAAATCTGTCAAGTTTGAGTAAGTATAAATATTGCATGAAAGTCCCTAAGGAAATCAAACTGAGTAGGATACACTTTTGCGAGTTGCAGCACAGAAAAGTTTATTTTGTTTTATTTACTTGGCTTTATTTTTCAGAATGTTGATAGTGCTTCATGTAACCCAATGGATTAATGTTTTGCTCTGATAAAAACAGATTTTGGTTCTTAAGGGAAATCTCAATTGTATATTGAGCGATATAAAAATACCAGATCTTGGTTTCAAATATGAAGAGCTCTTACTTTGTCCTAGATGGGACACTGGAATGAGAGTTAAGCTAGAACGAGTAGGTTATAGTCCGCCTCACCCCTTTTTGGTGCTCCAGCCTAACCCTTTCTAGACCTCAGAATTTTCTTATCTTTAAAATGAAGAAATAGGACAAGCGATTTGTTGGGTATGTTTTAGTTGTACTACACTTTTTGCCTGCTTTGATGTCTACATTCTCATTACATTATATTCCTCCTGCTCCTTCCTGATTGCCCTGAAGAGATAAACAAATAAAAATACAATATTCCAGGTGGTGATATTTGATCGTGAAAAAAACTAAGTTAATATCTTGGTGAGAGATTTCCCCTGTTTTAGGAGCTTAGTGCTTAGGCCAACATGTTCTCACCAGTACACCAGCCAAGACTTTTCTGCTGACCTTCCCACTTCAGGACTCCACAGTATTTACAAATGTCAGATGTTGAACCATGTTGGTTAGGTTCCTTAGCATCTTCTGTTTGAGGCTCTTCTTGGCATCTATGGTTTCTTCTTTTTTTTTTTTTTTTTTTTCAGCATAAGAAATGGTTACGCTGTTATATTGTTATTACAATTGGGGAAACATTACAACTTTAATTCAATATTTGTTGTTGTTTTCTGTTGTTCTATTTAATATTAATGATTTTGTAGAAACTGAAGTAATACAGTTAATAATCCGTATATTTTACTTATTGTTTTTTGAATTGAACTAATTGGTACAGCGTTTCCCAAACTAGGTTTTTTGAGCTGTGGGGGTTAGATGGTTGTGGTGGTGGTAATTCCATGAGCAAATAAGTTTGGATGCTTAAACACTCTCTAAGGAGTTTCAAGGACATTGGCATGACAAAATCTCTTGCCAGTCCTGAAAGAAAAAAGTTGAAACTCCGTTTTACTTTGTTTAATCCAGTACTTCTCAAAGTAATTTGATCATGTAACCCTTTGAGTTTTAGGGAGGTGGGGGTAGAAAACAAAGAATTAATCATCAAAGACCACTGTTTAGGAAATGCTGCAGGAGGCACTTCCGGTTGTTTGCATCTCTCACTAAGTTACTTTAGTCACAAAAGCAGTGAAACCAAAGGAATCAACCTATTTTTAATTAGATCAAATAGCATGTTAATTGAATTTTCAAAAAAGTTTTTACTTCTATAATGATTAACCTGTTGAAGTGCAACACCAATAATAACTAACATCTGTACAGCCCTTTAGAGAATTCAAAGTGCTTTCACATAATCGGTTGCTCACCACTTACCTGCATCACATTTAAAATTGTCCTCATTTTATGGACCAAGAAGCTGAACATGAAGTTTAAATGGCTTCCCTAATATAACGCAGATTTGAACTTTAGTCTTACTTTGTTGTTGTTGTTGTTCCTCTCCAATTAGAAAAAGAATGAAGCAGATGCCATTTTCCCAATATCGACTTTCTGGTTGCTAAATGAGCCTCCCGCAGAATTCAGAGAGCCTTGCAGCCAGTAGCTACTACTGAGAGTTCTGAAAAATATTGCAGGGAAAAAAAAATCATTTCCTAGCCAGGCGCGGTGGCTCACACCTGTAATCCCAGCACTTTGTGGGGCCGAGGAGGGCAGATCACCTGAGGTCAGGAGTTCGAGACCAGCCTGGCCAACATGGTGAAACCCTGTCTCTACTAAAAATACAAAAATTAGCCAAGCGTCGTGGTGGGCACCTGTAGTCCCAGCTACTTGGGAGGCTGAGACAGGAGAATTGCTTGAACCCAGGAGGCAGAGGTTGCAGTGAGCCAAGATCGTGCCACTGCACTCCAGCCTGGGCAACAAAAAGCAAAACTCCATCTCAAAAAAAAAAAAAAAGTTTCCGGTATTTGATTCCAACTCTCCTTGGAGAAATGTGAGTTGATTAGTATTGTGCTGGTAAATTACATTCTAACTTCCATCATGTGACTTTGGAGGTGCTAATTTATACTTAAAACTCTCTTATAAATAATTAGGGGATAGGTAATCTTCTCATTTTGCATAGGAGAAAGCTTAGGTGCTGATAGATTACTAGGTTTGCTTGAAACTCACCTGTTGAGTATGTAAGGACTGCATTGCGATGCTGTTTGTTGAAAGCCTGCCATACGGGATAGTACTTCTTCACAATGTATTATAGGGGCTTTTCCTCCCCCAGATTTTAGTTTCTTGAGGAAGCTTTCTGGAAAGCACTTGTATATTTACACTGAGTATCCTCTTGACACCAGCATGGGGTTACTTGTAATGACATGCACATGCGTAAATAAAATGATTAGCCATTCTCATATAAACATAATTATATCTTTCTAAAATAATACATGTGGAAATGTTATAATCCAGTGATAAAGGGAAAGCAATGTGCATGACCCCTCCTTTGTGCGTAAACAGTGGATTTAAGGCAGAATATGTTTCCTGTTGCACATTCAGTTGTTAAGGTCAAGTACAATTGGGACACATTGAAGGATTACAGTACAAAAAATGCCTTTTACAGTAATTAGCGTTCTCTCTACAAAACTGAAGTGACCTTTCTGCTATTTTCCAAGGACACTTTATACATTTAGACTTTAGCTCAGGATCATATGAAAAAGTGACATATAAGAACTCAGTCAACTAGTTCTGAAACCAGAGGCCCCATTGCATTTAGTTGTTCCCTTACCCTCCCCTCAACAAAGTAATTTTTGAAGATAAAGTGGGACATGTTGGCTACTCAGTGCCAGTAGCTAGTATATCACTTCTCCAGCTTTGGACAAATCTGGAAATTACACTTTAAAGAGAGGAATCGTGGAATGCCTGGAGCTGAAGCAGTTTGATTTCCTTGGAGCACAATAGTTCACTGCAGCAAATCATTTATACTCACTGTCATTTAGTGGTCTTCTCTGAAATGGAAAGCATGGGCTCATGTGGTCCTTCATAAAACATTTACCTAATTCTTATAAAAGTTAGAACTTTCAAAGGAACATTTTTGATACAACTGCCTATGAAATTCATCCCACTGGTCTTATGGGATAAGGGTGTGTGAAAATGTTGCTGTTTTATCACTATCTCATATCCACTCCCTCGTGGATCTAATTTTTTTTAATATGGATGTATATTTGTGGAATCAGTCAACTAGTCAGTCAGTGTATACTTAATGAGTGTTTGCCACAGTGTTAAACTGCTCTCTTACTAAAATGATGGAAAAGTATTCAACCTCACAAGTGAGAAGAAAAAATTTGAGTTGATAGTAGGAGGCATTGGGAGAAGACTGCATTGACACTCAGGAATTATTCTGTTTCTAACTAGAGCTAAGAATTTGAATAAGTTACTCTGTTCCTAGGTGCCCGTTTCTCAGTTAATGGAAATAAAACTATCAAATATATTGGAAAGCATAAAGTGCTATGCAAGTATGGGGCATTATGATGTAATATAATGATTATTATCTATAAAACAAAAGAAATGATCTAAATAGTTTCCAGGGTGGCTTCCAGCATTACTATATCAAGATTATAGGCACCCTGGGTCTGTAATTTGAGCATTACTCAATACATGTTACATAGTGCCTGACACCTGATTAGCAAACTATAAATGCTTAGCCCTTGACTTAAAGAGGTTGGACATCGCTTAATCAGCTATCAGTGTATCTTTTACTTCTCTGGAAATAAAACCTTATTGACTGATAGTAGAAAGGCTGGTAAAATGCCACGGGGGACTGTGATTACTTCCTATCTGTATTTAGTGGGCTGAAAAAGAGTCATTGGACAACAATGTATACATTTTTAACCTGATCATTTCTTTCATGAAAACAGTAGAGTTCCAGTGCCAAAAGACATATTTGTAATGAAGATTTTTTTCCTTTCAGAGCTGAGTTATGCCTGGATCTTCAATGAATACCCTTCCTATCAGGATAATCGCCGCTTTGTTTCTCAAGAGACTGGGAATCTGTATATTGCCAAAGTAGAAAAATCAGATGTTGGGAATTATACCTGTGTGGTTACCAATACCGTGACAAACCACAAGGTCCTGGGGCCACCTACACCACTAATATTGAGAAATGATGGTGAGTTTTCAAGTAATTTTGTTAATTTTGTTTCTGCAATCACAGGATGAATGTGGAGGTATGTTATGTTGTTGGCACATGAAGCTTTGTTGTCTAAATTAAATGTAAGAAAAGTTTACTGCAGCCTATATTTGGTACCCATATTTTCTCCACTTGTGTAAGAGATAAACCCATGAATCCATTTTGGAAAACTAATTAGAAATCTAATTGCTAATCTCAACAGGAATAGAATGAGGATTTAGGTGAATATAAATAACAAAGGAAGGTATTTCTTGTTTCTCTCCCACTTAAACTGTATACACAGTCAGAATGAAGTGAAAGGTTGAACAATTAGCTCATTAATCAATTCTGTGTAATTTAGTATTCTGTGTCCAATTATCCAAATAACTTCTGGATGTACAGTACTGAACGCATAGTTCCCACCACAGTGAAATGTAGACATAACAAGGCTTGTTTGAGACAGAAATTTTAATTCCCCACACTATTAGAATATTTCAAGAAAATATATGAAATTCATATATTCTTAATTACCTAAATGACTTAACAATGTGTAGTAAAAATCACTGTGTACTTTGTAAAGACGGCCGTGTATGCCAGACTCTAGGAGTACCATGCCCTTTCCCACCACGGGTTTTTATATATGCTGTTCCCTCTTCTTGAAATGCTCCTCCTTTCCTTAGTCCCATCCTCTCAGCTTCTCCCTTGGATAAACTGATACTGGTTCTTCCAGTTTCTTTAAAGATGTCACTGTTTCCAGGAAGCCATCTCTGCTTGCTCACCCTGCCACCCAACCATGCTGCGTCAGGTACCTACTGTATCGAGTCTACGACCATACCCCAAAAGATCTCATAATTCTGCATCACAGTTGTCTGTGTTCTTCACTGTCTGTCTTACTAGCAATTTGCCTTTTTAAAGCATATGTAGTACCTTATTCACAGCCACCTCTGCTGCACCTGGTTTCGCAACTGGTACATCGAAGATTCTCAATAAATATTTGTTGAATAAATTCAAACAAAGACATAATTAAGCCCTTCAACAAGGGCTGATATCATGATTTAAGCAGTCGTTGTAGACATGTTCAGGTTTCTATTCTTTTTAAATCCTTTTACTGTCTAGTACACATTCAGATCTTCTATTATGAACAGGAATGACGAGACCCATCACACAAGTGAGGATACCATCAGCCAAAAACATTAATAGGAAACATCTACTTGACACTTAATATGTGCCTAGTCACTGTGCACAGAACTATATGTGAATTATCTCATTTAAATCTCAATCAATTATATGATAAACATTTTCTTTTGCAGACGGGGAAACTGGGGCTCAGCCACATTTGTTAAAAATTAATGGCTCCAAGATTTCCACCCAGCACCCATGTCTTACTGACTCCAGAGCCTGATATCTTAAACCCTCACAGTGCTTCGTTGCATTATACTGTAACACCTCTTATCTGAATTTATACAAGAAAAACTTGACAAATGCAAGACGGGAACTCAGATTTCTATTCCCCAAGTTTGTTACTCTTTCCCTGTGTTTTGTCAGTGAACTTTGTGCCCAAGTGATGCTCTGAACCTGAACCTTCCAGAACAAAGTATTTTATATACTAAGCAGCTCTGAAGAGAGGGTCTGAGCATCCTTTCTACATAGACTACACTGTGGAATTTTTGAGCAAATAATTTAGATTTTAACCATTCATTTATTCATCCATTTAACATACATTTATTTAGAACTTCCTGTGTGACAGCCACTATGCTGAGTGCTGGTGAACAGGAGGCTCTTGCATTCTCCTGGGGGATGCAGACACAAAGAAACAAGCAAACATAAACAAAACCAAAATCCTATTATTTTAGATGCCAGTAAACCAGTATGATAAAATAGCAGCTCTGTGGTGGGTTTGGGGGGTGGTGGGTGTCTACTTTAGACAGCCATGGAAAGCCTTTCTAAGGAGGGGACATTTGAGCTGAGATCTGAATAGCAAGAAACCGGCCCTCTTAAGATCAGAGGGCAGAGCTTTCCAGGCTGAGTTAACATCATATGCAAAAGCCCTGAGGCCTGAAAAAAAGCACTCAGCATGTTCAGAAAACACGAAGAACAGTTGAGCGTGGTTGAAGCATAGTGAGCAGGTAGGAGGGTGGATAGAATTAAGGTTAAAAGAGAGTTTTAATCTTAATTAGAAATAGGAGAAATTAGCAGATTTTACTTCGAGTGCAGCGAGAAGCCGTTAGCGAATTGTATGCAAAAGAGTGATTTATGTTTTTAAGAAGATTGCTTAGCTGCTATGTGGAAAACGGACTTTCAGAAAACAATAGTGAAAACTGGAAATCCAATCAGAATACTACTGCAATTAATTCAGTTGGGAAATGATGGGGGGTGAAACTAGGGGGTAACAGCAGAGAAGGAGAGAAATGGATTCAGGATATAGTTTGCTGGTAAAGCTGCGAGAACCTGATCATTCCTTAAATGTGGGAGACAGTGGAAGAGAAAATCAAGGATGACACATAGGTTTCTGGCATAGCAGCTGAGTGTATGGGAATGCCCTTTACTGAAATGGTTTTACTGCACAGGTTAGCAAAGGAAAAATCAAGAATACTATTTTAAACATTATTTGTAAAACCAAATACATAACTTCTCCCTTGGCAACAGGAGGAATTATTTGTTTTGTGCTTTTTTGGCCATCTTTCTATAATAACATTCATCTGGTATATTCATATTTGTCCGCTTGCCTTCCCCACCTTGCTCACATTATGATCAAGGAAAGATCAGCGTTTTCATCCGACTTTGTACTGCGCTCCAGCACGGTGCTTGCCACATGGCAAATGTTAAATTAATATGTTGGATTAAGCTACATTATATTCAATAAAACTGAAAATTCTTATCAGCTTAAAGAGAAAAGTAAGTAAGGTACTAGCTCTGTCAAAAGCTATCAGTGCTATCTCTCCAGACTGACAGATGAAGAAAGTTTCAAAAGATATGCTCCAGTGGCATTTTGTAAGAAATCTCTTAAAAATACAGCCCCTGTGGCTTCTACCCAAATGCACTTAGGCCAGAATATCTGTTCAGTGGTATTATCTGTTTTGGTCTATCAAGTCATGGATGTAATTACATATTGACTTTGATATACTGTGACATAGCCAGGGACAGACGTCACACAGAACTGCCTCTTCAAAAAACAAGAAACAAACATTCAGGAACACAAGCACTCCAGAATCATCATGTACACTTCAAACTGGCAACAACTCTGCCTTTTCCCTGGCTTTTAGATTTATCTTGATTTGTCTGGTATATCTTCATAGAGATGACAAATGTTTTGTATTAAAATATTTTATCACAAAGTTAGCAGACTAAAGATCTCATTCTTCAGCCATTAATGCCCACTCATTCTTAATTTCCATGAGTGTTGCATGGTGAAAATTCATGTCTTTTCCATTTACACTGGAGTATATAAAATGGACACTCAAACTGTGTTACTAAGCACAAAATAGGTTATTAAATTAGCTGTTTTCTGAAGATGAGAGAAAAGGGGAAATACAAATCAAGAAGAGATTGCAAAATAAAGAGGACATTCTTGTTAAAATCTATTCTGTGACAGTAAAATCAATGAAATTCTCTCTCCTCAAGATCTGGGATTTGGTGACTGTATATTAGACTGGTAAGTGCAAGGTGAGTATAGAATTTGTACAATCATTTTGATGATTGAAGCACACTCAAAATTTCACATCCTCTGTCTGCCTCAGAAAAGGGAAAAAAAGCAAGGCAAAGGAGTTTGAAGCCTGAGCTGAACTAATTGCTAGACTTGTCATTTACTTTGCTAAGAGCACATGTAGCTGGCAGAACTGTATTTCCCCAATATTCAGCTTGTTTCTTGGGCATTTCAGCTAAGCAGTCTGGACTATGATTTCTTATTTGTACCCAAAAGGCCACAGTGAGTCATAAAAGTTGAACAGTGAACCTTGGCTCAGTTCCTAATACAAATGAGGTGTGATGAGTCTCATGTCTGTTCACTGACCATTTACCACTCACCCGAGTCCTGCAAAACCCTGGGGCTCCCTGTTCCCTTTTCCCCAGCTCTTCACATGGCTCACTCCTTCCTACATCTCAGATGATGTCTCCTATGTGGGGCCAGGAGGTAAGGACACAAGCCATGAGGATCCCGAAGCCAAGCAGTCCAGGCAGAGTTCAGCCCCACCATTTATTAGCCACGTGGCTTTGAATGTGTCAGTTTAACCTCATTGTACTTAGTTTTCTCATCAGTAAGATAAGGGTAACAACATCTACCTCAGATAGTTATTTTATGTGTCATAATTGAAAGTACTTTGAACAGTGACAAAACAGAAGTATATCATCAATAACTTTCTTACCTAAAATATGCTCAACAAATTATATTTTTAAAAGACAGATTACTATAGTGTATAGATCATATTATTCTTCTTTTTTAAAATAGTGGATAATGACAGGGAAAAGTGGAATAATACTCTCCAAAGTGACTAACGATGTTAAACTCTAAAGGGTTTAACTTTTAGTGGTAAATTTTGATTTATTTTTTTCTTTTTGCTTGTCATTATTTTTCTCACTTTTCTAAAACATAGAGTTTTCAAATTTTTAGAACATTGTTTGATAAAGATTATTGGACCTAATAGGCACTTAGAGATCATGCAATTTTATATCTTTATTTTTTGAGAAACAAGGGAACTGAAGATCAGAGAATTCGGATAAGAAAAATGGCATCAGGACAGATTCCTGGTCCCTGATCATCATATTATTTCACTGAGGTTCAGAAAAGGCTGTTTGGGCTCTAGATTTAGACATTTGCTTCGTTTCTTTTGCTTTATAATTTTTGATAATTTTATAGTGAGAATTATTTCAAATAACTATATTACTTTGCAGTATTCACTTCTGGGACACATAAAAATATGAGTTGGTAGATATATGTGAGAACAGATTTTATCAGAGTTTATAGTTATTTATCCAGATATTTTTAAATCTGCTTTGAGAAGATAACTGATTTGGGAAAGTACACCTGTTGCTTAGGAACCATGAGAGGGAGAAAGTATAATTGGGAAGAATACATCATGGTTATTATTAGTACAGGTACTAAAGTAGTCCATTGATCCTTATTAGCACAGCTGTTGGTTATAAATAGTGATGAGCCTGCTCTGTTATATGCTTCCTGCACAGATCTCAAAGAGTTATCCCTAAATTTCCATAAACAAAGGTAACAGACCACTCATATAGCATAACTACTAAAGAAATAGTAGCCTTCGATGATAATCATATTGGCTCTTCTGTCTTTAGCCACTTACATGGCTCTCTCTAAAATGGCTTAAGATGAAAAGAATTAGCAGAGATTAGGACAGTCTTGAGAAGATGAGATAATGTCTGTTACACTGTTTATGCACATTACATTACACACACAGGGAAATCATTTAGCATGAAAATTCATTGTTTAGCCTTTGCCTTTTTTTCTGTTTTCCTGGAGACTGGTTGGGGACTGGTTTGGAAGGTTTGGAAGGTTTTTTTTTTGTTTTGTTTTGTTTTTTAAATTTTGCTTATTAGAACAAAGATGAATGTTGAGCAATTTATAGCCTGTGTCTGTCTGATAGGTCCATGCATTGCACAGTAATTGTTAAATATTTTTGAATATTAACCCGAATTGGAACTCCACATAGAAGAGATGCTACAAAACAAGGAACAATGAGATTATCCTATCTTAGAGTTTCAAATTCTCTCTTTCTCTGTACTCTGTCTCTCTTTCCCTTTCTCTCCTCCATTTCTATATTTACATACATTGTTAATCATATACATTTTGGATATAGGTATGTATATATAAACCAGATATATTGTCTTTGGGGGTTCAAATGTAAAGTTAACTTCTCTAAATGTTTATTATACTTCAGTATAAAATTAAAATGTTTAAAATGTTTATGTATGTTCTCAAATATAACTGAAATACCTGACCATGTTTTCCCAAGTCCTCACTCATTTTTCACAGCCTAATTTAGCCATGAAAAACAGTGAATAAGAGCAGCATTGAAGTATTTAATCTTCTCATCTTAAATCAAGCTTTCACCCAGTAGGAAAAAGCCCAAACGATGACCTCAGCATCCTTCAGTTTCACAACTTTTAGTCATGTCCAGGACTAAAGTCAAGAGGGCAAGTAAAGGGATTCTGGAGTATAGTCCCAGACGTACCAGCAGCTCTCATAAGACAAATCATTACCATTTCTTTGGTCCTTAGTCTTCTCAGCTATGCAAAATGGGTGATTTATAATAAGTTCTATCTAAAGTTTCTTCTTCTTGTCTTCAAGGATTCCAGTCACAACTTTCTAGCCTACTTAACTCCAATCTCAACATTTGCCCAAGCCAGATAATATCAGGTTTAACAGACAGATGCTGCTCATTGAATCCGATTTCTCATCAATGCTGACAGCTGATCCCTGCAGAAAACTAGGTGCATTCAGTCTTTCAGGCCACAGTGCGCCATTTTGTGAGCCTTCACCTCTGTGACCATTATACCTCCTAGTGGCTCAGAAGACTACATTCCCCACAAACTTCTAAATTTAAGACCAAAGGAGACCTTTAAAATAGAAAGCAGAAAACTAAAAGATTCTGAAATATTCTTGTTGCAGCATCATGCATCCTCCATTATGGTCTTGCCAACTGGTCACTGTAAACTTTCCTAATACTGCTCCATGCTACATTAGATCCTCAACTGGGCATCAACAGCCACTATTTTTCTTCATGAAAAGGGAGCTTTATTTGTAGGCCACTTAATTAACCTAGTGGGTTTTTGAACCCAGTCATTTAGGAGATCTCTTCTAGATTGGAGACGTGATCTACAACCCTTTATTGAAGACCTGGCATTTAGACAGGCAACAGGTAGAGATATGCCTTCCACTTAGACATAATTTTATATTATTTAAGATCTAGAGTTTATACCAAAACACTGCTTTATTTTACTCTCACTTCTAATTGCAACCTTTGTGTGGTTTTGTCACAGCAATCATGTCTTGATTTTAATTCTCTGACAACATCGCAGTTGAGGATCTGTGGGCGTAAAACATGTTTTATGAGGAGAACATCTAAATGACTAAAGGATGTGAGATATTTTGCTAAACTGCCATTGCTAATCTGATTTAATAGCATCTTAATGGCTCTGTGTATTTTGAAGGTTTGACAAGCTTAGGAACTTGGCAGTCATCTTTAGACCTCTAGCATAGCCAATTCCATTTCAGGTCCATGGGGGCTAAAGGTCTTGGATGGCCATTTGGCTACTCAGTTAGAAAGCATCTGTTAAGTGCTCGTTGTGTGTGGCACACTATGAAATAAAAAGACATGATTTCAGCCTGTGGGAACCTACAGTCTTAGAGAATTCCAAGTTAATGAAGGGTCTAAAGTTTCATTCTTTACTGGAATTATTGAATTGAGTTCTGAATAATACATTTATAGAGGGACTTGAAATGAAAGAGGGAAGCAGAGGTGTTTAGCCTAGAATTGAGTTGACTTGGGGCATTCTTTTGATCATGCATTTAACCAACGAATACTCATTGAGTATCTGTTCTCTACTTGTCTCTAGAGATGCAAAAGTCCTTCTCTGCCCTCATGGATTATAGCCTGGCTGAGAAGCCTAATTGCAGTTAGAAGCAGGAGTGGGGCCATACTCAGGGGAGAATAGAGAATTAAAGCAGATTCACTTCAGTTTCAATTTTGGTAAGAACTACCTTGGAGCAGTGAAGTGTACAGGGAAATTAGGTGTAGAATCACAGCTTAAGGGTGAAGAAACCGGGCCTGGTCTTGGGAATCAACCCAAACTTCCATGAAGAGTCAGACAATCTAAGATAAAATAAATAATTCCAGGCAGCAGGCAGATTATTTGTTTTAACTAGGAATTGGCAAACTCTTTCCCACAGGCCAACCTTGCCTGTGGCCTGTTTCTGTAAATAATTTTTCTATAGAAATGTTGGGTATTCTTGGCTAATTCCTAGATTCTCTATCATTTTTGCTGTTACAGTAAGTTGTGCTTATCCGTTTGTTTTTGTTTGTTTGTTTTTTGAGATAGAGTCTGTCTCTGTCACCCAGGCTGGAATGCAGTGGTGCGATGTCAGCTCACTGCAACCTCTGCCTCCCAGGTTCAAGCAATTCTCTTGCCCCAGCCTCCCGAGTAGCTGGGATTACAGGCATGTACCACCATACCCAGCTAATTTTTGTATTTTTAGTAGAGACAGGGTCTCACCATGTTAGCCAGGCTGGTCTCGAACTTCTGACCTCAAGTGATCCTCCAATCTCGGCCTCCCAAACTGCTGGGATTACAGATGTGAGCTACCATGCCCGGACAGTTGTATCTTATCTTTAATCACATTATCTAATTAGTTGTTGCTTATATATGGAAGGTACTGTTATTCTTGTGATTCAGTATTTGGCAAGCTTGCTGAAATTTCTTGTAGTTCTAATAATTTGTCTGTTGATTCTATTGATTCTCTCAAACTTTGCTATCTTCTGCATTTCCTCTAAGCCAAGGATCAGCCAACTAGTATTTATGGGCCCACCACCTATTTTTGTAAATAAAGTTTTATTGGCACACAGCCACTCCCATTTGTTTACCTTATGGCCATGGCTGCTTTCCAGCTACAATGGCAGAGTTGAGCAGTAACAGGGACTGTATAGCCCACAAAACCTAGATAAAATTCTTATTTTCTGGCCTTTTACAGAAAAAACTTTGTTAACCCTTGACAAAATGATATCATTAAATATCTGAAGACTGTCCATTAAAATACTTGTTATTTGTGGCTCCAAAGACTTGAACTGGGACCAACACGTACAGAGATAGAGTGTTTAGTTCAATACAACATGGATACATGGATAACTTTTTAGTAGGAAAAACATAGGAGTACTTCCTTGAAGGAAGGTGAAAATTGGCTTAAAAGATGACATTATAACTAATTGCCCAAACTGGAAACTATTAGCTCATTACTTCAGGAATTCAGGAAAACCAGTACCGTCCAGCGCAAGCAGAGGTATTTGGCCTCTCTGCCTTTAAATGAGACAGTCTTCTTGAAAAAGGTTATCTCTGCATTTTCAATATTGAAAAGGAAGGAAGGTGGTGCAGGTTTGATTAAAGTCAAATCATAAGATTTATTTTCATCTCTCACAGGTTTCTGAGGACACCTTAAAACCTTGACTGTAAGAGGTGATGTGACACCTTGAGATACCTTGCCTCTCCTGTTCAGCAGTGGGGAGGTTCTTGTCTCAACAGTTGTTGCCCCATACTCTGGGAATTCACCTACTGGATGGTGGTGGTGGTAGAGAAGATAACTTGGACAGTCCACTAGACTACATATATCTCCTTCAACCCAGGGGAAAACATGCCTTTTTTCAAAAGGGCAAAATGGTAAACTCAGTCAGGTGAATTTGTGTGACTAATTGGATATTTCCAAATGTTTTTAGGTTAGTGATATATACATCATATGACTTGTTTCTCAAGAAAGTCAATGTGGAACTTTTCATAAAACAATTTTTGCCTTTTTTTTTCAGGAGAAAATCCCACTCTGTGGAAGTTAGTAAATGTCCCTTCTGTAGTTAAATTTAGTAAGCACAGATGCCAGCTAAGGCAGGTGTTGGCAAAAATCTTATGGCACGCAACTCTGCAAACTGGTCTCCTTCTGCCAACAGAGTCTCTGCAAATTGTACTTAAACAAGCACGATGTGTTGCTGATTTCTCTTTCATATTCTCTAAATTGCCAGTTGTTTTGTTAAATTCTGTGTTCTTACAGACATCAGCATCAACTTTAATAATTGTCCAGGTTTTGAAGGAGATACAGTTGCCACAAGTTCTTCTACAGAGTCCAGACTCTGGATGGACTTGGTCCCTCAAGTTGGGACTCCATTGCTAGTACTCTCCCAATGACTAGCCCTTAAGATATGTTTATTAATGTTAGGTGGAACTTCTTGCTTTTGCTCATAGTTAGGAAAGTTGTTCTTAAAGTGTATTCTTCAGACCAGCAGCATCAACATCACCTTGGACTTCTTAAAATTGCAAATTCATAGGCTGCATCTCAACTTACTAAATCAGAAACTCAAGCCTTTCAGTTGATTTCAAGTTTGAGAACCATTGTTTTAGGAAAAATACTTAAGAACTGCCAACCGTGTCTTCCTCATGAAATCACCTCTTTTGGTTATTCAATAAACAGTTATTGCCTGCATGTGCCCCATTACTAAGCCATGTGCTGAAAAAGAGTAGCCTATGAATGTCATGAATATAAGGATCAGATCTGTGTTACCACAGTGTGCCCCCATTTGTGGGCACTGCATATGGCTTATTATTGGTGTCAAATGAATATTTACTTATTTAATTTATTGGAATATTAATACAACTAAGCCCCTGTCTTCTAAAGACTTTGATATATGGAATTTCAAGTGCCGTAACCTTCATTACTATTGTTGTATCTCTCTTACTCCAAAGAATATAAAACGTTGGCAATGAATTATAATGAATTAAGACATTTTTACTTTATGCATAAAATTATGTTAGGTGTTTTTATTTAGATTTGAAAGCAAGAGTTGTCTTTACAGGCAAATCATGTATTTCATATAGCAGAAAAGTATGGCTGAGGTTGTATATTTTGGTTGAACTAGACTAAATTATATGTGTTCCTTACTTCTACTTTGCCTTGGTTGTGTAGACCTGGGTAGGTCTTTACATCTTCCCACCTTTTTTAATAGTTCGAAGATGAAAAGGGGGTTCTGGAGCAATTCCATCAATGTTCGCACTCTTTTAGCCTACTTCTGTAAATCACTAGAGCAGCTGTGCACCAATTAATTGCAAAAGCGTACAGGTGGTCAGCAGAATGACTTGATAAATGCACTCTTATTTTAAGGGGCCTTTCATTTCTTACAAAACAAAAAAGGAAACAGCTTTTAAATTTAATGCAGAAAGTAAAGGCCAAAATAGTTAAAATAAAAAAATTAGTCAAATAACAACATATCCTGTGCTAGTTGTAACCAAATTAAATGGAACAGTTCACAGGTGTTCCAAAACGATGTTCATAATATTGTTGAAGAAAATTGCTTCTCTTGTTTTTATGACTTTAATACTAGGCCAATCTTTATATACAGTGAAAAATTTTTAAACAGCAGTGAAATGATGCCATTCTATCTCTGATCCTTCTCTTTATGTACTGTACTACTGCCATATATACACATTAATCTATTACTGATGACTCTGTTATTCACGTTCCTGTAGCCATAAATATGGATCACTGTGTATCAATCCAGAAATCACTCACTCTGTGTGACTAGATAAACAACATATACAGATCATTTTAGTAAAGAATGATCTTAAGTGAGTGAACTTGTACTAGAAGCTATAATTATACTTAATAAATGACTTCTATGCCTGGAAAGAAGTATATGTTTGACTTAATGGCTATTATATATCACAGCATAAACACTGCATTCCTACATCTTTTCCTCCCTTCAACAAATCCTTACCCATCACATTTTTTCCCATATTACTGGTATTGGGCTAAGATTTGTGAAGGATACAGAAAAAAATGAGAAGAATTTCTATCCCTAAAGCAGGTAAGAGAACAACAGAAGAGATGCTCTCTGTGTGTGTGTGTGTGTGTGTGTGTGTGTGTGTGTGTCTTTCTGTCTGTCTGTCTAGCTAGCTAGCTATAAAGATGATAGAAAACAGCATTGCTATTTAAGAGGTACCCTGAAGTTTATATGTAAAATGTTTTATGTCAGTAGTTACTCACTGAACACCTACAAGTGAAGAGCCTGCAGTGGAAGTTAGGAATATAGCTATGAAAAAGACAGACGCATTATTTGGTGTAATATGTTTTGCCATCTAAATGGAAGGCAGACACTAAACACATGAATAAACAAGAGAATTATAAATTGTGATAAGTAACATGAAGCAAGCAAGACAGTAGTAGAGAATAACTCTACTTGGTGTGGGCATGAGAATATGCCCACACAAAGACTTGCAAGTAAATGGTCATGGAAGCATTATTGGTAATAGCTAAAAGTGGAAGCCACCCAAATGCCCATCAACTGGTGTTATGGGTTGAATTTTGTCCCTCAAATAGATATGGTGAAGTCCTAATACCCAGTGCCCCTGAATGTAACCTTATTTAGAAATAGAGTCATTGTAGATGTAATCAGTAAAGATAAGGTCATGGTAGGGTAAGATGGGCCATAGATCCAATATGACTGGTGTCCTTCTAAGAACACAATGGGAAGACACACATACACAGAAAGAATGTCACGTGACAACCGAGGCAGAGATGGACTGACATGACTATAAGCCAATGAATGCCAAGGATTGACAGCTACCACCAGAAGGTAGGAAGGATTCTGCCCAGAGTCTCAAAGGGTGCATGGCCCTGTCAACACCTTTATTTATGACTTCTATCCTCTAGAACTGTAAGAGAATAAATTTCTTTTGCTTAGGGCCACTGAGTTTGTAATGCTTTGTTAAAGCATCTCTAGGAAACTAATACAACCAGCGAATGGAGAAGGAAAATGTGGCATATCCTACAGTGGAATATTATTCTGCAATAAAAAGGAACAAACTACTGGTACCTGTTACAACATCGATCAATCTCGAAAACGCTATGTTCAATGAAAGGAGCCAGGCACAAAAGACCACATATTGCACAATTTAATTTATAGGAAATATTCAGAAAAAAAGCAAATGTACAGAGACAGAAAGCAGATTAGAGGTTTCCCAGGGCTGAGACTGGGAATGGGGATTCATTGTGAATGGGCATGAGGGATCTTACTGGGGTAATGGAAATGTTCTAAAACTAGATTGTGGTGATAGTTGCATGACTCAGCAAATCTGCTAAAAACCATTGGATTGCACACTTAAAATTGGTGCACTTTTTAGTATGTAAATTATACCTTAAAAACTTGTTTTTTAAAAAAAATTATCAATGGAAACAGACAAAGGTAGAAGTTTTTATCATTTGGGTCATTTAAAGACCATTGTGGGCTAGAGAGTAGGGCCTACAGAGGAGAGGGAAAGGCAGGCAGTAAGTAGGTAAAGGATTCTGGGAGAGAAAATGTTCAGTTTGGGCCTAAATAGATAGGATTTTAGGACGCGGAGATAACAGTTCAGGGATCTGGGACATTGCATCTCTGCGTTGCCAGTGATATTTTAGTTCTTTCAAACAAGGTTGTGTGACATATATTTGCTCCTTGGTGGAATTTTCATGATCAGATTAAATAAACACAATTTTATATGTGATATTTATAGACAGAGAGAGGCTGGGAAAAAACCTGACCACTTCTAAGACCTCCTTGGCTTTTGTATTCTAACCTTATTGTCTCATCTCCCTCTAACACATGATACACTGCAAGGCAGGCTGTCTTGATTTCCTGGGAAGACGAAAGACCTCCTTCTCTCAAGGCAATTCTTTTTAATTAACACTGCTCTCAGAGTATACAGCCATATACACAGCACTAAAAGGTGTTAACTTGCTCACTGCGCTCAAAGTCATACTACTGATATTTATGGGATGATGATTCAACGGTACGGGCTGTTTGTTAGCAAGTTCAACAGCTGTGTGTGAATGTTGTTGTGAGTATGCACTGAGTCTTTACCAGGCCAGCTTTGTGCAGATGCTGAAAGAAAGGCCAGCCCAGACTCAGGGGCAAGAGAACTCAGACAGCAGAGGCTAGCCCAGAAAGGAGGAATAATTTTGTAACCGAACATGTCAAGCATGAGTGTAATGTATTTGAACCTACTTTTGTAGTGTTATTCATTTCGTGGTGAGAGGCCTTCGTAAGAGATTAAGATGAGGAGTCAGGGGCCTGAGTTTCAACACCGACTGGTTTTCTGTGGGACTAAAGATAAACCGTTTAACTCTTGAGATTACAGCCTTGCTTGTAAAAGAAAGGGATAGATTAGAACTGTGATTTTTAACCTATGGAGGGATAAGCGTCCCTTCAAGAATAGGTTGCTAGCCGTGGATCCTCTCTTTAGAAAAATGTGCATCCAGGAGGAAATTAATACCCAGATTAAGGTTGCTGAACCAAATGATATCAAAGGTCCCTTCCAAATCCAACACTCCTCATCATTCCAGGAAAGGAAGAAAAATGAAAACAAGAAGAAGAACTATTATGTTCGAGTTTGCACTATTGACAACATACTTTATAGCAAAGTTAGCTAGACTGTAAGTCATCAGACACCCAGGGTTGATTCTGTTTCTCACAGTTTGAGGAGATCCTCTTGATGCTTCTCAAACTCTGAAATGGCTGATGAAAAGGGTCACCTCGGTGGGGTGCGGTGGCTCATGCCTGTAATCCCAGCACTTTGGGAGGCCGAGGCAGACAGATCACCTGAGGTCAGGAATTCAAGACGAGCCTGGCCAACATAGTGAAACCTCATCGCTACTAAAAATACAAAAAGTAGCCATGCATGGTGGCACGTGCCTGTAGTCCCAGCTACTTGGGAGGCTGAGGCACAAGAATTGCTTGAACCCGGGAGGCGGAGGTTGCAGTGAGCCAAAATTGTACCACAGCACTCCAGCCTGGGCGACAGAGCAAGACTCAGTCTCAAGAAAAAAAAAAAAAAAACAGGCAAGGGCCCACCTCTGCGAAGTGAGTGAAATCATTTCTCTTTGTGATTGCACCTGTCCCCCATCCAGTGAGTGAAATCATTTCTCTTTGTGATTGCACCTGTCCCCCATCCAGTGAGTGAAATCATTTCTCTTTGTGATTGCACCTGTCCCCCATCCAGTGAGTGAAATCATTTCTCTTTGTGATTGCACCTGTCCCCCATCCAGTGAGTGAAATCATTTCTCTTTGTGATTGCACCTGTCCCCCATCCAGTGAGTGAAATCATTTCTCTTTGTGATTGCACCTGTCCCCCATCCATTTTTTGTCTTTAACCTTTCCTTCTAAGGTTCAGTCTCTTTTTCCTCTGACTATGGGAAGCCTAAAGGAGAGATGAAATGGAGAGCCCTATCTTTTTATAGTAAGCCAGGTAATTCCAAACTCTTTATGGGCACAGTTGAATCAAAGATCATAAAAACTGATCAGAGATGGAATAAGAATAAATGTATTAGAACAATTAGAGCAGTGGCAAATTGAGTCAAGCATGTATTGATAAGAAATAATTGATAAGGCCAGGAGCAGTGACTCATGCCTGTAATGCCAGCAATTTAGGAGGCCAAGGCAGGTGGATCACTTGAGGCCAGGAGTTGGAGACCAGCCTGGCCAACATGGTGAAACCCCGTCTCCACTAAAAATACAAAAAAATTAGCTGGGCATGGTGGTGCACAACTGTAGTCCTAGCAACTCGGGGAGGCTGAAGCAGGAGAATCGCTTGAACCCGGAAGGCAGAGATTGCAGTGAGCCAAGATCCTGCCACCACACTCTAGCCTGGGTGACAGAGCGAGACTTCGTCTCGAAAAAAAAAAAAAGAAAAAGGAAGAAAGAAATAACTGATAAGTATTTAATTGCAAAGCATGGACTTAGTTTGTTAGACTGTGTTACCTTGGGCATAATTGTAGAGTCATTTTCCGGGATATAGGAAAAGTGGGAGAATATGACCCTCCAAATAAGTGTGCCATTGGCAAGGTAGGTGTAACTTAAATGTTTTCTGTAGCTGTATCTTGTTATTCTTTTTTCACAGGTCCAAAATGTAATAAAAATACAGGCATTTGATGTTACCTTGAATATACTAATTTATGATTCATTTATATTGGCCTTGGAAATGAAAGTAAAAGTTGTGGCCACAGAATGATTACTCAGAAGAATTATTTTATTATATAGACATAATTAAGCATGCAGGTATTTTTGAGTACTTTTATTAATAAATCTTACAAATTTTTCTGCAGTATACTTCCAAAGAGATAATTTAATTTTCCTGATGACTAGCACTTCATCCCCTTCTCCTTTTTTTCCTTAAGACTACCTTAAAACAATACTTTTGAGGGGCAAAGTTGTATGCATGGAGAATTTAATCCAGGCAAATGGTGTGGTTCTGCGACACAAATTTTTCTGTAGCAGTAACTGGGAGAAGAGCCACAATTCATGACTGCTGGAGATAGGACCTGCTTTAAATGAAGGAATTAATTGTGCACATAATGATGTGTATAAGCATTCTGCATTAACAGAAAAATGAGTTTTACATTTTATACATTTTAAAAGAATCTCCAAGACTTAGCCCCTTTATTTATTCACAGGAGTGATGGGTGAATATGAGCCCAAAATAGAAGTGCAGTTCCCAGAAACAGTTCCGACTGCAAAAGGAGCAACGGTGAAGCTGGAATGCTTTGCTTTAGGAAAGTAAGTTCTGGTTTGCGTTCCTTCTCATCCTCCCTTCAGCTTGAGCAGGTATAGAGTTTTTCTTGCACTGTTCACAGCGATGGTTTCTGAGGTGACGGAAAAGCAAGTGAAGCCTTTCTCTTTGTAATTCTGTGTATGCATCTTGGATTCTGCCCCTCACCATGGAGAGAGGACATGTAATGGTGCAAGAAGGATTAGGCTGCCACAACTGACATGACCACAAAGGAAAGGAGAATGGGCAATTCTGAAAAAGTATTTTGTTCTATTATCATGACCTGTAATGTGCATGCTGTCTAACCCAGAATGACAGGAAAACAATGGCCTCCACTTGAGGTACAGTTAAGCTGACTATGTGGAAAAATACGGACTTTCATTTTGGCCCCAGTTTATAGAGGATGCATCAGACTTTTCTTGAATTTCTTTTTAAACTCTCAGTCTCTTCTCTCTACTTTGGATTTCCTTCTCCTCTGGCTAGAGATAGGTAAGACGTGTTGTTCTCTAAGAGAGTCTGTTTTACAAAGTTGTCCAAATATTGTTTACAACTTTATTATTCAGTGTGGACTTCCTTGAGAAAAGCCTACTTCTAAACTAGCTAACTTTTCCTTACAGAATATATCAGACAGCATAAAGAACATGAAATGCACATCATTTGGGATTTTTATTTGCCAGTAACCAGCAATAAAGATTTGGCATAAACAGTATAAACTATTATCTGAAGTGAGAATTTTGACATCTTCTTTGGATTTTAATGATCCGTGTCAATCTTTATGCCCAGCCCCATCTATCTGACGAATCCATTACTAACTCTCTTTTTCCTGCGCCCAAATGTTGACTAAGGCAACAACAGTAACTTTTTTTTTTTTTATTTTTCGGTAGAGGCAGGATCTGCGTATGTTGCCCAGGCTAGTCTTGGACTCCTGGCCTCAACTAATCCTCCCACCTTTGCTCGTCTAAGTGCTGGGATTATAGTCCCTAGCCACTGAGCCAGGCAACACTAACTCCACCAATCCTTATATCAGCGTGTAATCTCTTTTCTTATGATTTTTGTGTTTTACAGCAATCATAGAAGAGGTTCCTTTTTCCATTTTATTGTCGGTTCTAATAGAAAGGTTGTTTTGGTTTCCATGTGTTTTCAAGTCGTGACAAATAAGCTACAGTCGTATCTTTACTTTGGTACAGTACAATGCAGTGGTAATTTTTTATGTCCTGAAAACTTATCATATTAAATAAATTAAGACATAATTATAGGATTGAACACTCTACAGACATTAAAAGTCAAGTTGCAAAACAACATTTAAGACATAGAAAATGCCCATGCTAAGAGAACAAAAGCAGATTGCTAACAGGATAATATGATTACACTTTTTATTTTTATTTTAAAGTATTTGTGTATAAGCATTTATATATATGAAATTAAAGATGAGAGCAGGTAACTGGGTAGTCTAGATATACATTTGATGAATTTTTTAAGATGACACCTTGAAAAATCATCTGTGAAAAAGAGCAGAATTCACGTTGTTCACACTTCAAAGGGGGTTATGAATTAAACTCTATTCACACTGTTTGAATAGTGCTGGAATAAAAACAAAAATCCCAAATTGGCTTCTTCAGTCTACACAGAAATGTTTGGGTATGCACATCCAGCTGCTGAAACACATCATCACTGCCCACTTAAGAGCAGGAAGACTACATCTCAGTATGGTTATTTTTAAAGGCATATATTAAGTGCATATCTCATCAGTATAAAGACACCGATTATGTACTTTTCATAGACCTTTTCTGCATTTTGAGTTAGTGTCTGTCTAACGAACTTAAATTCTTCTAAAACAAATATAGTAGAGTTGATGGCTTTAATGTTTTAAATACCATCTCAGGTTTCCCAGAGAAGATTAGCAAGTCTTTAGTCTAATTACTTCTCTGTGTGTGTATTTGTGAAAAATAAATAAGTAAATAATTGTATCCCCTGCCAGGCAGCCACAATCTTAAAAGCTGTGGTTAGCTCACTAAACCATTGATTTGCAGATTCAATGATGCCCTCTCTGCAATTTAAGATTTGTTCCAACAGTTATGGCAGTAGGATGATAGATGCCTTGAGAGTACATAAAGACCTCACAGATGGCATCTTTCTTTCTCTCACTATTTTAAGCGAAGTTTCCCCAACCCATCTTGCAAATGGACTGCTGTAAGTTGGTAAGGTTCTCAATATATAAATGACAAGGAGAAAAACCATGTTGTCCAAAAGAATGTACCTTGAGTGAACCCTTCCTGTATGTCAGCAATAGGTTGTGTCTCCCAAATTTTATGAGCTCATTATTTCTACTATCATTTATTCATTATTTGGATATTTCTCAAAGTAGGGCACTTGCATTGTTGGTACATAGATTTATGGAAATATATTGTTTCTGTTATCTATTGCTACATAACCAACTTAGAGGGAACACCAGAATTTTATTATATCTTACAATTTGTGGGTTAAGAATTCAGGCAGGGCTTGGCTGGCTGATTCTTTTGCTTTTAGTGGCATCCTTCAGGTCTTTCAGTAGTATTTAGCTGACAGATGAACTGGTCTAGAAAGCTCACAAGAGTCTCACACACATTTCTGGTATTTTGTTGGGGACGTTGGAAGGCTGGTGTCACTGAGACTGTTATCTGGAAGCCTTACGTACGGCTTCTCCTTCCTGGCGGTCTCAAGGTATTCACTCTTCTCGTAGGACAGCTCAGGGCTGCCATGAGACAGAAAGCAGAAGCTGCCAGTTTCTTAACACCTGAGCTTTGATCCTGCAACATCACTTCTGTCTTATTTATTAGTCAAAGTGGTTAAAAAGCGCTACCAGATTCAAGGGGAGGGGCCATAGACCTCATCTCAATGGGAGGAATGTGAAAGAATTTGCAGCTATCTTTAATTTGCCACAAATGCACATGAACATTTTTATTTTCATATTTTTTATTTAGAAAAAAACATGTATGGGTGAAACCTTGTCTCTACTAAAAATACAAAAATTAGCTAGGCATGGTGGCGGGCGCCTGTAGTCCTAGCTACTTGGGAGGCTGAGGCAGGAGAATCACTTGAACCCAGGAGGCAGAGGTTGCAGTGAGCCAAGATTGCGCCACTGCAATCCAGCCTGGTGACAGAGTGATACTCCGTCTCAAAATAAAAAAAAATATATTAAAAAAAAAAGAAAAGCAAAAAACATATGAGGAAACATATATAACATATAAAAATCTGTTTTTATTTCAATGATGATATTGTATAGGAGATAGATCACTTTTTTTTTTTTTTTTGAGACAAAGTCTCGCTCTGTCGCCCAGGCTGGAGTGCAGTAGTGCGATCTTGGCTCACTGCAACCTCCGCTTCCCAGGTTCAAGTGATTCTCCTGCCTCAGCCTCTTGAGTAGCTCAGATTACAGGCACCTGCCACCATGCCCGGGTAATTTTTTTGTATTTTTAGTAGAGACGGGGTTTCACCATGTTGGCCAGGCTGGTTTCAAACTCCTGACCTCAAGTGATCTGTCCGCCTCGGCCTCCCAAAGTGCCAGGATTACAGATGTGAGCCATTGCACCCTGCCAGATCACCTTATTGAAAGTTAAGAAAAGTTATTTGATTTTAAGAACACTAAATAAGTAATGCTAGAGATGTGGATATGATTAAAGTTATAATGGAGATAGAGGAATGAATGAAGTTTGCAAAACACCCAACCTTATATGTGTAGAACCAAGAAGGAAGCGTTTAGGTTCAGATAAAAGGTCCAGTTTTCTCTAGTTTGATTCACTCCTTTTTATTCTTGCTATCAGTCCAGTACCAACTATTATCTGGCGAAGAGCTGATGGAAAGCCAATAGCAAGGAAAGCCAGAAGACACAAGTCAAATGGAATTCTTGAGATCCCTAATTTTCAGCAGGAGGATGCTGGTTTATATGAATGTGTAGCTGAAAATTCCAGAGGGAAAAATGTAGCAAGGGGACAGCTAACTTTCTATGGTAAGTGTATGATTTCAGTTTATCATTTATAGTGCTACAGAACTTCCTGATATTGAAATCATAAGCTGAGAGGCATTCAGGCATTTTGGGAGAGATGGTGCAGAATAGGACTGTGTGAAACTCATGGTTTGCTCCATAATCAGCCCTGGTTGATTCTGGGTGTGGAGAGTGAGGGTGGGGGGCAAGGGTGTTGACGGAGCAGAGAGGAAGACATTAGGCTGATGTGTTTGGAGGATGGGTATTAGTGTGAACACACTTGCAAAGAAGTCTGTTTTTCCTCTTTGCATCAAGCTGTAAACCTGACACAGGAAACGTTTTATTATTCCTACTCCTGATTTATCTTTTTTTTTTTAAGCTCTGTGCTTTTCTTCATTAGAATTTTGATTTGAGGCTTGTGCTAATCTTTTGTAATTGCTCCTATTTGTTAGCAATTTAATGTGGTACCATGAACATTTCAAAATGCACACTGTCCAAATTTAGTTCTTATCAGAGTGGAACGTGACAAATCTCTCTCACCCCAAAGACTTTTTATGTGCAGCTGCTCCTATTCCAATCAAATCATCAGCATTGATCCAAACAATATAAATGTAAAACCACTAGCACATGGTCATTATTGAGACCATCTTGGAAACCCTGTTAGGATACTGATTTGAAATCTCGAAAAGGATTTCATTGGATAGGCATTTTGAAAGCAAACTGAGTTCTGCCAAATTGGAGCATGCCAGAATCCCATCTGTCTGGGATACAGAAAACAAATACTATAGATTGATAATTATTTAAGAATGGTTTAAACAAACAACAATGCATATTAAAATGATGAGAGTAGTTCTGTAGGGCAAGTTGTAGCAAAAGCTTTAAATGTTCTTATTTCTTGCAGTAATTGATCCCACAAAAGTCTATTTATTTCACTAATTCTTCTTCCAAAGCATTTTGGTTTTAAGATATGACCGAAGTTCTAAGCCCTCCAGTAGACAGAAGGGGACCCCTCTTGGCTAAGGGGGGGCCCAGAGTAACATTGAAAAATGAGTTCTTGGCCATGATGGGAGGGTAATGTCAGACACATCTAGTTATACCTGCTCCCTTGCTAACCGCAATGAGCCTTTCTTCCCTAAGGGCTAAACACAATCTAGCCCTTTGAAAAGACTCCATCACTGACATCAACCATGCACCTGATGCTGCCCCTTATTTTTTGCCTGATAAGAGACCACCAACACAGAATGGTTCTGTCATTCTAGGGAGGATGTGCCGTGAGGGGTTTCATGTCCTCTGGTCTACCTTTTGACATCACAGGGCCAAAACCTCCACCCTCAGATGCTAATACTGCCATTTTTCATACCCGGAACCCATGAAGGGTTGCACATGCAGATGGTTCTCCTTTCATAAATATCCATGACTCCTCCTGTAGCTTATTAAATATGTATATTCATATTTATATACATATGAATATGTATATAAATTCATGGCTTCTGTGTATGAAATATACATATATTCATATTTATATACATATTTATGTACATATGAAAATATGTATATTTCATACACAGAACCCATGAAACTCAGTTGCACATGCACATGTTTCTTCTTTCATAAATATCCATGATTCCTCCTGTAGCTTATTAAATATGTATATTCGGCCATTCCACTCAGCACAAATTCCTGTTTGTTCCCTTTGCTCCTCCTTGGAAGTGCCTGTTTACAGCTTCTGGCCAAGGGAGGCTACGCTTCCTAGCCTGTCAGAATGGCCACCAGGCAGACTAATAAAGCTCTCCCTTCCAAAAAGAAAGAAAGAAATGGAAGGAAGGGAGGGAGGGAGGGAAAGGGAAAAAGGAAGGAAGGAAGGAATAAAAGAAAAAGCTATGGCCAAAGAATTCTGATCGATAATCACGTAACATTTTTTAAATCTTGATTGGAAACTGGGCAGAGATTTCCACTATGAGCCAGCCTTCAATGACCTCCCCTAAGTGACTCTCAGCATTTCATTTTGGACTCACGTTCCCCTGATGCAGCTTCTGAGGGGAGAGAACACACAGAGTTGTAGAAAGTATTAATACTTCACTTGATGAGCTGGGCAGTAGCTGTTTGAATACATCTGCACTTCTCTTTTATCATTCGTCTGTCTTCAAGAATATTAAAGGACTGACTCTCCTCATGCCAGATGACAGACTTGATATTTAATCTTTGCTTTCCTCTTAAACTGTCATAGTTGGTATCTTAGTTGATGGGTTGTAAAGCAAAAGACACCACAGTTAACTGACTGCAAAATCATGAGACTGTAAATTACAGATTTATTCAGTGAGATGCTATGGCTGTGTATTTTTAACTGTGTAGGGCTCGTTTTTCTCACCAATGTAATAATTATTTTTTCTATATCAGATAGGAACAATCTGTAAATATTCAGATAATTGGCCAACATTTTCTCTTTTTTCTTGGTTGAATAGTCTCTTCAGTTCAGTGGTGGCTGTTCCTAAATGTTATTTGAGTAGCTTAACTAATTGAATAAAGTCATTTTAACTTTCATGATTTTCTGTTAACTGAAATTCCTGCTCTCAGTATGTTAAACTGGTATGAAATTTTCTGCAACCAGGGGT
The DNA here is from genome assembly GCF_000001405.40 of Homo sapiens. Taxonomy (NCBI): domain Eukaryota; kingdom Metazoa; phylum Chordata; class Mammalia; order Primates; family Hominidae; genus Homo; species Homo sapiens. The sequence continues at coordinate 2,889,813 of NC_000003.12, forward strand.
CGGCATACTGCTTTCCTGTGGGTTAGAGGTTTCCTGCACTGGAAATACAGTACTCCAGGATTACTGTTATGGAAAATCAACTTTGTCACTGGCTCCCAGCCCTGTGCAGGGAAATGTTTTTTTCAGGGATCCTGCCCTGGAGATGAAAATCAGGTTCTAACAATGTTTCCTTTTTAAATGGAGTTATCTGCAGCCATGCATGGGAAAAAGAGCAGAATAAAATAAAATTTGCCTGCTTTCTGAAGATAACTCAGCCTTAGCTCACTTGTCAGCCACGCTTGGTGTTAAAAACTTGTCAGATCAGTTGACTTCCACAGCACTTGGCTATTGCATTTATGTTTATTCTTTTGTTTTTCCTCATCTAGCACATCAGTGACAAAAATTATCTAATTGTTTTCATTGTCACAGCCACAGGAGAGCTTAATTATACATAAGCACTTGGCTGTCATCTTTTTTCCTCTCACTTTTTTCTGGTCTGGGTCTTCCCAGTGCTGTGTTCCTAATATCCAGCTGCATAGGTCTCCAATTTAAATGAATTATGATAATTAAAATCACCATGTAGATGATAAAAGGTGAGAAAGTACCCCAGTCACTTATCCATGAACATTCTGTCTTTGTTGACAAGAATTTCTTACAACCTAGGAATTATAAACCATGGGTTTGAGCTTAGAAACCTGCTTCTTTGGGTTCCAGGTTGTTTATTGCATTCATCAGCTCTCCACTTCAGCAACCAGAAGTGTGCTAACTCCTATTCAGGGTTGGCAAAATGGCAATTTTTTTCCTTCTTGCATTAAAACCATTTTGCATTAAAACCATTTTGCCTTCTTTCAAAAGCCTACTAGGCATGATGATTGTTCCCAGTGTCTGAATAATGGAAGCCCTATTGCCCTTTGGTTTGTCCCTACTGTAGCCATGTCTTTAAGTTACCCTGTGCTACTCATGTTTGGTATGTATGAAGAACTGAAGCAAGTTCAGAGATAGAACATTTTTACCCTACCCCATCTTCCCAATTTGTTTTTGCTATAACCTGTACGGTCTAGTTGAATCTACTTTTCTCAGTCTGTTTTTGGCATTAAAAACTTCCTAAAAATAGATTTATTTTCAGTGGTAAAATGCTATGGATCTCTGTTACTAAAGATAAACATTTTCCAAAATGACTTTAATACATTATTTACTTGTTTAACAAATTTTTTTTTATTGCCTACCATGTGGGAGACATTATCAGGCACTATGGCTGCAAGACAAAATCCCTGCCCTCAAGGACCTAATATTTTACTGGAAGTTAACCAAAATGCACTATTAAGCAAATAAATTAACTAGGAAATTTTATTTTTTGGTAAGAGTGATAAAGAAAATAATGAGGTTGATTGGCCAGGTGCAGTGGCTTATGCCTGTAATCCCAGCACTTTGGGAGGCCGAAGTGGGTGAGTCACTTGAGGCCAGGAATTCGAAACCAGCTCCGTCTCTACTAAAATATAAAAATTAGCTGGGTGTGGTGGTGGTGCATGCCGGTAGTCCCAACTACACGGGAGGCTGAGGCAGGAGAATCACTTGAACCCAGGAGGCGGAGGTTCCAGTGAGCCGAGGTTGTGCCACTGCACTCCAGCCTGGGCAACAGAGCAAGACTCCATCTCAAATAAATAAATAAATAAATAATTTGATATGATAGAAAGTAGCTGAGAGCAAGAGAAAGATTTCATAAGATGAAGTAGTCAGGAAAGACTTGTCTGGGAATTGCCCTCTGACCCAAAACCTAAAGGATGAAAATGAGCTAGGCTTTCAAGGGGAAGTGCATTGCTGGCAGAAGGTGAGGAAGTGCAAAGACTCTGAGGCAGAAAACTACTTGACTTTCTTGATATGCAGCAGGGAAGTCAGTGTTAACTAAATCATAGTGAGCAAGGGGCAAAGGTTTGAAACTTGGGAAGGTGACAGACTGCAGTACTTTGTAAGCCAGGCACAGAGTTTGGGTTTTATTCTCTGAGTAAAATGGGAAGCCATTACAGCATTTCAAGGCAGGAGGGTGACTCGATTTGATTAATGTTTTGAAAAGACCGCTCAGGTTGTTTTGTGGTGAATGGATGATTGGAAACCAAGAGCAAAAGCCGGACCATTGCCAATATCCAGGTGAGAGACATTGTTGGTTAGGACGTAAGAGAGGAAGAGAAATGGAGAGACTTGAGATATATTTTGGAGTTAGAGCCAATAGGATATGCTCATTTCATTCCTACATCTGTCTAGTTTATAGATATGGAAATTGAGTCCCAAAGAGATTAAAGTAATTGATTTAAGTTTATACAGTAAAAAACAGAGCTAGATTTCGAATGCTTTGCTAGAGGTTCTGAAACTTCAGTGTGCATCACAATCACTTGGAAGTCTTATTACAACACAGAATTCTGGGTCTCGTTCTATGTTCCCAGTGGGAACATACCAGATGGAGGCTTTGATTTGGTAAGTCCAGGGTAGAACCAAGCATTTGCATTTCTAGTAAGTTCCCAAGTAATGCTGATGCTGCTTGTCTGGGAACCACATAGTGAGAATGCTCTATGTTTAGGTTGTCCACCCATGGTATTGTGAAGCTGAAGATTAAATGACATGCAAGAGAAGGTGTTCCTGCTACTCTGGAAAGCTAACAGCTTACTGTCACATCAGGCATTTTAGCCAGTCTACACAAAGTAGAATGAGAGCGCTAAGGCAATTATCTTTGAAGAAAGGAAAGGGAAATATAAAATGTATTTAATTCACTTGGTAATTATTCATCTTTGCACTTCATTCTGTCTCTGTAGTCACTTCCTTTTTGCCCAAAAAGACTGATAGAATTATAGTCATCATTTAGTAGAATGAAGTGTGAACTACAAGAGCCTGATATTTAATATCTTTGTACAGTTTCTTCTCTTTGTAACAGGTGTTATGAGAGTTAAACCATCTTCATAATTAGGAAATGGGGAATCTAATATTTGAGCAGTAAACAAGGCTGTATTTCACAGAATCCAGTAATACTTAAGCTGGAAGCAACTGCTGGGGCCAACCCTTTGATTTTTATAATTAAGGAAAATAAGATCCAGAGATACAAAATAACTTATTCAAGGTAATGCAGTGAATGGGAATCACAGCTAGAACTGCTTTTTTCTGCTATTCTACCTGTGTTACTTTTCCTGCCAATACAACATTTTAATACAATAGGTAAGGTGAAAAAAATCCATCAATCATCCGGATACTCTTTCTTGCGTTTTCCATTACCAGTGTCACAAATGAAAACATCTGGATGAACAACTGACTTTTTCACTTTCTATTTTCTAAGTTGGTCACCTGGTTATTGAGTCCAAAAAAACCCTTTTTTTCTTCTTCAAATTACATGTAAGACTAAATGTCTAGAGCCTTTGTGCTACAGTCCTTTGCCTCTAAAGGCAAAACTGTAGGCTTGATGACACTGCAAATGGTGTTTGAGTATCTCTAAGGTCATCAATAAATGAATACTTAAGCATCTTACAGCAGAGCATACTAATTCCCCATGGATGTGCTATGTATATGTGATCACAAGATAATATTCAGCCCTGCAAAGAAGCTTAAAGGACAGAGTAACCAAAGACTGAACACAGTACATAAGGTAATTTCACAGTAGGGCAATAGTTTGCTTAATTGTCCTAGACAGAACTGATATTGATACCCTCAATTCCCCTGTCACTTAAGATAAAGTCAACAATTTTTGTTTCTTTCTTTCATCTGATAGTTCCAATAAAGTATGTTGCTACAGTTTTTAAGGGGTACGCATTAAGCAAACGTTGCGAATAATAGAGAGAATTAATACAGGAGTGGAGGCATAAAGTCCTCACCTAATAAGAAACGTTAAGCCATGAAAAAAAGAGTCATATCAAGGACAATATATTGAAATGCAATTCAAGTCATCTCACTCTATAGTCCCAGAGAAGGCAAAATGTCACAGTTACATTTTTTTATTCACCAATGAATATTGTTTAAATTTACTTATAGGAGGTTTTGCTTAAGTTGATTCATTTATCTAGAAGTTCCTCTGCTTGTCTAAGCAGGAGGGCTCAAACTGTTGGTTTAAGGACTCCTTTTTACCCTGAAAAATTATTGGATACCTCAAAGAGCCTTTGTTTATGTGAGTTATATCTACCCATATATGCCATATAATTAATTTAAATGGAGAATTTAACTTAGAACTTAATTTACTTTAAAATAACAAAAATACAACCAGTATATGTTAGAAATAATTAACATAAGAAAACTGACTATATTTTTCCAAATAAAAATATTTAATGAAAAGAGTAGCTTGGTTTATATTTTTGCAAATCTCTGTAATGTCTGTCTTACTAGAATAAAAGTGCATTCTCCTATATACTTCTGTATTCAGTCTGTCATGATATTTTGTTTTGATTGAAGTATATGAAGAAAATATGGTCTGACACATATATAATTGGAAAGAGAGGACATAATGGACTCTCTTAAGGAAACCTGGGGACCTACAATGGTTCTTAGATTGCACTTTAAGAAGGATACATTCAAAAGAATGCTACCATTGTCATTTGTGTTAGGGTTGGACATTTTTTGAGAGGCTCTGGACAGAGAATGGATGTTGGAGCCAAGCAGGCCTGTGTACCATTGCTAACTGAGCTACTTTCTGAATCTGGATGTTAATGTCTCTGGGCCTTACCTATAAAATGAGTACAAGTCTACTTAACCTGAATATTATTATGAGGTTTAGAAATGATGTGCATAAAGTGAAGCTGATTAGATATTCCATATATTAGTAGTTTCCATTATTGGTTGCATTTGGGACTGAACTCAAGGTGTATAAGGGAAAGAGAAGGGGATGGATTCAGCTGAGTAAGAGCAGATTGAGGGAAACACTAGGTAGAGGCTTTGAAGATTAAAAAAATAAAAGAAAGAAATATAGAGAAATGAATCTGTGTAAGGTTAGAGTCATAGCTTGATTGATCTGGGTATAACTGAGTAAATCGGGCCCAACAGCCTTTTTGAAAATCCACATATTGCTGATTTACAATGTTTTTATTCTATAACTCATTTATAAAGTTCTGAACTGACTTATTGGAGTGGAGGACAAAGACCCTTATTCACCAAGAGCTGTGAATTCAATGGGCATAGTTGGACAGAAAGTAAGAGATGTAGGTAAAATCAGATGGCAGAAGACTTCATTTTCATTTATGTATTTGTTAATTTATTTTCGAGACAGGGTCTTGCTCTGTCCCCCATGCTGGAGTACAGTGGTACGATCTCAGCTCACCGTGATTCTCGCGCCTCAGCCTCCTGAGTAGCTGGGACTACAGACAGGCACCACCATGCCCGGCTAATTTTTGTATTTTTAGGAAAGATGAGGTTTCACCATGTTGGCCAGGCTGGTTTCAAACTCCTGACCTCAGATGATCCACCTGCCTCGGCCTCCCAAAGTGCTGGGATTACAGGCATGAGCCACCACACCTGGTCAGATGGCAGAAGACTTTCAATATTAACCTAAAGATATGAAATAATGATAATGTTCTCCTAATTTTCATAACATTTACAGGAGGCAGAGCACATTCAGAAATCTTACTTGTTATCTCGCATACAGATTACTTCCTACAGTTATATTTGCTTTATGTATTCATGAATACCTATTAATAGAAATATGCCAGCTTTGAGTTGCCTTCTAGTGTATCTTCATATAGTTGGTTTTTATATCTGAACTTGAGTTTATCCTTGCTATCCGTGCTATCTGTAAAAGGATTGGCCTATGGGAGATGCCATCTCCCATACCATTGCCAGAAGCAAGTCAGTTGTAACTTATGTGGAGATGAAGAAGCCATAAATAAGAGTGTGTGAATGAAGTACAAATTAACAGAAAAACTAGGAGAACTATGAATCCTGTTGGTTTAAGAGACAATCTAAAGGCTAAAGGTTTCACTTATTAAAATCAAAAGGAGGGGCTGGGCGCAGTGGCTCACGCCTGTCATCCCAGCACTTTGGGAGGCCGAGGCGGGCGGATCACAAGGTCAGGAGATCGAGACCATCCTGGCTAACAGGGTGAAACCCCGTCTCTACTAAAAATACAAAAATTAGCCGAGCGTGGTGGCGGGCGCCTGTGGTCCCAGCTACTCGGGAGGCTGAGGCAGGAGAATGGCGTGAACCCAGAAGGCAGAGTTTGCAGCGAGCCAAGATGGCGCCACCGCACTCTGGTCTGGGCGACAGAGCCAGACTCTGTCTCAAAAAAAATAAATAAATAAAAATCAAATCAAATCAAATGAAAAGGAGTGTTAGACATCATTAGGTCCAAACGAATCTGAATTCAAGGAGAAAACAGGCTTCCAATCCCCAGACTGCATTTCCAAAGCCGTTCTTATAATACAAGATATCAGCCAGTATCAGCAAAGTATGTGTATGTTTCTCAAGGTACTTTTTTTAGCATGAAATTTCACAAGAAATTCTCAATATTTAATACAAAGCAAGGCTGCAGCAAGGAAGCAGCCTTGCGTTGTGTTAAATATTGAGAATTTGAATGAATGTAGAAGGGAGTGCCTTCCAAGAACCCTCAGAGCTTCATGGAATTGAGTTTGAAGACCCCTGTAAGGAGACTGATTGGTGTGTGGGGAGTGGATGAGAGTCTGAAGCCAGAGAAGCACAGATTATCAGTGCTGAACAAACACCAAAGATGGACCTTGCCCTGAAATCCAACATGCATATTTCTTGTAGAGCTGGTCCTTCTTTTCAGTGACTTCTGCCAACTGGAAGTCAGGGGTTTATGAGAAGACTGTAATAATAAACTGGAAGACTCTCTTAAGTAGCATTGGAAAATGACTATTTCTCGTGCCAATACTAGGAACACTGAATTTGAGGTAATATGAGAATTTCTTGATGATTCTGTCAATTGCATAAGAATCCCAGGCAGGAGATAGAGATTTGGGAAGCATCTATGTATATAGGTGGTAAACTAAAGCCAAGTAATTATCTCCAGACTCATAAAGTCTACTATCATTAAAATTCTTCAGCAATGTCAGTGAAACTCCCGCATTCCCTGGAGATGATTCATCTTCTCCAAAATTGTGTCCGCAACCAGAAATAACTGTGAATGTCTACAGGTCATCTTTGTAATAGTAATTTAGAGGGTTTTTTTTTTTTTTTTTTGCTATCACATCCTTTCTTTTATATTTTTAAATTTCTAAGGCCTAAGGCATATGTTGGCATTTCTTTCAGTTAGAAATTTCTGTTTTTAGAAAATCGAAGCGCCAAATACTCCTGAGAATTGTTTGACCCACTGAGTTTAAATTATATCTGCCTGCAATATAAATTATTATTGGATAAGATGCTTGTACAATTCCAGTGGCTGGAATACACAAACGCTGATTTAGGTCATTTCTGGCAGTTATTGAACAAAAGATTGAAATGAAGAGATTGTTTATCTATCCAAGAGACAAAGTGTGTCACAGAGTCAAATCCCAGCACAAGCATTTAACATTATATTTGAATTTGTAGTTTGAGAACAATACTTAAGGAGTCCTAGAAGAATTCTTTTGTTTCAAATCTTGAAAGAATATGGAAGTTCAAAACAGATGGTTCTCTTTTAATATGTGAATGTGTTTAATTCTGCTTAATATGTGGGCTCTGTATATATTACAAAAAAAAAAAGACATTTAGAAATGGCTTCTGAAATAATAGTATTGAACTAACCTGTTCAGGCCTTCCTCTGAGTTGATACAGGTTGAGTATCTCTTACCTGAAATGCTTGGGACCAGAAGTGTTTCAGATTTTAGGTTTTTTAGGATTTTGGAATATTTCGACCCAAGCCTAAACATGAAGTTTATTTATGTTTTAGATATACCTTATACACACAGCCTGAAGGTAATTTATGCAACATTTTAATATTTTGCATAATTTAATGCATGAAACAAAGTTTTCACTGTATTTGACTATGACCAGTCTTATGAGATCAAGTGTGAAATTTTCCACTTGTGGCATCATGGTGGCCCTCAAAAACTTGTGAATTTTAGAGCATTTCAGATTTTAGATCTTCAGATTAGGGATGTTCAACCTGTGTTTAGACATGGAGTTGTAAAATATAGTTGAACCTTGATATTAGGCGATAAATACCCTGTACCCAATGCATTATCACAAAAGGGGAGGGGCTAATGATGTGTCTTATAATATGCTTAACTGGGATTTTTGTTATCTAAGGACTTTGAACTAGGTAACCCCCCCCAAATATGGAGATACATGAGTCATTTTCATCAAGCACATGACTTCATTTATTCTAGTTTGAAAAACTCACTCGTTTAGATATGATTCATCCAATCTAAGTGAGCAGGAGTGAAAACGTTTACTACATGGGCTTTTGCCCTGTAGATTTGCAAATGGCGTGTTAAGATAGACTGTCTCTCTTTGTCACATATATAATATGATACTTCATTTCTGATCTTCATGGGCCCACGTTCAGATATTCACTTTGAGAGGAATATGTTTATATCAGTTCAAATTTGTCTTCTATGAATTAATTTTACTTTAAAAATAAAGAAAGTGCCAGGTGATCTCCCACAGACACTGAATTTTTTGTTGATTTCACCTTGGCCCGCACAAATAACTACCACTGAGTATTCTCATCTGGTTCCTTGACCTCCATAACCCTGTGGGAAGAGACAGAATGAGCCCTCAGAAGTGCTTAACTAGTTAGAGCTTTGCAAGGCCTTTTCAAAATTCTCTCCAGTCCCTCCCTTCTCTGCCTCACCTGCTTCTTGAGATTGCAAGGTTTTGCTTCCAGCTTTCTGCATTTTTGCAAAAAAGCAATAAGAAAGCCCAAGTGTTACAGGAAATCTATGACATTGAAATCTCTCTCTCTGCATGTGATTTTGATGTTTCCTTTTTGAACTTCAACTTGACATTGCTTCATAAGTTACATTTGCCCTTCCATTTTTTTCCTCACTCTCTTTCAAAAGTTTGGCTTCATTGTTAATATTCCTCACATACTTCTGTGGCTTTTCTTGTTTGCTTTGTTTTCATGGACTCTGTAGGGGTCAATATTCAGCAGGTTGAATGTGAAATCAGGCATGCAACTGCATTAGCCATCAAATTCTCCAAGCAGAGAACCTTTTTAGCTTCCTTTGCATTAGCAGCAGGAAGATAAAGAACAAGGAAGACTTGCAGCTCTTTTAAGGGTGTAGGTTATAACCCTTCATTCAAGTTGATGTTTGTTGATGTTCTAAATTTTTTTGAAGTTGACCCTTTTGGCCTCCCCTCATATGCAGCAATGCATCATCCCATCAGTAGAGGATTTGTAAAACTGTGTTTTGCTCGTTGAAAAACATAAAATTGCTTATAGATGAGAAAAGAAAAAAGCAGCATTTATTCAAGGGCCTAGAGACCTCTGCTGGTTAAGTGATTTGTTGAGTGTCTTTCTAGTTTTGTTTATTATTGAAAAGGTGAAATACAGTTTGGCCTCAACAGTAGCAATTTCCTTTTGAATTAAAATTATGGATGATTTGAAACATTGTTGAGTGAAGATACTGAGGTCAAGTCAGCTGGAAGAGATGTTAAGAATAATGAGTAGCATCTCCTAATTAAATACTGATATCAACTTTGATTATTAGGTTTACCTTGGTAGGCATTACCCTGTAGAAATGCCCTGTGAACACATAAAGTTCCAGAATGACAGCTATGGTTATCTTCTGCATGACTTTGGGCTGAAGGTCTTCTACCTGAATATGTTTATCATTATTCTTAATGGCATGAATTGTGCTTGAGGCAAGATTTGATATTTATGAAGACTTTTTATGGAACATGGAATTAACATTGTCTTTATATCTATTGAAAATAAGGAAAGAAAATGTGACTTCAATGAAGTACAGAAAATGTATTATCATTTGGGCAGCGGGGGTAGTGGATAGCAGTGGGCAATGTGGGAATTAAGTGCTACTTTGAATTCTTGTGTTAGACTGTGGGCAGGACTTGATTTCCTGAGGAGGTTTGATAAAAATCAGAACTCATTTAAAGATTTGGGGTTCTAGGGTCATATTCCTGTAGATAACATTCTATCAATACGAAATCAATAATAAACAATGATGATAGTCTTAAAGGAGAAAGGAATCATAAAATTGATCTATACAACATGTGGGAGTGAAGTATATTAGTGAGGGACAAGCTAAGCTATTCTCACAAAGGAGGCCCCAAAATAAAGTAGCTTAGATGAAAAGTTTATTTCTCTCTCACATTATTTTCCTCAAAAATGGCAGGTGGATGTGGAGCTGCTTTGCTCCACACAGTCATTCATGGTCCAAGGCTGACAGGTCAGCATTTTCATCCTATGTAGCTTCCATGTCTGCACCCAAGGCTATTTCAATTGCTGGTCTTTTCCAATCAGTGTGAAGGGAAAAAGAAGAGGTTACGGAAAATATCTTTAAGTGAATAACCCAGAAGTTGCTCTCACCACTTTCACACACATACAGTTGGCATGAACTTGGTTACATAGTTACCTCTAGCTGCAAAGCAATCTGGCAAATGTAGTGCCTACCTGGAAATATACCAGCCTGGTTAAAAGTGGGAGGGGGGGTGATGGGAAGATATTCTCTACTGAAAGGAAAAAAGGAATAATAGATACTTACAGGAGAGGGACAGTTAATTTTGCCATATGGATATTGGTAGTTTTATCCATTTTGCATTTAGCGATTAAAAGACTACAATATGAACCACAAAAATGGTATTCAGAGTAGGGTATAGGCACCTCCCTGAATGTCTCCCCAGTCTTGTTATTTGCATAACATCTGGAAAAGGAATTTTATTATAAGTGTACTTTTGCCCTTTGATTGAATATGATAAAAATAGATTGAGTACACACTGAATATACACCTTTCTTTGCTTTTTGGATGCCTATAGCTCAACCTAATTGGATTCAAAAAATAAATGATATTCACGTGGCCATGGAAGAAAATGTCTTTTGGGAATGTAAAGCAAATGGAAGGCCTAAGCCTACATACAAGTGGCTAAAAAATGGCGAACCTCTGCTAACTCGGGTAAGCAAGTTAATGGTAATTGTGCCTTAGTCTTGACTATAACGTTTAATATAGCCTCATTGCCGTGGAAACGGGAGAATGGTGAATTGTTTCTAAAATAATATGCAATGAAACAGCATTATGGTGGAAAAAGTGAGAGTGAATGCAATTGATAAATAGAAAGTGCACTTAAATCCAGTTCTCCAGCTTTCAATTAAGCTCTTGCACTAGATCTGTGGTCTTCAAAGATTAACATATGTGACTTTATAATGGGAAAGTTATGCAAAAGGTCTGGAACATGAAATTGTGCTAAGATACAAAGGAACATACATTCCAGCATCCACTACAAGAGAAGGGGCATTGACACAATACAGGATATCCATCTAAATAGAGAAACACTCTGACAAAGAAATCTGAATGAAGCAGGGGTAGAGCGGAGACCCTGAGAATGAGGAACAATTGTGTCCAATTTAATTTTCCTTATGTATTTTCCTGCCGAACCTCAAATATTAATTGAAATTTGACATTTTCCTCAGGCTCCAAATTGAGAGGCAGTCTTTCATGCTCAGATTTCTTCCTCCAGTAGGCCACCCAGAAAAGAGTGCCTGCTCGGAGCAATGGCCCTCACATGAATTTACATGACAGGAAGAGAAAGGGGACTGTTTTGCCTAACTCACCCCCTGCCTCATGCACCTTCTCCATTTGCTGGAAGGGCTCCAGCTTGTCCATGATTCTGTCAATTATAAAAGCCAAACTCAGACAAATTGCAGGGGTATAGGTACCTAGGTACTGGTATTTTCCTTCTTTTGTGTAATTGTTACCAAAATGCCAGGGAGTTGGTCTAGGTCCTGTTGCTTGCTGTGCAGAGAGCCAATCACTGAGAGAGTGAGTATTGCCAGGAAATAAGGCTTTGTTCAGGTGCTTTAGTCAAAGAGAATGGGAGATCAGTCTCAAATCCATCTCTCCAACCAACTAAAATTGGGAGTTTATGTAGCTGGGGAAGGGATGCAGCTGTGTGCAGGAAGGAATTAGGTGGGGGTACAGAGGCAATTATGACAGATGAAGGGTCTGGTGTCTCACTGTCTGGATGCCATGATCTAGTGAATTTGAGTCCCTTGCTTGAGGATCAGCCTCCTGAGGAGTGAACTCAGTGAGACCAATGTAAGTTTCAAGTTTTAAAACTAGGCAGGTCAATTTCTGGGTTTATTCAAAAACAGGTAATTATCATTTCTGTGGGACACTTGGGCTTGTTTCTTAATGTGAGGGAACATGAATATCTAGATTTGATCAAAGTCTAATAAAGTGTCCACTCAGCTAACTCACAACCCTGCGGCAAACAGAAAACTAGTACCTCTTTATATATATGTAGAATGGCAGGTCTCCTGGAGAGGAGGAGATCCTTTTTGATACTTATGAAAATTGACACATAAGTTGTATATCCTCAGAGTGACAAATAAGGAGGATCTCCTGTGCCACGTACTAACTTTGCCCCCTTCAGATTGGCCGCCACCAGATGGTCCTCAGCTTAAATCACACCACTGACAGCAATAAACTAAGGGAATATTAAACTATTAATACCTACATTTTTTAGTAAACCTCAACCAATATTAAATATTTGCCTCTGTTTCATCCAAGATTGTAATCCTATTAACCTTCAAAGTATCACCTGCTCAAAATGTGAGTGTTTTAAGCACTCTAAACAGTAAATTTAGTTTTATTTCCGAAACCCCCTAACTCTGGTCAGTACAAAGCCTTAAAGTGAAAAAGCATTTTAAGTTTCAAGTTATTCTATTTAGAGAGGATATTAATCTGAATGGCTCCACTATTAAATCAATGAGAACTCAAGAGAATCCTACAATTTAAATTCCATTTACCAACTGATGTACTGGTTGTTCCATTTAGCATCTGACCTGCTACAAATTTAGCTGACAGATAAATAGATCATGTTATGTAAATTGCTTATATGATGGCTGTTTTCTTCCCATTAAGCTTCCTTGATATTACACATGGTAAAATTGCCTTAAAGTCTCAGTTGTAGAAGGTCATTGTTTTTATGTTCCTCTTTTCTTTCACAGGATAGAATTCAAATTGAGCAAGGAACACTCAACATAACAATAGTGAACCTCTCAGATGCTGGCATGTATCAGTGTTTGGCAGAGAATAAACATGGAGTTATCTTTTCCAACGCAGAGCTTAGTGTTATAGGTGAGTCTTTATACTGGCAAGAAAAAAAAATTAAAACTCTTTAGATCACTAAACTAACTTGTTCTTTGCCAAGCATAAATGTTCAATCCAAGAAAAGGAGTAAAGAAATCTTTAGGCCAAAGATGCTACTCAAGAAACAAGTAATAAGCAAGTCTATAAACAATAACAAGAGAACGCTTTCTAAATCCGCCTCTTCTGATGCTTACAATGGGGACCATGCTTCCCTTGGCACTCATTTTTATTCCTCTATTGACTGCACTTCTAAATTGAGCAAAGTTTTTGAGATGCTTTTTGGAGTCTGCTGCTGATTTGGTGCAAACTTGAGCTTGGAGGGAATAAGAGCTGACTTGGTTTGGAAAGGCTTATTTGAACAGCTGACAGAATAAACCCTGCTCTTCCACATCTGAATTTTTCCAGACTGTGCATTAATGATCTTTCTTCCAACTACATGTTTGATCGTGTGCCACTTCCTCCCTCCTCTTCAGCTGCATTGACCTTTCTGTTCTGCATACTCACCATCCTCCCGTCCTCTGCAGGCCACTGGTACATACTGAGTGCATCGTCTGCCTGAAACGCTTTTCCTTCCCCTCTTCATTTCTGTAACTCCTTCTCAGTTCGCATCTTCCATCTTCATTGGTGCTTCCTCAGAAAGTCATGCTTGGGTCAACTATTCCTATTACAGATTTTTATACTATCTTTTACCTCTCCTTTATGAAAGATGCCACAGTTACAGTTTACACTTTTTTTTGTGATCTTTCTATCTTTTTCTTCCACTGCATTTTAACCTCCCCGTGACGTCAAGGATCATAATTGGTTCAATTCATCATTTTATTCCCAGGACTTAATACAGTATTGAAGCACATAGTATGCACTCAATAAACATTGAATGAATGTAAGAATGAATGAGTGTGTTAAATGAAGGAAGAAATTGAGAGATTATTTTATTAAATGGATTAATAGATTAGGTCAGTAAAGAATCGAAAACATAGTTGAGTGAAAAGATAAATCTATGGACGTTAAAAAAAAAAGTTAAGACCAACAGCTTGCATTATCCTGTAGAAAAATTTTGAATTTGTCTATTATTATAAAAGAAGAGATGATAATGACAACTGAAAACACAAAAACAAATGCAAATGATTTGGGAACTGCCTCCTATTTTAGAGGCTTTCAGTAGTCATTCTCCTTGGTGAGAGCATAATGGAAGACTATGAATAAGAGAAAAACAGCACACAAAGGAGCTAATTCACGTGCTCTGATAAATTGTCCAGTTTCAGAGTCCTGACTTTCCCTTATGAAAAACATTCATTGGTGCCTAGCATGTAAATCTTGCATATAGAAGTAAATGTTCTCAAGTAGAATGTACTTCCATTCTGTGCAATGTAAAAAAATAAAAAGAAAGAAAAACTTCCACACTGCTCTTCTCACTAAGTTCGTTAGCACTGACTCAAATCCTATCAAAGATAACGATTGTGAGATTTCATGGGGATGGAGCCTTTTTCAAAGAGGCCTAGTAATGGTTTTATGCTCTTGGCATAGATAGCATCAGCATGGCTAGGCCTACTGGAATCCTAAACACACATACTTCTCACCCTATAAATATTAGGAACAATAATTTTCAACCCCTTCCAGGACACATATGATGATTCCCTTCTGCCCGGATTTGCTAACTATTGGTACTTGGAACTGAGTCTTTTGGAGTACAGTTCACCATGGCAGGATTGCTTAGGAGTTTATTCCAAAACAAGTGTGTTCTCTACTCTACTCTATATCAGCTAGTTGGAAGAACAGCTAAAAGTGAGATGTGGCCTAATGAAATGAATCATAGTGTCTGAAAACCCTCTATATGAGCGCTAGCCAATTTATCAGTCTAGGGACCCTTTTATAATTTTAAGAGATTTTGTAGATCCCTTTATTAAAATAAGAAAATTTGATAGAAACAAATGACTCCAACAAAGTGAGAAAAGCTGCTTAATGATTTATATCTAGAGTGCCTACCCATAGCTGAAAATAACAGAATATATGTGTATGCGTATGTGTACGCATAATGGCTTAAAACCACTCTGCACAGCCCTCCCCTCTCTCCCTCTAGTACTAGGATTCAAGGCCTGTTAGCTGGGAATCACTGTTCCAACTTTTACATTAAGGAGTTTATTTAAAAATCATTTCCAATTGGAACTGTCTAATTACAAATGAATTTTTGATCTGAGCTCTTAAGTTTCCCGACGCCAGCAAACTAGAAGTGTTAGTCTGTTTAAGCTGCTATAACAAAAATACTGCAAACATGGTGGCTTATAGACAACAAATGTTTATTTCTGATAGTTCTGGAAGCTGAAAGTTTGAGACCAGGGTGCCAGCATGGCCGGGTTCCGGTGAAGTCCCCCTTCTGGGTTGCAGACTGCCAACCTCTCACTGTGTTTGCACATGGCAGAAGGGGTGAGGGTCTCTTGGGCCTCTTTTATAAGGGCACTAATCCCATTCATAAGGTGCTTCACCCTTATGAAGGGCTTCACCTCATAGGGGCTTCACCTCTTAAAGGTCCTGCCTCTTAGTACCATCACCTTAGCGGTTAGGATTTCAACATAGGAATTTTGGAGGGACACAAACATTCAGACTATAGCAGTAGAGCAGTCAAGATAAAATGAAAATGCCTGAGAAATTATTTAACCATGTTTCACATAAGAACAATAAAGGCATGTCATCAAATTATTTAGGCCAAACAAGTTGTAAAAATGTAAGGCTTGCAGGAATTCAGGAAAGGGAATTTGGCTAGGGGGCTGGGCTGGAAAGCTAAGCCCTGAACAATTTAGATTTTGACAAACACAAAGAATAGTCCAGATCAGAATGAAATGGCTGGAACAAAGGCTCAAAATTATAAAATATCTGGGATAGTTTCCTGCACATAGAGAATCTTCAGTGCTTTTTAAAGCTGTTGACTCCTCAGTGGATGAATGGGCAAACAACATTTGGTATATGTGAACACAGTAGAATACTATGTAGCCATAAAGAAAAGGAGAAAATCCTGTCATTTGTGACAAAAGGGATGAACCTGGAGGACATCGTGCTGTGTGAAATAAGTCAGGCACAGAAAAATATCACATGATCTCACTCATAAGTAGAATCTGAAAAAGTTTATCTCAAAGAAATAGAGTAGAATGCTGGTTGTCAGGGTCGGGGGAATCGGCGGGGGAGGGTTGGGAAGATGTCGTTCAAAGAATACAACACTTCAGTTAGATGGGACAAATACATTCAAGCACTCTATTGTATAACACGATGATTATAGTTAATAACAAGATATCGTACTCTCAAAAAATGCTGAGGGAGCGGATGTTAAGTGTTTCACCACAAAAATGATAATTATATAAGGTAATTTATGTTAACTAGCTGGATTTAATCATTCTACAACGTATATAAATACTTCAAAACATGTTGTATGTAATAGATACAATTGTGTCTGTCAATCTAAAAAGTAAAATAATAAAAAAAATAAAAATTTTGATTCAAATACATAAAGCATATATCGGAAAATTTAAACTTGAAAAAGAAAGATGGTGGCCGGGCACGGTGGCTCACAGCTGTAATCCCAGCACTTTGGGAGGCCGAGGCAGGCGGATCACCTGAGGTTGGGAGATCGAGCCCAGCCTAGCCAAAATGGTGAAACCCCATATCTACTAAAAATATATATATATAAATTAGCCGAGCATGGTGGCGCATGCCTGTAATCCCAGCTACTCGGGAGGCTGAGGCAGGAGAATCACTTAGACCCGGGAGACAGAGGTTGCAGTGAGCCAAGATCGTGTCATTGCACTCCGGCCTGGGCAACAAGAGTGAAACTCCTTCTCAAAAAAAAAAAAAAAGAAAAAGAGAAAAGAAAAAGAAAGATGGAGAAGTCATTAAGGACCAATTTTGGAGATTCTTGAATGACAAGCTTGCAAGTTCCCTATTTAATATCCCATTTTCCCTTCCAAAAATTCCCAGTAATATATTTCAGGTAAATTGAAGGGCAGTTAAAGATTGAGTGTGTAAACCCGTAGAGTCTCTCTTAAGTGAATAAGGGAGAAGACATCTGCCTATTTAAAGATACATAGAAATTAATATTGGTTAACTTGGGTAAGACATAATATGATTGTTTTCCACAAGTCACTTTGTTCCTTATATAGCAGGAATAGTTTGGCTCTTTTGGATCAAATAACTAAATTGTCATTACCTATGCTAGAATCATGAGGATGCTGAATTGAACAAAGAAACAAAATGGAAACAAGATAATCTCTTGTTAAGATTATCTCTTGGCCGGGTGTAGTGGCTCACGCCTGTAATCCCAGCACTTTGGGAAGTCAAGGTGGGTGGATCACCTGAGGTCAGGAGTTCCAGAACAGCCTGGCCACCATGGCAAAACCCCATCTCTACTAAAAATACAAAAATCAGCTGGACATGGTGGTGCATGCTTGTCGTCCCAGCTATCTGGGAGGCTGAGGCAGGAGAATCACTTGAACCCGGGAGGCAAAGGTTGCAGTCAGCTAAGATTGCACCACTGCACTCCAGCCTGGGTGACAGAGTGAGACTGTCTCAAAAAAAAAAAAAAATTATCTCTTGATAATCTGTATAAGAAAGAAAAAATATATATGTTGGTTCCACCTATTGATTAAATATCAGGAACCTCCAATGCTATAGAGGAGATTCCTTTTAATGTTGGGTGATAGCCCTACGGTCATGAATAAGAGATGGTTAGGAAGCATATATTTAATAGGTTTTTCCCTTGGTTTTATTTTATGTGTTCTGTCTTGGTATTTAATGTGTATGTAACATGTCTATTTAATGGATTTAAACTGCTAAATAATTAATCTGTGTGCTGGGTGATTTACTCACTGGATGGGCAAACGCCATAGAGAGACTTTTATCTTGAGGTCAGTATATTGGTAGGCCTGGTTATGAGTACATCAAATGGAAGTGTCCTTGTCTGTGACTGAACTATGACAATTGGCAGTTTATTTTTTTCCCAAGGCAACTCCTCCTAGATCTTTTCTGCTGTCTTAGCCTGAGTCATGGATGAGATTCACTTGTGGGATATATCCCTGTGGACATCCCTGAGGTGCTGTACAACTCCCTGGGTGATAACCATCATTCCACTCCTCTCCCCCACTCATGAAGGTGTATTACAATTAGAGTAAATAGAGTCTTGTAATCATGGGGAAACTGAATCTTCTATACGTAACTTAAAAAGTAAAGATAACTAAGTTAGGTATTTTGTTGGTGAAAAAATAACTTTTCTAAAGTAATAGTTCTACCCATGTTTAGTATTTGTGTCCACTCAGATGATCATATTGGCGATGGGGACTGCTGATTAAATTGCCAAACTTGAAATCATTGGGTAAATATAGAGGATAGCTAAGGTCTCCAAAGCAAGTCTGAGGCAAGTATTCAGGTATCTGCAATTCACTGAAAGAGTGTTCTCCAGGAAAAACCTGTAAGGAAAAGCAGAATAAGGAAGAAGGAGGAACCAAACAAGGATGGGGTCTTAGGTAAAGTCTAGCCTAAGTCTAATCCAGAAGGGAGATTTCTGGAACATAAACTGTACCTCAGACCCATTTCCACCTTGAGATAATGAGGCTAGCTTTTTAAAAAATCTCCATGTTAATCACTTCCTAAGCTACCTCTTAAGTGGGGTTCCAGAAGTGGTGGGGGTCAAAAATCTTTGATTTTGCTTATATATGTGAGAATATTGTGAAAAAAGTTTTTTGATTTTACAGTGGGAGGAGCCATCCCTAAGGGTGAGTGGGTATCTGCCCAGTGGTCTTTTGAATATGACTTGACTTTTCCAGGACTGTATAATGGAGGAGAAGTAGCTTCTATCCTGAGGAAATTATGTCTAATGGTTCAGTATCCCGGGGGTTCTCCTGGCCTGTGTGGTGGAACACATCTGACCCTGGCAGGACACTCAAATACCATCAAGTAACTGATGGCCCAATTAAAGTGAGGTGCAACCTTGAGCGATTATCTGGTTAATTTGGCATCTACCCAGGTGATTGGCTCCCAAATTAGAAAAACATTAAGGCTAAACTAAAAGTTATTTCATAGGGACTTTCACAAGTGCTCATCTGCATCTGATTTCTCAACTGCCTCGTTGAGCCAGGTTACAAAATAATCAGATGTGCTGAGTGTGATCAGCATCGAATGAGAGGACACATGCCTTTCTTACCCAACTGCAGTCATCCAGGCAAGAGCTTTACTTAAGTTGTCATGAAGAGGGGAGCTGTGCACTTGGCTCTCAAAAGCAAATTTGGTGTCTTTATCAAGTTATTGATCATATACGTACCAGTAGTAGGAGGATGTCATTACTCATCTTACTGTGAAAACTGACAGAATTACACGTGAAAGCCTTTGCAAACCTAAAGGTGTTTATAACAATATAAGAAGGTTTGGGCTTTTTTTTTTTTCTCTTAGTATCCATACCAAACACTTAGAGATAGCCATGAAATCACCAGTAAATCCCAGTTCTGTGCTTCTCAATTTTTGCTGCAGATTACAATCATCTGGGGAACTCTTTACTATCCTGATGGCATACCATACTCGTTATCAACTAATTCAGTCTCTGATCCTAGGACCCAGGCATTTTTCCTTAAAGCTCCCCAGGTGTGATTCCGAAGAACAACAGAATTTGAGAACTATTGCTTTAATTGATCAGGTTTAAAAAGCCATTGAATTTTCCTAAAATATTGATTATCAGGCTTTATCGTGCATCACAGTAATCTAGAGGACATGTTAATACACAGATTGCTGAACTCTACCCTGAGAATTTCTGATATAGTAGCTCTAGAGTGGGGCCTGGGAATTTATATTTCTAACAAGTGATGTTGATGCTGATGCTGCTTATCCAAGACCACCGTTTGAGAACCACTATCCTAAAATAGGAAATCTGTCCTACACAGAGGGCTTTTGTTGTTGTTTTTAAAAATTGAACATAGTCTCCCTACCAAAACATCTGATTTTGGATCAAAAAGCACTCTGAATCCGAAGTACCCCTGTATGAGAGAAAGAGCAGGCATCAGAGATTCCAACCATGGCTGAAGGCCCCATTTCAACAAGAGAGTGAATAGGAATAAAGCACACAGAATGTCTTGACAGACTACCATGTGAGGCTTGAGCTAAAGTGCTGCATGGCATGACTCTGGTAGTTAAAGCCAACTGAGGGGAGACATTGAAAGCTGATAAATATTATGATAAATATTATGATCATCCCTTACATCAATTCCCCCAAAGAAATGCAGTGAGTCAGAGTTTAAAATATTACTCTAGAATGCAGCCTAAGGCATCACTGAGCATTAATACTTTATATACAATCCTATAACCAAAATATCTGAATCTTCTGTAAAACTGCTGTGAAGAGATGATCCATCTTGAAGTCCTTAGTCCTTTTCATAAAAATATTTCCAATAAATTTCTCATAAAATGTAGAACTTCTCTCTTAAAAGAAGAAAAGTTTGCATCTTCTAGTAAAGAGGCAAAGTTTTTCATCAGTCAGTAAGAAATATGTTATTTTTCTCTTTGCCCAGTCTGGGATTAATTTAACTCTATTGTATTAATTCTAGTGAGATTGTTTTCTACCCTTCCCCTGTTTGAATTGAGTCATATTGTAAATGTATTTACTACTTTATGTCTTTTACCATTATCTACCCCAAGTTCTTTGAATTTGTGAATGAATAAATAAATGAAGTAACTATTTTTCCCCCTCCACCACCTTCTGGCAAAATTGATTGCATTTGGGGAGCCTAATCTAAGGAGTATTAATTAGACTGACATTCAAGATTTGGTAGTGGGGGGTGATTCATCAAGATAGTCAAAAGGGAAGCCCCAGACCCTTTTTCCCCAATGGACCAGTTGCCATTGAAAGAAATAAAACCAGTTAAGAGATTTCTGCACTCCAGTCAAGTGTAAAGCCAATAGCATTAAAGCACTGTAGAAAAATTTATGGCACTCGCTTGCTGGAGCACCTCCCACTCCCCACAGCGTAGCACAGAGCTATCAGTAGAAAACTTCCAATTCCTAATTTCTTGCTGGGGAGGGAAAGAAAAGAGTGGAAGGTATATCCAGTGTTTTTACTTTTGAGGGGGAAGTACTACCTAAGGGAGTGGTTTCCGTTTTGCCTGAATCTAAGTGATGACAGAAACTGGGCTATGTGGGAGGCCCCCTGAGAACAAAGTCTTATCAACATGGCTTGGTCTGGTATCAGGCTGTACCACAGACACTAGGGGAGGTCCAGTACCAACAGAGGGAAATTTAATGCTTCCTGCAGCACTAGAAAGTCCACAGTACCTGATAAAGACACCAAGGGAAGCTCCTGAGTAGAAACCAACAAATCTTCAATTAGGGGATTACATACAAAAGCCCAGAGAAGATGCATCATCAGAAAAGGCTTGAGAGATTTGCGGAATCTCTAGCTGGACTGATTGCTCTCAGACTGCAAAGACTAGGAGAAGTGTCTGATTTTTTAAATGCCAGAATTCCAGCAGAAGATAATAAAGCACACAAAGAAACCAGAAGACATGGCCCAACCAAAGGAACAAATTATATCTACAGAAATCAACCCTAAAGAAACAGAGGTATATCAATTACCAAAGAATTCTAATTATTCTCATAAAGACGCTCAAGGAATTAAGAGACAGTACAGATAGATAACTAAAGGAAATCAGGTAAATGATGCATGAACAAAATGAGAGTATCAACGAGATAAAAGATGAAAATGAGCCCAAAGAAATTCTGGAGGTGAAGAATATAGTAAGTGAATTCAGAATATAGTACTCAATTTACTAGAGAGATTCAACAACAGGCTTGACCAGACAGAAAAAAATAATCAGCAATTCAAAGACAGAACATTAGAAATTATTGAGGCAGAGGAGCAAAACGGAAAAAATAAGAAAAGTGAAGAAAGCTGAAGGGTCTATGGGACATCATCAAGTGCAACAATATAAGTGTTATGTAATTTGCAGACAATAAAGAGAGAAAATGGCAGAGAGCCTATCTGAAGAAAAAATGGCTGAAAACTTCCTGAGTCTGAGCAAGGAAATGGATTCACAAATTTTAGAAGCTCAAGAACTGCAGCTAGGATGAATCCAAAGAGATCTACACTGAGACACATTATAATCAAAGTGTCAAAAGTCAGAGACCAAAAGAAAATCCTGAAAGCAGCAAGAGAAAAGCAACCCATCACAAACAAGTGTGCATCTGTAAGATTATCAACAGATTTTTCAGCAGGAACTGCATGCTAGAAGGGAGAGAGATGATCTACTCAAAGTGCTGAAAGAAGGAGCTGCCAATCAAGAATACTATATCCGGTAAAACTGTCCTTCCAAAATGAGGGAGAAGTGGAGACTTTCCCAGATAAACAAAAGCTGAATGAGTTTATCACCACTAGGTTTACCCTGCAAGAAATGCTGAAGGGAGTCCTTCAAGTTGAAATGAAAGGATGATAAACAACACAAAACTATATGAAAATTTAAAACTCCTAGATAAAGGTAAACATACAGACAAATATAAAATCCTGTAATATTGTAGGTACAAAAATCACTTTTATAAAAATCTGGTATAGAATGTTTTAAAAAGTATAAAAGGTAACTATAAATCTATGTTAATAACTGTACAGTATAAAAGGAGGTAATTTGTGTCATCAGTAACAAAGTGGGGCAGCAGGATGTAAATAGTTTTTATACATGATTGAAGTTAAATTGTTGCCAGCTTGAATAGATTATTATAACTTTAAGATGTGCTATATAATTACAGTGGTAACCACAAAGATAATATCTATATAATATACAAGAAGAGAAATGAGCAGTGAATGAAAACATATCATTTTTAAAAATAAAGGAAACACAAGGCTGGGTGCAGTGGCTCACGCCCGTAATCCCAGCACTTTGGGAGGCTGAGACAGGCACATCACTTGAGGCCAGGAGTTTGAGACCAGCCTGGCCAACATGGTGAAACCCCATGTCTACTAAAAATACAAAGTTTAGCTGGATGTGGTGGCGCATGCCTGTAATCCCAGCTACTCAGCAGGCTGAGGCAGGAGACTCACTTAAACCCGAGAGGCGGAGGCTGCAGTGAGCCAAGATCACACCACTGCACTCCAGCCTGGATGACAGAGTGAGACTCTGTCTCAAAAATAAACAAATTAAATAAATAAAAATTAAAACAAATAAAAATCGAGGAATAAAAATCTCCTCTTTTGAAGACAGAAAGAGGAGAAAGGGTAAACACAAAAGCTACAAGATACATAAAACAAATGAACAAAATGGCAATTGTAAGCCCTTCCCTATCTCTAATTATTTTAAACATAAATTGATTAAATGCCCCAATTAAAAGATATAGCTTGACTGAATGGATTAAAAACAAACAGGATCTAACTATATGCTCTCTGTAAGAGACACACTTTAGATCTAGGGTTACACGCAAGCTGAAAATGAAAGAATAGAGGAAAATAATCCGTGCAAACCAGAACCTAAAGAGAGCAAGGGTGACCGTATTAATATCAGACAAAATAAACTTTAAGACAAAAACTGTCACAAGAGACAAAGAAAAACATTATATAATGATAAAAGGACTGATTCATCACAAAGATGTAACTGTTAGAAATCTGTATGCACCTAATATTAGAACTTCCAAGTGTATGAAGCAAACATTGACAGAACTGAAGAGAGAAATAGCAGCACAATAGTAGGATACTTTGATACTCTATTTTCAATCATGGATAGAACAGTCAGACAAAAGACAAATAAGGAAGCAGAGGATGTGAACAACCCTGTAGGCCAGTTGGACCTAACAAGCATATAAAGAACACTGCTCTCTACTACAACAGAATATGAAATCTACTCATGCACACATGGAACAGTGTCCAAAAGAGACCATATGTTAGGGTACAAATAAGTTTTAACAGATTTAAGAAAATTGAAATTATACGTAATATCCTCTCGGACTATGACGGAATGAAACTAGAAATTGATAGCAGAGGAAAAACGGGAAATCCACAAATATGTAAAAATTGAACAACTCATTCTTAAGCAATGAATGGGTCAAAGTAGAAGTCACAATGTAATTTAGAAAATATCAGGAGACAAATGGAAATGAAAATACAACATACCAAAACTTACGGATGCAGCAAAAGCAGTAATAAGAGGGAGGTTAATAATGATACATGCTTACATTAAAAAAGAAGAAATATCTCAAGTCAATGCCCTAACTTCGCACCACAGGCAACTAGAAAAAGATTTTAAAAACTGAAAAATCAGTAGAAGTAATAGAATAATATATATTAGAGCAGAGATAAAGGAAATATAGAATAGAAAAATACTAGGAAAAAAATCAGTGTAAACAAGAGTTGATTTTTAAAAAGATCAACCAAATTGACAAACCCGTAGTAGACTGAGAAAAGAGTGTACTCAAATAAGTAAAATCAGAAATTAGAGACATGAAACAGATGATTCAGAAATAAAAAGAGTATAAAGACCACTATAAATAATTATTCACTGAAAAATTGGATAACCTGGAAGAAGTAGATAAATTGCTAGAAACATACAACTGCTTAAGACTGAGTCTTGAAGGAATAGAAATGTGAATAGACTTAGAACTAGCAAGGAGATTGAAGTAGTAATTTAAACTTCCCAATAAAGAAAATCCCTGGACCAAATGCCTCAGTGGAGAATTCTACCAAATACTTAAAGAAGAATTAACACCAGTTTTCCCCAAACCCTTCCAAAGAATTAAAGAAGTGGGACCACATTTAAACTCATTCTGTAAGCGCAGCTTTATGTTAAAACCAAAAACAAACAAGGACAGAAGAAAACTACAGACCATAACCCTGATGAACATTGATCTAGAAATTGTCAACAAAATACTAGCATACTCAACTCAGCAGTACATTAAAAGGATTATACACAATGTCAAATTGGAATTATACCTGAAATGCAAAGATGGCTCAACATACAATAATCAGTTAATATAATATACTGCAGAATGAAGGACCAGAACCACGTGATCGTTCCAATTGATGAAGAAAAAGCTTTTGACAAAATTCAATACCATGTCTTTTTTGTTTGTTTGTTTTTTCACTCTGTCGCCCAGGCTGGAGTGCAGTGTTGTGATCTTGGCTCACTGCAACCTCCACCTCCCGGGTTCAAGCGTATCTCCCACCTGAGCCTCCCAAGTAGCTGGGATTACAGACGCATGCCAACATGGCTGGCTAATTTTTGTATTTTTAGTAGAGACGGGGATTCACCATGTTGGCCAGGCTGGTCTCAAACTCCTGACCTCAAGTGATCCTCCTGCCTTGGCCTCCCAAAGTGCTGGGATTACTGGCATGAGCCACTGTGCCTGCCCTAATTCAATACCTTTTCATGACAAAAACACTCAACAAAGTAGAGAAGCAAACTACCTCAACCTAATGAAAGCCTTATATGAAAAATTTTACTTCTTTCCTTTCCAATTTGGATGGCTTTTATTTATTTACTTACTTATTCTTTGTCTAATTGCTCTGCCTAGGACTTAATACTAGGTTAAATAGAAGTGCTGAGAGTGGGCATCCTTGCTTTGTTTCTGATCTTAGAGAAAAAGCTTTCAATTTTTCACTGCTAAGCATGATGTTACTCATCCACTTTACAGTCAGAAAATTAAAAATGGAATTACCATATAATCTGGCAATCCTAACATTTGGTATATATTCAAAATAACTGAAAACAGCATCCTGAAGAGAGATTTGCACACCTATATTAATTGCAGTATTATTCACAATAGTCAGGAGGTGGAAGCAACCTAAATGTCCATGGATAGTTGAAAGGATAGAGGAAATGTGTTTAAGTACATACAATGGACTATTATTTCTGTTATGTATTACAACATGAATGAACCTTGAGGACATTATGCTAATGAAACGAGCCAGTCACAAAAAGCAAATACTTCATGATTCCACTTTGTGAGATGTCTAACATAGTCAAACTCATAGAAACAGAAAGTAGTGTTGTTACCAGGGGCTGGGAGAGAGGAGGAGGAAATGGGGAGTTGGGTAATGGGTATCAACATTTAGTGTTGCAAAACGAAAACATTCTCGCAATGAGTTGCACAAAAGTGTGCATATAGTTAATACTACTGTACTGTACATGTAAACATTGTCAAGATGGTAAATTTTATGTTATGTACTTTTTTTTTCTTTTTCTTTTTTTCAATTTTTTTAGTATTTATTGATCATTCTTGGGTGTTTCTCCGAGAGGGGGATTTGGCAGGGTCATAGGACAATAGTGGAGGGAAGGTCAGCAGATAAACAAGTGAACAAGGGTCTCTGGTTTTCCTAGGCAGAGGGCCCTGCGGCCTTCCGCAGTGTTTGTGTCCCTGGGTACTTGAGATTAGGGAGTGGTGATGACTGTTAAGGAGCATGCTGCCTTCAAGCATCTGTTTAACAAAGCACATCTTGCACCGCCCTTAATCCATTTAACCCTGAGTGGACACAACACATGTTTCAGAGAGCACGGGGTTGGGGGTAAGGCCATAGATTAACAGCATCCCAAGGCAGAAGAATTTTTCTTAGTACAGAACAAAATGGAGTCTCCCATGTCTACTTCTTTCTACACAGACACAGCAACAATCTGATTTCTCTTTCCTTTCCCCACACTTCCCCCCCTTCCACTCGACAAAACCGCCATCGTCATCATGGCCCGTTCTCAATGAGCTGTTGGGTACACCTCCCAGACGGGGTGGCGGCCGGGCAGAGGGGCTCCTCACTTCCCAGTAGGGGCGGCCGGGCAGAGGGGCCCCCCACCTCCCAGACGGGGCCGCCGGGTGGAGACGCTCCTCAGTTCCCAGACGGGGCAGCCAGGCAGAGGTGGCGCTAGACGTCTAGGTGGCACTTCCTAGACGGGGTGGCGGCCGGGCAGAGGCTGCAGTCTCGGCACTTTGGGAGGCCAAGGCAGGCGGCTGGGAGGTGGAGGTTGCAGCGAGCCGAGATCACGCCACTGCACTCCAGCCTGGGCACCATTGAGCACTGAGTGAACCAGACTCCGTCTGCCATCCCGGCACCTCGGGAGGCCGAGGCTGGCGGATCACTCGCGGTTAGGAGCTGGAGACCAGCCCGGCCAACACGGCGAAACCCCGTCTCCACCAAAAAATATAAAAACCAGTCAGGCGTGGCGGCGCGCGCCTGCAATCGCAGGCAGTCGGCAGGCTGAGGCAGGAGAATCAGGCAGGGAGGTCGCAGTGAGCCGAGATGGCAGCAGCACAGTCCAGCTTCGGCATCAGAGGGAGACCGTGGAAAGCGGGAGGCGGAGACGAGGCAGAGGGGGAGATGGTGGAAAGCGGAATAGGGAGAGGAAGAGGGAGACGGAGACGGAGAGGTGTACTTTTTACCACAATTTAAAAAATAGAAGATTTAGCAGTATTTTTCAAACTTGAAGACTCATATGTATTACTTGGGAATTTTGTTAAGTTTAGATTCCAATTTCAGGTCTGAGGTAGGGCCTGGAATTCTGCATTTCTAACAAACTTCAAGGTGATGCCAGTGCTTCTGCTCTAGGGATCACATTTTCAGTGGCAAAAAGTTGTGAAATCATAGATCTCTTCTCTGTCTTGTAGTGGATGGAGTTCCGGAGGGTGTACATTTAACAAGCTTCTGGTGATTTTTATGGTCAATTAAATTGAGTTTATTTGAGGTGCCACAGATCTGTAATCTGCTTTCTAGATCCCTTTCTTACCCATTCTTAAGCCATCACAGCAGAGTACCTTTCTAACTTATAAGATTGTGTAGAGGTTGGAAGGAGGACAGGACTGTTCTGTTGGTATAATGACCCTGTGTCCAGTTAATCCATGCTTCCATTGCTACATTATCCAAGAGTGCAACATGACCCAACAAAACCTCTATCAGTCATGTGAGGCATTTTTTTTTTAACAGAAGAAGAGCATTGGCACCAACAATATTCCATCTCTTCTTTTTCCAGCATGAGAAGACCATGGTTCTTCTAGACTCCTAAAGAAAGTCATTTGTACTTAGTGTAAGGCGTGTTGCTTTTGGTAAAGTCTTTTGAATGTGATGAAAATGAACATAGCACAAAGGCAAAATATATGCTCTCATTGCCTGCAAAACTGTTTCTGGTGCTTTATTGAAAGAGCATGATAAGCAAGATATCAGTCACTGCCGCATTGCATAAACATAGCTCTTCTACATTGTAATATGGTTCTGGTGAGCCTGCATGTCTAGAATAGAGCCTGTATCACTGAAGTGCATGAAACTGCTGTGATAACTTGTCTCACAAAGCCTCAGGGAACACATTATTTGAGCAAGTAAACTCAAGGTGAAGTTCTTACCTTCTCAGTCCTGGGTCAGCTGTTGGACATACTGGGGAGGAAAGAGGAGACCATGTGCTTCTGCCGAACAAGACCCAAATCTGGGGAAAGCTGAACTTCCAGGGTGCACTTGCCCTGTTACCTTCTCCTAAGTACATGTTGTGGGAAAAGTAGGGAAAGGCGGTTAGCTGCTAGAGCTAGCTCAGCAGCAGGAGCTCATTCTATGTATCTCTTCTCAACCCAGCGTTCAGTGACTTCATGTTGATAGCTTGAAATTGGCCAAGGTAGGAATATTTACACCACAGAAATTGGCAAGGACTACAAACCAAATTCTTTGGTGTTTTATTTTATTGTTTTGTTTTATTTAGAGAGCCACTTGTAAAACATTTACTATCACACCAGTTCAGATGATTTAGTAGTATAAACAGCCCATGTGGTATTTCTTGGATAATTTGTTTCATTAGACTGAGGTACAACTCCAAAGAGGATGTCATGTCCTGTACACAGGACTGGAAGTTCACGAAGCCATTCATAACCCTATATGAAGGGGAGAAAGAGATGTAGTGTTCAGGCAAAGCCTCATGAGACGGGAATTTCCTGTTTTGAACTGAATCCCTGATTTCTTTCCTGCAACATACATTCATTCATCAAATATTGATTATCAACTTTTTTATAATACACAAAAGGGAAAGAGGCTCTTACTTGAATTATGCCAGAAGTCAGACAAAAGAAAGATTGTTGCTTTTTGGCTGGTCATGGTGGCTTACGCCTATAATCCCAGCACTTTGGGAGGCCAAGGCAGTAAGATGACTTGAAGTCAGGAGTTCAAGACCAGCCTGGCCAAGATGGTGAAACCCCATCTCTACTAAAAATACAAAAAAAAAAAAAATTGCCAGGTGTGGTGGCACACATCTGTAGTCCCAGCTACTCAGGAGGCTGAGGCAGGAGAATCACTTGAACCCAGAAGGCGGAGGCTGCAGTGAGCCAAGATTGCACCACTGCACTCCAGCCTGGGTGACAGAGCAAGACTCTGTCTCAGAAAAAAAAAAAAAAAAAAAAAAAACCAGATCGTTGCTTTTTAAAAATTGACTTAATTCTTCAATAGGTTCATTGATTAAATATCAACTTTGTATCAAGCACCGTGCCAGGCCCAAGGGATATACAGATCCAGGATACATATTCTTGCCTTCAAGGAACTGATGTTCTAATAATAGCTAATAACAAGAGCTACTATTTCCTAGCTACTGAAATTCTAGGGTTCTCACTATCATAGTCTAATGACTCTCTTCTGTTCATTTAGCAGACTTCGCATACTGTACACTACCTGCATAACCAAGGACTTGAGTTTGTATAAGAGTTTAAGACACTGACATGTAAATGAAATATCACCAATTTGGACTGATATAAGAAAGTCGATGTGATTACAGAGTGTTTAAAATGCAGACTGTCTTATTATCTTTATATGGATAGGATGGGTCAAAGGAGGTTAACAAGAATTTAGCAGCTGAAGCCCTACTTAAAGCATTATATAAGAATTAATTTTAATCAACATGTTGATTATATAAGAAATAATGTTCTAAAATGTCTTTAAAATATTTTTCTGGGAATAAGAGAAAACCTCCACCTATGTTTATGTAACTGATTTTTGAGTTTTCAAGTCTTTTATAAAAAAAAATAAAAGGCCATACCTAATCCTACTTGTTGGCAGAGAAAGATGAGAGATCTTGAAATGGCTCCCGTGCTCAAAGTATTTGTCAGTTTTCATAGAGCCCGAAGTGCCGATATTGAAGATGTATTTCTTATCCATACCAGCATGTAATACTCAGCAGGAAAAAGGAACAAAAACTCCAAAAGGTCACATACTGTATGATTACACACCACACACACACAGACTCTCTCTCACACACATATGTATCTAAAACATTCTCAGAATGACTAAACTATAGTAATGGGAAGAGGTCAGTGGTTTCCAGGAGTTACAGAGGGGAGGTAGAAGGAGGCTGGATATGACTGTGAAGGGGAAGCAAGAGGAAGATCCTTGTGACAATAGAATAGTTCCCTATCTCAGTTTCCATGGTGCTTTTGCCCAGTCTACATGTGTGATACATACACATTATACCAAGTATCAGTTTCTTTGTTTTTGTATTTAACTGTATCTACATAAGATGTAACCATTGGGGGAGACGGGGTGAAGGATGCACAGGACCTTTCTGTATTATATTTGGTACTTTCTGTGGGTCTATAATTATTTCAAAATAAACATTTTCTGTTTTCAAACAATGATGTGTTTCTCGGACTCTAAGAAAATTTTCAGCAGAAGAAAAGTCCGTGATAATGGTGACTGGGGTAGTGCAGTAGTGGAAATAGCAGTGGAGAGGGGACGTATGAAGTTCTTAATCTGGATCAAATACTGTGCTAAGTACTTTATGTTCAATACATGTATTATTTTATTTAATCCTCAAAATAATCTCATGATTGTAAAATTCTTTTGTTTCATAATAACGCCCAAAGGAATAGGAGTTTTTAAACCCAAGAGCTGCCCGTGGAAGAAGCATTATTAGAGCCATCAGGAAACAGGGCATTCAGTGAATTAGACCGAAACAATAGAAGGATGGATATTAGGAACACTAGAAGGGGCACATCATGCTAACATCAAAATGGAAAAATCATCTACTTCAGAGTTGTGTTGAGAGTCTCCTTGTGAATATCATTCATAATAAGAGAGCACTGACTTGTTTTTTAAAAGACAGGGTCTCACCGTCACCAAAGCTGCAGTGTAGTGGTGTGAGCCTAGCTCACTGCAGCCTTGAACTCCTGAGTTCAAGTGATCTTCTCACCTCAGCTTTCCAAGAAGCAAGGGCTACAGGCATTCACCACTACACCTGGCTAATGTTTTATTTTTTATAGAGACTGAGTCTCACTGTGTCACCGAGGCTGGTCTTGAACTCCTGGTTTCGAGTGATCCTCCCGCCTTGGCCTCCCAAAGTGCTGGGATTACAGGCGTGAGCCAACACACCTGACCTCAGAGAAGGCTGATTTTTGAATCAGCCATTCTAAAACAGTGGACCTAGAAAGAAGAAATCTTCTACCAGTAGCCTTCTTTCTAGATAGCAATCCAACAGGCCAAAAGAAATTTGGGGTCTCATAATCTGATACCAATATTTTCTCCTCAGTAGTGAAAAGATTTGAATTAATGCATTTACTCTAAGCTTGTTTTTAGGGAATGATGAGGTAATAGTTAAAGAAAGTAGACAACGGTTAAAGTAATAAGAAATGCTGAACTTCCAAAAAAGCTGGCCTTAATATTCTCCATCAACTGGCAGTGTTCCCAGTGATGCTTCTATCACAGACTGTGATAGAACTGGCATTACACAATAATCCTTTCTTCTTCAATAATGTAGTAAGACATCACATCCATATATTTCCCAAATAGGACTGCCACTGCATATCTAGTTAAGGAGCTATCATTCTACTGTTTCTCTTGAGAAATGACACTAAAGCAAAAAACTTTTAAGTTTTTGAGGGGTTCTATTGGCCACTTAAAATACCCTTGATATATGACCAAAATTCATTTAACTAACTAAAAACAAATAGTTGTGAATTACATAGAGGGCTTCTCTCAGCCAGATGCTTCTCATAGATAATCTAATAAAGATCATTGAAAAATAATAAAAAGTTGCATTTCTCACATGGAGGAGGACCCATAATACAGTTCATTCTAATACTGAGGGAGTGGTGCCCTCTAGCAGTGCATGTGAGAAATATTATCATTTAAGTATATTAAATACAGCAAATAAGGAGCTCCCAGTATCTCAGCTACTCTCAGACATAAGGGGCAATTTGACAGTTCTGAGCTACTAGAAACTACTGAAGTTTCACTTCCATGTGCACTAATTTTTTAAGTGCCAGCGAAGGTTAGATTCTAATAGTGCCCTTCTGGGGATTTACCAATAACTTTTAAAACCTCATTACCTGTGAATGTCAAATAGAACAGGTCCCTTTCACTTTTCCTTCAAACCTCCCCTAGGTCAGTGTTTGAGGATGAGAATAAAGGGTACAAATAGGAAAAAGGATCATCCTACAAGCTGAACAGCATCTCTGGTGCAAAAGATGCTCACAAAATGGGAGAATGTTAAGAAATCCATTAATAGCTCAAGTATTCAAAAACTGATGGAGTTCTGACAATTTTCCCTTAAAAGTACCACAGTTTATGGTTACAACTGATAAATTTGCAGGGTTAGATAACTTCAGAAGCTAATTAAGTAAATTGAGTTAACAAAAGAAAAGAACTTGATTTTTTTTTTTTTTTTTTTTTTGAGACGGAGTCTAGCTCTGTCCCCCAGGCTGGAGTGCAGTGGCACGATCTTGGCTCACTGCAATCTCCACCTCCCAGGTTAAAGCGCTTCTTATGCCTCAGCCTCCCCAGTAGTTGGATTACAGAGGTGCAACACCACGCCCAGCTAATTTTGTATTTTTAGTAGAGACGGGGTTTTGCCATGTTGGCCAGGCTGGTCTCGAACTCCTGGCCTCATGTGATCTGCCCACCTCAGCCTCCCAAAGTGCTGGGATTACAGACATGAGCCATCATGCCCGGCCTTGAATTTTTAATTCCATTTTAATTAGTGAAAGATGTTCCAGCCAGTCTTATCTCGATAAGATATCCAAAAGATTATATGCACACCAATAGTACATTACAAATGCTTTTGAAACTGAAAGGTGTGTTTTCTGGTTTCTGTGTGTCTGATATGCTATTTCAAATCCTGTAAAAGCAAAATGTAGTTTTTTGACAAATATGCCCATGTGTTGTGCACAGTTTGATTTATGTAAACTCATTTCAAATGCTACTGCAGAATTTCTCCTGAATGGATGAAAAATGTCCGCCTAAAGTGATAAAATTATATGTGTAGAAAGATACAGTTTTAAGAAGGGATTTTTATATGATACAGATTTGTAACTCTATTTCACAAAATATCATTTAAAAAAAAACTTCAAGAATACCTGACTTTTTTTTTTTACATTTTTCTGTCAGTTCAGGGGTTTGCATTGAGTTTGCTCTGCTGAAACACTTTTCTGTGACTTAGCTTATATGGGATTGGTAAGTAGGGGAATGATGTCAGTATAACATAGACCCTGGATTTGTTCAGGTATTTTACTAAGTAGCAGCAACCAAACACAAAGCCTACGAACACAGATTAACACAGCTAGCCAAGGGAAAATACCTACTGCACATGATTCCCATTCATGCCACATTCTTCCTGTTGGTGCAGTGTGGCCACGTACTCCAACATGGGAGTGCTTATTGCGTAATTCTCAATCTTTCTGCAATTTGCACTTATTTCATAGCTTAGCAATCTCAACTCTTCCTTCTTTCTTCCATCAAGCTACCTTCTCATGCATGTGCACACACACATACACTGTATTTTTTGTAGTAGTTATTATGAATTTAACTTATCTTTTTAATCATGTTTATATTTAATTATGTTTGATAATTACTAGGATGGTTATTGTTTTTGTAGTGTTCTCGTTACATAAATATTGAGTAGGTGTCCTGACCCTATCTTTTTCATAAACCCTACAATTTTTATTGCATGATTTTGCAGACCATAGAAGAAATGCGTTTATCTCATTAAAGCAAAAACATCTGTACATCTGTACTTGCACTCTACTTATTAATTGCACTTATTATCATTGAATTACTCCCAGAATTATAGACTTCCCTCATAAATCTGAGGTAAACAGATTGAGATATCAATTGCCTACTAGATTCATTTTTAAAATTTTACCTTCGCATGAGAATACCAGCCCCAGGTGTACATTGCATGGCCCTATTAAAAAGTGACCTCTCCATCTTTATTTGTTTCTAGGCAGTTACCGAAAGTATTTCCACAACAAAAGAATGTAATCAAGATTTGACTTGCTTCCACTGAAGCTTACTTTCATTTTTAAACATCATTAGCCTATGATTTAGGAACTTTTAAGAAATTGGCCCCCATTACCCCCCAAGCCCCCGCATTCACATAACACACACCTCAAGTTCTCCTTTAAGTAATTTGTGATTTATATTTCAATTTTACATTCAACATGGTCTTAAATATTAAATTCCACCAGGTCAAACTGCAATGAGTCAGGCTTTTAAAATATGATAAAATTAAGATTCCAAGAAATGAATCCTTCCATTCCAAAATCTCTTCTTGCACATTAATTCAATTAACTCAGAAGAAAATAGATATTTTCCAGGAAAAATGTCTTTTATTTTACTTTTGTGCGAATACAAATATGTATCTTTTGTTTTAGGAAAGAAATAATTCTCTGATAGTATTTCCATAGGACTATGTTACTGGTGTTAGCATGAGTGAATTTTTTAGAACGCTAGTGGTGAGCATATAATAGAGCTATCTCAACACCTACACTCCAAGAACAAGTCACAGCTTCTCCTAAATGAGCCAAGCATTGCATTGGGCACTTGCAGTGAAAAGCTAAACAAAACCCTGTGTTTAAGAAGCTTACGGAGAGTGACAATAGAGACAGTTCAGCATGTTCTCTAATAGAGATATATATGAAGAGTGCTATGGGACAAAGCAGAGGTGGCGACCATATCAGAGAGCAAATGCTTTAACCTACACAATTAAAAAAAAAAATCTTATGGCGTTCCTAATTTTGTTTCTTTCCCTTTCAATTTTCTGAAATTTTAAAATGTTTGTTCACTTGAACATACAATAAATTTTCTTTAAAAGAGTCCCTCAACAGGGAGATGAGAATATTCTGTGTCTTGATCTTCATGGTGGTGTATACCAAATTCACCAAACTGTACACACACAAATGTACCTTTTACCAAATGCAAATTATACCTCAAAGTTTACTAAATCCATCAAAACATACAGTGCTACATACTTTAAAAAAATTAGCTTCCTCCCTTTGATGACCAAGGTAGCAATAAGTGTATTAGAGAAAGAAAAAGATGCTGGGTGTGGTGGCTCATGCCTGTAATCCCCGCACTTTGGGAGGCTGAGGCGGGCGGATCACGAGGTCAAGAGCTCGAGACCATCCTGGCCAACATGGTGAAACGCCATCACTACTAAAATACAAAAATTACCTGGGCGTGGTCATGCGTGCCTGTAGTCCCAGCTACTAGGGAGGCTGAGGCAGGAGAGTCACTTGAACCCGGGAGGCGGAGGTTGCAGTGAGCCAAGATTGCACCACTGCACTGGCAACAGAGCAAGACTCTGTCTCAAAAAAGAAAGAAAGAAAAAGACTAAGGAATTATCTCATGGAAGGCTGTCTTGCATAATAATTATTTTTTGTACTGTCTTTCAGCTGTAGGTCCAGATTTTTCAAGAACACTCTTGAAAAGAGTAACTCTTGTCAAAGTGGGAGGTGAAGTTGTCATTGAGTGTAAGCCAAAAGCGTCTCCAAAACCTGTTTACACCTGGAAGAAAGGAAGGGATATATTAAAAGAAAATGAAAGGTACTGTCTTGAATTATTTTCAATATTTGGTTAACCTGTAAAAATGTGTTGGTCTGTTATTAATAATTCTAAGGGGAAGGTGGGGTGACTATCTGCTGTTCCTGAACTAAGTGTTAAAAAAAGAACAGAAGCTTTGGAAGGATGAGTGGTAAGTTATTGATCTTTATAGTCCTTCTGGATTTGGGAATTCTACAAAGCACTCCGTGCAGAGATAGATCACATGATCCCCGCTGAAGACTGCCAGAGCTGCCTGAAGATGAACAGTTAGAAACATCCTCCTTAATTTAAGCCTGAAATTTTTGTAGATTTCCCCACCTTTCCCCATCCTAAGTCCTTTGGTATATGTAAATAAGCCCATGTCTTATTTGCTATGACAACCCTTCAATTATTTGGCAGTGGCTATTATGTCTCCTGTTAGTTTCTCCTTTTTTGAGGCTGTCTCAAAACTCATTCAAAACTCATTCTTTTCAAAACTCATACTTCAAACAGCAGAGTGTTATGCTTTTTATTTCAACTACATATTTTTGAGAAAACAGGTTTTTTTTCTAATATCTAAACTCTTCATCTGTATATTTCTTATACATGAATTACATTTAGAATGCATGTAGTGTATACAATGCAAATATATAGGAGTTATTTGAGGTTTTACATTAGCTTGCACGAAATGGCAGGTGTCTCTAAGACCTTTTCTTGGCTGTCACCCCTGTAAAATATCCCCTACCTTTTTCTATAATCTACTTAATCTGTTGCAAAATGGTAATTATGCGTGAATCTGTTTGTCACCTATAAGACAGGATTTGCCAGCTGTATATATAATGATTTTAATTAATGCTAAAGGTCAGGTACTCAAGGATGCAAGAAGGAAGCCTATAAAAATGTGTACGTATCTACCCTTTACACCTGTACACCTTTGGATTTGCATATACATATTAGACCTGATGATGATGGTGTTGTCCATTTTAATGTAAACCTGATATGGTTTATAAATGGTGTATTCATACTTTTTTTAACACTTGCTATGGACTAAGGAGTAACAAATGTATTAAATTTGTGGTATACATCCCTTTCTGATTTCTGGTGTATCAAGAAAGCAGTGTAGTTCATTGAATGTTGACATGGCATTCAAATTTGTAGCCAAACCTGAAAATCAATAGCATAATTGCTTATTTTGCAGTCATCAACATGAGATTCATTTTCTGTTTTATTTACTTCAGTGTTTCTTAAAATGTGGCACGTGAGATTACTTTTAATAGCTATGTACTTACTTTTAATATAGTTGAAATATAACTAGTATGTACCACATGTATTTCTCAGAATAAGGCTACATTTTAAAAGTTTTAATTTTAAAATGACACTAAGAAAATAATAATATGGGTATTAGACATGTCAAAAATCATGAATGAATAAAGTTATAATAACACTGTAGGTCAATCAGGAGAAGCTAAGCTATGCTACTGTAACAAGCAACCCTGAGTTCTGGCTTATAACAACAAAAGGCAATTTCTCTTTTGCACCTAGTGTACATCAGGGGTTTGGTAGTGGCTCTGCTCCTCTCTAAGGCCAGCCTGGTGGACCAAGATGCTCTGGACGTTGCCATTGCAGAAGGAAAAGAGCCAAACATGCATGGGTTCTTAAAGCCTCTACTTAGAAGTGCAACACTTGCACTTTCACTCACATTTCATTGGCCAAAACAGGTCACATGTTCCTGCAACTCAGCAGGGAAATATAATCTTGCTATGTGCCTGGAAGAAAAGAGACAACCTAATATTTTGAACAGTATTAATGACTGCTTACAACTGCTACAGCTTAACCATTGTTACAAGCTAATTAAATTACCTTTGGGGAAATAGTATGCCAGTATCAAGAATTCTATATGATATGTGAATTTAATTGATTGTTTCCACCACTTGACTTACCACAAAGCTTGTCTTTATCCAGATTTCATTCTATCTATTCCTGACTTGACTAATAAGGTCCAAATATGCTTCAACATTTATTTTGCACTAAAATATATATTTAAACTGAGGAAACTCCCCATCATTACCTAATTCCTGCTATTTATCGCCTCCACCTTCTCTGTCAGCAGGCTAGTCCCAAACTATCAATATTAGCACTTATTCTCCACATGAGTGCTGTGTTCTCACAGTTCTGATCCTCGTTCCCACCTCACTCAGAATGTATTAACCAGATATGATGATTTTGTTAATGTAAATGCATTAAAAAACTGGCCAGGTGTAGTATATAGGGGAATGCTGGGGACTTCAGTGTTTGCCCCATCCAAGGGAGACACCTGCCACTCAGCCATATGGAGACACAGGTCAGGTGCCTGCTCATCTTCTTGTTCTTCAAGAGAAACTAGAAATCTAGACTTTTGTTTGAGCTTCCATTTTTTAAATGTCAGCAACTAATTTTTATTTTGATGATGTACAATATAAACTGTGTGCTTATAGACCAAGTTTACTTCATGAGCCACGGGTTTTTAACTTCTGAGAACATGAAGTGGAACATTTCATAGTTTCTGAAATGGGTGAACAATAAGAAAGATTTTATGATTGTTTTCTCATTGGCAGAGAAGAGATTCTGCCATTTTTCTCATTTCTTTCTGATAGAGAAGAGGGAAAATTAAGTGGATGAGTGAGAAAAAGCAATTGTAGATGAAACTGATGAGTAAAAAATTTTAGAACCCCTATTTTGGGAAAGGATTGACCTGGTAGACCAACATGAAGTGCAAAATTCTTTGACTACACAGCTTTGAGTAATAATTTCTAATGCACTGCCTCATTAGCCTTAATTCTCTTTTCAGATGTAGAATCTTAGGAAACAAAAGGCAAGTCTTTAACCTTTGATTAAAAATATTATTAATCCCTTAAGTAAAAAATACTGGCATAACACAGTGAAACAACACTTTATGATCAAGCCCCTTTTATTAATGTTCTGCCTAGATTCTGTGTTTTGAAAGACTTTGCTAAACTCTTACTTATTGACATTTAATTTCAATTTTAATTAATCAACTGCCTACAAATGAGTTTACAGTAGTGGTATTAGAAGCAATATTTTAAAAATTAAAAAGGTTTTGTCTCATCTAACCATGTGGTGATATTGTAGTTAGCTAAGTGGATATAGATTCAGAAACACTGGTTTAACATTAACATGTTCGTTATCTTAAAAATATGTTTAAAATATGTTATTGTTTTGGCTTCCCATTCTTTTGGAAATATACAGCATATTCACACTAGCCTTATCTATGTTAATCCAAGCATCTAAATGAAAGATTGAAAAGTCAAGTAATTTCATAGCATTCTTCTTGGGTAAGCAGAATATCCATAAACATAAAACATTTCTTATTGTCTTGTGTGTGTCTCCAGCAATCAGTGTAGGCAATATCAGGCATTTAAAACAGGGAAGACCTGTCACACAGCTCAAGAGCTTTAGTCCTCAGGAGAGGTCTCTAGTCACCATAAAGGCAGTTGGAATCATTTGGATGAATTGAGGAATTAAGCCTACTAACTGAATAAGGTTGATTATTTTATTTACTGTTAGTTTTTAGACAGAAGGTACTTTGAGGCAGGTAAGACTGAAGTTGACCTATTAAAAACAAAAACATTAAAATACAGAAATAGCAGAATCATTAATAAAAATCCTAGAATCCTAGGATTATAAGGAGCTATACAACAATTGTATCAACCCAGGGTGGATGCTTTTGGTTACAAGTAAGAGAAACCCAACTCAAAAGGACAAACGAGAATTCATTGGCTCATGTATTTGAGAAGATCCAGGATGGATTGCAACTGCAGGTATGACAGGGCTTAGGTGCTCACACAGTATCATCAGGACTCTGTCTCGCTCTCTTCCTGTCTCACCTGCACCTTTGGCTGTTTTGGCTTCTTTTCCAACAGGCTCTCCTCTCCTGCTAGTAGGATGACTACTGGAGCCATGTACTCACCCTCTTTTCCAATGTATCGCAATGTCCACTGATCAGGCAGACGTGAGTCATGTGCTTATCCTAAGAGGCACATGGGGAAGCCCATCTCAAACCACATGGACTGAGAATGGGACAGGGGTTTTCCCAAAGAAATCGAGCTGCTATCACCAGAAGAAGAGGGAATGGATGCTGCGCAGAGGCTGATGCCAAACTCCCACCATAATTACAGAGCCCATCTTCCATGCCAGGGCAGGGATCCCCACAATGGCTGGGCCCACATCCTTCCCTGGTTACTAATAATGATGGAGACCTTACTAATTGTTAGATTATGTCCTTGCAACTTCCACTCATTTTTGGTTTCACTTTGTGGAATTTTACTGACAAATCAGATTGTTCTCCACCACCCCTCCCTTCCCTTTCTATACTGGGAGGCTACCCTATGTTCTCTTTCAATTCTTTTCTAAGCCCAGATGTCCCCCTTGTATCTGATTTTCTTCAGACAGCGTTGTTTGGCATCCTCTCACTGTTTTGGTCATTTCCAAGCGGTTTTAATAAGGGAAAAAGTAGCTTTATTTATCTCCACAGAAAAGGATGATGATTATTATTGTTATACTAGAGAGAAAAAATGACCTTCAGCGAGTTTGGATTAGTAAGGCAAGCAAGTGAATGATATAACATAGAAAGACCACTCCCTGCCAATGTTTATTTTTAAAAATTAATGTGGTGCTTAGACAAGAAAGTTTAGTTGTCTGGAAAAATCACTGAGACAAAATATTTTACTTTTCACCGAAGCCAAATAAATTAATAAACTGTCACTCTCATTAATGTTGAGTAAATAAAGTCTTCTTATTCTTATGCTTAAGGGTTTCCCCCCACCCTTTTAAATATTAGACTAATACATTATGTCAAGCAAATGGATAATAAGCAGGTATAGGTACGCCACTGAATTTTTCCAAAAAGAATCTCACACCTACAGTCTGCATGTCGCAGGCTTGGGTTTAGAACAGCAGCATGACTCTGTTTTGTGAATCTAGCCAATTCCAGTTTCATTCCATGGATGCAGCACTCACTGGGTATTTACCTTTGCTTAGCACTAGAGAGAGAGAAAAAAAAGGAGACATGAACCTAGCTAGCCCTCACGGTGCTCATAGACTAGCGCAGAGGCCCAGTAGCACAATATCAATATAAATTTTTCAACAATCCTGAGGCATATGTTATAAAGGTGATGTATTGAGAAGGACTACTGGAAAATGTAGGGCAGCGATAGATTGTGGAGGCCTTGTATTTTATGTCTGTGGAGTTTAGACTTGAATCAGAAGACCATGGACAGAATTGAAGGATTTTATGCAAGGGAGTGTGCAGTCATATGCATGCTACAGAAAAATTACTGTGCCTGCAACATGCAGAAGGAATCAGGGTAGGGCAAGGTTGAGGATGCAGAGAGGGCAATTCCAGGTAGCAGTCTAGGAAGAAAATCACAACACGTGGATCACATCAGTCTCCTGAGAGTGAAAGAGAGAAGGGTGATATACGGACTATTAAAGGGTAGAACTGAAAACACTTAATGACCTAGTAAGTAGAAGGATTGAAAAAAGGAGGAGGAAAAAGAGGAAATGCCTCCTAGGATCCCATCTTTAGGAACTGACGAATGGCAGTTCCTAATACCACTTGCCGCAGTAGTAAACAGAGAAGGAGCAAGACTGAGAGGGGGCAAATAAAGAGGTTACTGTTAGCATGTTGAATGTGAGGTGCCTGCAAGTGGTGACGTCATTCAAACGGGGATTCCCATTCAAGTGTCACCTGCTCAGAGACACTTTTCCCAGTAACATACTTAAAATGGTAAAACCCTCACCTTCTTTTCCTAATTTATATATTTTATAGTATTTGTCACCATCCCACATACTATGTATTAACTTTTAATTGTTTATTTATTTATTATTTTTTAGAGACAGAGTCTTGCTCCATTGCCCAGGCTGGACAGCAGTGGTGAGATTATAGCTCACTGCAGCCTTGAACTCCTGGGCAAAAGCGATCCTCCCACCTCAGCCCCCTGAGAAGCTGTGATCACAGGCACATGCCACCATGCCTAGCTAATTTGTTTTGTTTTGTTTCGTTTTGTTGCTTGTAGAGACAGAGGCTTGTTATATTATTGCCCAGGCTGGTCTTGAATTCCTGGCCTTAAGCAAACCTCCTGTCTCAGCCTCCCAAAGTGCTAGGATTACAGGCAGAAGCCACCACACCTTGCCCACATTTTAACCTTATCATCGATCTTCTCCACCCTCCACCCATTGGATCGTAAATTCCATGAGAATAGAAATGTGTGCTGCATGTGCGTGCATGTGTGTGTGTGGCCGGGGTGGGGGGTGGGAGTTTGGCTTAAACAGTACAAATTTAGGCCGGGCGCAGTGGCTCACGCCTGTCATCCCAGCACTTTGGGACGTCGAGGCAGGCGGATCACGAGGTCAGGAGATCGAGACCATCCTGGCTAACACGGTGAAACCCTCTCTTTACTAAAAATACAAAAAAATTAGCCGGGCGTGGTGGTGGGCGCCTGTAGTCCCAGCTACTCGGGAGGCTGAGGCAGGAGAATGGCGTGAACCCAGAAGGCGGAGCTTGCAGTGAGCCGAGATTGCACCACTGCACTCCAGCCTGAGTGACAGAGCGAGACTCCGTCTCAAAAAATAAATAAAAAATAAAAAATAAGTACAAATTGAGATTCTTATAGTTCTGGAGATAAAAATTCTGATATGGGCCTCATTGGTCTAAAATCAAGGCTTCAGCAGAGATACACTCATTCTGGAGGCTCTAGGGGAGAATCTGTTTCCAGCTTCTACAGGTCACCTCCATTCCTTGGCTCGTGGTCCCTTCGCTCCATCTTCAGAGCTTAATGAAAAAGTGAGGGAGGCAAGTCTTAATCGGTAGAGGTTTATTTCGCCAGGGTTGAGGACATGGCTGGGAAATACATACGTCACTGGAGCATCTGTTACTGGTGCTCTTCCAAAAGGGGGTTTGAGGATTTTTCAGTATTTAAAAGGGAAAGAGCAAGCAAGAGAGAAAAAAAAGGAGGGAGGGTGGACAAAGATGCAGATGCTTACAGTCTTTATTTATTTATTTATTTATTTATTTATTTATTTATTTAGAGACGGAGTCTCGCTCTGTCGCCCAGGCTGGAGGGCAGTGGCGCGATCTCGGCTCCCTGCGAGCTCCGCCTCCCGGGTTCACATCATTCTCTTGCCTCAGCCTCCCGAGTAGCTGGGACTACAGGCACCCACCACTATGCCCGGCTAATTTTTTGTATTTTTAGTAGAGACGAAGTTTCACCGTGTTAGCCAGGATGGTCTCGATCTCCTGACCTCGTGATCCGCCCGCCTCGGCCTCCCAAAGTGCTGGGATTACAGGTGTGAGCCACCGCGCCCGGCCCAGATGGTTACATTTTTATGAGGCTGTGATCGGCCTCAGGAAATGTACATTTTACGTGTGAAAAGAGGGCATCAAGGAAAAAGTCAGTTATGCATTCGTCGCAGGGTCAGCCAAGGGATAATTTCTGGTTTTGTCCTTTTCCTCTCCGTGGGAAGATAAGCTGGTAATTGACGTTGTCAGGGTGAGATTCAACGGAATTTGGTTTTAGGGCTAGTTTATACAGGGGATATGTATCCTGAAAGATTTAGGGGCTCACAAGGAATTTCATTTGTGACGCAGGCCATCTGGGGAGATACGTGGCCTTCTGTCATTGTGGGAACCTGGCTTATGGGTGAGGCTGTGATACAGGGTTGTGAAATTACAGCTATCGGTCTGGGAACAAAAGGAAAGCAGTGTTGCGTGACTCAGTTCCCAAGCTTAACTTTTTCTTTGGCATAGTGAGTTTGGAGTCCCAAGATTCTATTTTCTTTCACGCTAGTAAAGGCAAGTTCTTCCCCCATCCCACCACTCTGACCTCTCTTCTGCCTCCTTCTTCCATTTTGAAAGGCCTTTTCTATTGGGCTTTCTGTATATGTTTTATTCCGTTCTTTAACACTACAACACTGCCTGGCATAGCATAAGTGCTATGTGAGTGTCCAATAGGAAACTGGAAGTATAGATCTGAGTTCTGGAATAGAGACAGAGATACAGACATCAGTAGATAAGAAGCCATGGAGTGCATTGGAGTGCATATGTTCATCCAGAGAGAGTTCTACAGAATGAGAACATCTATGGCTCAAAGGAAGGTACCCTGAGGAACAGACACATTCAGAGAATGAGCGGAAGCCACGCCTGCTGGGAGGTTTGAAGGAGACTCAAAGAGGTGGGAGAACATCTAGGAGAAAGTAACAAACAGAAGCCAAGGGAGAAGAAAGGTGCAACAAGG
Organism: Homo sapiens; assembly: GCF_000001405.40. Classification (NCBI taxonomy): domain Eukaryota; kingdom Metazoa; phylum Chordata; class Mammalia; order Primates; family Hominidae; genus Homo; species Homo sapiens. The sequence goes on from NC_000003.12 coordinate 2,934,047, forward strand.
AGTAAGCGCTTGGTGCTTCCAAGACCCTCAAAAAAATAATGGTGCAAGCATGACTGCTGGATTTAGGAACCTTAACGTTACCTTGGGCAGAGTACTTTTAGGCCACTGTGGACCAGTTTTGAAGACACAATAAAATTGTATAAACATCCATATTCTTAGGCATGTCTTGCCAAACCGAAATACATGTTTAGGTCTGCCTGACCCCTGCAGTGTAATCAGATCAAGTCTAGCATTCTGTGAAAATATCCAACTGAAATAAGAATGAAATTCATGCTCATGTGTCTTGTCTATAGACACTGGTATCTGCCTCCAAAGTGAAATTGGATCATAACCCTAATTTGCCTCTCTTCCCAAAGGCTTTTGGAAGAGTTGAAATTCATGTAAGACATGGAAGGAAATCCCAGTGCAGGGCTGCACAACTCTGTGTTGCACACAAGGTGTGAAACCCAGGTCCAAAGACGCTGGCAGTCTGGGAGGCAAAGCAAATGTGATGGCAGGTATTTGCCCAGAAGGCCGATGGAATCCTGGTGTGGAAAGTAAAGTTTATTGCTTCAGGCATTCTGTCTCTGTTCTGGAGGCAGAGTGTCTATATATGTGCTCTTAATGAGAAACCTGCCCTCAGGATATCTCTTACAGTTGCTGCAGAGCTATAAAGCTCTGTTATTAGGAATTCTGCCCTGGGGAACAATTATGTTATTGCAATAATTAGAGGCAGTTCATCTCCATAATAATGGAAATCCTGCCTTGTAGGCAAAACAACATCAAAGCAACAGGAGCGTCATTGCTCTAGTTAGAATCTGCTGCCCTGCTTATTGGTAGTACTATCATTTTAATTTTGCACATGCAGTTACGAAAGAGAGCTTATACCGCTCTTCAAATTCAGACCTAGAACTTCTTGCCGTTACTTCAGTTTGTCTCTCCTAGAGCCATGGATAAAATAGTTACGGCGTTGAGCTCTCCTGAAGTGCAGTTGCAAAAGTGTTTAGGGAGATTGGTGTTTTAAAAATGTTTGTCAGAATCCACAGGCCCAGTCCTCTGGGAGACCCCATAAACTTACCCTCAGCCAAAGCCTTTTCTATGTGGGTATAGTATGGCATGTTATTTTATGGCCAGGGTTAAAATGATGACTAAATCCGGTGACTACCTGAGATGGGTCTGACCCTTTGCTCTAGTCATGTGGCATAGTAATACCAGAAGACATACATGTGGTTATATAACTCAAGACATATATATGGAATTTGTATATGAAGCTGCTTTTTAAAAAGTGTCCAATCTAAAGGTAACATTTGATTTTCAAAAAAAAATCTTTTGAAGTGTCTCACATATTAATCCCTTCCTTGCAAGTAAGTCCTTTGCCACTCCCCTGGTTTTCAGGCCTTATTGTCTCTTGTGTGAATTTTGCAATGATTCAACCAACCTCTTAAATGATTTCATTGGAACCAGCCCTCACCCAAATCTTCTACAAGATGAAACTTACCACAATAAACCTCTGAGAAATTCAATTGAATGAATATCTGTCACGTATCTCCCTGGTACAAGATGTATTTGAGATTATGAACATAACCTAATTTAAATCAAGGTTCTACATGTGTCACGGAAAAGGGACGAAACAGTTTCTTCCATGATTTACCAGAGACTTTTTTTTATCTTATCATAGTTATAAACTTCATATTTACAGCTATTGGTTATTTAATTAATGTTCATTTTCCCTAAGAGGCTGAAAGGGCCATGCTGAAAAGTGCCATTTGTGTTGGAGCATACAGGTTCCCCAGTTCCTTGTGCTATACCTAGAGTAGAATAGACACTAATGTTCTTGTATGAAATGAATGAACCAACCCAAATCGTCTGATTCTTGGAGGGGATTGAGGAGAAGGTGGTGGTAGTATATTTAGGTGCAAGGAGCAGCGGGAAAGAAATGTATTTGAAAGGAAAGTAGAGTGAAAGGTTTGAGCAGGAGGAGATAAAACTGGGACATCTCTCAGAATCCAGTTGAGAAAAGCATTCCATGGCAAGCTAAGAAGCTGGCATTTCACTGGGAAACAGAGTGAAGTAATGATTTTGTCTTGGGGCTTCACACTTCCTTTTAAGTTATCTCCTGTCCTCCATCGGTTGAGTTCAGTGTTTGTACTCAGGTAGTGTCTGCCGTGACTTACCATGCACCCACCTGGGAAAGCATTTCAACTTCCTAAGGCAGTGTTTCTCCATTCCTAGAGCAAAGATCCAGTGGTTGTTCCCAAATTTAGGTCTGCAGCTCAGTGCCAGGCTGACTGCAGCAAAATCAACTGAGATGTGTTTTAGAAAGCAGAGTCCCACTCTCCATCTTCAAAGATGCTTTCTCGGGAATTCTGAGATGGGGCCCAGGAATCAGAATACTTGTTTCCCATAGGATTTTAATGCACACTCAGGTATGACAACGTAGCAGTGGCTTCCCATTGACTTCAGGATAGACACTAAGTCTTATGAGATGACCAGTAAGGCTCTATATGCTACTCAGGCTCCTGCCTGCTGTCTACCAGCTGTCTCACTTCACTCACCTTTACCCTCAGTTTTTGAGCCACACGGACCTTCTCTCTTTTCTTCAAATGGCTTCTTCTTCCTCTTGCTGCAAAGCCTGAGAACGTGCTGTTCTCCTTCCCTGAAATGCTCTTATCCAGGCCTTGAAAAACTAAGTCCACAGGCCACATCCAACCCTCCACCTGTGTTTGTACAGTTGGCAAGCTGAGAATGGTTTTACATTTTTAAATGGTAGGAAATAAATCAAAAGAAAAATCTCATTTTGTGACACGTAAAAATTATGCCGATGTCAAATTTCAGTGCCCACAAATAAAGTTTTACTGGACAGGACACAGCCATACTCATTCATTCACAAATGGCCTGTGGCTGGCGGCTTTTACACTGCAAGGGCAAGATTGACTAAGTGGGACTGAGCCTACCCAGATCAAAAAGCCTGAAATATTTACTCTCTGGCTCTTTACAGAAAAAGTTTGCCAAACTCTGATCTAACTCATGGTACATTTCTGGAAATGTGGGGTATTAAAACATCTTCATAGTAACATGATCTTCCCCCACCTTGGGTTTTTTGTTTGTTTTTGGTTTGCTGTGCCTTTTATTTGTTCTTTGTGACTTACACTTTTGATTAAATTGTCACTTCCAGCATGTCCGTCTTATGCAAAGCAAAGGGGAAGTGAATTTGGTGGGAGGTCCGAATTATCTCACTTTGCTCTCTAGAGCAGTACCTCCCAACTTTTGCCAGGAAGAACTTCTTTTCATGCCCCCAAAATCTGAACTCCCTGGAGAAATCAGAGCCCAAGGGAGCTTTAAATGTGAAGACACAGAGGGTGAGGGATGGTGGCAGTGGAGAGAAAAGTAGATACCTGGTCATCTTCCCCATATTTCTGAACAACCAGTAAAAAAATGAAGTAATGGGAAATCTCCATCCTTGGTTGAGGATCCATGGTTTTACGTGGACTATTTTATACAGGTGCTTTAAGTTTATGCTGATAAATATTTATGAATGGTCTAGTTCCGTTGGGGAAGGAAAGAGAAGACAGCAATCACAGGACTTGGTTTCTAGAGTTTTATAAAATTCAGCTACTGTGACCATGTATACACACATCAAACAATTTAGAAACCACCAGTGAAGCACAAATTAACATAATATAGTCCAAACAGAATCCACAGCAGTGCTTAGGGAACAGACTGGGAAGAGACTCTCAGTCAGGCAGAGTCTGCCAAAATCGACTTCCAACAGGAAGTGAGTTTAAGCCTTTGTGAAAGAAAATGCTCCACAGAGAGAGGAAGAGAGGGAAGGGAGAAGTCTCCATGCTGGAGCCCATGTACGTGCAGCAAGTCATGTACAAGAAATGAGGGGAAGAGAGGGACTCAGCCAGGGGGAGGAGTTGCCATCTGTAGCATTTAGATGGAAGAGGTGGAAGGACAAACATCAACAGGAAGAAGCTACAGGTTTAACTAGAGTTGATTAACACTGTAAAATAATATGAATGAATATAAAATAATAGTGCCAGAAACACGGTGAGTCAGCTTAACTGTGAAGAAGTTTGGGAATCTCTAGCCATTAAGTAGAAATGAGACTTTGATCTCTCGTTATATCACTAATGTATTTTTGAATACATTTGAGGCTTTGGGGATCCTTGGGGATTCAGGTTACTTATTACTTTGGCTCTAGTCCTGTATTTCATGGTTATCTTGTGGCCATTTTTATCTCTGTAAAAAAAATGAGCATTTTCAACCCCCCATCTGTCAATAATAATAGTAACACCCAGCGCTTGTTTTTTTTTTAGTCTTTACTATGCCCTCTGCTTAATTTCTTTTAATCCTCGTAAAAATGTTATGGGATCAGTCCTATTATTGGGACTCCATCTTTCAGATAAGGAAACCAAGGCTGGAAGAAAGCAATTTATTTACCTTACTTAAGGTTGCAAAGCTTGATAATGTTAAATCTGGAATTCAAATCTAGGTCTCACTCATTGCATCTATGTCTACCAGGTTTGCCTGAGGAAGGAACAAGCACTAGATGCTTCTTTCTAAGCTTTAAAAGGGAGATAAAGCTTTCGTTACCTCCCTGGCATAGGACTGGCATAGCAGCTTTTCCTGTTACTCATTTCATATTTTCAGTAATAAACTGGCAGCTTTCAGATCCATAGCTTTATCATTTCCTGAGAGGGAGAGAGGTAGGATGGTCTGATTTCAGGGCTGGGTTAGAACCATGTAAACCCTTTGGAGAAGAGGTAAATTAAGTCCTTGAACTACCTCAGCCGTGCCTTTGTTCAGAGAAAATAGCTGTGTATCATCAAGTGGAGTTAAGTGATCATGAAAATATTCAAACCAAAGTGGCATGTCATTAAGAGCAATTAGAACTGAAGTGATGTGACTGGATATTAAAACCAGACAGGCAGTGCTTTGTGCCTTCTCAGTAGAGACAAGGCAGATGATTTGGGTTCCTCCTAACTTTGTCATCTCTAGAAATAAAATCTGCTAGACTTCTTAGATGTATTGATGCCATGTAAATATTGAAGGTCTGGGATCATATACTAAGTTTGACCCCTATATTTCCATTATAGAGTTTTCTCCTCATATTTCAGTCACAGATATGCCAGAGTTAATTAGATCTCTACTAGTAAATATCCATCATGATGTTTCTAAATCCCTTTTGCCAAATGATCTAATTAGAGCAACACTTGGCTTTCTATATAATTACAACATATGGCACCTAGAGGGTACATATAGTAGAATTATAGGTTGCCTGATGAGAAATCCAGGTGGTGGGTAAAAGACTCCATTAAATAGAGTAGGTGTGTGTGGGTGTGTGTGGGGGGGTATGGGCATGGGTGTTAATGTACACAATTCCTCCTACAATTCTCCCTAGAATAAGTAATATTTTGTAATTCAGCTGTCCTTCCCACATGAAACAACATGATTATATCATGGAACAGGAGTTAAAATTTAAAAGAAAACAAATAATTGATGACATTAGGATAAATTTTTTAACCTTCCATGCCCCTAAAAATGATCACATGTAGTAAGTCAGCAAGGCTGAAAGCAGCTCTGTGTAAGATGCATTATGTGATGGGATGTATTCCTCCAAGCAAGATCACTTACCCAAACTGCTAAATATAAAACAAAGATGGGACCATAAAGAAAGAATGGTTTCTTAATGCCTATTTGTAATCTCTGGAAGTAGAGTACCCAACTTCAGTAGGTGAAGAGTTCAGTGTTGGTTTGTTGAATTTGAAAAGCTTATCCTGCACTGTTGTGCTGGAGCCCAGTAGCAAGGGCTCAAAAGAGTGGATTCTGCACATCCATTCCCAGCTCTCTGTTCAGCGATAGCTCACATTCATAGCTTGATGTTAGCCATCGGCAGAATATTTACACCATGGAAATAGGCCCACTTCAAGGGCAGTTTTTCCAGAGCCACTGTGGTAAACATTGACAGCACACCACTAGCTGTGGGCATATGCAGCTCAGAGTTGGCCACGCCAGTTTAAAGTCCCTGGGACAGATCAGGTGGAGAAACATGACTTTCCAAATTGTTACTTTTGAAGTAATAAGGGTGTGGGAGGTTCATTGAGAGAAAAGAGAAAAGCAAAAGGGCTGTGGACAGACTCTTCTGATTTATGCAGAGTGTGCATGAAAGAGAAAAAGAAACAGAAAAAGTTGTCAGAAAGCTAAACGGAGAACCACGAAATAGGGCTGCTGTGAAATTCTAGGTATCATGAATGGACAGTGGTCAACAATGCCAGGTGTGGCCACAAAGTCATTCAGGATGAGACCACAAATGATATATATTTGGTGACAATGAATTCACAAGTGACCTTGAAATAAATACTTTAGATAAGTGCAAAAGCTGTACAGGCTGCATGGTAAGCAGCCAGATGCAGTGGATCTTTTTGCAGGTGTTAGGTAAGGAATCGGAAGCTTAGATATACTGCAAGAGAGTGACATATTTGTGGCAAGGATCTCATTAGGATGGAGGAGATTGGGGAATATTTATAGCTTGAGGGAAATCACACTGTGTCGAAGAAGGAGTTAAAGATGTAAGGGAGGGGAGATGATTCTCAAGGAGAGAGCAGAAGAATGGACTAGAAATCAATTATTGTGGGAAATGATGAGGAACCTCTGTTCTCTGTGGGTAGGAAGAGAAGATGAGTAAAGTCTCAGAGAAGTTAAGGGTAAAAGGAGTTGAGGAATTTCATATAACATACCTTTGACCTCAATCTCAATAATATGAGAGTCAAGGTCATCTTCTGAAAGTCTGGTCATGGGGGTGATTGTGCACTTGAGCAAAAGGGAGGCCTGGACTGTGTTTTATGGTCAATGTGATAGAAATAACATTTGAATTGAGCTTTTTATATTTTCAGTTGCTTCCACACACATTGACTTTCCCACATATTGATTTGCTCTAAAGGGTTTTATTCCAAAAGAGGTGGTTTGTTCCAAAGGATGCATAAAATTGTTATAGAAAAAATGAGGTTGACTGCTCTTAATATCAGGAAAGATGTTTTTCAGGTGAATGCAATGTGTTCCAACTCAGAAGGAAAACAATGCAATTTAAAATTACTATTATCCTTTCTCATTTTCTCAAGGACTTTCCCTCCTTCAATCATTCCTGCTCTTTCTCTACATCATCAGACTCTCCCTTTTCTTACTGTTCCTATTGGATTGTTCCTTCCAGCACATCTGCATCTTCCTCATCCACTTTGCCTCCTTTGCTCTGTCTACTTTCCCTCTCTCTCCAGGCAATCTCCTCCCCTCCCATGGCTGTAAACACCATGTGTGTACTGACAACCCTGAAATGTGTGTCTTCAGTACAGGATTCTCCCCTGAGCAATGTATGGTTAACATTCTTCAGAAGGAACTCACTCCTGCCACCAGTCTCCACCCTGAACCTTAGTCAGTTATACACCACCTCTCTCTGATCGCTTGAGCCTGAAACCTAGAAATCACTGCTAATTTCTGTTTCATCACCCCATTTATCCTATGCATCAATAAATTTTAAAAACTTTACTTCCAAAGAACATAATCTATCTCCTTCTTTCTATGTGCATTGCTGGTGCACTGGCCCAACCACCCTCATTTCTTGTCCAGATGGTTGCAGTAGCCCCGACGCGTCGCTCTGCTTCTATACTCGCTCCCTTCCAATGTGTTCTCTGTACCATAGCCAGAATGGTAATGGAAATCAAATCTCATCACAAATGCTTAAGATAGAAGCTAAGCTGTTGAACACAACCTACAAGGTATGGCATGGTCTGGCTCCTTGCTGTATTATTTTTGTGTTTTGTTTCATTTCCCCTCCCTTACATCTTTAACTCCTTCTTCAACTGCCTCTCCCTACCTGTACGTGCCAGAGGTCTGAGGCCGTGTATACCGCACTTCTCACTATAACACCAGTGCCTCCTTTCCTCTTCAATTTCTTCTTTGCATTTTTCTGAATTTGTAATTCCATATTTATGTTTTCATTGAGTTGACTGTTATCTGCCTTCCTAAACTGGCCTGTAAGCTGTGTGAGGACAGGATCTACCTGGTTCCGTTCACCACTATTTATCCAGCACTAGCCCTGGAATACAACTTAGGGCTTTAGTCAATAAGTGTTCAATAAATGAAGAAAGAAATCAATGGACTTACAGCCTCTTTTCACGAGGACTAGAGACTTCTCCAAAAATAAAAGCAATAGTAAAGATAAAAGTAAGTAATTTAGGGAGTTGGAATAATGGAGAATTGTCAGTAGAAAAATAAAAATGGCAGCAATAAAATTAGCACATAGAAATACTTTCAGTATAATTCACAGGTCTGGTTGTATCTGTCTTGCTACCCAATCAAAGAAAGAAACATAATTAGTTATAATTATCGTGTTTATAAAATTAAAAACAATTGTTTGTCCAATAGTAAAATCTTAGCAAAACCTTCCTCATGAGACGCAATTACTGCAGTTGATATAAGATTTCATAGATGTGCCTTATAATTTTCATACATTTGGCAAATCATGTGGTGATGGAGGACACCTTAGTAAATTAACTTCTGTGAGGTAGGGCCAAATATAGAGCTTTTTAATGGTGAAGCTTGATGTAAGGGTACAGTTGTAAATACTACATCAATATTTCCCAACACGAGTTCTTGAGATGGGGTGGGAGGTGATGTATAGGGTATAAAGTGGTGTTCTATAATCAAATAAGTATAAGAAGTACAATTTAAACATTTTGTATTGCAGACTGTCTCAGAATCCTTAATATGTTGATTACAGTGATAATCTTCAGGAAGCGTGGTTCCCAAATTTATCTGGAAATCAATTTTGCTGCACAGAATACATCAAGGGACTAGGGTTTCAGGGAGCAAAAACTTCGGAAAGCTTTCCTCTAAGTGGATGTAAGACTTTATTTACTTTAGGAATTCCATGATTAATTTTCACAACCATGATTGTATAAGGACGGATTAGAAGGAAATGCAAGATTATAATTGCTGGCAAAGAATAGGGAGTGCACCTATTGTGTGTCCCCAATCTAGATGAGGTGTATACTATACAGTAGGGCAAAGAGAAACGTGAGGGCAAATGTCAGAATGCCGCCTTTAGGGTGGAACAAAGATGCAAGTTCCTTGGGAGAATCAGCAAGCAGGAGAATCATTTAGCTCACAACTGATTCCTGTCCACAAAGTCAACAACAAAGAAGGCTGGGTAAAAGCTACAGAGAGTCTCAAGTTTTTCCTGATGTATTTTTCCACAGGCTGTTAGACCTAAAACTGAATAGCTAAATCGAAAGCAAACCAGCTATCCCAATATAGCATAACAGCATGAACAACTCAAGCCTGCAATTAGCCCAGGGAGAACAGGACTTTACTTCTAGTTCCCTCAAGTGTGGAAGAAGCAAAGAGAGCACAGTCAAGTGAGAAGGAACACTCGGCAGGTTCTTAGCAATTGCACCATCTTCGTTCTTGATTTAACATCCAGCGTTTCATGTTGATTAGTGAATACTTGGTTATAGAGACACAAATTTTATTTAGATTGTTTGTTTATTTTTAGACTCCTAGGTAATATATAAATATATAAATATATTTATATATATATATATATATTTTTTTTTTTTGAGACGGAGTCTTGCTCTGTCATCAGGCTGGAGTGCAGTGGTGCAATCTCGGCTCACTGCAACCTCTGACTCCCTGGTTCAAGCAATTCACCTGCCTTAGCCTCCCCAGTAGCTGGGATTACAGGCATGCACCACCACACCCAGCTAATTTTTGTATTTATAGTAGAGATGGGGTTTCATCATGTTGGCGAGGTTGGTCTCGATCTCCTGACCTCGTGATCCACCCGCCATGGCTGGTAATATTTATAATGGCCACAAACAGTTCCCTAGCAATTGATTTGGAAGTGTTTGCAATGCTGGGAACAGATACCCATATGATGCACTTTGCCTACAGATGTTTGTATTTGTATATGTGATTATATAATAATGGAATTGTAGTTCCATAGTAAAAAATAAAAATAAAAATCCATTGATGAATTTTTCCTCAGTAGCTCTAATAACCTTTACCTGTATCACTCAAACATAATCACAAGCCAAGGTCATGGTTCAGAGAAAAAATGAATTTTTGGGGGGTTTTTTTTTTGGTGTTGCTTTGTTTGGTTTGGTTTTTGTTCCACACCCTCAAATACCAACAGAAATATAACACCTCCTTTATTAAATTTTATATTAACAGCAACATTTTGAGATAACTAGAGCATAAATTTTTTTTACCATTTCATTCTCGGAAGCACAATAGCACAGAGTTAAAAAATAAATCTAAGTAGTAGAATTTTAAAGCTAAGAGCAGCATCTAGTCTAAGAACTCCTTGAACTGGCTCCTCCTCCATGTGACTGCATTCATTTTCTTTCTGATAATCATGAAAAGTTGAGCTCCATGATGTTGGTAACGAAACTTTTATTATTTCTGCTCCTCCATAGAACCATTTTGTATTTATTTTTGAATATGTCACACATTTTGCTCTCCTTGAATACTAGACTCTATTAAACACCTACCGAAAACACAGCAAAGCAAAATGTAAGAAAACTAACAGGAATAATTTCAAATTTCAAATGATAGCCTCTGCCTTTATTTAACAAATATTTGAGGCAACTGAAGTAAAAAATAACATGAATGCTCTCTTGAACTTTACCAGAACCTTGTCTAAGGCTACTGCTACTGCCTTAGATTGCGTGTCCTGAAACAAACTCAGATGACAGGTTGCATACAGAAGGTTTATAGGGGAGTGCTCTCTGAGGATACACCTGCAGGGAAGTGAGAAAGGCAGAAATGAGCAGAGAGAGAAACTGTCCTACAGGTTGGTTGCAACTGGGATTTCAGCTAGTCCCACTGAGAGCTCTGGAGCTCAGATAGCCCTTCAGAATGGTCTTACCTTGAGGCAAGGGAATGTGGTCTTTAAATCCCTGGATCAGCCAGTCATGGGCCTCAGATCATCACCTATAAGGGGTATAAGCTTAGTGGAGGCAGTTCCCCGTTTCAGGGGGTAATTCAGTAAGCGACACAGCTTTAAGCTGCCCCATATTCTTGGGCAGAGTTTTTGGAGGTAGAATGCTTTGGCCTGAAGGAGGGAAATCTGGGTAGAGTACTCTTTCCTATAATTATAAGAGATGACTGTATGGCACCCTTATCATAGGAAGAAACATTTGGAACTACTCATTATTTTTAAAAAAATGTCTTATGTTAGCCAATTAGTCTTCAACAGGATGCCCGGAGGAATCTGTCTGAATTTCTCATCATGTTCAAAGCATAAGTTGTAATTGATTCTTTCTTGGCAAGGGAACGCAGTGTGATTCCTCTGCCTCATTTCCTTTTTCCGATCCTCCCCTCAAAAAGCAGACTCAGGGAATATGACCTAGACAGTATCCCCATTTTTAGCCTTGGGGACTCTCCATTTTATGAATTCCCTTTTTCCTTTTCCACAGACACTCTCTCTTAAAATGTCTGGGCACCTCCCCCTCTCAGCCTTTATCCTCTCTTGCTTACTTTTTGTCAAAGATTGTCAGTAACTTCATTTGAGGAAGGAAAGAAGGGAGGGAGGAGACAGGAAGGAAAGGAAGAAAGCAAATCTGAAGAAAATAAAAAACTTCGACATCAGATCAATAAAACCACCTCTTCGCCTAGTTCCTATGACTTTTTATGCAAGAGGGTCAGTGTCTTTTCTCTGCTTTGAGTTGCAGGAAAGAAGGACACTTTAATTAGCCTAAGTTAGTACATGGCCATTGCCTAGAGGATAGATTTGTGTCAAACCTAAAAAATCAAGGGCTAGAAAAATAGAACCCATTATATATACATCACAATATAGTTATGCATTCAAATTCATTTGGAATTTTTCAAAAGTGAGATAGAAGATTTTAATGTGGAAATGTTCTGTACAACTTATAGATGCATGTCATATTAGGTAAGAGTAGGGTCCAGAGAGTCTCATCTTCTTTCAAGGATGTATATCTTTTCCTGTAGCTAATATAATCTCTGATTATTAGGATTTCAGGGCTAAATGAAACTTTAGAGATAAACAGATGAGTGGGTTTCAACTACCAGTTGAAAACTCTGGTTTTCAGCCATCCCTGGGGGATGCAGCATATCACTATTGTTGAAAATGGTTCATTGCACACTGATTGTCAGAGGAAGTGGGGATGGGGAAGAGGTAAGGGGAGAAGGGAGGGTCAATAGGAGTGTATGAGAATCTCAGGCAAGGGGATGCTTTGGAAAATCCCTCCTGAACTTTCTGTCATGCGTGGCTTTCCAAGCCGTGGGATTTATTGGTTTCCCCAGGACTTTTGTTTTACATTTATGGTAAAACTGAGGTTAGATGATTCATGACATGTCTCATAATTAACTATTGACGTGTATATGCTCATGTAACGTCATGTCTCACTGTAAAGCAATAAAGCTTTCTAGCAAGAAGAGTATTTAGAATCCCACCAGAAGGTTCCAAAAATCATCCAACCAAGGGTTCACTGAAATGAGCTTTCTTTGGCAAGCACAGTATATTAGCTGGCTCCACGTTTAATTTTTTAAAATTAAGTTCCAACATTTATAATTTGGTACATGCCCTATAATCCAGACTTCGGACATCTCTTCAAAAACTGAAGGATCTGCAACAGACAGCTTGCTTTTTTTTTTCTTTTTTTTTTTTTTTTTGAGACAGAGTCTCACTGTGTCACCCAGGCTGGAATGCAGTGGCGTGAACATGGCTCACTGCAATAATCCCAGACTTCTGGGTTCAAACAATCCTCCCTTCTTAGCCCCCATGTAGCTGGGACCACAAGTGCACACCACCATGCCCAGCTAATTTCTTAACGTTTTGTAGCAGTGGGGTCTCCCTTTGTTGCCCAGGCTGGTCTCAAACTCCCGGGCTCAAGCAATCCTCCCACCTTGTCCTCCCAAAGTGCTGGGATTACAGGTATGAGCCACTGCCCCTGGCCAGCCTGCATTTCTGTATGGCAATACTTATCCAGAGCTAAGAAGAGTTATCCTTTTAGCAAAAACATGAAATCTTCAGTTAGCCATACAATCCTTGTATCCCAAATTAAGATGTGGTGTCAGTTGCTGCTTATCATTGTTTTCGCATTGTAGTTTTTCTTACAGTAAAAATAAAAGCAGAATATTTTTTGCGTCTGTTTCTCTATCAAAGAGTGAAAATAAGAAAATGTAGTCAAAAAGACCACACACTTCAAGAAAATACAGGAAAAGAATATGTTCTCTTATGCCCCATAACAAATTTTCCTGTGTACAGGCAAAGCATGTCATGAAAACCTTCTTGCCAGCTTCATTCATTTTTATGACCTGCTTACCTCCTATAGGCAATAGTGCTTGTACATCTAGATCTAGCTCTATCCCTTTATGTTACCAATGATCATTCAGAAGGAGAAGAAGGTTTTAAATCCCTCAGACTACCTGTGAAGTCTGGACAAGAACCTAGTTCCTCACATCTATAATAGTACAGTGTTCTTTTTATTTTACCATGAATGGTTAATAGTGGAAACTCTGTGTTTTCTCTTCCCTGGAGATTGTACTAATCTACTCTTGTTATTTTTTGGTTTTTTGTTTTTCTTTTTGTCTTCATTTGCTCTGTCATACTGACGTGAATGGCAGGTTGTCAATTAACCCTCTTCCCAGATTGTATTAAAATCTGAGTATAAAAGCTACAGCCAGATCCCTATCTCTTCCATTATAGATACCAGACATCTAACAACACCCAAGTGAGGGTTTTCTTTATAATTTTTCCTACACAGCTGATTGTCAGCCTAACTTAGTGCCTGGTAGATAAAACGGAGAATTAAACTTGCCTTTTAGGCCAGGAAATTATTCTGTTCTAACATTATTGCTCATATTAAAACCCTGTGCCATTAAAGCTGTCTCTATTAAATGAATATGTGCTGGGTGCGTTGTTTATTCAATTTAATTGTAGGGAAAAAAAAAACTCATACGAGGGAAATGGTTTTTTGAACTGGTTTTTACCAGTCACAAGCCATGTGAATGAGTGTCCAATTAAATAGTGGCTCACTAGGACTTGTGTAATAGTAACATCTGTTACCTTAATTAAACAAGTTACTATATAAAGGCACTTTCATAGCTCACTTTGTTAGAGTAGGTTCTGACCTAGAAACTCTAGGAAGGTTTGTTCTCTTTGTGGGATTTTGTTGGCGGTAGCGTTCCCAGTTGGCCCCATTAAACTATAGACCTGACAAGCTCTGTGATCTACAAACCTACAATACGTTCAAGCCTACAGAGCCTAGAGGAAGGAGGGAACTGAAGTTTGTGATGCAAAGTGGAACAAATAAAATAGTAAAAGTGCTGGGTAGGAGTGCTTCGTACTCATTTTGATGAACTTGGGTGTTGTGACTGAGAGGCAAGTGGTGGTGGTAACAGAGAAAGGAGAGTGAACAAGTATTTATTGACCCTCCATTGCATGTTAGGCTCGCAGGAAAATCTGTATCTGCAGGCATAGGTCTACAATCCTGTATCCATATCTTTGAAATCCAAAAAGCTCTGAAAACAAAAAAATATTTTTCTGTCTTTTTTCTTCTCTTGTTAATCTATTTGTTTATTTCTGGCAGGTTTGGAGCAAACTCATTTGGTGGCAAAACCAAACTGAGGCTATTGATAGACTTTGTCTTTATTTACCCCATGTTGAATCACAGAAATAATAATATATTGGGTTGTGAGATACTACATACACCAGACTTTTCTTGGGATGTTATATAAAATAAATATACTATGGTGTTTTTTAATATTCAAAATCCTGAATGCCAAAACACAACTTTCCCTGAGAGTTTTTGATAAGGGGTTATGTATTAGACCATTTTTAAAAAGGTAAAATAAACTAAGGCTCAGTGATATTGTTTTGCTCAAAAATAGACAACTAATCAGCCCTTCCAGTGACTTCCCATTCACTTCAAATAGTCTCTGCTTGCCATATCCTGCAGTGTCCTACATAGCCAGGCCCCTACTTATCTCTCTGACCATATCTGCTGCTAGCTAGCTCTTTCTCTTAGCTACAATCACACCGGCTTTGCAGATCCTCAGTGACATCTAGCTCTTTTTTGCCTCAGGGCCTTTACACTTGCTTTTCCCACTAACTGAAACACTTTCTTCCCTGATCTTTAATGAACAGCTCCTTCTTGTCCCATATCTCAGCTGAAATGTTGTCTTTGCAGAGAGACCTCAAGCACATTCAAAAAAGACCTTGCTCCTGTCATGCCAACCAAAACGAGTGTGATGGAAAGTTAGCTGAATTCCTACTGGATTCATAGATGAAATAATATCAGAAAGAATACAGATATTATGAAGTTTGTTTTTTCTGCCTAACGTCTAGTACTTCTTTGTCTGAAAGAAGCACCCTAGCGATGCTTTCAGGAAGGGCCTTTTCCCATTATTTGCACCCTTCCTTGCTTTTTTCAGTGCCAAGTGCTCTGCTGTTCTCTACCCAGTGGACCGGGTTATGGGAAGGCACAGGCTAAGCCAATCAGACCCTCTCCTTCTTTCAAGAATCAGAATTTTCCTATGGGCAGGACACAGAGCAGAGACATTGGGTGGCAGCTCCCTGGGGATATTGCTCCTTAAATTCTACTCTCTAGACCCCCAGAGCTACTACTGGTTGCTGTCCTTTCCAAGCCCTATTTGTTCTGCTTTTTCTTCAGTTTGTGAGTTACCCCATATCTTTTCAATAAGTTCCCCATTTTGCATAATTTAACTTTGCTTTTTTGAAACAGACTTTGGTCTATTTTAGTTACTTACAATACCCAAACCCTAACTGATATAGGCAAACAGATAGAACATCTTTAATTTGTATGTTTTTCTCTAAATCTAACTTAGAAAAGTAACTCTTTAATGGCATTTGGGTGTTCATCTTAGTGGTTAAAAATAATTATATCTTATCCCATTTGAATAAAACAACTTAAGAAGTTGAATATCTACAATTTGAGGAAGGGGAGCAATTTGAAACATTTTGCTTCGCAAAGATGTTTGCATCCAGCTTAACTGCTTACCCACCTGATTAAGTACCTTATCCATGACTAATGGAGTTGTCGAACATGTGGACTTGCAGAGACTCATGGAATTAAAATGGATGTATCCCCTCCAGAGAGCCCTGTTTCCTCGAAGGGTAGCTAGCACTGGAGTGGGATGCTGTGTATTCCCACAGGCATGTGCTGACATGGGAGTTGCTGAAATTTGGAGGCTGAAACATTTTGGCTGCCTTTGTGCAAACTCAGGTTGTCTGGCATCTGCATCCTCCCAGAATGAGTCATTGTATGTCCATGCTTCATTGATTCTTGCTGAAGGAGATTTGGACAATGGGCCTGAACCTGCCAAATGAGTTTGGGAAGCCCCAAACACATCGGTAGCTTGTTATATAAGCATCTTGTGCTCAGCAGTTAGGCCTGCCACTGTCTGTGATGAGTAGCAGGTCCCTGTCATAGTGACATCCAGATGAGGTTATTTGCTTACCTCTGTGCATGACATGTGAGCCCAAAGATGCTGGACTAGGTCCTCTTCCAGCAAAATGGTGCGCATTGCCCAGATGGTCTTGCATAAGCTGAGAAAGAATAGAGAAGGCAACGTGTGGCCACTCACCTAGACTCTCATTTGAGCTCCCTTGTCAGTGCTTTATGAATGTGGAGGATGAAAAGATATCCCAGCATTCTTTGATGAATTGGTTTTAACTCTATATGGAGACCTTCCTGAATCCCAAGATAATCTAATCTCTATTTCCACAGCCCATGAACTTATCCTTATAACATCTGAAGTTCAAATTATTTATTTAGAATTTGTGTCCTATACTAGACCTTACATTTCATGACAACACGAGTTGCCTATCTTGATCATTGTCATATCTTATGCACTTAGCATAGTACTTGACACATAATGGACATTAAATACATATATGATGAATGAATTCACTAGCTGTATCACTTTGGGCAGGTTACTTAATCTCTCGAAACCTAATTCCCCATCTGTTCAATGGTGATAATAATGGTAACCATCTTAGAAAGGGTTATATGAGGTAACCCACGAGAAGCTTAGAATTGTGTCTTTTGTTGTTATCATTGATAATAAATAACGAACAATGAATCTTCCCTCTACTTTCAAAAAGGGAAGTCATATAGACCAGTGGTCCCCTTTTTGGCACCAGGAACTGGTTTCGTGGAAGACAATTTTTCCACAGATGGCGGGTGGGGTGGGAGGTGGTTTTGGGATAAAAGTGTTCCATCTCAGATTATCAGGCATTAGATTCTCATAAGGGGCATGCAACCTCTAGATCCCTCAAATGCACAGTTCACAATAGGGTTCAGGTCCTGTCCTGTGAGAATCTAATGCTGCTGCTCATCTGACAGAAGGCGGAGCACAGACTGTGATGCTTGCTCACAGGCTCTCACCTCCTGCTGTGCCACCTGGTTCCTAACAGGCCATGGACCAGTACCAGTCTGTCTGCAGCCTGGGGGTTGGGGACCCCTGTTCTAGACTACTGTGTAAATTTAGTTCGTGCATAATTCGTCTAAACTTATTGGTAATACATAGATATTTACTGTCTTCTCCATGACTCCAAGAAGTGTTTTAACTTTACAGATGAAAAGGTCCTACAAGGAAGGTTTCAGTCGTTCATATGTGTATATCAGAAAAACAAAGGTGGCTCATCTCTCCACAGTAGTTTCACTGGTGATATTTTCATTGCAAATTCCTTTTTACAGGTGTCAAAAATCATAGTATGTGGGAATGTCTGCCTCTAGTGACCTTCAATGCACTATTAAAAAAAGAAGTTTTGTTTTGGATTGCCAGGATTTTAACCTTCAAACTAGCCTGTGTGTCATGGATCCCTGCACTAGAAGGCTTTTAGAAAAACAGATAAACTAAAAGGAAGCTTTACAGACTGAACATCAGCTACAGGAAGACCTAGGTGATTCCCAACTCTATACCCAGGTGCCAGGAAGGTTCTAAAAGTCAGTAAACACAGAGAGGCCATTCTACTACCCCTGGCCTGAGGCCCCAAATTCTGGTGAAAAGTTCTGCTGCCCTTGTAGTATGGAGCTTTTTAAAGCAAAGGCAGAAATACTTAGAAAAAGAAAGAGGATGAGCATAAGATCTACCTTCTCCCAAAGCAGCCTTATCGAAAGCCTTAGTGAGATGGTTTCTAGGATATAGTTGGAACCTGTCTGGACTCACAGCTCCCTATGTATGTTGAACTCTTAGTCCAAGACTCTCTTGGATCTTGAGGTAACTACAGTACCATAAAAAGGACTAGATTTGGGGAATGGCATCAGAGCCAGAGCTTTGCCATCTATGTAGTCTTGAGCAAGTCACTTAATTTATTGTACTTAAAATGGACTTAATAAGAAACACCTGCAATGTTCTGCTCAGATTTCATTAGATGGGAAAGTGCTTTTTATATGGCTCTAACCTCTAACCACTGTAGAGTTTTTGTTACATGCATTTTTAGGTCTATGTGCATTTTTTCAAAATGAAATTATATAATACCTTATTGTTTTATTATTTGACTCTTTGATTGACAGTATATAGTAGATACCATTCCCTACTGAAGAATATAACATTTTCATTCTATGTTTTTATTTTTTATGGCGCAATCATATGGCATTGTATGACTTTGTCAATTCACTACAAATATTTATTACTTAATTTTGAACAGTTCAGTTTCTTCTTTAGAACTGCTGTTTAATCTACTACAGTTCACATCAATTGCATCAAATCTCTAGTATTCTAATTAGAATGCAATACCAACTATGGGAATTACCAAGCAGCTGTATTTTGGGCATCTTCACCAACATGGTTATAGCAACAGCGAGGATTTGTTGAGTGAGTGCCTAATATGTGCTAGGTATTTTACATATACTGTACCTTGTATAAATCTCCCCCAAACTCTCCAGCTCATTGTCATTCTGCTCATTTTGCACTTGAAGGAACTAAAGCTCATCAACATCAACTAACTTAATCGTAGACATAGAGATGACTAAGTGACAAAACTGGAATTCATCTGTAGGTTATTTGACTTCAAAACGACATAAACTGTGTCCACTATATGAAGCATCTTGCTTGATCTCAAACTCAGCACATTTGGATTTGATCTCAATGTCTTGCCCTTGTCTCAAACATGTCTCCACCGTGTGCCACCATTTTATGAATGGTGCCATCATCTACCAAGCTCCCCTAACTGGTAGCCTTTCCTTCCAACTGCCCTGAGATGACCTTTGTGAATGTTAATTCCCCCCAGATTGTTAATTCTAATGACCAGCTTCCATTCTTCAATTTCTCAGCACCATTTGACACAGGCGGTAGATCGCTCCTCCCTCTGAAATCCTTGTTTCACTTGGCATCCAGGACCGCATAGGCCCCTGGTTTTTTTTTTTTCTAGTCCATCCAGGCCACTTCTTCTCCATTTGTCTATTGGGTCCTCCTCCATTCTACAACTTCTAAACTGACCCGGGGCACAGTTTTTGGGCCTTTTTTGTATATGTCCCTTCTTCCTTGGTGTCTTCCTCTAGTCTATAGCCTTCCAACTTACCTAAACACTGGAGAAGTCATTTATATTTCCAGCCTGAAATTCTCCCAGAATTTGAGTATATTGAATGATATATTCAACACCTACCTAGGTCTTTGCAATCTATCCTAGGCAAAAATGTCCTGACTCCAACATATAAATTGTCTTCCCCCTTAGTGAAAGGAGAGGAAAGCAGTGAAGCTTTGCTGGGCCTATTGATTTGGATGACACGTGTTCTCTGAATCACCTAGAGGGATTCATTGATTAATTGAGTCATTAATGCACCGATTCATTCATTCAAATATTATTTAGTGACTACATCATTTGCCAAGTACCATGCTAAGAATCTAGATAAAATGTTTAGGGCCAATTATCTAGGAAATAAGTTTTCTAAATTAAGTCAATTCTTAGGAATCACCTTTTGGTTTTCATACTAAACAGGGAATGGAGTATTTCTGAATCATTAATTCCCAAATCAACTTTTCTAAAATATGCATAATCGTTTCCAAAATGGAGATTTATTTAGATGTCACACAAGATAATTGCAGCTTTGTAAACCTAACCTAAGGGAAATTGAGTTTTCATTCAGAAACCTTATCTTGATTGCCTAGACATCACCCAGCATCCTCTGACGCCTCTGCTTGATGTCCTTATGTCAGCCTGTCCTCAGGAGAGAAAGAGGAAACTTCACCAAAATGAACAAGGTCTTTCACCTTCTCCCTTTAGGTTTTAGGAAGAAGCTGTTTATGAAAGTTGTCCTCCAGTGCCCATTGGGAACTTGCAAAAGATCAGTTACTACCGATGGACAGTATGTCTGGTCTTTCTCTCTTTTTCCACATATTAAATTGTCATTGTGTCAAATGTCTTGCCATCAAATACGGTGCTGCAAAGAAATTGCAATTATATTTATCAGTTTTTTTTCTCTGACCTTTGAATTTCATTCAGTCCACAGAGAATCCTTCTCGGTGGTTCAGAGAACATGTGTCATCCAAATCAATAGAGCCAACAATCTCTGATTTTTCTCTCCCCCTTTCACTGAGGGGGAGGGCAGTTCATATATTGAAGTCAGAACCTTTTAAGCCTGGAATGGATAGCAAAGACCTACAGCTTTAGTGCATGTAATCTTGCAATGCAATAACCTGGTAGTCACGCAATCTGGACCTAGTAACAGGTTACCACAATTCCATATGGAGTTTTCTAGTGTTTTCATCCTGTCTGCCTAGTATTAATTTTGAGTTTCTGTCTCTGGAAAATTTTGTTTAGATTTTAAAATCTTGGTTTTTGTTCTCTAATCATTTTCTCTCACTATAAGATTCTGACTGTCAGAATTAAATATGTTATAAAACTAATGTTTAACCGTAGTCTCATTCCCTACGCCCTGCCCCCTGCCCCGCACCACCCCAATCACCTAGAATATTTTGAAGGAAGAAATGGGTGGTGGATAATAGCAGCCAGGTTATCTGGCAGCGCAACCTCATTTTAATATTAGCTAAAGCAGAAATAGTCAAGAGGGCAAGTCTGCCATGAAAAGTCTTATGAAACATTACAAAGTTAAATGGACCACTAAAAAACGGTAGACAGAAGAGACAGCCAGGTGCTCACCAAAATCTTACAGTTGAACTTTAAAAGTCATATATAATGAGCAAGATTAGATGCAAAATCAGCCATAAAAATAAACTATTTCCCAAGACTCAAGGCTAAAGTGCACCTAAATCTTATTTATTAGCATGACTGAACTAGCAGCACAGTAAATCGTAATTGCATGTGTCAGTCACGTGGTGTTTATTAGGCCTTTTCTGATTTTGAGTGACAAAATACACACAAACTCATCTCTTCTATCCACCATGTTGACTCTGTTCTCAGACAGGTGTCATCCTCATTACCACAAAATGGCTGCAGCAGCTCTAGACATTAAATATTCAGATATTCAATTCCAGAAGGACAGAGTGAGAATCATTTTCCAGAAAGTCCCAGGAAAAGTCTCATTGTAGCTTACTGACTCTGATTGAGTCGTATAATTATCCCTAACTAATCACTATAGCCAGAAGACATGAAATGCTGGGATTAATTTAAGCCTGGGCCCTGTGCTTCATGCCAACATTTAGTAGTGGAGCCTACTAATATCTCATGGCAGAGGCTGAAAGAGGGATAGGTTTTTAAGTGGCTATTATTGGATATAGTGCTAATGGACGCTGGACACAACTGTTTGAACAAGAAGGAATGGTCAAAAGTGACAGATATTGTGAAGAAATTGGAACCCTTTTGCACAGCTAGTGGGGATGTAAAATGATTCAGCATCAACATCATGACATGTCCTCAAAAAAATTAAAAGTAGAATTACCATATGATTGAACAATTCCACTTGTAGAGATTACTCCAGAATTAAAAGCAAGGACTCAGCTAGATATTTGTACATCCATGTTCATTGCAGCATTATGCATAATAATCAAAAAGTGGAAACAGCCCAAATGTCTATTGATAGAAGAATAAATAAACAAACTGGGGTATACAGTGGAATATTTTCCAGCCTTAACTAGGAATGAAATTCTAACACATGCTGCCATATGGATGAACCTTGAAAACATCATGTTAAATGAAATAAACTGGACACAAAAGGACAAATATTGCATAATTGCACTTATATGAAGTACCTAGAATAGGCAAATGGATAGAGACAGAAAGTAGGATAATGGTTACAAGGTGATGGGAAGGGGGTAATGGGAAGTCATTGTTTAGATGGGTAAAGAGTTTGCTAGAGATGATGAAAAAGTTCTGAAGATGGATGGTGGTGACAGTTGCACAACAGTGTGACTGTACTTAATGCCACTGAATTCAACACTTAAAAATAATTAAAATGGCATTTTTTATGTTATATATATATTTTACCACAGTAAAAAAGATATAAAAAATGGAAAATAGGCAAAGACAAAAATCAAAGGGGCAATATATACTCCCATCTAAGTTAATAAATGATGGGAATGTTACTTCTTTTTTATTTTTAATAGGTAAATGATGCTAATTTTATTTCTTATTTTTAATTATTTAATTGATAAAAATTAAATATTCAAGGTGTACAACATGACTTGTGTATATATTATATAATGATTACCACAATCAAATTAATTAATGCATCCATCACCAGATTGTACATTAGACCCCCGGAATTGTTCATCTTATAACTGCAATTTTATACTCTTTAACCAACATCTTCCTATTTATTTCCCCTACCTCCAGAGCCCCTAGCAACCATGGCTCTACTTTCTGCTTCTACGAGCTCTACTTTTTTAGATTTCACATGTAAGTGACATTATACACTATTTGTCTTTCTGTGCCTGGTTTATTTCACTTAGCATAACATCCTCCAGGTTCATCCTTGTTGCTGCAATGGCAGGATTTCTTTCTTTTTAAGGCTGAGTAATAGTCCGCTGTACATATTTACTAGTTTCTTTATCCATTAATCCCGTGATGGACACTTGGGTTGTTTCTATATCTTGGCTATTGTGAATAATGCTCTGATGAATATGGGAGTGCAGATAGCTCTTCAACATACTAATTTCATTTTCTTTGGATATATACGCAGAAGTGGGATTGCTGGATTATATGGTAGTTCTAATTTAAATTTTTTTTTGAACAACCGTACTATTTTCCACAATGGTTATACCAATTTACATTCCTATCAGCAGTGTACAAGTGTTGCCTTTTTTCCACACCCTAGTCAATGCTTGTTGTCTCTTGTCTTTTTCATAGTAGTCATTCTTAGCGGTGTGAGAAGATATCTTATTGTGGTTTTGGTTTGCATTTCTCTGATGATTAGTGATACTGAGCACCTTTTCATATGCCTTTGGCCATTTACATGTCTTCTTTTTTTATTTCAACTTTATTTTGGATTCAGAGAGTACATGTTCAGGTTTGTAACATGGGTATATTGTGTGATGGTGAGGCTTGGACTACAGATGACCCCGTCACGCATGTAGTGAGCATAGCACCTAATAGGTAGTTTTTCAGCTCACATCCCCTCCCCACCTTCCCCACTCTAACAGTTCCCAGCATCTGTTTTTCTCATTCTATGTCCATGTGTACTCAATGTTTAGCTCCCACTAATAAGAACATGTGGTGTTTTGTTTTCTATTTCTGTGTTAGTTTGCTTAGGATAATGGTCTCCCACTGCCTCTATATTGTGACAAAGGACACGATTTTGTTCTTTTATATGCCGCATAGTATTCCATGGTGTATATGTGTTGCATTTTCTCTATCCAGTACACCATCAGTGGGCACTCAGGTTGATTCCATGTCTTTGCTATTGTAAATAGTGCTGCGATGAACGTAAAGTGCATATGTCTTTTTGGTAGAACCATTTATTTTTCTTTGGGTATATATTCAGTAATGGGATTCCTGGGTTGACTGGTAGTTCTAAGAGCCACTGTGACTGGCCTTTTGATGATATTTTGATTTGTCTAATGGATTTCTAATTTAGTATTTCTCTGATGGGAGGCTGTTGCATTTTAAATGGATGTTTCCACATATTGCAAGACTGTAGCATCTCTAGGCCCAGGCATTCCTAGTCATTCTGACAAACAGAAAATCTCCATGCTTCCCAAACGTGCTGTAAGAAGCATTGTTGCCTCCAATTAAGAAACACTGGTTTATGAGGAAAGAAAGTGCCAGTTAAACTGGCTGAATGGCAGTTTTATTTCATATGGTACATTAATAAGTGAGCACCCCATTTTATATACTAGTTTCTCATTAGTTCTTATATATTTTAAGTAATCAAAATGACCCAGGCAAGGTAAGTTCTGAACCTTCAGGGTGAGGCCTAGATATTGGACCATGGAAATTCACTGGCATAACTCAGTTTATTGAATTCTCATGGCAGCCCAACCAGCACCTTGCCTGCTACCTTTGTAATGTGCTTCTTCTAAATGTTAGCATAAACAATCTGCATTTTTTTGAATTATCCCGGTGATTGCTTCCCTGGTGCAACTATGATTAAAAATAAGACAGATAAGTTCTACCCCAAGTAGCTTACAAAATGTAAGCATTATAATACAATACAGAAAGCAAGAATCCCCTTAAGTAGCAGTAAAATCACAGGCTGCAAGAATGCAGGGCAGGCAGAAAGACTTCCAGCTGCAGGAAGCAGAGACAGCTTCATAAAAGAGGCAACACTTAAGAGGTTCTTACGTAATAAGTAAGCAGTACATTTGTAGAAAGGTTGGAGAGGGGTATTCTGGGTATGCTATGAGTAATCCAGGGAACTAATGCTCAACCTAGGAAGTCTAGATTTTATGAACTTATGGATCCCTTTATAACTCCAGAGCAACTGACAGAAAGATGGAATAGCATTCCATTGGCTAGTTGTCTTGCCCAAATAACTTGTTTGACAAAAACCGTGCCTCCAGGGAACAGAAGGGTCAGTAGTCATTTGAGTATCTGCATATATACAAAGACACATATACAATGAGAACAACTGAGGCAGAAATTGAAAGCAAAGCTCTCAGTGTCTATGTCAGAGCCTTTCCCCAGACGGTGCTAAGTAAAATATGTAAGCACTTAAGGTTAGCTATAAACTATTCCTTTGGGCAAGGAAATAAATATTATTACAGGAAACTACAGCAATTTTTTGACATCAGGAAAAGAATATAGTCCTGCAAAGTCCTTTTAGGTCAAGGAAATTAGCTTCTAGGGGAAAATATATTTAAAAACAAAGAGTCAGATAATGTTTTCAGAGCAAGTTTTCAGAAGGCAGTCTATTTCCAGTTTATGCTATCTATAGAGCGTCTGTGTAAAGCTCTTTAAAAATGTAAACACCTAATTGCATTTCAGTATGATAAGACCATAAAGTCTTTAAGTCTCCACAGGTATTTATGAGTTCTTGGTCATAACTTTGAAAGCCCTTTTCATAATTATGCCTATCAACATATTGTGAAAAAAAATCATTGAGGAGCTTACCCTTGGCTTTAGAAATAGTATATACCATCTAATTATTATTTTAATATAAATTATTTCCTTACCATTAGATTAATATCTAGCCCAGAGCACATGTAATTGAGAAATCTGTTTTTTTATTTTTAGAATCATACTAAATTTTTAAGTGACTGATTTTTCAAAAAAAAAAATCTTCTACTCATCAGAAACAGTTTGGGATCTGTAAAAATCCCCTAGTTTATTCCAGACGTAAATTTCCCCAAAGACTTTTAGCACCTATTAAGTTTTTGTCTCCCTAGGTATGAGAGTTTGCTGTCAGTTAAGAGGAAATTTATAAGAAAATGTTAAAACCAGCTTAAATAACTTTCTAGTTCTATTTAATGTTGGTACAACTTCAATGAAAACATTTCAAGTCAGCATTTCAAATTCAGCTGCCAAGACTCAGGTAATATTTCCTGGACTCAATCATATGGGCATGAAACACTGCAGTTCTATCTTCAAAGTCCTTTGAAATCTGTCTCATGATATCTTTAGAAGAAAATATTCCAAAATGAAATGAAGAACTTCATTTTCAGCTGAATTTTCTTAACGTCTGTCACCTTCTTAGGTGTGGGTTCTGAATTTTAAATATTCCTCTTTTTGAACCTGTGGAGATTGTAAAAGGCTACATCCCTAGTGAAAATTGGTTTGAGATAATTCCCTGGAAAACTTTTGTCAAGGTGTACAGTTGTCACTTTGGTTCATGTTAGAACCAGGAGAATGTAATATGTAATAATGACTAATGCCCCTTTAAAAGAGCATTTCTCTCTTTTCTTGTCTGCAGATATTTCTCATGTCTATAGGTACCGCACGGGCAAGAGCCATACTTTAGATAAATACAGGTTTTGAGTTTTTTTGTTTTTTGTTTTTTGTTTTTGGTTAATATACTGTCTCTCTCAAAATCAAAAATAAAAGCTAAACACTTGAGGCTGCTTATAATACAAGTTATATATAATAGGCCTGTTAAAATAAAACATTTAGACCTGTAGAAGAAGGGGAATGTGTACTTTAATAATGACTTAGTTAGTATTATTAGTGTTTTGAGTTTCCTAGGATTCTGAGCCAAAAGAGAAATCGGCAAGCTGTTAAATAAAGTTCATTATATGAAAAACGGTGTTGAAGAGAGACAACTTTCTCCTGACTTTAAATTATACATTAAATGTGTTAGTTGAATCCAGGGGCAGGTTGATTGCAGTAATGGCCCCTGCTTTGCACATGTCCTGCGTCATGTCCTTTGGTAGTGCCTTCCCACTTTCACTCTTGACTTGGCCAGACTGCTTGCTTTGGCCAATGAAATGGTAGTAGAATGGATGCAAGCAAATGATTTTGAAAGTCCTTGCACATTGGAGCCTACCCCTTGCGGCTTTTCAAATCGTTTCGCTACCATGCGAACAAGATAAAGGCCTATTGTGCCGGGCGCGGTGACTCACGCCTGTAATCCCAGCACTTTGGGAGGCCGAGGCGGGTGGATCACGAGGTCAGGAGATCGAGACCATCCTGGCTAACACGGTGAAACCCCGTCTCTACTAAAAATACAAAAAATTAGCCGGGCGTGGTGATGGGCGCCTGTAGTCCCAGCTACTCGGGAGGCTGAGGCAGGAGAATGGCGTGAACCCGGGAGGCGGAGCTTGCAGTGAGCCGAGATTGGACCACTGCACTCCAGCCTGGGCGACAGAACGAGACTCCATCTCACAAAAAAAAAAAAAAAAAAAGGCCTACTGAATATTGAATGAAGAGGAGACAATGGCCTAGTCCCCCTCATCACCCCAGCCAACACCTAGCTGAAACATAGACTCAAGAGCAATGAAAAGTCTTGTTATTTTAAGCAACTGAGTTTGGGGGTTGTATGTTATGTGGTGATAGCTAACTGATACAGATATTTAGACAAGGGATATCTGCTAATATAATGGACAGTGTCTTGTACAGTAGTTTTTCAGCAACTGTTGAAAAACTATAGGACTGTCTCCTTATAGCAAATGACAACCCTTGAGAGCATACCTTACATAAAAATAAAGATATTTTTATTTTCCTCACTGCCTGTTATATCAAATGTTGTTAAATCCCTGCTAGAGACAACATACCCACCTCTGAACCAGACCACCTTGTTATTAGAAGAGAGCCATCCTTTGAAGTCACACACAACAACACTGCTTAATGGCTAGGGAAACAAAGGCTATTATTAATCTAAAATGCTTTAAACAGGGCTTAGAGAGAATGAAATAAGCAGACTGGAGTTTAGCCATGGTGCAATGCTTTGAGGGCGAAAACAAAGCCATCCATTTAGATAAGCTTTGAAAAACACTGTGTAGAGGGGAATTCTTCTAGAAAGTGTGTCTTAACTTCTACAATCCATTTGATACTCAAAATTTTTGTGTTCCTGCTTTCAGTGGCACTTCCTATAAAAATCCATTGCCTTTTCCTTCTTCATCAAAGTCTTTTTAAGCTTGGGGAAAATAGACTTGTCAAAAACATGTCAAAGACAATTACATTTGAAATTTTAAGTCATATGAAAGATGTAATTTGAACCCCAAGACTTATAGACTCTCTGGACCTCAAAAATTATTTAGGTCAACCCTATATGATTTTTGAATTCCCTCCAGGAAAAACCTAACTTATCTGGATCTCTTCTGCCAAAGACACTCCCAGTAATAGAAACTTCTGTGGAGAATTATGCCCCTTAGGGAATTTTTATGTAATAAAATGTTTATCCCTAGATAGAGCCATTCACTTTTAAGCCAGACGCCTGGTGCAGCACAGGAAATCCCAGGTTTCCTTTCTGCCACACTCTTCCGAATATTCAAAGACAGCAGCTCTTCTGTCCCCAGGTTCACCAAAGTCATTTCTTTGTTCACCAGGCTAAATGTGTCAGCATTCTTGGGTTGCAGTTAACCAAAATAACTCTAGCTAACTCAAGCAAACAGGAATTTTATTGGAAGGATATGAGGGACTTAGAAAACCCCTGGAAGAAGCAGTTTTGAAACTAAATGAATCTAAGGTGTCCCTCTGGGATTAGGAAACAGGAAAGGCAGAAGCTGTATATTTACAGGAATAGTTTGATCAGGGTGCCCCTGCTGAGTTCATCAGGTTCTTTGTCCTGCTGTTCCAGGAGGAAGGAGTTATGTATGACTATTGTAGCTTTGGTTGTAAGACACAGGGAAAGGGAGGGCCTCTGACCACAGCCTTACCAGATTGAATCCAGTGAGAACAGCTATCCTCAAAAGAACATATGAGTACTATGAAAACGGGAAAATGGATACTGAGTAGGCGAAAACAACAACAATTAAAATAATGTTGAACACCATTCTTTCATCTTCATGTGAAGTGGCTTTGAGTCCCATCCGTCTTGTTCCTGTGAATCATCCAGTGTCCTTAGCTGCCCTCTTAGTTGGTGTTAATTTTTTCAATGACCCTCTCAAATGGTGGTGCCTTGTAGCTCTAGCTGCAGTTTGATCAGCGCAGAGTAGAATGGGGTTATCCCCTCCCGCATTCTGGATGCCGTATATCTATTAATGCTGCCCAGGATTATGTTCATGTTTTTGGCACTCTCATCTGCCCATCGAGTCAGACTGAGTTTAAAGTCACCTAAAACCTAGTAATTAATTTTCTCACCGTTTCTCTAGTCTATGCCACATCTGCCCCCATCATTATCATATCTCTTCCTGTGCCTAGAATGCACTCTTCTACTTTCTGTTATTGCCTAGTTAACACTTCCTTTTCCTTCAGACCTCGCTCGTATTACCTCTTACTGAGACTCAATTTCCCTTTTATAGATATTTATAATACTATACACTTTTCCTTTACAGTACCTCATATGATATAATTTCACATTTATGAATGTGATTATTTGGCGTCAAGATGGTCTAGAAAGAAAATCTAAATTTCTTATTACATGATCTAGCCCAAACCTTAGCAGCCAATCTCATTTCTTACCACTCCACTCACCCATCCCACTGGCCTTTCTGTTCCAGGAAAACACAAATCCTGCTGTTTCCTTAGGGCCTTTGCACTTGATGTTCTCTCTCATTCCCCATTCTTTGTCTGACCACTACTTATCATCGATTAGATCTTAGCTCAAGTAATACAAAGAGAGGCCTTCCATGTTTAACCTAAAGAAATTCCATCATCTTTTGTGCCCCCAACACACACCAAAAGTCCATTTCTATCATAAGACTGTCCATATTTTCTTCTTAGCACATATTACTGCACTAACTTATCACATTCATATTTGCTTTATTTGCTTTATTGTTAGTCTCTCCTTCCACTGAAATGTGAGATCCTTAAGAGTAATGGCATTATTTGTCTTATTTATTGTTGGATACCTAATTCCCAGAAGAGTGCAGGGCCCACAGTGGATGCTCAGGAAGTATTTGTTGAATTAGTGAATTGAAGAATGGTCATAAACAGAATAAATTGTCTTTTCCAATAGAGTTTAAGTTTCATGAAGGGAGCAACCGTATCAGTTTTGTTCACTATTGCATCTTTAGTACATTGCCTGACACATAGTAGGTTCTTATTACAAATATGTTTCATGAATGCAATACCATATTTGCACTATTAGTGTTTTTGAGCATTCATAGGGACATTTATATTTCAGGGATATTTATGTTCAGACCTGACTGATACACAATATGTGAGCTTTTCCTCTCAATTCCCTATCATGAGGAAAAGAAATTGGCATCTTATCTCTACCTCCACCCAAAGTAATCGGCAATTTCATTGGAGAAATTTTTAGCCACCACTGAGACTAGTTCTGCATAAGAAAATTAGACTGAGATCTAGCAATTTACTAGGGCCATCAGTTTAATTATGAATATCCAATGTGAGTAAATCAGACTTCAAATGATACATGTTTTTCACCAAATTGCTTAGTAACTCTGTCAACTCTTCCATTCATTGATCTCTAAAATTGGAAGACTTGAGGTGAAATTCCAGTCTCCTAATGTGTAGTTCAGTGTTTCTCTGACTTTGGGAGCATATAAATCACCTAAGAACCTTAATAAAATGCAGAATCTGATTCAGAAAGTTTGGGATGGGGCCTGAGATTGTGTGTTTCTTATAAGCTCCCATATGTGACATAGCTGCTGACCTCAAACCAAACTTTAAGTAAGGAACTAGATAACCCTGGATAATAATAGCAAACACCAGTTGTAAGCAAGTGTAGCACTTTGTAGTTTTCAAAGAACTTATTTGTAAATTAATTTTTAAAAATCCCTACAAAGACACAATTATTCAGGTATAGATGAGGAAACTGAAGTTGAGAAAACTGACACCTTTAATTGAAGTCGCACAACTAGAAATTTAACCAAGTTTCTCCTTCCACAACTGCAGTTGTTTCCCCTTCACATCATCTGTCTGGACCACATTCACCCACTCATTCACAGTAAATTTAATTATGCTTCCATCGTGCCCTACTCGAGGGGTTGAAGATACAGCAGTGAATGAGAAAAAGATCTTACCAGGTTTTCTGATGTGTAAATGGAATGATTGGCCCTTCCCAACTCCAGTGGTCTGTGATTCTATTACGGT
This sequence comes from Homo sapiens, assembly GCF_000001405.40. Classification (NCBI taxonomy): domain Eukaryota; kingdom Metazoa; phylum Chordata; class Mammalia; order Primates; family Hominidae; genus Homo; species Homo sapiens. The sequence continues at coordinate 2,965,065 of NC_000003.12, forward strand.
GTGCCATGTTTAAAAAATGAAATTATAGAATTAAGGCATTATCTTAGGTATCATTTTCTACCTCTGTGCTCTCAGAATCAATAAACTTAAATTCAGCTGATCATCACCGTCATACAAAACTTCCTCCCACATTCTTTGTCTCATTGCAGACAAGCATATCGGAGCCAAATTTCACGCTATCCAATCAATAATTAATTCTCCTCCTAACTGTTCCTCCTAAATTGTATTGTTTTGTGCTCCTCCTGGCCACTGCTGCCCTAGTTCAGGTTTTCTCTTGTCTAGTCTGGCAGTGTCTAGAAGCACTTTCTCTGGTGATGGAAATATTCTATGTCTGTGCTAATGCAATACAGTAGCCACTTGCCGTATGTGGGTATTGAGCACTTGAAAGGTGACCAACGCAACTGAGGAAGAGAAATTTTAATTTTCCTTAATTTTAACGTTAAGTTTAAGTAGCCACATTTGCTTAGCCATCTCTTGGACAGCATGTGCCTGGATCCTTGCAGGAACTTTTCTGCCTGGTTTCCGCTGGCTTCTTCTTATATCTAAATTGATTTTCCTCATTCATTCACCAGCATGATCTTTCCAAAATGTAAATCTGATGATATCACTCCCATGCCTTAAGTTCTTATCCTGGGATAAAGTCTTTGCTTCCTATGTGACTGGCAAGGGTCTTTGTGACCTGACCCCTTTCTGAACCCACCAGCCCCGCTTTCTGCCTCACAGTTAATGCTCTGACAATGAGCTACCACCTTTTCTGCATGTCGTCCCCTGTATGTATCTAACTCCTACATATCCCTTAAGAATCAGTTCATCTCCATGAAAAATTATCATTGATTCATCCCCACCCAGGACCTCTACTATGTTTTCAGGATACTCTATAGATACATATATCATTTCAGGGAACCACATTATTTTATCTGTCTCATATTTATTGGTGGTGATAGTGGAAATTCACCAGACTGTGAATTTCCTAAAGGGAAGGGTTATTTCCAATTCATCTTTATTGACTGAGACACTACCATAGGTAGTGAGCACTACTAGCCATTGAATGAATGGGAGATGAAAAGAAGGAGAGATGGAAGAAAGGAAAGGGGGATTAAACCAGCTAGTATCAAATTTTAAAAATAAATATTGGCTGTTAACTGTTCGGGAATCTCAATTTTTCAGTTAACTTTATTTTTTTTTACAGTTGATAGCTAGTATAAATCTCAGTTAGACATATTTGGATTTTTGGAGGACTAGTGGATAGGTTTCCTATAAACAATTGATCATTTGAATTTAGTTTCAGTTGTACAAAATAAAAGGCATTCAGGCACTGAAAGACAAATTTTGCACGTTCTCACCCACATGTAGAAGCTAAAAATTAAAACAATTGAACTCGTGGAGACAGAAAGTAGAATAACAATTACCAGAAGGAGGGAGGGGTGGAAAAGGGGTGATAGTTAATGGATACGAAAATGTAGTTAGACAGGATGAAGAAAATCTATCATTCAATAACACAATGGGGTGACTATAATCAACAATAATTTATTGTATATTTTGAAATAACTAAAAGCACAAAATTTGAATGTTCCTAATACAAAGAAATGATAAATGAGGTTATGGATACCCCACTTACCCTGATGGGATCATTACACATTATATGCCTGTATCAAAATGTCACATGTATCCCATAAATATATATGCCTATTATGTACCCATAGTAATTAAATATACATTTTTAATGAAGAAAGAATAAATAAAAGGCATTGTATCTTCTCTACATAGACAGATTATTTTAATCAGCCAAATTATATTTCCTTTTGCTAAAATGTCTGAGCTTTGACTATATTGACTGGTGGACTTTTAAAGCCAGAAGACACTAAGTTCAGCCATATTGTAACTGCTCAATGGGTTCACCCTGCCTGCTGCCTAGACAGAGCAGATTTATCAAGACAGGGGAATTGCAATAGAGAAAGTATAATTCACTCAGAGCTGGCTATGTAGGAGACAGGAGTTTTACTATTACTCAAATCATTCTCCCTGAGCATTGGGGGATCAGAGTTTTTAAGGATAATTTGGTGGGTTGGTGGGGAGCAGGGGGCAGTGAGTCAGGAGTTCTGATTGGTTGAGTTGGAGATGAACACATAGGAAGTCGTAGCTGTCTTCTTGCACTGAGTCAGTTCCTGGGTGGGGGCTGTAAAATCAGATGAGCCAGTTTATTGATCTGGGTGGACCCAGCTGATCCACTGAGTACAGGGTGTGCAAAATATCTCAAGCACTGGTCTTAGATTTTACAATAGTGATATTATCCCCAAGAGCAGTTTGGGGAGGGAAGAATCTTGTAGCCTCTGGCCTCACGACTCCTAAACCATAATTTCTAATCTTTTGGCTAATTTGTTAGCCTACAAATTAGCTGGGGTCTAATCCCCAGGCAAGAATGGGGTTTCTTATGGGAAAGGGCTGTTATTGTCTTTGTTTTAAACTATAAACTATAAACTGAGTTCCTCCCAAACTTAGTTTCCATCCCAATGCCCAGGAGTGAACAAGGACAGCTTGGAGGTTAGAAGCAAGATGGAGCTGTTTAGGTCAGATCGCTTTTCACTGTCTCAGTTATAATTTTGCAATGGCAGTTTCCATATCATTTTTCAGAGGAAAAAACTATACAACTTACCCATGATTAATCAGTAAGTTAGTGGTGAATTCAGTAGAAACTGGTGTGTATATGAACACATTCTTGAAGTCTAAATCTGGAAAGAAAGGCATTTTGTTTTTCAAATACCTACTTCAGAGGAGTTTTGTTTGCTTTTTTTTTTTTTTTTAATGACAATGATTTTGGTTGAGATTTTACTTAAAACAAAAGTTACAAAGTTGTGCCGCCTTTGGTACTTCATGCTGTGCCAGTTAACAGTGGGGTGGGTCATCTGTCTATGAACCATGACCATTTTCAGTTGAAAGTTAGGGAAGTCTGCCTTATCTCAAAAGCCCTTGCCTTCAGGCTTCTGTTCAGATGGTATCAGCTGGAACAAATAAGCTGAGATTGCATTTGCTGTTTTTTGTGCTAATCTCAAGAACATTCCAAAAATGGTTTGTCAGCAGCTGAACTGAGCACAGAATCTGTGGGCATGACCATATTTCTCCTCACAAGAAAAATCACTTTTTAAGTTTCTTGGAAGTTGATTACAATGTGCTTTTTGCTCCCTCTTCAAAAGTAAGATAAGTATCGGAATCTGTCATTTTCTGCTTTGGATGTATGCCTAAACAGCCAAAGAAGCGCATCAAAACCAAGGAAAAAAATGTGGAAAGGCCAACCTAAATGTATATAGGGTATAGTCCATCCACAGACTATAGCTACACAGACAAAGTGAGGTGAAGAACTTGGCAGTTATCTGAGGGATTTTCCCAGTTTGGTTGATGCACTCGACCATCCAGAGTTCCTCTTGTTAAGTAACTTTTTGTCTGAATTTTCTGAAAAACAGAAATAGCACTAAAGATGAATCCTGAACTCTGAATAATTGTATTGTAAGTCAGAAAAAACTTTTTGTGATCAGCCACTAAAAGGGAAGTCACAAGAAGAGTCCACCACTACTACCACCACCACCACCACCAGAGCAAACTTGTTTACAGCCTCTCTGAGTCATTACTGTGCTAGGTTTTGAACACAGAGAGCAAAAGGACTATATTGCATGAGCTTATAGACTGGTGAGGAGACAAACAAGGAGGTGGACAGTTATAATCAGGATGGGCACCCATGTTGACCCCCTTCTTCTGGTGTTTCAGCCATTTGATGCATCATCTATGGACACACAGATGTTTCCTCTGTATACACTGTCTCACAAGTGACACTGTGTATTCATCACCACTCTTCAGGTTGCAAATGACTGAAATCCAACCCAAACTGGCTTATGAGGCATTTTTGACAACTTTATTGAAGTATAATTTACATTCCATAAAATTCACTCATTTTAAGTGTACAACGCAATGATTTTTAGTAAATTGTACTAAGTTTTGCAACTATCACCATCATCTCATTCTACATTATTTTCATAATATTTCAAAGGGAATCTGCTGACTCACGTATCTGAAAATTTCAGGGTTTGCTGTATGTGCTAAGGGAATATCATCAAGACTTCATTTTTGTTGGTTTCATTCTTAGCCAATCTATTCCCTGGTGAAACGACAAATGACCCCTAGCGGATTATCTACCACCTTAGTAACCCCAGCAGAAAACATATACCTCTTTTCCAGTTGTTGGAACAAATGTCTTAGGATGACACACATTTATCCTGATTGGTCTAGGCTAGGTCAGGTGTCCACTCCTGAACCAATCGCTTTAACCAGGAGTGTGTGATGCTCTATCTTTGGCCATGTCTGTGTCACATGAACACCCCAGCAGCCAGAGAATGGTGTTACAGCCACCCAAAGTACATGGTCTGAAAGTGGGGAGACATGATTTCCCAAAGGAAAATTGGGATTATTATTATTATTATTATTATTCCTAGACAAAGAGAAATGGATGCTGTGCAGGCAATACAGTAGATGTCCAATCCACAGGAAAATTGTGATCAGAGTGACGTTGCTTCTTCCCTTTTGAATCCCCTGTAGTGGTTATCACACAGCCTTTTATATAGCAAGTACTCAAAAAATATCTGTGGATTGGTCATGGACAGGCTAAAACATAGAACAGACCAACAATGACAGACTTTTACTTTCTTATTTTATTGTTGGGGAAGGCTAAAAAATTAGGAGTATGATTTCAATTATTAAAGCTAATAAACTGGGGCTTATCTGAGAGGCCACATGGGAGCATGATGGTCAGAGAGCGGCTGGATGTGTGTCAGAACTCAAAAGCAGATTGCAGTCAGACTCTTCCCCTGTGTAGGCATTGAGTACGTAGATATATACACCCACACACACAGACAGTTGACCCTTGAACAACTAAGGGGTTAGGAGTACCAACCCTCTGCACAGAAAGAAATTCACATATAACTTTTGACTCCCCAAAACCTTAACTATCAATAGCATACTGTTTTTGTTGTTGTTGTTGTTTGTTGTTGTTGTTTTAAGAGAGACAGTCTTGCTCTGTCGCCCAGGCTGGAGTGCAGCAGCAGCATAATCGTAGCTCATTTTAACCTCTAACTCCTGGGCTCAAGCAATCCTCTAGCCTCACCTTCCCAAGTAATTGGGACTACAAGTGCATGCCCCCACACCCGGCCGATTCTTTCATATTTTTTGTAGAAACAGGGCCTAGCTATGTTGCCCAAGCTAGTCTCAAACTCCTAGGATCGAGTGATCTTACTGCCTCAGCTTCCCAAAGCACTAGGATTATAGGCATGAGCCACTGCACGTGGACTAATAGGCTACTATTGACTAGAATGCCTTAATGATAACACAGTTTATAAACACTTTTTTTTTTAATTGAGACAGTTTTACTCTGTTGCCCATGCTAGAGTGGTGCAGTGGCTTGATTCCAGCTCACTGCAGCCTCGACCTGCTGGGCTCAAGCAATCCTGCCACCTCAGCCTCCCGGGTGGTTGGGACTACAGGCGCACATCACTACACCTGGCTAATTTTTGTATTTTTTGCATAGATGGGGTTTCACAATGTGCCCAGGCTGGTCTCAAACACCTGGGCTCAACTAATCCACCCACCTCAGTCTCTCAAAGTGCTGCGATTGCAAGCATGAACCACCATGCCCAGCCAATTAACACATATTTTGTATGTTATATGGATCATGTACTGTATTCTTTATTATTTTTTTTGAGACCGATTCTCACTCTGTTGCCCAGGCTGGAGTGCAGTGGCGTGATCCCAGCTCACTGCAACCTCCGCCTCCTGGGTTCAAGTGATTCTCCTGACTCAGCCCCCCGAGTAGCTGAGATTACAGGTGCCCGCCACCATGCCCAGTTAATTTTGCATTTTTCATAAAGACAGGGTTTCACCATGTTAGCCAGGCTGGTCTCAAACTCCTGACCTCAGGTGATCTGCCCATCTCGGCCTCCCAAAGTGCTGGGATTACAGGCCTGAGCCAGCACACCCAGCCTACGCTGTATTCTTACAATAAAGAAAATAAAATGTTATTAAGAAAATTATAAGGAAGAGAAGAATATATTGACTGTTTATTAAGTGGAAGTGCATCATCATACAGGTCCTTATCCTCATCCTCTTCAAGTTGAGTAGGCTGAGGTGGAAGAAAATGTGTGTATTAGTGGACTTGCACAGTTCAGACCCGTGTATTTCAATCCCGTGTTGTTCAAGGGTCAACTGTATATCTATCTATCTATATCTATATCTGTCTGTCTGTCTGTCTATCTATCTATCTATCTATATATATATATATTTGGCCTTTCTTATTGCTCTTTCATCAGAAGAGTAATGCTAGTGAATGATCTGGAATTCAGTGGTATACCATAAGCTGGCAAGAAACCTGGCAAATTGTAATTTATATTCACAAAACATTTTTTTCAAACTATGCAAATCTTTACATCTAACAGAAAAACAATAAGCAGAATTCTAGAACCTTTGGAATAAATAATTCAGTACCAATAGATACATTAAAGTATATTGTTTATAGAAAGGATCAGAGTTGAAAATTGTTAAGGAACAACCTGTATTTTAAAAGTAAATTTTATACCATTTTTCCTAAAAGGAATATGGTTCACAGCAAATTTCAGATCCATAAAAACTTTATCTTCTAGTGACTTTTAAGATTCTCTTTCTTGACAGGAACTTCAAGAATGGCAAGATATTTCTTTCTTCCACTTAACTGCAATGTGACTATGAAGATGCTGTAAACATTTGCAAATTAGGTTGTAAATAGCAGCAATGAAAGCATTAACTCTCATAGCCACATTTTCGGAAGTGCACTTTACATTATGTGGAGATAGGTATTAAGAAATAAACCTGAATGCTTATATAAAAATTATGCTGGAGATAGGTATTCAGAAATAAACCTGAATGCTTATATAAAAATCCAGCCTCCTATTTTCCAAGCACAGTGGTATAATTACAGCTCTAATTTATGGCATACTTTGTAGGATTGCTGATTAATTATACAGACCTCCTGATGTTTTATATTCTTTTCAACTTTGTTTCCCTCTGCTATGTGACCACTACAAAGCGAGTATCCCTAAATCACTTATTATTCAGGTTACCTAATTTTTAAAAAGTGAATTTGCTATTAACATCATTTTCTTATATAGCACTGTAACATTTATATGTTAAAAATTATTGTACTCCTTAATGTTGCAGCTAACTCATACACACACAGACACATACACTCACTCCTACACATACACATACAGACACACACACTCAAAGATTTTAATAAATTCCCGATATTTACCCAATGTAGACATGTCTAACAGTTCTGCATGACTTGATCTGAAATATTGAACACTTCAACAGTGCAACAAAGCATGATTCGTTAGGGATAATACTAACCAATCTCATTTTTAAACTGATTATAGGGATCCAATTTGAATAATTTGCTGCTGTGGATTATTTGGAAACAGTTGTAGCACATTTTGTTTGTTGCTCGAGGTTATCAGTGTTTTCAGAACACTATCTTCCTTTCATAGTTCTTTTGAGTTTAATAGTTATACAAAAGCCCCATTTACCAGATTTTTCAATAAATGTAGTGTGCTGATGATTACAGGAGGATTTGCCAGAAAACTCCTTTACATATACATAGTGCAATATCTTCAGATATTATCCTCTTCTTTGCTTTAAGTAGGTCAGGTTCACAATGAGCTGTTCTCCTTAAACCCCTCCCCTTCATATCCTTATCAAATTCCCTTTATCACTGTCACATCTAAATTACTATCTTCTGCTTTGCCACCAAGACATTTTTAATAGTAAGAGCTTCCTGCTCCTTTCTTAAGCTCTTCTCTTTTTCGGTCATCAACTTCCCCTTGGAATTAGGAAAAGGCCCTTGTAGATTTGGGCTATTAAATAGGAGAGGACCCATGTATCAAGTCCTTAAATGTTCTGTCATCATGAGAATTATTTATTGGAACCCATTACCTGTGCGACTTCACAGTTCTTTTTAGATGGTTTGTCTGAAAAGAATAAAGGCTCTTCGTTGAAATGAAATCGCTTTCTTTGCTACCTAGGGAAGAAAATAGTTGAGTCTAATTATTTAGAAACGAGAGGAGGATTGCTGTAAGGACTTGAGTCGATCATGGAAGTTTCTCCTATGCAAAACAGATCTGAAGGTACAGAAAACATAAAAATAATATCCCTGGGAAGAGAACACCCAGGTATTAACTTAAGCACATAGCAGGCTTTATTGAGTTTTACAGAAAAAGTAAATACAGCTGACACAACCTCGAGACTAAAATTTTTGGTGACATCTCTGTTTATCCCAGACACTGATTTCTCTATTCAGTTTTGTGATGTGGAGAGTATTCCGAAGGCCTGAAAGTGTTCAAAACCATTGTGCATAGCTTCATTTTGGGGGAGAATGTTATAATTTGCTTCTGAAAACTAAGTAATCTCTGACCTCTACCCACACATCAAGAAAGGTTAGAAATCAGTCCTAATCCCAGGAATTGTCATCAATGTCTCTAAAATTCTAAAGACTGAATGAATTTTAATCCAATAATCAACATATTTAATGTGTGCCTGTTTGTATATAAAGGACTGTATAAAATGAAAGGGAGACAGAGAGATGGATACGACCTGGGATTTGAGTTCTGGAAATCATTTGAGTAAATGGGGTGATGATATATTGAGGAAGTGTAACATCAATGCCATGTGAATAGATTGGGCAGCTTTGGAAGGTCATGAATTGGCCATTATGCGATTTGCCCAACACAGTTTATACTTATTCATACCATTGTAAGAGGAAGTTGATCATGGGAGAAAGGTTGAAATAGATGTGTGTTTCACAAGGTACAAGATTGGCACTTCTCCAAGTACTCAGATCATCTTGGATGGTACACAGTATACAGACATTAAAAAGCACTGAGCAACATAGTTCTCTTACACTCCTTCTGAGAATATCAAGGGGAAACTCATGGTTGGTCCTAGCATATCTGAACACTTTTGAAATCCTGAGTAATCCCTCTTTTACTGAAACAAAAAAAGTAGTTCCTAGGCTGAGAATCCTGGGAGACAAGTTTACCTAGCTGGAATATAATACCTTAGGTGGGTTTTTATCACATTTATTTTTATGATTACCACTATTTATGGCAAGTAGATACTGGTTTCCATGTATCATAGCAACAAGTTTCCTTTATTCTTTAATTTTGAACTTTGAAACATTTAAAAAATATTGTGACTATTGGTTATTAGAATGATACTGAAAATAATAACAGAAATGATCTTTGCAGCTAACAATGACCAGCTGTTTACCATGCACCATCACAGGCTTAAATGTTTCATGGGAATTTTTACATTTAACCTTCTCACAAAAAACCTATGAAATTCAGGTGCTTGTTAATTATGACCCCCATTTTAGAGATGGCAGTCTGGAGCCCAGAGGGGTTGAGACTCCCAAGTCACACGTCTAGCAGATAAAGAGGCAAAGATTTAGGCTGTCTTGTAGTACATCAATGTGGCCGAAATGGAGAGACGTCAGTTCAGGAAAGCTTAGAATGGATGACTGTTGGTGATGCTGAGTTTCTGTGCTTCCCAGAAGGCAAAGATGCAGCTGTTTTAGGGACAGGGAGAGACCTTGGGGATTTTAACTGGACCGTGACAGTGGTGTTCTATCATGATAGTGAATGAGCTAGTAGATTCCACTTTCATTTTCTCTCTTAGAAATATTATGAAGTTCTGGTATTAGGGGTTAAAGCAAATAAAGCATGATCCTGCCATCACCAAAGAGTTGCAAATTGGATGCATAATAAAATTAAAACATTTTTTGTTTCTGGCATGGCCAATATTGCTATTTGTCTTATAGAAACCTCTTCTCATTACTAAATTATATATTCTGTATAGTGGGCCCCCCTTTCTAATTAATAATTAATATTGTCTTCCAGGCATTTTAGTTACCAAGTGGTAAAGGAAGCTTCTGTGATTTCAACTTCAAGTTATTTTTCACATATTCTTTACTTTTGCTTCTGCTTTCAGACACATTAATAGGGACACATATTTCTCAATATTAGGAAAAGCTATTTCAACAAGTAAAATTAGAAAGCAAACAGAAAAAAAAAAGAACTATTTAATTATAACCAAAGATCTAATGGTAAATTTAAAGAAAATCTCTTAAATGTGGTTACATTTTTTACTTCTTGTTTTATTTCTTTCCTACACCCTCCAACACTGCAGGATAGCATGGTAGGAAGGGTACAGGCTCTCTAGTGAGCCCTGAGCTCAAAACTCCACTCTATTTCTTGTAAATGACATTGACTTTGGATGTTTTAATTTACTCCTCTGGATTTCATTTTTCTTAACTGAAAAATCAGGATAATGATACTCCTCAGAATTGTGCAGATTAAATGAGATAATCAATGCAAGCAGCCAACAGCACCCAATAGGATGTTGTAAGTGCTTAATAAACTTCTTAAGCATCTCCATGCGCCCAATACTCAACTTAGTATATTTACAGTTTTTCTTCTGGGTCTCTTGGTCCATTTCTGTCCACGTCTTCTTTATTTCTAATTATTTCTAGAGACAGCTGCACTTTGTTATTAAACTATTCTTTTACAAGCTACTCTGCTGTTCTGATTTTGTTATATAAAGCTTCCTGAGTGCTTTATATATTTTAATGTTTTTTTCTCATTATAAAAGTTATATTACTTATTATGATGCTTTGGTAAAAGTATATGGAAGTATAGAAAATAACAAATAATATTGCTTTAAATAATATTACTTTCCTGTCCTTACCCCCATTCATCCTCACAATGCCTTATGGAATTATGTTGAAATTGTCTCAGGTCCTAAATTCTCAGAAGAAAGGAATTCTAAATCTTATATTAGTGGAAACATGGAGATCTTGCATCAATGAAATATAGCAATTTAAGAAACAAATTTTAGGCAAAATGACATCCAAACATGTCCTTTACTTTATTTCCTTTTCCCAAAGACATGGTGTTTCTAGTGTTATATGCTTACCATGTGAATAAATAAAATCACAAAATTTTACCAGCCCAAGAAAAGCATTTCTCATGTTCATCATGCACTGTGTCACGAAGAACAATTAAAATTAACTCTGTGATCTTTAATACTCATCCAGCCCCAGGCAGAGAGTTATTGCCAGGTTATTTTAAAGGGCTTTCAAACTGTTGTTCAGAGGAAGTTAAACCTGAATCAAACCAGGTTAAACAAACACAAGTTTATTTTCTCTTTTGAGCAATGCTGCAGACAAGGGCAATAGGGTCTGAACGCAGCTTGTTCTTCAGGTGGCCTGAAATGCACAGGTTGTTCAGCAGTTTATTAAACCCAAATCTTACAACAGAAAGCAAATTATCTCTAAGGGAACTTTGTCACCAGGGTGTCTGTTCAATAGTGATGTCTATTGCCACCACAGAGACTACACGGAAAGGTCAATGACAGGTTTGCCTGAAATTACCCCGGGAGGAGGTGTCTTCCTATTGACCTACATTAAATTTGTTATCCAAAATACCTTTTTTTCCTTAAGATGGGGAGCAAAGCCATCTTCTAGAGGTCTCAATTGACTCTTTGTAAATTGCAATTACCACAAAACAATCTTTCTTTCTATAATTCAAAATAATTAATTCCTTCCCATCATGCTGAGAATTTCCACGTATCTTTTGAAATCAAGTATGTAAGCTTGGGCAAATTTCAGCTAAAAGTTAAAATACCTTTTGAATTTTATGAAAAGAGATAGGCAAGGAAATTCAAACCAAAACAAGTCTTTTTTTTTTTTTCTTTTCAGAGAAAAGTCTTGGTGTTATTTGCTATCAGGTAGGTCTATAGCATACAGCCTACCCATGCCAATTAATCTGCCAGGCTTTTCTAATTTCTCAACTGGCACAAAGCCAGAGACCCCTGTACTGTATCCGTATGTCAGCTCTTGCAGTCACAGGCTAATTCTCCTGTTGATAGGTTGAATATATGAATCTTTATCTCTGTCTCTTCATTGTCACCTCTCTACTCCTTCTACATTGTGACTATTTCTTGGGCATTGTATTCCAAAATTATGCTGTATTGCTTTTGCCTCAAGGGCAAGTAAAGACAATGCCTTTCTCATAAGCAGTTCAGCTTTCAGGCAGAACAGCTTAGAATACCATAGGTTGCCATTTTGGTGTAGATCCTCCTCTGTCTTATTTTGGTTATAATTTTAATACCAAAGTAAATATTTATCACTTGGCCAGAGTAACAAGAAAAAGATCAAATGAGAGATGTAGTTTAATCCAACCAACAAACTGGGTTAATTACAGAAGAAATTAAAATTGCAGGCAGGCCCTAATCTTTTTTTTCCTACTGGACTTTTATTCTTTGATACATTACCCATTACCACCCCCAAACTGTCTTTTATACTCCTCATTTGATTGTTATTATATCACCGAGAGAGCAATAATTGCAAGTCTCTGTTAGCTGCTGTTGGGGAAAAGGCCAAGCCTTCTACAGGCTGGAAGGAGGCTGAGCAGTGGGCATGGGAGGTGGTGCCAGGCCCACAAAAGCAGAACCCCTCCTGCGTATCACTTCCTCTGCCCCTCGTCTAAGGGCTTCAAACAAGGTCTAACAGCCCTGGGGGGTTTCCTCTCTTGATACCCGTTATGGGTTAAACAGTTTCCCTATAAAAATCATATTCACCTAGAATCTCAAAATGTGACCTTATTTGGGCCCTTTGCAGATGTAATCAAGTTAAGATGAGATCATACTGGATTGCATAGGCCCTAATCCAATGACTGATGTCCTTATGTAAGGAGAGGGAAATTTGGATACAGAGGGAAGACAATGTAAAGAGACACACATCCGCACCATGTGACGATGGAGGCAGAGATTGGAGTGATGCCTCTGCAAGACAAGGAACACCAAAAAACAAAAGGGCCAACAGCCGCCAGAAGCTGGGAGTGAACCAAAGGGTTTCTCCCGCAGAGCCTCCAGCAGCAACCAACCTGGCCAATACCTTCATGTCAGACTGCCATCCTCCACCACTGCCAGAGTATAGATCTTTATTGTTGTAAAGCGCCTAGTTTGTGGTGTGTTGCTATGGCAGCCATAGGAAACTACTACCACACCACACCCATCGTCCCCTCCCACTGCATTGCTCTGTTCTCTCTGTCCAGTATGTCTTGAGTGGAAACATTGAAGAGGGGATAGATCGTGGCCTCATAACCACAGGCTACCCTAAATCCCGGCCCCATGTACTCAGGCACATGCTGCTACTGGTTTAAAGTCAGGGTTCACAGTCTCAAAGGCCTGCAGGGGCCTGGTAGGAACATTAAAGAGAGGTTCAAGCCAGGCATAGACGGGAGCTAGAAAACCCACCATCTGCTCAAGAGGGCTGCTGCCCGTCTCCTCCAGCCTATTGGTGCCCTAAGGGGATATGTTGCCAGTATTGCCCTATCTTCCCATATGTCACAATTAGCCAGGAATGGGCTTTTATATGAAATCATACAATTATTAGATTGTTATTTTAATTGTGTAGAAAAAGCAAGCTCATCTGTGGCTGTGAAGTTCCTCTGGTCTATTAATGACAGGCTCGCTGACACGTGCCCAATTCTGTCCTGCCTTGTGATGTACGTGAGACCTTTGGTTGGGGGATGCCTGTCTAACCGCCCTCATTCTAGGGCATCGCTGATGGCCCCTGGGGTCAGCAGTCTTCCTTTCCTGGAGCCAGGCCTCCTGTGACAGCTCTGCCATCCTCCCCTCTGCCATCCTCCCAGTTTGCTTAAGCTGAGAAGTAGTCTTACCGAAATATAAGTTAGTCGCTCACCCCTTGCAGAGTTCAATTAACTGGAGTGAGGTCTGGTATAAAGAAAGCGATTTATTCCAAAGCTAGCTTGGGGAAAGAAATACAGATGTCCTGCCTTAAGTATACCACTTCACTTTTGGAACAGAAAACGGGTACTTTTCAAAGGTAGAGGAGGAAGCAAGCAAAACGTGATAGCTCTGGTGGCTTATCTACGAGGTGTTCGAGCTTGTGACTGCCGGCACCTTTGTGGACAGGACTAGGCTGCAAACTTACCAGGTGGGAAGGAGTTTCCTATCTCTTGAGGCAGTCACCTGGTAGGAGGGAGTTTTATAAAATTGAGGCAGCCTCCTGGTGGGGGAAAGTTTCTTTCTGGGGCGCCTAAGCACATAGTTAGATGAACTTGCCCGGTAGGGAGTGTCTGGTGAAGGGGAGGTAAAAGGCTATATTTGCATTTCTAAAGGGCTATGTAGGAAGTGGGGAACCAGGGGAATGAGAAGAGAAAAGAGAGAGAAAAAAATAATTAAACCATCTTAGAAAAATGGGGCTACTTGGTGACAGTAGCAGTAATTATTTTAACTATGTTTGGGATTCTGTAATAAATTTTAGCTCTTCAGGAGTTTAGCCTCCCTCGTAATGTGTAAATCTATTGTTTCACTTTCAGGCTTTCAGCTTTCAAACACGTTTTCTGGAACCAATCATGTATAAAAGAGAGTAGAAGCCTTTTAAGGCCCTTTGAGTTTTTTTTTTTTTTAATTGCACATAATTTTAAGTGAGCTATTTTATTCTTGATCTAACAATAATAAAGATGATTTAAAATTTAACATAACAGTTTGTCACTTTTTTGTGTATTTTGTTTGTTTGTTGAAAGGAAATGATCACTCCATAATTTCTTTCTTTGCAGAAGGAGAGAAGTGGTTTTCTAAGTTGTATTCTGAAGGGATTTATTTCTAAGGAAGTGTTTCAGTGTGACTTAAAGGCAAGCAAGGATACGCTGTCTCCCTCTACAGCAGTTAGGCTTCCTGCTGAACTGCTCAGAAAAATCATAGGTCTCCATTTTGGGATAATCCTCCTCTTTTGGGTGATAGAGTGAAGTTGGCAGCTTTCATCATGTGTTACTAAAGACCCCCCCAAAAGAAAAGATCAGCATTTTTAAAGGTCCTGTGTCCCCAGACTGGTTTTGATTTATAGGACTGACAATGTCAACTTTTCAATGGCTGCAACTCAGAGCCTCATGTGAAGAAAGATAGATTCAATTTATCTCCTGAGTCCAGATTTGTTCCTATCCTCTGTGGATCCAAAATCTCCAAATGACAGTGAGGGAACAACTGCTTCTCTATGCTCTAGGTAATTTACTGTGTTGTGAATTAGATGACCTCTTTTCATGTAGGGAAAATTAAGTCTTGTGTCATGTCTGTATTTGTACTACTTGCTGCTTTATCACCTTTGGCTTTTCTCTGTTGCCACCAATAATTTAAAAAGGGCCACAGGTAGGTCAGGACTAACCTGTTCTAAGCCAAGAACAGATTTACATTTTCAATTCTTTTCATCTTACTCCATCACTATTCATAAGTATTAGGAGGAGCTCAAAGTTCACTATCACCCTAATAGCTACAAGTCAGTCAGTAGTCTAAATTGAGGAAACCAAGATGAGATGGACCATAAAGGAAACTTTGAAATCTCATCCAGAAACAAACATGAAAATAAAGCTATTAAAGCGGCGCTGTTGTCTGAGGTAATACCCGACGTTTGACATCTCATGCCAAGAAAATTAAGGACACGGGCACACACAAGGAGTGAGTTTAGAGCCGAAGTTTAATAGGCAAAAGAAAGAGAAAGAACAGCTCCCTCTCCTGCAAGAGAGAGGAACATTCAAATGGGACTTCCGGCTTGTGTTGGAGTACACCAGATTTTATAGACAGGCTTGAGGAGGCGGTATCTGATTTACATGGGGCCCAAAGATTGGATAGACCAGGTGTGACGTTTACATAACTCGTGGGGAAGCTGGCTGGACCACCCTAATATTATGCAAATGAGGTCTTTGCCTGGCCAGCACCACCCTGTTGTCTGCTTCTTGCTGTACACGTGGCTGGCAAAGAGAAGGGACGATGGAGCCACTATTTTAAACATGCCTAGTCCCAGGTAGTCTTTTCCTATTGGCACAGCTGCCAGCATTCACCCATGCACGCTTCCAGCTTGCTTTGTCTATGTCTGCAGCTCGATTTTACAAGCTGCTCTTTGTTAGAAAAGAAAATGATTTAGGGGCTGCTTTTCGTTAAAAGGAAAACCTGGGCCGGGCGCGGTGGCTCACGCCTGTAGTACCAGCACTTTGGCAGGCCGAGGCAGGCAGATCACGAGGTCAGGAGATCGAGACCATCCTGGCTAACACAGTGAAACCCCGTCTCTACTAAAAATACAAAAAATTAGCCGGGCGTGGTGGCGGGCGCCTGTAGTCCCAGCTACTCGGGAGGCTGAGGCGGGAGAATGGCGTGAACCCAGGAGTTGGAGCTTGCAGTGAGCCGAGATCGCAGCACTGCACTCCAGCCTGGGCGACAGAGCGAGACTCCGTCTCAAAAAACAAAAAAAGGAAAACCTTACCGAGGACTCCCGTACCCTCACTATCTGCCTAAATAATTTCTCCTTAACTCCTGTATCACTATCCTTGGACTGGATTTAGGTACTATATTCATGAAAAAAAAAAAGAATGTAATATTAGTGGAAAAACCGTTTTTCTAAGTTGGTAGAAGATCCAAATGGAAAGGAAGAAAATATCTAAGTATTTATATTGAGTTGCATTTCAAATTTTTCCTTGAGCTAGCCAAATTTGTACCCCAAGGCCGAATGCTAGCTTTATAGCTTATTTCTGGCTTATAAAAATCCCATAAAACATTGGCCGAGTGTGGTGGCTCACTCCTGGCATCTGAGCACTTCGGGAGGCTGAGGCCCTCGGATCACTTGAGGTCAGAAGTTTCAGACCAGCCTGGCCTACATGGTGAAACCCCATCTCTACTAAAAATACAAAATATTAGCTAGACGTGGGGGTACATGCCTAGCTATCAGGGAGGCTGAGGCGAGAGAATCGCATGTACCCAGGAGTTGGAAGTTGCAGTGAGCCGAGATCGTACCACTGCACTCCAGCCTGGGTGACACAGCAAGACTCTGTCTCAAAAAACAAAAAAATCACATAAAACACATTAAAAGCAACAGGTCAAATTGTATACTTAGCCTTTATATGCAGAAAAATATAGCCAAAATTATGTGATACAGCTGTGTATGAAGAAATGTCAGGTGCTTTTTTCTTCATATTCGGAACTGTGTGGTTATTCTTCCATTATAGATAGCATTCGTCAATCTTCTACCGAAAAGTTCTATCAAGGCAGTCATCACGGAATCATCTTCAGAATCCATTCCTTCCATTCTACTTTTACTACCACCGTCACCTGAACAAGTTCAGCAATTTCTTGGAAAGATTGCACTCTTCCTGTTGTCAGGGCTGAAAACTCAATTTCTAACATCTTATATTATTGGCTTATATAACTGGGGCGTCCAAGGTGTTGACTTCCACCGTGGACAGAAATGGGCTCAAAAATGTCATAAGGTCTCTGCTTCTCTTTCTCTCTCTCTTTCTCTTGGGCTCTGTTTGTCTTTGGATGGCTTCCTTAAGGCATGCTTTCTCTATATGGTAGGCAAAATAATTGCCAACAATTCTAGATTCCCATCTTCCAAATTTAGCAATCCCAGCAGAAAGAGATTGTTTTCTCAAAGAGCTCCTGGTTTTGATGGCATGCTTCTACACCCATCACTATAGACAAGAGAATAGGGTCTCCTGACTGGCCAGGTCTGGGTCCCTGCCCATCTTTATACCTAGATAGTTTGTCAAACAGCTTTCCCATTGAAAACAGTAATGCTCATTTTACTGTGTGCTTATAGAAATGTGTATGTTATTGTATGGAACACATTGGCATTATTTCTAGATATATAATCATCAAAAGTAATGATTTATTATGAGCTTGAGAACAAAAACAATAATTTTCACATCACTAAAAAAAATAGCACAAAGCTTGCCGGGCGCAGTGGCTCACGCCTGTAATCCCAGCACTTTGGGAGGCGAGGCGGGCGGATCACGAGGTCAGGAGATCGAGACCATCCTGGCGAACACGGTGAAAACCTGTCTCTACTAAAAATACAAAAAATTAGCCGGGCATGGTGGCGGGTGCCTGTAGTCCCAGCTACTCGGGAGGCTGAGACAGGAGAATGGTATGAACCCTGGAGGTGGAGCTTGCAGTGAGCCGAGATCGCAGCACTGCACTCCAGCCTGGGTGACAGAGCGAGACTCCATCTCAAAAAAAAAAAAAAAAAAAAAAAAAAAAAAAAAAAAAAAAAAGCACAAAGCCTAATATATAGGAGGTATTTAGTAAAGAACTATGAATAAATGGGTTCAATATATCATCCCCCTTCTGTGTCTATTTGGTGTCACCCATATGCTTTGTGAGGCATCATAATGTGTTGTAGGACTTCAGAGTGGCAGAACTACTCAGCAGTTGTCTTAGTCTTAACAGAATCCTTTGTAATTGCTTGAAACAGTGGGTCCAGGAAGGCACAGAGCTTCACTTAATAGAACATGTGGCTAACTCTGGTCTATTCATGAGTGTCTCACTGACATATGCCCAAGCACCTGTCCCGCCTGGTGTATTTTACATGTCAGGCATCGTTCTAAGCACCGCACATCTTAACAACAACTCTATGAGATGTATATAGTTACTTTTATTATCCCATTTTTACAAACAAGGAAGCTGAGTTACAGAGAGATTAACTTTCCCAAAGTCACACAACTTCTAAGTAGTAGAAGCATGATTTGAGCCTAGACAGTTTAGTTCCAGAGTTTATGTTCTTAGTTACTACACTATATTGCTGTATAAAAAAGTGGTTGAGTTTCTCCAAAGAATAGTTTATCAAACTTCATATTACCCCCACATTTGGATAATAGTAAGAATAAGCGGTCACAGCAATATGTTGTGATTTAATGAAGACTACTGAAAATTACCCCTTCTACAAATGATCTCCCTCACTGTCTTTCTCTCATCTGGAATTCTAACAGTTAGGGTCTTACCTCTCTTACTTACCTCTTTGCAAATAACAGTGGGAGAGTTGAGACCCTAAACCAATATCAGGCACTGAAATATTTAAAATGAATAGTATAATAGTTTATAAAAATTATTTTGTAATTTCACAAGGCCCATAGGAAATTGGATAGGGAAACTCTGAGGACAAGGGGCAAAGAGAGCCTTCTACTACGACTGTGAAAAGCTAGCTGGCTTTTATGCAATGCAGATACCAAAAGCAGGAAGCAGGATGGAAATGATGGTGGGGAAAACATTTGAAGAGTGTGAAGCACTTTAAGTTAACGAAATTTTCACCTATCTTATCTCATTATAGAAGAAGGGATTTTAAAAACTGAATTAGACCAGCAGTTCTCAAATGGGGTGATTTTGACCCCCAGGGTATCTTTGACAATCTCTGGAGACATTTTTGATTGTCATGACGTGGGGAAGGGTTAGAGCTATGGGAGTCCAGTGGGTATAGGCCAGGGATGGTGCCCATTATCCCCCCCAGGACAAAGAATTGTTCAGTCCAAAATGTCGTCAGTGCCAAGGTTGGGAAACTCTGTCTCAGAGCTTGCATAAGTAACTTGGCTATGCCATATACTTGACAAGTTTCAGAGTCAAGGCTAGAATCCAAGTAATCTGATGACAAGTCCTTTGCTTGTTTCCGTATTCATTTCCTTCAGCATGTCAGAGTTTGATACAGGCGATGGCTTTAGGTTTTTGGAATGATCGTGATACTGTTTTTAATGGTATAAGTTATTAATAGGTGTTTTTGCTTTTAAAGAGTCATCTCACCCCTCAGAATGTTTAATATGCTCCAAGCCAGTGTTACCTCATGAAAGATAAGTCTGTACATAAAACACAAATGTCACCTTACATATTGAATTCTCATATGCCAGTGTTTCACAATTTCTAGCAAATTATTTTATAAATGGAATGTGACTAACTCCTTTAAAGCTATTTTTGTTATTATTGAGGTAATTAAGATTTGTTCACCACTCTGTTTTTGTCAGTGCATCTGCTCCTTGGCAAATGAGGTATCAGATGGTCTTTACTGAGCAACTGTTATATGCGTAGCTGTGATGTGAATGAACAAAAGGCCTTCTTGTCTGTGTCTTTTTTTTAGCCAGAGCTTGGATTTAGCTTACGCTAAATTATTTTTTTAATTGTAGATTTGAGATGTTTTATTATGAGAAGTTGGTAATCATCTGTGTAAACTAATAAGAACTGAAAATTCATCATACATTTACTTATTTTTTTACCTTGATCTTCTAGTAAATGTTTAGCTTCATAGATTTAGGCTGCTATGTAAGAACATTCTCCTTTATCTGAGTGATGTGATTTAACAGAGTAATTTGTTTATGAGCATCTCTTATTCTTTCTTTATTGGCAGGAGGACTTGCACCTCTGCTTCTCATTTTGTCACTTTGGGTTCAGACACCTCTGTAATAGCCATCACTGGGGGCAGATTTCAGTAGACTTTGAAAAACTTGTTTTCCCTGAGGCTCCATATGCTTCCTGGTTTGCAAAATATAATGACCCGCAAATCCTTCAACAACAGCAATGGTTAGGCCTAGCAGTTACCACCTCACTGGCCATGGCTCCAGCTCGGCTCCCTTGCCTCCACCAGAAGCATGGGTCACCCCAGCCCAAAGGCCAAGACCTCCAACGCCAGGCCTCTACCAGAAAGCAACATAGGCACCGCCAGCAGGTACAAACTGCCCAACCACAGGTGCCCTTGTGCCTTGTCTGCCTCTTGTACCTTGATTCGGGATGACTCAGTTAATTTGCATATTGATTTCAAATTGTCAGAAGTAACAGTCAAAATACAAACAGAAGGCAGAAGGCTGATGTAATTACTATATTAAAAGAAAATATATTAAAATGATGTTGTCCAATTTTTCCTATATATACAAATGACCAAATAAGAGAATACTTTTTTTTTTTTTTTTTTTCGAGACAGGGTCTCGCTCTGTCTCCTAGGCTGGAGTGTAGTGGTGCCATCTCGGCTCACTGCAACCTCCACCTCCTAGATTCAAGCCATCCTCCCACCTCAGCCCCCCAAGTAGCTGGGACTATAGGCTCAAGCCAGCACACCTGGCTAATTTTTGTGTTTTTTGTAGAGACAGGGTTTTGCCATGTTGCCCAGACTGGTCTCAAACTCCTGAGCTCAAGTGATCCTCCTGCCTCAGCCCCCTAAAGTGCTAGAATTACAGGCATGAGCCGCCACACCCAGCCTCGCAAACACAATTTTAAAGATGAAAGAGAACCACTGCCTAGTAAATATCAGGAAACCTCTAGGAACCTTACTGACCCTATCTTACCTAATTCTTGCTATCAATCTATAAGATGGACATTGTTAGTTCTGTTTCATAGAAGAGGAAGTAAAAACTGAGAAAGTTAAGTAAGTTGTCTTTAGTGGTACAGCTAGAACCCACAGCTCTGGAATGTGAACTCCCATCCCTCTGATTCCAAAATTCTTTGTAGAATTCTTCCACCTTCATACCCTCTCATCAGACTGAGTCATAGATCTGGACCGGGTCTTCAGGAAGACTGTAGCTTCTCCATCTGTAAGAGCCTTCAAAAAAGTATATGCAGCATTTGCAACCCAGCGCATTTACATCTTCACCTGTGTTTTTATAATGCTTGCTCAAAAGTTCTATGAAGTGAGGCTCTGCCCATCCTAGACCCCTGTTTCAGATATTTGAAAGGACTCTGTTAAGTATAGCACTAGTGCCAAGTGGTTCAACCACTCTGAATTCCTACAACGTATTACCGATTTTTCCCTTAGGTTATTTATTTATTCATGTATTTACTCGGCCACTTAAGAAATATTTCTAGTATCCACTACACGCCATCCTGTGTACTAGACCCAGGAGGTTCAGTCGTAAGACAGACACCATCCCTTCCCTCAGAGATGCTACCATTCCATGTGATAAGACAACTAAGAAGCAAACAAATAAAATTTCCTGATTGAATTTAGTGGGAAGAAATAAAGTGGCTGCAGGAAAACAGGGAGACAGGGAGAACCACCGTAAACAGTGAGTTGGGAGAGATCTATCAGGAAAAGCTACCTCTACACTGAGATCCTGAAGGTGAGAAGGTGACAGCTATGTCCAGATACAGGGAAATGTGTTCAAAGCAAGCAGAAGAGCAAGTGCAAAGGCCCTGAAGTGGGAAGGATTTCAAATACTCTGGAATATGCAGAAGGCCAGTGTGACTAGAGTTCATCGAAGGGTAGAAAGATTAGAACAAAACAGTAAGCAAGAGAGGCTTTTTAAAAAGCTAGATCCATTAGGCTTCATAATAAGGCTCCAGCAAGAAATTTTTTCAGAATGCAATGGCAGAGCCAAGGATATAGCTTTAAGCCAGGAGAGTGATATAATCGGATTTAAATTTTAAAAGATCATCTGGCCACTGACTGAAGAATGGATTTGAGGGACAAGGGTAGAAATAGGCAGGCCAATTAGGAGGCTGTTTTGATAGACTAGGTGAGAAGGAGGGCGTGAAAGGGATGGAAAGATGTGAGCAGATCTGAAATAAAAGAGAAATTTAACAGACATTTACCTTGAGTGAGCTATCTGTGTACATTTTTTACTTCTCTGACAAGCCTCTAAGCCAAGCTGTGTGTCTTATTCATCTTTGTATTTTCCTACTTCTCTTCTGGTAGTCATGATGAAAACAGAGTTCTTCAAAATTCTTCCTCTTCCAGATTTTGCATCTGTCAACAAAAACATTTTCTTCCCTGCAGAAAGTAGATGTTTGTCTCTAATTGTGGGGCCTGAGGTTTGCCATCCACATTTGCTCTTCTGCCAAAGTCACGCTGAGTCGTGGAATATTTTAATTTTTTTTAAGTTCAGTTTTTACATCTCATTAAAAATGTGTTGGCTGACATATTTCAGAAATAAATATGCTTAATAATACCTCATTTAATTTAAGGCTCTCATTTAGAAAAAAACACTTTCAATGAAAAGACTTAAATTGATTAATCAAGGGATTTTTTCGTATTCCTTATTAGCAGTTATAAGACTAATGGTGATCTACCGTAAGCCTTCCCTTTGCCTAATGTGGTTAGAGCTACCAAAGAGAAATCGTTACAACCTGTCTAATATTTATAATGGCTATTCCAACTGACTGTTGAGACCATTTTAGCAAGAAAAGAATTAAAAACACTAAACAAGTCACATGTCTCAATTATGTTTATGTATATGTGGACAAATACCCTAAATAAAGATGAGGCTGTCATCTTTACTACAAATAATGTAGCAATGATTTATGGTTTGAACAATGACAGAATGACAGAACTAATTTGCAATAGGTCATATGAGATAAATTTCACCATTTTTGGTTCATTTACTTTGATTTCAGAATTACCATTTCTGAAGATGGAAACCTCAGAATCATCAACGTTACTAAATCAGACGCTGGGAGTTATACCTGTATAGCCACTAACCATTTTGGAACTGCTAGCAGTACTGGAAACTTGGTAGTGAAAGGTAATGGCTAACCCAAAGAATTCGAATATTTATATATGTGTCCTCGTGTCTAATAATGTAATCTACCGAAGTGGCATCATTCATATTAATATGTACAGATACCACTGTATTGCTAAATTAATTCATCACGGCAAACATGATATGATTAATAATTCTTAGAAAACTGCTGGTAATGAATATGATTGAAAGGCTATCTTATTTCAGAATCATCCAATACAATTTTGAGAATTATAGCCATTGTATCTCTTATAGTATTGTAACGAATGTTATCTTCAATCCTTTAATTAAATTTCTTTCAAGTCTCTATAGATTTGAAATTCATGTCTAGGAACACTATTCCAACAAATTAAAAACTCAAGACTCATGTACTATTTTTAGAAAACATTGTTTAAACAATGACATTGGTAATTTTTAAGATAGCTGTCCCATTTATTCAGAGATATGGATATGGCTTATTATACTAATAGAAGGCTTTGATCACCTCTATGCTTTGCCTTAGTCACCCAGCCAACCTTGTCAGTTTTAAGGAAATAAAATTCCCATATACCATAGCCTGGGTGCTTTATAATTTTTGTAGCAGAAAGTCCTTTATGCTCTTAGCAAAGCACGTGAGTGAAACTATTTCAATATTAGCTTCATGGCATGGGCTGGAAGTGCTAAGTAACCATTGAAAAGGAGAAAATCTTAATTTACATTTCATTTGCATTTCTTTCACTTTATATATTGCCCTGTCATAGGATTTTTGAGTTGAAGGGATCTTGACAATGATTTGACTGAAGAAGATGAGGCTCAGGTTGGTGGTTCTCTCAAGGTCACGAGTAGCAGGAGACCTGAACCCAGATCCTGATTCTGAGTTCTTCTTGGTCCTTTATGCTGCACCAGGAAACAGGAAGCCTTTCCTGTTTCTGAGTAATTTATACAGATGGGTCATATCATATTATTTCCTTCTTGCCCATTTGTAGTTCCCTTGGTGAAGACAGATGAAGGCAAATAAAAATATCAAAAAAAACAATTTGCCTTTAATTTAAAGAAGAAAGCTAAAAATTACCTAATTAAATATTTTAGGGTCATTAGAAGTTGGAAATGTACTACTCTTTTGGGAAGTCTTTTTATCATTAACATACTTGACCATGCAGATAGAAAATTGGAAGTCCAAGAGTTAGAACTAAATATATGTTTAGATTGATTACAACTATTTCAGTCTATTAATTACTTCCTCAGAGCACTAGCATCAGTGTATGACTGACTGCTTGTTCACTCTGTTTCATAGGCAAAGGAAAAAGAGGTTAGATAATATTTGTAAAGTGCAGTTCTAGCTAGAGGTTTTTGCTAATGTATGACTGTCTTGGCTAAAGGAAGTTTAGTAATCATTTAGGACCAAGAGAGATCTCAATGTTTCAGAGCTGGTTAGACACAGAGCTGGGATCTGTTATAGATTATTTGTGAATTATGGAGATATAAGAGAATATTAGGTTGACATCTTAAATCATAGTTAAAAGACAGGGATTCAAGTCAGAGTGATCTGGATTTGAGTCTCATTTCTACCACTTACCAGCTCTTAGACAAGACACTTAGCCTGTGTGGGGATAATAGCAGTGCCAGTCTCATGGAGTCGCTTTGATAACTGTGAAAATCCATGTTAAGTGATTAGTGTGGTGCCTGGCACCTAGGAAATATTAATAGTTGTTTTGTTTATAAACATGTTTTCATAAAATGAGGTTGTTCTGATGACTGTGGTAATCCATGCTAAGCGATTAACAGGGTGTCTGGCACCTAAGAAATATTAGTATTTGTTTTGTTGTTTATATATTTTCAAATGGATATGCGTGTATTCTAAATCCTGTTGAAATGAACATTTATGATATTTCCACCCCAATAGAATAATTAGCATAGAGAAGTGAGCCTATAATAAAGAAATGACTAAGAATATGAAAGATTCAAAACAGCTAAGCATAGAAACCATATATATGGTGTCTCATATTGTTAAAAGTAGGGTATTTTCACAGGTAGGAACAAGGTATGTTCTGTATTTTATTATCATCCTTCTTATAAGTATTGGCTTCCTTGGCTCTCCCAAGAGTTGGCAGAAAGGAGAGGCCTCTATTTCCCATCAGAGTTTGCATCCCAGTGATACCACAAGCCCCAGGACAAAACCGTTCCCAACCAACTGTGCAGATCCCTGCTGCTCATCTTACACTGAATCACGATGCAAAGCCTACAAATATATCAGGGATTAAATACGTTATAGTTGCCTCATTTTTGTGTGGTTATAAATATTGCTAAGATAGTAATTTCTACCTATTCTAACAAACAAAATAATTTATTTCTTGCCTTCTAGTAAAATGTGAACAAGTATTCACCCAAGTAAGTATAGGATATAGTTTTAGGCAGTTTACAGTTACAATTTTTTAAAATTTTATTAACTATTTGTTTCTTTCAAGGTATATTAGGAGAACACTAGTTTTCCACTAACGGCAATAATAACAACAATATTTCAAAATAAATTTACGTAAAGAAGTGAGTCGGTACAAAGAAAAGTACTAAATATGCATTGTTATAGGAGGATATGCAAAAAATCATGAAGATGGTATATGTGAATGTCTAAAACTAGGAAACATGACTTGAGGACAATTTCCAGGAGAGTTTTAGTGGACTTATAGATGCAGAATTAGTATGTCCTGCCTATGCTAGCCACATGATTCGCTGAAACATGCACAACACTTTAAAAACTGAAATTTCCTAATAGGTGAGAGAACGAGGAGGGACTGAGGTAGGAAGAGCCTGGCCCAGTACAAAAAGAGGAAGGCAGGGATGTGTAGGTATGAGCCATGAGGTTAAGGGATGATGTGCCCAGGTAGCCTGATTGACAGGTAGAATTCATGTGTTTCCAAGCAGAGTTATTTCTGGCAGTGGCTCCTGGTTCTGAGCTGCAGTTAGTTTCTCCACAGAGGTCCTCTGATTCTTATATTCTTCTTCTAGGTGAGGTGGGGGAAAAAAGTTTTATTTGGCCAATATGTTCTCAGGAGTTAACAATCCTGTTACTTTAGATAAGGTCAGAAGAGATTTGGGGGATCATTTATCTCCCAGTGTGGTTGGTTCTCACTCCCATTAGCATTAATGGGAAGTACGTGTGTCTGCAGAGGGGCCATCCACAGTGCGAGGTCTCCAAGAAGGACATTAACATAAACTGAGAAATATAATTTAAAAATCTGCCCCATAAAGCACGATATAGGCAGAGAAAACCATTCTGAACTCCGCATGAACTGTGCCAAGTCCTGAATCCCACATCAAAATGCTTGAGCCCTGCACCTTTAGTGCAAGTGTAACAGCTTAGCCCGAAATATGACTGAGCGCTGTATTTTAATTCAATTTTGAGATCTACAAAGGGACTAATTTATCAGAGAAGGTGTTCTGTAACCTTAAAATGTGCTTGTATTCTTTCCGATTTCCTCATGTGTCTGGGATTAAAACACCGTGAAGGTCGGGCGTCAGAACATATCTTTTCTAACCTTTTTACAATAGTTCTATCATTAACCATGCTTTCAAAATCCAATTCTCTTTCTCCCTACCCTTGCCCCCATGTTTCGGAGAGAGGCTGAAGATAGTGTCAAACACAGGGTCAGCAGGTAGGGGAGGAGAGGGAGGTGGCACATCTATTCCACCAGATACAGGAGGTTTAGAATAAACCTCTGACAAGCAATCATCACATGAATAAATATTCAGATTCTGCATGAGCAGGCTCCCAAACTGCAGAATTCTGACAGGTGCCCAGGGGGCTCTTGATTATCATCCCATCATCTGAATTCCTAAATTTTACTGGTTTTGTTTTTCAGGCTAGTTATAATATACTTGGGATTTGGTTTGCTGTTTCATTTTAAGCAAGAACAGTTCTTAAGTCAAACCCTCAAATACTCACAGAAAGCATAATGTTAGACCTTTAAACAAAAATGTGCTTTTGTGATCATTGACATCATTAAGAACTCTACAGAGGGCAGGGTACATTTATATGCAATATTGTACTTACTAAATCATGTTTATCTCTACAGCAGAGTTAAAGGGGTGGTGGTGGGTGGGGATTTTGCATGACACAGTGCCTCTGCTATACAGGTTTCATATGACAGATATTTTTAAGTAGCAGTCCTAGAGAAGAGCAATTTAGAGTATTTGTTTGGATGTAGTTCAACAAGATAACTATGTTAATAGCAACCCTCACTCCTATTGATTATCTCCAGGACTCAAAATGTAGGGCAGTATGCTGTGGATGCTGTTAACATAGTCATCGTGCTGAACTACATCCAAACTGACCTTGAGCAATTTTGCAACTGGTGGTTCCAGACTATACTTTGGGAAACACTGTCCTACACCAAAGAACTTCGTACATGCATGCCACCTAGCAAGTGACAGTTCAGTAGAGTGCATATTAGAAGTGCAGATCTCCTGGGCCTCACTCCTACCCTAACAAATCTAACTCCTAGGGAGGAGGCCTGGAAAAACCTACATTTAAAATAAATACCCCAATTGATCCTTATACACATCAGAGTTTAGAACATTGCATTTTCAGGGGTTTCACACTATGCTCTGTGGGCCAAATCCATACCTGTTTTATATACCCCAGGGGCTAAGCATGGTTTTCACATGTTAGCTGGTTGAGAAAAAAACCAAAAGAACAATAATATTTTTGGGCATGAAACTTTTATGAAATTCATCTTTTAGTGTCCATAAATAAAGTTTTGTTGTCACATAGCCATGTCATTTTTTTACATATTAACTAAGGTTGCTCTTGCCTTACAACAGCAAAGTTGAGTAATTATGACAGAGACTGTGTAATTTTTTTTTTTTTTTGAGATGGAGTTTCCCTGTTGTTGCCCAGGCTAGAGTGCAATGGTGAGATCTCAGCTCACTGCAACCTTTGCCTCCCGGGCTCAAGCGATTCTCCTGCCTCAGTCTCCCTAGTAGCTGGGATTACAAGCAGATGCCACGACGCCCAGCTAATTTTTGTATTTTTTAGTAGAGACAGGGTTTCACCATGTTGGTCAAGGCTGGTTTCGAACTCCTGACCTCAGATGATCTGCCCGCCTCGGCCTCCCAAAGTGTTGGGATTACAGGCATGAGCCACTGCGCCCCCCGAGACTGTGTAATATATAAGTACCTATATAATATCCTCAACTTTGCCACTTCTGCAAAACCTTAAATATTTACTAGTAAGTCCTTCACAGAAAAGAAAAATACTTATCCTCTCTTTGATAACTTTTTCTCTTCCTCAGATCTTCAAAATTCTGTCCAAGGTATAGTCTGGCCAAGCTATACACAACTTTTCTTGTACCCCTGCTGATCTTGCATGCTGGAAATTTCCACATGTCCTTGAGTCTGATTATTAGCTGGAAGTGGTAGGGAGTTTTCTTTCCCAGGACCTTAGCCTCACCCCAGTATCCAAACAGTTGACTTTAGAACTTGGATACGAGTTGAAAATCCAGAGGAGAGATAATAAATCATTGATTGAGAGGGAGGAGGAAAATTACTTGGCAGACACTGGAACAATAATTCAATTTGATTCTCCAGCATGTGGGGAGGATTCACACAGCTGGAACCAGAATAGTAAGCTAAGAAGACCCTAAAGTAAGAAGCACATGACCTGGTGTTTTTTTAAAACACTTCTCTCTTCCTAAACCTCCCACCGTCACCAGCCTAAATCAGCAGAACTGTTCCACCTTTACCTCATAATTCTCAGACTGCATGTTCTTCCTCTAATAGCAATTTTTTTTTATTTTGAAATTGACTATATAAAGTTTTACCCTAATTCTGTCTGGATTTTAAAAGAGTTCTTTTGGCTTTTCTGTTTATTTAAATGTCTAAATTCAGTGCATAGAATTACTTTTATAATAAGAAAAAATAAATTTATACTTTAAGTAGCTTTAATAGAAAAGAAGTCTTTAGTGGAAATTGACTAAGATCACAGATACACGTAACAAGAAATTATTTTGTATTTTCATTCTTCAACCCTACAAGCCGAAAAGGTTCCTGTGGTTTAGCTGAGCATTTAACGGATTCCTTTATTGCCAGAAAGAGTGCTCATTGTTCACCCCATAGAAAGTTTATTTATGTTTAAATCAACAGATTTTTTCATATATATATATATATATATGTGTGTATATATATATTTGTACCAGCACCAAAGAGTATCTACAGCATTACTATTGCGCACTATATAAAATTCTTCTGTTTTAACTGTAGGACATTGGGAAATATCAACCTTTCCATGCATAGCATAATAGACGCAATAAAGTAGAGTCTTTTCAGTTGGAACTTTATTTTGCAAATGAGTTTGAAGCAGCCCAATCTTCTATGTAAAACTGTTCAAGGCTTTATACAGATTTGACAGGGGATCAATCAGAAATCAGTAACATACAATGACGGTTGGCTGCTAACACACAACAAAAGCTTTTAACATTGGTCCCTTATAACTGAATACATTTCAACCCAATTAGATATCTTCCACTGGAACCAATTATTTCTGGGTGATAATTAAGGGTATTTCTAATAGGATTAACACAAATTGTGACCCTAGGCATCTAGAGTAGGAAGGAAAAGTTTGTCATTAGAAGTGCTAAATGCTAATTATGGTAGGTCCCTCAGTAGAAGAACATCTGGCCAGAACATTTCAATACTAGATCCTGTTAGATCTGAGATCTGTCACCCTGGAGTTGGTACCAGCTATGGTAGGAGAATCTTAAAAGAAGGGTAGGTAATTGTGCATCTTGTTCTTCCTGTGTTCACAAAGCGTGTGACATAACCTGGAAATCTGATGAAACAGGGTGTGATTATTTCCTCTGACATTCTTATGGACATGTGTGAGAGCCACGTAGATTGAGCAAATAACATGCCTTTGGCGATATCAATCATGAGTAGAATGATTCCCCTTTTGTCCAAATCTCTCTGTAAAAACCTTCTCTCCTTTTGTAATGCTGATTGCATACCATGACAGTCTGCCCTGACTCCAGCCTGCCCATCACTTCTCCATCCTTGGTCTAGAGGGAAGATGTAATTCCTTAACTGTTACATTTCTCTATGCCAACTCTGTCTTTCGTAGCAAAGCCTCTATGCTGAAGACAGGCCTCGTATTTTTGCTTTTGGCATAAAAGACACTCTGTGGGTCAAGAAGCTTGTGTGGTAACATCACCTCATTAATAATCAGGGAAAGGCAATGTAAGCATCTGTGTGGTGTGATTTTTTTACATATGAGACTGGCAAAAGAGAAACATCTAACAGTACCTTTTGTTGGTGACTATGTGAGGAAAATGGTACTCACACACTCTCAGTAGGGATAGAAATTGCAATAGATACTGTGGAGAGCAAGTAAAATTGAGAAAGTGCAATCTCCATGGCCCAGCAATTCCATTTTCTGGGCATTTAACCTAGTGGGATTCACACGTGTTCTGAGGCAGACTTGCAAAGGTGTTCCTTGTGTTGTTGTTTGTAATGAAAAGAAAATACAAGGAAATTAAAGAATAATACATATGGTATCATTTTATTTAATATATTGTATGATTAAATATAAAATTAGTAATATAAAATAATACCTTATAATGTTTGCATACAGAATACACATGCGGCATAAGCCCTAACTCAGTATTTGGAGGGAGGATGCCTGGAGTGAGATTATGTGAAAGGACTTTAGCTGTATTGGTAATATCTGTTTGGGTAAATTTTTAATATATATTCATGGGGGGAAAAAGGCTGGAGGTACATGAAAATGTGTTAAAGCCTTCTAATTCTGGAAGAGGGAATATGAGCACATATTGGTAAATTTTTGTTGTAGTTTTATATGTAAAATATTTCAAATTAAAAAGAATACCTCAGGTCAGAATCCTACATGGTCAGATATTGCAGGCAAAGCCATCCAGACAGGAGGTCTGTTTTTTCAGTTCTCTCTCAGATATTGTAGAAGAGACACCTTTTACCTGGTGATATTTAACCCATCCCATACAAATAATTTCTTTCTTGTAAGGAAAAAACTCTCCTATAAAATGAATTAATGAATTCTTTTGTAATGAATATTTACTAATCAGAATAAACAAAACAAACAAACAAAAAAGGCAAACAGAATATGACTCTTTGGCTTCATTATATGTGAAGCACATAATTAATTTCTTTTCCAGCAATTCAAAGAGACTTATGTTATACTGATTCAGTTTAATTGAACTTATTACCACAAGAAGATAATAAGAAATATATTGAAGCTATCCATCTGGCTTGCATTGAAAACCTCACATGTTTCATTCTTCATGACTGTCATAGGCCATACTAATTGCCTCATTTCAGCTGTTTTATAATCAGTATGATTTAGCTATGAATGCGATAAAATTCTTACTCCAGAGGAAGTTGATATTAAAAAGCATAGATCTCTCACCTAGCTCTGCTACCACTTCTGAACTCATCCTCAGCATTATTACAGTTATATATTTTTGAAATACATAAATAAAAATCTATCTTTTTCTCGTGCATATCTTTTTAAAGTACATCTGTCATCTTCCTTCTGTCATCCTGCCATAGAGCTATTCCTTTACTGAAGGAAAGAAATGGTTTATGTTAAGCTTTTCAGTTCATTAAATGTTTAAATCTCAAGGTAGGTTGTTTTCAAACTATGGAGTCTTTAAAAATAATTTCCATAGCTGAAATGGAGTTTAAATGGCTAATTGTGTAATAAATAAAGAGAAAAGAAAACTTAGGCACTTTTACCTTCTGTCTCTAAACATCTGAACTTCCTGTGGCTTGAGAATGATGCTTTGTCATGTAGACTGGTTTTATGTGCACATGATCTCTCAGAAGAAGACGAGTTTGTGGTATGTCTATGTGTATGTTTTAAATCATCTGTCTCCTTGTATGTTAGAGGTGGTCCCATGGGGGGAGCCAACAGTTGGTCCCAGGTCTGAAAGGGAAAGCTTGGTTTCTTATAAAGCTTGAATCAGAAAGGAGACGTGTCAGAATAATTCATGAGTGACTCTCCCCTTCCTGTTTTGGCATTTGTTTTCTGTGCCAGAGGCAGGAGGAGTATAACTCTCAAAGAGGCAGTCCTACCAAATCACGACTGAATTTCTTTGGCTGTCGCAGGCAATCAAATTTAAGAAAACTGCCCAAAAGACTTTAGGCCTTTAGGTTAAATACAGAATCTGACCAAGATGAAAGCAAGTTAATTAACATTTTCATCATCTCTCTCTGATTTACTGTAGAAGATCCATTTCTAAAAAGTTAAAATGGTTGTCTCTTTTATGTATCCATTTGAGGAGGTGAAAGTAGGTTCCTGGTTATGGGAGAGGAAATGTAAGCAGAACATTTAGAGTTAACAGTGGCTTTTTGCTTGGCCTTCTAGCAGGTCTATAATCAGTGTGCAAAAGTGCAAGACATAATTAAGTGAAGATTAGCAACATTGCTTTGAAGATTTCCCAAACTGGAAAACATACCAACTGTCATCTTATTAACTTTTTCCCCTTTTCTCTCTCTTCAAAAGTAGAACTGCTTATAAATGTAAGTAAAGCTTGGATTCTACCTAGAAGAGGAGGATCCAAAGGGTCAAATCAGAACTGCCTTCTCCTCCATGTATACTTTAATAAGCCTGGCCCACATCTCTCCTGATAGAACATGTATCTGCCTCCATTGGCTTTGTCCACAGCATGGGTAGAACACCTGGTCACTGTGCAATTTGTACCAACACTTCAACTTCTTCATGTGTAAGACAAAGGAAATTAAATTATAATGACCAGTATAGTTGATGAAGGGACACTCTGATGCAGTCCAAATATGAGGGAATAGTCAAAAGGTACAAAAGACAAAACTGTCTCCTCCCTGTAGGCCATTGTGAGCCGTAGACCACAAGCATCAGAATCACGTAGGAGTTTTTAAATAAATGCATATTCCTGGACCCTACCTCTGACCTGCAGAACCAGAATCTCCAGGGATGAGACCCAGGAATTTTCATTTTCAACAAGTTCTTCAGGGAATGCCTACACTCAACAAAGCCTGCAAACTTAGGAGCTCAACCTTTAGGAGTAGATACTGATAAACAAAGACACAGAGCTGTGTTCAAAGTACAGAAGGAACACAAAGGGAGGCAAAACTAACTAAGAGGTAAAGGTGACAATTGAACAGGGAATTGAAATATGAGTAAGAGTCTACCAGATTAAAAAAAAAAGTCAAGGTAATCCCAGGAAAAAGAAATGTATCTAATGGCCCCAGTACATGAAGGCTCCTAGCATATTCAGGGAAAATACAGTGGAAAAGTGAGGGGAACACACCCATAGCTATTGCTCATATTTCAGGAACTGTGGAAAATAGGCAAATACTTTGATTCCCTTTTTAATGGAAATAAAACAGATTTCATGAACTGTAGCTAAGTGACATGACGCCAACTTCAGTAGAAATTTTGCTTCTTCTAAGAGACATTAGAATGAAAAGTAGTTATCACCAGCATATGATTTTTTAAAATTATGTTGTAATTATATTATTTGTAGAAATATTAGCAAAAAGATAATCTCATCATTCAGAGAGATCCACATAAATATTTTTTATATTTTCTTCTAGAATTACATCCAGGCTGTATTCAATCCATATCTACATCTGTATCTTAACTGTGTATGTATCTGTTCTCAGATCTGTAAATAAATATCCTTATCACAAAAAGATCATACTGTATACACTGTTTGTAACTTCTTTTTTCATTAGTATCTTTCTACCAGCATAGATTATTTTGAACAATAAATAAGGACTAGCCTGGTTTCTTTATGAATATGTTTCTATCTCCTGCTCCTCAAAATAGCATCAGCAAAACAAAACAAAAAGAACAACTCTTGTAATATCTATGTGGGGAAGATAGAAGAATCTGGGGGATGTTTAGGAGGATTGTTTCACATGTTTCACCCTGAAAGTGTTGGTTTGGGGATTGTCTTAGTCCACTTGTGCTGCTATAATAAAATACCATAGACTGGGTAACTTGTGAACAATAGCAGCTTCTTTCTCATGGCTCTCGGGGCTGGGAAGTCCAAGATCAAGGTGCTGGCAGGTTTGGGGTCTAGGGAGGGGCCAATTGTCAGTTCCTAGATGGCACCTTGAATACTGCATCTTCCAGAGGGGAGGAACACTGTGTCCAGAGGGGAGGAACATGGCTAATTTGTCCTGACATGGCAGAGAGGATGGAACAGCAAAAGAAGACAAACTCCCCACACGAAGGTCTTTTATAATGACACCTAACCTCATTCATGACTCAGTCACCTCCTAAAAGCCGTACTTCTTAATAGTGTTGCATTAAGGATTATGTTTCAACATGAATTTTGGAAGGGACACAAACATTCAAACCATAGAAGGGATTTATGTCAATGGGGGAATGAAATCCCTAGCCATTCTCTGCCCTTTCCTCAAACTTTTCCTATTGAAATTTCTTATCAGTTGACACATGCTGTTACTGATAACATGCTGAGTACATTCTCTGATCACATGAATCATTAGGGAATAAACTAAATATCAGAAGTAGTATTCAAAATTAGTTTGAAAGATAATCATGTGAACCAAGTGTAACAAGATACATCTTAATAGTGATAAAATATAAAGATTTGCATTTTTCTTCAAAACTCAGGATGAGAGAGCCAAATTTTAGTGTCAGGTTGTGATAGGTCTTAGATGACTATAACATCATTTATGAGTCTACAATATATATACTCTTTAAAAAAAAAATTAAATCTAGAACATAATAGTGTCCAAAACAAGAGAGGGGGGAAATATAGAGATCTACTGATAAAAATACAACTGGAAGAGGATTGCTTTTAAGATAGACATTAAAATTTGAAATCACCTTAAAGAGTGACAACTGGGATGATAGGAACAGCTGTAGAAACTGAGGCTGGGTAATCCAAGGAAGAGAAGACTTATAGAGGGTGGGAGGGGAGGGGTGGTCAGTGTTTTCAAACATTTAAAGAGATATCAAACTCTATGTGACATCAGAGGGCAGTACCATAAGAGATGAGCAGGAACTGCTGGAGCAGAGGATATTACTTACGTTTGATAAAAGGAAAATTTTCAAACAATTAGGCCATTGGCCTATTATGTATGACATTCATTTCCAGACTAGACATCTACTCTAGGGAAATATGGCAGAAAGAATTCATGTATCAGATACAAGTGTGTGGTTTGAGTAGCCTGTAGGGTCATTTTCTATTCATCTTAGCGTTCTCAGGGTCTGCCCTAAGTAAATGTTGACTCATATATCCCACCCAACTCTGAAATGTTATCATTCTCTGATTTTATAGCTTGGAAAACTTACTTCTGCCCTAATGTGCTTCTACTCCAGAGCAAAAGCATACCCCTAGGTTGAATTCTGTCACACTGACTTTGTTTTCTTACTGTAGAGTCTTTCTTTCTTTCTTTTTTTTTTTTTTTTGCTTTCAATGTGAATTTATCCATAATCAGCAATGCAGTATGGGTTGAAAAGGTTATTCCGCTAATTTTGAGTAATATATTCTCAAGTAACCTATTCTCAAAATAGAGTCCAATAAAAGTATCCGTTTTCTATTTAATCATATGTTGGGATTTGAAGGGGTTCAATAAACAGTACCTTGTTCAGTGCCTGAGTTTTGAAACACTTGAGAAGTAAGTTGAGGCAGTTGGGCAGATGAAAATCAAATGTCAGCTTTGCTAGTGATAAAGGGGAATGTGGCTCAGGGACATAGCAATAATGGGCTTCCTAACACTGAACTCCAAATTAAGCAGACTTTTACCGCTACACAACCTCAAGTCTCTCTCACTACGAAAAGAAAAATAAGGAGTGGAGGATCAACGCAATAGGTGTACATCCTTCACTCTTCCAGGAGAAAGAATGGCACTGAGCCAAGAATTCCTCATTGTTTTTTCCCAGATGCATCACTGGATAAGGAGTGAGTAAGAGGAAAAAAGAGGACAGGCATGTTAGGAAACATCAGGTGTGTTTAAATGTCAGCTATAGACCAAGGGTTACAAACTGGTAGCTCTCATGGCTAATTTGACTTGAACCCACAGACTTGTATTGTTTGGCTGTCAGAGTGTTTAAACCTTTTAAATTAGAATGCCTTTAGACAGGGGGCATGTATTCTCTAAACTGACCCCAGACCTAATTATTCCGTATTATCTTATAGCTCTAAATCACATGCTTAGGATACTGCCACATCCTCTGTAAGCATTTGACACGCAGTATTAAGTGGGTCTCATTGCTCTATGAAAAAAAGCCAGCTCTTGATTATTTCCAATTTTTAAATTATTAAGTAGATGCAAATTGACCATGATGGGGATTTGAGAAGACGACTACTAGAGAAGAGAATGTTTCAAATCTTTCTATTTATAATGCTGTACATGATTCTACACTGAATCTGCATTTCACTCCCATATCTATACCAGAAGGTTATCAGTGGAAGAGAAATTCAGTTATCTGAATGGACATGATCTTCTCAGGAGCAGTCAGTGGTTAATTGGGACAAGAAAACACAAGTCATTATCATTGAGAAATCTGAAGCAAATTGAGGCAGGTTGTCACCTTTCACCAGGAAACAAATTAGCCCTGTCTTTAAAAAGACTTCTTTCTCTCTCTGCTGACTGGGGATTCCTGTCAACTGCCAATGAAATAGGGAGAGTGTAGATTAATGGTACTGTAACAGTGGCCATGAAACAACCATAAAGCCGTTTTCTAATTTTTATGAATATTTTTAATTGATTCGACCAGTGTGTTTGAATGACAAAATTTGTGCTAAGCTTCAGCTCCAGAAAATCAGGGTGCCATCTTCCAGCTGAAATCAGTAGGTGCACCAGTCTGTTTGGGGAAAGTTCTGTGTATAAAGAAAAAGCCATAAAATACCGACAAAGTAGCTCTTCCTCTTGGCTAATTTACCTTCATGAACTCCTTGCCAACTAGGGACGAATATAATTCAGGTTTAGCTCAAAAAAGAGAGAAACAGAGATAGAGAGAGAGAGAAATAATAAAATAGTAGGTAACATCCTGAGTTATAAGGGTTGCAAGTAGGATAAAACTTGAGATATGACCTACTTTTTCTACAATTTGTGAATATGGGAATCATTGCAGTCTAATGCAAAGAACAGTGAACTGAGGTCCTGTACATCTGGGGGCTGGTTCCCAGATTCCAGTTTTCTCACCTGTAAAATGAAGAGCCTTTAATCGAGAAAATGAAGTCCCCTTCTAATTCTAAAGTTCTCTGATTTGATGAAGAAGAAGTTGGAATAAAGCATTAAAACATTCCAATTTCAAATTTATTTGTTAACAGTAACAACAAATTTATCCAGAGATATTCTAACTCAGGCACCCCCAAAAATGAGATGAAATTTTTCATGTGCAAGAGATTTCTATTTTATGAACATTTATTTTACATGCATCAGGTTATGGTCACTCAAGGAAAGAGAAAAATTACCATTTAAATCGTGTGGGCAGTTTTACCAACCAGCTCATCCACGAATGGTCATGCGATGAGGACCTGAAAGGACATTGGACTCGGTTTGCCTCGATCTTCATATACCTGTCAAAATGTGATGATCTTGCCAGGCTGAATAGAACTGATGACATTGATTTTACACAGTATGGCCACCAAACACAAGCAAGCCACTTCAAATGGCTCATAGAGAAAGGGCTAGAGAGAAAACTGGTTCATTTGAACAGCATATTGATTCCAAGGTGGTGCCTTCCTGGGAGACTTCTAAGGGCAGTTTTCAGTATATAAAATGTTTTGTTTTAGATACTGACTTTAAAACTGAGCCATGTGTAGATGTATCAGAAGGCAAGGAAAACTTGTATACAAATGTCCATAGAAGCATTATTCATAATAGCCACAGTGAAATCAACCCAAATGCCCATCAGCTGATGAATGGATAAACCAAATGTGGTGTATCCATACAATGGACTATTATTCAGTCATTAAAAGAAATGAAGTACTGATACATGCTATTGATATGTGGATGAACCTTGAAAATATGATGCTAAGTGAAAGAAGCCAGACACAAAAGGCCACATACTATATGATTCCATTTCTATGAAATTCCCAGAATAGGAAAATTTATAGAAACAGAAAGTAGATTCGTAGCTGCCAGGGGATTCAAGGAGGCAAGAATTAGGACTGACTCCTAATAAGTACAGGGCTTCTTTTGGGGATAATGGAAATATTCTGGAATTAGATAGTAGTCATGGTTGCACCAAAAAAAAAAAAAAAAAAAAAAAAAAAAAACAAAAAAACCCCACTGAATTGTATACTTCTTAAATGTTTATTTATTTATTTTTGAGACAGAGTCTTGTTCTGTCACCCAGGCTGGAGTGCAGTAGCATGATCATAGCTCACTGCAGCCTTGACCTCCTGGGCACAAGCAATCCTTCCACCTCAGCCCACTAGGTAGCTGGGATTACAGGCGCACGCCAGCACGCCACCAAGCCCTACTAATTTTTCTGTATTTTTTGTAGAGACAGGGTTTCGCCATATTGCCCAGGCTAGTCTAGAACTCCTGGGCTCAAGTGATTCTCCCGTCTCAGCCTCCCAAAGCTGTAGGATTACAGGTGTGAGCCACCATGCCCGGCCTGAAGCGTATACTTTAAAAAGGTGAATTTTATGTTATATGTATTATATCTTCAATTATAAAAGGAAAAAATAAGTAATGATCTATTTTGCACACTTAAAAAAAAAAAGAATGAATGAAGACAAAAAGGAAGTAATGAAGCAAATTCATCAGCTGTGATCTCCAGATGTCCTAGATGTCCTAGAGCTTGACATATTCTTAGGGGTCACCAGCTTTTCTCCTCTCAGTTACTTTGGTGTTTTTCCTGATCCAGCCTCTACTCTGATAACAGCCCTCCACTCTATTCCTAGAAAACACTGTTGGAGAATAGTCCCCCCATCAGTCTTCCACCCACTGTAGCTCTACAAAATCTGGGCACCCTTCCTCTCTATTTCTGTGACACCGTACCTGATATTTAAGGCAGAGTTACTGGACAGAGAAGGTCTCTGACAGATCCATTACAGTCCATCTGTTCCCTTTTCTTCTAATGTATTATAGAGGGAAGAATATAGGCTTTGAAGATAGACAAATCAGGTTCTAATCTCGACATTACCACCTATAAGCTGTTGAAAGTGCGTTTGTAAAATTTATATAATAGTACCTATTTCATAGGATAGTTGGGAAGACTAAATTAGATGATGTTTTAACCTTAATCAGCACACACCAGCACTCAAATAGTTACTCTCTTCTCTTGCTGTACTGTTCACAGCCCACCAATGAGAACCCCAGTGTCTGGCCAAATGGCCGCATTCTGCTAACATCTTGTCTATGCCATTGTGTACTTGGCTTCACAATAAAGCCTTTCAGACCCACTGGGGCAGTGGTCCTGTACCTGTAGCTCTTCAGGGGTCAGCTGGGTGGCTCTATCCCCATGCCTTTGGGTGGAGGCTGCCTGGTCGGTGGAAGCAAGTTGAAGCTCCTTCTTTTAAAATTCAAGAGGCAGCCCTGATGATCTCTGAATCACCTTTAGCGTCATTCTTCCCTTGTCTTGGAAATAAGCACACATTCACTGCCAAATAGCTTTATAGTCTTCTATAAAATCGAAAAATTCTGGTAGCCCTTCTTCAGTTCTTCCCATCTTCTTCCTCTTCAGTTTAAATTGGAAGTTTTCCTGCTGGGGTGGCTGATTAAGTCAGTGATTCACACCGAGGCTAATCTCCTTACCCAAAAATCACTTGGCCACATCCTTTGTATTCTCTTCAGAAAGTGCTTTTCCCTTTTTATTTTTGTCTTTGCAATATGGATAGGCTGAGATTTTTTTCAAATGTTTAATTTCTACTTCCTTTTTGCTTACTAATTCTGTCTTCTGATCATTTCTCTCTTCTCACATTTTGCTATAAGCAGTCAGGAGGAACCAAGCTACTCCAAACTTTGCTTAGAAATCTCTTCAGCTAAATATCCAGTGTCATCACTTGCAAATTCTCCCTGCCAGAAAACACTAGAACACAAACACAATTCAGCCAAATTATTTGCCACTTTTTAACAAGGATCCCCGTTTCCGCAGCGTAAGCAGAAATTTATTTCTCACAGTTCTGGAGGCCGTGGTCTAGAGAGTTCAAGACCAAGGCACTGGCAGATCCAGGGTCTGGCTAGGGCCTGCCTCCTGGTTTGGAAATGGTCATTTACCACTGTATCCTTACGTGGCAGTAAGAGAACTAGCCGGCTTTCTTTCCTCTTCTTATAAGGGCACTAATTCCATTCATGAGGGATCTACCCTCATGACCTAATTATTTCCCAAAGACCCCACCTCCTGATACCATCACATTGGGATTAGAGTTTCAACATTGGAATTTGGGGGTTGGGGAAACAAACATTAGTCAATTGCACTCTATCTCAGCACACTGTGTAGAATTTTTTTTTTTTTTTTGAGACGGATTCTCACTGTGTCGCCCAGGCTGGAGTGCAGTGGCACGATCTCGGCTCACTGCCAGCTCTGCCTCCCAGGTTCACGCCATTCTCGTGCCTCAGCCTCCCAAGTAGCTGGGACTACAGGCGCCCACCCCCACGCTCGGCTAATTTTTTTTTGCATTTTTAGTAGAGACGGGGTTTCAGGATGGTCTTGATCTCCTGACCTTGTGATCCGCCCGCCTCGGCCTCCCAAGGTGCTGGGATTACAGGCATGAGCCACCGCGCCCAGCCCACGCTGTGTAGATTTTTAATAATACTTTTGTTATCTAAACGTACTTTTGGTTTTGGTTATTTGAACTTCATGTCACCCTCATGGGAACATAAACTTCACGATCAGAACACTCACGTATACTCATAGTCTTTGACACGTCTGGCCCATATTAGGTGCTCTGTAACAATTTATTGAATGGATGGAAGAATGAATTAATGAAAGGACCACATGACCAGGTCTCCTTTTGCAGTGCATTGGAATCATCCTATCTCAGAGTTGATTCATAAATTGCCCCAACTAGAAGGTCCCTTTGCGATTTTTGAAAGAGATAGTGATCATCTCTTCCAGCTCATTCTTTTTGCAAAGGATACTAGAAAGGGAAAATTTTATATTCAAGCTAAGGCCCAATAATTAGGCCTTTTACTATACCTTATTGTCTCACAGAGGAACTTAGCAAATTCTTGTTATTCAAGTAACTACTGAGCAAATTAGTAAGCAGCAGACCAAGGAAAAACAGAGGTCGTCAATGGGGCATAGTGAAAGGGACATGGGCTTTGGTGTCTGCCAGGCCCGATTTCATATACTAACTCCAGACGTTCTTAGCAGCTCTATACCATGGAACAATTAATCTCTAGAAGTTTCCGTTTTTCCTCCTTAAAATGGGAGGTCCAACCTGTTATAAGAATTAGAATTTTCTCTGTCAAACATCTAAGAGCTCCTGGTGTTGAGTGTGTACCTTTAACTGATAATCAATATCATTGTGTTTGTATTCCTTTTGCTACCTCCCCGCGCCATCAACTCCACTACCATTTATCCAAGAGCAATGTCTCCAAGTGCTTAACTGTGTGTCTCACTGTGTAGTTCCCTGAAAACATACCAAATCCCAGCAGTGTTTTTGTAGCAGCACTGAAGTCTGAGAAATTAGTCACTCTCCTCCTAGAAAAAGTAAATCATTACTGTATATCTACTTCTTATATTTATGTTGTTTACTATTGTGCATGTATTATAGAACCCACAAATCAATGCTCTCAGCAGACAAAACTGTTCAAATCTGCAGCACGTCTTGTTGTGTACTAGGTATTTGACAAAACAGTATATATCTGTCCTGAATTCTGTTTTCTGAAGGATGGTGGTGTGAGCACTGGAGTCTGTGATTGATTTCTGAGTAACTTGTACTTTATCAAGGAATAGATGTGATTTCTCATGTATCTGATTAACCCTCCCTGTAAGATTACCATCATTTCTATAATGCCAGTGGATTATTCTGTGCTTGGAAAGATGTATATCAGATCATTTTAATCAATAGCCTACAAAAGGTGTCACCTGGCTCTGCCTGTGGTTATCTATAATATCTCACCCAAAGGGTGTTGTCATTTTTCAAATAACCTGTTTAACTTAAAGCACCTAGGAAATGAAGTTGCCTTTATTTTGAAACAGTATGCAGAACAATATGTTAGGTGAATAAAATGTATGCTTGTTTTCTGCACGTTACCCTATTAAAAAGAGAGAATACCAGTGTGGTAAAATATCCACTTATCCATCTCCATCACACAAGACTGGCTTGGTAACCCATAGATTGGTATGGGAGCAAGATAAAAGTAGGGTATGCAATAGATTCTGTGCTGGCATAGCAAAATGGGAGCAATGAGGAAGTGACACTGGGCTATCATATAATCTTTTATCCCAATTAGAATAAATGGGGTGCTGCAGATAGGCTGGAACAACAGAGATAAACCCAAGACCATCCTGGGCAAGCAAGGACACATGTCAACAATAAAGTCATACCCTGTTTTGTAATTTAGGAAACTTTCTCATGATGTTGAGTAACTGGGACATTTGGGATTAATGATGTATCTGTGATGTACTCCTCTGTTGGATTCCCTGAGAAAAATCTTTTGAGATATAAACTAATCATTGCTTACTATTCAGCCATGTAGAGAATGTGTGTTTCCATACTTAAGATAATGAGTCCTACTAAGAGAGAAGAGGTATTAATTCTTGGGAGGGATAATTTTATATCAAGTTTAGACAGTTTTCAGTCTGCACTAAGCTCCTTTTTTATGGCCAGTTTAGGAAAAATGCTAATGCCTCGTATCCAGACCTGTTTGGAGATAGAGCAAGTCAAGCAGAAAAACGCCATTCTCCTAAATGAGCGTTAGGCCACAGAACACGAAATCTGTCAGGCAGCATTTTACCTGGCATGGATCCGCCAAAGAAAACAAACAAATCAGAGTTGGATTTTTTAAGACTAAATAACAGCAAGCCAAAGAAAGAGCATTTACACTGAAAAAACTGTAAAGGTTGACAACATCCTCAACTCATTAAATATGATGGGGAAGAGTAAAATATGTAGCACTTTTGCTCCTTAGTGTGGGCTTTTAAGCCTCTCCTTCAATCGTGATTTCACTACTTCGTCTCTAAGCTATAGATTCTGCCTTTGC
Organism: Homo sapiens; assembly: GCF_000001405.40. Lineage (NCBI taxonomy): Eukaryota > Metazoa > Chordata > Mammalia > Primates > Hominidae > Homo > Homo sapiens. The sequence continues at coordinate 3,008,597 of NC_000003.12, forward strand.
AAAAAGAGAATACCCACCTCCCTAAGTCGTTCCGTGTCTAAGAAAGGTAACATTATGCAGAGCATTAAACATGTAACCTGACACAGAGACACTCTACATAATAATAGGTCATTTCCCTTCTCAAACGACCCAGATTTCTAGAGGCAACTAGCTATAGCTTGATGCAAAAGTGTTGCAGTTTTTACCATTACTTTTAATGCAATTTAAAACGCAACTACTTTTGCACCAACCTAATATAATAGGAATAGACAACAGCAGTAGCAGGCATTCGGGTTTCCCATTGTCCTCGGCATTCTAGGGCAAACCACCAAGATCTAATAAGCTGTGAGATTCCAAAAGAAGGGCGCCAAACCTTGGGCTGCACGGCTTCAAACTTCGTCATTACAGAATCACCAGCGTCTTTCTTGGTATGATCTGCGGGCTAGAGGACAAGCCTGGTGTTATTAGCACAGTGAGCAAGTGGCAAGAGCACCACCTCCGGAGCCACAATTAGGGAAGTACCATGCCTTGCCCTGGCATGACTGGAGAGTAGGGGCCAATGTTAGACTATAAGAGTTGACTAGGATTGATTGCCATAAACAGTGGGCCATGGTTACTTTCCTCGGAGCATTGCAGAGAGCCTCTTTCTCTGGGAGGCCAGCCTACAGGAGATCAGTCTTAGACAAGTTAACCTTTACCTTTCAATTATCATGGCTTAAATTTTCAGGAACTCTCTTCTAGTATCTGAATGTTCCTTATTTGTAGCACCCTTTTCTTGTTTATGCAAATAAACAAGAAACACCCTTTTCTTGCTACTGTCAATTCAATATCTAATATTTCTCTGAAAATAATAATGACAGAATTTCTTTTTTTTTTGAGATGGAGTCTTGCTCTGTCGCCCAGGCTGGAGTGCAGTGGCGCGATCTCAGCTCACTGCAAGCTCCGCCCCCCGGGTTCCCGCCATTCTCCTGCCTCAGCTTCCCGAGTAGCTGGGACTACAGGCGCCCGCCACCACGCCCGGCTAATTTTTTGTATTTTTAGTAGAGACGGGGTTTCACCGTGTTAGCCAGGATGGTCTCGATCTCCTGACCTCGTGATCTGCCCTCCTCGGCCTCCCATAGTGCTGGGATTACAGGCGTGAGCCACCGCGCCCGGCCAGCATTTCTTTTTGCTTGCCTTGAAATTGATCTTTTGTGTTAGTTGTCCTCACATGTCTATTGACTCACAGTTGTTGGCCCATATTTAAGAGTGTGGCACGAAAAAGCCTATGTGAAGCCGTGAACATGTAGATGAAGTTCATTGACTAAGAACTGGGCCATTTCCTTGTGGAACTCCCCATACCCACATTAATATTTCGGTGTTTCCTTTTCGGCTGATCGCTACCTAGAGAAAGAATATCTAGTACCTAGTCTCATTTGGAAGAACACAGAACTCAACAGCAGTGTCCTGGGAGCCTCCTTGGGGAAGGAGACTGAGAATCTCAGCTTCACTGTATGAACACTCACTAAATCCCTGCTATCCTCAGTTCAACCTGGTGTCCTCTGGCCCAGAGACCTACCTCTGTATTACCTGCTCAGAAAGTAAAATCCCAGAATACTTCTGGGATGGGGAGGGTTAGTCACCTGGATGCATGGAATAAGGGAGAGCAAATAGGGACCTAATTGATTTTAAACAGCATCTTCCAGTGCTCTGTTACCTGACTTCAAGTAATACCCGAATTCCCAAATCTTTGGGCATTTTTCTATAGAGTAAGTCAGACTGTTTCTTGTCTTTCCCCACTGCCAGTTTAGGATTCAGGGTTTCTTATCTGCTAATCATCCAGTTGCTTTCCAGTATTTTAACAGTAATACCTCCCAACCATTCTCTCTGTCTTTATAGGCTTATGCCATTAAAAAAAAAAAAAAAAAATCCTTGTACTACTGTTTAAAAAAGTTTTAGAAGGTTCCTAGGACTCTAAAAGGATCATTGTGACGAAGAAATGGATAATTTAAGGAAGCCAGCACAATGCCTGACACATAATTGTAGTGATTATTTTTGTTATTTTGTTAATATTCAATCCTTGTAAAATCATCCAAGTTTATAAATTATGTACTATATAGCCAAACAGCATGGACGAGGAGGGCGCTGTGAAATTAAGACCTACGTCGTTCACCTTCCCAGTGGTGTCAGGTCATCTCTACAACCATGAGCTTTTAGTATGGTTAGTTCCCATTCCATTTCATTTAGAATAACCTTGTAAAAGAAACAGGGATTGGGTGTGAGTGACACCTAACCACTAACATGATAAGCATTCTAAATCTATGTTCAGCATCATGTAAGTACACCCTCATTGAAATGCAGATCTCCACTACTGGTAATTCCACACACTCCTATTGAAGAAAGAATTGCTCCTCTGAAGTTTGCTACCCCATCCTCTCACGTTTATCACTTCTGCAAAGTCATGCAGCATGCCTCAGGTGACCCTGTGAGGTAAGCAATCTTGCACTGTATGTGGGCATTTGCGCTGATCTTCCCAGAAGCAACCCTTAGTCCTTGCATAATTTCTAGCCTCAGGAGAATTATAAGATAGAAGACAAGTGGGGGAAGAAAAGGTTTAAAAAGATTCTGTGTTCTTTAAAGCCAGATACTTCTCAGCTAAGCTTTTCTCAGACCTTTCATGTCCCTCAATAAAGTATATTTTTGGCTATGCCCCATAAACTACTCCAATAATCCATTAAGATAGCTGTAGAAATCAGCATAGCAAACTATCAGTGAGCTGGTTTAGTTATTCACCGGTTATTAATCTTCTCAGCTCAGGGTCATATTGTCCTGTCTTCAGCATTTTTCACAGTGTCTGATGATGTTCAGAGAGTTAATGGAGGTCCTGAAATGTGGATACAACAAGCATGATAATCCCTTGACTTGATGTCATTCTAGGGATCGTTTTCAAACTTTGTGTGTTGCCCTGGCAAATGAGCAAGAAGGCACCTGTGTCACTTATCTGGATGTTTGTACACTGTTCTGGCAAATAAATGTCTATGTACAATGATAATTTCCTTATGATACTTTCACTAGCAACAACTTGTTTTGAGCATTTGTTACCAGTTTTAGTAGCTGTCATTTTTGTTTCTTCTTTAGCTTCCTTGTAAAGTCGAGGCACATTTTGTCCTGACTTAGAGTCGCGATATTTCTTTGGAGATTCATGTGAGCGTCTTCCTCTCACTAAATTTTCCTCTCCCCGCCCCAGTCTCTGCATGTTTGGAGAAGTTATCTTCCTCTGAAGCTTCCTGCACTTAAAACAGACCCAGGCACAAGAGACTTCCATGATGATGATGGTGATGATGACAGTGATGATGAGGATGAGGATGAGGATGGTAATGATATCTTTATTCAAACACTGAAACCATTCATCATGTTATATGCAACCACAGGAATATTACAAGTTAAGAAACAAATTAACTGACTTACAAGTCAAATAACTTTCCCACAATCAGTCAACTAGTAAGGGGCAGAGCTAAAATTTGCATCCAGATTTTTCTGACTTCAAAACTCAGTTTCTTAGCTACTTCCAGTCTGTAAGAGCAGCTTTCTGTCTAGAATCTGTACACCCTCACCACAAGAATCTAGATAGCTGGTTTTCCTTTGGATCTGCATGGTACAGGCATCTATCTTTACACCTGGAAGAGGTTCTTTTACTTAGGATGTCTGTATTCAACAAAATATCAGTTGAGATCACGTAGGGCATTCTTGACCTTTGCAAGGATTTTGGCATTTACTCTGAGGTAAACGTGGAGGCATCTTTGTTTCTGTCACATTCTTAGTAATAGCTAGCATTTTTTGAGCACTTTTTATGTAGCAAGCTCTATTCTTGTTTGTTTGATCGGTTTGGTTTTTTGTTTTTGTTTTTGTTTTTGAGACACAGTCTCACACTGTTGCCCGGGCTGGAGTGCAATGGCGTGATCTCGGCTCACTGCAACCTCTGTCTCCTGGGTTCATGCAGTTCTCCTGCCTCAACCTCCCAAGTAGCTGGGATTACAGATGCACACCACCACACCCAGCTAATTTTTTGTATTTTTAGTAGAGACAGGGTTTCACTATGTTGGCCAGACTTCTATTCTCAAAACTTTGCATTGGCTGGGCGCCGTGGCTCACGCCTGTAATCCCAGCACTTTGGGAGGCGGAGGCGGGCAGATCACCTGAGGTCAGGAGTTTGAGATCAGCCTGGCCAATATGGTAAAACCCCATCTCTACTAAAAATACAAAATTAGCCAGGCATGGTGGTGCATGCCTGTAATCCCAGCTACTCAGGAAGCTGAGGCGAGAGAATTGCTTGAAACTGGGAGGCAGAAGTTGCTGTGAGCCGAGACTGTGCCGTTGCACTCCAGCCCGGGCAACAAGAGCGAAATTCCATCTAAAAAATAAAAAAATAAAAAAAACCCTTTGTATTAATTCACCTTAGAACATCACCCTCTTCTTACTCTCGAAATAAGTGTCTCTTTTTCCTTTCTTCCCCGTGCAAATCTTTGGCATCAATAGTAATGGTAATAATAGTATCTCATACTCTGTAGCTCTTTATGTTTTATGAAGCATGTTAAAATCCATTAACTCATTTTGAATTTCATAGTCATCCTGGGATGCCAAATACCATCTCCTCCAAATTATAGATAAGAAAACTACAGCTCAGAGACGTCGAATGACTTGCTGGTGGTTTCATGCCTAATCAGTGCTGTATGGCCAAACCTAGAAACTAGGCTTTTAGACACTAAATTGAGTGTTTTATATATTTCATCATGATGACATGTTTAGCAAAAGCTAGGTTAGTATCAGAGAGTCAGTAAGAGAAAGTCCTTTACTCCCTGAGAAGACATCCAGCAACTATTTCTGAGATGAGCTCTAGACCTGGGCTGATTTCCAGTGAACGGAGTCCTGCTTATTACTGGTGCTCCAGCATTGTTTGGGAGCTCCTGCCATGGGAAAATAGCAGGGTATCCTATTGACCGCCAGGGTGCCCAAGTGAACATTGCATCCTGCATGAAAAGTGCCCTCCGGGATTGTAAAAAGTGTCAGGTCCTGTTATGGTAACTAAATGCAAGATAACCTTTCTGTGGAAAGCAAGCATATGATGGATAAGAAATGATTTTGTAAACTATGGAATGATCTACAAATGCAAAATACCATATGCCTTGTACATCTTGCCTGCTTGAGTAAATGAATGATTTTTCTTATGTATCTCTCTGTGAATATTGGTTTATTCGATGCTGCAGCAGTTTGCAAACTCTGTTCACTCTTGCACTGCAGCCCAGAGACACACCCTAGGGAGTTGGCATGTGTCATACAAATAATGTGTACCTATTTGTTATAACCTAGGCTTGGGTCTTGCCTCACTATCTTTCCTACCAATACTGAGCTATTAGATTCTAATGGATAATCTAGGAAGTGAATACATTCCTGTAAACTTTAACAAATTTTATTGAGGAACAGACATTTAAATGTACACACACACACACACACACACACACACACACACACACACCCCTAGGGGTTTTGTTTGTTTTAATTCAAGAAACTAACACGTTTGTGGAATGAGGAAGTCATTAATGTTTTTTGACTAACCAAGACCTAGCCAAAAATCTATTTCTCTTTCTGCCCTTAATCTCTTTCTGAAGTATCCTGCCAATTTTTAATGCTGACCGTTTCTCAATACTTTCAGTCTGTAGTAGTACTAGAGTGCTTCACTTATCACTGTGGCAAAACCTACTTGTCATTTTAGAGAACAGTAAATGTGGATTTGGAAAATGTGGGACTTTGGGTCACGTCAGAACTCTGACTTAAATTTCAGGCACCCTTTAGTTGGAAGTGGCAAGATACAGCTTATCTGCAAATGACTGTAATTACAAAGATAGAGCTTGCCCAACAAAGGGTTTCTATTTTAATATCATAAAAACCAAAAGGTGGAATGGTGCTCCACAAAAGACTGCCTTTTCACTTTCTAAAAATTCTTTTCTGGCTCTGTGTACTCCACTTGGTGTGAATGTCATTTATTAGCATGTGATGTCTTTGTGGAGTAGAGGATTCTGCCGCTCTCTGCTTGTCTGTCTTGCTCTGTTTCTCTGCATTTTCATCTCCTTTTCCTTGTCTCTTGGCTTTAACATTCTTTCCACCTCCATTACCCTTTATATTAGATTAGATCTAACTTTTAAATTATTTGATGTATCTTTAAATTTTGTGTTCCCTGTACCTAATTTAAAAGACATGAAAAGTTGTAAACATCTCTCTGAAAATAAACTAAATTAAGTTGCTTTATACTTGCGTGACCCTCGATTGGTTTTTTTTTTTTTTTTTTCTCTTTGGGTCAGCAACTCTCAATAGAAAAGTTTCCTTATCTCTAGTGTGGAAGATTGGACTAAATGTCCAGTGACCTTCAAACCTGCTCCAGAGAGTAGTTCTTCCTTACAAGAGTGAGTTTTCCAATGATTTGCCTCTTTCTCTCCAAAATGAAAAACAGTAACAAAGTCTTAATTCAGGGCTCTTCAGATTTTCATTCTCCCTCCTTTAAATTTCACTGAATGTGTATATAGGTCTCACTATGAAGCAAGCAATGCAGCAGGAAGAAGAGTCTCTTTTAGTTAAACTCATAATGCCTTACCTAGCTGCACACAAAGGGGGCATTTCAACAATTGCAGGGGACCTAATATCTATTAATAGTTGCCCATTCTGAAGGGTTTCAGGAAAAAGTTCACTTAGAATTACAGACAAGTCCTCAAACAAGCTAGTCAGTGGTGGACCAGACTGTTGGGGGTGGGGGAGGGAGGATTGTTTAAGGTTTTGTTTTGCAGAAAGCTTCATCAATCAATCCTATCTACATCAAATAAAGAGAGGGTAGCTAATATTGTCTACCAAGATATTAATACCTTCTATTTTAAGCTTCATATGCTCCTCGGTGACCTCATCTCAAATCTATAAGCAAACAAAGAAGTACTGCTTTAGAATATGCGAATTATTGCTTCTTTCCCAAGATGCAGTCCTTAAACAGAGGAATCTGAAAACATGTAGAAAATTGCTGACAGGAGCAGGTTAAACAGAAAAAGAGGGACACTCTCCTTCTGCTGAGGTTTCAGCACCATCTACTGTCCAGAATATTAATCCTTCCCCACATTGCACTGTGTGTGAATGGCACTTGGTTTTTCTTTTGCATGTAATCACAATGGAAGGCATTGTCTTTGGAATTCATTGTCCTTGCCTCAAGGTGTACATTTCCTTTCTTTTATAGTTTAAGTAAATATTCGCTTACTTTTTATCAGTAGATGCAGCCCGATGCCCAGCAGATGCAATCACACATTCCTTTAATCAGCAAAGATCTTATTATGCCATTCTTACACATTGACTATGATGAAATTTACTGTATTTCACTGATACTAATGGGATTTTGGGGGGACTCTTTTGCTCAGTGAGTCATAAGGGAGAGTTACTTATGTGCAGTCACTGAAATAAACAGAAAACATTCTAATTATTATTTGATGAAAATGTTTCTCCGTGGGTAAAAGATATCTGTGGTTCCCATTTATGATTCTTTTTTATCTTCCATCACAGTCAAAGGCACGCCATAGAGTGATTTTAATTATACCTTGACTCGAAGATACAATGTATTTAATTTGTCATTGACAGTAGTCTTTTCCTAGTCCTTTCAGATTGTCATTTCTTTTGAATCGTAAAGAAAGCTTCAAAAAGAAAATGTGAGAGGGCAAATTTAACATATACCCCCCTTCCCTCTTCTGTTATTACTTGCTATTTTGCTTGAGGAAGTATTCTTATTCATAGTGGGAAGCTTAGGCACCTGCAGAAAATTCTTTGCATTTAGAAAGACTTCCCAGATGAGAAACCCTGCTACTGAAGCATGGCACAAATCCAGACCCCGGAGGTTTGCTTTCCCTGGTCATGGGTAAAAATAAAAACAAACAAGTTGACGGTGAATGACTTTAAGACAGATTATATCTTGCTTATTAAAAACAAAGAAACAAAAACCTCCTTATTAATCGTTGTGACCAAGTTAGAGACTTGGGAGGCAACCAAGAGCATTCGAGCATCATTAGAACCGTCTTCATAATTAAATAGGTGCTTTATGCTACACATTTTGACCAGGCAGATCTAATAACTTTGATTACCACCTGACTGATTGTTTCCCAAGTACCTATACTTGGCCACCCTCAATTGGCTTGTGCATAGTAGTTTCCATTTGTGGCAGTCAAGCTTATTAAACAGCTCTGCTTTGCGATTTTCCCCCAGTCCTTGAAAATAGATCAGTAAGCATTCCACTCAGGGGCGATTTGTAAATTGCTTTACACAAGGCTCCAGTTTGTGCTCACGCCGACTGGGGTCAAAATTTGCCTTGTGTTTTCTTCTGATGTCATTTGTCAAGTTGCACACGTTGTTCCGAGAACCAGGTCACAATACTATGTGGCTGTGCCTCTCGGTATGAATCGATGAAAAACCTTGACTTGTGAACGTGCCCTATGCTACTTCTGTGTTTTCTTCTGCCACCTAAAAGGGCAGACTTCCTTGTCTTCAGCCAAAATACACTTATTGTTCTTTTTCCAATTGGTTCCTCTTCCCTTCTTCTTAAAGCAAAGTCACATTTTAATTATGTTAACAAAAAGAGAGGTAAGATAAATAGGGGTGCTATTGAGAGAACTAGCCTATGTTTTAAAACTGTAAAAATTCTCAATTCACAGACATAATTCCTCAATGGAAAACAAATCTTAGAGAAAAGTAAATGTGTCTAAAAGAGATCAAATGTGTAAAGGATTTTCCAAAGAGCAAAATTATAAGCAAAGTAGACACTTAGGAACAAACTACATATATAGATGTCTGATATTATGTGAGTGATGATAACCTGAACAGATTTTATTTCATCAGGATATTTCGGCAGTTAAAGCTTACCCCTAAAATCAGGACTTGGAGCTGAGCTCCCTTCCAGGAACCTGGGGCAGACAAAAAAAATTCTACCCAGATTTGAGACCTTTAAAGGACATTTACCTGTGGCCAGAATGGGCAGCAAGGCCACCCCCCAAAAAGAGTCAGACCTGTACAGTATTGGGTGCAATGTCCTTTATTTTGCTATGCCGTGAAGTGCAAACTGCACATTTTTCACATAACCTGATACAGGCCTTTACAGCCACACAACAGGGAGAAGTGGGTGCTCACGAGGAAGAAAAAACTTCGCTTATAAGATGAACTCCCAAACCAAAATTACAAAGACCTTGAGGAAGTCTGCCACCATAAGAGACAATCAGCAAATAGAACAAATGGCACCTTCAAAAGTAGCAATAACGGAACCACCTGAAAAGGACTTTTAGCTAAGTATATGTAGATTTCTCAAGGATAACCTCACCAACCCCATCCATCATTTCCTACTTCCCTCCTTACCTTCCTAACAGAATGGATTTGTTTCTGAAAAGTAACTCAGGAGGAACAGAACAAACTGGAAACTGTGGTGTTTCCATTTGTTTGTTTTGATAGCTCCTTCAAAATGTAGATCCTAATGACCCAGCGGAGAATAGTAATTATAAAATTAATGTTTCTCCCATTTAAGGATGAATTATTCTCTAAAAACTAAATATAATTTTAAGTAATGTCTTGCTCCTGACAATAGGTATTTTATGAAAGTATTAATTCAGGTTTTCTCCCTGGTGTGAAATGCAGAAACTCAATGTTTAAATTTTAGGGAACTGATACATTTTCTTTATTCATTCTTCTTTTTATAAGTAGCATAAAACTTTAATTTTTAAATGGCATATGCTCTAGAATTAGTATTCGCCATCTTTTTTATTTTATTGTTCTGTGGAGTATTCATTTTAAATATTTACATTTTAAGTACTAAAGCAATCTGAGCAACCCTCCCTTTCCTGTCTGGCACAGAAGAGTAATCACAGTGAGTGAGGATGCAGAATGGTGAGGTAGGTTGGAGAGCTCTATGGAGACATGGCTGTGGGTGGGTATAGAGGTGGTGGGCAGAGGAGACAGCTGGCAATGTTGGCAGATTGGTTATACTGAACAAAATGTAAGTTGATTAAGCAAATTAGGAAATGTTTTCAGGATAAGATACAGAAATACTTATAGATGTGTAGGTATTATACATGTATACACACATAGATATTTCCCAGCTCTGTTGCTGAGAAGGCCTAGGATCAATGACCCTCAGTAACAATGAGCACATTGGGTCTCCACCTCTTAGTTCTCAAAGCCATCCTCCACTAAAAAGAACCAGAGCTCCCTGACAAAATGACTGATTCTGGGACTATTGCAGGAAAAAAAGTATAATGTGAACCTTACTGGACCAGAAAGTAAAGAAACACTTAATGAATAATAGTAAAATGTAAAACATACGAAGAGCCCAACTTAAAAGGACTCCCAGTGGCCAAAATGGGGACAATTTGAGCATCAGTGTAAATAATGATAGTAATGTATTACCACCTGTCAAAAGAAGCCATGAATTTATCCTAATGTAAGTAAGTATATAAATAAATGGGGGAGAGGGGAACACTCTTCCTTAGAGTAGAATGTCAGCTGATATATGTAGAAGGAAAGATAGCAATGGAGAATCACCGTTTGACAACCATCATAAAAGCCACTAATTCAGGAAGGAGTCTTTAATGGATTCTAAGGCTGGTGGGTACAAGTTTGATGACCATCAGGTACTGGTGTAATCTTTGAATACCTCCCCACAAAGTACTCATTATTTATTTATTTATTTTAGTTTATTATTCTTTTTCAGACAGAGTCTCACTCTGTTGCCCAGGCTGGAGTGCATTGGTGCGACACTGCAACCTCCACCTCCTGAGTTCAAGCACTTCTCTTGCCTCAGCCTCCCGAGTAGCTGGGACTACAGGTGTACCACACTCAACTAGTTTTTGTATTTTTTTTAGTAAAGGCAGGATTTGACCATGTTGGCCAGGCTGGTCTGGAACTCCTGGCCTCAAGTGATCTGCCTGCCTCAGCCTCCCAAAGTGCTAGGATTACAGGCATGAGCCATGGTAGCCAGCCAAAATACTCATAAGTTACAAGGGTGTAAATGGTAAGAATAAGATGGAGAAGCCAGGCAAACACCACCATATATATATATGTGTATATATGTATATGTGTGTGTCTGTGTGTGTGTGTAGGTGTATTTGTGTGTATATGGTAGGGAGAAGGGGTGTGTGTGTGTGTACACAAATATATATATATATATATATATATATATATATACACATGCATATATATATACATATATATATTTACACACATATATTGTATATGGGGGAGAAGAAAATAAGCAAATACAGTAAAATATTAGCTACTGAGGAGTGTATATGAAGGTGAAAGAGTTCTTTGTACTTTTCTGGCAAACTTTCTGTAAGTTTGAAATTATTTCAAAATAAATTACTTTTTAAAATCAAGAAAAAAGTACAAAATGTGGCCTTATAAGAAAATTCAGCAATAAACACAGATGAAGGGCCAGTGCTTGCATGGTGAGTGCTGAGTTAGCCTTCAGGCAGTTCCTTTTTAAAATTCCATATTCGACATAAGTCTGGATAAATAATAAGAAATACTTAATATAGCTTCCTGATTTATAGTACTTCAAGATTCAAGGCCTTATTTTCATCAGTCTCCCACAGGGCCACTCACAGATTGTCCATAAGTTATCTTTAACCAACTCTCATGAGTAGGAACAGAACTAGGCACCAGGGACTTATAAAAGTGTAAGATCTAGTCCGTGACTCCCAGAAAGCTGATCAGTTACAGGGGGAGAAGCAGGGCACGTGTAAAAAAGACAAATGATTTTGCACAACAATGCACTAGCTTAATGTCGAAGAAAGAAAAACAGTTAATTCCGATGAGCTTCATGAAAGGATAGGATCACCAGCGAACAGGGTGGCCAGGAAGGGCATGTGGGGAGGTGGCTCGGATTCATAGGCTCTTCAAGACAGTAGGCTTTTTCCAGCCTGGCTGGCCACTAGCAGAACTTGGCATCCCCTCTCTGAGGGCGCCCACCTCCACCTGAATACCTCCAGAAATGGAGATTCATGTTCTTCTGTGGCAGCCTATTTCCCTGTTGGAAAGGTCAAATTAGTAGAAAGTTCTTCCTTCTACAGAGCCAGAATATGCCTGTTTGTAGTTACTCTTTGCTTTCTACTTTGGGGCAATGCAAAATAACCTTAGCTTATCTTCTGCCTATAAGCCCTTCACATATTTGAGGACTGTTGTCATGTCTCTCCTAATTTACCTTTCTCGTGCCAAACACTTTCAGTTATTTTAGCTGCTATGGAATTATTAGATCTTTCACTAACCCAGGTATACTAATGTATTAATGAATCCAAAACACGTTCCTAGTAAGCTGTAGTCTGACTAATGCAAAATACAACCAGATTATTACCTCCCTAAATTGGAACATCATGTGTTATTTATGCAACCTAAGATTTCATTCCCTTTCTTTGGCAGCTGCACAGACTCCATGAGCACTGAAATGCTTAGGTATTATCCATGTGAGCTGCCAATCCCCCAGCATGTACTTAGTAGCTGATTTTTTAAGTGTAGTTTTTTGCCTTTATCCCTATTAAAGTTTGCCTAGGTGAAAAGGTTGGTCCCACTTGAAATCACTATGAATTTTGATTCTCATCTAATGTTTAGGGTATGCCTTTTAGATGTGTGTTTTATGCAGAATTGATACAGTTTATCTTGCACTGATTTTTATTGAAAAAATGGTGCCAACTATAGAATGTTGAAATTCATCCGTAGAGATGCTACCTCAGGATTATTGTCATCATTAATCAACACTCTTTGCTGTGGCATTTAAATATGATTAAAAATAATTCTCTGACCAGTCCCCTTATGTCATCTGAGGTTTGCTTGCTGTCTGCTCTTTGACCAGCTCCAGGCCTTTGAAGAATCCCACTTTTAAATTGTCCCTATAAAAACTAATTTAAGGAAAAAAGATACAACTCTACTGAAAGGCATCATCAAAACCATTAGAGTCAAGAAATTTGTTAACAAAAGGGATGTGTCTCCTTCCACAAATGAAGATGGCTGAAACACACATTAAATACTATCCTGATAGGCACCAAGTGAATATCTTGGCACTGTAAATGAAAGATAAATTATACACTAAAATGGAAGGATTGGTAGGGTATCAGGAAAGCAACATTGAAATGGAATTCGTATCCTGTGGACCCAAAAGCACTTATTTTTGCAGATAATAAGAACTATCAGCCAGGTATGGCGGCTCACGCCTGTAATCCCAGCACTTTGGGAGGCCAAGGCGGGAGGATCTCTTGAGGCCAGGAGTCTGAGACTGACCTGAGCAGTATAGCAAGACCCTGTGTCTATAAAACAAAGAAATAAATAAAACATTAGCCAGGCACCAGTGGCTCATGCCTGTAATCCTAGCACTTTGGGAGGCTGAGGCAGGCAGATTGCCTGAACTCAGGAGCTCGAGACCAGCCGGAGCAACATGGCAAAAACCCTGCCTCTACCAAGAATTCAAAAAAAAAAAAAAAAAAAAGAATTAGTTGGGCATGGTGGTGTGCACCTTTGGTCTCAGCTACTCAGGAGGTTGAAGTGGGAGGATCGTTTGAACCTGAGATAGGGAGGTTGCAGTGAGCCAAGATTGTGCCTCTGCACTCCAACCTCAGGGACAGAATGAGACCCCATCTCAAAAATAAAATAAAAATAAAATACTAGCTGGACATGGTGTTGCATGCCTCTAGTCCTACCTTGATGGGAGGATTGCTTGAGCGCAAGAATTTGAAGTTATGGTGAGCTTTGATCATGCTGCTGCACTCCAGCTTGGGCAACAGAACAAGACCCTGTCAAAAAATACAAAATATAAAACAGCGTAGTGTTTTAAAAAATAGAATCCTTATCCAATGGACCCCAAAACACTTCATTTTAGAGACAATAAAAGCTATAAATCAGAAAGTCTTTCCACCAGCAGTGAAAGTGAGAATGTAATAAGGCTTGGATAAGTGTTGTATTTATACATCTAATTGTGGATCTGATTATTAATTGAGTAGTTAATATTATTAAAAATAATGGTTAATAATTAACTCTTCCTCATGGTTATAATCCTTAGAACAAAGCAGTTAGTTTGCCTTTTGTCATTTATACGTTATAGAAAACACTGTAGAAAGTAAAAGAATTTTTTTTTTAACTCTAGGAGAATTAAGCACTTGGTAAATATATAGATTTTTAAGCATCAGTCCTCTGGAGTTCAGAATTTATCATTCTACACAGTATGAACCAACCACAAGTAGGAAAGTTTAGGGATGTTGTTGGTCCTATTTATTGTTGCTATTTAATTACATCCAAATCCAGCCGTCAGTTCACATCTTCAGTTCTAATTGCCTTTGAGAGTTCTATGCACGGAACAATAGCTGAAGTGACTCTTCAGAACAGAAGTCATAAATATAGGTTCTTCCTGATCTCGATGAATTAAAACCAAAGGAGAGGAGACAGTTTGTTTTGCAGGAAGCCATCTGTTTGTTTGTATACAGGGTTTGTATTCAAATTTTAGGAAATTAATCAAGTAAAAAACATCAAAATTCACAACACAGAAAACAAGAGTACTGAACAAACATACACTTTGAGAAAACCAAGTCGCTAATGAGATTTTGAACCTCTTTAGTTTAATCTTTTCTTGTCCCTAGGAGACCTCTCTGGTATGTGTACAGTGCATGACGTTGCATTGATTCTTGCTGCTTTAAGGCTCAGAACATGAATCGGCGACAAGTGCTGAGTTAATGAATCAGCAGCTGTCAGCACAACAACTGCACCAACATAATCCTTGACTCAGGGAACTTCTCTGGTCCTTGCTTAAAAGACAGCTAAGTTTACCAATAATAAAAATCTGTCCCAGATCCCTACATGTGCATAAAGAGGTGAACGTTTCTTTAGGAAAGAAATGTCATTCAGAAACGTGAGCCAGAATTTCAAATGGCTCTAGGCTTTGGGGTATGTGCCAACTCCTTGCTGCTAGCCCAAAAGTTGTCAGGAGATAGGAAGACAAGACAGTTTTAGGGACTGGAGCCTGGGCATTTGACTCCACACTCATAAGTCTGATGTGTAGGCTTAGAGCTAGAGCCACCATTTTAGGCATAAAATCATCACTGCTTGTTACCTGTCTAAGGCAGTAACTACCTGACACGTGCAGTGAAGCCCTCTGCAACCATCTGCACCCCATGGCAGAAATTCTCTGAATTCCTCCTGCGTTTGAATATCTTCAGTTGACTACACATAGGAGTGTAAATTGCTGTATTATGCCCTTAGACTTATTCCTGCATGATTTGCATGTGGACATCGTGTTTTCAGTGAAAAGAAAGGCAGAATCGCACAACAGACAATATCTTAATGACTCTTAGACATCAGTCTGCTCATTTGTTAAATAGGGATGATAATAGTACCTATTTGTTAGGAATAAATGAAATAATCCATGTAAAGTGCTTAACAGTGCTAAGGGACTCAGTTATTATGAATGTTCTTATTCCTTCAGCCTCTGTTATATGTGTTATCCATGTAAACACAATCCATGCTTGGCGGATAAATCAAGAAATAAATGAATTAAAATGAAAATCTAAATTGCAGAATCAGTGGGCAGCTGTTTAAAGTAGAACTAGGCAACATCTTTATCAAATAAAACCCATAGAGGTATATCATTTTAGCCTGGGATCTGTTTCAGTCTTCATTTTTTCTTGAGGAAAATGTAAATTTAAAAACGTCAAATGACATGTTAAGTCAAAATGGGGCTATTCCTTGATGTTTGCTTAGAGTAAGATTTGTACTTACCTCTTTTCCTCATTAAAAAAAAAAAAAAAAAAAAAAAACAACTTCATCACTATCTATTCCTGATGGTAAGTGAATCAATATAGCGGATTTTTATTATGTAGTCCTCAAAAGCCTCGGTCTTTCAAATCAGGGGTTTTCTATCCCATTACCTCTTTGCTGGCAGTACCTGTTGTTCACTTCTCATTTCATGGACATCACTCATTTAACAGTGACTAAAAGCACATTAATCTACTTATCATGATCTTTTCCTATTTTTAGAAAACAACAAAAGTATATCCCACTACTAGATTATAACCTATTTAGAACAGAGATTTCCCTTTTGTAACTGAGAGATTTTCTTTCTGTAGTTGGATAAAAGGATAGAAAAAATGTTTTAAATACTCTCTTTAAAGAGGAAATTTTAGCATGGGTTATCAGCAAGTAAGACTCACAAAAATTCTCCTGTCAGATATAATTACAAAATTCCCAGCGGATATTTTAATCCCAGAGGTTCCCTGAATAAATATTTATGTACCTCACAGCCTGAAATGCAATCCCGCGACTATGGGAGAGGATTAGTCAGTGTTCTTTTATTATTTGGTTTGGTTTTGGTTTGTCTTCTTTGTAATTGTTTGATTGGCTCGGTTTGGTTTAGTATGTAGAAATTTCTGGAATATGGCCTAATTCAGAATTTTATTCTTTAGGCATGTATGCGGCCTTTACATTGAATTCAAACTGCTTCTCACTAGTGTACTCTCTGACACCATTTATGAAATCATGTTGCAGAAAAATAAGGCACTATGGGTGTGAATGTAGTTTTGGAGTTCATAAACTGTCTCAGCTAAGCAAGCCCATTCTATTCCCAGTTTAAACTATAATGTAAAGGGTGAATTTTAAAGCGAATTGATGGTCCTTATTTTTAAAAAGTAATATACCTGTATCATTTTGTCAGTGATGTTCATTACAGCATTATTTATTATTTCTAATTATAAATATTAGAAAAATGTCTAATAAAATTTGCTAAAATGCCAACTAGTTTCAAAATGGTTAAAACTGTAAGCTTAAAGCAGATTATAAAATTATGTTGACAAAGGAATAAACATGCCTATACAATATTGAGGAGAAAAAGGAAAATCGTATTTGTCTCATTTTTATAATGGTGTAAAACAAAACAACTGAAAAACTGTGAACCAAAAAGACTGGGGGAAATTATACCACCATGAAAATAGATGTTTTATCTGGGTAGGATTTGTTTTTCTATTCCTTCTTTTAATTTTCCTGAATTTCCTAAATTACCTGTGCTAAAACATTTATTACTTTTACAATAGAAAAAAAGAGCCTAACAAACTTCAAATCAACATGGATTTTTCCTGTTTGCACTCAGCTGAAATGTAGCTTTCTAGTGAAACTGGAGAGAGACGAAAACCTTTTCAAAGAGGCAATTCAGAGCAGGCTGCCAGAAAGTAAGCCCTTCCACGAGCATCTTTAGAGATCTCACCTCCATGCTCCCTGGCTGAGTTCTGTTGCTCTGAGAAGGTTCACATAATGAGTGTTTTCATCTTTTCATATTAAAAATGACCTCCTGGCCTGAGTCTGAGCTTCCCAGATGACTGAGGTTTGCTGGTCACAGCCTCAGAAAAAATAAAGCAAAATTACTTAGTATTTCATCCTGCTCTTGGAGTCTACATTGTATTTCCACACAAGCTCACAGACTTTGTTGTTGTTATTGTTTGTTTTGTTTTAACTCTCCAGATCCAACAAGGGTAATGGTACCCCCTTCCAGTATGGATGTCACTGTTGGAGAGAGTATTGTTTTACCGTGCCAGGTAACGCATGATCACTCGCTAGACATCGTGTTTACTTGGTCATTTAATGGACACCTGATAGACTTTGACAGAGATGGGGACCACTTTGAAAGAGTTGGAGGGGTAAGTATTAATAGCAAAAACTGACTCAAACTAACTTGTTTAGACCAACTTAACAATATATTTAAAGTTACTATTTTAGAATTTTGTTCAAGTAATCTTATGGCAAGAAACTCTTGGTTAATTCCTGCTCCTTTTTGCACAATAAATGTGGCATCACTCATTGAACAACTCTATATGGCAGGACTGCTCCCTAACTGGCACCAATCCTACAGGTTAATTATTCATTCCTGTGTATGGATTAGAAACTAAGGCTCACAGGCATTGGATGACTTGCCTTGGCCTCATAGCTACTGAATTGTGGAACTCAGCTTAAAACTTCAAATCCCAAACTCTGTGTCACATATCATATCATATATCCTAGAATCTGACCAAGAAAATAGCTTAAGGATAGTTTCCTTCTGTTTTTAGGCTGCTAATTAAACTCCCTTTGACCTTGTAGAAGGCACGTCATTGTGAATTTAGGGTTTTCTTTCTTGAATTTGAAAGTCTGATGGGGTTATTTACTATCTCCAGGTAATTTGAATTCAAAATGATTGGATTTTCAAAATGCCTTCCTTTCCATAACGGTATATTATCATTGAACACATAACAAGAAGAGGTTAAATCTGGGAACAATTCCTATCAATCACAATCATTGTCAAAAAATTTTTTTCTGCTCTAACGCACCTCTGTGATCCCATTGACAATAAAGATGGACTCCGGCTGCCATTTTTATGATGGAGTCCAGCCAAAACATAGCGGAATACAAAAATGGGGCCCTGACTTGAAAAGCTCTCCCCACTTCCTAGGCTGCTATAAAAATCTGTCCACCCCCTTTACGTTGAGAATAAGTGGCCTAAAGTCATCCATGTGATATAGTGAGAGCATATTTTCCACCCAACTACAGTACTAGCCCTGTTCATCACAGTCTTACTACCTTTATCAAACAGGGTTTTTGCAGTTGAGTCACAGAATGCCCAAAACAATTTCAATGACTGTTGTCTCAGTTCTATGCCAAGAGTGGTATCTGATTGGTACAACTTTAGATGGCACAGGAAAGAAGTTAATTCGTTACATCAGTGGATGCCTGGGTTCACTAGGGATTATCTCTTGGGACCCTGACTGAGAAAGGCTGGATGAAATTGCCAGCGTAAACCATTCTGGACCTCTTTCACATGGTTCAGCTTAATAACTTTGGCTAAGTGAAAGAAATATTAACTACTTCACAAAGACATTGGAGATATTGAATATCCTGAGGTCTAGGAAAGTACATAGCCCAATGTCTACCACAAAAGAAGTACTTGATAAACTTTAATGGTGGTATTAATTGAAGGAAGGGTAACATTGATTGTAATAACAGGAAAGTGTAAATCGAGAACATTCTTCATAAATTAAGCAGAATGTTCTCACATTAAAACCAATTTCTTGGGCAGGAGAGATATTAAAAATGCTAAATCTCAGAATGGCGCAAGCACCAACCAATGAAAACAGATGCCCGACCAATCGAAGTGGACGTCCTACCATTCAGACACATGTAGCCTTTATGCCAGAATGGTGCCAGGGCTAAGGCAGAAACAGGGACACCTAATGAAGTCAAACACTGATGACTACCTTTTGTAAAGACAGCTGTCCGTAGAGCTGCTCACATTCATCTTTCATATGGAAAATGTCTATCTCCCCTGTTAAACTAGTGCTAACACCAATCAACTTCTGCTGAGAAATACATAGAAAATTAAGGACAGCACAACCACATGTGAGATCTAAGTGTACTAGCCACTAGGATCATTAATGTCTGTGGAGTCAGGACTTGACAATAGAAGAGATAAGCAAGCGCAATTTTGAAGTCAAGCCTATTTCAGCTTCGACTTCCTGGGTCAGCATGGTGGAAATGATGCTTGGTATAGAGTTAACCTATTGAGGTTTTATAAAAGTTATTATTTCATTGTCCTCTGATACACCCCATCCCCACCGAGTATTCTGTCAGGAACACAACAGACTGCGGTGGTGGAAAATAAGCAGATGCTGTTGTTTTCTTTGGTAGGAACATAAAAAATGTAGATCTTAGTTAATAGTTGGGTCTGGGTGACTTCAAAGGGAAAGAGAAAGTTATTGTGGTCTGCTTTGATGAGACTCTTACCTCACTCCTCACTCTATTTTTTTCTTTGTTTCAGTTTTACTTTAAAAACACAAATCCAGTCAAAATGTGTAAATAACTACAGTACTTCTGAATCGCAAAATCAAAATTTTCTATTAATAGGTTGCTGTGCTCTGAAATATCCAGGCTGCAAGTTTCTTTGACATTTAAGCCCTTCATGAATAAAGTGAATTAGATAGATGGTATAGGCATTTCCCTAAGGCCAATGTGGCTTCCCACCTTCCCTGCACGCATCCCCTGGGGCATATTTTTTATTTAAACCTGTATTCGAAGTCCCCATATGTGAAATTTCTTAGGTAAAGTATCAATAATCTTAATAATGATGATGATAATAGTGATAATTCCTGATACTTGCAAAGTGCCTAATCATTTATCGGGTACTTTCTTATATACACTTGACCCTTGAACAACACAGGTTTGAGCTGTATGGGTCTACTTATATGTGGATTTTTTTTCTACCACACTCAGATTGCAAATACAATATTCGTGGGATGTGAAATAACCCACATATATGGAAGACTGACTTGTCATATACTCGGGTTCCAGAGGGCTGACTGCAGGACTTGAGTATGTGTGGATTTTAGTGTACTACGGTCCTGAGTCCTGAGTCCAATCCCCTGTGTCTACCAAAGGATGACTGTAATAGCTCCTTAATCCTCACAGAAATCTTGTCAAATAGGTTAACAATTATTTTCCCATTTTATTGAGCAATTATAAGACTTGATCCGTAAACAGTGGCATCTGGATGAGAAGCCAAGTGTTACAAACAAAAGACGTTTTGGGTTAAAATACCATAGCTTTTCCTGAATTAGATTTAACATCTTGGACATGTCTGTTTCACAAAAAAATGGATCATGGCTGTCAGTAATACCAGTTTAGAGTTAATCTACGCTTCAAGGTTTCAGAAGATTTTCACATAACACAGATAATCTCATTTGATTTTCACAACCTAGCATGAAGGTCAATAAAGGTCTTTTGAAAGTCAGTAAATCAAGGCCAAGAGAGATTAAGAGATTTAGATGAAATCACACAGCAGGAATCAGCCCAAGACAACTAAGCACCAAAACTGTAGCTCTTCCTTCACTCCATGCTTTGGCATCTCTTCTAATCGTATTTCTAATTGGCAATTCTATCTCTTCCATTATCCTGTGAATGTGACACTCTGTACTGAAACGATGGAGATAACCAAATACATATTAATTTTGAAATAGAATGAGGATATGGTCTTTCCGGATGCTAGTCTAGTGTTACTGTTAAGAACAGGGACTATATGGGTTCAAATCCTGGCTCTGCCATTTTCTAGCTACGTGACTTTAGGCAAGACTCCTAACCTCTTTGTGCTGGAATTTCCTCATCTGTAAAATAAGGATAACAAGAATACCTGCCTCAGAGGACATGTGAGTATTTAGTGAGTTTAATATAGGTAAAGTACTTGGAAGCTGCCTGTCATATAGTAAATACCATTAAACATCATCCATTACTATTGTCATTGGAGAAATAGCAACACAAGAGTCTGTGTCAATTTCCTGTTGTATAGTTTGGAATGGGAAAATGAAGGAGGGCCAATATACCCTAAATTATCTTGTCATCCATTACGGGTTTAGAATGAAGTGTACTTTTTCAAATCTGGCCTCTAGGGTGGTCTCTTCATCAAGCAGCTATTCTCCAAACTTTGGATTAACAGGGCTATGAACCAAACTCCAAGGTGTAGCAGTGTTCTTCAGGTAAAGTGCTGCCTTTGTGATAGCCTGTGGAATCATCTCCTCACATTTATTAAAAGTACTGTGCTGGCGAATGCTGGAGAAATATTTCTGGGGCGCATAGACATCCAAACCAGGATGTAATTAGTCCCATTCTTCTGCTAATCAAACATGCATTTGGCATTTGGAAACCAAATGAGCACTGTTCCACACTAGGTGATGCGAGATTTCCTTGGAGAATCTGGTCTTCCTAATCCTTTCATTCCAACCTGGGAGCAATAACAATGCTGGCTCTAAGAAAGGGTTGAGCAATAAAATGCAGATACTTCCAAATGTGGGCTTGCTTCCGTTTTCCAAATACAGAGTTCTAAAGTATCCGAACGCCAACCAAGGCCATAGGCTGAGGGCATTTCTGAAGAAACTCACAAAACTAGATCGAGAGCCACCGTAGTACGTAGGACTTATGTAGCATGTAACTTACGTCCTTCCGACATGGGTGCCAAACTGCTCCAGAGACTCAGAGAAGCCAGACACCTGAGGTCTTGTCGAAGATGTGTTCTGAAAACGTCGGTGTTCCCATCTCTCAGGCAGGCTCACATATTTTTAACAGGCCATGGTTTGCATCACTAATGCTTTCATCAGCCAGTGTAAAATAAATCCATTAGTCACCGTGTCCTTCATGTGATAATGATATTTAGAGCTCATTAAAAAGTAATTGCAGCCACTTTCCCCTACTTTATCAGCAGGATTCAGCTGGTGATTTGATGATCCGAAACATCCAACTGAAGCATGCTGGGAAATATGTCTGCATGGTCCAAACAAGTGTGGACAGGCTATCTGCTGCTGCAGACCTGATTGTAAGAGGTACTGGATTTTGTTGTTATTGTTGTTCTTGAAATATTTTCATGATATCTACTGTAGCGCAGAGTTCCAGAAACCTCAGTGGTTTAGAATTATGGGAAAAAGTCAGGCAGAAGCTGAACATTGTAAACAGTGGCTAACAGTCCACAGAAGTTTCTGGTTCATATACAGTTCCTCAGTGCGGCTTGTCAGAAAATGCACCGAACACATCCAGTAACTTTACACTAGAAGGATAATTGAGTAAATCGAGTACCCGATTACGGCTGTTGGAGTTGATATGACCTTCTAGAACAAATTTAGGTGAACAAAAGCAGATAGTTTAAAGAGGGATTAAACTGTCCCTTTTTATGTTTCATCTGGGCCAAACTGAATTAGTATCCTAGGCCACTGGTATAACAGCAGCTTAAGTAAAGTCATCATCAGGTTTATCCGAGTTTCCTTTTTTCCCTAAACTTCACAGTGCTGTTCGGTTCCTAAAATAGGGTTTTGGGAGAGGACACTTCCTGACTGCCTGGGATGTAGTAAATGAGCTGAGAGTTGATGTAAATACTAACATTTTTGAGATTCTCTTGAATATTATCAGCATGACCTAATTTGGACCTAAGAGCTATGACCCCCCCGGCTGAGCAACACCAACTGAGTACATTCCAAGCCTCACCAAACCGGTTGGCAAAGGAACTGTAAATGGACTTTTAAGAAATATTTTTAAATGAAAATTAAAATCTTCACTAACCAGTGTACATACCAGAATCCAACCTATGCATGCTCAGGGGTTTTCTATAGCATTAAAATAGAGGCCAATCCAGACATCAAAATAATATCTTAGCTAGAATCTCCTTCATCAGAATCCCTGACTGTTGGTGTTCAGGCATCTTTGGCCGGCTGGCAGAGCGCATGGCAAAACTTCGAACGCAAGAAAATAAAAATTTAGGGTATGAGCGTTGGAGGCAGGGTTAATCTGCATGCACAGAGAACAAGGTATTATTGGAAGCCATAAAGAGTGTTGCTGTATCCTCTAGGCATAATGTAAGGGGGGAAATGTGTGGGAGTTACCAACTTAAACTGATTGTGAAGAGAGGGTTCAAGAGAAATAGCAATTCCAATGTGTCTGCTTTGTTCCCCTTTCAATTGCCTTTAAAAAAACTTTCAGCAACAGTGCAGACAAGGGCTGGAAATGAGAAAAAACTTTCAACCGAGGTAGATCTGCCCACAGAATAACTTATAGAAATGTGTTTATTTCCATTTGAAAATACACCAGGCTGGTCTGCCCTCCCCTTGGGAACAAAAGAATTCTGTTGCTGAAAATTTATCCTCTATTTAATTAGGATAATGTTCAGATCAGCAGTTAAAACACCAATAAATTAGACTAATAAATATTTAAATCAGCAATACTTGAAGTTCTTAAATGATATTGTATACTTCATTTCACAGAAAATAACATTAAATACCAGGAGGAATTTGCAAACGCAGTCTAAAAGAAAATCTAGTCTAATCAGTTAATAAGGCCAATAAATTAATGTGCCATTTAAAACCATAATCTTTCATTTTATCTCCTTCTGCTCTGCCCTTGCAGCTTTTCTTGCACATTACAGAGGGGGAGGCAGGAATGTATTTCACCACCCTGAAAGACATTTTCATATTTGAAACGTATAGCAGCTTTGAGTCTTGGCTCCAGATTCTTTGATTTTCTGAGGCCTGTTCTATTTAACCTATAGCACTGTAATGGCAGCCAGAAAGGCCACCCTTCCTGAGGGAGAAGCAGACCCCAGAATCAAACTAATCTTCCCTTTGCCATTGCCTGAAACAAAATCTTCTACATGCCCCTGAGTGTGTTATCATTTTGTTCAGAGGACAAACATTTGTACATTTTTCATTTTGAAAGAGGGAGTCCACTTCCCTAAAACAAAGTTGGTAAACATTCTGTAAGGTCGTAGCTATGCATCGGTAGGAGAGGGTGGCAGGAAGATAAAAAAAAGAACAAACAAATCCAGGAAACTACCATCTTCTCTCCAGTGTCCAAACTCATACCAGCCCTTCATTTTCTTCCTATAGAGAGGCCAACAATGGACTCAGATATTTCCTATCGATTTAATTCTTTGAAGAGTTCAGAGGGAAACACTTTTCTATTTGTGGTACTTAGATTTTAAAGGACATCAGTGCAGCATCCATTAAAAAAAATGGTGGGGAATGCTAGGATGAGAAAACTAGTGAAAAAAATTATATTGTCTTCTAGACTTTATCTGGTTAAAAGGGGTCCCAAGACCAAAGGTTACATCAGCTCTATCTAGGTGACATTAGACTGACATGCTGAAATGTCACCATGGAAAATTAATCAGTTCCAGCATACAGATTTCCAGACATTTCATTCAGGAGTGGGAGGGAGAAGATAAATTTAGTCTCACCTGTGGGTCTATAAAAGTGATTTTTAAAAAAGGAAAGGGAATTTAGGGCATCACGTAAACGGTGAAGGAGTGAATCCTAGAACAAAGGCTAACTTCAGGAAATTGCTGTTAATTTTGCACTGCTCTGTGAGAGGTTTCTTTTTTCCCTGTCCCTGTGACATGGCCTGATAGTATTTGGGTAGTACATTTGATTGCTAGACTGGGGATTAGCAAATCCTTCCTAGGAACATCTCCTTATGCCCGTCTAATGGGCATGAGGTTTGTCATTATGTCCCCTCACCATCACCTTCCCTCCTGAGGTGGTCAATTGTACCTTGTTAAAAATGCATTTAACTGCCTGGTAAGAGATTTTCATGTTGGAAAGTGGGATAGCTGCGGGTCTTTGCTCTGGCTCTGTTGATATTTTGTCTTTACCTGCCAGCTGCTTTCCATCCCTCTATTTCTTTATTAGTTTCAAGCCTTCATTTAAATCTGATTTCCTCCCCTTTCCATGGTTTAAGTACATGGACAGAAACAACGAACATCAGGAAGAGAAGTAGAAAAATACGGGTATGAGTTGCAGAAACTACAGATGAGGGTCTTTAGTATCTAGCCTAATTTTGAAATTGCTTTGAAGAAGGGAGCGCCTTGACTCTTGCGCACCGGCCATTTTCACAGCAGTTCCCTTGCACGCAAGTGTGTGCTCACGTGGGAAGCAGGGTTGGATGTGAAGAGAGTGCTAGTAATTACAGTGCAGCAGAATGTGCAGAGCAACACTGTAACCTTCAAAGTTTTAAAGCCATTTGTGCTTAAATCTATATTCTCAGTGGTAGAAATAACCATTTCCAGCAGACTATACTCTTTATGAAATCAGGAGCAATATCTATCTTTTCTCACTACCGTATCCTCAAATAACACTGTCTGACCCATATTAGGAACCTATAAATAAATAATGAATTAATGAATGTGGGCTCTTATGGTACCCCAATACTCTCTATTAACATTAAGTATTCAGTTGTAATTATTTGTTTACCTATTAGTTTTTCATATTAAACTGTGGGCCCCTAGAAGGAAGGGGCTGTGTTTCATTCACCTCTGTGGTTTCCAAGCCCAGGAAAGTTCCAAGCACGTAGTAGGAGTTCAAAAAGGATTTGACAAGTGATGAATCTGTGAATGGGTAGATAAATGAATGGGTCAATGCCCCATTCAAGTATGTGGCTCCTTTACTTGGGTGTTTGAATACACTGCTCCAATTCTGGGGGTCTTGCTCTTTCCCAGGTCCTCCAGGTCCCCCAGAGGCTGTGACAATAGACGAAATCACAGATACCACTGCTCAGCTCTCCTGGAGACCCGGGCCTGACAACCACAGCCCCATCACCATGTATGTCATTCAAGCCAGGACTCCATTCTCCGTGGGCTGGCAAGCAGTCAGTACAGGTACCATATTGGATGCTTGGCTCAGAGACATTGGGAACTCAGCATACTGGACACAGCACTGTGGCAAGGAACGTCTAAGTTCTCATTCAGACACTACTACAAATGATATATTATGGCAGTGTTTCCTAAACCTCGGCCAACTGTACTATCATTAATATTTTTCTTTATATCAAATCACAGTTGGGTTTTTTTAAACTCATCCTAAGCAATAGTATCTGTGAAATGGTAATGTCCAGGCCAGATTTGGTGGCTCACGCCTGCAATCCCAGCACTGTGGGAGGTAGAGTTGGATGGATCGCGTGAGCCCAGGAGTTCCAGACCAGCCTGGGCAACATGGCAAAACCCCCTCTCTACAAAATATACAAAAATTAGCCTGGCATGGTGGTGCGTGCCTGCAGTCCTAGCAACTCAGGAGGCTGAGGTGGGAGGATTGCTTGAGCCCAGGAGGTAGAGGTTGCAGTGAGCCAAGATCACACCACTGAACTCCAGCCTGGGTGACAGTGAGACTCCGTCTCAAAAAAAAAAAAAAAAAAAGTCTGTTGTGCTGGTTGTATATGTATTTTCCGTAACACACATTAAAAATATATTAGTTATAAAAATAAAATGCATCAATCTGTATTACCTAAAATCATCTGTGTAGCACTGTGGTTCACTTTGGAAAGCAGCGGATTCTGCCTGACTATAGTCACTTAATAGTCACAGACTTCATAAAGTTTACACAGTGCTCTCAAAAACCAATAACAGAGGATTATAGGGAGCCTCTTCACTTGCTGCTGTGTTTTTTGAGACAGGGTCTCACTCTGTCACCCAGGCTGGAGTGCAGTGGTACAATCACAGCACACTGCAGCCTCGACCTCCTGGGCTCAAGCAATCTTCCCACCTCAGCCTGTTGAGTAGCTGAGACCACAGGCGCAGGCCCCCACACCCAGCTAATTCTCTAAAATTTTTTGTAGAGACAGGTCTTGCTATGTTGCTTAGGCTGGTCTCAAACTCCTGCGCTCAAGCAATTCTCCATCAGCCTCCCAAATTGCTGGGATTTCAGGCGTGAGCCACTGTGTCCAGCCCCATTTTTTTAGATGGATAAATTTGGGGATAAAAAGACATGAGATTTCTTTTTAACCAATTTTACAAATTCTTAAAAAAAAAAAAAACATTGTTAGCAGCAACACTTCCATCCTGTTTCCCTTTATTACATGTATACAGCACTTCCTATTTTTTAAAAGTTTCACAGTTATTTCTCTTTGCATGTAAAAGAATTCTTATACCAACCCCACTCTGTCAGTACCTCCAAATTGACTCATTTTCTTATTTAGATTTCATTTAAGGATAAATTGGATGAACAAGTAGTTATTACAAACAAAGATACACACTCCTCTAGACAGCAAAAGTAGGCTATATGGCCTTGATGTTTTGAAGGAGAATATGCCCAGTGTTGAGCAATTCATATAAATCTTGTTGATTTTAACCCATTTGTTTTTTTCACTTTAGTTTACTAATCCTTAGAAATGGGTTTCTGTGTTTCCTTCTGTAATCACTGAGTCACAGGTGTGCTTTAAGAAGGAAATATGAGAAAAATATAGAAGTTAGGAGATGAATTCTAGACCTGACTGCTAATCAGCTGATCTCTATACATCTTCATTTTCCTCTTCTGTTAAATGGGCACAATAAGAATTGTTTAAGAATGAATATAGGCCAGGCGCAGTGGCTCACAACTGTCATCCCAGCACTTTGATAGGCCAAGGCGGGTGGATCGCTTGAGCCCAGGAGTTTGAGAGCAGTCTGGGAAATGAGGCGAAATCCCGTCTCTACTAAAAATACAAAAAAAAAATAGACAGGCATAGTGGCATGCACCTGTAGTCCCTGCTACTCAGGAGGCTGAGGCACAAGAATTGCATGAGTCTGGGAGGTGGAGGTTGCAGTGAGCCGAGATTGTGCCACTGCACTCTACCCTGGGCATCAGAGAGAGAGAGAGAGAGACCCTGTCTCAAAAAAAGAAAAAAAAAAAGAAAAGAAAAAAAGAATATAATACTTTTACCTTTCTCAGAGGATAGTTGAAATAGTGTGTCTGGCACTATACAATAAATGCGGAAACACATGTGAAGGGGTGATAGTAATGATTGAGTCAGGTAGTTTGGGGTCTTGTGGACTGTGTGTCTTTTATGATGTCATCTGCTGGTATCTGATTAGAGTGTGTTAGTTTAACATACAGAGATAGTTCTGAGATTACCTCACTGAAACAACTGTTGATGCAGCTAATATCAGAACACCTACACTGCCCTGAATACAATAATGATGAGGATGGATGGATGTTCCTATCTTCCTAACGTAATCTCTGCATTTGTTTTCTGAGAACCTATGAAACAGCCCCCACCTTTTGTTGTCTTTCAGTCCCAGAACTCATTGATGGGAAGACATTCACAGCGACCGTGGTGGGTTTGAACCCTTGGGTTGAATATGAATTCCGCACAGTTGCAGCCAACGTGATTGGGATTGGGGAGCCCAGCCGCCCCTCAGAGAAACGGAGAACAGAAGAAGCTCGTGAGTAGCACCCGAGATTCAGATCATCTGTTCTGCCAGCTGCTGTTCCTTAGGAAAAGCGTTTGAATTCTTGCTGCTCTTCAGCGCTCATGCGGCTCTGTGTTAGCTCACCCTTCCCTTTAAATGTTTATAATGATAGAAATCAGGCCAGGAGAAGCCCAGCTGAACACGCAACGGGTTTCAATCAAGAGTTGTTTTCTTCATTAGGTCCACTTGTACAGCAAGAGACACACGGTGCTTAGTCCTCTCAAAAGCCAGCCCTTTCTTCATTGGTTCATTTGTCACCAAGATTCTAACAGAATTTCAAAAAAAAATCCCACATTTCAAATAAAATTATCTCACATAAGTAACTAATGGCAAAGAATAATTTGTGACTGCTCTGGACACAGCCACCATGGGGTAATCCTGTTTAGAATAGAAATAAAAAATAATTTCTTCAGAAATGTTCACTTAGATTATCTTTCTTAGGGTATAAACCATTCCCAGAAACGAAGATTCAGAACATCGTGCTCATTCGAACAAGACCAGTCAGCAATTCAGTATGGCCCTCTGCATATGCAGCTTGAATGAGCACGGGGAGAGAAGAACAAGTTCATCAGGGTCAGCCGTACTTTTACTTAGCTGGTGTAAAGCAAGAGGCCTACATGTGCCGTCTTTTATAGAGTTCCCGCCTGTAGAGAGGCCAGTGTGTTGAAGGAATAATAAGGTCCCTACACAAATAGGAGTTCTGACCCTACTCTCAGAAAAGCAAAAACTCATCTAGATCTATTTGATTGGCTTTAACCAAGGAGACATACCCAGTCACCAGCCACATACCCCAGTGAGACCTTTTTAAATGTGGCCCGGAGCCTTTCAGTTACGTGATGACAATATAGCTAGTCCCCTGCTTTCTTTTCCCCTTCCAAAACCATAATTGAATTAATTCCCCTCAGCAATCCTGAGGTGGAAGCTCGCATAATTTCCTCTCTTTTATAGAGAAAACTGGTGATCAAAGAGGTTAAGCTCAGTGAGCCGGGGGTCAACTTCTGTCTGCCACTTCCTTCAACACTCAGATCAAAACTCTTCCTCCCAGAAGCCATTCGCCCACCCCAGCTCTGAGCAGGGCGCTACTCCGGAACGCCCCCCGCTTCTCCATGCTGACTGTTCCTTACCCTGGTTGTCGACCTTGCTCTAACTGGTGCAGGCGCTCCTCCACTCCAACCAGCTTGTAAGCTCTGCCTGGGCAGAGCTTGTACTCTTCCCTTTGTGTATCTCCACGTGGCTCATAAACGCATAACCAAACATTAGGACCAGACTTCAGTCCTTTCCTCCCTTCGGGAACCCCTCGGCCTCTAGGGATGGAGCTGAACAATTGGTCAGACGTGTCAGATAACACGTGTGCCTTGTTGAATGGGAAACAGGTAATTAATAGCAGTCTCCTTGGTACATTTCACTTCCTCGAGCGGTCGCCGTGGGCCCCTTGACAATGCTGTTGCTGATCTCCAGAGACAAAGGGGCGTGCCTCAGAGTACTCACTGAAAGTGAGTCACCTCTGCCAGGCAACCTTCCTGGCCCTCATTCGCCTTTGCCGCCTGACATAACTTGTTTTTTGTCTCCTTGTGCAGTCCCCGAAGTCACACCAGCGAATGTCAGTGGTGGCGGAGGCAGCAAATCTGAACTGGTTATAACCTGGGAGGTAAATGAATCACAGAATAAAAGGAACGTACACGCATCGAAGCTATTTTATTATTTTCCTCCATGTTAGACATAGCTGGGAAGTTTCCTCCTCTGTTTTTAACAGTGAAAATTCATTTGGGTTCAGACACTCCCTCTCACGTAGCTAATGGCTAGCAGGAAGGACGGCACTTGCCCATCCATTGTTGAGGCAAGTTTTAATTCAATCCATCACAGTAAAAACAATTATGAAGGGAAGACAACACACGTTACAAAAAAAAATAAAGAAGGCTGTTTCAGAGAAAACTAGTTTTTCTTTTCTTCCTGAATTGCTGCATGGCCAATTGATTTAAAACGTCTGCCAGCAATAGATTCAGTGCACCAGCACAATTTCCTGGCAATTGGCTTTGCTTCTAGAAGGGGCCCTCTTTTAGGAGGTATTTTTTAAAACAACCTGGAGGAAAGTTAGTCACCAATTTATTAAAAATTGGCTTTGAGAGAAGAGGTGGGAGCTTTAGAAAGGGTTCTTCATGTTTTTGAAAGATTCTAAACAGCCCCAGAAATTAAAATCTCTCATTTACCCAAAGCACAGCAGTGAAAGAAATCACTCATCCCTCCAGCTGAACTCTTCCCTCTGAGAGGGAGGATCTTCAGCCAAGATGGTTTTTCTTCCTTCAGTGAGATCTTTTGTCTATTTGGCAATGGAAGAAGATTAGTATTAGAGGATACGTGTTGGAAATGTGGTTTTTCAGGAGACCGATGTCCAGTGTTTTTTTTTTTACAATCATTTCCAACCATTTCAGAGCTGGGTCTGCCCCATCAAAGAGCAAGCTCTGGACTGCAGATCCTCATTACGTTTTCAACCCTGTCCAGTACATCATAACTGTTTAAGATAGACTGACTGCAAGCCCTAAATTTAAAAGACTGTTAACAAAACGCCAAATAAGATGGGTGGAGAAGGATGTAGACAAGAATGTTACAAGGGAAACAAAAACGATTTTTGCATTTGAGTGAAACTACTGTGATTTCTGAAGACCACCTTCCTTCTTTCCCAGACGGTCCCTGAGGAATTACAGAATGGTCGAGGCTTTGGTTATGTGGTGGCCTTCCGGCCCTACGGTAAAATGATCTGGATGCTGACAGTGCTGGCCTCAGCTGATGCCTCTAGATACGTGTTCAGGAATGAGAGCGTGCACCCCTTCTCTCCCTTTGAGGTTAAAGTAGGTGTCTTCAACAACAAAGGAGAAGGCCCTTTCAGTCCCACCACGGTGGTGTATTCTGCAGAAGAAGGTATCGTTTATGCTGCCTAGATCATTGACTGTTAATATTTCTTCAATTCTAAAATGTGGATTGTAGCACGTACAATCAATTTCGCATGGTACATGTATCTTGAAGGCATACCTGATTTGAGAAGAGGATAATGTAAACAATTTGGTTCGCTGTCCACCATGAATCTCTTGAAAAGATAGCGACTGCTCTGTATATGAAAACACTTGGCTGTCCATTATTGATTCCATTGCTAAGGACCAGAATTGCAAATACCATATAAGATCTTCATATCTATCTATATGTTATCATTACTTTCAAAAGAATTTTATTTTTGCCTTTAAGTGAATATCAAAATATAATTTGCATTTTCTTACCACTTGTATTTTCATAAAGCATATGGTACTTGTGGCTCACACCTGTAATCCCAACACTTTTGGGAGGCCAAGGCGGGTGGATCACCTGAGGTTGGGAGTTCGGGACCAGCCTGACCAATATGGAGAAAACCCATCTCTACTAAAAATATAAAATTAGCCAGTTGTAGTGGCACATCCCTGTAATCCCAGCTACTCAGGAGGCTGAGACAGGAGAATCACTTGAACCCAGGAGGCGGAGGTTGCGGTGAGCCGAGATCGCACCACTGCACTCCAGCCTGGGCAACAAGAGCAAAACTCCATCTCAAAAAAAAAAAAAAATCTCACTTATTAAAGAAAAGAGTAAGTCATGAAGCAGTGTGATTGCGCTCACTGTCATCCACACCATCATTATGTTTAACATTTCTCACACATTATTATCACCTCCATGCTATCCCTGCTCTCGGGATGCCTCTCACACAGTCTTCGTTACCTTTGGAGTTCGTCTATGTTGTTTTAAAGATGATGCTCAGAATGGGACCATGTTAAAACATCTGAAAGGTGAATCATTGATTTAGAGTCAGTGAAGATGCAATAACTTATTCCCAATCAGAGAGATCATCCCCTTAGACTCAGTAGCCCTCCATGATCTAGCTGCTGCCTCTCTGTCTGCCTCAGCTGCTGATGCCTTTCCCTGCATATTTCATGTTCCAACCATTGCCAAAGGATTTACAATTATTCAAACAAGCTTCAGCCCTTTTCATAGCCTTCAACTTCTCTTAGATAATAGTTCATGTCTCTGGATTATGAAAATGAGAGGAAAAGGGGAAAAGGACAGTCAGCTGACTTGACTAAGATTCAAGAGAGCTGGATGACACTTCAGGTTCACACTGCAATCTGTATGATCTTGGATAACTCAGGTATACTCTGTGGGCCTCAGCATCTTTGGCTGCAAAGGAGAGGCTAGACTGACTGTTTCCCAAATTTCAGTTATTTTTGCCAGATTTCTGCCATAGCTGTGTACCATTTGTATATGTTCACATTTTTCTTTCAATAGTCTTCCTTAAAAAAAATTTAGTGGGCAAGCACAGTGGCTCATGCCTGTAATCCCAGCACTTTGGGAGGGGGATGTGGGAGGATAGCATGAGCCTAGGAGTTTGAGACCAACCTGGGCAACATAGCAAGATCCAAGTCTTTACAAAAAAACATTAGCCAGGCGTGTTGGCACATGTGTGTGTGGTCCCAGCTACTTGGGAGGCTGAGGCGGGAGGATGGCTTGAGCTCAGGAGGTCAGGCTGCAGTGAGCCATGATTGTGCCACTACATTCCAGCCTAGGTGACAGAGTGAGACCCTATTTCAAAAAAGAAAAAGAGAAGCAGTTTAGCCATGTCGTAAGCAATAACATTTGTGAGATGCTAATTAAGAAGGATCTGTGTTAAGGGAATTGCTGGCTATGAAAACTTGGTGCTTAAACTTAAGTGGTTCTTCTCTTCTACCCACACCTAAATTCAGAACCCAAACACTGGACAAATATTCACTACCACCAACTCCAGCTATTAATCACTGCCCCTCTGCAAAATGAGGGTTTGGCTTACAATCATTAAGGACGATTCTATAACCATGAATTATTTTACCTTATAATGCTAGTATCTACAATCCTGTCCTAATATAGCTGATAGAGTAATAACTATCTCCATATTCATCTACAGAACCCACCAAACCACCAGCCAGTATCTTTGCCAGAAGTCTTTCTGCCACAGATATTGAAGTTTTCTGGGCCTCCCCACTGGAGAAGAATAGAGGACGAATACAAGGTTATGAGGTAGGCAAGACATATGTGCCTTGGGTCTGAAAGAGAGTCTATGCCCCTTGATAAGTCCTCCAAGTCACATTCTTATAGGAAGAGACCCACATTCCCACTAAGAGGCATTGGTTTTAGGCCTGGCTTCCAGCTGAACATTAATGGAAGCATTGAATACTCAGCTGTGAGACTACCCTTTTTCTATGTTATATTCTAGAGGTATTTTTCGAATTATATGCAAATCTAAGCATTTACGGGATGGTTGGCAAAATGAGCTTTGACTTCTGATATGCCCAGGATCACTTTGACTCAAAACAAACATGGGAAAAAAGAAAATAATGAACGACGGTTGTGTCAATGTACCGTCTCACTAGGAAGCTAAGGACAAAAAAGGGACCCTTCTTACTTTGGATAATTTCTCAGGATATACAGAGTCCTTTGTCCTGATAGCTCTGCTCATGATGTAGTATAGAAAACTAACTCCATCATAAGAATCTGCGTACAAAATTACCTGATGACATTGCAAATATCCCCATTGGGTATGGTTTCCAAGGTCTTTCTGTTTATCTTCTTAGGTTAAATATTGGAGACATGAAGACAAAGAAGAAAATGCTAGAAAAATACGAACAGTTGGAAATCAGACATCAACAAAAATCACGAACTTAAAAGGCAGTGTGCTGTATCACTTAGCTGTCAAGGCATATAATTCTGCTGGGACAGGCCCCTCTAGTGCAACAGTCAATGTGACAACCCGAAAGCCACGTAAGAACAGACTTGCTCAGAAATATTTTGGGGATTCATCACACATATCCCAAGTTTATTCCTTATCCCCACCTCCCAATGATCATTTGCATACTAATTAGTAGCATGTGGATTCAAATTTCCCTCAGCATTTTAACTGAACCTTTCCGTATACCACGCAAAATTCATTGCTGTGGAGGACAGAAAGATAAATGTTTTTCTCCTCACTGGGAAGGGCTACTTCTTTTAGCTATAAATGTTAGGCGACCAACTGAATCTTTTTCCATTTGCAATGCTGTATCTCATCAGATTTTAGTGACCTTGAAGACACATATTAGTGCAATAGCCCATTAAATTGCCTCCACTCTCGAATTCTAGTAAGGAGATATTCCTCAGAATCCATTGAGACTTAATAATCTGTGACTTCGTATATCTTAATTTTTTTATAGCACCAAGTCAACCCCCCGGAAACATCATATGGAATTCATCAGACTCCAAAATTATCCTGAATTGGGATCAAGTGAAGGCCCTGGATAATGAGTCGGAAGTAAAAGGATACAAAGTAGGTAATTTCTTTTTTGCAAAGGCACCTAATCGTGCTGTGAGTGGGGGCAGTCTCCTCCATGAATTATACAGTTGTCTGCATTGTCAGTTTCCCTGGTGATGCTCTCCTACCCTCTAGGAATCGCTGCCTCCAACACGGTTTGATCTGAGTTGTATAAATAGTCTATGGCAATTGGTCAGGATTTAGACAATCACCTTAACTTTAGTCTCAGGCAGCATCAATCAGAAATGGATAAAGACCCTGTGTTTGGGTCTCCAAAAATACCCTGAAGAACCACTTTTTAAACATTCCTACTGTCAGCTTCGTTTTGCTCCTGTCTCGGTTTATATATATTTTTTAGTCAACTTAGTAGCCTCCTGATATTACCAATGATTAATCATTTTTGTTCGTATGTTTCTATAGTCAAGAGTTATATAAAGAAAAAGAGAAAAGAGAGAAAAAGCAGGAAAAGTGGAGAAAATGTTTGCCTGACCCCATAAATGTTGGCTTGTCTTTAATGAGAAAATGAAAAGAACATGTCTGTAGCCTTCTTGCAGCAATCAAAAAGGGTTATAAATATCTTGCAACGTTTCCAGCTACCTATTTGCTACCTAACAAACCAACCTGAAGCTAGGGGCTAAAACAGCAACAGTGTATCATTTTTTATGACTTTGCAATGTGGATAGGGCCAGAATGGACAGATTTTAGGGCTGGAATAACTAAGATGCTTCTTCACACACTTTTGGCTTCTTGGATGGGATAGGTGGGAAAGCTGAGGCTGGCCAGTGATCATGCTCTCTATGAGGCCTTTCCCCACGGATAACCTGGGCTTCCTCACAGTATGGTGACCTCAGAGTAGTCGGATTTCTTACATAGTTGTCAGCTTCAAGAGGAAGAAAGCAGAAGCTGCCAGCCCTTTTAAAAGCTAAGGATGGACGTGGGCAGTTCCAAGATGGCCAAATAGGAACAGCTCCAGTCTATAGCTCCCAGCGTGAGCAACGCAGTAGACTGGTGATTTCTACATTTCCAACTGAGGTACTGGGTTCATCTCAATGGGGCTTGTCGGACAGTGGGCGCAGGACAGTGGGGGAAGTGCACCGAGCATAAGCTGAAGCAGGGCGAGGCATCGCCTCACCTGGGAAGGGCAAAGGGTCAAGGAATTCCCTTTCCTAGCCAAGCAAAGCTGTGACAGACAGCACCTGGAAGATCAGGGCACTCCCACCCTAATACTAATACTGCGCTTTTCCAATGGTCTTAGCAAACGGCACACCAGGAGATTATATCCCATGCATGGCTCAGAGGGTCCCATGCCCGGCTCAGAGGGTCCCATGCCCACAGAGCCTTGCTCGTTGCTAGCACAGCAGTCTGAGATCGAACTGCAAGGCAGCAGTGAGGCTGGGGGAGGGGGCGCCTGCCATTGCTGAGGCTTGAGTAGGTAAATAGCGGCCTGGAAGCTCAAACTGGGTGGAGCCCACTGCAGCTCAAGGAGGCCTGCCTGCCTCCTTGCCCTCTGGGGGCAGGGCATAGCCAAACAAAAGGCAGCAGAAACCTCTGCAGACTTAAATGTCCCTGTCTGACAGCTTTGAAGAGAATAGTGTTTCCCCCAGCACGGAGTTTGAGATCTGAGAATGGACAGACTCCCTCCTCAAGTGGTTCCCTGACCCCCGAGTAGCCTAACTGGGAGGTACCCCCCAGTAGGGGCAGACTGACACCTCACACAGCCAGGTACCCCTCTGAGACAAAACTTCCAGAGGAACGATCAGGCAGCAACATTTGCTGTTCAGCAATATTTGCTGTTTTGCAGCCTCCGCTGCTGAAACCCAGGCAAACAGGGTCTGGAGTGGACCTCCAGCAAACTCCAGCAGACCTGCAGCTGAGGGTCCTGACTGTTAGAAGGAACACTAACAAACAGAAAGGACATCCACACCAAAACCCCATCTGTACGTCACCATCATCAAAGACCAAAGGTAGATAAAACCACAGATATGGGGAAAAAATAGAGCAGAAAAACTGAAAATTCTAAAAATCAGAGCACCTCTCCTCCTCCAAAGGAACGCACCTCCTCACCAGCAATGGAAAAAGCTGGATGGAGAATGACTTTGATGAGTTGAGAGAAGAAGGCTTCAGATGACCAAACTTCTCCGAGCTAAAGGAGGAAGTTCGAACCCATCCCAAAGAAGTTGAAAACCTTGAAAAAAGGTTAGACAAATGGCTAACTAGACTAACCAATGTAGAGAAGTCCTTAAATGACCTGATGGAGCTGAAAACCATGGCACGAGAACTACATGACGAAGGCACAAGCTTCAGTAGCCAATTCGATCAGCTGGAAGAAAGGGTACCTGTGATGGAAGATCAAATGAATGAAATGAAGCAAGAAGAGAAGTTTAGAGAAAAAAGAATGAAAAGAAACGAACAAAGCCTCCAAGAAATAAGGGACTATGTGAAAAGACCAAATCTACGTCTGATTGGTGTACCTGAAAGTGACGGGGAGAATGGAACCAAGTTGGAAAACACTCTGCAGGATATTATCCAGGAGAACTTCCCCAGCCTAGCAAGGCAGGCCAACATTCAAATTCAGGAAATACAGAGAATGCCACAAAGATAGTCCTCGAGAAGAGCAACTCCAAGACACATAATTGTCAGATTCACCAAAGTCGAAATGAAGGAAAAAATGTTAAGGGCAGCCAGAGAGAAAGGTCAGGTTACCCACAAAGGGAAGCCCATCAGACTAATAGCGGATCTCTTGGCAGAAACTCTACAAGCCAGAAGAGAGTGGGGGCCAATATTCAACATTCTTAAAGAAAAGAATTTTCAATCCAGAACTTCATATCCAGCCAAACTAAGCTTCATCAGTGAAGGAGAAATAAAATCCTTTACAGACAAGCAAATGCTGAGAGATTTTGTCACCACCAGGCCTGCCCTAAAAGTGCTCCTGAAGGAAGCACTAAACATGGAAAGGAACAGCCAGTACCAGCCTCTGCAAAAACATGCCAAATTGTAAAGACCATTGATGCTAGGAAGAAACTGCATCAACTACCGAGCAAAATAACCAGCTAACATCATAATGACAGGATCAAATTCACACATAACAATATTAACCTTAAATGTAAATGGGCTAAATGCTCCAATTAAAAGACACAGATGGCAAATTGGATAGAGTCAAGACCCATCAGTGTGCTGTATTCAGGAAACCTGTCTCACGTGCAGGGACACACATAGGCTCAAAATAAAGGGATGGAGGAAGATCTACCAAGGAAATGGAAAACAAAAAAAAGGCAGGGGTTGCAATCCTAGTCTCTGATAAAACAGACTTTAAACCAACAAAGATCAAAAGAGACAAAGAAGGCCATTACATAATGGTAAAGGGATCAATTCAACAAGAAGAGCTAACTATCCTAAAAATATATGCACCCAATACAGGAGCACCCAGATTCATAAAGCAAGTCCTGAGTGACCTGCAAAGAGACTTAGACTCCCACACAATAATGACGGGAGACTTTAACACCCCACTGTCAACATCAGACAGATCAACGAGACAGAAAGTTAACAAGGATATCCAGGAATTGAACTCAGCTCTGCACCAAGCAGACCTAATAGACATCTACAGAACTCTCCACCCCAAATCAACAGAATATACATTCTTCTCAGCACCACATCGCACTTATTCCATAATTGACCTCATAGGTGGAAGTAAAGCACTCCTCAGCAAATGTAAAAGAATAGAAATTACAACAAACTGTCTCTCAGACCACAGTGCGATCAAACTAGAACTCAGGATTAAGAAACTCACTCAAAACCGCTCAACTACATGGCAACTGAACAACCCGCTCCTGAATGACTACTGGGTACATAACGAAATGAAGGCAGAAATAAAGATGTTCTTTGAAACCAACGAGAACAAAGACACAACATACCAGAATCTCTGGGACACATTCAAAGCAGTGTGTAGAGGGAAATTTATAGCACTAAATGCCCACAAGAGAAAGCAGGAAAGATCTAAAATTGACACCCTAACATCACAATTAAAAGAACTAGAGAAGCAAGAGCAAACACATTCAAAAGCTAGCAGAAGGCAAGAAATAACTAAGATCAGAGCAGAACTGAAGGAGATAGAGACACAAAAAACCATTCAAAAAATCAGTGAATCCAGGAGCTGGTTTTTTGAAAAGATCAACAAAATTGATAGACTGCTAGCAAGACTAATAAAGAAGAAAAGAGAGAAGAATCAAATAGATGCAATAAAAAATGATCAAGGGGATATCACCACCCTTGAGAGTGGGTAACAGGGTTAGACCAGATGGTAGGAAAGGACACTTTCTGAGTTCTTCTTAATTTCCAGCTCAGTCACTCCCCCTTCTTTTTAGGAGTGGTACTGGAAGAGCCAGACACCCTACACCTCCTCAACTACACCCCAAGGAAGGTCACTGTAACTGGCTATACATTTTGAATTGCTACATATACATGTGAATGTTTAGAGATACATAATTTAAAGCTACAGGTATCCACAGGTTCCATACTCTCAAATGTGGATCAAAAATATTCAGGAAAAAAAACACACAAAAAAATACAATGAAAATGACACAGATTTTAAAAACAATACAGTATAACAACTATTTACATACCATTTACATTATATTAGGTATTATGAGTAATCTAAAGTTGATTTAAAGTATACGGAAAGATATGCTTAGGTTATACACAAATTCTATACCATTGTATATCCAGGACTTGAGTATCCACAGATTTTGGTATTTTAGGGAGGTCCTGAAGCCAGTTCCCTGAATTACCAAGGTACCAATGAATAACTCTCTCTCTTTCTCTCTCTCTCTCTGTGTGTGTGTGTGTGTGTGTGTGTGTGTATTTGTGTGTGTGTATGTGTGGTACCTCCCGTGATATCTCACGTCCCATGATAGCTCAGGAAACTCTCCCTAGTGTCACTTTTAGGGTGAGATTAGAGGCTGAATAAAAAGCGGATCTGATTGCAACGGAAGAGTTGACCTTTGCTAGAGAATTTGACCCATTAAATATGGCTATTGTTTATCTCAGACTGACCCTTTCCAAAATTAAGTTTTCCTCCCAAATACTGAACATGTTGGGGTGTGGGTTTATTTTCCCTTCTTCACTAAGTTGTCTGAATTCTTTAGATCTCAGCTTAGGTAGACAGTCTCAACAAGAAGCTGACTTTAGAAAGTTTAAGGCCCCAAATATTTTGTCAACACAAATCCTTAAGCTACTTTATGGCATTAGAGCTAAAAGGAGAGCATCTGGTTTTAGTATCACAAATTAAACTACCTGCAGGGCCAGGCAGATAACATAAATGAGTTCTGTTCAGTCCATTCAGAAACTACTACTAATACGTCTACTAAGCACTGTTCCAATTCATCTTAACTTTATATTTTATTTTGTTGTATTTTGAGACAGAGTCTCCCTCTGTCACGCAAGGTGGAGTGTAGTGGTACAATCTTGGCTCACTGCAACCTCCGCCTCCAGGGTTCAAGCAGTTCTCCTGCCTCAGCCTCCCAAGTAGCTGAGACTACAGGCGCCCACCACCACGACTGGCTGATTTTTGTATTTTTAGTAGAGATGGAGTTTCACCATGTTGGCCAGGCTGGTCTTAAACTCCTGACCTCAGGTGATCCGCCTGCCTCAGCCTCCCAAAGTGCTGGGATTACAGGCATGAGCCACCATGCCTGGCCTCATCTTAACTGTATAATAACCATGAAGATAGGTACAGTTATTATTGCTAGTTTTACGGATGAAGAGCTGTGGCATAGAGTTTAGTCACTTGCCTTTCACACAGCTGGTATGTTGAAGACCTGGGATCCGAATACAGCAGTATGGATCCTGAGTTCTACATTTAGCCACTTGGTGCTTCTGCCTACCAGCCATAAATAAATAGAATAAGTGATAACAAAGTACTGCAGAGAAAAAGAGGCTAGAGTGAGGGGAATAGAGAAAGCCATGGAGTGGACAGGAGAGATGTATTATTTTATAGAAAGGCCAAGGAAAGCCACTTTTAAGTGGTGAGATTTCAGTTGGGCCTTGGCACCTCTCTGGGAATGTCCCAAGTACTGCAAAAAAGGAAGTGCAAAGGTCCAGAGGTAGGCATGTGACAATGTAGCAACATTGGAAGTGTTGGGACTATCACCAACTGCAGAGTTTGTGATTGTTCAGAATGAGACTTCTCAACTCCAACCAGTTGTTGGCAGACAGGAATATAGATCACTGGCTTAGTCTATTTTATTCTGGATCGCACTTTTGTAGAGTCTTACTCAGGAACAGAATACCTGAGACTGGGCAATTAATATGAACAGAAGTTTATTGACACCCAGTGCTGGGAGGGAGAGGGATAGAGAGCTGACTCGCCCTTTTACAACAGTGCTAATTCCATCTGTGAGGGTGAGCCTAATCACCTCATGGCCTAATTATCTCTTCAAGGTTCACCTGTTAATACAGTTAAAATGGCGAATTTCAACATGAGTTTTGGAGAGGACAAGCATCCAAAGCATAGCAACCAGTGTGGCCATATCTTCCAGTTTTTCAGTAGAACCCACAAATTTTTAATGTCTAATTTCTCGGTTTTTAAATGTTCATGTCTAACTCAAAAAAAATAACACTATGACAGCCAAACAAATAATATATGCAGGCTGGTTATGACCCATGGGCCACTAGTTTTTTGCTGTCTAACTCCCTTGGTTTGTGTTCCCAAAGACAGATGCCAGAGAGGGAAAGCAATTTGCCCAGAGCCCTACAGGTGGTAGCCAAGGTAGTCTTCGTTAAAAATCCAGGTTCTGAGGCCGGGCACGGTGGCTCACACCTGTAATCCCAGCACTTTGGGAGGCCGAGGTGGGTGGATCACCTGAGGTCAGGAGTTTGAGACCAGCCTGACCAACATGGTGAAACCCCGTCTCTGCTAAAAATATAAAATCAGCAGGGCATGGTGGCGCATGCCTGTAATGTTAGCTACTTGGGAGGCTGAGGCAGAAGAATTGCTTGAACCCGGGAGGCGGAGGTTGTAGTGAGCTGAGGTCACACCATCGCACTCTAGCCTGGGCAATAAGAGTGAAACTCCGTCTCAAAAAAAAAAAAAAAAAAAATCCAGGCTCTGGAGCCAGACTGCCTAGGTTTGAATGCAGGATCCGCCACTTACCAGTCATGAGACCGGGCAATTGCTTCACATCTCCACATCTCAAGTTCTCATCTTTGAAATCAGAATAATAACATTGCCTTCCTTAAGAGGTTATCCACATAAGCATTTAGAACAAGCTTGTACAGCCCACAGCCCACAGGCTACATGTGGCCCAAGATGGCTTTGAATGTGGCCCAACACAAATTCATAAACTTTCTTAAAACATCGTAAGATGTTTTTTGCAATTTTTTAAAAGTTCATCAGCTATCATTAGTGTTAGTGTATTTTATGTGTGGCCCAAGACAATTTTTCTTCTTCCAGTGTGGTCCAGGGAAGCCAAAAGATTGGACACCCCTGATTTAGAACACACAGTGTTCAGACATTAAATAGTGGAAGTAGTCTATAATATTTGCTATTATCATTATTCCCACAAATCCATTCTTTCCCCTTGTCTTCCACCCTAGATTATATCAAATGCAAGCACAGCCTTCAATCAGCTCAAGCAAGTGTTTGGTGTAAATAAAGGCTTTACAGGACTTTATTTGGGTTCTGCTGCAGTCCATAATACTGCAAGACTGATAAGCAGTGCTGATAAAAGTGCTGCTTTTTCCTGGAAGTGTTTCTTTTGGATTTATATTTGAAACAAGTTGAATCCTCTGAGCTCTTGCAAGGACCAGAGGTAAATCAAAGCAGCAATTTATTCCTCAAAGCCAGATGTGACCTTGCATCCCATCAGCCCATTCTCCTGGAGGGCCGTGATGAGAAGCTTTGACACTCCTGAATGTGCCTGAGGATTTATCTGTGCCTAATCATCAGCAAGGGGATGCTGGGTCTGATACAACTGATGCTGCGGAGAAGAAGGGGACACTTATGAATCTTTCTACCTTAAGGAAATTGTGTTTTCCACCTTGTGTTAGAGAGATATAAATTAAGGTGATGAAATGCCAGGGAACAGATGGGTTCTAAACCATTCTAAAGGAATTTTATGAATTTCACTTGTGTCTGGTTTTGTCTTGAGACACAAGAGTGACCTTATGTCTGTAGCCTCAGCAGATCAGAATTTATAAGGGATCTTAGGGAAGGATGAGCTAATCTCGTGCTTCTCAACGCATGATCCCTGGACCATCAGCACTGGCATTAGCTGGGAACTTGTCAGAAATGCAGATTTTCAGGTCCCATCCCAGAACTAATCACAAACTCCAGGAATGGGGCCCAGCAATTTGTGTTCTAACAAGTTCTCCAGGTGATTCTGTTCACGCTTGAATTTGAGAACTACGCGTCTAATTCATCTAATCATGATGCCTATCCCATATTAACATCTCCTGATGATCTTTTAGAAAACAACTACAGCATGGATCCCACCTCTGTGCAGTCTTAGGCAGGCTAGAGTGGAACTGGAGCGGGGTTACTGACCTCCTCACAGTCAACACTTTGAGCTAGAGAGTTCTTTGTTGCGGGGCTGCTCTGTGCATTGTAGACTGTTCAGCAGCATCCCTGGTCTCTCTATCCACTACAACAGGAGGACATGTTTTGACAAACATGTCTGCAGACATTGCCAGATACCTCCCTGTGAGGCAAAATTGCTCCCCTGCCCCTCCCACCCTGTTGAAAACCACTGAGCTACAGCATAAGTATTTTACAAGCACCCCAATGGTTCTAACATGCAGCCAGGAC
The DNA here is from genome assembly GCF_000001405.40 of Homo sapiens. Taxonomy (NCBI): domain Eukaryota; kingdom Metazoa; phylum Chordata; class Mammalia; order Primates; family Hominidae; genus Homo; species Homo sapiens. Next base: position 3,052,490 of record NC_000003.12, read on the forward strand.
CAAAAACCACTGACCTCATCCAACCCTATCTTTTTGTCAGGGGAAACTACAGAGGATGAGCTTTAGTGGTTCTATAGGTAAAGGCACACTTTCCCAGACCTGTATATTTTGTTCCTGATTGGAGTAAATCCAATCACAGCAGGCAATCCCAGGTAAGTGAATGTGTTTTTAGGAGGCTAGTTGGCCACCTCATCAAATGAATCCACCTCCAAACTCAGAACCCATGGGGGGCCCAAGATGAAAACAGGACTGTTGCAAGCTGCAGATATGTCCAGGGTGACAATGGTTGCCTCTTGGCTACCTAGCCCCATAAAGTGGGGTTCCAGAGGAAAGGAATGGGAGGTTACTACTCTTGCCTTTCCGATATCTTCTCCCTGTGCTGAAATGTCCTGTCTCTAAGAGTCGTGATCATAACTTATTGTGCCTGGCTTGTGCTCTAACCTTTGCCATGTATGTTCTCTGATTATCTTTAAGCCTTCAGAGATACTATTTCTTACATGCTTCCTCTAAGCTAGGCCATCACCAGATTCAAACCTTGTGCAATCTTTTGTATTTTTATATTTTTGAGACAGTCTTGCTCTGTCACCCAGGCTGGAGTGCAGTGGCTTGATCTCGGCTCACTGCAACGTCTGCCTCCCGGGTGCAAGCAATTCTCCTGCCTCAGCCTCTGGAGTAGCTGGGATTACAGGTGTGTGCCATCATGTCTGGCTAATTTTTGTATTTTTTGTAGAGACAGGGTTTCGCCATGTTGGTCAGGCTGGTCTCAAACTCCTGGCCTCAAGTGAGTCACCCACCTTGGCCTCCCAAAGTGCTGACACTATAGGCATGGGCCACTGCACCCAGCCTCCTTGTGCAATCTTGAAAACACACTCCAGAAGACTGGGTATTATTGTCCCCCTTTTACAGATGACTGAAGTGAGGCTCTGAAAGGTGAAGTGGCCTGTGATCCCACAGTGGCCAAGTTTATTCTGATGCCAAAGCACCGATGTGTAACTGAGCACTGTACATCCTTAAGGAGCTACTCATATTTTCCACTTTCCCAAGAGTGTCAACTGAGCCTCCGAGAGGCTAGGCAGTAGGTAGAATCACGTTGCTGATGCCCCTGATATAATATCCTTTCAGCTCTTTCCTTGGAATAAAATGGTAGCTGCAGTCATGGCCCTCACTGCAAATGAGCCTTCCAAATGCAAGTGGGCAGCCAGACAACCTCTACATCCCTGCATTTTGCTCGTGCCCAGAGGTGAAAACAAATGAATGCTCCATATTTGGGACCTTTGTGAAGACGGCAGGTGACACCTGTTCTTTCTGTATTGGCAGGTCTTGTACAGATGGAACAGACAAAGCAGCACATCTGTCATTGAAACAAATAAAACATCGGTGGAGCTTTCTTTGCCTTTCGATGAAGATTATATAATAGAAATTAAGCCATTCAGCGACGGAGGAGATGGCAGCAGCAGTGAACAAATTCGAATTCCAAAGATATCAAGTGAGAATGCCTTTTTTTCTCCCTTTTCTCCTGCCTGTCTTATCTTATCAGCCTTCCAGATGAGTCAGGGCTTGAAAGACATTCAGCCTGCAAAAGCAGACTTAAAATAGAAATGGAGAACACTACCCCCCTTCTCCAGATGTTTGCTGGCCATAGGCAGTTTCATGCAAAAATCAGTTTGCCCGTGTTGACTGATCTACTCAGTTGCTAATCAAAAATCAGATTAAAGCAGACCCGAATTAGTCACTAAGGTTTTTCCGTGTCAACCTGTGTAGTTTGCATTGCATCTATTGTAGCCCCAGAATTACAGTTTAGAAAGTGAAAAGCATTGACTCAGTCAGAAGGAACAAGGACAAGCATTGTTAAGTATGCCGTAGCAGTTTTTCTCCAGTGAAACAGTGTATGCAGTTCAGTATCTTGGAAATATTTGGAATTTACTACTTATTTTCAATGGGTATATGCAACATGTGCATCAATGTGTATGTCTCTCTATAGTCAAGATTATCTTCACTTTCAAATGTTGTTGAATAGCATGGGAGAATAGCATATTCTTTTTGAGCAAATACATTCAATTCTGTTTTTACAAATACCATGTTTGTAAGTATCTTAAGAGCATGATTTTTTTGTTGTTGTGTGTGATCTCATTTATTTAAAGAAAAAAAACAAAATAGCCAAATCCGTGGAGACAGAAGTGAGGCTAGTGATTGGCAGTGGCTGGTCAGTGGGGAATGGGGGTTTAGGCACTGGGTCTTCATTTGGGGTGACACAAAAGTTATGGAGCTTGAGAGTGGTGCTGGTTGCACAACACTGGAGTATACTTAGTACCACTGATTTGTACATTTTAAATGAGTTAAAATGCTAATTTTGTTATGTGTATTTTACAGCAATAAAAAAAAGACTGTGGTTAGATATCTAAGTGTAGACTTTCACAGGCTTTCAGATTTCAGTCTGGAGATTAGGGGAGCAGTGAAGGCTGGAGGTATAAATTTTCAAGACATTGGTAAAAAGATGATATTTTAAATTATGGACAAAATCCTCACCACCATCCTGACTTTTAGCCATGTGACATCCCTCTGCTAAGGGGTGATATGCCAGTGTTTCTGGATGGAGTTTATATTTACTGCATCTTTTTTGCATACAAACACAAAAGGCATTTTTGTCTTAAAAGGGGGACAATTGGATTATACTTTATCAAACAAAGCCTCTAACTTCTATCGAAAGGGAGCTAGATTTTTGGTGAGATGTGGAAGTAAAATCTCCAGGCCACAAAAATACAAGATTGGGGCTTATCTCGCTTCATTAAAAATCTGACTTTATACTTCATACTTTCTTATCATTGCAGGGATTGACATTTTTAGATAGACTGATGATTCCTGGTTTTATTCATTACAAAAACATATATTAAGCAATTATATTGGTGTAATTATTAGATAACAAGGAAGTGACTGTGAACCAAACATGATCTGTTTCAAGAGATTTTTCATCATGTTGGTCAAAGAGACCTTACAAGATTGAAGAACCCCCGAATGACAGTTGATAGCTTCTTACTATGAAAAGTGTAAGACCCATAAGAAAATTTAAAAAAGGATTGAGGCTATTTTGTTTGCAGAAAAGGGGTAGATTTAGACAGACATGGGTTTGAACCCCAGTTTAGCCATTTACTAGCTGGGTGATCTTAGATAAGTTACTTTATTTCTCTGGGCGCAAATTACCGCCATCTGTTAAGCGAGGTAATAATAATACCTGGCCTTCATCCAGTTTTTGCAAGATTTAAGTGTCATATTCATCTGTGCCCAGCAGAAAGATAGAGTTCAAAAGGGAGCAGCAATTTTCATTTTGTTGAATCATCGACATAGCATGCTGTTTATCAGTATTGTTACTAGTAATATTGAAGTTTCTTCTCACATTAGATAGGAACCTCCTTACTTTACAAATGCTTTGACAGAGGTACAGGGCTGTCCTATACCCTACTCCCAGGTTTGTAGCTTGGTAGTCATAGAACTGATATTTAAAAGCCATTAAGACCTTGATCATCATTTCCAGTAGAATCCATGCAGTTCTGCTGTTTCAAAAAGCCCCGTGGCCCCTCTTCCCTTTGAAGCCGGGATGGGGCTGTTTTGAGTGAATTTGTTCTCTCTTTTCAGATGCCTACGCGAGAGGATCTGGGGCTTCCACTTCGAATGCATGTACGCTGTCAGCCATCAGTACAATAATGATTTCCCTCACAGCTAGGTCCAGTTTATGACAAAAGTTATCTGAAGGACTTGCTGTTTATAATATAAGCAACATTTAGCTAGTTGTTTTGAAGACACCCAGTACTAAGTAATATTGTTGTTCAAGTACATCTTATTACTGGAATAAAAATGTTTTTTGCTTCTTTAGGAATGGCATTATACAGTACTTCCTCAAAGCAAATCTAGCTTTGTCTGAAGTTTCTTTGGAAACTCTGCAATGCACTGAAGACATCTGTAATATGATGTTACCAAAGCAGTTTACATATGTCCTTATATGCATATTTTTTATTATATATTTAGTGTTTTATAGAATTTTTTAAAGTTAACATATAATGTAGATATTAATTTTTTCCTCGGCTGTAAAATGCTATGGGCAACACAATCATGCAATTATAATTTGAAAATATTTCCTTTAAAGACAGAGTTTGAAACTCATCTTGGTAAATAAATTGCAAATTACTCGTACAGTTTTACAAGGATCTCATGGCAGAACAGCGGAAGACTTGGTCCGTAACTCAAGGCTGTTGTATGCAAACTACTCTTCTAGTGGTTAATGCACTTGACATGTACAGTATGTTTCCCATGCCGTTGTGATTTTGACATGTACAGTATGTTTTCATGCCGTTGTGAATTTTGTTGTTCAACCCAACTTGAGATGGTTTCAGGAATGGCTGCAATCTCAAAAGCTCAATGTACTGCCCAAGAGGCACCTTGTGCAATATTCCCATCCCTGAATTTAGCATTGTACAGGAAGATTTTCTTTTCACTCAACTGAGTTAGCATTGTCTTTGTGGTAGCATTATCTTAGACATTAAATTTGAAGTAACATATATCCTGTAGTAACATAGACCCAAAGTTACTATAGTCAACCAAGTCTTTCAAAGGATAAAAGATCATTTTATTATCTTTAACTGTATCTATTTTGAATGTAAATTTAAAAAAAGTAATTCTCTGTCAATGGATTCGTAATTTCTTTACAAAATTTCTTATATATAATATGTGTATCTCTGTAATAATAGAGCCCTTCTTTTGAATCAAAATTACATATGGACTTTGGAAGATTGCTCCTATTTCAACAAATAGTTGCTGCAAGAATTTTTAATATGACTCTATAAAAGCTCTTTAGTACAATTGTATGGTTTCTTGATGATTCTGTTTTGCAATAGGTAGCCTAGTTGCTTTATATGCTTTACCTTCTAGGTCTTAAAATCACACATTGGAAAATGACAATATCAACAAAACTGTATTCTTATGAAAAGAACTATTTGTTACAATGAGAAAGGTTTTGTGAGTAAACCCTACTGGACAGTGACATAAAAGGCAATGGAATTTTCTATAAACATTTTCTCATGTAAACATGCTGCCACCTTTTCTTCTTTCTCAGAGAACTCAAATTTGCTATAGTTTGTCATTTTTGCTTACAAATAATATAACTTTTCAACCTTCTAGTTATATTTATCCAATAAAGTCATAATCGGGATTCCATTTGTGTAAAAACTAGGGTGGTAACCGGAAAAAAATATTGTCAGTATTTCAAGCTGTGTTCCTTTCTTAGTTTGATATGGTTACTTCTATGTTGAAATAAAATTTAAAATCACATGCAAAAAAAAAATCAGCAAAATAATAAAATGAACGAAAAAAAATGACACCCAGGGAGTTCCCAACCCCAGTGTAAATGATATTTACCAGTGATCTAGCATATGTAATCTTTTTTAAAGGTATTGTTAATAAATATTCTGTCATTTGTAAAGATACTTGTCTTTCGGGAGCATTTTTCCTGCCTGCCTGTCAGGGAATTTGTTAGCTTACCTTTGTGCTAGTTATAATTTGGGATCATAGAGGGACTCAAAAGTCTCTACCCAAATCTAGATGACCCAGAGCTTTTCCTTTGGAATTGACAACCCTGAAGCACCATTTCAAATCCTCTTTGGAAGTAGAGAGGGTCCTAATCCACAAGTAAATGTCCTGAAGATGAGACTTGAATATTTTCTCTTGATTAGCTAAGTCTTTTGTATATTTACTGTAAGTATATCTGTTGTTTCCCTCACCCCCCATTGCTAAAAGGGTAAGTTCTAAGCTTGAGCATTTAAGGCTCTTTTTTTTTTGAGACGGAGTCTCACTCTTGTCACCCAGGCTGGAGTGCAATGTTGCGATCTCGGCTCACTGCAACCTCCGCCTCCCAGGTTCAAGCAATTCTCCTGCCTCAGCCTCCCGAGGCGCCCACCACTACACCGGACTAATTTTTGGATTTTTAGTAGAGACGAGATTTCACCATGTTAGTCAGGCTGGTCTCAAACACCTGACCTCAGGTGATCTGCCCGCCTCGGCCTCCCACAGTGCTGGGATTACAGGCTTGAGCCACCGCACCCGGCCCTTAAGGCCCTTTTTAATCCAAAACGATTTAACTGTGTATCCAGCCACAGTAAGCCCTCCCTGACCCCTGAACACTGCTTGCTTTTGGTCTCACCTCTGTGCCTTTGGTCTTATGGCTGCCCCTTCCTGAAATGCCTTCTCCACCCTTCTCTCCCATTCAGATCCCTGCTGTCCTAGGGTAGCTCCAGCCCCAGTTTGTCTGCAAAGACTTCCCATGCTTCAGTCCTTTATGACATTCTCGCTTGGAAGTAGTTGCATCCCCTATCAATGCTGCTCATTTAGTAATTAATCAGATACTACTTTTGGAAATCTCTTGTACTGTTATCTTGCATTTTAATTTAACTCCTGTATTGTTACTTACTTTTTCTTGTATGTATGGCTTGTCTTCCCAACTAGATTGTAAGCTCCTTGAGGGCAGGGACTTTGGTCTTATCTTCCATGTACTCTCCATAGTGCCTAGCACAGTGCCTTGCAATAAATACTCACTGATTAATTGAATGAAGGGGTCTTTGAAGTAGCATTTTGCATCAGTTGCCTGCCTGTGTGCCACAGCAAACCAACCAGGGAAGACTGTGTCATTACTTTCGTTATGTGCTGAAAAGCGTTAAAAGGCCTGGCTTCTAACTTTGTACCTGGAAGAAGTCTTTGACCAATTGGCTTCATCATCGGGTAAATGAGGTCCTGGATTAGTTGAGTCTAACTGAATTGAAGATGTTTTAGAAAGTGCCCCATGAGCACCTCCACCCAAACTTGTCTCATTTGTTGGCTTTCATGGTTGCCTCAGGTAGGGTCCACTGGCTGTAAGCAAAGAAACGACCCTGGGTAACTTGAGCAAACAAAAAGTAAGGAATTAGAATGACACAGGTTACATCATATGAGCCAAGGAAACACTGAAGGACCAACTCTTGAGGAGAATAAGAACCAGGCCACTCTGTGGGTCCAGACAATGGGAACTTTGGAAAGTCTTTTTGGGGTGCTATTGTGGGGATGAATCAGCTTTGTTTCCAATTTTGACGCCATTATGCTCAATATTCAGATTCCTGGGAAAGTGATCAGTTCCATTTGAGTTCCACAGCCAGAGTACCTTGTACTCACAGGGGAGGGATAGTTAAAGGAAAACTAAGATGCTGTTTTCCAAAGGTAAGAGAAGAAATGCTGGGTTGGTATAAGTAACAGATTTTCTAGGCTTAGCCAGCCAAGGGGACTTTCTTAGGCCCTTAGCCCAAGTAATACACTCGAGTGGAATGACTATATTGCTGCTTGAGATTTTTTTCTGAAGGAGGACCACTAGGAAAATTTGCTTTGCTTGTTTAACCTTTCAAAGTGCTTACTCTTGCCCTCCTTTTTGTGTGTGTAGTCCACTTGTGATTTAACTGTATGAAAGGAAATTCTATTGTGCCAGATATTTGGATTCTCTCAGTGTACCTACTTTCTATGGAGCCCACACATGCTACATACAAAGCAGCACCTTTCCATGGGCACAGAAGACATGGATGATAAGCTTCATTTCTCAGGTAAGCTCTGAATTCTTCCAGCCTGTGAGGTAGAAGGTGCATAGACTTTGATATTAAGAAAGAATGATTGTGTTATTCCCACCATCAAAATTGTGGTTGTTTATATCCAGGAGGCAATGTTAAATCCTGATTAACCTTTACCCAGTCTCTTCCACCACCTTGCCTCACTACAAATATGCGCAAAGAATGTTGAGTTATAAAAAGTATACAAATAGCACATAATTAGCAACAAAAATGTCATGCAGTTTTTAATCTAATGTAATCAACCAACAGGTGATTTTTGTTCACTACATTGGATTATCGATGCTACTGTTCTCCTCCGTTAACACTTATAATCAAGAAGTGACTGTTATTTTCCTGTTGTTACAATTTACAAAATGTTCTGGCTAAAAACGTTATGTGGCCAACCATAGTGCTTTGAAAGGCAAGCCTTTAAAATCAAGGACTTATATTCAATCTGTGGACATACCCCAGATTTTTCCATTACAAAATGCCAGACACTGAGGCCTTACAAAGGCAGCCTAATACAAAGACTAAGGACGTGGATCCTGGAGTTTGACTGCCTGGGGTGCATTGTAATGATTGGCTACTTATTAGGGAGGATAAAGTTTGTAAAGCTCTCCAAACAGTGATGATTTTACCGTCTGTTATTGTTCTTTTTCTCCAGGGACTTTACTAGACCCACAGATGTAGGATGTGGATGCTTCTTATCACCAAAATGAGTGGAACTCAGCTGACACATCCATTATCACCTTTTATTTAAACATGATCACTTCTTAATATAAATTTTAATGTTCGATAATTTTAATCATACAATCAACTAATTCAAACTTAGGCAGTAGGGTTCCCATTCAGATGCCAGGTTTTGCACAAAGCCTCCCTCAGCTTCCCCATCTGAAATTGACCTTGCATTTCTCTGACCTCCAGGGGATGGGGTCTGTACCCACTCATGTCAGTCATCCCTTCGTACCTTATATTTAAATCATTTTTGTTGGTGTCTTCCGCCTTATAGTAGACACACGGCACCTCAGCGTTGGCATCTGGGTGTGGTTCCTCATTGTGCTCCCAGGCACAAGGCCTGTGTCACCTCCATCTCAGACCTAGAGGGAGGAGAATATCTGGCCCCGTTTCCTGTGATTTCCTCAGGCCCCCTGCCAGAGTGTGATTAGTAAATGCAAGTCAGGCTGCCCATTCTGCAAAGAGGCCCCGTTTCCCCTTGTGCTAAATGGGCCATGCGGATTAAATGTTCCAGCTCTGCAACTCACCTGCAAACTACAATACTCAACAGAGATCACAGTTTAAACAAAATTGGCCTCTATCCTTTATCACAAGCAGTTATGGGCCATGGTAGATTAGCAGAGCTCTAGTGATATAGATCACATAGAGAGAAAGCTTTTTTTAAAAAAGGTCAACCATATGATCGATCTGAAAGTCTGGAAATTGGAAGGCTGAGCTACTTAAATATAGATGCAATTACATGTGATATCCCCATTCTCTGTAAACTGGGTTTTTGCCACATATCCTTATTGTTAGGAATAACACGAACTATACCAGGAAATATATATGTCCTAGGACTTTAACAAATAGTAATATCTTTAATTTGTTTTTCTAGTTTTCAAAGTGCTTTTCACACTAATAAGGGGAGGACATAGGTTTTTATTCCTTTTTTATTTATGAAATGGAAGCAAAGAGGTTATATAAGAAGCCCAAAGTAACATAGACAATTAGAAAGTCAGGGCTGGGCATGGTGGCTCACACCTGTAATCCCAGCACTTTGGGAGACTGAGGTGGGGGGATCACAAGGTCAAGAGTTCGAGACCAGCCTGGCCAACATGGTGAAACCCCATTCCTACTAAAAATACAAAAATTAGCTGGGCATGGTGGCACGTGCTTGTAGTCCCAGTTACCCAGGAGGCTGAGGCAGGAGGATTGCTTGAACCTGGGAGGCAGAGGTTGTAGTGAGCTGAGATTGCCCTACTGCACTCTAGCCTGGGCAAGAGAGTGAGACTCTGTCTCAAACAAAAGAAAAAAAAAAAAAGAAGGACTAGAATTTAGAACATAGACTCATTAGTGCATTTCATACACCTAGAAATAAGTACTTAGAGAAAGGACAGGATGGAGTAAGGAACTAGACTCTGAAGTTCAACTAGAGAACATTCTAGGACAAGTAGGTAGGCCAGAGGAAATGGTGAGGTAGAAGGGTGAGATGTCTGAGGTTCAGATGCTGGAGGTGGAGAAGTTCTGAGTGCCGGCCAGGCCCAGGGCACAGCCATCTGGAGGAATGGGATAGGATAGGTGCCTGGAGAGGGTTTTAGTTATTCAGCAAGGGACTACTGGCAGCCCTCTCTGTACCAGGCACTATTCTGGGCATAGAAGAATGATGTGGCATTCAGATGTGTGTGAGGAAGCCAAGGCACCAGTAACAGTATTTTGTCACAATACAGAGAAATGCAATGATAATAATAATAGTAAACAGTGATTATGCTTATAATATGTGCCAGACTCAGTGCAAATCAACCTACCGATTTAGTTACCATTTATTATTCCTATTTTATACACAGAGGATTGAGGTTGACAGGTTCACATTTGTCCCTGATCACACAGTTGATCAGAGAGACCAGGAATTGAAATGCTGGTGGCTTGGGTTTAGGGCCCTACTCCAAAACATTAGATGTCTCTATCTGTAAATAGATGATACATAAACAATAAGGTAGGTAGATAGATAAATAGACAGATAGATACGGTTCCCATATAGCAACAAGAAGGAAAGGCAGTCATGAGCTTCAGTCTGCTCTAAAGTGGCTCAGCTTCTCTGCTTCTCTTTCCTTGACTGCAAATGTTGTTTTTTGCGTGTTCGTTGTCCTTGACTTCAGGTGTCTTAGAGCTGTTTCTTTAAACTCCGGCTACCCTTCAAGATCAGGATTACCCAATAAAATAGGAGAGGAGCTATTAAACTTAGATTTCAGATAAAAAAAAAATTATGCTTCCTTAGTATAAGTATGCCCCATGTGATATTTATTTGAAATTCAACTTTAACTGAGCCTCTTATTTTTATTTGCTAAATCTGGCAACCTGACACCAGGAGGTCTTCATTACTCTCATTGAAGTAATTAATTTGTAATTCAAAATTTCAGGGTCTTGCGAATGTGTTGTCAGATCTCTGAAGGTCAATGGCTCTGAGGGCGAGACATGAAGTTTGCTGTTTTGAGTTCTGTTTCGTTTGCTGAACTCTCCTTCCCACTTTTCCTTGGATGGTGTGAGGATGGGATGTGTGTGTGTCCAGAGAGACAGGGCTGGTGGGTGAAGTTCCTCTTAGAGCTGGCAGAAAAGAGGTTTTGTTTTTTTTTTGTTTGTTTTTTGAGACGGAATTTTGCTCTTGTTGCCCAGGATAGAGTGCAATGGCGCAATCTCGGCTCACTGCAACCTCCGCCTCCCGGGTTCAAGTGATTCTCCTGCCTCAGCGTCCTGAGTAGCTGGGATTACAAGCATGCGCCGCCACGCCTGGCTAATTTTGTATTTTTAGTAGAGACGGGTTTCTCCATGTTGGTCAGGCTGGTCTCGAACCCCTGATCTCAGGTGATCCACCCACCTTGGCTTCTCAAAGTGCTGAGATGACAGGCGTGAGGCACCGCACCCAGCCCAGAAAAGAGTTTTAAGACAAGGGAATCTTTCCCCAGCAAAGGCCCACATTATGTGGCAAGAAGGTGTTAAAGCAGGTGGAAGGGATTCCAGAAATATTCTGAAAGCTTAAAAAAATGGGTTTGTTGCCAGGAACATAGGCCACAGCACAGCTCGTTGGAAAACTATGTAGTGGACGCATCGTTTATCAACTGCAGTGTTGGGACCAAATATCCGAGACCAAATAACTGGCAGTTAGAATTGGCCCAGTTGTTCCTCTTGAATTTAGTGGTTAACAAATAAGATATTGAGTGCATACTATGTGTCAAGCACTTGCTGGGCACTGGAGAAACTGAGATAAATAGGGTTAAGGCTTCCCTCATGGTTCACTGAAGGAGACAGAAATACACTTATTGAAGGATGGTGTGAATAGTGTGACAGATAAAGGTATGAACACAATGCTGGACCTGTGTTTCTTGCAAAACCTACTTATAATGAGGTTAAGTTCAGTCAAACACAATTTTTTTTACCATTGATCCCCCAGGATAGAATATTTTCATTTGATTAAACATGATTATTTTCCCAAATTGGTTGCTTTTCTTAAAAAAAAGAAAAACACATTCATAAATATTTTGAATCCATTAAGCCATGTGTCAATATTGGCCCTCTGGGAAAATCTAGCTCATTGCCCGCTTTTTTTGTAAATCAAGATTTATTGCAACATAGCCATGCTGATTTATAGATTGCCTACGGCCACTCTGTGCTATCACGGAAGAACTGAGTGGCTGCCACAAAGACCATATGGTCCTCAAAGCTGAAAATATTTACTATCTAGCCCTTTAAGAAGAGTTTGCTGGCTCGTGCCTGTAATTCCAACACTTTGGGAGGCCAAGGGCTGGATGATCACTTGAGCCCAGTAGTTCAAGACCAGCCTGGGCAACATGGGAGACCCTGTGTCTACAAAAAAATTTTATAAATTAGCTGGGCATGGTGGCACACCCATGTGGTCCCAGCTACGCGAGAGGCTGAGGTGGGAGGATCATTTGAGCCCGGGAGGTCGAGGCTGGAGTGAACGGTGATCACAGCACTGCACTCCAGCCTTTCCAGCCTGGGTGAGACAGGAGACCCTGTCTTAAAAAAAAAAAAAAAAAGGCAGCAGCAGCTTGCCGACCTTTAAACTACGACACCAGTACTTTATTGCTGATTTCGTTCTTGCAATTTTCCCCTCAGGTTTCTGTGTTCTTCCAGTTTATTACTTGGCAGGGACAAATCTTTGCTTTTAATTTTAATAAATGAAACAAACCTAATAAAACACCTTCAAGTTGAAAAGAGTCCGCTAGAACTTTAAAATCATGCACATGGGCCATATGGGCGGCTTTGTGTTGCTCCTGACAACCAACAACGCAGATGTCTACTGAGAGCCAAATGGTGGGTGATGCCGGCCGCGGAGGTGGAGGGCAGCGTTTCTGAGACCAGCATCACACCCACTGTGAGTTTTTACTACTTCATTAATTTAAGCTCCAGTGACGATTTAACTTCTGCTATAACCACACAGCTTTAATAAATGAACCTACCATTAGAACATAGTTCTTTAGAATCTATATTGTTTTCCGTTCTTTTAAATGTTTAATAAGCTCACTTCCTTTTCCTTCGTCTGGTTACTCAACCAGCAGTCAGTTCCTCCTTGGGGCTTATGGACACAAAGATAAGTCAGACACTGCTCTTGGCCTCAGAGTGTTTGCACTGGAAACGAGACAGAGCATTGGTGAGGAGTCCAGGCCAGGTGCGGTGGCTCACGCCTGTCATCCCAGCACTTTGGGAGGCCGAGGCGGGTGGATCACGAGGTCAGGAGATCGAGACCATCCTGGCCAACATGGTGAAAACCCGTCTCTGCTAAAAATATAAAAATTAGCTGGCTGTGGTGGCACGTGCCTGTAGGCCCAGCTACTGGGGAGGCTGAGGCAGGAGAATGGCTTGAGACCCGGAGGCGGCGATTGCAGTGAACCGAGATCTCGCCACCGCACTCCAGCCTGGGCGACAGAGTCAGACTCTGTCTCAAAATAAATAAATAAATGAAAGTCCAATCACTGATAGAATTAAACAAAAGGAACATAGAGGGACACTTAATTCAAACTGGAAGTTGAGCAAAGATTTTCAGGTGGCAAAGAGCCGAGACTTAGAAGATAAATCAAAATGTCAACAAAATGAAAAGAGGTTGAAAAGGCTTTTTCCACCAGAGAAAGTTTCGGCAGAGGCATGGAGTGATGCAGTAGCATGGAGCTACAGGGAAATCATCAGCACATTGGTGAGAATGGAGGTAGGAGTATTTGGGTATGTGCCTGGAGAGCTAGTAAGGAGCTGAGTCATAGTGGACTTTGCCTTAAAAGGAGCTTTAACTTGAAGGTGATGGGGAGTTATATAGGCAGATGTGCCTTTTACATTGATCCTTCAAAGGGAGGAAATACTGGAGGCCATGAGTTCAGTTCAGAGGCTACTGTAATAGTCCTAGCTGAGAGATGGAGGAAGACAATGGTGGGGACAGAGAAGGGGAATATTTAGGGGAAAAATGAGAAAGGTACCCACCCCTCTTTAATTGCAGACTTAGACAATTCACTGTCATTTATGTTTAATATTTCTCATTCTGAAACATATTTATATTCACATCTATTACCTACAAAACAGGAGATAAGCATGATTGTCTTATAGTACAATACAAAATTCCAAAGGAAGGAATGGTTTTGAAAAAATTTGCACCCTGGTACTCAATTTGAAGGATGTAGAAGCAGGAATAGCTACAGTCCTTAGGCTAGCACCAAGTCCTATTCTAATTAGGTTTTTCACCTTTACTTGTGCCATCAGAGATTGTTTTCAGTTCTCTGTTCTCACTTCCAGATATCTACTTTTTCTTTAACAAATTAGCACCTCAGGCTTCTTAATTCCACCAGCAGATGGTCCTGACACATAGAAGTCTCACCATGAAAACGTTTGGATTTTTAATCAGGATGTTCTTTGCCCACGTGGATTCTTCCCCAGCCTGCATGAATAGCTTGAGGTCTGAGGCATTTCAATGAGGCTCAGGTGGTCGGGCTGTTGGCAAATGTGACCTTCACCCTCCAGTCTCCCCAGCACTCCCCCATGCTGCACGCAGTGAATTCCAAATGCCAAGGAAAGAAATTGGGCTAAAAATCCCTATTGGAACGGATATCTTGGAAAAGCATGTTTGTTCTGATCCCGTGGCTGTGGAGGCTCTAGGAGAAAAGTGACTCTCTACACTCGTCCTAGTGAGAGATGGCAAGAGATGGGAGCCAATATCATGACTTTACCTTACATCAACCTGCTGCTGATGGTGTTTACTGTTAAGTGAATTTCAAACTCTTTGACTTGCTATGACAAGGCTGGTGAGAACAGTATAGACCACTCACAGTGAGCCACTTCTGAAATGCCTCTTACACAGCAATTTATACATAACCATTTAGACACTTTGGCAGCAAAAACATCCAGGTTGCAGTAGCCCAGTTGTTAGGCACATGTGTCTCCTGGTTGCTTCTAACTAACCGCATTCTCATTAGATACCCAGCTTCCTCCCCCTGTCATTATTGTAGGCCTTGAGGATCTCTGCCAAATACTGTTCAGTCTAACCTATATACAAGGTGCCGTATCAGGGCTGACAGAGGGTTTAAGAAACATTTATATTTTCTTAAGTCAGATACTGTCCTAGACACTGCAGATAAAAAGACGTATTTCACACAAGCTCCATCCTCCTGGAAGCCGCAGTCTAGAGGGGAGGCCTCCCAGCTGTTAATGGTATATTCTACAATGCAGTAGCTCTAACACGGGTATGAGGCCCAGAATGAGAATCCAGAGGCGGGATCAACCAACTCTGCTTTTGAAGGCTTCATGGAGGAAGTGATGATGGTTACGGGTTCCCAAAGAATGACTATGAGTTGCACAGGGCAAGAAGGGAGGAAGGAGTTCCCAATCCACCAAGGAGGCCAATGGGCTACTTTGTGTTGCTCCTGAAACACATATACCAAGGGCCAGATAACGGTACCAGCTCAGGGAAGTGTGGCAAGGAGCTCCACAGAGCCCAGGTGATCTATGGCTGCTGAGTGGAGGGAGGAGTCTGAAGTGGGCACCACACCAAGCACTGAAGAGCTGGCCACATTTGTGGAGGGGGAGCTCCCTGCTTCTGTTCCTGCCTCCTAAGCAGAGGCAGTTTCCACAATGCCAACTGTCTGGGTTGTGGTTTGAAAGAGATCAGACAGGGTGCTCCAAGCCGCCCCAAAAGGACAGTTTTCTGGGGACAGGACTTTTCTGTCACATCTTCCTTCAGCGGCTGATTTTCAAATTTTGGTATTCATAAGACTCTCCTGGAGCAGCAGTTCTCCGAGTGTGTCCTGGAGACCAGCAGCATGAGCATCACCTGAGAACTTGTTAGAAACGCAGCTTTTCAGACCTCACCCAGACCTATTCAGTTAGAGACTCTAAGAATGGAGCCCACTCCTCTGTGTCTTAAGGAGCCCTCCAGGCGCCTCTGATTCTGACCTAAGGTGTTCATTACAAATACAGTTTCCTGGCCAGGAATGGTGGTTCATGCCTGTAATCCCAGTACTTTGGAAGGCTGAGGCCGGTGTATCGCTTGAGCCCAGGAGTTCGAGATGAACCTAGACAGCATGGCAAAACCCCAGCTTTACAAAAAAAAATACAAAAAAGAGCTGGGAATGGTGTTATGCACCTGTAGTCCCAGCTACTTGGGAGGGTGAGGGAGGAGGATGGCTTGAGCCCAGGACAGGGAGGTTGTAGTGAGCTAAGATCACATCACTACACTCTAGCCTGGGAGACAGAACAAGACTGTCTCCACCACCCACCCCACAAAAAAAAAAAAAAAAAAAAACAAAAACAGGTTTGAGATTATGAATCATTTGAGTGACCAAACATTTTAAACATTTTGCCAACTATTGCAGCACCTCCATGGGTGTTGCCTTCTCAGCCACACCCCTAAGCAGGCCTCAGCTTTCCCTGACACTCCTCTGCACATTTCTGGGGTCACTTTTACCTGAGCCTGGTATTCAACTCCTCACTATGCCATTTCCTATCAACTTCTCTGAACCTTAGTAACTGCAACTATAAAATGGGACAGTAATACAGATTACTATAAGACAGTGCAGGCTTGTCAAGATTCAAGATGTTTCTGTGCCTATTACCCAGGGTTCAACCCTCTGCTAGTTACAGTGGATAATTACAGGTTAGTTAAGAAAACAAACAAACCTGGAAATATATGGTAGTCAGTGTGTCCCCACCGATGGATCAAAACTGACTAAAACACCTCCAGAAAGCATTTAAAGAGTGTGCCAGGTGGGGATTCTGGGCACTGTTACCTCCTTTCTAGGCCTTCAGCTTCTTGACCAAGGGCCATGTGGAATCAGCACTGTTTGGGTTCCTTCCTCTTGCCCACCTCTGCCCAGGGCACACCTGTGCTTGGTTCCACCTGCAGTCCACCACCCACCACAAAGGCCTCCAATCTGGATGCAGACTCATATATGAAGATGTTAGGAAGAAGAATTTCTGTGTATATTGGGATATTTGATGGAATGGCCTTGTAGAAACTTTTCCAAACTTGAGAGACTAGGATTGATCTGGCATTACTTGACCAACAAGTTGTTCTGAAGTCTTTGGCAGCAAACATCTCTTCAGAAAGTTCATTCTTGATTCAGTGGTCCCTTTCATGATTGAATTATGCTCAATGACTTCCTCAGCACATTTCCAGAATATTAAGGCTTCCTTCAAGAATATAATATTTGAACAAAATCTGTCGTCTCTTTTGATATGGGGTGATATATTAGCTCTATTATGCTTTTAAATTAGTTGGTTTCAAATGATGTATCCTGGATCAGGCCTCTGGAGCTTGAGATAATTTCTCTCTCTCTCTCTCTCTCTCTCTCTCTCATACACACACATACACAATCTACCTAGAAAAAGATCATTCTAGAATGTAGGGGGGTGAGGAATTTGTGGCTCTCACTTGCTATAGAAAAGACAGTCTTGAATCCAAGTTCATGGTTCACTCCAGGCTGATGCAAAATGCTTTCTTCCTCAGATGGTAGCTGAGTGCTACAATTGGCAGCTTAAACAGCCAAACGGGCACAGCCAGAAGTAAATACAGCTGGACGTTAGCCTTAAAAGCTGTCTGTTGTGAATGAAAAGTCTGAGGTGAGTCAAGCAAATTGCAAAGATTGGCAGGTGAGGAGGTGCTACCCTGTACGGCATGGGGAGAAAAAACATGGCAAAATGCTTGGATGAGTCAACTTCCCTGCTGTAGGTGAGGCGATTTGGATGAAGCATCCATACTTTTAAGAGATACAAGACTGGTGTGTCTGGGTGTATTGCTTCGCAGGTAAATTGAGTGTTGCCTAAATTCTGAACACCTCTTAGCCAAGAGCCAGCATCCCTGTTCTTTTCACTGAGGCACTGAGGCATGTGTGAGTTCATCAGAGGATGCCAAAGTGACAGTCAAAACACAGAATCCTCCAGGGTCTCAACTCCAGGCTTCTCTATATAACAGATGACTTCAATTTCCGTCTCACTGGACCCAGCTTTCTGCAAAACAAATCATCTTTCCTTAGATGTCTTTTAGAGAACTTTTGGGTTCTTTGAAATCTTTACAATTGGCTTTAAGTCTATTATTTTTTAAATAAAAATAGTAAATGTTCACAAAGAAGATGTGAAAAATAAAGTGGGAAGAAGAAGAAAATACCTAGCCATACATCTATCTCCCAAACACAGCCCACTGCTTCTCCTAAGCCTTTCTTTCTAGGCATAATGTTTTCTTTAGACTTACTTGAAGTCATATGGATACACATCTTTTTTTTTTTTTTTTTTTTTTTTTAGACAGAGTCTCACTCTTGT
Source organism: Homo sapiens (assembly GCF_000001405.40). NCBI lineage: Eukaryota > Metazoa > Chordata > Mammalia > Primates > Hominidae > Homo > Homo sapiens. The sequence continues at coordinate 3,070,621 of NC_000003.12, forward strand.
CACCCTGGCTGGAGTACAGTGGCATGATGTCGGCTCACTGCAACCTCCACCTCCCAGGTTCAAGTGATTCTCCTGCCTCAGCCTCCCAAGTAGCTGGGACTACAAGTACACACCACCATGCCCGGCTAATTTTTGTATTTTTAGTAGAAACGGGGTTTCACCATGTTGGCCAGGCTGGTCTCGAACTCTTGACCTTGTGATCCCCCCGCCTCGGCCTCCCAAAATGCTGGGATTACAGGCATGAGCCACCACGCCCGGCCGGATACACATCTTTAAAAATTGATTTTTTTCTCTCTGACATCACTGATTGTAAATTACATTGTTAAATGTGCTTTGGCGGCATCACTTTTGATAGCTTCATCATATTCCTTCCATAATTTACTACAGTATCCCCCTAACTTTGGACAGTTCTGACCCATTTTGGCTATAATGAATAGTGCTGATAATAATTGGAAAATTGGTAACAAAAAATAAAATTGCCTGTAAGAGATCCTATTCCTTTATCTCATTTACTCATCCAAAATATTTTTTACTATCTGCTCCACACTAGCCACAGTGCCGTGTCTCGGGAATTCACTGATGCACACAGCAGGCATGGCTCCTGCCTTTATCCATTTTACTGTTAATAGTTTACGGGCAACCTAATTGGAGGAGGAACCCTCTCTTGGCCATTGTAGAAACAAGGAACAGCTGGAAACCAGTCTCATAAATTGAAAGCTCAGGCCAGGTGGCGTGGCTCATGCCTGTAATCCCAACACTTTGGGAGGCTGAAGCAGGCGCATAGCTTGAGCCCAGGAGTTGGAGACCAGCCTGGTGAGATCTTGTCTCTATAAAAATTGTCTAAATAAGTAAATTATCAGAAAATTCAGGATATGCTTTTTTAGAATAAGCCTTTCTTTTTGACTGCTAAAGGCCAACTTTCTTCCTTCACAGTGTGTGTGTGTGTGTGTGTGTGTGTGTGTGTGTGTGTGTGTGTATTTTTTTTTTTTGGCAAGTTCTGGCTACATCACCCAAGCTGCAGTGCAGTGGCACAATCTCAGCTCACTGCAACCTCCGCCTCCTGGGCTCAAGCCATCTTCCCACCTCAGCCTCCCGAGTATCTGAGGCTACAGGTGTGCACCACCGTGCCTGAGTAATTTTTGTATTTTTTGCAGAGATGGGGTTTTGCCATGTTGGCCAGGCTGGTTTCAAACTTGTGAGGTCAAATGATCTGCCCATTTTGGCCTCTCAAAGTGCTGGGATTACAGGTATGAGCCACTGTGACCGGCCCTTCACTGACGTCCAAATTTCTAACTGAGGTCTGAACAAGCAAAAACTTGCTTCTAGGGTGGCAGAGCTCCTCTAAGTCCTGGGACTTTGGGCACCCACCCCAAGCTCAGAGGTGCACATTACCATGAAAAGCAGAGGGTTTCCTTTCCCACTAGCCAAACATTTCCCAGTGGCCACTGCCCATAGCACCAATGTGCCCTCTTGTCACCCTTGTAGCACAGCCTCTGAGAATGGGTTGGATGGCTTTTGTCCTTGGACGTGGAGGCTGTGCACGGCCTCATGGGGCCCAGCTGTAGGCAGCTCTGCACTGGCTCTCATCCCCTCTCAGGTGGAGAATTTAGGCCATAGAGCCCACAGCACCAGGCAGTACTTCATTTCTCCCATTCTGTGTGCTCTTTCTTTCTTCTCTCAGTCTCTAACTGCTTTGTTTTTATGTGAAACTCTGCAATGTGAGAAGAGAATAAGTTGTCCTGAGAAGCCAGGCGCTGTGGAGTGCCGTCATTCATCCTCTGCTTATTCTGAAACCAGCTTGTCTGCCCCAAGTTGTTATTTTACACACATGACTTGATTTTAATTAACAACAAATCACAACCTTATACAATAAGCTTTTATACCAGTTTATTTCACCAACTTCGGAATATTAAAGGAAATCTTTTGGGGCTCTGTAGGGAAATTAGATACCAGCATTAAGATGTTCCATTAAGAGGCCAGGACAAATGACTTCAGTTGGCTGCTTAAACTAGATGTGGGCTGGGTGCAGTGGCTCATGCCTGTAATCCCAGCACTTTGGGAAGGCTGGATCACTTGAGGTCAGGAGTTCAAGACCAGCCTGGCCAACATGGCGTAACCCTGTCTCTACTAAAAATACAAAAATTAGCTGGGCGTGGTGGCGGGCACCTGTAATCCCAGCTATATGGGAGGCTGAGGCAGGAGAATCACTTAAACCCGGGAGGTGGAGGTTGCAGTGAGCCGAGATGGTTCCACTGCACTCCAGCTTGGGTGACAAAGCGAGACTCCATCTCAAACAAACAAAACCAGATGTGGTTACTCAGGGGTAAGTGTGCTAGAGCAAGGAGGGACTGGCAGCACACATCCAGAACAGGCACCAAAGCTCCACCCTGGGGCCCACTCTTCTTCCCAAAGAACTCAGTGAACAAGAGCAGATGGGCCATTCCCCTGATAAAGGAGAACACAAAGATCCAACCATGGGCAGAATGATTCTTTTGCCAGCCTCCATTCTCTACTTCAGTCAGCTAGTAACTGTAACTGTCTATAAATCCTTCCAATACCCAAACTGCAAATGCTAAGGAAAGTTCACCACTTATTGAAATTAATCATTTTGGTGAGTTTTTCCACGAACGCTTTCTTTTCCCTACAACCAGTCACCAGGTGGTTCATCCAATCATGAGTTACTTCATTTGAGAGAAACCTAAATTTGCTAAGAAAACTGTTTGATCTAAATCAAGGGTTGGCAAACTACAGCCGCGGGCCAAATCTGGCTTGTTGCCTGTTTTGGAAAATGAAGTTTTACTGGAGCACAGCCACGCTCATTCATTAGCACATTTTCTGTGGCTACTTTCACACTACAATGGCAGAGTTGAAGAGGTGAGACAGAAACCATTTGTCCCTCAAATATTTACTACCTGGCCCTTTACAGAAAAAGTTTCTTGAGCCCTGATCTAAATAACCGTTCACCTTAAGGATAAATTTGACAAAGTGCAATAATCATACACTGAAAAATCACAAACCATTGCTGAGAGAAGGTAAAGAAAACCTAAATAAATGGAGTGATATGCTATGTTTATAGATAAGACTTAGGATGTCACTTTTCCCCAAATTAACTGACAACTCAACACAATCTCACCCCAAATCCCAGCTACCTTTTTTTGTAGAAAATTGTCAGCTGAATCTAAGATGTATATGAAAATGCAGAGGACCTACAATAACCAAAACAAATTTTTAAAAAATCACTTTTGGAGGCCTTCCACAAATGGTCTCGTGGTTTACGATAAAGCTACAGTAATCAAGACAGTATTGTATTGGCATAAAGATAGACAAATAGATCGATAAAACCAATCAGATAGTCCAGAAATAGAACCAACTACATACAGCAACTAATTTCCTACAGAAATGCCAAGGCAATTCACTGGGGAAAGGATGATTTACTCCAACAAATGATGCTGGAACAATTGGAGAGCCATAACTAAGTGACCACTGGGCTGAACCTAAGCGCTCTGAATGGTGAACAGGCCTAAGAAAATGCATATTGGGTAAAATAATTTGCCTTTTCTATGGTCTTTTTTATACTAAAGAGCTAAAGTTCCCTCTGAAAATTCTCTATTAACTAAGATATTCATGTGGAAACATGGAGTCTTAAAACATTAGAGCTAAGCAGAACATTGTACAATCTCATCTGTGTCCCTTATTATACCAGAAAGAAATTCAGAACTCAGAGGGTTGAAGAGATTGTCCAAAGTCAGTTAAGGCATGGCTGATATGAAATTAAAATTTAAGTCTAACTGTCAAGAACACTTATAACTCAGTACCTTTCCAATATGTCAGAAGAGTAATGAACGTGCATAATAAAACAATCAGGCAAGCAGGCATGGTGGCATGCTTCTGCAGTCCCAGCTACTTGGGAGGCTGAGGTGGGAGGATCGCTTAGACCCAGGTGTTTGAGACCAGCCTGGACAACATAGCAAGACCCCATCTCTTAAAAAATACAAACAACTGAATCAGCCAAAGAACAGAATGACTGAAGCAACAGAAATGCTCCTGGCCTTCTGAGTAAAAACCCTGCCTTATAATATAGAAAACTAAGAACCGAATGACAGCTCCCAGGGGACTCAACCCTGGACACATACGGCATATCATAAGAACTTTCAACATTACCTCATAGTTAGTGGTTACAAAGAGATCTTTGATATTACTTTTTGGTGCTGGAATTGGTGGAAACAACTTGATCCATAAATGACATCTGAAAACAGAGTAAAGAAGGAATTAGGTGAGCATGAGTATACCTTTTGTCTCTAAATATCTACTCTAAAAATTGACCTGGTTGATTCTAGAACCTGCTGTTTTGTAAATTCAAAATCTTTACGTACCAAGACTTCCAAAATTATAGGTGAAGACTTTGTGGGTACCGCAAGCCTCTGCTGTGGCCCTGAGTCATCCAGGGAAGACCAAATGGAAACTGCTTTGTGTCAGTGGGTGTTACCAGGCCTAATATCTGAAAACGAACTGTATATTTCAAGTGGGTGGTGCTGATTGAAGCATTCCTTCCTCAATTATGTTTACTCACAGAGTTTACTTACTTTTTTTTTTTTTTTTTTTTTTTTGGTCTTGCTCTGTCACCCAGGCTGGAGTGCAGTGGCGCCATCGTGGCTTATTGCAATCTCCACCTCTCGGGCTCAAGCAATTCTCCTGCCTCAGCCTCCTGAGTAGCTGGGACTACAGGCACATGCCACTGCGCTCAGCTAATTTTTGTATTTTTTGTAGAGACAGGGTTTCACCATGTTGCCCAGGCTGGTCTCGAACTCTTGACCTCAAGTGATCCTCCAGCCTCAGCCTCCCAAAGTGCTGAGATTACAGGCATGAGTCACCATCCCCAGCCGAGTTTACTTTCTTTTCATCTCCTTTGTACTGCCTTCCCCCAAACTGTAGATGCCATCCGAATATAACGTTTATAATAGTAAAGCTGTTTAATAGAAAAGTCTTTTTTTTTTTTTTGAGACACAGTCTCACTCTGTCCCCCAGGCTGGAGTGCAATGGTACGATCTTGGCTCACTATAGCCTCCAACTCCCAGGTTCAAGTGATTCTACTGCCTCAGCCTTCCAAGTAGCTGGGAATACAGGCACGTACCACCACGCCCAGCTAATTTTTTGTATTTTTAGTAGAGACGGGGTTTCACCACATTAGCCAGGGTGGTCTCGATCTCCTGACCTCATGGTCCACCCGCTGTGGCCTCCCAAAGTGCTGGGATTACAGGAGTGAGCCCCCACACCCGGACCTTATAAAACTCATTTTCTAAATTATGAAAGGGCCAAGACAAAACATGTTTTTAAGCCTCCTAAAAGGTCTTGTGCCTTACTGAATGCTAAAATGGGTAAGGGATACTTATGGACCATTTGTGGACTCTAGGATAGGATACCAGATCCACATGCGATTTCTAGAATCCGTGTTTGACCTAATAACCATCAGCCACTCAGGGGCCTGGTGACTTGATAGCTGAGGATGATGACATGCAGGCATTGTGGTGATTTTAGCCTCCCTGAGCTGTGAAAAGCCTATACTGGCAGCTTACCCTAGACAGCCAAGGACCGAGTGGAAGACTGAGAAGGAATCAAAAGAAACCCGCAAGTAGAAACCTTCACAGAAATTAAAAGCTGTCGACAACTTCAGGTAGGAGTGAGTGATAGCTGAGGGCTGCATTGTGTGCTCTGTCCAACTTCTGTAAATCACCTCTGGACATTTCCACTTTTGATTTGGCCTACACTCATCTTGGACAGGTCATCTAGGCACAAAAATGCCACAAATTTTACCTGATAATAAGAACCCTCTGCCTACCGGATGCATGGTAAGCCTGTAAAAATGCAGTACTGAAACCCCACTGCAAGCACGCAAATGTAAAGAACACTTACATTTTACAGATAAGCGAGAGAATTAACAAGATGAAGCAGATGGTTGCCATAATCACAATGACAAACCACTCTCTCAAGGGCTTGTGTTCATCATTTCCTGGTGGAAAACAAAAAAGAAACAAAAAAATATAAAGTCCAAGTTAGAAGCAGCAGGTAAAAGAAATGATGAGGCTTGGGTCATCAGACAGCTCAGGTTTGAGTTGCCGGTGCTGGGTGGTGTTGGGCAAGTAGCTTAACTTCCCTGAGCCTAAGATTTCTCATCTGTAAAAGAAGGGTAACAGCCATCTCACAAAGTTGATATAGGGTGAGATGAAATGATGGCAGTGAGGCCACTTTTATTCTTAAAGAATGATTTATTCAATCAATCAGCAAATATTTATGGCATTCATTCCATGTACTGTGCCACTTGGATCTTGGAGCTTATCTGTTTTTGGTACGTAGTAAGGTTTTTAGATAGAAAATCCACAAAAAGATAAGCCTATTGAGTAACCCAATGGCATCACAATCAAAATACAAAGTTGGAAATTAAACTTTTGGAGGAAGTAAAGTATGAGATAATACTTGTAGTGAACAATAAAGGCATCAGACTCCAAGTGCTTTTCAATCTTAAATATCTTCAAAGCACCCCTTACCATTATTCCCATTTTACAGACATGAAAGGAATAAAACTGCCATTAAGTCAGTACAGAAAGTCAGTATTTTGTATGCCACTTATTCTCTGTTTAAATTTGCTTTGAATCTACATTTAAGGGACAGATTCTTCTAGGAACTTCTTTTTTTTATTATTATACTTTAAGTTTTAGGGTACATGTGCACAACGTGCAGGTTTGTTACATATGTATAAACGTGCCGTGTTGGTGTGCTGCACCCATTAACTCTTCTAGGAACTTCTATGATAGCTTTGGGGTGTGTAATTTTTCTTTTAAGTACTAGAAAGGCGTCCAAGACAAACTCAAGCCAAGTGCAGTGGCTCACGCCTGTAAATCCAAGCACTTTGGGAGGCTGAGGCAGGTGGGTCATTTGAGGCCAGGAGTTTGAAACCAGCCTGGCCACCATGGTGAAATCCCATCTCTACTAAAAATACAAATATTAGCCAGGCGTGGTGGCAGGCACCTGTAATCTCAGCTACTTGGGAGGCCGAGGCACAAAATCGCTTGAACACAGGCAGCAGGGGTTGCAGTGAGCCGAGATTGCACCACTGCACTCCAGTCTGGGGGACAGAATGAGACTCTGTCCCCCACCAGCCCCCCTGCAAAAAAAGAAAAGAAAAACTCAAGACCATTTACCAAATAGTGTTTAAAGAGGTTATGTGCTTGCTAACCTGCCGGATTGAATAATGTAAATCCTGTGTCATCTCCCTGAATATGAGTTTCCTTTCCGTGGGAGAGGCTGCTCATTCATTAATTCCTTTATTCATCCATTTAACTAATATTTACTGGGCTCCTATTATATGTTTGGAACTGTACAAATTACTGGGATTCAGTGGTCGAAAGATCACATATGGGTGCTCCTGTCATGGAGTCCATTAGGAAAGAATCACACTCAGCAAATAGCAACACAAGCAGTGATTTAATGACGAGCGTGCTAAATACTGTGGTGAGATTTCAACCACACCGCACCAGGAGAAAAGGTTACCATGCTCAGTTTGCCATGAACTGCTTCCTCTAGAAAAGAAGAAATACATAAGTGGAATTTTCAGGTCCTTGTTAATAGCCTAAGACTTCCAAAATAATTAAAACTCAAATCATTCAAGTGACAGGAAGGAGAGATACCTTGGGATATAATGCTAGTGATTCCAGCCTTGCCTTGTTCTCTTGCTTTTTTGCCTCCTGAGGACCCTTATCCAAGCTTTATCTTCTACCTCCCGAAAGTTTTAATCTCCTTCTTCATCTCTTCCCTTCTGCTTTCAAATATTCATAGAGTCCTTCATCTTGAATAAGCCATGACCCTGCTTTGCCATCTCTCTCCACTGTCATCAAATACCTTCTTACTTTATTTCCCAGTCTAAATTCTTGAATAAGGGCTAGGTGCGGTGGCTCACGCCTGTAATCCCAGCACTTTGGGAGGCTGAGGCGGGTGGATCACTTGAGGTCAGGAGTTCAAGATCAGCCTGGCCAACATGGCAAAACCCCATCTCTACTAAAAATATAAAAATTAGCAGGGCATGCTGGCTCATGCTTGTAGTCCCAGCTACTCAGGAGGCTGAGGCAGGACAATTGCTTGAACCTGGGAAGTGGAGGTTGTGGTGAGCTGAGATCCCGCCACTGCACTCCAGCCTGGGTGACAAGAGCGAGACTCCGTCTCAAAAAAAAAAAAAAAAAAATTATTTAAGGGATTCGGGCTGCTTCATTTCCCAGCTCTAACACTGCTTTTTTAATCACAGTGACTTCCTCCTAGTCTAATTCAAAAGACGCTTGGTTTCTTTTTCCAGCTTTATTTTTACTGACCTCCTTCCTGAATTTCAGACTGTGTATAGTTGAGCCCACCTTGAAACCGAGTCCTCAGCTTTATTGCCCATATCTCTTCTTAGATGGCCCTTCTCCCCATTTTAATTTCGATTGGCCCTCTCCACTCATCCTTTGACCCTTTGCTATTTTCCACTGTGGCCTATTCTTTGAACTTTGAAAAGTTTGTTTATACCACTTCATCTTTTAATTTTATGAAGTCTTTTCCCAGGTTTTTATTCCTGGTCCTGCCTGACACTCAGCTCCAGGCCTGGATCTTAAACTGTCCGTAGGTAAAACCTGCTCGGATGTTTCTCAAGGCTGACAACATTCAAAACCAAACGCATGTTCTTCTTCATATAAAAACCCCTTCTCTCACTAACTGCCCATTTCAGTCTCCATTCTTCCAAGCCCCCAGACCTGAAGCCTCGAAGTCACTTTGACTCTTTCCATCCTTTACAGCCGCTGTCCCTTCTCCTCATTCCCTTGGTTCATGTCGTCACTGCGTACCCAGTGATTAGTGCCGGACAGGCAGGCTTTGTCCAGTGCTTTCATCCCTGCCTATTCTGGAAACCTGGCTTGTAGTCTCAGCTTGCTGTGAAGGTGGTCATTCTGGGCCTCGGTTTCCTCATCTAAACACATGGCAGTTGAAATATATAATCCATAGATCCTTCCCCAGCCAGCACCTTTTCTAGCACCACTCACTCAGTTGAGGGTACTGTCACTTCATGTACACATACCTTTAATAAAATTGGTTTTAGAAAAGCAGTGCCTTTTTGGGCCGGGTGTGTTAGCTCATGCCTGTAATCCCAGCACTTTGGGAGGCCCACAGGCAGATCACTTGAGGTCAGGCGTTTGAGACCAGCCTGGCCAACATGGTGAAAGCCCATCTCTTCTAAAAATATAAAAATTATCCAGGTGTGGTGCCGCATGGCTGTCATCCCAGCTACTAGGGAGGCTGAGGCAGGAGGATCCCTTGAACCTAGGAGGCAGAGGCTGCAGTGAGCCCATCACGCAACTGCACTCCAGCCTGGGCTACACAGCAAGACACTGTCTCGAAAAAAAAGAAAAGAAAAGAAAACAAAAGTAGTGCCTTTTTGCTGCTGGAACTTTAAAAGTTTATAAAGTATAAAAAAGAAAAAAGAAAAATCAGTAGTCACTGGAAGTAACTAAGAGCTTATTTTCTATACATATTTTTGCATTCGCTTTTTCTGAGTGCTTCTAGGTGCTCAGATACTGTGTAAAGTGCTTCACGTACTTTCTCGATTTAATTCTTACAGCGATGCTTTGAGATGGACACTATTATTCTCACTGTACAGATGGAGGAACTGAGGCAGAAAAGGACAGAGTAAGTCAGCCCAGGCCACACAGCTAGGAAGTGCGGAAGCCCAACCAGTCCGTGCTCTTAGCCTTGATGTAGGAATCCCATTCCCCTCCCTCCCTCTGCAAAACTGAGGGCACACTGAATACATAGGAGCTTCGCTTCACTTATTTTAAGCATTGCTTTTCATTGAGAACTCTCCTGAGCATGATCCCTATAGCTCTCTGTGCTTCACTGTGGGAAGCCCTGTTCTATTGTTTGTATCCCCGTTTCTGATAAGGCTAAGTGTGCAGGCAGCTTCTCTAATTAAAGGTGGCTGCTTTGCAAACTACCGTTTCTCCTGACATTCCCCAAACTCTAGGTGGGACTGAAGCCCTTTATTAAAAACCTATGGCTATACTATTTATTTATTTATATGAGATAGAGTCTTGCTGTATCACCCAGGCTGGAGTGCAGTGGCATGATCATAGCTCCCTGCAGATTCTAACTCCTGGGTTCAAGCAATCCTCTCGCCTTAGCCTCCGAAGTAGCTGGGACCACAGGCACGCATCACCATGCCTAGCTAATTTTTAAAATCTTTTGTAGAGATGGGGCCTCAGTATGTTGCCCAGGCTGGTCTCAAACTCCTAAACTCAGGCAATTCTCCCACTTTGGCCTCCCAAAGTGCTGAGATTACAAGCGTGACCAACTGTGCCTAGCCCTATGGCTATAGTATTTTTTTTCAAGTTTTTTTTTGAAATATACTTATGTCTATTGTTTTACAAAAAGGCATTAGCCACATTTTGTTAAATAATGGAAAACAGACCCTCAAAGTGGCAAAGCTTTTGTCTTCCTAAATCCTACAGATCCTCGATGGTTCCAGGATTAATACTCCGTTCTCTGGATTGGAACTGAGGGCTCTGTTAGACTTCATTTTTATTGCATTCTTTCTTAGTTAATGTAAAGAGTAGCTGGGACAAACTAATAACAGCAAATCAAATACCGTCTTACTTTATTTCCCAGTCGATTTCCTGAGTAAGGAATTCAGCCTGCTTCATGGCCCCATCTCTGAAACTATTCCATGCTCGTAACCATTATGCAAGTATTCTGACAACCACATTCAGAAACTGCAGGTTTATAGACACCGGATGCAAATTCAGCAAGTGGTACATCAGCAGAAAAAAAGTTATCCTGTTTATAACTAGGTTAAACCAACAGAAAAAGTGTGGGTCCTGCAGAAAGAAGGGGCAGTGTTGTAAATAATTATCAGGGTCACACTGTCAGTCACATTTGGGTCTCAACTTGTGCAATATCCCCTAGCCTGATATGGCAAGTTTTGATAACAGTACCGTTTTCTTCTGACCATGATTACAAAAATCTTTTCAGTTAAACCACTCTCAAGTTATTCACTTCAGCCCTCACTTTGATAAGCGAAGATTCTCACTGAATTAGCAAAAATATAGAGGCAACCCTGATTTTATTTCATTAAATGAAAAAAAGTTATTGATGCATACAAGGTACTACGTGAGAAGCAAAGTCACGGTCACTGCCGGGAGGGAGGTGGCACATTAGTCATTTCTCCTGGCCTGGCCTCTCCAGTTGCCCCAAATGCATTAGGGCTACTCCCCTATAGCTAGTTGAAAACAGAACTAACCCCTGAAAACACAACCAAGGTCGGCTTTTCCTTGAAGAAAACATAAATTGGCAGGAAAATTTTGTGCAAGCAAAAGATTTCACATACCTATTGCGAAGTAGACATTACTTGTGGATTATCTACTGTTCAGTTACTTATTTATGCAAAAAAAAATGCCAGTACATTAGTGAATTAAAGTAAGCACCTGCTCTGGTTTTACTGAAAGTAGAGCAAGGAGGGAAGATCCCACTGAGAGTATACATTCTTTGGGTCAAAATGATTAAGAATTTCAATACTATAAAATTTGGGAGATCCCGTAGTATAGTCTTAATTTGAATTCTGGGGTCTCCAACCTTGGAGATTAAAAAAAAAGTATTTCGAGGTAATTTGACTCTCTGCTCTGACTCAAGGAGAATACCTTTCTTGCCATTAAAAAGGAAGTCACAGATGTTTCTTTTCAAGAAATCAATGGGCACTGCCATTTGGTTATGCAAAGATGGGTTTCAGAAAGAAGAAGTCACACAGCCTATTCTTGTAAGGAGGAGAAGCTCTCCAGACTCCCCATTTGATTCCTGGGTGCTTTTTAGGCATCACTAACGTAAAGCATTTGGGAAATTCAGTTGTCTGGTGTCTGGGGACCTCAGTTTCCATTATTTTTGACATCTTAAGCATTTGACCTTGCAAATAAGCCAATAGTCTGCTATTCTTCTATGACCCTAGAATGTATATGGAGTGGGACATGGGGTGCAGGTGGGCTGGGACAGTGGCAACACAGAGGGCAGAAGGACTGCAAGTATTGGACCCAAACTAGTCCCAGCTCTGCCTCTGGGAGCTTTGTCAAGCCACTTCCCTTTTAGGGCTGCAGTCTCTCTTGATCTAGAATTCTATGATGTATGAAGTTTAGACTACTAGCTCTTAGGAGATGAATTTGATTTGGAAGCCTGTTACACCTTAAATTCTGCATGTAAGTATGAACTTTCAGTGCTTACATATTGATTTTGAATCTGATTTCAGACTCAACAATAGGTTTCCAGGGAAAAGAGCTAATTAGTAAATTGATGGGATGCTTCCAACAGAGCAGGCCTGCTGTGTTTTTAGAGCCAGCAGGTGCTGGGAGAAGTTCAAATGGCACCAACAGGGTTGGATAATTGAGAGGATGTCAATATGGCAGTCTATGATACAGGGTTTAACTAGCTTCCTGTGACTTGCCTCCAGTTGGAGGGGAGAATGGCATCATTCATGAATGAACATCCCAAACCAGATCACAGGCTTCCAGTGCAGGCAAGTCAGGAGCAGACCTTTTGGGTGAGTGAGCTTTCAAGGCAGCTGTCAAATGGACTGTGGGAGGTACCTGGTTTAGAGAAATAAAAAGAGGGCAGCAAAATGCAGCCTCAGTGAACAAAATGTGTAGAGTAGTGAAGGACCCGGATCACACACACAGCTTGCACTATGTTCATCTGGTGGAACTGGGCTTGCATTAACCGAATAGAGAGAGGAAATGGAGACTGTGTATTTGTGTACGTGTGTGTATTTGTGTGCATGCGTGTATTTGTGTGTGCATTCAGGATCAGCTGGATGGCTCACTGCAGTACTGCTTGTCTGCAATATCCCCCAGTAGGACTAGACTTGATGAAGTTGAGTGGGGAATTCCTCATGGCAGTTTTCTTCTCTGCAGGCTTTCCCACAAAGCACCAAGGGCTATGTACCTTCTGGAGCCCCCCAAGCAACCCAGAACTTTCTTCCCTATAAGGGGTTGCTGGGCCTATTTTATCAACCTGCTAAAGCAGATGAAAGCTGGCTGCAGAGGATGTAGTCATCACATAGAAGTAAGCAACAAGGGATAAAGAGGGTTAGTCCTAGACCAAGTGTGGTGGCTCAGGCCTGCAATCCCAGCACTTTGGGAGGCCAAGGTGGGTGGATCACTTGAGGTCACGAGTTCAAGATCAGCCTGGCCAACATGGTGAAAATGCTGTCTCTACTAAAGATACAAAATTAGCCAGGCGGGGTGGCATGAGTAATTCCAGCTACTCCGGTGGCTGAGGCAGGAAAATTGCTTGAACCCCCATGGGAGGTGGAGGGTGCAGTGAGCTGAGATCATTGTGTGACTGCCCTCCAGCCTGGGTGAGAGAGTGAGACTCCATCTCATAAAAAAAAAAAAAAAAAAAGGTTTAGTCCTGGTTCTGCCACTTGCTACCAAAGTGACCTTCGGCAGGGTAGCCTCTCCAGCTTCTATGTCCTGCATTATAAAACAGGGATAAGGATCGAATGAATTAACACATGTGAAGTGCTTAGCACAGTGCTGGTACACAGGTGCTCAATAAATATTACTTACTATAATTACGATTAGGATGAAATGCATTGTGTCAACAAATTCATCAAGATAATTTCCCTTTCATCAAAGCAAGGCCAAAATTGGAGTGCTATCAGAATTCTAAAAATGCAGAGAGATAAACTCAGGCCAGGAGAAATAAACACACACCAAATATTCTAGATACTGAGGAACAGAAAAGGGTATGGGTATTCCTACCCTTCAAGGATTTAGGGTTCAAAATGTTCATTAAGATGAATCTTATGAAGAACTTGGACAGGAACATTTAGACAAGAATGGCCTGAAGAGGCTAACTTCATTCCCAATGGCTTGTCTGGATGGAGGCTGACAGGGTCAAGAGCTGGCAGAGCTTCCTGCTTGCACAGCCCCCAGCCCCTCTTGCTGAGTGTGGCCCATCCTCCAGCCTCAGTTTCCCTGGCTGGAGTAATAGCCCCCGGGGCAATGGAACATCTCGAAAAGAACCCAGGTGTGGAGCCAATCCTCTAGCTGTGTTCCAAACCCGGATGTCCCACCTACTATCTGTGTAGCTTCCAGCAGTTCCTTCACCTCTCTGCATCTGTTTTCTCACCTGTGTGATTAGGAAATCATGTGTGTGATGATAAAAGATGATGTAGATGAATATGTCCTGCACAGGGGCTGGCCCCCTGACAGCATCCCTCCCTCCCACAAGCTGCCATCCCTCCATGAGGCAGAATGTATGCCTAGAAGGGTGATGTAGGCACCAATAGAGGTGGCTGCGCCTGAAAGCACTGTGGGAACTCCCTGCTCCTGGCATTTGGAGATGAAATCTGAAAGGTCCCTGTTAGGCCTCCTTCAGGCTAGTGGGATGACCACAGGCGTGAGGCAGTCCGCCCCCCCTGGTGGGAACAAATGGTGGGGCTGCCAGGTGGGATCTAACCAGCCTGGACAAAAGGAAGCAGTGTGACCAAGCCATCTGTCTACACAGGGAAAGCAGAACCACAATAAGCTGTGTTAGTCTTAGGTAAGCCTAAGTGGGTCTTTCATGTTGTTATTGGGTCAACTCTTGTTACTTTTAAGCAATTTCTGCTACTGTGTAGACCCAGTGGCTCCCATCTGTAACCTCAAAAGAGTTTTGCAAGATTATTTTGGAAGGCCTAGGGATAGCTCATGTGGACCCTCCTACAACATTTCCCTTTCATCTTCCTTCGTGTTTTGCCACAGTGTGAGAATTTAACAAGAAAAAGCTGCTGAAGGAGAGTGACGGGATCAGGAGAGACAGAGAGAAGGGATTAGAGCTCCAGGTGGGAGTCAGAGTGCAAGGAATCAGGTTGGAGCTGCGGGACCTTGGCACAATGCAGGCAAACTGGAAAATGAAGATGCATTTGATGGTCCCAAAGGTGACTTCAGTTTTTGATTCCAGGTGCCCAGGACAAAGGTACCAAGTCACCTCACACATCAGCCCATGAATATCAAGTCAAAAGAAAAAGGCACAGGAGTTTCTCTGGGGTGGCCTTCCTTCCAGCCCATATTGCCATAGGCCACCCTGATACCCTACCTCAACCCATTTTCCTTAAGTCCTAACAGATTCTAGGATGTGTCACGGGACTCTGAGACCCCCACTCCACCAGCTCAAACTCCGACAGGAAAGCAAAGGCCAAGATTTCCTATGAACAACACATCTCTATGTTTAAGGAGCTGTCTGCTGTGCCCCTGTCTGCTGTGACCTCATGAATGAGTGATCTGAAAATTGCTGTGACCTCATGAATGAGTGATCTGAAAACGGTGCTGAGTCTTCTACTCCCCTGGGTGTAGGTGCCATACATCTCAAGACTAACGAAAGTCAAATTTGGGCCATCAAATTTTGCTTTCAGTGAGGTCAAAGCAAAACTCCATCGTTTCTTTGAAGGGCAATTGCAGTGATTGTAGTCTGTCACAGAAGAAGCAGTTCTCAGAACCACTGATCCTGACCAAAGACACGGCCAGAAATAAGTGCAGGGTAGACCCACATAAGTCTCTTTTCCTCAAGCAAGGATATGACTATGGAAAAATTTATTTTCATCATTCCTCGTTTCACACTTGGCATTTGAGCTTCATGGATGGCGGGAAGAAGAGAAGATGATGGACTTGAGAAAACACACAGCTTCATGAAGACCAGGGTCAGGAAACAAAAGGTTTCGATAAACAGGAGACAGCAAAGATAACAAAGGAACAGAAGAATCCGGAAGTTAAGAAAGTTTAAAAAGGAGAAAGACATGTAAAAATTGGGAAGTTAGCTCTTAAGATAAGACAGAGAAGCCAGCTGATCTAGGGCAGGTGATAACGAGTACTGATAAAATGAAACTGCTACTTCCATAAAAAAAAAAATCCCAGCCCAGCTATAGTCCCAGCTACTCAGGAGGCTAAGGCAGGAGGATTGCCTGAGCCCAGGAGTTCGAGACCAGCCTGGGCAACATAGTGAGACCCCTCATCTCTTAAAAAAAAATTCTGAATCAAATTGTAGGCCTCATTTAGTTTTTTGAGAAATCTTCCAAAGGAGAAGTCACTATATCAAAAAGACACCTAACGTGCATGTTTATCACAGCACCATTCACAATTGCAAAGATATGGAATCCACCTAAGTACCTATCAACCGATGAGTGGATAAAGAAAATGTGGTAAACATACACAATGAAATACTACTCAGCTGTACAAAAAGAATGCAATAATGTCTTTTGCAGCAACTTGGATGGAATTGGAGGCCATTACCCTAAGGAAAGTAATCAGGAACAAAAAACCAAATACCATATGTTCTCACTTATAAATGGGAGCTAAGCTTTGGGTACACAGAGGCATACAGAGTGGTATAATGAACATTGAAGACGCAGAAGGGGAGAGGGTGGGAGGAGCATGGGGGATGAAAAGTCACCTATTCAGTATGATGTAAACTATTTAGCTGATGGGTACAATAAAAGCCCAGACTTAACCACTATGCAATTCATCCATGTAACCAAAAACCACTTGTACCCCTAAAGCTGCTGAAATAAAACAATTGTTTTTAATTTAAAAAATTCCATGCTCTGGAAATTCTAGGACAGGAGAGCCAATCAGGCACTGTTCAGAGCAAGCAAAGAGCACTCACTTGCTAACTATACCCCCTCCCTGCTGTCCCCTGTGCTCCTTGGCTGGCCAGGGACCTTACCAACAGAGCTGGACAGCACCCCCAGCCTCTCCCAGCTCACCTTATCTCATCAATCAAAACTTACTCTGTGTCTCATTTTTTAAATTAAATAACCTTGGGCTATAATGGGTTAATTAGTTAATCAAATCTATTCTAATTCACTGATTGGCTCATATGTCATCTATTTGAGAAAATTGTATATTAATAGCCACTTCTTGGCTGTTTGACAACTGCTGAGTCATTTAGTATCTCAGGACCTCCATTTTCTTACATTAAAATAATGGGGGGGAAATTAATAACTATGAAAGGGTTGATATTTGAGTTGAGTCTTGGAGTAAAATGGAGTGGGAGGGCTACAGCATGCTGTTTTTAAGATAAGGCAAAAGAGGAGAAAGCATAGTTAAAGGAAATGAATGTAGCAGCAAAATCGCCTGATGGACTCCTAGCTGAGTATAATTATTGCTGCATCCTCAAGGGATAAAAAAGAGCCATGCAAAATGTCCCAGAGGGGCTTGGACTTCCTATTACGTTTATTAATCATCTTGATGAAAATGGAAAGTCTACATTGATTAAATTCACTAATGATCCTAAACTGAGCAGAGGAGTAAATTCCAGAAAGGATGGATTTATAAGGTGAGTAGTAATATTAATCAGCTCATCTTCATGAAAAGGATGGCAGTAAATGAAATGGGATTTGCTATAGATAATGGCAACGAGGTACACCTGGGGGAAAACTATAATGAGCCCAGATTCAAACTAGGAAGGTGTTATTTAGGAAATAATAATGGTAAGAGAGCTCTAAAGTGGAGAGTGAATAATAAATTAAAAACAAGCTTAAAATAAGCGCTCGTTATGGATCACAATTTCACTCTCAGCACTTTTGCAGTGGGGTGGTGCAGAGGAGGTGAATGTGAATGGCAGAGGTGGAAGCAGGTTTGTAGTGCAGCACTTATATTTTACAGGTGAGGATGCTAAGCCCAGAGAGGTTAGGTGTAGACTGACTAGGCCAGGGTGGAAAAACCCTGTCATGCTCGTCACCACTCTGTCCCTTGCAGTGGTGGCAGGAGATCACGATTCCTTCTGACAATCTAAATTTAGCCTCAGAATCCTCAATGCTGCACTCTAAGCAGTCTCTGATTACTTTGCTCACAAAACATTACCTTTTGTCATCTCTAGCTTATAACATAGAGCTAGATGTTGGCAGAGCCGTAGCTAAAAACCTAGATGTCCTGAATATCTAGTGCTTCTTTTTCACCTAATACGTTCTAAATTCTCTACAGTCAACATTGACTATGACTTCAAAAGTCAAAGACTCAGAAAGCATAACTAACTTCTTATCTAGGATTCTGACCTTGGTATCCATCATCTTGGTTTAAGTTTCCTTAGACAGCATTTTAAAATCTCCAAAATTGAATACATATAGAGAGAGGTGTTGGGAAGACACTTAGAAATAGCAATAGTTTTGAGCCAGTGAGTTTTGTGCCCCTGGGGAGTAACATAAAGCATTTTTAAAAAGAAGTCTATTGAATTCAAGTAACAAAAATTAAACTTCCACCTTAGGCATTTGACAAAATTAATGACCTTGTTAAAAATTCCCTGAGACTGATTAATGCTTCTCGTATTTGTTTCCCTCCTGGGGAACAGAGTGAATTTTCCTGGTGCAAATGGAGCCATGTCGAGGAAAGTCCTGTGTGTGCTGGGTCAGTTTAGTTAGGTGGGGGCATCAACCTAGGGAGGAGGGGAGGGAGGGGAAGATTGGTCTCAACAGAATTATGAAGCAGGTGAGTTTAGCCCATTCTCACTTCCTTTTAGTGTCCTTTCAGTTCCCTCTCCCCAGGAAGGCTCATGCTGCTCCTGTAAGTCTCTCTGAGTGATGTGAGGGCTACCCCTGTAAGGCTGAGCTGGTTGTGTGTTGCACAACTTTAGGGGACGCTATTCTCCCTTGGGAACTCGGTAACTTAGCACGACCAGCCCCCTGGCAGATTCAGAACAGTTCTCCATTTATTAGGCCTTTCCTTATCTTTCCCAGTCTTCAGTGGAAATCTACCTGCTGTGTGTCAGATCGGAGTCATTTTCACATGGGCTGATGGGTCACTGCCCGAGACTTTCCTGAAGACCTACCCCATAGCTTAAGCGAATGAATTAAATAGTAGAACATTTTGGCATGTGCCTGAACTAAATCTCTCCTATGTATACTCTTCCAATGGTTGATGAATACCTCATAGGATTCATGAGAGATGGCATCCACATGCTTGATCACCCATAATCACAAAGGTTGGCTACCAAGATGTCTTTTTTTTTTTTTGAGATGTCGCCCAGGCTGGAGTACAGTGGCGCAATCTTGGCTCACTGCAACCTCTGCCTCCTGGGTTCAAGTGATTCTCCTGCCTCCCGAGTAGCTGGGACTACAGGCGCGCACCACCACGCCCAGCTAATTTTTTGTATTTTTAGTAGAGACAAGTTTCACCATGTTAGCCAGGATGGTGTCGATCTCCTGATCTGCCCACCTCGGCCTCCCAAAGTGCTGGGATTACTGGTGTGAGCCACCGCACCCATCCCCAAGATCTCTTAAATAAGACTTTAATCTACCCAGCACTTTAAAGCTTGCAGAATCCTGTCCCACCATGCCAGAGTGTCCAGAGATCAAGTGCTAGAGTCAGTTAATCTGGGGTTAGAGCCCCATCCCTGCCACTTGTTGGCCATGCAGAACAGAGTTAAGCCAATTACCTAAACTTTCCAAACAAGTTTTTTGATAGGACTAAGATTATGTATTTAGCATAGTGCTTGGCAAAATAAATAAAAATTAAAAAACACATGTAATCTGCTATCCCTGCTGTTGTTTTTATTTCAGATACGGTGTGGGGCAGGAAAGCTGGATGTTATCTCCTTTATCTTGAGAACCCTAGGAAACAGAGAGAAATTATTTGTCTGGGGATACACAATCAATCCTTGTAAAGGCTGAATGTTAAACCTGGGCTTTCTATGTAAGGCTCCAGTCTTCTTCCCACCATCCCATGCTCTTATAGACCTAGTGCAACAGTTAACGACGTGTGTGTGCCTCCCCAGGCTGAATGGTTTATCATACACATGAGACGCACTAGTTGCTTTTTAACTGTTTCCTTCTCTCATACAATGCCTATGTTGACTTGCCGGAAACACCTGGATAATAGCAAACACAGGGTTTGAATTTTCTTTTTTTTTTTTTTCTTTTCTTTCTTTTTTTTTTTTTTGAGATGGAGTCTCACTCTATTGCCCGGGCTGGAGTGCAGTGGTGCGATCTCGGCTCACTGCAAGCTCCGCCTCCCGGGTTCACGCCATTCTCCTGCCTCAGCCTCCCGAGTAGCTGGGACTACAGGCGCCCGCCACCACGCCCGGCTAATTTTTTGTTGTTGTATTTTTTAGTAGAGACAGGGTTTCACCATGTTACCGAGGATGGTCTCGATCTCCTGACCTCGTGATCTGCCCATCTCGGCCTCCCAAAGTGCTGGGATTACAGGAGTGAGCCACCACGCCCGGCCAACACAGGGTATGAATTTTCTATCTTCAAGGTGCAATACCACATGTCCTGGGTGTGGAATTGACATCTGTGTCAGGGTAAGACTGGAAATG
The DNA here is from genome assembly GCF_000001405.40 of Homo sapiens. NCBI lineage: Eukaryota > Metazoa > Chordata > Mammalia > Primates > Hominidae > Homo > Homo sapiens. Next base: position 3,090,964 of record NC_000003.12, read on the forward strand.
TGCCCCTTCATCCATAGCTGCCATTGGGTATATTATTATCCTTCATGGATCTCACTGACAGAGACGATGCCCATCTTACTTGCCAAGCAAACTAGTCCATTTGATCGTAACATAAACAGTTGCAGAGCTAACACAGGAGTCCCGGTGATGCATGGACCTCTTTATACTCTATATCTGCTAGGCTGAAGGCTCAGGGACAGATCCAGATTTTGTGGGACCCTATAGATTACACAGTTTTGGAATCTTCTTTTTTTAAAAAAGTATAAAGTCAAAATTAGGTATGGGAAAATCGAAGAGATGGAGAACAGACTACTCGTTGCCAGAGTTCAGGGATAGAAGAGAGGAGAGAGAGATGGGTGTATTTATAAAAGTGTAACAAGTGATGATGCAACTGCTCTGTATCTTGACTGTGGTGATGGGTACATGAACTTAAACATGTGCTAAAATTGCATAGAACCAAACAGACACATACAAATGAGGACATATGGCTCGGCACAGCGGCTCATGCCTGTAATCCCAGCACTTTGGGAGGCTGAGGCCGGTGGATCACCTGAAGTCAGGAGTTCGAGACCAGCCTGACCAACGTGGTGAAACCCTGTCTCTACTAAAAATACAAAAATTAGCCAGGCGTGGTGGCATGTGCCTGCAGTCCCAGCTACACGGGAGGCTGAGACAGGAGAATCGCTCGAACCCAGGAGGCAGAGGTTGCAGTAAGCTGAGATGGCGCCACTGCACTCCAGCCAGGGCGACAGAGCAAGACTCTGTCCAAAAAGAAACAAAAAAACAAACAAACAAATGAGGACATATAAAATTGATGAAATCAGTAAGATCTGGATTACCAACACCAATATTCTATTCCACTATTGTACTATAGTTTTGTAAGATGTTACCCTTGAGGAAAACTGGATGAAAGAGACACAGGATCTCTATTATTTCTTCCCACAGCTTGTGAGTGTGATAATTATTTCAAAATAAAAAGTTTAATTTAAAAAATGGATAGAAGTAGAAACAAAACTTGGAAAAAAAACAGGCACCAGGTCTAGGAGAGTTGGCGCTAATGAGAAGCCTAGACACTTAAAAACTTCACTGGCTTCATGGCAAATCTATTCCTGATTGAAAAGGCAGTAGACCGAGAGAAAATTAGTCACAATAGAGATATGAAACCATTTTAAGACCCACGAGTGAACGGGTACGTTTCTGGGATTACCTTTTTTGATCACAAGGAAGGCTGCCAATGTAAAATAAACATAAGCTACTTACCCACATAAATAGGTTGGCTCCACTCACTCCAGAGCCCTGCCTCTCTGCACATGGAGCTCACTGCTGCTCTCACTTGAACATCGTACTTAGAAAGATCATCAATTATTGAGATGAATGCATTGGTCATCAATTTTTCTATCTAAGTGGGGAAAGATAGCATTAGAAGAATCTCTAGACACCTAATTTAGTTCTGCCGATTATCAGAATGGGAGGTCCTATATAGGTCATGTGACTCACTGTTCAGCAAGTCCTTTAAAATCAACAGGGCACACATTAATTCGTTTATGCTAGGTGCGTTAGTGTGGATGTGTTGGCAGTCACCCTTCAGTGGAACGCTATCTTGTAACCAAAATATACGAAATGATCAACGGTCAAGATCCAGGTGTTCCTATCCAGGCCCAGCTGATGTTTCCAGACTGAAAGACTGGAGTGGCCTATGCTAGAATGCATTATTCCCTCACCTTGTCTCTCCATAATCTATAGTCACATTACTAAATAATGTCACATGAACGCTAGATTGTCTAGTGTTGAAATGAAGCTATTTTCTCATGAATGAGCCCTTCTTCTTTTTCCTTCTACTGATCATGGTCGCCACCATCCAGCTAGTCCCCTGTACCAGAGATGTGCTCCTGACACCTGTATCTTGAATACCCCCGGAGGTGTTTCTCCCTTTTTTACTCCAGCCCTGTGACCATTGCCTATTTTAGCTCTTATTATCTTTTGCTTGGACCTTTGCAGTAGCCGCTAACTGATATCATATGTCCATGTCGCCCCTCCCCACTCACATCCAGTTTTCATGCTGCTACCAAAAATCTTCTTTTACTCTGCAAATGTAGACATATTTCTCTATTGTGTAAAACTCTTCAGTGGCATCCATTGCCCAGAGTCATGGTTTTTAAAAAAGAAGCCACTTCTTTATTTTTTAGCAAAATCTTATAGAGCCACTCTGGGAGAAATCACAATGTCAGATACAGAGTCATGATTTCAGCATTGGTCTTATGTCCAGGCATCCAGGCAGACTGAATTACTTGCCACTTGACTGAAAGAACCATACTCTCTCAAGCATAAAGTTACTCCTTTTCCTAGGCTGGTGCAAGTCAGGAACTATTTATTACTGGCTTGTGATGGGCTAAATACAGATAAAATTATGACTGCAATTTGGAAGTTTTGATAGCAATTTGACATTGCCATGATATCCAAACACATGATCAGTGAACTGACACTTTACATGTCTTTGGCTATATTTAATTTTTTCTAGCAGATCATTTTTATTGTATTTGACAAAAGCACCAATCTATGGTAGATTAGACATTATAAAAACACACGCACACACACGTGCACACACAGTCCTTCAGTGTAAGTATTTTGGGAAGCTCTGGCTAAGAAAGTCCTTCTCATGTTTTCTCACCAGACTAGTTTCTCTTCATCCTTACAGATTCCGTTCAATTCCTCTCTGCAGAGCAGGCTCTGTGCCCACACCCCCATCTCTAGCTGTACTGGCTTTTCCTGTGGGAGGGCAACCCCAAGGCTGGGCAAGTATGTCACAAGATTGGGTCACTCCATGGCAGAAACAGTCTTATTTCTCACAAAGAAGCCAATTTGTAAATATTTGTTGAATCTAATTGAATTGGCTTTGTCTACTCTCTGTAAGACATAAGTTGGAATCCTATTTTTTTTCCTAGCTTTGTGACTGTGGGAGAGTTACTTCATCTCTTTTGCCTCACTTTCCTATAAAATGGGAATGGTAATTACATCATAGAATTATGTGAGGATGGAATAAACACATAATAAAGCTTGACACATAATTGATGCTCAAGAAATGTTGATTGGCTTTCTTCTCAGTTCCTTTCCCCTTGAAATTTTTGTCTATTAGTGCTAATGAGTTTTTTTAATTGTAAAATACATATAATGAAATTTACCATCTTAATCCTTTTTAAGTGTACAGCTTTGTGATATTAAATAGTTTCACATTGTTGTGTCACCAATGTTCAACACTCTTTTAATCTTGCAAAACTGGAACTCTGTACCCATTAAACAATACCTCTCCTTCCACCCTCCTACCAATTCCTGGTAACCACCATCCTACCCTGTTTCTATGAGTTTGACTATTTAACCTCATAAAAGTAGAATCAGACAGTATTTGTCCTTTCGTGACTGACTTATTTTGCTTAGCATAATGTCCTCAAGGCTCCTCCATGTGGTAGCATGTGTCAGAATCTCCTTCCTTTTAATGCTGGATAATATCCTATTATATGTATATGCTGCATTTTGCTTATCCATTCATTTAATGGGCACTTGGGTTGCTTCCAGCTTTTGGCTATTGTGAATAATGCTGCTATGGACATGGGTGTACAAACATCTCTTTGAATCCTTGCTTTCGATTCTTTTGTATATGTAATCAGCAGTGGAATTGTTGGATCGTATGGGAATTCTATTTCTAATTTTTTGAGAATTCATCATATCGTTTTTATAGTAGCTGCATTATTTTAGTTTTTTGTTTTTTTGTTTTTGTTTTTTTAGATGAAATGTTGCTCTGTCACCCAGGCTGGAGTGCAGTGGCGCCATCTCAGCTTACTGCAACCTCCGCCTCCCTGGTTGAAGTGATTCTCCTGCCTCAGCCCCTGCCCCCGAGTAGCTGGGATTATAGTCACGCGCCATCACGTTGGCTGATTTTTGTATTTTTAGTAGAGATGGGGTTTCACCATGTTGGCCAGGCTGGTCTTGAACTCCTGGTCTCAGGTGATCCACCCACATTGGCCTCCCAAAGTGCTAGGATTACAGGCGTGAGTCACCCCACCCGTCTATCATTTTAGATTTTAACCAGCACTAGTACCAATGAGTCTGTATCTAATCCTTTGTATTAGTTTCAACCAAAAGTATGTTCTTTCAAAACAAAAGGCCAGTAAGATTTGGTTTATATCTATTTGGTTATATCTATAATACCTGGGTAGATTAAGTTAACTTTGACCTTGTTAGTACCAAGCTGTAACTTGGTTGCAGTCACTGAAGATAATTTTTTAAATGTTTCTAAAACAAATGTCTGTTATCAAATATTGGAATAATCTGAGTAATTACCTGCAAATATCCATTCCTTGTATTGTGTATTTTTACTTCATAATCAAAGCAATGGATTGGAAAAGCAGACACTGGTTTCTCCCATTGGATAGAGAGACGAGTTCCTTCAATCTCTGCTGTGACATTCAGTGGAGGATTTATTTGATCTAAGTTAGGGAACGAAAGATCAGTGATTTTTTTTTTAGAATCAGTGATCAAAGCTGATAATTCCAATCCACCCACACTTCTCAAGGCATTTCTAAGATACGCTTTTTTCAAATATTTACCATCAGGTCTTAATCAACTGATCTCCAAGCCACAGGAAGCCGGTGGCCTCCCATAATACTCTTGTCTTATAGTGCTGAAGAAGAAGAGACCCTTTCTGGAAACTACAAGGATTACTACTCCAAATAGAGTTGAATGCTTGAATTACTTCCCCCCCTCAGCTCATTGCAAGACTCACCCACCATCCCCCTTTACTACTCAAGTTGTACCAGGCCCAGAATAAACCTGACCACTGAGAGAACATTTCCCTGGACCTTCCACCAAGCCTTGCCTCTTCCCAGTAGGTATGTGGCCCTGAACAAATCACTTCCCCTTTCTGAGATTCAGTTTTTAATTTTAATTTCATTTTGTTTACTGCGTCTTTTGGTTTTTGTTTGTTTGGGGGCTGGAGCAGGAAGCTTCAGTTTTCTTTTGCATCAAAAAGAATGGATTGGGGCAGGGCGTGGGGGCTCACGCCTGTAATCCCAGCACTTTGGGAGGCCGAGGCGGGTGGATCACGAGGTCAGGAGATCGAAACCATCCTGGCTAACGTGGTGAAACCCCCTCTCTACTAAAAATACAAAAAATTAGCTGAGCGTGGTGGTGGGCGCCTGTAGTCCCAGCTACTCAGGAGGCTGAGGCAGGAGAATGGCGTGAACCCAGCAGGCGGAGCTTGCAGTGAGCCGAGATCGCGCCACTGCACTCCAACCTGGGTGACAGAGCAAGAAATCTGTCTCAAAAAAAAAAAAAGAAGAAGAAGAAGAAGAAGAGTGGATTGGGCTAAATTTGTCTTTACTTAGGACTCTAATGTCCTTTCCCTTGAGATCTCACTTGATTGTCTTATGGTCCGGTGAGGTGAGGGGAAATGAATTCTTAATGAGTGTCCTTGTCTTAGGTAATATGACTTAGATCTCACAATTAATAGGGAAAAGCTAGGAGTGGGATCCACTGGCTTCAGAGCCTCCTATACCCTATGAAGAAAATTCTTAACCAAGAAAGTACTTATTTATTTTAGTAATCCTAGGAATCAGCCTCAATAAAATGAAAATCATAAAAGAAAAATGAATTCCTGTGGTCTGTACTAGATCATATCCATTTTCATATTAATATCATTGTTTCCTAGGTCTTCCTCGGCATCTTTTATTGCCTATTTTCATGAAAGTGACATTTTTAGTTCACCTAAGAAATATATTACTGGAGAGAATTGCATAACCTCTTTAGTAAGGGCTATGATTCTTTACACAAAGTTATATTCCATTGGATATAGATATGTCACAGCCAAATCATACCTTCTAAATAATATTGTAGTGTATTTATTAAACCTTTATGCCAGGCACTGTTCTAAGTGCTTTATCATTAGTAACACAATTCTCACGAAGACTGCACAGGAAGTATTGATTCCTCTCCATTGTTTCAGATAAGAAGATTAGGCACAAAGGAATGATCAGCTTGTCCAAGGTCACTCAGCCAGTGGTGGAGCCAGGATCCAAATCCAGGCAGTCTGGCCCCACAGCCCATAATAACCACCCACCATTGAAATCTGGAATCTCCATAACTAAGAATGCCATGTGAGAGCGCCTGATGAGTTTCACTAATAGAACTATCTGGGATGAGGGAGAGTGTCTTCTCTATTGAGAACTGAGCAGACAAAACCACGAATAGAATTTTTAGAGCTGAGAATTGCACACTGAGAGATATTCGAGCTGCAGAACATCCAGGAGATGGGCCAGAACAGTGAGAAATTCAGAGAGAGAGAGATGTTAGCCTGGGAGAAGAAGGGCTTCTGGATGGGAAACGTGCTGCCTGTGAACAGCTAAGAGAGGCTATTCTATAGGGAAGGGACTCAAATCACCTGGGGTGGCACTAGTCCATCACAGGACCCAGGGGCAGAAATTTCACAAAACCTGTCAGAACTCATGAAGGATTAAATGGTCTCTTTTAAGCAGCTAAATTCACTTTTTCTGGTGCAGTGATTCTCAACTGGGGGAAATTTTACCCCTTGAGGGGCATTTGGCAAAGTCTGAGACTTTTTTAAAAGTCACAGCTCAAGGACAGAGGGGCATACTACTGGCATCTAGTGTGTAGAGGCCAGAGATGCCGCTAAATATCCTACAGTGCCCAGCACAGCCCTCCATAACACAGAGTTGTCCAGCAAAACTCACTGGTGGTGTTGGAATGGAGAACCTTGCCCCAGTGGTTTTCAAACATGGGTCTGATGCTTACTTGGCATCAGAGAAGCAGTAAAACTAGGTGATCTTTATAACCCTTCCTTCCAGTGCTGAGATTCCGAGATTCAGTTATTTCAGCTTTGGGTTAAGTCGGTCTTACCAATGGCGTGAAGGGCAAACAGCTGATCAAAGGGCCTGATAGCAGAGTGCTTGCTGGAGCCGTTAACAAGCACCGCAAGCCAGTCACGCCCTTTGCTGAGGATAAAAGTCCTGGGAAACCAGCATGCGATATTTCTCCCCAGTGTGTCTTTGCTGTATTCTTGGCATTCTTCAGTCCAAGAGCCATACCTAAATTGGAACATTTACGAGTGTTATGAGGTTGCAGGAAACAACCATTTGCCTAAGTAAAAATAGGTACAGTACTAACCTATAGTAGAGAAAATACTGCGTGTCCTCAGGGGCATCTGTGCCAACAAGCCAGGTGCAGTGAAGGGAAACTTGGTATGACCTTAAACGTGAATAATTGTCTTCTGTAGTGTTTGTGGTGCAAGTTAAATTCACAATTGAGGTTCCAGGAGACCCTAGGTAGTCAAAAGTAAAAAGGACAAAACATTGCCATGGCAAACTCTGAATTTCATGCTTCTTTTGGAACTATAGTGATGTGAACGTCGTATTCATCACCAAAAAATAATCATCTTCACATTTTTTTTTCCCTTGAGACAGAGCCTCACTCTGTCACCCAGGCTGCAGTGCAGTGTTGCGATCTTGGCTCACTGCAACCTCTGCCTCCTGGCTTGGAGCGATTCTCGTGCCTCAGCCTCCCAAGTAGCTGAGATGACAGGTGTGTACCACCACACCTGGCTAATTTTTGTATTTTCAGTAGAGCTGGCGTTTCACCATGATGGCCAGGCTGGTCTTGAACTCCTGACCTCAAGTGATCCACCCACAGCCTCCTAAAGTGCTGGAATTACAGGCATGAGCCACCATGCCCGGCCATGATCACATATTTCTAGAAACCTACTAACTACAAAAGGCCAACTTACTGGAGATATGGAATTAGAATTATAAAGTCCCCATTTCTGATATTCGAGAGCTTCCCAGCTATTTTGTTTGGGGCCTGGGGGTGGTGTTTGTGCAATACATGTGTGGAAGTTCAAGAGAAGTACAATATATTGTCATTTTGAGGTTGATGTCCGGCAACTTTGGTGCTCTAATGCCACATTTGTTAATAACTAGCTGTGAGACATTGACCCCCACTCTTCTGGGCTCTGTGTTTTCAACTGTAAAGGAGCGGGTTGGTACAGGAAGGTCTTGCGTATCCCTTTCCATCCTAGAATTGTGTGATTCATTAGGTTGTATCCAAATTCTTCATGAATTACATAGGTTGCTGCTCAGAAGAAATGAGTTTTGACAACACTGCAAGATTGCAGACTTTGCAGACTTGATGCACATTAGCATGTTAAAGTCCTCTTTAATATACTAGGACTTGAAGAAAACCTTGAATTGGCCAGGCACGGTGCTCATGCCTGTAATCCCAGTGCTCTGGGAGGCCAAGGCGGGTGGATATCTCTTGAGCCCAGGAGTTTGAGACCAGCCCAGGCAACATGGTGAAACCTCGTCTTTGCAAAAAATATAAAAATTAGGTGTGGTGGCATGCACCTGTAGTCCCAGCACTTTGGGAGGCTGAGGCGGGCAGATTGTTTGAGCTCAGGAGTTTGAAACAAGACTGGGCAACATGGCAAAACCCCAACTCTACAAAAAATACAAAAATTAGCCAGGTGTGGCGGCATGTGCCTATAGTTCCAGCTACTCGGGAGGTTGAGGTGGGAGGATCACTTGAGCTGGGGAGGTCGAGGCTGCAATGAACCAAGATCATACCACTACACTCCAGCCTGGGCAACAGAGTGAGACCCTGTCTCAAAAAACAAAACCTTCAGATTTTATTTTATTTATTATTATTATTATTATTATTATTATTTGGAAACAGAGTCATTCTGTCACCCAGGCTAGAGTGCAGTGGCATGATCTCAGCTCACTGCAACCTCACCCTCCCGGGTTCAAGCAGTTCTCCTGCCTCAGCCTCCCGAGTAACTGGGATTACAGGCACGTGCCACCACACTCAGCTAATTTTTGTATATTTAGTAGAGACGGGGTTTCACCATGTTGGCCAGGCTGGTCTCGAACACTTAACCTCAAGTGATCTACCCGCCTCGGCCTCCCAAAGTGCTGGGATTACAGGCGTGAGCGACCGCACCCGGCCAAGATTTTAAATGCAACCTTTTTATGTTTGCTTCATTAAGGATTTCTCAAATTATGTGACTAGAAAGGCTTGTTTTCATTTCAACCTCTCGTTGCTGTATTAACTGTTGGTCTTTAAAATACACTGTGGGAAACACTGGCCTTGTTGGTGGTTGCTCAGAGAAGGAAACAAGCTCTTGCACCTGGGCCAGGAAGGACCGCATTCAAGTGGGAGCCTTGAGAGATAGAAGGGGGTCTTTTGATCGTAGCTTAAGTGAGCTGTAGATCATTTTTATCACTGTCAGCCAGTGTCTTTCAAGAAGCAGAGGGAGAAGATGATGAGAGAGAGCCTCTTATTACCTGTAGAGAAGTTAAAGATGGATTTCTTCTTCATATCTGTGCTTTTGCACAGACAAAAAGAAGAACTACCTCAAAGCAAATTGACTTATTCAGTTCATGTATATATGCATATATTAGGTTGATGTAAAAGTAATTGTGATTTTGGTCATTACTTTTGCACCAACCTAATATATATTTGTCCATGCATTAAATGACCAGAAAGTCCACACCCAAGTACACTTTAGAGATCCTGACAACTCTTTGTCTTATAGTTCTCATCCAAAGAATCATTTAAGTGAATTCCACTTGGTTCAAAACAGAAATAATTTTTATTAGTGTCATCCTGTATCAGAGTGTTCAGAGGATAATTAGAATTGTAGAAATGTAAGCTGCAAAGTGCCTCATAGGTAAAATCCAGTTGTTCATTATAGAAAGGAGGAATGGTGGTTTGACGTAAGCCACATACAATAACCCATCTCTGTGTTCCTGTATCTACCTTGGATTAGTCTCTGTACTTGGGATCAAGCCCATGCAAATTGGCTGGTATGTGGTCTAGACAAGTTATAACAAGTAAATGGGGCCGGACACGGTGGCTCATGTCTGTAACCCCAGCACTTTGGGAGGCCGAGGCGGGTGGATGGCTGGAGGCCAGGAGATCGAGACCAGCCTGGCCAACATGGCAAAACCCCATCTCAATAATAATAATAATAATAATAATAATAATAATAATAATAATACAAAAATTAGTCCAGCATGGAGGCGCATGCCTATAATCCCAGCTACTCGGGAGGCTGTGACATGAGAACCGCTTGAACCCAGGAGGCAGAGGTTGCAGTGAGTCAAGAACACACCACTGCACTTCAGCCTGGGCAACAGAAGGAGATTCTATCTCAAAAAAAAAAAAAAAAAGTAAATGAGAAGATCTTTATGTTTCTGTTTTAAGTCACTGACACAATTCAGGAGGTATGGTCTTTTCAGCTGGTGATATGACAAAATAGTCGTTTGAAAATTACCCGTGAGCTCAACTGACCAAGACAATGGTTATTGGGTGCACCCACATGTCCCAGGACTTGGTAGCCTGCTTCTCCTCTTTTCTCTCCCCTGTTGTGTGTGCACTTAAGTGTTTGATCAGAAGTATTACTGACTCTAAGTATCAGAAACACCAACTTTCCACTGGAGGCCAATGCAGAGACAGTGGATATTTCTGCAAGAATGTGCCAGATGGAATTCAGTTGGTTATGATAAGAAGTGGCAGCAGCCTTGGTTAGGATGTTGTTGATATGGGAGAGTACTTGAGAAGAACGGGTGACTGACTAAAGAAAAGTGGGTTAGTGTTAATTTTTCTACTTTTCCATATTTGCAAAGTCCAAAACATACAAACTGGACTTTTGGAGGCCTGCTTTACCTGGTGGGGCATGAAGTTCAGCAGAAGCCCAGCTGCTGGCCAGTAGTGAGTGGTCGTTCTGCAGGATGGTCCGCACACTTGCTGAAAAGCCTTTGTGGAGGATGGTTACACATTTGCTTTCAGTGATTCTGGTTTCATACTAAAAATAAAACCCACAAGTCATGATACATAAAAGAGAACTAGACTTAAGAGAGCTATTTTAATCAAATATGCATTTTCTTCTACTTTTTAAATGATTAGTAAGATGCAATGAAATAGTTTTGCTAGAAAAAAAGTCAAAACAAAACCATTGTAATAACAACATAGTAATTTCTCAATGACACATGAACGCATTATTCTTGTAAATACAAGCGAAATATTACAGTTAAACTCAAGTTCCCTTTGAGCACCATCTCCCCAGAGGTCAATGTCGGACAGAAAATTCTCTAGAATTCCATATTGACTGAAAAATAGTGAATATGAATCACTTCTCCCTTTGTTTGACTTTATTGCACACCTAATATGTAGCAGGTGCCTGAATGTAGCCCCGAGGTAAAACTGAGGCTCTGAGAAGCTAAATGACTTGTCCCAGGTTGCAAAGGCAGGAAGTGGAAGAACTGGGTTTTGAACTTAGTTTCCCTGACTCTCCACTCTGCCTGCTCACTTCTTGTTTTACTAGGCTACTGTCTCCTGTTCTGTTGGTAATTTTATGGGAAACAGAAAACCAGTACCCAATCCATGGTGCCTAAAAAGTTACTAAACATTCTTCCTTAAGGGAAAGAATCATCCAAAAGTTAAAATATTCTGTGATGCTGTTTAACGCTGAACAATACACCCGGCGCTAGCTCACAGGCATTCTTAGAGAGACACTATTCTACTGGTAACATAACATAGAGCCTGTCAGTAATTTTATTTTTTTAATCCAAAATTTTATTTGATAAAGAAAATGCAGTCAAAATGCATATTTATTCTCAATAAGGATATCCATTAGAATAAACACTTACGTCATCTTCTTTTGGAGCGTTTATTTTCACTTGATATTCTAGATTAACATTCCTTTGCTCTTGATCAGGATTTGGTTTCCATTGTAAAAGAACTTGAGCCAAACCAGTAACTTTAATGGTGAAATTGACAGGTGGGAGAAGTGAAACTGTTGATTCAAAGAATAAAGAAACAACACAATGTTCAACTGGACATAGGCAGCACTTTTAAAACTTTTCGAATATTTATTGCCCTGCAGATGCTGTCCTGGACCTGCCAGCACCACAGACACAGTTGCTCCTGCGTGCCTGTAACACCGGGGCAAAGAGAAAGTGGCTATTTCTACCCGAGTAGCTGGGACTACAGGCGCATGCCACCATGCTGGGCTAATGTGGGTTTTTTGGTATTTTTAATAGAGACAGGGTTTCACCATGTTGGCTAGGCTGGTCTTGAACTCCTAACTTCAAATGATCTGTCCGCCTCAGCCTCCCAAAGTGCTAGGATTACAGGCATGAGCCACCACGCCTGTCCTAGAAGAGGTTTCTTCAAAACTGTTTTTAATATCTTTTTTACGTTGCCCATGTCCAGGTGTTTACCTATAATACCTATATTTTTATTGAAATATGAACATGTTACTATATCACTATTCACTATAACCATAATTTTCAAACTGAGAGTCATTATCCATTAACAGGCAATAATAACAATGTATTGGTTTGTGACCAGAATTTTTGTTTTAGTAATGTGGAAGAAAAATAGAATAGAAAATATCAGTGTGCATCAAACATAATAAGAGCTGTTTCATGAATCTCGTTTCCACTACATAAAGGTAGTTATATATTTGTATGTGTGCTGGTACATAATGTAAAAATGTATTTACCTCTTATTATGAGTCACAGACAAAAATATTTGCAAGCAAACTTACTTAAATAGGGCTTTACAGAAAGAAAAGGTTTCTTCCCCCTGCATGAGCCATTCTCTGACTTTGCTTTCAAAATTAAAGCTTTTGTTTAATTACAAAATCAATATCTGTTTATTGAAGAAATTTTGGAAAACACAGATAAGCAGAAAGAAGAAAATAAATTTTTTAAAATAATTGTACCACTAAGAATGGAATTAACATATGATATATTCGTTATGTTTTTTTCTGGGCGTATATTTATGCAATTTTTAATTTTTTTTACCACAATTAGGACGGTATTGTACACACAACTACAAAACCTTCTTTTATTCATTTACTAAGTTATCAGGATTTATCCATTGACCTTAACGGACTTCCACACCTCTACATCCATGTTTACCACATGAGGACTTTTAGAGCTCTGTCTATATTGCATTGTCCATTACGGTAGCCACTGGCAACTTGTGGCTATTGAAATTTTATTTAATTAATCAATTAATTTTTGAGACAGAGTCTCACTCTGTTGCCCAGGCTGGAGGGCAGTGTTGTGCGATCTCAGCTTATTGCAACCTCTGCCTCTCAGCTCAAGCTATTCTCCTGCTTCAACTTCCCAAGTAGCTGAGATTACAGGCATGTGCCACCACACCTGGCTATTTTTGAATTTTTAGTAGAGTTGGGGTTTCACCATGTTAGCCAGGTGGGTCTCAAACTTCTGACTTCAAGTGATCCACCTGCCCCGGCCTCCCAAAGTGCTGGGATTACAGGTGTGAGCCACTGCATACGGCCTAAACTAATTTAAATTCATTACCTTAGTTGCACTATCCATATTTCAAGGGCGCAATAGTCACATATGGCTAGTGGCTACTGCATTGGACATTAGAGAGATACAACATTGTCATTACCATAGATAGTTCTGTTGACAATGCTAGACTGGGACCATGTGATGATTTTCCTTAAACTCTGTCATCACATCAAATACATAACATCAGCAGATTTCAGGACAAAATGCAGTGGAAGTTTCTTAACGTTTGGTCATGGGGCCTTCTAACTACTCCCTTGTGTGAGAAGACATTCCAAATGCGACCACTGGCGCCAGCTTTATTCCATGGTGCCCGGACACCCACACTTTGACTTTGATTTCCCACTGTAGCATAACATTTGCATTTCAGCCAACATTGCTTTCTTAAAATATGGCATGTTTAAAGCATCTGTCTTCTGATGGGGATAAATATTGTCTCATAAAAATCCATATATAATGTTCTAATCGACAGTTTAAGAGGAAATAATGTTATCCTTTTACTAACATATTTTTAAAAATAAACATTATTGAATTGAATAGAAGGTCCTTACTCTTTTCATCAGGAAGTAAGTCAGCTTGCAGTATCTCAGTGGCCCCCAAAAGGATGAGTAATACATGCGCCACGATGATCATATCCTACAGAAAACAAGGGAGATACCAAAATCATCTTGTTGCTATTTTTAAGAAAAACTGATAGCTGCTTTCTAACATAAAATGCAGTCGTTTGGCCATTTAACAGACATTTATGGCATATTTGTTATGCGCAAAAAGTACAAACATGACCAAATGTTGGACTTTGCCCTTCCAATGTAGATTCATAGTTTGAAGGACAGAATGAAATATAAATTGATAAATGTAAACCAGTTGAAAAACTGCCTCAGTAAAGGTGTGTATGGGGTACAATAGGAGCAGAGACTTCTGATTTGCCATCTAAAGGGTGAACTAGAGTCCTTGACGCACACAACAGGGAAGAGACATGCCTGGTGGAACCCAAGGTATGTGCAAAGCTGGAAGAGAAGGAAACAAATAGGAAGGGATTGCTTTTCGACAAGAAACCAGAGCAGATCTTTGAATAGCAGAATTTCTAGCATAGTCAGCAAAAGAAATAAACATTACCTTTTTCACTATGAGGATTTAAAGATGAGTGAACATGACAGGAAACTTCAATCTAAAACAATCTGTAGCCTAAGAGAAACTTTGTATCACCAATCCAGAATCAACTTGTGGTACTTTGAAGAGTGTTTTTTTTGTTTGTTTGTTGATTTGTTTTGTTCCCCCCCCCACCCCGCAAAGGGAGCGGATCACAAAAGAATTGAAAAACACAGTGATAGACCTGGGGAAAATAAAGACAGTATTTCTATGTCCTTGAAACAATTGGGCAATGAGAAGGAATCTAGAGCTGGAAATGTGATAACCCAGTGTGAACACACACAAAAGTCTCGGCATCCTGTTCTACATGTCAAAGAGGAGAGTCGGTGATCTCTTTCTGGGAACTGTAGATGAGAAGTCTTGAGTTTTTCTTCTGCACATTTTGAAAGGCATATTTCATAAGAACTTAACTTTCAAGGGCAAATAACACGCATGGCTTCCCCCTGTGTTGTCCTCACTTTTACAAAGGAGTTCTTCCTACTCTCTTACCACGTGCTCCCCCCAGAGATTTGGTACCAGACACATGTGGCTGTTATACATGATGGAAATCCCTTCCATGGACGTTATTCCTACCCATGAAGGAAAGGAGTCTGAAAGCTGAAATAATCTGCCAAAGATCAAACAGCTGTTAAGTAATGGAGCCTAGACCCAATCTCTGATCTTCCAATGGCAAAACCTATGCTCTGTCAACTTTATGGTACTAATTACAATGATTTATAATTTCATTTAAAACATTTATTTAAGTGGCTTGGTATTTTCCAAATATAATTCCAGTAGAACCACAGGAGAGACCTGGGCTAAATGAATACCTCCAGGAAATAGCACAGAACACTCTTAACTTCATTATTACTTCTTAAATTATTACTTAAGTTGCTACAATTACTGCTGAACTTACTAATGAAATTGGTAAAATGCCAAAACAGCAGGAAAGGATCGGCATATAAATCACTCAATTCCTTGTCAAATAAGCTTAAGTACTGTTAATCAGAAGTATGCCAGTTTTGATTTTAAAATCCTGTTTATTTTTCTCTGAGGATTTCACACCATGTAGAAATTAAAAAAAAAATGAAACGATGACGATGACAACAAAAGCAGGTACTCTATAATTTTTTTAAAATTTTCAACAAGTGAGAATTTTAATGAATTAAGGGAAAACACTAGTAATCTACTAAGCCTGAGAAGCAAAGATAAAAATTCCTTAAGAACAGCAACAAAGATAGCTTCCTCTTTAAGTTATGAAGGTGATTTCTTAAAATGTCAGCATTTCCTGAAATAATATTAAATATGCTCTGATTTTGCACTAATTTTCAATAATAGGAATTCTAGGTCAGAAAAAACTGCAAAATTAATATTTCTTTGTGACTTTCACTGACTGGCAAAGTAAAACTATGTTATAAATGTACTTGTAAAAGCAATAAACATGTATTTATCCTTTGCAATTAAATTGTTGAAGTAAATGATAAAACTGTTGAATATCTCAGTGGAGAGATAATTGAATATTTTATATGAGCAAGCACTCTCCCCTAGAATTTGTCATGTATTCTGATTTTATAGCTGCTAAAAATAGAATTGTTTTTCAAATTTAATCATTCAAAAAATTTTTGATTATTAGTTTTTGGCCATAAATAAATAGACAGCTTTTTCATGTCTCATTGTCATATTTAAAAAGAGGTGCTTTTGAACAAAATCAGTTGTCCTATAGGCAGCACAAGGTACTCAGTAGGGGTCTAAATATTAAAAAGAATGACATTTTTTTTTTTTTGTGAGTCAGATAAATTTTACATAAGGTTGAATAGTACTAGAGCTTCAGGATTTGATACCATGTTTTCTACAATTCTGCTCACTCTCTGTGGCCCCTTAATACTTCTTGTCCCTGCTTAAAACAACAACAACAACAGCAACAACAAATCTCTTCAGGCCATTTCTTTAATCCAAAGATACACTGTTATGTAGATGTCAACTGGGTCATATTTCACTATAAAAGAATAGAGCGACTTCATTAGCTTAAACATATATATCGACAATATGTTCGACTCATTCTTCTCATGGCTACCAATTAAAATCTAGCAGAAAACCATTAAATTGTTAAAATAAGATGCAAACTAAGCAGAATGAAGCAACTATAGGTTGTTTATCTATCACCAGGAAGACATGCTCAATCTTTAAGAGAAATCATGATCTCATGATCTACTTGCTCATATAACATTTCATTGAGTCAATCTAAAATTCCTCAAGTGCTCTCTAAAAATCTAGTTTCTGATAGGTGTTACATTTTTTGAAATTTTGGAGAAAACAACCACAGTCTCCTTCCCTATAGGTGTTTCTAGGAAGTTTGGTAAAATTTTGACAATTAGCAGTGGATTTCCCCAGCGTTCTTGAGAACTGGTCAAATTCTACTGAAGTTCAGACTTACAAATATTTTCCCCTCTTTTTTTTCCCAACTTATTTTTCTGCCTGGGGCGTTCGTTTTATAACCAAAGTTATACTGGCACCCCTGTTTTTAAAACCTTTTTGAGTCAACTGTGGTAACACCTAATTCCAGACTCAACCTTAGTGGCAGAAATTGTAAAGCAACTGAGAGGATTCATGCTCTGGTAGGCTTTTAAATATGAAGAGTTTACTTTCTCTTTTATCCTGTACAGTATAATCAGCAATAAAAGTTATCTCTTGGGGGATGAAGAATAAACCAAGGTATAAACTGCAAAAGACATGTTTACCTAGGTATATTGCATTACCCCCCAATGAAAAACTGCACATTCCTAAATATATAAATGAATAATAAGGACCACTTATCATGCATGCAATTTTTTTTTACTACTACTGTACTTTTGATTAAATTTCTGAAATAGTCCTAAAATAGAACTCATGAGTTCAGGTTGTGGCTGTAAACATAAAACTCTCTGTCAGTCCAAGTGGAAATGGTGTTGCCACCTTGAGTATTTGGAAAAATAGAAGAAAGAGTTTGCTACAAATATCCCAGTAGCAAAATATTTCCTGCCAATTGCACATGGTGCAATTTGTCATCTCACATCCATGCTCCTGGGCGTACCTGTCTACAGACGATCCTCTTGTTCCGACCAGTACTCAACAGAAGATGGCGAGGACCGTGTCTGTCGTGTCTATGCTCGTGGCTGCAACCCCAGCATCTAGCATAGCGTCAGGCACAGGACCAATGCTCAATGTGCCTGGCCCTGTGTGGAATAGAAGCAAATTAGTGCACAGCCCTAATGTGCAATGTGCGGTGAAACCTAACAGAGGAATGAGTTAGGTCAGGAGAGCAGCAGGCTGGGGAGTGTGTAACAAGCCTGGCCCACTTTTGGTATTTTGCCTAAAAATTTCCCATGCGGTGTTTCAAATAATATAAACAAATGAGGTGATTTAACTTCTAAAACTTTATTTTGCTTTGAAATGCAAACTTTTAACAAATAGCTACATAAATTCCTTTTTCGATAACCATGAAAGAGGACATATTCACTTAAAATAGAAATCATGCCAGGTAATAAAATGTTCAGTATGGTAATTCATTAAAGCAAGTACTAAGTACATTATTCACATGGCTATAAAAGCACCATCACTTTTCATGTGTTTATTAATTTTAGGCTCAAGGGTATTAAAATATTCTCGCTCTGTCTCTCCTTTTTCCCCCTTTTTTTTGGTTCCATTTCATCCTTTTTTCTGTCTACATGGAAATATGCTTACCTTGCTTTAGGTAAATACATTAGTGAACACAAAACCAAGTGACATATTTCAGCAAATTTGGGTACATTTTATATACAATGAAACAATCTTGGAAATCCAAGAACCCCTACCAGAAAGAAAAAGCAGAACGCCTCCTTCAGTTAGATAAAGTGCCTCTCTCTACTTTTTGTTGTTGTTTCTTTATTTGTAGATTTCTTGCTTAACTCTGAAACTTCCTGAGATATTTTATTAAACCCTATACCCTATTTTGGAAGCTCATTTATTTTCTAAGAAATCTTGGCAGAATATATGTTCTCATTTTAATTGCATAATTATCTGGAGCGGTGGAAAACAGATGTCTTATATTGATGTAAGCACTAACAAAACCATAGGTGTTGTTTTCATATGACTCACCTTGCCACGGATTTGCACATCTCACTTACTGAGCCAAAACACAAGAATAGAAGGTTATACCCAGAATCAACATGACCTGCCTAATGATGCAAGTTTAATGGGACCATTATTAGTTCTGTCCCTGCTAATAATAATAGAATTATAAGGAGTTTTGTTTCCCCTTTTTGTTGTTTACAAGTTTGTCATATATTTAGAAGTCATTGTTTCTTGCTTTTCCTAACCCTCCTCCCCACCCTGGGTGTAGTGAAATTATTAGGAGGTGGAGCACAGGGTATTGTTACAGCCCATGTCATAGAAAAAAGATATTTATTTGCTTACTCTGTGGTGAGTGAAGCATTTGATTCCCACTTACTGAGAAATGCGGTGGCCATGCGATGAGAAGCAGCGGCAGGGCATTGAGAACGAACCTTATCTCTGGGTGCACTTTTTAACTTAGAGGCGGTTCTTCACTCTTTCATCATCACGGCTGTAATGGTTAAAAACTCTCAGGCAGCTTCCTTCATGATGGGATGGCAACACGTTTTCTCTAAGCAAATATGGAGGAGGATTTGTACAGAGCAACTGTGCAGGAGCTGAACTGGAACTCCCAACAACCAAACTGCTGTCAAACGAAAGAATCTCTCGTCCAGATAGCCATTATCTGATAACTGTCTTGTCTGCATTTTCACTCTCTTTCAGAGTTGGTTTGCTCTCTTCAGGAGTGGGAATTAACTTTTACTCATGGTGACAAGGTAAACAAGTTTTCCGTGGGTACTCTAAAGCGTTGCATTTCTGTTTTGTTTATGTGCCTTGTTTGGCTACAGTAGTTACTGTGCCTCTGTCTCCTAGGCAACACTGACACATGATTTGATAGGAAGTAAGGCCTGAGGAGTACCCTCTCCCCACTCACTAGGCAATAGCAGCAATTCTCTGCCCTTAGAGAACCGCCTTAGCTCTTCTCTGCTTTGTGAGCAGGTCTGGTACCCTCAAGTAAATATGTGTGGGGGATGCGTTTCTGGGTGTGATAAATTGCTGCTGTCTGTCACCTGAGATCATCCTACACAAATTGTAACAATGGCAGTGTTGGTCTGTGGGTGCACCCAAGACCACCTTCCTCACGTCACATCCATTTTACCACCCAGCTGTCTTCAGAATGCTTCAATTTCAGCAAACCTCCTTGGCTTTTCCTGTCCTTTGTTCCATTTCTGTTTGATTCCTTCTGGGGAATTTCGAGGTGGCTAGCTAGCAAAGCTGGCTTTAAAAAAGTAGCTTAGCGTGTGAATAGATAAGAGTAGTGCTTATTGTATGACCCACGGCAGAGAGTAGTAAGTAGTTGCCTTTGGAAGGAGACCTTCAGTCTAGCCTAAGCGATGAGTGATGCAGGATTCCCTGTCTCCTTAGGAGCTGACTGGGAGAGTCTCAGACAGAGCAGATGCAGAAAGATGGTGGCCCAGGTTGGATCAGTGGTTCTGTTTGTGAGATGAGAGACAGGCTTCCTGGAGGCAATTTCCAAAAGGCTCAGTGTAGAAGCTGTGCAAGTACAGTCAGCGTGTGTGCCTGGGGTTCCCAAGGTGACCATTTTAGCAGTTGCCAAAATGAAACCGGAGCAATTGTTATCAGGTTGAAAATTGTTGTCAGACCTGAAAAATGTGATTTTCCTCGGGGAAAGGGGAAGTAAAACAAGGAACAGAGAGAGATCCATTTATTTGCTAAGAGGCACCCAGAAAAGTTTAGATATAGTATCAACTATCTGGCCTACTCTTTTAAGTCCTGCCCATCTGTTTATACATGTAACATATTTGTCACTAATGAAACCTTAAAAATACTTATTAATCATTGGGAAGACAGTAATTTCTGGCTTAAAAGCCTGCTTTAATGGCCTCTCTCCGTATATATATATGTATATTTTTTGAGATGAAGTCTCACTCTGTCGCCCAGGCTGGAGTGCAGTGGCGCAATCTCTGCTCACTGCAACCTCTGCCTCCCAGGTTCAAGCGATTCTCTTGCCTCAGCCTCCCGAGTAGTTGGGATTACAGGCACCCGCCACCACGCCTGGCTAATTTTTTGTATTTTTGGTAGAGATGGGGTTTCACCATGTTGGCCAGGCTTGTCTCAAATTCCTGACCTCAAGTGATGCACCCGCCTTGGCCTCTTAAAGTTCTGGGATTACAGGTGTGAGCCACCACACTCAGCCAATGGTCTGTATATTTCTTACATTCATTTACTCAAATATTCATTGAATGCACCTATGCACTATGCTAGGCGCGGTGAAGGGTATAAAGAAAATTAGATCTGGCTGCTCCTTCCATACCACCTTCCTGGGTATATGATCTTTAATTAACTACGCCAATAAAAACAAACAAACAAACAAAGCAAACACATGCTCATACAGAAACACTGTCTCTATGTTTCTGTATAAGCACAAACGAAAAAATGAGAGGCAGGGACTTTTTTTTTTTCTGGCGGGGGGTTGCGGGGGGGTTGTTTGTTTGTTTTGAGATGGAATTTCAGTCTTGTTGCCTAGGCTGGAGTGCAATGGCGCGATCTCAGCTCACCACAACCTCCACCTCCCGGGTTCAACCGATTCTCCTGCCTCAGCCTCCTGAGTAGCTGGGATTACAGGCCCCCGCCACCACACCCAGCTAATTTTTTTGTATTTTTAGTAGAGATGGGGTTTCACCACGCTGGTCAGTCTGGTCTTGAACTCCTGACAGGTGATCCACCCACCTCGGCCTCCCAAAGTGCTGGGATTACAGACGTGAGCCACTGAGCGAGGCCTGTTTGGTTTTTTATGGCAATAATTTAATTCTTTATAATAAAGTGTAAACGTCCAAAGACAGTATGATAGAACATGCTGGAAGAATTCACAAAAGTCGTTTTTTTAAAAAGTGAAATTAAATGTGTCTGCATCCTTTAAGCAAAACAATGTGAGTTTAGCCAAATAGAAATATGAATAGTAATAAAACGAAAATCATGGTTCAGTGGCTCTACCATGAACTTTGGTTAAAGGAGCTTATTAAAGGTATCAACTTCTAGAACTTGATTCCATGGAAATAATGGAAAAATGTAGATCAAGATTTATACAAAAGAGAGCAAAATTCATTGTACCTTTACAATAGTAAAATAGTAAAAGTACTATAGGAATGGTGAAGAGAAATATGTAACTGCTCAAGGTTGAAATATGTGATGTGGATGTCAAAAGGAATGTTTATCAATAACTTTTTTTTTTCTTTTGAGACAGGGTGGTGCCCTGTCACCCAGGCTGGAGTGCAGTGGCAGGATCTCGGCTCACTGCAGTCTCTGCCTCCTGGGTTCAAGTGATTCTCGTGCCTTAGCCCCCGGAGTAGCTGGGATTGCAGGCATGTGCCACCATGCCAGATAATTTTTGTATTTTTAGTAGGGAGAGGGTTTCACCATGTTGGCCAGGGTGGTCTCAAACTCCTGGCTTGTGATCCTCCCACCTTGGCCTCCCAAAGTGCTGGGATTACAGGTATGAGCCAATCAAGAACTTTTAATAACATAGGGTATTATGAAAAAATGTTAAGTAAAAACAACAGGAGGGTATACACACATGTAATTTTTTTTTACAGTCTTATTTTTGGTCAGAAGATCAGACTAACAGGAATAGTTATCTCTAAGTGGTAGGTGTATTAGTCAGCTATTGCTACAGAACAAGCAACCACAGAACCCTCAGTGGTAAACTGTGATAGGCATGTATTTGTAGCCCATGTGTCTGAGTTTTGACTGGGGTCTGCTTAATCTTGGGCTGGGATCCAGATCACAAAGTGAGTTCAGATTTGTTCCAAGTATCTGCCATTCATTTGGAACCAGTGGCTACCCAGGGCATAATCTTTTTATGGTGACAGCAAAAGTGCAAGAGAGCAGGACCAACTGCACAAGCACGCATCAAGCATCTGCTCATGTCACATTCCCTGACATCTCAAGAGGCTGAGCAAATTGCATGGCCAAGCCCGGAGTCAAATGGACGAAGCCCAAAGTACATTCCACCATGATAAGGCCATGATAAGGATGTGGACATGGACAACTCCTAGTGGGGAGTGAAGAAATGGGACCAACAGTTCATTCTACCACGGCAGGGTTAGTGTTTCTCTTACTTTTATTCTGTGTTTCTATATTTACAAACGTTTTATTCTGTACAAATGCAGGCAGAAAAAGTTATTTTAAAAAATATTAGAGACATACAGATCAATTTAATAGAATTGAGAGTCAAAAATAAACTCTCGCATTTAGGGTCAATTGATTTTTGACAAGAGTGTCAAGACAATTCAGCGGGGAAAAGATCAGCCTTTCAATAAGTGGTGCATATCCACATGCAAAAGAATGCCTCGCAGCATAGACAAAAATGAATTCCAATGGGATCAAAGACCTAAAAGTAAGAGGCAAAACTATAAAATTCTTAGAAGAAAACATAGGCATAAATCTTCATGACCTTCATTTTGTTTCTTTCTTTTTTTTTTTTTTTTTTTTTGAGACAGAATCTTACTCTGTCGCCTAGGCTGGAGTGCAGTGGTATGATCTCAGCTCACTGCCAACTCCCCTGCCTCCTGGATTCATGCGATTCTCCTGCCTCAGCCTCCCGAGAAGTTGGGATTACAGGCGTGTGCCACCACACCCGGCTAAGTTTTATATTTTTACTAGAGATGGGGTTTTGCCATGTTGGCCAGGCTGGTCTCGAACTCCTGATCTCAGGTGATCCACCCACCTTGGCCTCCCAAAGAGCTGGGATTACAGGCATGAGCCGCCGCACCTACCCAATGGTTTCTTCAATAAGATACAAAAGCAGACACAACAAAAGAAAAAAATAGATAAACTGGATTTCACCAAAATTAAAAGCTTTTGTGCTTCAAAGGATACCATGAAGAAAGTGAAAAAAGACCGGATGCAGTGGCTCACGTCTCTAATCCCAGCACTTTGGGAAGCCAAGGTAGGCAGATCACCTGAGGTCAGGAGTTTAAGACCAGCCTGACCAGCATGGTGAAACCCTGTCTCTACTAAAAAACACAAAAATTAGCCAGGTGTGGTGGCAGGTGCCTGTAATCCCAGCTACTCAAAGGCTGAGACAGGAGAATGGCTTGAACTCGGGAGGCGAAGGTTGCAGTGAGCTGAGATCGTGCCACTGCACTCCAGCCTGGTCAACAGAGCAAGACTCTGTCTGAAATAAAATAAAATAAAATACAAGGAAGTGAAAAGACAAGCCACAGCATGGGAAAAATATTTGCAAAGACATATCTGACAAGGAACTTTTATTTAGAATATGTCAAAAACTCTTAAAACCAAACAATAAAAAGAAAAATAACCCACTTTAGCCTGTAATACCAGCACTTTGGGAGGTTGAGGTGGGAGGATAGCTTGAGCCCAGGAGTTTGAGGCTCTGGTGAGTCGTGTTCGTGCCACTGTACTCCAGTCTGGGTGACAGAGCAAGACCTTTCTCAAAAAACGAAAGAAAGATAGAAAGAAAAAAGTAAAATAACCCAGTTTAAGCATGGGATAAAGAATTTGAACAGACATATCTCCAGAGAAGATGTACCAACAGCAAAGGTGCCTAGGAACATCTGCTCCATATCATTAGCTATTGGAAATGCAAATGAAAACCACACTGAGATACCTCTTCACACCCACTCCAATGGCTGAAATGAAAAGGACAATAACAACTGTTGATGAAGATGTGGAAACACTGGAACCCTCACATACTGTTGCTGGGGAGGTAAAGTGAGGTGGCCAATTTGGAAAACAGCCTGGCAGTTCGTCAAAAGGTTAAATGTGGAGTTCCCATACGACTGAGTAATTGCATTCCTAGGCAAATACCCACCCAAGAGAGTTAAAATCATGTGTCTACATAAAAATTTATATGTGAATATTCACAGAAGAATTAGTTATAATGGCCAAAGAGTGAAAACAGCCCAAATGTCCAGCAACTGATGAATGGATAAAGAATATGTGGTATATCCATGCCGTGAAATATTATTCAGCCATCAAAAGAAGCACTGATACTACAACATGGATGAACCTTGAACACATGAAGCTAAGTAAAAGAAGTCAGTCACAAAAGATCACACACTGCATGATTCCACTTATATGAAATGTCCAGGATAAGCAAATCTATAGAGATAGAAAATAGATTCATGGTTGCCTAGGGCTGCCGGGGGATGGAGGGAGTTTGGGAAAAATAAGAAGTTACTGCTAATGGGTATGAGATTTTCTTCTGGGATAACACAAATATTTTAAATTGATTGTATTGATGGTTTCCAACTCTGTGAATATATTACAACCATTGACTTGTACGCTTTGAATAGGTGAATTTTATGATATGTAAGTTATATCTCAATAAAACTGTCATTAAAAAATACCCTAGCAGGATTAGATACCCTCAAAGGATTGAAACAGAATTCTGGGTAATCGTTAGAAAAATTCTAGTGTAAAATCAATCTGTTGAGTTATCCCATGTAGCTAAAATTAAAAGCATATCTTTATTCAGTAAAGAATTTCAGTAGCTTAAGCTTTTTTCAGTTCTTTAGTCCTTTTTTCAGTTCTTTAGTCAGAGACCAGTTCTTTGCTCTGAAAACCAGATACAGGAAATCAACCAGAATGTGTAAAAACAATAGCAAAAACTACACAATTAAACTTCTTCTTCTTATTATTATTATTATTATTTTGAGATGGAGTCTCTTTCTGTCACCCAGGCTGGAGTGCAGTGGTACGATCTAGGCTCACTGCAACTTCTGCCTTCTGAGTTCAAGCTATTCTCCTGCCTCAGCCTCCTGAGTAGCCAGGACTACAGGTGTGCGCCACTACGCCCGGCTATTTTTTTTTTTTGTATTTTTTAGTACAGATGGGGTTTCGCCATGTTGGCAAGGCTGCTCTCGAACTCCTGACCTCAGGTGGTCTGCCCACCTCGGCCTCCCAAAGTGCTGGGATTACAGGCATGAGCCACCACACCTGGGCTAAACTTATGTTGTTAATGTAGATTAATGTCCCATTTCAGTCAAAAGAGAAGCTACCATGTTCCTGGGACTGTCAGTTGCCTTATACACACGATCACATCACAGCTCTATAAACCTCTTTTACAGATGAGTATACTGAGGCTTAGAGAATTTACATAGCACAGACTCTTTGTGATGCTCTCCAAATTCACATTGCCTAGAATGTCAAAACCTTAATTCCATGATTGTCATAATTATTATTTTCACAAAACAGTACAATTGTTTAACTTGGACTGTCTGATTTGATGGTGGTGAGTGTGGAGTTCCTCTTGAGAAACTCCTGATTATTTCAGAATAAGTCTGAATGTGATGTTATTTGGGAAGATCACTCTCTCTCTTGTCTTTCCCTCAAGTGTGCATTAAACTGCTGCTTGTATTTGTCTATTTAACATTATATATATATATATGTTATATATATATATTTATATATATATGTTATATATATATATTTATATATATATGTTATATATATAAAATATGTAATTTTTTTGAGGGTCTCACTCTGTCTCCCAGGCTGGAGTGCAGCGGTGCAATCATGACTCACTGCAGTTCGAACTCCTGCACTCAAGCGATTCTCCTGCTTCAGCCCTCCAAGTAGTTACGACTACAAGCGCACACCACCATGCCAGGATAATTTTTGTATTTTTTGTAGAGAGAAGATTTCGTCATATTGCCCAGGCTGGTCTCGAACTCCTAAGCTCAAGTGATAAACCCGCGTTGGCCTCCCAAAGTGCTGAGATTACAGGCATGAGCCACCATGCCTGGCCTCATTTAAATTTTATATCATACCAAATATTATGTTTATATCTCTGTCTCCACCACAGAGATGGCCAGGTGCAAGTCTCATACCTCCGATCTGAATGTAGATTAGACAATAGGTCTTTATTTTATCGAGCTTGGTTTTGCCAGAATTCATCCTAGTATCCAGCACACAGAGGAGGTCCTCGTGCTTTAAGGAAAGAGGGTTTCTGTTTTTGTAAAAGGGAATTCCATTTGAACCTATATTTTGAAGGTAAAAAATGCAATGGAGAACATCACAAGGAAACTGAATTAGGCTCCTCTTGATTCTGATCTGAGGCTGCTGATAATTCAGAATTTTGAAGGTGATTATTCTCAGTCTTTACCCTTGGGCCTTTGTTCTTTTAACTATTATTGAAGTCTCATCTTTTAAAATTAATGACCCGGTATGACATTTCAGAGCAGCTAAAATTGATTTGTCTATTTACTTACCTCTTTTAAAAGTAAAATAAAATTGCATTTGTGTGTAAAATCCCCCAGCACCAATGAAAATTGCGATTCTACATTTGCTGAGAAATATCTTTATTTGTCCTCTGGGAGATCTTAAACTTTAGTTGCCTTCTATTAAACTTTTATGAGAACAAAACTAGCAAATGACTTTTTCCCCAAACAGGTACTTTTGGTTGTTTCAAAGAAAGAATACATTCTTGAAACAGAACTTGTTCTTTTAAACAAATTACTCAGTGTCACTTACAATGAAAAGTGAGGGTGGGGAGGGGTGTGAATAAATTGCACAATATTAAAATTAGGTCATATTTATGTTTTTTCTGACTTGTCTAAATATTGCCTCAAATATCTTCCCCAGGAGGCCTAAAGTGCTATAATTTAAGTTTTTTGCAGAGACAGAGTTACACTATGTTACCCAGGTTAGTCTCAAACTCCTGGGCTCAAATGATCCTCCTGCTTCAGCCTCCTTAAATGCTAGGATTACAGGTGTGAGCCACTGTGCCCAGCCTAACCCATATTTTTATGGAAAGCATTATTTTCCCTTCACTGTCCTTTTTTATTTATTTTTGAGTTGGAATCTTGCTAGGTTGCTGAGGCTGGAGTGCAGTAGTACAATCATGGCTCACTGCGGCCTCAATCTCCTGGGCTCAAGTGACCCTCCCACCTTAGCCTCCCAAGGAGCTGGGACTACAGGCTTGTGCCACCGCACTTCGCTGCTTTTTTTAAAAAAATCTATTTTTAGTAGAGACAAGGTCTGGCCATGTTCCTGGTGCTGGTCTCTAATTCCTTAGCTCAAGTGATCCTCCAACTTTGGCCTCCCAAAGTGCTGGGATTGCAGGTGTGAGCCACTGCACCCAGCCTAATTCCTATTTTTATGGAAAGCATTATTCTTCCTTCTCTGTCCTATTTTAAAATATAAGTGCACTGGGAACAGTGATATGTTAGGGAAGGCTGATGTGGAGGGGACAGTCCTAGAGTAATTGCTGGTGGGCAGTGGCGAACTCCATCAGTAAGGTCTCACCCTGCTATTTGATGGGTCTACCTCTACTCGGCTGTGGGTTTTCATTTGAAATCGAACTACCTGTGGCTCATGCCTGTAATCCCAGCACTTTGGGAGGCTGAGGCAGGCGGATCACCTGAGGTCAGTAGTTGCAGACCAGCCTGGCCAACATGGTGAAACCTCGTCTCTACTAAAAATACAAAAATTAGTGGGGCGTGTTGGTGGGCACCTGTAATTCCAGCTACTCTGGAGGCTGATGCAGGAGAAACGCTTAAACTCGGGAGGCAGAGTTTGCAGTGAGCTGAGATTGCACCACTGCACTCCAGCCTGGGCGACAGAGTGAAACTCCATCTTAAAAAAAAAAAAAAGTAAAATAAAAAATTAAATGAATAAATGAAATTGAACTACCTGCCTAAAACCCAGAAAGGTGGGTGGGGCTGGGGGGAATAGAAAGAGTATTCAGCATTGAGGCTGATGCAGTTAATGCTAAGTCGAGCCATCAATTCTTTGTGACATCATTTTCCTTGATAGTCCTGTTATCTTTTCATCCACTAAGTTACTAAAGCACAGGCTCGGAGGTTGTGGTAGGCAGCCCTGTGGACCCATTTTAGACTTCTGACCTCCAGGACTGTGAGATGATACACCAATGTGGTTTTAAGCCTTGAAGTCTGTGGTAATTTGTCACAGCAGCCATAGGAAATGAATGCAGGGGTCTTTCCTCATGTCTCATTCCACTCCACCCTCACCGCCTTCCAGTTTGACTCTAGCATTCACTCAGTTCTCTTCCCCACTGTGGCAACGTGCTGGCCCACCCTCCTGGGCATAACTGCCCCAGCCTCTTGCTTGGGCTCTCCAACCCATTTTCATGCTGCAGTCTGCCTGATGGCAGGAAACCACAGATAGGTTTATGAAAACCCCTGCTTTGAAAAACCTTTAATATCTTGCTATTGCCATTAAAATTAAATCCAGATGTCATCCCGAGAAGCACCCAGCACTGCATGCTCTAGTCCCTGCCGTCTTCTCCAGCCTTATCAGTGTTCAATGGTGGTTTTGAGGCAGAATATCTGGCTCCAAATTCTGCTTGTGCCACTTACTCTCTGTAGGACCTTAGACAAATAAACCTCTCTATGCCTCAGTTTCCTCTTCTATACAGTACCTAATTGGATGTTTGTGAAGATTAAACAAATTAATCAAAATAAAATGCCTGGCACTATTCTAAACACAATACCATTGGTAGGTAGCCTTATTCTTACTGTATTACCCATGCCACTGGCAAATTGTGAGCACTGAAACCTCTGGTGAATGAATGAATGCATAAATGAATGGAAGTAATGTTACATTCACAACTTCTCTGTGTGTACCATTGCTTCTCTCTCTAGTGTGCAGAATGAATCAGTGTCACAGACACATAGTCAAAATTTAGATAAGCCAAGAGACAATTGAACACTGGGGAGCCACATTTTGGCTACTAGATGTACAAAGAACGGATCTAAGATCTGGTTTACTATGAAGAAAGATGGAAGCTCTTTGAGGCAATTGCTAAACTCTTGAGGGCATCTCTAGTAAGCACTGAAGGACACTCGAACCAGTGTTCAGACCTAACATTGGTGTATCTAAGAAATATTGATATATACTTCTAAGCTGTTCTTATCTTACTTTTCTGATTTTTTTTTTTTTTTTTTGAGACAGAGTCTCACTCTATTGCCCAGGCTGGAGTGCAGTGGTGGGATCTTGGCTCACTGCAACCTCCACCTCCCACGTTTGAGCGACTCTCTTGCTTCAGCCTCCCGAGTAGCTGGGATTTCAGTCATGTGCCATCAGGCCCAGATAGTTTTTGTATTATTATTCTTTTTTTTAGTAGAAACAGAGTTTCACCAAGTTGGCCAGGCTGGTCTCAAACTCCTGGCCTCAAGTGATCTGCATGTCTCAGCCTCCCAAATTGAGCCACCACTCCTGGCCTCCTGAATTTATTTAATAATGTGTAGCCTTCTAACTGAAGAGTAATATTCATGACTGTGGTGTTTCCACAGAAAGGTATAAACTTGCCAGATGCTAACAGCACTCCCTGTCTATGGTATTTACTTTTGGGTATGTTCTACAGAGAGAGAATATTTCCAGTAGGATTTCTGTGCAGTAAATGTCAGTTCCTTTGCAGATAAAGTTTTATTTCCTTTAGGATGGGTCTATATTAAGAGATAATAGAAAACGTCTTGTGTGGGAGAGAGGAGTTTGAGACCGCTTTGGTTGTCTTCACCATGTCCTAAGGGGTTGAACTGGGCATTCTGTCCAGAGTTCTTTCACCCTTTAGTTTAATGACCTCAAAGTTCTGTCCTGCTTTCATAGGTACATACTTCAATAATTGAATTTTCATGTTCTTAATTTTTTTTGCTAATATATAAAAATGTAATTACTTTTGGGGGGAGGCTTATTGAGGTATAATTTATAAGCAGGAAAGTTTACCTTTTAAATGTACTTGGTATGGTTTGGGTGTGTGTCCCCATTCAAATCTCTCATCAAATTGTAATCTCCAATATTGGAGGTGGGGCCTGGTGGGAAGTGACTGGATCATGGGGGTGGATTTCCCCATCAGTGCTGTTCTTCTCATAGTGAGTTGCAGTGAGATCTGGCAATTTAAAAGTGTGCAGTACCTCCCCACCACTCCTTTTTCCCACTCTGGCCATGTAAGAGGAGCCTACTTCCCCTTCACCTTCCACCATGTCTGCAAGTTTCCTGAGGCGTCCCCAACCATGAGCCGACCGAACGAACCATGAGCCAATTAAACCTCTTTTTTTTTTTTTTTTGAGACGGAGTGTTGCTCTGTCACCCAGGCTGGAGTGCAGTGGCGCGATCTCGGCGATCTCGGCTCACTGCAAACTCCGCCTCCCGGGTTCACCCCATTCTCCTGCCTCAGCCTCCCGAGCAGCTGCGATTACAGGCGCCCGCCACCACACCCGACTATTTTTTTGTATTTTTAGTAGAGACGGGGTTTCACCGTGTTAGCCAAGATGGTCTCGATCTCCTGACCTCGTGATCCACCCGCCTCGGCCTCCCAAAGTGCTGGGATTACAGGCTTGAGCCACCGCACCTGGCCTTAAACCTCTTTTCTTTATAAATTACCCAGTCGCAAGTATTTCTTTATAGCAGTGTGAGAATGGACTAATACAATACTGTTCTATGCATTATGGCAAATACAGAGTTATTTAATCACCACTATAATCAAAACATAGAACAAATCTATCACCTTTCTCTCCCCTCAAAATTCTCTCATGCGCTTTCGTAGTAAATACCTCATCCCATCTTGAGCCCCCTGGCAAGAACTGATCATTTTTTCTCTCTACAGTTTTGCCTTTTTTTTTTTTTGAGATGGATCCTTGCCCTGTTGCCCAGGCTGGAGTGCAATGGTGTCATCTCAGCTCATTGCAACCCCTGCCTCCCTGGTTCAATTGATTCTCCTGCCTCAGCCTCCCGAGTAGCTGGGATTATAGGTGCCCACCACCACGCCCAGCTAATTTTTGTATTTTTCATAGAGATGGGTTTTCACCATGTTGGCCAGGCTGGTCTTGAACTCCTGGCCTCGTGATCTGCCCACCTCGGCCTCCCAAAGTGCTGGGATTACAGGCGTGAGCCACTGTGCCCGACCTATAGTTTTGCCTTTTCTGGATGTCATATGAATGGAGTCTATTATATGCAGCCTCTTGAAAGGGGCTTTCTTCACTTGAGAGTCAGATGTGTTGCTGTGTGTATCAGCAGTTTGTTCTTTCATCTTGCTCAGTAGTATTCCATTGTATGGATATGCTCCAGGTTGCTTATCCATTCATCTGCTGGAAGAAATCTGGGTTATTTCCAGTTTGGAATAATTATAAATAAAGTGACTACACCACTCACATACACGTTTTAGTGTGAACATAAGTTTTTATTTCTCTCAGGTAAATATCTA
This sequence comes from Homo sapiens, assembly GCF_000001405.40. Lineage (NCBI taxonomy): Eukaryota > Metazoa > Chordata > Mammalia > Primates > Hominidae > Homo > Homo sapiens. Next base: position 3,122,755 of record NC_000003.12, read on the forward strand.
GGAGTGGGACTGCTGGGCCATAAGCTATATGTATAGCTAGTCTTATCAGACACCAGTAAACTGTTTACCAAAGTGGCTGGGCCAGTTTGTATTCCCACCCACGGTGTATGAGAGTTGCAGTTGCTCTTCATTCTCATCAGCATTTGATATTTCCAGGTGTTTCAATTTTAGACATTCTAATGGGTATGTAAAGGTATCTCATTGTTGGCCAGGCGTGGTGGCTCGTGCCTGTAATCCCAGCACTTTGGGAGGCTGAGGCGGCAGATCACAAGGTCAGAAGTTCAAGACCAGCCTGGCCAATATAGTGAAACCCCATCTCTACTAAAAATACAAAAATTAGCCAGGTGTGGTGGCACGTGCCTGTAATCCCAGCTACTCAGAAGGCTCAGGCAGCAGACTGCTTGAACCTGGCAGGCATAGGTTGCAGTAGGCCGAGACTATGCCATTGCACTCCAGCCTAGGGGAAAGAGTGAGACTCCGTCTTAAAAAAACAAAAAGGTATCTCATTGTTGTATAATTTGTATTTCCCTAGTGATTTTATATATATATATATATAATATTTTAGACAATGTCTCACTCTGTTGTCCAGGCTGGAATGCAGTGGTGCAATCACAGCTCAATGCAGCCTGGACCTCCTGGGCTCAAAGTGTTTCTCCCACTTCAGCCTCCTGAGTAACTGGGAATACAGGCACGCAACAGCAACCCCGGCTATTAAAAAATAAATTATAGAGAAAGGGTCTCATTATATTGCCCAGGCTGGGCTCAAACTCCTGGGCTCAAATGATCCTCCCACCTTAACCTCCCAAAGTGCTGGGATTACAGGCAAGGGCCACCATATCTGGCCTCTTAGCGATTGATGAGTATCTTTATATATGTTTGGTTGCTAACCATATAGCTTCTCTTATTACGCTTATTTCTTCATATGTGATATATATTTTTATGTACTATATTTTTGCTGATAATATATAAAAATAGAATTGATTTATGTATATTAACCTGGTATCCTGAGACCTTCCTAAATTTACTTGTTAGTTCTAGTAGTAGTTTTGTCAGTTCCTATGATTTCTGTATAAACCACCATCATGTCATCTGAAAATAGGGACAATTTTACTTCCTTTTGAATTGTTACACTTTCCATATCTTTTTCTTGCTTTGTTAATGGTTATAAACTACAGACAAATGTTAAGAAGTGGTAAGATGAGGCATCCTTGCCTTCTTCCTGATATAAGGGGGAGAGTGTTCAATATATTACCACTAAGTCTGATATTGGCTATGGATTTTTCATGAATGACCTTTACTATATTGAGGAAGTCCCTTCTAATTTTTTTGGCAGTTTTTATGAGTAGGGATTGAATTTTAAGTGGTCTTTCTGCATCTATTGTGATGACAACAGTTTTTCTTTTTCAGTTAATATGGTGAATTACGTTGATTGGTTTTAGATCATTAAATACAACTTGCATTCCTTGCACTGGGGACAAACCCAAATTGATCATGATGTATTATCTTTCTATATACTGTTGGATTCAATTTCCTAACATTTTATTAAAGTTGTTTTTGTTTCTATGGTCATGTGGTATATTAAGCTGTATATTAATTTTTTTGTAGTGTTGATTTTATGTTATGCGGGTTATGCTGGCCTCAAAATGAGAGGAAAACTGTTTCCTCCTCTATTTTCTAAACAAACTTTGCACAAGACTGGAGTTCTTCCTTCCTTATGCGTTTGATAAATTTGACCACTGAAACCATCTGGGCCTGGAATTATCTTTGTGAGAAGTCTGTTGAACAACAATTCAATTTCTTTAAAAATGAAAAGCTATTCAGATTTTTAAATTCTACCCTATTTCAGTTCTGATAAATTGTCTTTTTTATAGAATTGGTGCGTTGCATCTACATTGTCAAATTAATTGGCATAAAATTGTTTATAATACCTCCTCATATATATCTACATGATCTGTAGTAATACCCCTATTTTTGTTTTATTGTCTTGGCCAGTACAGGAGGAATTCTCTTACTCTCTCTCTTTCTCCTCTCTCTCTCTCTCTCTCTCTCTCCAGTTGACCTTCCATGGCCATGGGTTCTCCATCAGTGGATTCAACCAGCCACAGGTCAAAATATTAAATAAGGCTGGGGCACCATGGCGCACGTCTGTAATCCCAGCACTTCGGGAGGCCTAGGTGGGTGGGTCACCTGAGGTCAGCAGTTCAAGACCAGCCTGGCCAACATGGTGAAACCCCGTCTCTACTAAAAATACAAAAATTAGCCGGGCGTGGAGGCGGGTGCCTGTAATCCCAGCTACTTGGGAGGATGAGGCAGGAGAATCGCTTGAACCTGGAAAGCAGAGGTTGCAGTGAGCTGAGATCGTGCCACTGCACTCCAGCCTGGGCGCCAGAGTGAAACTCCATCTCAAAAAAAAAAAAAAAAATTAAATAGCAATTAAAAAACACAAAGAAGCGATATAGCATAACAACTGTTTACACAGCATTTATATCAGGTATTATAAGTAATCTAGAAATGATTTGTACTACAGAATGTGTATAGTCTATATGTAAATATTATGCCATTTTATGTAAAGAACTTGAACACTGGCTGGGGTGATGTTCTGGAACCAATACCCCATGGATACGGAAGGACAACTGTATATACACCTGCATATATAAACTATATATTTACAAGGCCAGAAATTGTTGAGGGTGCCCAGCACAGTAACTGGCACGAAGTAAGTCATCATAATAGTTGTATTAGCGTTGCCTTCATAGGTGGTGATTTGGAGAATCTATTCTAGGTGGGTACAGCAATGGAGGCTTTGGTCCAGTTTGTCTAGGGTCATGGTGGTGAGAAATAGCAGACAAGCCTGAAAGGATGATTTGGGGCTTTCCTTGCCCCAAAGAGAGAGAGAGACAGAAAATCCTTGCACCGGATGATATCAATGCTGTGCCTCTGAATGTCCATTTGGAAAGCCAGTCCTGTGCTTCCAAAAACAGGATATTCAACACCTTGAAGAGGTGTGGTAATTGCACATCTTACTTTTTACGTTTTAGGAAGTCTACAGAGAGTGGGGCTGAAAAGTTTGGGAAGAACAGGTAGGCATGTGGGGAGGGCAAAAGAACAGAAATAACATGCACAAGCATTTTTCTAGGAAAATTTTAGGGAAAGCTAAGTGATGTAAAGTTACACTTAAAAGACTACACATTTTCGGCCGGGCGCAGTGGCCGAATCCCGGCAAAAGTAATCCCGGCACTTTTGGGGGCCGAGGCCTGGGGAACACGAGGTCAGGAGTTCGAGACCAGTTGGCCAACACGGCAAAACCCCGTCTCTACTAAAAATTAGCCGGGCGTGGTGGCAGACACCTGTAATCCCAGCTACTCGGGAGGCCGAGGCAGGAGCATCGCTTGAAACCGGAAGGCGGAGGTTGCAGCGAGCCCAGATCGCGCCACCGCACTCCAGCCTGGGCGACAAGAGCGAAACTCCGTCTCAAAAACAAAACAAAACAAAAACTACACATTTTCGCACTTTAAGGGCTCAACGGCTGTATTCCCACTCCTTTGCCACTCTCTTTGCTCTTTTCCGCTCTAGAAAGAATTAATGAACTGGATCAAATCTAAGTTCTCCACGTTACAGATGGGAAGCCTCCGGGCCAAGGAGGCCAATGGTTACACAAACCAGGTAAGAAAATAAAATATGCCCAGTAAGTTCATAGGACCGGCGGGCTTAGATTTCGAATGCGCGTGACTCTGTCAACTGTGGACTTAACCCTATGCAGAGATTAGAGGAGAGAATAGTCAAACACGGATAAGTTAACATTTACCGAACAGTCCGTCCTACCCTGGGGTAGGTTTTATTAACAGTCTCGTTTTGCAAAGGAAGACAGCTGCCAGTTGTCTCAGATCGCACGGGCATGCCGCGCAGATGGGCTTCTGAGCAGCTCAGGGCCAGCCAGAGGTCTGGCGAGAAGGGCGTAATTAAACGAACCCGCGCCGGTTTCCTCAGGGCCCCCCGGGGCTCCGCTTCGCCCCAGCGGGCCTCGGCGGGGCTGGGAAACCGGCTGAGGTTCGCCTCACGGTGGGGAGGAGCGACGGGAGGCGGAAGCCCTTCGGTCCGGGCCCCGCCCCCGCACTCGCCCTCGCCCCGCCGCGACTTCCCATTCGCCGCCAACCCATGTGCGTTGGTGACGTCACCGCGTTCACCAGCCCGGAAGTGCGCGTGGCGGCGGTGGCGGCTGCGGCAACAGCGGGGCCGGTAAGCGGGCGCGCGCCGCTCAGAGGGGCAGAGTTGGTGGCGTGAGTTGCTGCCCCTTCCTTCCTGCTGTGGGCCAGAGGCGCCACCGCGCCCGGTCCTCGAGGAAGACGGGAGCGGGACGTGGCGAGAGGCCTCCTCAGCAGTGGGCAAAATAGCCCCGACGCGGAGGTCGTGTCCCCGCCACGTTTCCGGCGACCGCAGGCGCGGATTCCTTGGCTTCCCTCAGCACTTTCCCCTCCGCGCGGACGGCCCCGAGACGCTTTTTCACTGGGCCTTGTCGCCAGCACCCGGCGTGGGGGGTGAGACGCGCCTTTTCAGGGCTGGGGTTCCCCAGAGCGTTTTCCTAAGTCGAGGCGGAGGTGCGAGGAAACTGAGTGGGTCTTTCCGCCCCACGTGGCCTGCCGGGAAGCGCGGCTCCTCCACCCGCTTCCGTGGAATGGAATGGTTTTTCTCTGCAGGTTTACACCGGGGTCACTCGAGAGCTGCTGCGGCCTCCTTATGGGCAGGACCCCCGTATGGGGAGAACGAGGATGTGATATGTAGAAGGGAAGGCCGCGGTGTGCCAGAAATCAGAGGAGATTGCAAGATGGCAGGAAAAGAATCAGGAAAATGGGGGCAGCAAAACTAAATTCATGGGAAAATACAATGTCTAGGAGCTATCCCAGGGTCGTGAATCCTCGAGTGCAGGTGGGGAAGTAGGGTGATACCCACCTGTGACCATGACAAGTTTTGGAGACCAGAAACTCGGTTAGAGTTTCTAGAACCCCGCATCCCTCTCATACTGCCTGAAGCCCTGCTCTGGGGAGAGTGTCATCACAGTACCATGTGGCATGCGAGTGTCGTGGTAATGCTCCCCGACCAAACCACCAAACCGAGGGTTGGGCTGCTTATTCTCGCTGCCCAATAATGAGATGCAGATAAACTAGGAAAGAAAGGAGTTTATTTCTGTAACCAGGTACGGGGCGAAGGCGTGGAAAATATCCCAGACCGACTCAGAATTACAGAGCTTTCCAGAGCTTATATACCTTGTAAGTTGTATGTTTATGTGTAAGTGTGCATTGATCTAAAGATACAAGTGATTAACTTCTTACCCATAAGATCTGAGTCCTGAAGACCTTCCTCTGGAGCCTGAGTAAATTTACTTAATCTAAATGGGTCCAGGTGCTGGGGTGATTACCCTTATATTCTCTCCTGCTAAATCATGGAGGTTTGGGGAGTTCCCTCAGACCCCTAATAAACTTGTTCGTGGAGGCCTGGGGAGTTTCCTCAGATCCCCAGTAAAACTTGTTTAATTCTAAACGGGTCCTGTTAAGAATTCCTTTGTGGCCGGGCTCAGTGGCTCACGCCTGTAATCCCAGCACTTTGGGAGGCTGAGGCGGGCAGATCACTTGAGGTCAGGAGTTCGAGAGCAGTCTGGCCAACGTGGTAAAACCCCGTCTCTACCCAGAAGTATAAAAAATTAGCCGGATGTGGTGGTGTGCGCCTGTAATCCCTGCTACTTGGGATGCTGAGGCAGGAGAATCTCTTGAACCCAGGAGGCAGGGGTTGCAGTGAGCTGAGATCGCGCCACTGCACTCCCGCCTGAGCGACAGAGCGAGACTCCATCTCAAAAAAAAAAAAAAAAAAAAAAAGAATTCCTTTGTTATTTTATCATGCTTCAAGGTCCAGGAAAGGCCTAGGCAAAACTCTTGGGGGGCTTTTGTTACATTCTAGCCTTGTTTAAGGGCACTGGCTGGCTCTTTCAGCTTTTAATATGTAACTCAACCAGTCAGTCAGTACTGAAACAGTTATGGAGGCCTGCGCTAGTGAGACCCCGCCTGCCACAGTAAGTGCTTCTGGAGAACAAAACCAGGTAGATACATAGACCTAGTCGTAATCCCTCAAACTGACACCGTTTTCAGTTTTTTCATCTGAACAAGAGATGAATTTCTGAGTTGATAAACTTGAAATGTGTCCCCCTTTGTTTTCCTTCACTTACCTTCACTTTTAATTTCATTGGTATGCCTGTGTATTTGCCTTGTAGATGTGTAGTTGGTGACTGCCTCTCCAGATGCTGAGGTGCCTGTATCATTGGCACAGGCCAGTGCTGAACCGTAGGTGGAGTAGGCTGTGCCTTCCGAAGCAGTATCTATTCACAATGAAGTTGCAGTCTCCCGAATTCCAGTCACTTTTCACAGAAGGACTGAAGAGTCTGACAGGTGAGAGATTAGGATACCTTTTCTTGATTGGAAACCTATATAAATGGAGAAGTAGAGGGTTAACTTTTTAAGCCAGCATTCGGATATTTTCATTGTTGTTTTAATTATTTTTATTAAAAAACGTAAGTAGAGGGTCTCTTTGTGTTGCCCAGGCTGGTCTCAAAACTCCTGGGCTCACTCCTTGGCCTCCCAAAATGCTGGGATTACAGGTGTGAGCCACGGTGCCCAATGTGCACGTTTTCATTGTTGGAAGAAAGGCTTGGCTGGGTGTACCCAGCCTGTAATCTCTTGGGGAGGCCAAGGTAGGAGGATTGTTTGAGCCCAGGAGTTTGAGGCTGCAGTGAGCTATGATCATGCCACTCTAGCCTGGGCAACAGAGTGAGACCCTGTCTCAAAAAAAGAGAAAGGAATATTAAAAGAGAAAGGCTTACATATGGCTGATCCAAAAATATAGCTAAATCACTGGAAAAGGCAAGAAGTTGACTGCAGTAAAAAGCATGGCTTTTCTGTATGCTGTGCTAAGTACTTGCCATTCATTACAGGACTGGTGCTACTAACTTAATGAGTACGCACATTTTGACCTGTTACGTGAAAAAGGAAACAGATTGTTAGGCATGTGAAGTGCTTTGCCTGTGTTTCTGTAACTACTAACTAGAGAGCTAGGTTTCGAACTTACGCAGATTGATTTCAGAGCCCAGCTTGCAACCGCTAAGCTCTGTTTCCTTCCTAGGTATAAATGCTTTCCATGAGAACTGAAGGAAGAAGGAAATAGGAGTTGCCTCCATTGTGCACGTTGCAAAACCTGTCTGGAAGGAGCATAGGAAATGGCTTTAGCTAAGTGCCAGTAGCTTCTTGCTGTTGCCACAGTTTCATTAGTGTTGATTCTCAATGTTGTCTGCTGATGTTGCTAAAGCAGCCACACAGTAGCATTACAAAGCCTGTGGGAATTTTAATAGCACCTTCATAAATATATTTAGTAGTATATGTAGAAATATGACCTATACAGCACTGGCTATCTATTAGATTCACCTGGGGAGCTTTTAAAGCACACATGCTCGGGTTCTACCTGCAGCCTACTGAATTAGAATCTCTGGGTGGGATGACCATCTATATTTTTAATAAAAGCTCCACAAGTTAATTCTGATGCACAGAAGATAGACGAACCATTACTTTAACATGACTCACCTTGTATTAGCTTATTCTCAAAGCTACTTTCCCATTCTTGAAATTGGATGATGGCTTTTTAGGTACGTGCCAGAGATAAATGGCCCAGAATATGTTGATTCTTTTAGATTGTTTTAGGCAGACTTTAAGTAGAGGGCTTAAATGCATGTTTGGTTTTGCCGATGCTTCACTATCTTTTTTAATTGGAGAGAGTGAAAATTGCTAAAAATTGCTGTCCAATAGAAATTTATGAGCCCATATGTAATATAAACTTTTTTACTAACCACATTAAAAAGATAGAAATGGTGAAATAAATTTTAATAATTATTTTTGGTTCATCTAATTTAATCCAATATATCTAAGATACTATCAGTATGAATTTTGTATAAAAATTGTTAATGAGGCCGGGCACAGTGTCTCCCACCTGTAATCCTAGCACTTTGGGAGGCTGGACATGGTGGCTCATACCTGTAATCCCAGCACTTTTGAGTGGCTGAGGTGGGTGGATCACTTGAGCCCAGGAGTTTGAGACCAGCCTGGGCAACACGGTGAAACCCCATCTCTACTAAAAATATGAAAAATAGGCAAGCATACTGATATGTGTCTGTAGTCCCTGCTACTTGGGAGGCTGAGGTGGGAGGATCACTGAAGCCTGGGAGGGGGGCTTGCGGTAAGCCGAGATTGTGCCACTACACTCCAGCCTGGGCGACACAGACCGTGTCTTTAAAAAAAAAAAAAAATTAATGAGATATTTTATATTCTTACTTGGAAGTCTTTGAAGTCTGGCATGCATTTAATACAGCACATCTGAATTCAGACTTACCACATTTTAAGTGCTCAGTAAGTACAAGTGGCTGCTGTTTGAATAGTGCAGATTTTGAAGCTGTGATTTTGGGTTGAGTTGAAGCTTTTTTCTTTCTGTGTATGCCCTTCACAGCCCCCAATTTTTCAACTTCAATTGCAAGAGGCCTCTTGGAAGAAGGAGTAGTAATTAACTCTTGATGGCCTAACTCAGGTCATTCTGCATTTTTTGGAAATAAGGTTCTAAATATTGATTACTATAGTTTCTTGAACATCATTTTAACAATTGTGTTTAACGTTCTAAACCTGAAACTGGCTAGCCATATGTAGAAAGCTGAAACTGGATCCCTTCCTTACACCTTATACAAAAATCAATTCAAGATGGATTAAAGATTTAAACGTTAGACCTAAAACCATAAAAACCCTAGAAGAAAACCTAGGCATTACCATTCAGGACATAGGCGTGGGCGAGGACTTCATGTCCAAAACACCAAAAGCAATGGCAACAAAAGCCAGAATTGACAAATGGGATCTAATTAAACTAAAGAGCTTCTGCACAGCAAAAGAAACTACCATCAGAGTGAACAGGCAACCCACAACATGGGAGAAAATTTTCGCAACCTACTCATCTGACAAAGGGCTAATATCCAGAATCTACAATGAACTCAAACAAATTTACAAGAAAAAAACAAACAACCCCATCAAAAAGTGGGCGAAGGACATGAACAGACACTTCTCAAAAGAAGACATTTATGCAGCCAAAAAACACATGAAAAAATGCTCATCATCACTGGCCATCAGAGAAATGCAAATCAAAACCACTATGAGATATCATCTCACACCAGTTAGAATGGCAATCATTAAAAAGTCAGGAAACAACAGGTGCTGGAGAGGATGTGGAGAAATAGGAACACTTTTACACTGTTGGTGGGACTGTAAACTAGTTCAACCATTGTGGAAGTCAGTGTGGCGATTCCTCAGGGATCTAGAACTAGAAATACCATTTGACCCAGCCATCCCATTACTGGGTATATACCCAAAGGACTATAAATCATGCTGCTATAAAGAGACATGCACACGTATGTTTATTGCGGCACTATTCACAATAGCAAAGACTTGGAACCAACCCAAATGTCCAACAATGATAGACTGGATTAAGAAAATGTGGCACATATACACCATGGAATACTATGCAGCCATAAAAAATGATGAGTTCATGTCCTTTGTAGGGACATGGATGAAACTGGAAACCATCATTCTCAGTAAACTATCGCAAGAACAAAAAACCAAACACCGCATATTCTCACTCATAGGTGGGAATTGAACAATGAGATCACATGGACACAGGAAGGGGAATATCACACTCTGGGGACTGTGGTGGGGTCGGGGGAGGGGGGAGGGATAGCATTGGGAGATATACCTAATGCTAGATGACACGTTAGTGGGTGCAGCGCACCAGCATGGCACATGTATACATATGTAACTAACCTGCACAATGTGCACATGTACCCTAAAACTTAGAGTATAATAAAAAAAAAAAAATTAAAAAAATAAAAAAAAACATATACCTATTGAAGGAAAAAAAAAAAAACACAAAAAAAAAACACTGGATTTTCTCCACCCTGAGAAATGAGGTCCTAAGGAAGTTAGAGCCTAAATGGTGTGGTAAGGTAGAGGTGGTGATTGCTTCCAGAGTCCTGTCCTTGAAGGACTGGCAAATGAGAACATGGATATATTCTAAAGTTGACTTTTTCTAGGCTACTGGAGAAGTGGCAAGAATGGAATCTTTTAGTGCAATGATCAACAAGTTAGAATGTCAAAGACTTGGGTGCCCTGGTAAAATGTAATGTTCTGTATAAAATCAAAATGTACAAAAACACACAGCCTTTCTGATGGCTGCTATATAGTGATACTTGGAGTTTAAATCCTGTACCAATTTTCAAATCTTAATAGCTGCTTTGCCATGTGTAAAATTAGTTTTCAGTATGCAAGAATATGAGAGACTAGAATAGTGTATTATTGTCATATCATAAGGGTTTTATAATTTGTCAGGTTATTTTATGTATCTTTTTGCTTCAGTACAATCATATGCTAGTGGCATAGAAGATTATTTCCCAGCTAGCTGTGGTAGCTCATGCCTATAATCTCCCAGCACTTTGGGAGGCCGAGATGGGAGAATTGCTTGAGCCCAGGAGTTAGAGACCAGCCTGAGCAACATAGTGAAATCCCATCTGTACAAAAATAATAATAATAAATTTAGCCAGTTACAGTGATGCACACCTGTAGTCCCAGCTACTCAGGAGGCTGAGGCAGGGGGTTCCTTGAACTTGGGGTCAGGGCTGCAGAGTGAGCTGTGGTGGTGCCACTGCACTCCAGCCTGGATGACAGTGAGACCCTCTCTCAAAAAAAAAAAAATGAGAGACTATTTTTCTGTCCTAGAGATGAGGCTGAAGTTCCCAATGCAGACGATTTTTGCCTGAGCTAACAGCATTAATGGATGAGCAAGGACTTGTTTAGTCCTTTGGCTGTTGTCCACAGGGGGTGATAGCGCTCAGTGTTATGTGACGTCAGAAGGCCATCATGTTAAAATATAGCACGATAGGGACAACTGATCACTCTCTTGAAGTCCGGAGCTCTTAGAACAGATGGTCTGTTTTTCTGTAGTAATGCTCACACCATGTCTTCCCACTCATAGCTCCCACTCACTGCCCCTTACCCCACCCCAGCCTCCAGTCGTCAAAATTTAAAGCTGTAAAGGGAAGACGTTCATGAAAATTTAATTAAAAGTTAACATTAAAAAGAGGTGACAGTTATAAAAGTTTTCTGACACATTAATGTATGGTCTTTTGAATTGCTAATAATAATTAACAATTGCTTACTATCAGAGGTGGCATTTGGAGCAAATAAACGTAGTTTGGGGATGATGAGATTCTGCATTCTTTGACTTTTAGGCTTAAGTTTACAGTTAAATTTAGTTACATTAGGTGTTATTTTCACTGAATTATTTCATTGAATGTAGCTCGCAAAGTCTTTTGAAATGTTGACTGCCTCCCTGTTTCTGTAAGATTGAAGATATCAGTAACAGGAATAAATAAATCTTGAAGCTTGATAGTCCCTGCTGTTTTAGGCCAATGTGAAATTATGCTTTTCTTATAATTTTTATGACTGCTCTTTCATATAGACAAATATGCCTTGATACGTCTTTCTCAGTTGTCTTAAATGTTATTTTAAAAATCCTGAATGGCAAGGTTTTTGGAATGGTTTAATAACATAGGCTAATCAAAATGGTGAATATATTACTTTGAGTTCTGGATCTCTTTGTAATGCAGTTAGCTTACTGAGTAAATTTGAACTTATCGTTTTATTTTAGTAAAGCCAGCATGAGAATCTTAAAACAGTAGTTATCTGTATAAATTAAGCCTTGACCTTCTTCATCCCACTGTTTATAGTAAGTTCAAGTGAACGTAAAACTTGTCCTTTATTTGCTTGAATTTCAGAACAGCTACTTGATACCGTTTTAAGAAAACTTAAAAAAACCCAATACTTACCAGTGAAGTCATTCTTTTTTTTAATAGTTAGAATATCATAATTCAGTTTAATTATGAGCCAGATTGGTATAAAGATGAATAAGATAGGTTTTCTACCCTGAGAAGTGGGGAGACAAAGACATAAAACAGGTAATTTTAATATAATTGGTATGTATAAAGATATGCTGTACTAGTCGCTTAGAAGAAATTCACCTAACCTTACCTTCAGGTGAGGCTTCCTAAAGTGAGTCACAACAGATAAGTAAGAGTGAGCTAGATCATTGTTTTCCAACTGGGTAGTTACCTCTTAGTGGGCCATGAAGTCAATTTAGTGGTCATGACCAGTAATTAAAAAAAAGAGAGAATAGAATAGATTGCATGGTACGAAGGGTAGGTTTTCTTTTATGATACTTTTGTTTGCCATGTAGACATACAAATTTTGGTGACTGCTATGTGAATGTCTTAGTGTGGGTTATGGGCTAAGAAGTGTGACAGCCAGCCACTGAGCTGGAGTAAGTTGGGGAGGTGTTTCAGTGAAGTGACTCACACAAGCAAAATTATGGAGGAAAACTGTGGGGAGAGTTTTGTGCAGACAGCTGGTACAGACAGTGTGATGCAGAGTTTAGCAAGAGATGAGACAAATAGGTCATGGAAGCCTTTGGATATAGCACTGAGGAATTTGGGTACTGTGTTGTGAGTAGTTAGGAGGAGCAGTTAATGCGTAGCGTAATTAACCTAGTGTTTTAAATCCCTATGTCTAGATGGTGGAGGCTGGATTTAAGGGAGGTGATGTGGTCCCAGAAGTGGGCTTTCATGGGAAATGTGGCATTAGGGGAATATGAACACTTCCCCTTGGGGAGAGCTTGTGGAAAAGATATCCTTAATTAAGTCAAGAGGGTAGGGAGCATTTGTTACTTTTAAGTACATCATTTTAAGGAGTCTACAGAGAATGGGGCTGAAAAGATGTGGGAAGAGTAGGTGGAAGAGGAGTGTGGGCAGGACAGAAAACAGATGTTGAGGTAGGGATAGAGGATTCTGTTTTGAGTTGTGATTAGAGGTGCTGGAACTTTGATGTATGATGAGTTTAGTTGAATGCTCGTGTTGCTGTCTGCTAGCCAAAGACCAACAGGGACACAAGTTGGGTTGTTACTCCTGGCAGTGAGGAGCAACATGCTGAGTGAGGAGTAGCATGCTGACACTGGAGAACCTGGAGGTATACTCAGTAAGAGGGCTTTAGAAATGACTTCTTATAGGAGTTGGGCTTGTATTGGGTCATTTTGGAGAGCATTTAAGGTAGTAGAGCTTTGCAGCGGGTTAGATGCTCTCAGGAAGCAGAAGTAATTCTGTGATTGGGTGTCTTAATAATGGTTTCCTAGAAGTTGAGTACAGTTGTGAGACTAAACCTAATTGGTAAGGCACAGTCACTGTTACCAACTATTGTAGGGTGTATCATGGACAGTGTTCATGTTTCGTGTATGTTTAGGTGATTACAGAGTTGTCTTGATCGATCCATCGTGGTCACAGAATGGGCTTGTCTGATATTGATGTTTTGTGAAAATGTTTCTGTACCACAGACCCCAGGGCCTAATATTGTGGCAGGCTAGCTCCTGGATGCCATTCTCACTAGGTTCCATGTGGACATATGGATATAGTTATAGTGGATTTTGCCTTATCCTCTACATATAGAGGAGTCAGCTATGTAGTTGCTTATAGTTGTTCAGTGTTCAAATGGTTCTACCTAGAGCACAGATAGGAGTTGATTTTAGAATTATATACAGACCATTTCTTGAAGATTTTTAGCTATAAACATTAATCATAAGTGGTATAGACTAATGTCTGATAGTTTCATGCGTGAACATCCTGCCTCAACATCTATCTGTAAACACAGAGAAATACAAGAACATGTTACCATTTCTAAAGTATGCACATAAATGGGGAAAAGAAAGCAGAATTGTTTGATTTACTTTCTTTTTTTTTCTTTTTTTTTTTTTTGAGATAAGGTCTTGCTCTGTCACCCAGGCTGGAGTGCAGTGGCACGATCATAGCTCACCGCAGCCTTGAACTCCTGGGCTCAAGCCATCCTCCCACCTCAGCCTCCCAAGTAGCTGGGACTACAGGTGTGCGCCACTGAACCTGGCTATTTTTATTTTTTGTATAGATAGAGTCTTGCTCTTTGCCCAGGCTGGTCTTGAACTCCTGGGCTCAAGTGATCTTTTCACCTCAGCCTCCCAAAGTATCAGGATTACAGATGTGAGCCACTGCGCCTGACCTGCTTTAGTCTTTAGTAATACTTCAAATTTATATTGATCACTTTGAGGCATTGTGGAATTCTGAATTATCTTCTGAATAAGCAAAGAATTCTGCAAGTTCTCTGTTTCCTGTTGGTCCTCAGAGGCACTCTCCTGTAGACAAGTCTTTTTACTTCTTTGGGCCTTGTTCTCATTTTTCATATGAAAAGCCTCAGTTAAATGAATCTCTGCTGTTCCAACTAGATGGAAAAGCCTTGTACTTTTGTGGTTAAAATAAACACATTGAAATAAAGAACTTGGGAATAAAAATCTTATTTTCTCTCATCTCAGAATTATTTGTCAAAGAGAATCACGAATTAAGAATAGCAGGAGGAGCAGTGAGGGATTTATTAAATGGAGTAAAGCCTCAGGATATAGATTTTGCCACCACTGCTACCCCTACTCAAATGAAGGAGATGTTTCAGTCGGCTGGGATTCGGATGATAAACAACAGAGGAGAAAAGCACGGAACAATTACTGCCAGGGTGAGTCAAAAGTTTGACAGGTAATTACATTGCTTTTTTGGTAATTTTTAAAAACTTAATTTTCTCTAGTTAAAAGCAAATAACGAAAAGTCTAATAAAAAAGTCAGTCTCTTCTATGCCCGTCATAAACCCTGCAGTCCTCTGTTCTTGCAGCCATGTTTACTTTTTATGTTACCTCTCCATTTCTAAAAAGACCTTTGTATGCTACGGGTATTTACTTTTCAGTTTTTACTATCCCAGTTTTAAGATGTGTTACGTATTGACTTTCCATAAGGGAAGATGATTTAGCTTTCTTACCACACCCTTCTCAACAACAAGCACGTATAATTCTCCTTCTTCTGTCTTCCTAGTATATTTATATCATAATTTTTGGTTAAGTCAATATTCAGGGTTCACGTTTATGACTCTGTATTGTTTACAGCCAGATTGTGGAGTATATTGTGATGACATTTCTTCTATTGGCATGTTTTTAAATTTTCCTGCAGTTAATGGCATTTTTCTTTTACATAAGCTTTCCATATACTACCAATTTATTCCTGCACTCTGTGCCAGAGCTATAGAGTTCCTCTCAAAAGATTTAAACACATTATATCAAGTTTCAATTGGGTTTTTGGGAAACATCTTACCTGGTGCTGTCTTCCTGCTCCAATATGGACTTTTAGGAATTTCCTTGGCCTCTCTTTTTTGTTAAGCCTCCTGTTTCCTGGGTCCCATGTGCTGTTCTCTCTTGGCTTAAGCCCTCATTTTAATAATCCAAAACCTGAGGAAGCCTTACACGTCTGAAAATGTTTTTATTTCACCTCCATGGTGGTTTGATAGTTACGGTTATAGAATTCTAGGCAGGGAATAATTTTTACTCAGAAATTTAAAGGTATTGTTTTCTAGCTTCCAGTACTGCCAGTAAGTCTAGTTCCATTTAGATTTCTCTTTTGTTTAAAAACCTGATTGCCATTATTTCCTTTTGGAAGTCTTTCTGATCTTTTCATGTCTAATGTTTTTAATTTCAAGATGATATAACTTGTTTTGGATTTTTCACTTACTGTGCAGGGCACTTAGTGGGCCCTCATGTTTCTTTCATAATTTCATCCCTTTTGTTAAATGCTTTTTCCTTTGGAAACTCTTATTATTTGGATCCTGGATTGCTGGGACTGACCTTCTAGTTTTATCTTTTGTCTTTATTTTATATTCTCCTGTCTTACTTTCTATGAGAGTGCCTTAACTTCATCTCCCAGTCATTGTATAATACTGACAACTTCTGTGGTCTTGTAGAATTTCAAGAGGTCTTTCTTAGTATATTTCTTTGGAAAGCTTCCCGTTCATGTTTCAGATGGAAGATCTTTTATTTCTCTTAGGATATCTACTATAGTTATTTTGACAGTGTCTTTGTTTCCTCCGAGTGTTTTCTTTCAGGTTGGCTTTCCTTGAATTTGGGTGATGCTCTGTATCTGAGGGCTTTATTGTAGTTTTGCATGGGAAGTGTCAGCCAACTGGGACTCCCAGTCTAAGTCTCAGTAGGAGTTTTCATTAGGAGAAATCAGAGAAGAATACTCCAGTATTATGCCAGGGAATGAACCTGATTGTTAGCATCTTGAAACCAAGTAGGGAAAGGGATGAGGGTCATGTTAATTTTCACTTGAATCTTGTTTTCATTATGATGCTTCATTCCCATGAGCATCTGTGCCTGGTGCAACAAGTTCTGATTATTTTTGGTTGAACCTTTCTAGAGAATCAGTCCCTGGTTTTCTGCCTCATTAAGGGAGTCATTCTAGGTGGGTCTGATTATTTCTTAAAATGAGTTGCAAACAGTTTTCCTATTTCAAACCTTACCTTATTCTTTGCCTTCAGAGATACTTGTGCCTCAAATTCTTGAGTTCTGGAATTCTATAGTGAGAGATAGATGTAGCTTGTATTTAGAGAAGAGTATGTATCAAATTGAGAGAAATCCTACAACAGACTTCTGGTGATCGTTAACGGCTTTCACTTCCTAAATAAAGACATTCCTAACTCTTGGCACATAAAACACTTTATTCTCTACTCCTAAATGCTAATATGCTACCTGTCAGATATACTTTCTCTTTTACATATATTCCTCTTCCTCCACCGTGCCTTTGGTCATCTCTTCTCTTCATTTGAAGTTTTTCTACCACACCTGCATGTACAAACCCTGCTGCTTTTTCAAGGCTTGGCACAGACGCCACCCTAACATGAAGTTACTCAGCTTCCCCAGCTGGAGGTAGTCTGTCTTCCCAAGATAGAGGTAACTCTTTATTTTAATTTCTTTCTTTCTCTTTTGAGACAGGGTCTCACTCTGTTGCCTAGGCTGGAGTGCACAGTGTGATCTCGACTCACTGCAGCCTCTGCCTCCCGGGGTCTAGCGATCCTCCCACCTCAGCCTCCCAGGTAGCTAGGACCACAGGCATGCACCACCACACCTGGCTGGTTTTTTTGTATGTTTGGTAGAGATGGGGTTTTACCATCTTGCCCAGGCTGGTCTTGAACTCCTGAGCTCAAGTCATCTGCCTGCCTTGACCTCCCAAAGTGCTGGGATTACAGGCATGAGCCACCACCCCCAGCCTTTATTTTAATTTCACTGGGGATTATCAGTAAGGGAGTTGCAAGATCTGTTAACTGTACTTATTCTTTATCAGTCTTTCGCTCAATGGCAAATGTTCCATAAATTGACATTCACCTCTTTGCAAACTGGAGCTATTAAAAATATTTCTGATAATAGCTTGATTTGAAATTGAAGAACAGTTTTGAGTTTGATGTGGAGTTTCTCCACATCACTTGGCAGAGGTGACATGTTTGTGTGTTAAACTCATCTTTTTTAATCATGATGGATTTTTTTTAAAAAAATCAGTCTTTTGATCTGTTTTTGAATAATGTGGATATCTTTCTGTTTCAATGTTTAGGTATGGTAGTTGACGTTAAAAAGACTATAACTGTCAGGGCTTATAGTACCATCCCTTTATAAAGACAAAAACTTATTTTTTTCAATTCAGTAGTATGAAAACCTAATTTAAATGACAACAAAAACCCCATGTATTTAATTGCAGCTTCATGAAGAAAATTTTGAGATTACTACACTACGGATTGATGTCACCACTGATGGAAGACATGCTGAGGTAGAATTTACAACTGACTGGCAGAAAGATGCGGAACGCAGAGATCTCACTATAAATTCTATGTTTTTAGGTAATATTTGCAGATAAAACCATATTGTGAGTCTATCAGAATGCCTTCTTTTCAAGTAAAACCTACATTCTGGAAATGTTCTTCAACTTGAGAAGTTGCATTAATTTCTTCTAAGAGATGGTTTAGCAGATTGCTTCAAAGAATAGTCCCTCAGCCGGGCACGGTGGGTCACGCCTGTAATCCCAGCACTTTGGGAGGCCAAGGCAGGCGGATCATGGGGTCAGGAGATCGAGACCATCCTGGCTAACACGGTGAAACCCCATCTCTACTAAAAATATAAAAAATTAGCCGGGCGTGGTGGCGGCTGCCTGTAGTCCCAGCTGTTAGGCAGGAGAATGGTGTGAACCCGGGAGGCGGAGCTTGCAGTGAGCTGAGATTGTGCCACTGCACTCCAGTCTGGGCAACAGAGCGAGACTCCATCTCAAAAAAAAAGAATAGACTCTGGAGCCAAAATCCCTGGGTTCAAATTCTGACTCCGTCACTCACTAGCCACAAAACAAAAACGTTA
Source organism: Homo sapiens (assembly GCF_000001405.40). Classification (NCBI taxonomy): domain Eukaryota; kingdom Metazoa; phylum Chordata; class Mammalia; order Primates; family Hominidae; genus Homo; species Homo sapiens. The sequence goes on from NC_000003.12 coordinate 3,141,157, forward strand.
ATTAATATTGGCTTCCTTTGTACCGCTGTTGTGAGGTTTAAGAGAGTTAATTGTAAATGCTTAGAACAGTGCCTGACACATGTACACACTCAGTCAGTGCTAACTTCTTAACTGCATATAAACATGATTTCAGGGAAGAGAAGTGCACACACACATGGTACATGTACATACTCCACACACATCTACACACACACACACCCAGGATCATTCTTTTTCCTTTGCACTATCTTTCATGCATGTTTATTCAATCTTTCTTCTGCTTCCCTGGCAAACAATGGTGAATGACTTCAGCACTTTTTACTGCTGAGCCTACACACAACCTCAGATTCTTTTTTAGCATTGTATTCTAGGAATCATCAATAATCAGAGTTGGTATGTAAGATGAAACCTATTTATTTCAGCTTAACTTTTTTGTTTAATGAAAGCACTGGGAATTATATGGGGGCTAGATACGAATTAGGTTAGTGTTTTGATACATTACTGATGCATCATATGTTGTACTTTAAAGTTAAGACAAGCCCTTTATGTTTAAGATTTTGGATTAAAAAAGGATGAAACATCCACTGTTCATAACCTAGTTTGTAGCAATAGTAGTGGTAAAAGGATGAAGTAATAGGATTTGCTTCATGCATAGATGGGCAAGAAGTTTATAAGCTAAGGTGGCATCTCTTGCTGATTACAGTAATGACAGATACAATTTCTAGGGTACCTACTGGGTTCTAGGTACAACATTGGGTACCTGATATACTTTATTTCATTAAACTCTCAGAAAAACTTCATAAAGTATGTTAAGCCCACTTGATAGAAGAGGAAACTTGAGACTGAGAGATATTAAGTAACTTAGTTTAAGTCACAGAGAACCATGATTTTGGCTTGTTTCCAAGGCCTAGGCAATATATGACCATAGAGAGCCCAATTGGTGCATTTTTCTCTCAGTTAATGTAGTCAGAGCTCCAGGTATTTATTTATTCTCATATTTACTCATAGAGGAAGCTGCTCCAAATAGTGCAATATAGAGTCTTGTCTAACTGGCTTCTCATAAGCATACTGAAAGAGAGAAACTAATACTCTTTTTCAGTGTCCTAGTTTATAAAATAAAAGTTGTTCCTATTGGTACTATCATTTTCTGACATTTACTGAACCCTTATAACATGTCAGGCACTGTTCTGAGCACATTATGTAAATTTAATCTCCTGACAACCCTGCGAAGCAGATACTGCTATTTAACCGATGGTAACTTGCCCAAAGTTGCACAGCTTGTAAAGTGTAGGATCAGAATTCCAACTCAGGCAGCCTGACTCCAGAGGTCACATTCTTAACCACTACATTATTCCCTGCAACTCAACCATATTTCATATTTTTATTTACTGTATTTTAAAAGGATGATATTCAGAGCAAAACAAAATACACACCAGTATGATGCTTACTAAGCTTTGTGTAGTTTTCTATCCTGGCTTTTTCCAAGCCTTATTGGATCAAGCATTCATAGTTCTGGCATTTATGGTTGGTTACTTTGCTTCCCAAACGCTTATTTTTGCTTTGATCATATTCCTATGATTTTTTCCTCCAAATTTTGATCTTGCCTTTAGGTTCCCCAGGGACGGTTACAAGTCTCTTCATTAGGAGAAATAACACCAAGATGGATATACCATATTATTTGCTACTTTGTGATCATATTTTTGCCTATTTACATATTTTCTTTTTATCATTTTCTTTTATGTCTTTTTGAATCTGGAGCCTTCGAAATTTGCCATGTATGTCAAGATGGTTCCCTTTTAAAAGTTACTATGCATATAAAACTATTAACAGCTTGGAAAGAGTTAAGCATTAAGTGTGAACTTACCAATGTACTGTTGCTTTTGGGATAATCAGAGAACATTCAAGTTCAAACACAGCCAAGAGGTATTTTTGATAAGTAGTTGTCAGTGCCTCTTTTCTGTAATGCTACAGAGTGAAGTATCTCATAGATCACTGACCTCCCCATTTGGTGAGCTGAATGGTGTCTGTGTTTCGGCTCTAAATTCCTTTTTCTATTTTTTTAAGTCTCCATGGTAACCAACTGTCTTAGTTTGCCTGAGCTTGAAATACTTCCTTGGATGTATGATTTTCAACTTTAAAACTAGGAATGTCTCAGGCAAACCAGTATGAAGTGGTCACTCTACTAATTAATACTTGAGGTTTTATGTACATATATATAAAATTAGTTTTATGTCACTTTTTTCATTCAACATATGAGAACATTTGTTTATTACCATTTTTGTGAATGGCTAATAGATTAACATGGTTCAAAATTCACAAAGTTTTAAAGGCTCTACAGTGAAGTCTCCTGATCTGTAATGAACAGGACTGCCCATTTAACCACACCCTTGCTAACACTGTTATCAAGTGTTTGCATCGTTGCCGATCTGAAAGACGCTATCTTGGAAATGGGTATTTACTGGCCGGGCATGGTGGCTTATGCCTGTAACCCTAGCACTTTGGGAGGCTGAGGCATGCAGATCACTTGATGTCAGGAGTTCGAGACCAGCCTGGCCCACTTGCCGAAACCCTGTCTCTACTAAAAATACAAAAATTAGCTGTGTGTAGTGGCAGGTCTACTTGGGAGGCTGAAGCAGGAGAATCACCTGAACCTGGGAGGCTGCAGTGAGCTGAGATTGCACCACTGCACTCCAACCAGGGTGACAAAGTGAGAATCCGCCTCAAAGAACAAAAAAAGGATTTATGACTAAGGTTGAAAATCTTCATTATTAAAGAGATTTCTATATTTCCTTTATAGGTAGCCTATTTTTCTATTTACGTGGCCTTTTTATTAGAACTTTTATATATTATGGAAATTAGCCATTTTTAAAATATGGACTTACATATATTTTTCCAAAAATGTCACTTATGACTTTGTGTGTGATAGTAGTTTCTGCCATACAGGCATATTTCATTTTTTATGTCATTCAATTATTTCTTCGAAAATCCTGTTGTTTTTGTGTTGCGTTTTCTGTTTTCTTGCTGAGTTTGAAAGATCTTCAAGATTATAAAGATTCCAAGATTAAAAATATTTTCCTCGTTTCTTCTGTTAATCCTGTTACGTATTTTTTCCATTTTATTTTGGCTATTATTTTCCCATATTGTGAAAATTAGCTTGTATGGTGTCTTGTTGGCTCCACTCCACCTCATACAAGTTTTGCATATTTCTTGTTTAGTTTATTCTTGGATTATCTTTTTAGTTGCAATTGTAAATGCAGCTAAACAGACTAAAAGACAGTCTTTTATTGTCTTCCATTTGATAGTTGATATGTATGAATACGTATGTGTTTTAATAACTGTTCACTCTGCTGAATTTTTACTGTTTGTGATAGTGTTTAGCTGATTTTCTTGTGTTTTCAAATTCTTATTTGCCAATAGTGATTTTTCTCCCTCCTTTTCTAATGAATAGGTTTTGATGGCACTTTATTTGACTACTTTAATGGTTATGAAGATTTAAAAAATAAGAAAGTTAGATTTGTTGGACATGCTAAACAGAGAATACAAGAGGATTATCTTAGAATTTTAAGATACTTCAGGTAAGAATTTTTAAAAATAAAAAATGATAGTTTTAATATCATGACTAGAGCATAACAGTGGTCATACGAAACCCACAGCAGGTCAGTGTACAAAATGGTGACATCCCAAATGTCTGTCTCCAGTGGAGACCTAGCACCCTATGACTTATGAGTGAAAATTACTTAGCTACTTCATATTGTATTTTCATTCCCAGAACGCACATATACTTTATGTCATCTTTCCTACAATTTTAAGTCATCTTTTTAAATGTCCATTTTTCTTTTTGATTGATATTTCCTCCATTGATTTATTAATTACACAGATGTTTGAATGCTTACCACAGGTCAATCCCTGTGTTAGGTGCATTAAACGTGGTAATGAACGAGTGAAAGTGTTCGCCTTCATACAGCTTACGGTTTTAGGTAGTCATGGAAATCGGTGATGGTTCACAACAAAATGATTTTGGTGAAAAGAAATACCTGTTATATGATTTAAAGAATCAAAGCATAAAGACATAATCGAAACTTGGATGGGCCGGGTGTGGTGGCTCACACCTGTAATCCCCGCACTTTGGGAGGCCGAGGCGGGTGGATCACGAGGTCAGGAGATGAGACCATGCTGGCTAACATGGTGAAACCCCATTTCTACTAAAAATACAAAAAATTAGCCAGGCATGGCGGTGTGCGCCTGTAGTCCGAGCTACTCGGGAGGCTGAGGCAGGAGGATGGCGGGAACCCGGGAGGCGGAGCTTGCAGTGAGCCGAGATCGTGCCACCGCACTCCAGCCTGGGCGACAGAGCGAGACTCCATCTCAAAAAAAAAAAAAAAAAAAAAGAAGATCTTGGATAAACTTGGTAAATATGAAACGCATGACTAGTTTTGTGGGTAGCAATGATGTTTAAATGTCACACACTAACCTTTTTAAAAAACTATCCGAATTGGCTAGTTTATGTCAAGTAATATTCATTTTTCACTGGTTGGGATTGCTCTCAGAATATTCTATAACAGAACATGGATATTTTGTCAATGTAGTTTCTCTAAACTTGAGTATTTGTAGTCTGTCTTATAAATAATAGAACATAGATTAAGACTTAGCTGTATTTGTATCACTAATCCAGATTTAGCATTAATTTACTTATTTAGCATCACTTTGGACCGCTGATGAATTCATTAGAATTTTAAGGGCATGAGAGGGAAACACATGCACGTTAGGGCTTCCAGTTCTAAGATTCCGCGAAATATACTCCAGGGTGCGCAACTAGATGAGTCGTATTTGAAGGTTTTCCTTGAAAGTACTAATGTGTACAGACAGGCAAGCTTTGAGGAATTCAGACTACTCTGTTAAGGCACTGCAGTCTTGTTTTGGTTTGCTGCCTTTACAAGAATGCTGTTTTTTTTTTCATCTAGTATAAGTGCCAATTCAGGAATTGCATTTGATGACCATTCGGAATGTCTTGAGTCAGTAATTTGGAAGTGAGGTGGAGACCTTGAAGTTTTAGTTCTTGCTAACCTCAAAAAGGCTACTTATATTTTATTCGATCCTGGGTTTTCTTATCTGGGAAAAGAAAGAGGAGGTGGAGAAATGACCAGTTGCTTTCTAAGGTCCCTTCTAGACCTAACTAATTATATGTTGTTTTCATTAAGCAGATGTATGGGATAGTACCAATAAAAATGAAAAACAGATTTTGCTTGTGATATGCCAATATAGAGGTAATACCCTGTGAAGATTTTGTCTTGTAGGTTTTATGGGAGAATTGTAGACAAACCTGGTGACCATGATCCTGAGACTTTGGAAGCAATTGCAGAAAATGCAAAAGGCTTGGCTGGAATATCAGGAGAAAGGATTTGGGTGGAACTGAAAAAAATTCTTGTTGGTAACCATGTAAATCATTTGATTCACCTTATCTATGATCTTGATGTGGCTCCTTATATAGGTGAGAGCAAGTTATAAAGTGTTTGAATTTTTGGCAGTGAAATATCTGGTTTCAAATTTCATAAGGAAAAAATGTTTGACTCATTTGGTTGAAGAATTCTTGGAGAAATGGAGTATTTTAAAATAAGACAAAGTTTGGGTTATGGGGTAAGTTTTGTCGTGAGTAGGGAAGAGCTCAAAGACAGCTTGTGGTGCTTGTAGAGTAGTCTCTAGTCAGACCTAGGTTTGAAGGAAGCTCAGCCCCTTATCTAGTCTTTGCAACTTGGGTTAGTTTCTAACCCAAAAAAGCGGTTTAAAAGTAATGTAGCCTCTATCTAATAGGAAAGCTAAAAGGATTCAGTGAGTTAATACATGTAAAGCTCTTTTAGAAGAGTGACTTGTACACAGAAATTGTTCAGTAAACGTTGTAATTCATTTTCACAGAGAATAGTGGGATTATATGGTTTATCACACTTCGGTAAGCTTGGGCATATTTCAAATTTCAGTAACATTACTGAATGGGGGGTGGATCTTGTATCAGTGTAAAGTCAGGAATTTGTGATTAGAAAGAGTATGCCTTGTGAGTCTGACACCACTGTCACCACTACCCCTGGAACTCTTGATGTAGCTTTAATGGAAACAAGAACATTTTAGAGGTTTTGAAGGTGACAGGGGAGAGAATAACAATATATTAGTGGTTCGCCTTTAAGTTGGAACATCAGACTGAACCTATATAATGTATCCTAGTGACAAAGCATTTCTGGATACTAAAATGGTGGCAAGGTTTAGGATATGAGTGGTTTTTTATCCCCACTAAAAACAGGTGAAAAATGCTTTTGTCCCTACAGGTTTACCTGCTAATGCAAGTTTAGAAGAATTTGACAAAGTCAGTAAAAATGTTGATGGTTTTTCACCAAAGCCAGTGACTCTTTTGGCCTCATTATTCAAAGTACAAGATGATGTCACAAAATTGGATTTGAGGTTGAAGATCGCAAAAGAGGAGAAAAACCTTGGCTTATTTATAGTTAAAAATAGGAAAGATTTAATTAAAGCAACAGATAGTTCAGACCCATTGAAACCCTATCAAGACTTCATTATAGATGTAAGTATATACTAGGCTTGGTCAGAAATATGAAGTATCGTCACGAATTTAGAATTAATTTATTAAAACTAAGATCTACAAATCTGTGAATTTTACTTATTTTAAATGAAAAAATTTATGTTGAGTATTTAAATTTTAGGATAAGATTGTAAGTGTATGTTTTCATGTGTGACGAAACTAAATGTTTGATTTTGACACGTAGTCTAGGGAACCTGATGCAACTACTCGTGTATGTGAACTACTGAAGTACCAAGGAGAGCACTGTCTCCTAAAGGAAATGCAGCAGTGGTCCATTCCTCCATTTCCTGTAAGTGGCCATGACATCAGAAAAGTGGGCATTTCTTCAGGAAAAGAAATTGGGGCTCTATTACAACAGTTGCGAGAACAGTGGAAAAAAAGTGGTTACCAAATGGAAAAAGATGAACTTCTGAGTTACATAAAGAAGACCTAAAACTGATGGCTACTAAAAAGCAGAGCATTTCTGGTAAGACTAAATTTTCTCCCCTCCCTCTTAATGAGGTTTTAGAGACTACACCAGAATAAAAGACAGTTTAGGGGACCTCTGTAGAACAACAAGGGTCTTATTTTGTGAATTATATATTTCAAGAACTAAACAGAGATCCACCTTTCTGGATCTGATTTATATCACTGAAATGTACAGTTCTTTTGGAATAGTTTCACCTGAGAAAACATAGTTGGCTATTATCTATCTTAACCTGTTCAGGCTTTTAAAAAAAACTGTTTTTGCATAGGGTAGTACTAAGATCTTAAAAAGTGGTAACTGTCTTGAAGAAAAAACGTTTATTGTTTGTTTGCAATTGAAATAACAGGGTTACCTTAACAATGACTGTCTATGATGTGTCAGTTCTTATCTGAATTCCAAAATAAACCTGTGCTTAAAAAAGAAATAATTGACCAAGTAAGTTTGCATAAAATGTGAATACTAAATGTGTCCCCAGTTGCTGGCATTCATATGTACAGGATTTGTTCTAGCAAGCTATGCTTCAGTATGTGGTTGATATTTTTCTGTCACAATGATTTCTTTATGCATGCAGAGCCTGGGGAAGTCATGGGATTAACTTGAGGGTCACTATTGAGCCTATTAATTAATTATTGTTTTAATAAAACAAACATTGGTATTGGAAGATAAATATGTTTATGTGGTATCTGACAATGTGTATTAGGTGTCATATACAATGGTAATATGCCTGTCTTTAAAGTGTTATTTTATTAATTAAAAGGATATGGCTATTATTATATATTCTCTAAAGATTTGAGTCCTAAATGCTTTCATCAGGTAAATAAAATGTATAATACAAACTGTTTATTTCAGCTGCTATAATTTCAGCTGCTATACTGACATTTCATAATTTATTTCCTTTCTGTGTAGCCAGTCATAACATCTTTGTACTCTATGAGCAAATAGTAATTTTGGACCTTGATAAAACAATTTTGTAGAGTGTAATATTTCTAAGAGGAAATGTCACAGGGGCTATGATGCAAGAAAGCCTCAGAAATGACTGCATACAGGTCAGTAATTAGATGCATTATAAAATAATACTTTGAAATACTTACTTAAAATATTTAAGTACTGCCAAAATACAGATTTAGACCCAACGTCATATAATACATACTATTTCTGTATAGAAAGTATGCAGATTTAGCTATCAGGTCTGGTTTTGTCATGTGTAAAACCATTTTCAGTAGTAGTATAGTATATGTGTGTTTTTACAGATCAGAAAATTTTATTTGCTAGTAAACGGTATGGGACATACTGAAATTTTAACTTTTCAGAGGGACAAGGTAACTCATTGCAACTGGTTTAGAGTTCAGCCTACAGAGAGGTACTATGCTACTGACAGGAACTTCCTGGAGTAAGTAAGTTTTAGTGCAGTGTAAGAACTATAGGAACAAACCAGACCAGTGAAGTCACACAAACCCAAAATTATTAAAGTAGTAAAAGTAGACCTTAGAAAAAATAAGGCAGGGGCATATCCTGATTGGAAGTATTCTTGAATTTTCATTTACTCTATTTACATAAATATGCAGTGTGACACTCAACTGATTTCACTCCACCTTCAAGGCATGTATTTTGGCCTCATACTATTACTACATTTGAGTAAACATTTAACCTGATTAGTTTTAAAGTAGCAAAGGACTACCAATAAAACGAAAGTTATCATACAAATGTGGAAGGAAGGACCCACTAAACCCTTGAATATAAGCAAAGAGGTAGGTGGCAAAGCAGCCTTTTTAGAACTTTAAAATTATGAGTAGATATTTTACATTATTTGAACAAAGAACATGTTTAGTTTCACACTTAAGGTTTACTTACTTACAGATTTTCTTCAATTTACATTGAACAAAATAATACAGTATCAAGTTTAGTCTGGGTGAGGGGACATGTTTTGGCATCTTTTCCCTATAGTAGTAGTTTTGGTTCAAATTAATTTTTGAAAAATAGCTTTTGTATGGAACAGTATAAATGGGCTTATAGTTCAGATACTGAGCAAATACACAATACTACTTTTTACTAACAGGCACATAAAGGAAATGACAACTATTCGTGGGCTCAAAAAACTGCATATTTTAACTAATTTTCAAAATTTACAAATCAGTATCTCAGAGAAGTTAAAGAAAATGGAAAGGAACAAAGCCCTTTTAGAATAATTAATATACATTGCCTTGCTTCTTTCCAAAAGGAACATGTACTTGTCACCCTAGCTTTTGTTATTTAGAGCACTGGTACAGATACGCTGTCCCATACATCAGGATCAAATTATTAGTTTCAGTTTCACATTGTAGGAATTTAAGATTTTTTTTTTTTTTAACACAGGAAATAATCTCATCATTTCCAAAGATGTCTTCATGTCCCATCAATGACATGCTACCAGACATATCAGATTCCACAGGATAATGGCACCAAGCTACCCAAGTAGATGTTTCTGGTATTCTAGACTGCCGTTCATGCTTGTTTCCTAAAGTATACTTAAAAGTTTCAAATACAGTTTCACTTAGAAACTGCAACCCTCCAAGTAATGTTATGTTTACTTAGGTATTAATGTTATGTTTACTTAGGTATGTATCAGAGGCAATAATTTCCAAAGCAGATCTTAGAATATAACCAATTTGTTAGATAACTTTATCTCTATCACATCTGTTTACAAGCAAAGTATTACTTTGTCTGGACTTATTTCATCTTCAGTGTCTGGGATCGTGGGCAACAGAGCAGATCGCGTTAAGCCCCAAAATTTTTGAGGTGACATGTCTTTTTTGGTGGCCGTAAACTTCCATCCAATATGGCTTGCACAGATCTTACACTGGGCAACAGTCCAGGCATACCTAAGAAATTAAGGAAAGATATCAGCTAAGGAAACATTTCTGTACTCCAAGCCTATCATATAAACCTATCATGAAGACAGACTTTAGAGGCAAATTCTAAGGATTAGAGATTCTAAGTTGAGATTTGATCCATACAGTTCCCTGAAACCTAAAAACATTTCTAAAAACATTTTCTAATTTTGTAATATGTATGACTTTTATGCTCTTAAGCCATGTTTACATTTTTCTTCTACTGCATAGAAATAAAGAGTAATCTTAAGAATTTCTTTATAGAAATTGCTGGTTGCCAAGACCACATTCTAACTTGTACTGGCACCACATTCTAACTTGTACTGGCTTTTCCTTTGTTGTATTGCAGTCAAGTTAGAAAACAGCAATTACCTGCAGAAATAATGCACTTCTGTCTGAGTTAAACTGGATGGGCCAGGAAGGACACGTCTCAAAAAGTAAATATTTATATTCTAAAATAAGAACGATTGTCAGATAATGCAACCAGAAATACAAACCATGGTATTTTGTTCTTAAGATAAACCATGTAATTGCAACTGTTTCCTTATTTTTTTCCCTAGGTATACCATGCCACATTTATTTATAGTAACAAATGTATTCTAGTTTTAGTCCTCACATAGGGTGCCAAGTAAGATAGGGCAATCCAAGATACATAGTCCTAACCCCAGAGTAGCATGTAATCCCTTCTTAGCATCCCTCTTTGAAAACTGAAGATAGTACAGCTGAGGGAACTGAACAGGTTCCCAGGATCATAGAGAATCATTAAGCTGAAGCAAACAAACAAAAGGCAAACTAGAAGAAAAGCAGGATTCAATGGGTTCTGCACCTTCTTAGTCTATCATTGCTTTGTAAACATTCTCCGGTTTTACATTACTACAGAATATGGTCCAGATATAAAGTTCTACTGGGTCATAAGACAGCTGATTTTCAGAATTACATGACTGACAGAAAAAAACAATTTTGGATTTAACTGGATACAGTAATCTGAGGACAACTGCAGTTGTCAACCTTTTCTTCCTTTCATTCAATGATAAAAGATACAAAAAGTGCAACAGATGTTTCTAGCTATTTGTGGAATGAAGGACATTTAAATAAATTTTTTTTTTTTTTTAAATAGACAGATTCTCACTCTGTCACCCAGGCTGGACTGCAGTGGCACAATCTTGGCTCACTGCAACACTCTTGCCTTCCAGGTTCAAGAGATTCTTGTGCCTCAGCATCCCGAGCAGCTGGGAGTACAGACCCCTGCCCCCATACCCGGCTAATTTTTGTAGCAAATTACTCATTTGTCTGTCTACTTTTTATTATAAAGATTGTGGCAACTCTGCTTAGGACTCTGGATTTTTCTGCCCAATTAAGGTAAAAAAAGAAAAAAAAAAGCAACCACCACCATAATATTACCCAGGAAACCAGCTGTGTTCTGTAGAAGGCCGGCCTATCAGATTCAAGTTGCAAGCCTTATACACAGTAAGTGTCTCATGCACATATCCATGAGGATTCACATAAGCTGCCATCGGCCCACATAAGGATAAACTAAAACAAAGAATCAACATGGAGAACACGTCAAAACGAGAAGTCTAATTTTATTAAATGCTTAGAATTTTATTGAAGTTCACCAAGAAATGAGGTATGAGCTATACAGTTTTTAATCCTTCAGTTTTATATAATACCAGGATCTTAGTATGAAAATGGGGTGGGGGTACAGCTGGCAGACAGGCCTGTTTTGTCTAAATGTCTAAATGTTTTCTGTGATGACCCAAAGGAAATAGTACTTGTTTTTAAAACCCTCCTCAAGACAGACATTGTAAAGAATATAAAACTCAAATGCTTCTAAAGGAGTCTGAGAGTGTAAGTGCAATGACAAGGTCCTGTGTGGTCATTTTGGGGCAGTTGATTATTTTGCAGAAAGCAGTTTCCTTACCTTCTTGATTTACAACTGATGGATTTGTCATAAAATGATTTTCAAACACTGTTATATCAGAGCATCAGTATGTGTTCAGAAGCATGTCCTACTTTGGCCCTATATGGCAAAACTGATGACTGAAATGTAATTTCTGAAGCATCTATGTTAGGGCCTAATTGAAGACAGTCTAATATATAGATTGTCAACAAGAATTAGGGGGAAAAGAATTTCTCAGTTGTTTTACTTTACCATGCTCATTACCTGTGAATAATCCCTGACATGCATTGTTGCTCTGAGTACCCAATCTGGAAGATGGTCTTAGCAAAAGTGAGCTAATTCCCTATATTTCATTTGCTAAATGTTTGTAACTTTAAGGTACTGGAGGAAAGTTTATGGAAAACAGAAATACAGTCTTCATTATAATTCTGATAAGGCAAGTATATTAAAAACGTAATAAAGACCTTACCTGAATATTTCATTTTTGGTTGTTATTTCTGTTTCTTGACATTGTTTACAGCAAAGGGAAGTACACTAAAAGATTTGAGAGAAAAATTATTGGTAGGAAAAACTGGCATTCACTTTATCATGTAATCACATAGATCATCAAGAAACTTACTTATAAAGATATTGCTCTCTCTGAATATCACATTTTCCTTCCAAGCATTCAAAAACACTTTTAAAGATGGAGCACGAAAGTCACTGAAACTGAGATCTGCCACATATTTACATAAAACTAAATGACCTTCTCTAGAGTAAAGGAATAGTGATATATAACCTTGGATATTTCCATGCAGAAATCAAGTTATTTTTCACTAAGTTGATAAATGTATTCATATTTGACAAACACAAAACAATGAGTTTGTTTGTAAGATCCCAATTGAAATCTGAATTGCATGACTACATTACTGGACTCTATACAGAGCTCCATTGGCCCCAACAGAGCATCCTAGTTCTCCAGCCTGAATAAAACATGGGCATCAAAAACATATTCACTTTACTCACTTTATTCATAATGTCTAATTCACAGCGAAGTCGCTGGATAGCACTGCCAATTTTAAGGAGCTGAATTCTCAATACATCATCAATAGGAAGACAAGCAGCTACTCTGTAAGAAAAATCTTCAAGACATGGTTTTTCAAGTTTTAAACTTAGGAGTCAGATAAGCATCAGAGAACTTACAAATCGGATAATATCCTTTTGAAATAAACCCTTCTCTTTAAGGTTACACATTTTATACAAGTATAAACAATACAAAAATATACCAGCTGTCAAAGATACACTTTTCAGAAGCTCTAAATTTAATTGCTTTTCTTATACTTTTTTTGGTAAAATCCTTTTATGTTAAACATGAACTCAAATCCATGTTAGAAGTTATTTGCCAAGAGACTAGAAAAATAACTAAACTATACCTTATAAACAGATAAAGAGAGTATCTATAATTAAGGCAAGTCCTGGAACTAGACTCACTTCTTTTAAAGGCACCTTGAAGAACAGGGAAAGGAGTCCTTACACAGGAAGTGTTTTTGGATGACAGCCACTTCCTGCAATTTGAACTTTTTATGGAAAACTTGTCTAAAATTGGAGTGCTCACAGAATATGAGGATTTTATTGCAATTAATTTTAAAATACTCATTTTTTTTCAACTGCTCAAAGGAAATTATGCTTTTCAGAATTAAAATGTTTTAATCAGTCTTAAAACCTAGAAGATATGATTGGATCGCATCCATGAAAAAGCTATTTTTTATAGCAAGACATCCCAGGCTCCAGGCAGGAAACTAACTTTTCATACCTATTGGATTTGAAGGAAGAGAATCATCTTTTAGATTTTCATCCCATTCACGTAGCTGTTTCTTGATTCTGTCCATTAAGGTCTCCTTGTTTAAAATAAAGGTAGCCATAATCAAGTTCATGGGCTTATTAAAATTTACTATTAAGCTTTTCAACTCTTAAAACTAACACTGGTAGCAATTTAATCACTCAGTCCCATCTCAGTCCCAGTTTAAATGCCTCCATTTTCGTATGCAGCAATGATCAAGCTCCAGCTCCTTTGCCCAGCACTGTCTGCCTTCCAGCCTTTTCTCACTCACTGTCTTAACCCAGCGGTATATGCTCCCAACTCCCTTGCAGATTGTTCTGTTCTATGCCCCTGCTTGGAACTGGCCTCTCTTCTGCCTTCTATTAGGCCATTTCTGACCCAGTCCATAGGGATTATGGCACCTATAAATTGCACTAGCACTTGCTATCTACATACCTTACTTGGCACCTATTTACTACATAATTTTCACAAGCATATGCAAAACATGCAAAAACTCATATATTGTGTCTTTGTAATTGCTGAAAAGCTGCTAAAGAGCGGAGATCAACTGCAGTTTCCTTTAGTGTCGTGCATGTTGTTGAGTTTTCCCAGGACTCCAGATTTGTGGGCAGTGATTCATTAAGGGAAATGGCTAGCATTTATTGAATGCCCGCTATGCACACCAGGTACAATAGCTACCATTATATCCATTTCATAGGTCCTTGGAGAAGTAATTTGCTCCAGGCCCACAGAGTAAGTGACAGAAATCAGACTCTGAAGTCAGTCTCTGATCTGAAATCCAGATTCTTTAAACCATTTCAGCACTGTCCCTTAGTTTTGCAAAATGTGGCAATGCCTAGTGTTAAACTTTAAGGAGCAAAAACCCTCCTGGATGCATTAATTAATAGACTAATGATCAAGAGACGTAAGTTAATATACTTGTTTAGAGAAAAACCAAAACAGTAAAATATGGATGCTTTAATGTTCTAAATGTAACTATCACCCAACCCAACAAAATTTCACATGCTTAATAAAACTCTAAAGAGTCTTGTGATACCTTTTTTTTTCCCTTTTGAGACAGTCTTGCTCTGTTGTCCAGGCTGGAGTACAGTGACACAATCTCAGCTCACGGCAGCCTTGACCTCCCAGGCTCAATCAATCCTTCCACCTCAGCCTCTCAAGCAGCTGGGACTACAGCCACATGCCACCAAACCTGGCTAATTTTTGTATTTGTAGAGATGGGGTTTCACCATGTTGCCCAGGCTGGTCTTGAATGCCTGGCTTCAAGCAATCCCCCTGCCTTGGCCTCCCAAAGTGCTGGGATTACAGGTGTGAGCCACCACTCTTAACGATATCTTAAGTTATAAGGCACTAGAAACTGGAAAAACTAAACCTTTGTTTTTTAATGACCCTTAATTATGACATGGCCTACCATATATAAAGTAAATTTAAGGTAAGTTACTTACAGCATCATATAAGGAATACAGCCAGCGAGGCCATGAAGTTAGATTTGCACAATGAAACTTTCTCTGAAAACAAAACAAAAAGGCACTTAAAAAACCCCACAGAATAAAGATTCTAATGCTGGAATGAGCAACATCTGAAAAATGATTTTGGCCTAGGAAAACATCTAATTTTAAAAAGATAAAAAATTTTGTAGATAATCCCATGACGTGACTATCTATGAAGTGTGAAATCATGCTTCCTATATCCTTCAAATATATATTGTAACTAGAATCTTCATTCCTATTTAAAAAGGTCAAACATTAAAATTTCAATGCTGAAGACAACTTTGGGAAGATAAATGTTGAGAGTAAACACCATACTTCTATTATGACCATGTTAGTTGCCTTTATACTAATTACTTGTCCAGTATCTGAAGTGAAAACCTCAAGATATAATCCAAACTGTTTTTGTGTAAAAACTTTAAATGAGAATCAGCTGAATCACTATAAGGGCAAACATTAAGAAGTGATAGAATCCCAAGAAAGATAAAATGTTCGTTTACTTGAGACTTCATGATGAAGTTCCTCATTTCATAAAACTCAAGGAGAGGGGAAACCGATTATTTATCACCTCTAATTGTAACTGAAATCCAAACAGGAGCATGCCTAAGTCCATATAAAAATGTGAATTGTAGAAATTTCAGTTGAATTGTGAATTGTAGAAATTGTAGAATTTCAGTATTTGAGGGGGAGAAATGTGAATTGTAGAAATTGTAGAATTTCAGTATTTGAGGGGGAGACTCAATACTGTTAAGATGTCAGTCCTCAAATTACATATTCAGTGCAATACCAGTGAGAATGGAATTTATAAGTATAATTTAAAGTTCGTTTGGAAACATAACTGCAAAAGTAACCACAAAATTTTTGAAAGAGAAGCAAATGGTCTATAGGACACAAAAATATTACTGAAGGGATGCACTGCAGCAGTGCTAATAGCAACAAATTGCAAACAACCTAAACATCAATCAAAAATAGAGTGAAATACATTAGAATATGTTTATATCAAGGAATGCTCTGCAAGTGATCAAAGAACAAGGTATAGCAGAATATAAAGAATTATCACATTTTTCTCAAAACAAAACCTACATACGTACAAATCTTTGTAATTTCACTGTAAATAAAATGTTAATTGACATGTGACATGACACATGAAAGTGAGAGAGAAAAGGAATAAGGTAGATCAAAAGGCACTTTTAACAGACCAGAACAAGAAAAACAAGGTAACATTTAACAAAACAAGAGGAAGACCCTACTCCTGCACCTGCAATATCAAATGACTAGGTATGTTTCATACGCTGAATGATACTTACCCTAGGTATGTTTCATACCTAGTCATATGATCTTGCAAGTGCCGGAGTAAGATCTGCAGGAAACGTGGGAACACAGCACACATAAAAGGGACTCGGGACTGAGCTGACAGCTGGAATTGTACTACGCAACTGTACAATGTGCTACACCACTCACACCCTCGACTTCCCCGCCACTCCAATCCTATTCTAGCTATGTTAGTTTGGTGCAAAAGTAACTGCGGTTTTAACAGAAGACTAGAATCTATGAGACAATGTTATTCTATTCCATGCTGTTCAAATATGGGAACTTTTATTATCAAAGGGAATGTCTTGTTACCAGAGATGTTCAGTTTAGAGCTGTCTCTCAAGTGGACACACTGGTTTTCAAATATTTTAGGAGTTGCAATATGGAAGAGGACAGACTTGTTCTAAAACACGACCTACAGCTCAAAACAAAGGATTCCTTAATGAGAAACATTTCTGGCTTAATATAATCCTTATATTTGAGACTATGCAAAGATCAGCCGTCCCCAACCTTTTCGACACCAGGGACCAGTCTCGTGGAAAACAGTTTTTCCAAAGATGGGGTGGAGGATGGTTTTGGAATGATTCAAGTGCATTACATTTATCATTAGATTCTCATAAGGAGCACGCAGTCTAGATCCCTCCCATGCGCAGTTCACAATAGGGTTTGCGCTCCTATAAGAATCTATGCTGCCACTGATCTGATAAGAGGTGGCGCTCAGCTTCACTTGCTCGTTCACCACTCACCACCGGCTGTGCGTCCCGGTTCCTAACAGGCCACAGACCAGTGCTGGTTCGTGGGCCAGGATTTGGGGACCCCTGCCAAAGGTGATCTGAGATGGCCTCCTACTGTGTGCTCTGGTAGTGGTTAAAGCCTGAGGAGTCAGACCATGAGACCCTTCAGGTACTCTCCAATAAGTTGTCCCTCACTTTTAAGACTAAATACCTAATGGTAAGATTATTGTCACAGTCCAGTTACAGAATTTAAGAAAATACTACCAAGAGCACATCAAGTAGCTCTGAATCTTCAGGAACAGCAATGGCAACCATTAGTATTGTGCCAAGAATTTCACATTTCTTGTAAGAATACTCTAAGGTTAGTAGTTTATTATCTCCATTCTAAAGTAAGGAAACAGAGGCACACAAGGATGGTATAACTTGCTCAAGGTCACAGAGTCAGTAAATAGGAAGGAGCTAGGATCTGTATACAGGGAGTCTGACTCTAACCATCATTCATTCAACAAATATTGTGAGTGCCTGATAGGGTTTGGCCGTGTCCCCACCCAAATCTCATCTTGAATTGTAGTTCCCATAATCCCCATGTGTCGTGGGAGGGATCTGGTGGGAGGTAACTGAATCATGGGGACAGTTACTGCCATGGTTTTCTCATGATAGTGAGTTCTCACGAGATCTGATGGTTTTATTAAGACGGTTTTGACCCTTTTGCTTGGCACTTCTTCCTGCCATCATGTGAAGAAGAACATGTTTGCTTCCCCTTCTGCCATGATGGTAAGTTTCCTAAGGCTTCCCTAGCCATGCTGAACTGTGAGTCAAATAAAACTCTTTTCTTTATAAATTACCCAGTCTTGGGTACGTCTTAGCAGCGTGAGACCAGACTAATACAGTGCCTAACATGTGTCAGGCTATTTTTATACATTTAGGCTATGCCAGTGAATGAAAGAAAAACCAACAAAATTCAATACCCTGTCGAGCTTATATTTTAGAGAGAAGAAGCTATATATTCTTAGAATTACAAAATGACAAAGACCCAACTGAAAGTTTTAGTTTCGCTGACACACTCCTCATTCAGTTATTAAAATATACTTCACATATCAGAATGGTCACTTTTGTAATACAAAAGAAATGTAAAAAAGTGTAGTACAAAAGTGTAATTTCATTTGGCACCCATGTCAAGAAAAAGAATCTGAAATAATATGTAAATTTCAAGTATAAAGAGAATAAAATGTGGCACACTAGCATATTAAGAGCAATGCACTGGATCAGGCATTCACTCTGCCACCATGCCCATGAGCAAGCTACAGTTTCAGGTAGCTTCTTTTCAGAGTCAGAAGACCTCTAAAATTCTTTATCTGGAGCATCCTGACAGATTCAAATATGCATAATACATCCTTAATATTTGTGATGTGTGTTAGTCAATTAGACACACTGAAGAGACATATACCAGAACAGATTAGCTAGCTAGCTTTTACAGAGCAACTGCCAAAGTTTAAGACATTTCAACATCCTCAAATTTAAGAGTCCCATTTAGCTTTCTGGCACAATAGGAAAGGCTCCTGTCTTATATCTGGGTAAAATGGATGATAAGTTCTAGCAATTTATAGGCATTCTTTAAATATATCAACACCATGATTGATGTCATAAAATGGTTATACCTCAAGAAAATTTTAATACTAGCCAAAAAGTTTAGGCACTTAAAAGTGACCAATGACGGATTCTCCAGCAGAGTAGTATTCACTCTGGGAACAGGATTTACTACTGAAAGCAGGCATAAAAGCCCTTAAAACGAATCTGTTACCTGGAGGTAATCTATCACAGTCCTCCATTCTTAAGCCTCATAACTATGGCTTCGGCTTTGCCTCCCAACAACGTAGAATGTTCAAAACATGTGAAACTCCATTTAAGTGAGTCTTTGAAGTGCAATGAAAATGGAAAGAGTAATGTGAAAAGCTAAACATAAATAGTAAATCACTACCACTGACTTCCTTTATATAGTGACTAAAAGTGGTCACTTATTGTGTTAAATCCTATTACAATCAGCAATGTAAATGACAGAAATAATTTATATAAATAATTAAAAAGTTACCAGTTTTTGTTTCCTTCTTTCATGAACCAAATTCCTACATGGTAATAAGAACTGGGATGGAATGATAAGCTCTTTCCTACTCCTGAGGCTTATACGCTAATGGCAGATACACAAGTGTACATACAAGATGTATGCCTGGGAAATGACCAGTCTTTCTGAGGAAGCACCTGACTATACATAGCCTAAGATTTCAAGACTTTTCTTCTTTATATAAAAATAGTCAATAAATGTTACTGTTCTTACGATTATTATCCTGGAACAAGGTGAAACAGATTCTCAAGTTCACAAGGAAATGTTAATCAATGGTAGTCACTGAAAAGCTTGACAAAAAAGCAGTGAGGGGCTTACCAGCCCTATTTTTATTTACACAAAGTATAAAGTGCCAACATTAACAACAATATGATGATGGCACACAAGCAGACCAAAAGAGAAGAAAAGTAAAATAAACATATGAATTTGGTCTGTGACAATGGTGGCATCTCAAATCAATGGGAGAAAATATGGACTATTCAAAAAGTGGTAGTAGGACAATAGGGAGCCATCTGGAAAAAAGTAAAGTGGAATTTATATCAGGATCAACTGCACAAGGATCAGAGCTTTCCACGGAAAAGTAATGAAACCACAGCAAGTATCCAAAGAAAACATGAGACATTCCTTTGCATGGGAACGTCATTTTTGGCTATGATTTAGAATACAGAAGCATTAAAAATTAAACTATGTAAGAACAACAACAAAAAAACAGTTCTGTTTGACACACCACACCAAAAACAAAAGACAAAAGACAAACTAGGAAAAATGTTTGGAACTCATTAATTACAGAGACTATAAAGCTTACAAGGAACTCCCAAGAAATCAACAAGCCGTAGAAAAATGGGCAAACACTTTACAGAAAGGAAACACAAACTGCTCTTACAACAAAATGCTTACCCTTGCTCTCAGAGAAATTCAAATTGAACCTTCAATGTAATATATTTCACTTATCAGATCAGCAAACATCAGGTTTGATACTACATTGCCTGTCAGGCCATGATGAAACAATAAAAATAAGTACAAACACCTTAAGTATTTTGAAAATAACTCGCCTCCCGGGTTCCAGTGATTCTCCTGCCTCAGCGTCCCAAGTAGCTGGGATTACAGGCACCCGCCACCATGCCCGGCTAATTTTTGTATATTTAGTAGAGACGGGGTTTCACCATTTTGGCCAGGCTGGTCTTGAACTCCTCACCTTGTGATCCACCCGCCTCAGCCTCCCAAAGTGCTGGGATTACAGGCGTGAGCCACTGTGCCTGGCCTCAAAATTATTTTTAAAACTGACAGAATTATAAATGCATTTACCCTGTGAGCCAATAACCTCACTCTTTAAAAGTTATCATAAATATTTACCTATATAAAAGGTCATTTGTACATGTTATTTAGTACAGATCTATCATCAGTATGGGACTGGTTATACAGTGTATCCATACAAAAGAATTCCAAGCAGCTTTAAGAATGAGCAATGCTCTATAAACTAATACAAAAGAATCTCCTATAAGATACACCGTTAAGAAAAAGGTACGTATCCTTCTGTATAAGAAAGAAATAAGAACATTTGTATCTAGATAAAATTAGGAGGAGATTTAAACACTAATCTGGGAGATTACGTATGAGACCCCTGCCCTTCCAAATTCATGCTCAGTTCCTCCCTGCTCTACGCAATAAACAGGAACAACCATGGCTAAGTTCAACAGAGGCCAGAAAGATGAGACTCATTACTTTCTTAGTATCTGTTTCCCATTTGACTTATCTTTACATTTCATACTCAACTCTTTTCTGATTAACATAGTAAGCCTTGATATATGAATAAGCAGATGGTCTGGGCAAGCAGGGAATATACTTAGAAACATTTAAGTCATACTCCAAACAGGTTTAAACAAAATTTCCTCTTTTTTTTTGAGGAGGATTTTTACTGTAGGGGGATTCTCAAATCCCCCTACAGTAAACCAGTGAATAGAGAAAGGCACTGTGATGGGAGAAGAAGTAAACAGTTTCAGAGCTCAAATTCCAGAACAAGAAATGTCTCTAGATGGAGTGGGTTTTGAAAGTGTTTCCTAATTACACTGGCCTAACTCCTTAATCATGAGAGACACGTGCTGAATCTTCTCTAATGCTTCCTTGTCAGAATGGTAGATAACACAGAACACTTCCAGAAGCTTAAATAATTTTATTTCATGTCATTTGAGTTGTTTAGGTTTCCACGGCAAATGCTGTGTGCAGTTTCAAAGTTAATTGAATATATCTCAGGAAGACTACAATCCTCGATACTTTAAGTTCCTTTTCTGCAGGAAAAGTGCGCGGCAACCTTATTAGCTTGAGTTAGCTTAGTTATGTAAGCATCTCCCAACTCTGACCATTTTAACTACTACTCAGACACAGAGACAGAAGACACATATGCAGTACTTCAGATTATGGTGGGATGGACAAATCAGATACAAGCAAGCTCTATGAAGACAGGAATGAACTGAACCTTGTATCTGTCTAAAGACAAACACTGTTACATAATCCAGCCCTCATGGTAAGCTAGCGTCCCACTAAAGGTGCAGCATGCCAAACCACTCAGATGGTCCCACTGCATACGGAGTTCCTACCAAAGATATCTGCCATCCCCTTTCCCTGTTGGATTCCTTTTTGATGCACACAGAATGGCTCTAAGTGGTCTCTCTAAAGCAGAACAGAGTTTGTAGGTCACTTGGAGTCCAAAATAGATCAGCTAGCGGTTTCTCTTGGCCTAGTGATCTAGATTCCAAATTTCAGAACCTAAGAAACTCTATCAATGTTTAAGCAAGGGAACCCTGTAGATAACCTGACGTATATGGGATGGAGTTATTTGTATCACCTAAAACCTTTTAGGCCTTCTCATTCCTTAGCATCGTCTCTTTAGCCCTTGGCAACTCTGAATATGAAAATAACCAAGGGCTAATTAAGACAAGAGGAAAAATTCAGAGGATCTGAACCCAGGCAAATATGTGCTTCTTTGGTCTTCCCAGCTCTATCTTTTCTTGTCTTATTAAGCCAGTGGCAACCCAGTTGCATGGGCCAAATTCGGAATGTAATGTAAACAAGATGCTTTAACCATAGAACAGGAAGAATTTAAGTAGTAACTCACATAAAAAATAAATTTAAAAAGCAGTCTTACTTGCTTAGCCCAAGTTCAGGTTTAAGACTGCAGGATCCTACAGGCAGGTCACAGAACTAGCTGTACAGAGCACTTGAGTCAGGAATTAACTACCACTGCTCTCACTCTATACTTAGAACTTTGCAAAGAAGCGTTAATTTAGGATTTTTAATGGTTAAGAATTTTTAAGCCATCTTGGTGCGGAAGAACTATTCTATATACCCAAATACTTAATACAGGCATACTGTGATTCACAGATACTGCCTTTAAAAACAAACAAACAAAAAAAAAATTAAAGATTTCTGGCAACCCTGTTTCAAGCAAGTCTATCAAGCCATTTTTCCAACAGCATGTGCTAACTACCTGCCTGTGCCATATTTTGGTAATTCTCACAATATTTCACACTTTTTCATTGTTATATCTGTTATGATGATTTGTGATTAGTGAACTTTGATGTTATTACTGTAACTGTTTTGGGGCACCACAAACTGCACCCATTTAAGACAGTAAACTTAACAAATGTGTTTTGATTGCTCCACTGACGAGCCCCTCCATCTCTCTCCCTCTCCTCAGGCTTCCCTATTTCTTTGAGACACAACAATATTGAAACTAGGCTAATTAATAACTTTACAATGGCTTCTAAGTGCTCAAGTGAAAAGAAGAGTAGTCAAGCATCTCTCACTTTAAATCAAAAGCTAAAAATGATAAAGCTTAGTTAGAAACACATGTCAAAGCTGAAAGAGGCCAAACGCTAGGCCTCCTGGGGCAAACAGCAAAGCTGTGAATATGAAATGCTACTCTGGTGAAAGCCAAAAAGTCTTATTACTGATATGGAGAAAGTTTTAATGGTCTGGACAGAAGATCAAACCAGCCACAAATTTCCGTTGAGCCAAAGCCTAATCCAGAGAAAGTCCCTAAGTCTCCTTTCAGGGGCTAATAGCTGGTGACTTTAAGTTAAAGCCAATGCTCACTGGCCATTCCAAAAATCCTAGGGCCCTTTAAGAATGCTAAATCTACTCTGCCTGTGCTCTGTAGTAAATGGAACAAAGTCCGGATGACAGAACATCTGTTTAGATAATGGTTTACTGAATATTTTAAGCCTGCTGTTGAGACCTACTGCTCAGAAAAGACTCTTTATAATTATTACTGCTCATTGACAATGTACATGGTCACCCAGAAGTTTTGATGGGAGACATACAAGGAGATTAATGCTGTTTTCATGCTTGGTAACAAAATTTCCATTCTGTGACCCATGGATCAAGGAGTAATTTAAACTTTCAAATCTTATTATTTAAGAAATACATTTTTCATAGGCTATAGCTGCCACAGATAGTGATTCCTCTGATGGATCTGGAAAAAGTAAATTGAAAACCTTCTGAAAAAGAGTCACCATTCTAGGTGCCATTAAGAATAATCATGATTCATGGGAGGTGGTGAAAATATCAACCTTAACAGGAATTTAGAAGAAGTTTACTCCAACCCTCATGGATGACGATTTTGAGGGTTTCAAGCCTTCAGTTAAGTAACTGCAGATGTGACAGAAACAAAAAGAGAACTAAAGTTAGAAGTGGAACCCACAGATAGGACTGAATTGCTGTGATCTCATGATCAAACATGGATTAGGAGTTGCTTCTTATGGATGAGCAAATAAAGTGGTTTCTTGAGAAGAAATCTACTGCTGAAGATGTTGTGAATGTTGAAATGACACAAAGAATTCAGAATATTACATAAACTTAGTTGATAAAGCAGCAGCAAGTTCTGACAGGACTGACTCCAATTTTGAAAGTTCTGTTGTGGCTTAAATGCTATCAAACAGCGCCGCATGCTAAAGAGGGATCTTTTGTGAAAGGAAGAGTCAATCTGTGGGGCAAACTTCGTTGCTGTCTTAAGAAATTGCTGTAGTCACCCCAACCTTCAGCAACCACTACCCTGATTAGTCAGCAGCCATCAACAGCAAAACAAGACTATCCACCAGCAAAAAAGATTATGATTCACTGAAGGCTCAGATGCTTGTATTTTTTAGCAATAAAGTATTTTTTTATTTAAGGTATGTACACTGTTTTTTAGATAGAATCTTATTGTACACATGATAGACTACAGTATTGTGTGAATAAAACTTTTATATGCAGTGGGAAACCAAAAAACTCATGAGACTAACTTTATTGTGATACTTGTTTTATTGCAGCAGTTTGAAACTGAACCTGCAATATCTCCGTGGTATGCCTGTACCCCCTGAAAAAAAATCTCTAGTATGAAATACATCACTACGTGAATATTCAGATGACACATAGGGAACAACTTGATGCAGTTACCTTGCCACGTATTTCAGTAGCAAACCAGTGCCAAACATACTTTTAGGCACTAAATGACTTAATATATTCCAAATCTACTCCTTGGGGGCCACATACTGACAGTGATCACTGACATACTTATTTCAACAGTAACATTTAAAATGACTATGGGAGCAAAATTTCTCACAGTTCAGTTAAAAGAAACAAGGGTAAACATGTATTTAAAGTGTCTGTATCTGGTATGGGGAAGAAAGTATTGCACGGTGATATGATCTGGCTGTGTCCCCACTCAAATCTCATCTTGAATTGTAACTCCCACAATTCCCACATGTCATGGGAGGAACTCAGTGGGAGGTGACTGAATTATGGGGGCAGGTCTTTCCTGTGCTGTTCTTGTGATAGTGAATGAGTCTCATGAGATCTGATGGTTTTAAAAATGGGAGTTTTCCTGTACAAGTTCTTTTTCCCTGCTGCCATCTATGTAAGACGTGACTTGCTCTTCCTTGACTTTCAACCTTCTGCCATGATTGTGAGGCCTCCCCAGCCATGTGGAACTTTAAGTCCAATAAACCTCTTTTTTTGTAAATTGCTCAGTCTTGGTTATGTCTTTATCGGCAGCGTGAAAATGGACTAATACAGCTACACAAAAGCTGCCTGTTAACTAAAGGCAGTATCAATATTACTAAACGTTAAAAAATACTAGTTTCAAGGTTGTTTGGGAGTCTTAAAGCAGTCTAATTATATCTTCCTTATTAGAATCTTCCTTAGAAACACTAGTCAAAACACACTGTACCATGAAACAGATCAGTTAACTGAGATAAAGACCAGGAAGTCTTATAGATACCTGGTTATAACCCTGATGCCCATCAAGTGCCCATTCTGCACAAGTTTTCACTGAAAACTGGAGGAATTCTACTGCAAGAACAATAAAAATTCGGTACAGTGACTAGTATATAAGTCCACTTCATTAATTATCCATAATAATTTACATTAAATTAGGATTCTGTATTTACATTAAAATATTAAATCCTCACCACTCAACAAAGGAATGATTAATAGAGAATTTTTAAGGTTACAGTGGAAACTGTCTTTCCATATTAAAAAAAAAAACTCAAAAAGCCCAATTATTCTAAATTTAGAAACTAGTAATCTTTTTCTTTAGGTAGCAATTATAAATATTAACTATACTTAAAATTGCACATCTCACAAACGAGTAGAAACAGGCTCCCTCAATTTTTTTTTCCTATGACAATTATGATTTAGTCAAAGGATATAACATAGGAATTAGTGCCCAAACAAGCAACATTTTTAAAGAGCACCTAGTCTCAAGTCAATTTCTGCGATGTCAACTGTATTTCATTAAAACACATAGCAAAAGAAACCTTTCTCTCTGGTTTGGAAGAAGGAAAACAGACTCTACTTCTCTACTACTACTCTACCCCAAAAGAATCCTCCCTTCTTTAAGATAATGGATGTTTATAACTCAAGAGCCGAACATCTAATTTGATCATAGTTTAATAAGCATTTCCCATGGAATTAAAAATCAAAAGCGATTAATATAGCTGATAAGCATAATAACAAGGATACCTTACAGCTGTGTGACATTTTATTGCTTTTGTAAACTGCTTTTACATAAAGTAGCTGCCTGTGCAATTTTTAGAGGATCAAATGTAGCTGGAATATTGCCATACAAGGTGGCTGGGTAATGAATCATGAAAGTTGTGTTTCTTTCTTAAAACAGGAAAAAAAACAACCTGTCTTCATTTTTTGAAGATGCATAAAAAATTAGTTTCTCACCTTCTGGTATTTCTGCCACCATTTATATGAACATTGGTCTTCTCTTGAGACAGGTTTTGAAGGAAATATCTGGCACTTATTGAGGGATTCTAATTGAACTGCAGACATGGTTGAAGGCAACACACATTCGGGAAGAATTTGCACTTTAGCTTGCTGGATTCTAAAATAAAGAGAACCAAGCATGGTATTCATTTCTAAGATTGACTAACTCAAAACTATAAGTTTCTAAACAGTGATAATTTTAAATACCAAGATTTTCCAAGTTTTATCTTTTAAACATATTCATCAAATACTGATGTTAAGATACAGAAACTTTCAGAAAATAATTTTATTTCATAAATCATACCAAAGTTAAAACCAAAGATAACCTAAGGTACGGATCTTCAATGTCACTGTGGAATGGAAAGGGAGATCTACACATTTCAGATAAATACAGAGTCTATAAATGAAACAAAGTTTTAAAAAAACCAACATACAACCAACTACTGCTTGATACTTCTACTTTCTTAAACATTCTTAAGACACCCAAATTCTTCTATCCCCCCACTTCTTATGCTGCTTAACTCTTACATCTATCCTTTCTCATAAGTCATCTAATCTAAGTAGAGAAAGGAAGAGAAAAATCAAGAATGCATTTACATGGATGAATTAAAATAACACTAGAGAGTTACATGCAACCTTTCTGTGTGCATTCCTTTTCACGTTCTTAAGAGTTTAACTGTACAAAGGATCAAACTATAAATTAGATTTTTTCTTAAAAGTTATTTAAAATGTCATAATAAAGTCATTTCCAAAATGCTACTTGAGAATATCATAATTGCAAACATCTTATCATGAACTAGTGCAAACAGGAAGGTTGTATCTATGAGCTATCTTCCTGTGAGGCATTCTATCTCTTAGAGTGTAGCTTCTGAAATGTAGAATATGTAACTATATTCAAATGCTAGTATATAACACTGTCAGACTGACAAAGTCAAATATATTAAAAGTCTCTGCTTTATTAGTTATACTTAAGACTTCTAAAGTAGTCTTTCATAATAACCACTGTTTGACCACAAGATATTATGGATGAAATTCTGACATTTTACTTATTTATTAGAAGGAAAAATAACTGAGTGTGTTAGAAAGTATCTAAGTTTAATTTAATGATAATAGTAGACTCACTCTACTAACTTTATTTCCTTCCTGCAAACTCATTAGAAATACTCAGAAAATTTGTCTACATGACTTCGGAAAATGTTAAAAAATTTTACTATAGTCAAATTATGGTCAAGTGTTCTTATATTATTATTAGAGCTCATTAGAAACAAAATCTCAATTTTCTTCACCTGATTCATGAACACAAATAACTTGTTAATTACATTATGAAGGTAAAAGTATATACCATCCTATAGAAATTTTTAGAAATCTGATTCTTCAAGGTTATAGGTAACTGAATTAAGAACTATGCTTTACCCAACTATTGTATAAGATTTGATTATGATAAAAACAGTAACATTATTGATCCCCTGGCTTACAGATCATGTTAATTAGTCTGCAGTACAAACTGTCTGAATTGCCTTGAAGGATTAAGGAATGCTCTCCTTTACCTGGTTAAACATGGCCAGGGTCCACTGCATATGCAGTGGCTGGTTCTTCTCCCAGCAGCTGAGTTTTGTTTTTAACATAAGCTAGTTTTTTTTCTTTCCAACTTGTTTATCACAGTTGTTTTGTGATTACAGCAACATAATTTATATAAATGTTATAAAAACCAGTGAAATATGACTTCAACAATAAAACTGCTTCAAGGAACATTAAGTTGAGACATAAACTGCTTTCAAATTAGGTACAGACTACTCTAATAGGAAAAAAACCGCACAAATCTGGAAAAATTCTGCACTCAAATTGCCTTGTGACTATCTTTAGAATCCCTCTTTAAAGAAAAACTAGCAGTATAAACTGTGGATAATGTACAATGAAAGTGCCAGAAAGTCTACAGTCATCTCCAATCTGCAGAACTGCTTCAATGGAAAGACCTTGGTCTCTCCAGATGAAAAATGAATGAATTTATAAAGTTAAAATAAAATGTTTAAGCTATATATGTGTAACATTTTGTGATTTCCAGCTTCAGCTAACTTTTTGACTAACAATTATTGGTCTCAGTCTAGACAGGTAAGAGATCTTCTCTTGTGATGCCAATAGGATATCAATCCCCTCCTCCTCTCTACATGCTAAGAAGTAGGAACTTCTGAAGAGTCCTATGTCAGTGAGACCTGTTTTTATTAAAAAAAAATTTCTATGTGTTCAGAAGATGCCCACCCCCCCTCCGCCCTCCCCAACCCACACACACTCATGACTTTGGGGGTTGTATACTTTTTTTCTTTTTTGAGATGGAGTCTCACTGTTGGCGAAGCTGGAGTGCAGCGGTATAATCTCTGCTCAGTGCAACCTCTGCCTCCCAGGTTCAAGTGGTTCTCATGCCTCAGCCTCCCGAACAGCTGGAATTACAGGCACAGGCCACCATGCCCAGCTAATTTCTTGTATTTTTAGTAGTGATGCAGCTTCACCATGTTGGCCAAGCTGGTCTTGAACTGCTGGCCTTAAATGATTCACATACCTTGGCCTTCCAGAGGGCTGAAATTACAGGTATGAGTCACCACACCTGGCCTCTGTAGTGTACTTTTAATAAATGAAGTGTCATTTAGGTAAAAGATGGATATTTATATTTTTTAATTTTTATTTTTCTATATGCTTATTTCTCTAAGAAAAACAAATGAATATTAAATATTTTACTGGAGAAAGGGAAGCTGGCTTGAGTTTCAAATGTGTTATAGAGAAATTCTGGTATAATGGAAGGAGTACCAGTTTGGAAGTCATGGGACCTAGAACCAATCAGGTCTGTCGCTTATTTGCTGTTTAAGCAAATTACTTAACCTCTCTAGTACCTGGCATTCTGATACAGAAAAAGACGAGACTGAACTAAATCAACTCCAGAATTTCTTTCATTTCACCATTTCCAGTGAAGGTGGTTACAGGGCCAGAGAAGTAGTGGAGCCAAGAGAAATCTCATTCCACAGAGGCCTTTTAAATGAAGACAGACATACCCTTATGAGAGGCCTTAATAATGGGTCTACAGAATACTAGAGAGAATGTGCCCTTTCCAAGTCTTGTCCACCTGTATCAGTTTGATGTTAATCTTTTTTTTCCTTTGAGATGGAGTTTTCCTCTTGTTGCCCAGGCTGGAGTGCAGTGGTGCCATCTTGGCTCACCACAACCTCTGCCTCCCGGGTTCAAGCGATTCTCCTGCCTCAGCCTCCCTAGTAGCTGGGATTACAGTCATGCGCCACCATGCCCGGCTAACTTTGTATTTTTAGTAGAGATGGGGTTTCTCCATGTTGGTCAGGCTGATCTCAAACTCGTGAGCTCAGGTGATCGTCCTGCCTTGGCCTCCCAAAATACTGGGATTACAGGCATGAGCCACTGTGCGCGGCCTGATGTTAATCTTTACTAGAGTCAAAAATCCATTCCTTGTCTTGTTTTCAGAGTTAACGGTATACTGCCATCTTGTGTTCAATAGTTTTTCCACAATCAAAAGTCACTAATGTCAAGACAGTCTGAGAAATATACTTTTCCCCAAGTCAATTTTCCTTAATGATTTCTATAAAAGTATTCACAAATAATCAAAATTGTATGAAGATAAGAAGTACTTTAAAAATGGAACTGTTAGCAAAATCCACAGTAACAAAACAGTTTGCTAATTATCATAATGCAGACCACCCCCACCCGCCCCAGGAGATCATTCTTTCATTCATTTATATAAAATTTATGGTCCTAAATGTAAAACATAAATAAGTCTTGGTCATTGTTCTCAAGCAGCTTATCTATTGAGGGAGACGTACATAAAATCCTGTCAGGACAGTGCAATGTGGTAAGGCTATCAAAGTTTGCACAGTGAATGTTCTGGAAAAGTACCTGGGGAGAACTAAACACCCTAAGAGCTCTGGCAATCCCATCTCACATGCCTCTATGCTCTCTTTAGCTCCAAGGAGCTACCTGACATGTCAATATTTTCATAATTCAAAAATATATAGGAACGCCCACCATGTGAACAAAACAGACAAAACGTTCCTGCCCTCATGCTGCTCACATTGTTTTTTCAGTCTTAATCCCCCACCCCGCCCAAAAAAACCCCAAAATACTCAGAACTTGCATGTGTTCAGAAGATACCACCTGGGCAACACAGAGGTCTGATGAGATTTTCAACTGTGGGTATAAATTGGAAACCAATTCACTAGTACTTGTATTGCGTACCAGGACTGTGTATCTGTGAGACCTCACGGGTGATGCCACAGTTTAGAAGCACTCCGTTAAGAGGTAATATCCAGTGATCAAGGCAAATGCTTTGTTTCCTTTTTAAAAGAGGATAAAATAAACTGGACTTTTTTGTGTCTGTTTTAATGTGTATCCCTTGAATTTGTGCAAAACCCAGCCATGACAGCTTTGTCAAAATGAATTACTGCTGAAACAGTATACTCAGGGAATTTCTAAATGTCACAAGGCACATAGACTACAAGTATTTATTGATCATTTATTATGTAAATAGCATTTCTGGGTGATATAAAATTCACACTGGAGAGGGACACGAAATATAAATGGCTTTTATAGCTCAGCTGGAGCAGTAGGCAGATGTAACCAGTGTGGCTTTCAAACATCATAGCAATGCTACAAAAACCACAGCTGTCCTGGTGAGCACACGAACAGCTCACAAGCCTCTGGTCTCCCTATCCTCTTATGCTCCGAGAGGCCTTCAATCCTAAAGAAGCCAAATCCCAAACAACACTTCCCTTTGGATTTACATGATTGTTCTCAAACCTGGAGAGACATTAGAATCACCTGAAAATCATTTTTAAAAGATGCTGCAGCCTCATCACTCTCTGGAGATGGGAGATGAGGTTGGAACTCAAGCTTCTATAGTTTTAAAAGCTTCCCAGGTGATTCTGATGCATAGCAAGGTTGGAAACCACTGGGCTATACCTTAGAAGGGAAAGAGAACAACTAGTTAAAAGTTACAAAATATGAAGGCTCAGTAGAACAGAAAAAGTACAAGAAAACTATTTCATTAGGAAACATTCAAAGAGCATTAAGGTATATGTTATTTCTTACCCATCTGACTGTGTTCTTAGCTCAAGGACTTTGAACCTTTGTCTTCCAATTGCTTTCACTTTCACTATCTCAATTCCAAAATCCTGTTCTTCTCGATAGGCATATATCTCTGCTGTTGTTCCAAACTGTGCTTCCCTTTCCTGTACATTGCTTCCAAGAAAATTTTAAAAGGAAAGAATTTTGAACATTTGAGTTTTAAATATATGCAAAGTAGGCAAAGCAATAAATACAGGTAAACAATTTATAGAATCAACCCTTACTACAAAGCTAGGATAATTTTATTTATTTATTTATTTGTTTGAGATGGAGTCTCGCTGCGTTGCCCAGACTAGAGAGCAGTGGCATGAGCTCGGCTTGCTGCAGCCTCTGCCTCCCAGGTTCAAGTGATTCTCCTGCCCCAGCTGCCTGAGTAGCTGGGATTACAGGCACATACCACCACGCCTGGCTAATTTTTGTATTTTTAGTAGAGACGGGGTTTCACCATGTTGGTCAGGCTGGTCTCAAACTCCCGACCTCAGGTGATCCACCCGCCTCGGCCTCCCAAAGTGCTGGGAGTATAGGCGTGAGCTACCATGCCCGGCCAATTTTATTTATTTTTAAATCACATGGGGGATATACAAGAAGGACTCAGGAAGTACAATTAGAGAACTTTAGGAAAATAATAGATTTCTAGTCACTGAAAATAATTTAGAACTTACAGGGGTTTAAACTCATTTCCCAAACCAAACATTCTTTCACTCTGTCAAATGACTTATCATTTCTGCTGCTTACTGGCAGCACTGTACTGGGGTGGGAGCTTCCTGTATGTATTTCCTGCCTCTACCGCAGATTTCCTTTATTTGCCATGGGATACTTAAAATTCAGCTTCAATTTAAAGTGGTACAACCTATGAATTTTGAGAGAGAGGGAAAGAAAAGACCACTCTTTTGGAAAAGTAATCCTTTACGTTAAAATAAAAAAGCACTACTTCTCTATAATGAAGACAGTTATTGAAACTAAGATTCCAGAAATGTTTTTCATCAAATATAAATGATTAAAAATTTTTCAAATACCAGAAAGTTAAATTGTGTATGAAGGTGAAGAGCTGAGTTAGATGGTAATGAAATGAACAAAAATACTCCAACTTGCACTATCAAACTTCTACTTAACCAAATTCCTAACCTCACATTCTTACCCAACCTCTCCTGTACATGCGAAATAACAGCCTGCTTTGGCTTCAACACTGACCACTGCAATTACCCATGAGAGGGAATGTATTAAGCAAATGGACTCTAATATTTTACCTGTATGCAAGAACAGCAAAGGTTCTATCTTTCTGAATTAAATTCCGCACCATACTGACTTCTTGAGGGTGAAAAAGCTGAAGAGGTAATGTCTGTCCGGGAATCAGGATCATCATCACTTGTGGAAGAACTGGAATCACCTGACAGCTGTCGTCATCGTGCAAAGTCCTGCCATGAAATTCTTCCATATCAGCACCTAGGTACTATATAAAAACATATATAGGTATAGTGTCATGATCGATATGTAATAAAAATGTAAGCTCAACAGACTAAAGAGCAAATCACATTAAAAGAAATACAGGCCGGGCACAGTGGCTCACACCTGTAATTCCAGCACTTTGGGAGGCCGAGGTAGGCGGATCACCTGAGGTCAGGAGTTCAAGACCAACCTGGCCAACATGGTGGAACCCTGTTGCTACTAAAAATACAAAAATTAGCCAGGTGTGGTGGTGGACACCTGTAATCCCAGCTAATCGGGAGGCTGAGGCAGGGGAATCACTTGAACCTGGAAGGTGGAGGCTGCAGTGAGCTGAGATTGTGCCACTGCACTCACTCGAGCTTGGGCGACAGAGCAACACTCTGTCTCAAAAAAAAAGAAAAAAATACAAATGGGGTTACAAACACTTAATAAACGTGGTATATAAGCATCCCATGTTAAAATATAATTTTTAATCTAACTTTAACTCTTAGAAGAATTTCTAATCTTTTATGAATATATCACAAACACAGAAATTCAAGAATTTTTTTAGTACAAAGTATTATTTTTACCAAGAAATATCTCTATGCCCACATATCACAAACAGTAAGTATAAAATGTTAGTATGTTCAATAACACTCTAGTACCTAGAAGTACAGAGAAGTATTTAATAGCTCAATTACCAGAAAGAGTATAAAGAGCAACAATTCCTCAAACAATTCTACCACAACATAGTATTAAGCTTCTTAAAAATTACAGTTAAATGTTTATCTACTGGCAAATAGCCCATGTCCTCATCCACAATTTCTGATATCTAGTAATACAAATATCAGTCACTTGTTTTTATGAACTTTTATCTACATTTAAATGTATATCTATTATATTAGATCTGTCACTAAATTACATACTGTATGTGATGTCGGCAGACTGGTGTCAAAATTTATGATGTTTGGTTTTTTGGCTTCTTTACTATCCTGGTCTTCAACTTCCATTTCATCTTCTTCCTCACTCTCTGCTATAAAAGTAGAATATTGTAAGAAAAAAAAAAAGATGAATGAAAACCTTTCAAACATGTAATTCCTTCTTCAAAAGAGGGGTACTTCTAAAACCACATGCATTTGGTAAACTCTACAGCACCGTGAAGAGGGAGCCAGAGGACTGGGGTCCGTGCTGGGCTCTGTCAGTAGCTATTTTTTTTTTTTAAGTCAACTGTGAATTTTAGAATAGTTTAACATTTACAGAGAAGTGTAAAGATAGTACAGAATGCTCCCGTGTGTCACACATCCTTTTCCCCTATAGTTAATTTATATTAGTATGGTACATTTGCCACAACGAAGGAATCAGTCTTGGTACATTACTCTAACTAAGCTTCATATTTTAAATGGATTCCCTTAGTTTTTATCTAGTCTTTTTGCGTTCCAGGATCCCACTTTACATTTAGTTATCAGGTCCCCCTACCCTCCTCTGGGCTAGGGGGGTTTTCAGACTTTGCTTGTTTCTGAGTTTTGAGGAGTACTGGTCAGGCCTTTTGTAGAGTATCCCTCAACTGGGTTTTGTTTGATGTAATTCCCATGATTAGACTGAGGATACGTGTTTTAGGGAGGAAGACCACAGAAGTGAAGTGTTGTTATTCTTTTCCTTTTTAGAAATGGGGTCTGTTGCCAATGTGCTGTTTTTATTACATATCCAGCCTATATATTATGAACTATTCCTGCTGTTAACCTTGATCACCTGGCTACAGCAGTGTGTGTCAGGTTTTTCCGCTGTAAAGTTCCTTTCCCCCCTCCTTTTCACATTGTACCCTTCGGAAGCAAATCACTAGGTGTAGCCTCCACTTCAGGGGTGATGAGTTATGCTCCACTCCCTTGAAGAGGAAATGTAAGTTATTTAAAATTCTTCTATATGGGAGATTTTTCTCTTCTCCCTCACCAGTAACTAATTTTAACACCTTAGACAACTCATTCTGCCCAATTAAATTTTAGTTTCCTCATCTGCAAAATGATAGGCTTCAACAAGTCAACCTCTAACGTTCTCTCAAACTCTCAACTTCAATCAGTTCCTACATAAGTAAGAAAAGAAACAAAGCAGGCAAGATCTGTTAATTAAAACTGAGAGAAAGATAACCTAGCAGGAAGAATTTCACAGCATTTTTCTAGTGACAACATTTCCCTGGCAGTCGCTACATTATCTTAAAATGAAGGCCAGGTGTGGTGGCTCACACCTGTAATCCCAGCACTTTGGGAGGACGAGGCAGGCAGATCACTTGAGGTCAGGAGTTCAAGACCAGCCTGGCCAACATGTTGCAACCCCATCTCTACTAAAAACACAAAAGTTAGCCGGGTGTGGTTGTAGGTGCCTGTAATCCCAGCTACTGGGGAGGCTGAGGCAGGAGAATCGCTTGAACCCAGGAGGTGGAGGTTGCAGTGAGCTGAGATTGTGCTATTGCACTCCAGCCTGGGCGACAGAGCAAGACTCCATCTCAAAAGAAAGAAACAAAGAAAATTTTGCAATCATTTGCATACTATTTTGCTTAATTTTAAATTTAAAAATAAAGTTTGCATGAAGCATAAAACATTTTAAAAGAATGTCTTAGAAAACCAGATGTTACCAATGACAGCAAAGAAAATTAGAAAACGCTACACAATACATATGCTATTGTACTAACTGTGAGTCTGTCCTTTTCATACAAACTATGAGTAAATTTCCTATCCTAGACCAGTGACTCTCAACCACAGGTGATTTTGCCCCTCAGGGGATATTGGTTGCAATAACTAAGGGAGTCCTACTGGCATCTAGTGGGTAGAGGCCAGGGATGCAGCTAAATATCCTACAATGCACGAGACAATCCCACCCAAAGAATTCTCCAGCCCAAAAGTCCAGTGCTGAGGTTGGGAGACCCTGGCCTAGACTAACAATAAAGAATTACTGAATCTCATTTCTCACCTCCCAGTTCATGTATTTTTAAATGCCCCAAATAAACTTCTAAATCGATAAAATGTCATTACGAAATAATCATTTGTTTTCCTTTGCATATCATTATTTAAGTCAAACCACCTCTAGCCAGGCCCCTGACAGAAAATAAAAATGATTTTCAATATGGTAACTGCCTTGGACTTTCTATTTATTATTACAACTTCCTAGATATAAAACTTTGTCAAAAACAGAATTACTTCAACTTATATGTAAATAGCCAATGGTCTAACACTTCATACAAATTTTCCTTGGAACATGTAAGTTTCACTGAGATAAAAAAAGAGCTATCTAAATGGATGACAAAAATATTCTGCATCAAATTGTTTGTATTTCCAACTCTGACAGTATGGCTATCACTTGGCATGCAGCACAACCCACTTTATTGCTCTACTACAGAAAGTTTAAAAGATAAACTATTAGCTCAAAGGCTGGAATTAATATTGTTAAAAATTTACATTTTAACTGTTCTGACTCCTAGTCTCTAAATAATTTCTTTAGTAACCTTTTTTTCATAAATATGGCTAAAAACCACTTTCCCCTACTCAGTTATGTTTATTAATGTTTCATTTGCCTAGGATAAACTCTTCACATCTCAAATATAAAGCTTTTTGTTGGAACTTAGAGGATTTACTCTTCAGAACAACTCGTACTACATGGAATTATGGAAAGCCCAGTGTTTCCCTACAAATAAAATTTACGTAATTTGGAGAGGCATTATTGCTATATCTACACCATCTCTGGGCCCTCTCCCGACGCTTTTCTGAAAAACAAAAAACAAAACAAAACAAACAAAAAAAAAACAAACAAAAAACCACGCTGACTGTTCAGAGCTATCAGTGAAGTCTGATGACTCATCTCATGCAGAGGCACGATGTGAATGTCGACAGAAGATCAGTATCCTCCCTCTTCTATTCACCATTCTCCCTGAAACACCGGATTTGGCACAGAGAGTAGGGCTAATGTCTCTGAAAAAATAGCTCAGCTTTCCATCAAAGGCTGGCACACTTACCCTTGTGTCAACTCAGCTAGAATGGCTTCGAGAACAACCAGTGACTATGGTTTATTTTTACAGAAAAGTTCTCTCCTATATGGTGGGCACGCACTCAGTCTCTTCCTCTTTTAATCCATGCTGCTACCAGTGGACAAATTAATCTTCCAAGCATAGATTTCTTTAGGCAATTACCTGAAACCTAAAACTGTTTCTTGGCAATCCACAGGAAAAACCCAAACCCACTGGCAAGAGATGCCAGTTTCCCAGCAACTTAGACCCAATATACCTCCTAGGCCTTATGTCCCACAACCATATCCTAAATATGTGCTTTTAGATGTCTCCTGATCTACCTGAAAGGCTTTTTCCCAAATCCTCTGACCCTTAAACAACCTCTGCCTCTGAAGAGCCACAACAGCATTCATTTATCTGGCCCTAAATCAACCGCCTCTGCAGTTGATTTACGTTTAGTTATATTCTCAGCAGCCCCGCCTAGACAGTAAACCTCAATTATCAGATTGTGTATTACCTCTCGTTTCATCTCCACAACACCTAACATACTTGTCATATAACGAAGGGACTCAAGTAATACTTTCAAGTTTGGATGATACACCTTTTGGAAAGCATCTCTTGAAAGGCATTCCATGAAAAGTTTATGCAATATTCCATGCATTTTTTTTTTTGTTCAGTATTTCAACACAAGGCCAAAGTCTAAACATTTCACACAACATACAGGAAAAAGAAAAACTAAGTATCTCTGATTAAGCATAATCGTACATGCCTGAGAAAGACCGATAGTAAGAAAAACAAAACAGAGAAGTGGTTTAGAGATATAATGACAGACACACCCGGGTTGGAATCCTGACTCTGCTGTGTGACCTTGGGCAAGTCATTGAACTAATCTGCAAATCCAATACTCGCTTATCAAATCGGAAACTGAAAACTGATGTGGGAAGGATTAAAAGGCGACATGCATGCAAAGCGTTAACTGCACGGCTCGTAACATGGTAAGTGCTTAGTACATGTTAGCTGTCACTCTTATTAAAAGGAAGGAGACCAGCAAAAGTAACCGCTGTGAATCTGACCCGGTCCTCTAGTTTCAGAGCATTTCCTAGGAGCTAAACTCAGAACACAAGGAGGATGGAGAGGATGGGTTTCCTGTTCTTAATAGCAAATGCTCCCCCCGACACCCTGGCTCACGGCTCGGGGCAACAGAGCAGCGAAGAAAGCGCCGCGACTCCATCGCTGGCCGAGGGCCGACGTGAAGCAGCTTTCCGGTGCGGCCCTGCTGGGCTGGCTCGCCAGGCTTGGCGCCCCCACGCCCGCCTCCCAGGCCCAGCTGCACCGCTAGCGGCTCCGAGCCTCGCCCCACTCCCGACTACAGGGAACTACTCCGGGCGG
The DNA here is from genome assembly GCF_000001405.40 of Homo sapiens. NCBI lineage: Eukaryota > Metazoa > Chordata > Mammalia > Primates > Hominidae > Homo > Homo sapiens. The sequence goes on from NC_000003.12 coordinate 3,179,617, forward strand.
TTACCAGGCAGGAGCGGCAGGTGGTTGCCCATGTTGTGCGCAGCGTCCTGCTGATCTCCTTCGCCGGCCATGTCTGTTTACCCGCAAAGGAGGCTGGGACAGGGCGGTGCCGAAGACTCCGAGGGAGGGCCCGTGTCGCGCGGCTGCCGCGCACCGGGGCCACAGCGCCCCCTGGCGGCCCCAGGGGAGCAGACGGCGGCGCGTACCCAAGCCTGAAAGTGATGGCCTAGGCGGGAGGGACAATTACAGGCCTGCGCTCCGTCCCGGGGACAGAACGCCGTCCCCTGCCATCCACGGCTGAGTGCCCGGCGTACACGCTGCAGAGCCCTCACTTTGTTCCAGCCCTTAGCATGACTTATTTAATCCTGATATTTTGCATATGGAGAAACTGAGGCTGAGAGCCTTTAGTCTCCACCTTGTTTTTAAACGAAGGGGGCAGGGAGCAAATAGAAACCTGTTCATGCAGCATTAGTTTCAATTCTTAAAATAAGAAGCATATATGTGAAGGCTGGGGAAATCCATCAGTTATTCCGAGGGTGGTTGAATTATTGCTGATTTTCTTCAGTAGTTTCAATGTATGTACATACAACTTCAATAACTTCAGTAGTTTCCATATATGTACATTACATTCCAAAATTAACAAGTATTAATCAGAAACATACTTGAAATGATGATTGCACAGAATGGAAAACGCCTTATAATTGGTAAATAAAATTGTCTGAATATAAACTAGCCTACTCATTATGACTTCAGCTATGTAAAAACAAGTCACTGTGGCAAAAAAGAAAGACTATGTAAAAAATGAAGATAATTCTGTTATAATGGTGGAGTTGTGACTGGTAAGATATTTGTTTTGGAGGGAGGACAAAAGTTTTCGTAGTGTATTTCAGTATCACTTTTTCAGCGAGGAAGGAAAACTGAAAAATCCTTAAATGAAATACAACATCTAAACATGGTAGTGGTGGTGGTGGGCGGAGGCTGAGAGGAAGCAGCAGCATTGCTCAACAGAAAAGTCATGGATCTGAGATTTGAAAAAATGATTTCAGAAAATTTGCCTCCCTGATAAGTTACAAGCAGAAAACTCCCTTGTGACAGAGGCTTGTGAATCATTCCTGTGTCATTTTGCCTCCTGTCTCCGAATCAGTCTGTGGTCTTCGTCAAATCACTTATGGCTGCGGGCCTCAATTCGCCCATTTGCAAAATAAGAACGAACCAAATAGTGTCGCCTATTTGTTCCAGTTAATAATGTCTGCAACATGAATCATAGCATCACCTTTTACGATGAGGTTAATAACAATTACATATACTACGTAATGATTTAACGGAGTTAAGGTGATCACTCCAGTCAATTGAAGGATGATTCTATGCCAGAATGCCAGCACAGAACGATGAGGGAATGGCCGGTGTATTGGTGTGCGTGTGTGTGTGCCCACGTGAAAGAGAGAGAGAACGCAAGCAAGCAGGGAGCATGCACTAAGTAATATGTGTGTGTGTTTGATGCTGTAACATTATGTCTCACTACAGTTTGTAGAATTTCAATAACCTGTGCTTACGTGCAGTAGAATTTTCTTTACACAAGCATCTAGCTTCTGAATAAGTAAGCTCTGACTTTCCAGTCTTTCTCCCCAGAGGTGATACCAGAATTGTCTGAACCCTGGGTCAATCAAGACTTCTCCGGACGAGAAAGCACAGCTGCAAGGCTGGTGGAGTCTACAAATGTGGCTGGAGAAGCACTGGCTCTTTCTCTGTTCTTTTGTGCATTGCTACAGATCACCGGAGCTCACATCTGTGTATCTTTTACTCCCCAATTCTCCTCCTCTCCTCTCCACTCTTCACATTCACCACCTGCTCCCTCCTTCATTTTATCCCTCCGGAGTCTACCTAGTCATCCACAGCTACACCTTTCAGTAGGGATAACAGATGATCATTGAACAAAAATATCTAAGCAAGCAGGTTTCTTGGATTAAGCACTGGTTATTAAAACCAAAAGGAAAACATGGTCATTTACCATTTGTTTAATTTGGTAACTTTATCCTGAAAGAAGATATCATACTGAGTTGTTCCTAACATTTCCTCTTGCTTGCGTGCAGTATCAATGGATAAGGAGCTCTGCAAGCCAGAGGGAAAAGAAATATATATGTTCATAGATCACTGTCTTACAGCTCAAGAATTAACTTTAATAGTACAGAATTAAGGGTGGTAGAAGACGGGAGAAAATGTAAATGAAAAGGACCATCGCTCTTTCCATTTCTGGCTTCTACACAATATTAGCAGCAAGGAGCACATAGACTGGGAGAGGACATTTCTGTCTCCCTTTATATTGTATTTTCTCTCTCTCTGTCTCTCTTCATATATATATATATATATAAAATTTTTTTTTCTCGAGACAGGGTCTTGCTCTGTCCCAGGCTGCAGTGCAGTGGTGCAATCTTGGCTCACTGCAACTTCCACCTCCTGGGCTCAAGTGATCTTCCTACCTCAGCCTCCAGAGGAGCTGGGACCATAGGCACCAGCCACCACGGCCAGCTAATTTTTGTATTTTTTATAGAGATGGGGTTTTGTCATGTTTCCCAGGCTGATCTTGAACTCCTGAGCTTAAATAATCTGCCCACCTCCACCTCCCAAAGTGCTGGGGTTAAGGGATTAAGGATGAGCCACCATGCCCAGCCTCTACATATTTTTTTAATGTGTTAAAGAATGCTACTACTCTGGTCTAAGCGGTTGATTATCTCTTGCCTGGAGTATGGCAATAGCACCAACACTGGTTTCTCGGCTTCTACCCTTAGCTCTCACAGTGCTTTCTCAACAAAGCAGTCTGAGCGATCCTGTTAAAACACAAGTCAGATTATGTGACTCCCCTGCTCAGTACCCTTCCTTGGCTCCCCATCTCCCTTGCAGTGGCCCTTATAATGCACAGTGGGCCCCCAATATCCTGCCCTGATGTCACTTCACTGCTGCTCTGTGGGCTCTCCCTCCCCTCCATCAACACTGATCTTCTTCTTCCACAACCACATGGACCCATGGCCACCTCAGGGCCTTTGCAATTGCCTTTTCCTTTGGCTGGAGTGCTCTCCTCCTGCATAGATGCGTGACTTTTCCCCTTGTACCTTCCAGGTCTTGGGTCAAATACCCCTTCCTTGGGGAGTCCTTCCCACACTACCCAGTGTCAGATTGTGACCCTCTTCCCACACTTCCCACCATTTTCTACCCTTCTCTGCTTCATTTGCCTTCATCAAAGCATTTCTCAACTTTTAAAATACTATGAGGCCTGGATAACGTAATGAGACCCTGTCTCCAAAATAATAATAATAGAATAATAAAATACTGTGAGGCTTACTTTTAAAAACAGTCTCATTTCTCCCCCCTCAAAGGTATAAGGTCTGAATGGGGAATTTCTGCTCCCAAGAACAGGTTCTGGCATTTAAAAGCTGCTCAAAAAATGTTCATTAAATGAAAGATGAATTGCACAGTTCTGGCAGACACCGATTTCCTACCTACTCAACAGCAATTCCTCTTTCCTTCCTTGCCAAGAACTCTGATTTTGTTTGGGGCAATAGTGTACTCTGCTATGGGGTCGTGTTTGCTGTAAGCCTGTAATAACGAGCCCACTCTATTCCTCCAAGCTCCTCTATGGCTGATGGTATCACCTGATCTGGTCCTGGCTAATGACACCTAGAGAAAGTCAGCTTGGTAGCCTCTGAGAATGAAGAGGGAAGATAACTTTTAGAAGAGATTTTCCTCCATGATGAAAGGCAAAGATATCATTCCTCCCCACTTCCATCTGGGATGAAGATTAAGACCCATATTGGTTTGATGGATAAAACCAGCCAACCTAGTCCAAAGATCCAAAATTGTTTTTAAAGGAAATTGTGGATTTTAGAAAAAGCAAAGCTAGATTAACTTGTAGGCATATTTGGTTATCATTTTTTCAATAGATGAATTCATTAATTTTGGAAGTGCATAAATCTTCCAATGCTTTCTCCCTTGAGGCAAAAGCACAGGTGAGATGTAAGCAGCTCCACGGGCATGTTCCTCTCACAGTGCCACAGTTCCCTCTGCCACTCTGTGAGACACGGGTCCCAAACAGGTGACCTCCCAAGCTAGAGACTTTCTTGCCCTGTGTGGTAATTTGAGTATTTGAATTATACGATTGCCAGCCAGCATTTGGCAATTGAAGAATACATATACCAATATTGATTTCCTGCTTCTCTTTAAAACTGGGAAGATTTGGCAACCATGAGTCAGATTCATGCATGGGAACAATGATCTCCGACTAAATAACAATGCCTGGTTTAGATGGGGCAGCCCCTGTTGGTCACAGAAGCCAACCAGCCAGTGTGTGTGTGTGTGTGTGTGTGTGTGTGTGTGTGTGTGTGTGTGTGTGTGTTACCTGCCTTGATCTGGCCTGCATTTGTGTGTGCAACCACATGTATGAGTGTGTAGCAAGTGATAGAGCAACCCCACATTGGGATTTGCCCAGGACAACCCTGGTATGTGTTTGGTGTATCAGCATAACTACCAGACCAGCCCCACCCCTTGCCCCATTCCACTCTTCAAAGTGTGCCAGTTTGTACAATAAATTGTCCTACATATAGAGTGGCAGAGGTGCTTGCAGCACTGTGATGGGGCTATGTGGACATCGTTATCTGCCTGGGGAATCCCAGTCATATTCAGCCTCCCTTGACAATGAAGGATCATAACTATGGCTCTTTAACTCCTTTGTAGCTCTCTCTGATTCAGTCACAGAGAATCATGTTCATCAACTTTCTTTGAACTATGTTAGTCGTGCTGTCACTAACTTAAAAAGTCTTTAGAATTAAATCAGGGTAATTCTCAAGTTCCCAGTCTACAGAGGCTACAAACAGTTTCCTAAACTTGTCCCACTGGAAAAATCTTTTAAACTTTTTTGGCAACCTATATATCAGGACAAATAGTAACGTATTCAGGAATGCATTTTTTTTAAAAGTCTACTTCTTACCATCAAGTGCAGGGGCTGGAAGCCATGGCTGTAGAATGTGTATGGCAGCATCTTATCCTGTAAATCCCAAAGTTATGAGGGAATGAAAGATGGATCTTGTCAGCTTTATGCAGACCTAGAAAGAGGAAAAACAGGGAAGCCTGCTCTGTTAGCAGGCAGAAAACCAGAGGTAGTAAGGGTATTTCATAGCCCCTTCAAAATGTTGACAATTTTATTAATGATTCAGTTTCATATTTCAGTAATATGGTGAATAATTTGGGATTTGAAAAAAATACCTTTATATGCGACTTTCCCTGCTACAGTAATATTTTCAGGTACACCAGAGCCTATACAAGTCCCAGGCATGTTGGATTATTTGCCAAAAATGATTATTTGTGATGATACTTAATGTTGCAATTTACTGAGACTTCCTGCCACTACATCCATCTCTGACTTGACAGGTAAAGTAGGGAAGATTTTTGCAAGAAAGTAAAATGTTGGGTAATTTATGGTTTTTCAACTTGTGTGCAAAACTGTGTTCATGACTCACCCAACAGCTTGTCCTGACACTATGTGCTGTTTCCACTGGAAGCAAAAGCGTACAGAATATTGCAGAGGGGTGAACACAAAGCAGGGAGAGAGGAGACCTCAATTCTAGTCATTGCCTTTTTTCTACCTGTAACTTTGGTTGGGGTATTTCAATGTCTTCCTCCCTGGACTTGTATTCTTGGTCTTGCACATAAGGGTTTACAAAGGCCAGGATATGTGAAGTTTTGCTACAGTAACAAAAATTTCAGCAGCTTAACCAACAGAGGTGTATTTTTTGCTCAAATCAAATGTTCTATGGATTTGGTGACTCTCCAGGGCATCATGTTCTCTGTTGACAGATCACCAGCGAAGGCTGCTTTGGTCTTGTGGAAACTTCACATCAGTATGTGCTTCTATAATCGCAGATTGCCCATGGCTGAAGGAAAAAGCTTGGAGAATTGAACACTGTCTCTTAAATGCTTCTGTCTGGAAGTGAAACATATCACCTTCACTCATATTTCACTGGCCAAGGTGAATCCCAGGGCTCAGTCTAACTTCAAGGGAGCAGAGTAGTCTAATACTCTGTGTAGAAGAAGTGGAACTTGGTTACATTTGTAATGTCTGCCACAGGGTGGTACTAACTTTGTGATTTTCATATCTGTGTACATATGTTGATATATGCATATATACATACAAATGTAAACATGTATACACATATATATTCACATATATAAGCTTCAAAATTATTTGCTCAGAGGAAATCTTACATGGAAACGTAAGTATAACAAATGAAAGAACTACTGAGGATGATGTTCTTGGCTTTCATCACCCTTCTATACTTGAGGAAGACCAATGTTTCACAATCCCTGGACAGTTGTAAAATGCTATGATGCTATTCAGTGGTCAGAAACAGAATAACTTAAGAAACTCGCTTAAAAATAACAGACCAGCACAATTATTAAAATCAGATGTAAGTAGAATCATGTAACTGAGAAGACCTATACTGTATGAAAAAGTTAACCAACTCACAAAGAAACTGAGAAGAGAGACAAAAAACAGGTCAAATCCCAGTCTGAATAAATATCATTCCCAATAGCATGAAGAGGATTTGGGTCCCCAAATCCTAGTAAATATACCCTTTGCTGCAACTGACATTAGCTTACCATTTGTATATGAGGAAACAGAAAAATTTAGATCCCAGGTGTTAATTGGGGAAGATATTGCATATGAAGTTATTAATGGATGCATGAGCAATGTGACTTTTCATTAATGAAAAATAGAAAAATGGATATAAGAGTCTAATAATGTGTTTCAGTAGAGGAGCTAACTGAAAAGTCGTAAGACAGAAAAAAGCTAAAGTGACTTGCAAGACCAAGATGAGAACAAAACTCCAGTGTGTTCAGAGACAAAAACCATGCTAATACTGTAGACTCTGAATTACTTGTCTATTCTTCAACTCAAATTAATTAACATAGTCACTATATGTCTCCTATGCACCGGGTATTTTTTATAGGAACGAGGGGTACAGCAGAAAAGAAAACAGAAGAGTCCATTACCCTGGGTGAATGAGGCTAATAAGCTAGCAGAGGAGAAAGATGACTAAAATGTAACCTTTGCCCTGGGCTGGATTACAGCTTGAGGGTAGAGGTTGGGAAGCAGACATATAAACAGCATAACAGGTATCTAGTTAAGTAGGATATATTATATGTTTTTTCTCCAAAGAAACAGTATGAACCATGGTGGTTGCTGGTGAAGGAGTGCAGGGATCATCTTAGAGAAGCAAGATTAAGTAGAGGGTTTATTTCAGCCACACTGCTTCAACTGCTGGATTCAGCATGAACACCAGGCTAGTTAGTGTGGTGGCAGCAGCAGCAGAACATGGAGGCTTCTCTACCAACTAAATTTCAGGGATGTCATCAATTCTCTGCGTGTACCCATAGCAACAGCTACAATCAGAGCAATGAGCAGTTGGTAGGCCTTATAGTGTACGCATCTCGGATATACACACACTGAAAGGATTTATCACTCATTTTCCTTCATAAAAATTACTTGTATCTAAGATATTAATAAAAATTAAGGATCCAAAATAGGAAATCTCATGATCTAAAAGGATTAACCTTTATTTTTTACTTCTAGAAATCTATCCCATGGAAATAATGCAAAAAGCAGACAAAATTGATCCATAAAGATGTTTATATCAACATTATTTGAAACATGCAAGACAGAAAGAAGCTAAATGATAAAATAATTTGTGAGTTATCTGATATCTTTCCAATAAATGATTTCTCTGCTTTGGTAAGCCAGAGTCAGTTTCTGTTGTTCATTACTGAAAACCCTGACATACAGACACACACACACACACACACACACACACACACACACACACACACACACTCACGCATGTCTTCCCTGTCCACTTGTTACTGGGGCTTAGATCCAATTTAGTCCACAGAGGTGCATGCTTAGACAAAAGCTGTTTTTTTTCTCAGCAAGTTGTATGCTTATTGCATCTGTGTATATATACGTTAAAAAGAAATGCACAGACAGAATAATGCACACCAAAATAAATACTTTGAAACAGTGGGTACTTCTGGATACTAGGAGTTTTTTCTCTACTGGCTTCTAAAAGCTTTCTATTTTTCTAAGACATCATAATTATAAGAAATTATAAATAAACATAATTATAAGTAATTACTTTCATTATAAAAAAATTAAAAGGAGGTATGTTTTCTTCCAAAGAGGTCATACTAGTAGCTAAGACACACATATACAAATAATAGTATACATCCCAATGTGGCAAGTGCTGTCTATAAGAACTTTATGTTATAAGAGTATACCACATAGCAAATGACTTTAACTTTACTGGATGGAGTCACATCCTGGACCTGAGATCCATTCCTGTCTGAACAGGATCCCTGTAAATAGACCATAGCTTAGGCCCAGTATCAGGCTCTAAAGGTTACCATTGTTTTATTATGAATCTCCTACATACTTGGGATTTCTGGTAGCCTGACAGAGTACTTGCTTCTAAATTAGAAGACTTAGTTCAGGTTCTGTCACTCATGAATGAACAAACACTTGTTAAACACTTACTCTAATCCAAAATCAATATCTGTGTTTTGCATATGTTCCTTCATTGAACTTTACAGCCATCTTGAGAGGTTGGTGCTATTATCCCTATTTTTTGCGATCACAAGTCACTTTCTCCCTTTGAAAACACAGGTTCAGTATAAATGATTTTCCAGGTCTCAATCAGCTTTCATTTTTTTCTACAGCTTTGTGAATTTAGTCCTCTTCATATCTTAACTCACTGTGTGTTCCTTAACTTTTGACCTATTCACTTGGTCCTTCTTCCACCATTGCCTGGGTCAACCTCCAGATTCTTCCTCTTGCTTTAGATTTGTGGTCCTATTCTTGCTTCTTTCAGTCCTATGTGACACTGCTCAGCTTCCCCCAAGACAGACGCCAGGGACGAGACATCAAGGGGTCTGGGAGATAGGGAGTGGATGTTGGTCTCAGTGTTTCTCAGGGTAGGGCTATGAGGCCACTGTACTCTACAAGGGGTCCTCCTGGATAGATACAAATGTATCCCTGAATGTTAAGTCTTTTCTTTGGGGACTGAAGACAAGCCTGTGGACTTTCATTTTGATGTGCAACTAAAGATTTTTTTATTAATACAAATTTAAAATATGAATAACTAAAACTTGGTTTTCATAAACAAAAATTAGGGCATTATTAGAGTTTGCTATACACTTTCATTTTATATTGTTTCAAGAAGTCTGGCAGCCAACCAATGCTTTGACAATATTGCAAAGCTTCTACTGAGACTGTGCAGGCATAGACCAAGGGGTTCCCACAACTTTCTGGAAGGATACTGTATTACTTATACAGCGTCAGCACTGTCTTAAGTTGGTTTGGGTTTGGGTTGTTGCTCTTATTGCATTAATTAATAGAGTTGAGAAAAGTATTGGAACTTGCTTTTGTTGTTATGTTGGTTGACTGATGCATTTTTAGAGATTTTATTGTTACTACTCCAATTCTTGGTCTTCACAGAAGTCTTTTGCTCTGCAAAGCAGGAATGCATAGGATAGGGAGGGTTAGGTCTTCTGCTCTGCTGTAATGAGTCAGCATCTAGAAAGTCAGAGCACTGCTGATTTACAGTCCAGCTGGATGTCTTTTGAGCTTCATCACATGGCCATTTTCCTGTTGGCAGGAGTCTCTGTGCTGGCTGATGACCCTTAGGCAGCCACCATATTCTGATAAAGCAAATTGACTGTGCTGCTTTAAATTTGTATCATGCCTGTTGCTGAAAAAGTAGGGAATCTGGGGATTATCCAGGCCCCTCCAACAAGCTCTCTTCACCAGGTTTGGGCAGGAAATAAGAGAGTGGTGAAGCTCTCATTATTCTGAAACACTTGAGCATGAATCTTTCTGATGACAGAGATTGGCCCAATGCCTCGGGCAGAGATATAATCAATGAATACAACCAGCAATAGTGCTTATAATTTAACCTTTTTTCTGCAAAAGGATTTCCTGGCTCACTCAGCTCAAATGTCTTTTCTTCCAGGCACTTACCACTTTATTTTGAAGTTTTATTTTTCCACATCCAGTTCCACAGCTCTGCAGAATGTTGGTTGAGGTTAGAAACCACGCCTCACTCATCTTTATATGCTCAGTGATAGCACAGAGTGAAATGTTGATAAACAATTGTTGGACTGAATTTAACTCAGAGGAGAAAGCCCAGCTTATGTCTACACAGTCATGATATGTGCTATTCGAATGATGGCTTAGAGTGAGAACCCAGTCATCAGTAAAAGTAGTATAGACCTCCAGTCCCCAGGATAGGACAGAAGAAACAGGGCGATATTGAAGGTAATGAATCCAACAACCTACATGTGTGGAATGCTTTCCACCAGCCATGCTCTGGGAGAGAGATTTTCATTCATTATTTGAGTTAATCCTCCAGATAGTCCCAAATATCTGCCTTACAGATAGTTGTTATCTGTAAGGCAACTTAAAGGCAACCAGAGAGTCAAAGCTCTGTGACTACTTAACAGCATCAAAGTAGCAGAGCTGGGAATGCAAATTCAGAGAACTTGATAACTCCATTAGAAGACAATGAGGGGAATTAGTTGCTGAGAGGAGGAGCACACTGTGTGGGAGGAGGTAAAGGACAGAACATGGGAAAGTTATGATGTAAGCCTTGGCAAATGCAAGAGGCATTTCTTCACTAGAAATAGAAGGGAAGAATGAATGATGAGGTAGGGTTTGGGCAACCTGAATAATGGTCCCCTGAAGAAATCTACATCCCTGTGAATACATCACTTTACATGGCAAAAGAGGCTTTGCAGATGTGTTAAGTTGAGGATTTTGAGATGGAGAATTTTTCCTGAAATATCTAGATGGGTTCAATCTAATCTCAGGGGTCCCTATTAGAAGGATGCAGGGCTGGACACAGTGGCTCACATCTGCAATCCCAGCACTTCCAGCAATTCGGGAGAGCAAGGCAGGAAAATCGCTTGAGTTTGGGGGTTTGGGACCAGCTTAGGCAACACAGTGAGACTTTGTCTCTATTAAAAATAAATTAGCCAGATATGGTGGCATGCACCCGTAGTACCAGCTACTTGGGAGGCTGAGGCAGGAGGATTGCTTGAGCCCAGGAGGTTGAGGTTGCAGTTTACAAGAAAATTAGCTCCTGTGGACCGTATTAAGAATTTTCACCCTCCCCAAAGCAGAATCTTATGATTAGCTTTGCATTTGGAAATCAGTATTTGGCTGCAGGGTGGAGGAACAGAAGAATCGGGACAAGTGTGGACTAGGAGACACCAATAAGGAGGCAGTGGCATTACTTGCCACACAGTGCTTGAGACACAGAGGGGGCCCAATAAGCCTTAGTTCCCCACTCAAATTCTAGAAGACTGCCAACACTGACTTGCCTTTTAAAGAAAGTCAGGTTTTCAGCTTACCCTACACTTCAGAGCAAGCATAAATAAATCAATGAATTCTATTTTCTCCAAATCTCTGACCGATCAGCATGTGTAGGCTGCATCCACAGGTGAGAAAAGTGAAATTACTGGGCCTGTAGGCAGTTCAGTTACATTCATACAATCATGCACAGGCAATGAATAATCTGGAGTTTTCCTATGAGTTACTGCTTTGGGAGCAGTTTGAGCCTAAGTTTTGATTCCAGAGAAGGCAAAGAAGAACTATTCTCACCCAGACAATTATCATCTGCAAGAACAAAGTGCAGAAAGCAGATCAACAGTCAGTAAACATAATTTTAAACAACCCACATCCCTAAAATCTATGTTTTTTCACTATAGTGACAAGAATTCTTGAAAGACCAACTAAAAGCAGATAAGAATTTTCTAGAAGGTAAAAGATAAAAGATTTTGATGCCATCGGCCACATTTTTATGAGCCATATCTTTATGACTAGAAATTATTGATTACTGTAAAAGTTCCCTTAAGTCAGGAGACCTGCTACTACTTTTCATGTCTCATTTACTATAATTTTTTTATAGCTGTTTTAACAGTAAATCCTATTTTTGAATTTGAGTATGAAGACAAAAATGAATTAAATCTATCTGAATTTTATTCTATCTGGCAGTTCCTGGCTGTAAGACTTTGGGCAGTTTACTTAAACTCTCTTGCCTCTGTTTCCTCATCTTTCAAGTGGGAATGAAGATAATTTACTCTTAAAGGGCCTTTGTGAGATGAATTATAATAACATGGTGAAGCCTTAGAACAGAGCTGGCACGTGGTAAGCACTATCTCAAAGCCTAGCAATTGTAACCCAGTACCCCCATTTTTCTAAGAGGTGGTTTTTCTCTCTTATTGTTCTCCTGGTTCCCCACATCCTATTTAGCCCTTCAGAAATGGAACTATATAGGCTTTTACCTCTCCTTCAGACATCTCTTACTGGGTAAGTTCACGTAACTGTGTGCTCTAAGACAGAACTCTTAACAGTTAATTTACAAACCACAGCATGTTTGCTAGGGAACTCTCACCCTCCAGGAAGTTGTCTTGAGAGATAACAGCTTGCCCAGGAAAACACCAGCAGTCACCAGCTCTACTGCGTGGTAGATAAGCTAGTATGAGGACCATTGCCCTTGCTCACTTTCTCCCCTGTCTTTTAAAAGTGCTCACTTTCTTCTCCAAGAGGGAAGCGGTACATTTAAAGGTGGGATGCCTGTGCTTCATCCTCTAAGCTAGCTTTGGAAATAAATCACTTTCTTTATACCAGACCTCACTCTTGTTAATTGAACTCTGCAAGTGATAAGCAACTAACCCACATTTTGGTTACACTATTGTTACCTGCTATATATCACTCAAATCTAGAGCCAAGTCCGTTGTTTGTTGTGCATCTTCTCCCACTCATTGGTTTGCCTTTTTGATCTCTTGCCAGTAATTAACCTACTGTCTCTTAGCTCCAACCTCTCTGGGAGGTATTTGGCTTTGTGCTCCCCTAGGAGGTACTAGAGGGAAACCACAAGGCTGGAGAAAGAAGGGACTCACTCCTTCCTGTCTGCTTCTTGCTCCTGGGAACATCATGCTCGTCCCACTTCTCCAATGTCATTGTGTTCCTGTAGCAGCAATCACATCCAGCATGTAGTTTTTCCAACATTTGCAGAACCAGCCTTTCAACCTGTCAAGAGACCCTGGCTGTAGCTGACCAGCACCTTCTCAGAGCACTGAATTTCAGCTCAATAGGCCCCTGCTTCCAGCTTCTGAGTTTAATAATGCCAACCTTTCCCTTTATATTCTAGACCTGCAATTATTACCTCCATGTTACCTTAATGTTCTCTTTTTGCCTTTTCAGTTACCTGGTTACAATTCTGTAACTAGTTAGCAATTCTTTGTATTAAGCTCTCTTTTCATATAACTGGGGTGGTTTATGAAACCTGACTTATCCCCGACTGATGCACATTCTTGCGGTGTTTGTCGATGAACTGTAGTTCAGTTCTTACTTTGAATATTGTCCAATTTCTTTAAACAATCTATACATTAAAAAAATAGACAATCTGAAAGAAAATTGAGCAAGAGGCTTTAACATGTACTTTATAAAAGGGTCTCCAAATGCCCAAACATGAGAATATGTTCAATTTTCTTCATAATTAGGAAAATGCAAATTTAAACTCTAATGAAATACCTACTAGACCAATTAATATTAATTGAAAATAACCAAAGTTAACAAGGATGTAGAACAATGCAAACTCTCCTATGCTATAAATATGAGTATAAATTGGTTACAACCACTTTGGAAAACTGCTTGGAAGTATTTATGTTAGTCATATCTATACCAATGACCCAGCAATTATAATCCTAAGTATGTCCCTAGTTGAAATGCATGCATTTCAATGCATGTACAAGGATGTTTGTAGAAACATCATTTGTAGGCTGCTCTACCTATGGAGTAGCCATTCTTCATTCCTTTACTTTCCTAATGAACTTGCTTTCACAAAAGAAAAAAAAGAGAAAAAAAACATCATCTGTAGTAATTCCAGTTTGGAAGTAACGTAGATATATATCCTCCAACAACAGAATGGATCAACAAACTAAACTATATTTATACAGTGTGATATTATATAGTAATAAAAATAAATTATAGCTCCTCAGAACATGGATAACTCTGACAAAATACTGTTAAGCAAAAGAAGCCAGATATAAAATAATAAATATAATGTGATTCATCAACATAAAGGTAAAAAAATTGGAGAAATGAATCTGGTGTTAGAAGTCAGGATGGTAATTACGCTTGGGCTAATGTAAGGGGTAAAGACTGGGAGGAGGATGAAAGGGGTTTCTGAGTTGGTGATGTTCTATTTCTTGCTCTGAATGATGGTTTCATGGCTGTGATCACTCTGTTCATTGTGTGATAATTCACTGAGCTATGTATTTTGATATATTGTACATGTGCTGTATTTTAGTAAAAATATTTAAAATACTTAAAAGCTTGATGTTTCAAATAGTCACTGAGCATTTATTTGAAAAAAATGGTCAGCTTGTCTTGTCAGCTTCTCCCTTACTATTCCTTTTTTTTTTTTTTTTTTTTTTTTTTGAGATGGAGTCTTGCTCTAGTGCCCAGGCTGGAGTGCAGTGATGTGATCTCAGCTCACTGCAACCTCCGCCTCCTGGGTTCAAGTGACTCTCCTGCTTCAGCCTTCTGAGTAGCTGGGACTATGGGTGCCTGTCACCACGCCTGGATAATTTTTGTATTTTTAGTAGAGACGGGGTTTCACCATGTTGGTCAGGCTGGTCTAGAACTCCTGACCTCAAGCAATCCTCCCACGTCAGCCTCCCAGAGTGCTGGAATTACAGGTGTGAGCCACAGTGCCGAGCCACACTTACTATTTTTTAACTTTCTTCAGGACATGACTTCTATCTCATTTCTTGGATTTCTCTACAGATTTAAAATACAAAACAAAACAAAGTTGCTTTAACCATTGGTTATGGTGCCAGAAATTGCCAACCAGGCTGACAACTCCTTTAACGTAGGGTTCCATTTGGCATTGAATTTCCAGGACTGAGTACATTGTCTGAATCCAGCAAGTACTCACTAAGCATCTGTTAAACGCTAGGGGATTTTTGCCTAAAATATTTCATGACTATTCTCACAACTCTAATGCAGTAACTTGCATAGAGAAAACAAACAAATTTCAGAGTATAAAAATGAATTCTAAAAGCATAATTATAGTTTAAACTACATGGTGCCTCACAAAAAATTTGACTTCAAATTCTTTTAAACTATTCAATGAATTGTCATCAATTTCCTAGGTAAACTATATCACCATCCAAATATATTTTCTGCTTAGTTATTTTTTTCTGCCAAAGTTTTTAGACATCCAAGAAATTATTTTATTTTCTATTTTCTAGAAGTTGCCAGTTGAAATTGTAGAGCTAACATCCTGTGTTAGCAATAGTGGTGGTTAGTTCTGCTTGACCACAACTTTGCCAGCTGGTTGACTCTGTCTGGCAAATCCTTTTACTAGGCTACTCATTGTTAAATGAAGAAGTTGGACTCATTAAGGACACCAAATAAGTGCCAAACCAGCCACTGTTCTTCCTCCCACCCTACTCAGACATTGCTAATCAATCTCATTATACTTTTCCACTGAATCCAAACATAACCTCAGAATTCTCAGCATAGCACACCAGAACCATAACAATCAATTGTTGTTCATAACTGGGCAAAACCTAGTTGTCAACCCTTAACTGGATGATCCAAAATGTTCCTTTCAATTCCAAAGTTCTATGGTCCTATGATCCATAAAAAGTAATATTCCCTGTGGTAAGTCCAAGGCACTGCACAATCTTAAAGAGCATTCAGAATCAAAGAAAGATTACATTTTATTACTCACATTTTCAATGTTAAGAGTACTTTATTGCATTATCAGTCTTTGCAAATGGATAATCCATGTACAGTGCTCATTTAACACAACTTTTCTTATCTATGTATTTCATTTCTATGATGAGATTTAAAATTAGCACAGGGACACACATCAAGTATCCCCACAGAATGCAGATCTCTCAAATCTGAGATCCCTCTGTCCCTTAAGTATTAACAGTAAAATGAATTTTCCTAAAACTGTAGCATTTGACAGGGAGACATTTAGTGGGTGTCTTCATTCGGGGAGTGAATTTAGAAATATCAGGAGCAAAGATCTAAGAAATTGCCTCAGCAAAGGTCTGAGGTTGGAAGTGTTTGAATAATATCTTCATATTAGGTTTAACAGCAAATTTGAGTTTATTCTAATGGCTCTGGATGGGCTTTTTTATCTAATGTTAAAATATATTGTGCTGATCACTGACAGCCTTTTAAGGTAGCATTTCTTGACGGATGAAAGAAAAGTCAGAAGTCTGTAGTACTGCAAACACTGTGGGTGATTCAAATATCAGACTGCTGGCAAATAATTAGTGCTTTTCATTCAAATCTCCTTAAAGAAGTTGTGTCCTCAGCCTAGAAGTGGAATGTTTTTTGTTTATTCACCAAAGAGTTGGGATGACATTATGAGTCCATTTTCCCTTCTACCAGAGGACATGAACTCTGACTTCAGGGGCCACACTTTTAGACTAACAGTTAGGCAATGCTAGTACATGGAACTGACACTGAAAACTCATTTCATGATGCTTTGAGGCTCTTCATAAAAAGGGAGAATCCAATTTCTAGTGAGGAGAGGAGAAAGCGCAAGTGTCTGGAAATTAATCAATGGGGCTGAAATCCTGGCTCGGCCACTAGGAGGAACCCTTAACCTGTTAGGCCTGTTTGCATTTGTATAACTGGGATAAACTAGATGCTCCTAAGGTTTCTTCCAACTCTAATATTCTAGATGGTGCTCAATTAATGTTTAATGATATGGAAATTAACCAGATAATTTAGGCCAATGTGGATTGTAGACCACTTTAAAGTAGAGGTTATGCTTATGACTTTGAGCTGTGTGTGCCTATTGCTAGCCAGGGTGCGTTGATTGCTTAGATAAGAATCAGTTCTCGTATCCTGGCTGCCCCTCTTCCACCCGCTGCCTCCTTGAACCACGCTCATCTTCCCAGTTTCTTTAGCAAGTCATCAAAACATGACACAGCAGTTGGCTTTTGAGATAGGCTCATGCAGTACAGGTTCTAGATATAGTGATATCAGCTCACTTTCCAATTCTGTTTTCCTTTTGATTATAGGAACTTCCACTGTAGCCAAAAGAATACTTCAGGTGTGATTTTGGAATAGTTTTTGACCCTCTGAGTCTCAGTCTGTGGCATGAAGGAAGTATAGGCCTGGGAAATTTCCACGGTTCCCTTCTGCATTATAATTTTACGTGTATCCAGGTGCTCCTTTCAGCCTCTGAGTTCATCAAACCCAGACTAATTAGCTTTCCGATCCAGAGCTGCATGATAAAGACTACTTGCCTCAGAGTGTCCTTTTACTATTTGTACTGGGCTTACCCACCGCAACTGGCTTCACTTGAGTGGCATTTGTTACAAATTATCGATTGTGTTTTCAGATCATTCTATGGTTTTATAGGGATGCTGAAGAAATAATCTCACTGACTATATCTGACTGAATATATGTGTATGTATGCTTATATATGCACACACATATCTATGTATGCACACATGCATTTTATACACACACATAGTTTTCAAAGGAATTGTTTGGAGATAAGTGTCGAAATCTAAATTTGAGGACTGTGGTAAGTATAAGGTCCAGGTTAAAAGACCCTGTGGACCACTGTAGAGGAAGCCCTGGTTTGCACAGTGGGTCGGCTTGTGCAAAGTGCTAGACTCCTGAATATTTCCTGTATCCTTAGAATGTATTTATAAATTTTCTATTGCTGTTATCATAAGTGACCACAAACTTGGAAGTTTAAACAATACAAAAGTCTCATGGTTCTGTAAGACAGAAGTCCAGCTCATGTCTCACTGGGCTATAACCAAGGTGTCAGCAGGTCTGCATTCCATTCTGGAAATTCCAGGGAAGAAACTCTTACCTTGCCCTTCCAGTGTCTAGAGGCTGCCCAGATTCTTTGGTTCATGGCCTTCTTCTCAGTCTTCAAAGCAGCAATATCCCATCTCTGTGACCCTTCTTCCATCCTCACAGCTCCCTTTCGCTCTGTGATCCCAGGTGGCAAAGGTTCTCTGATTTTAAGGTGCTGTGCTTAGATTGGGCCCATCTGTATAATCCAGGGTTTAAGCATTTGTGAATAGATTGGGCCCACCTGTATGATTCAGGCTACTCTCCCCATTTCAAGGTTCTTAACCTAATCACATCTGCAAACTCCCTCTTGCCATTTAAGGTAACATATGCACAAGTTCCAGAGATTTAAATGTGGGCATCTTTAGGGGAACCATTGTTCTATCTATCATGATATAATTAAGGGAGGCCTTCAGGAAAGCCTAATTTTCACACCCAAAAATGAGACATGTGAGGAAACCCAAAGCCTCAAAACGATGGTAAATAATATGTGGTGCTCCAAGGGCCTTGGGGACTATTTTGTTAAATCTCTTACTTTACACATGGGGAAACTGGTGCTCATCCAGGCACATGGCTTGATCAAGGTCACTCGACTTGTTAGCAAAGCAGCTACACCTGGCATCTAGGTCCCCCAGCACACAGCTTAGTCCCCTTCCCGCCTCTTCTGGGGTACCTCTGATTGGACTTTCACTACAAAGAAGTATTTTGTTTTATAAAACCACTGGTAGAAGTCTCTATTCTACTTGGAAGAGTAGTTTTGGATGAGAACAGAAATTTGTTAAGTGGTTTGTAGATGAAATGTCAAGATGGTTTGCCATTTTACAAACAAAATCACTTTTAATCTCAAGTGACAAAACTACTCTGTTGCCAAGGGGAGATGGTATTTAAATAAAGGTCACACAAAATCAGGGGGCAAATGCAACGTATCTATCAAACACTTAAGAATAAGTTCAAAGAATCTTTGAAACCCTGGAAACTTTACAATTCTCTTCTCTACTCTTGTTCATCCTCTCTTTAAATCCCTGAATGTACATATCCATCCACTCATCCATCTATCCACGTATCCATCGTCTACACCTACAAGTTACTCATTGCATCCAGACCATGTGCTAGGGGCATTTGGGATGCATTCGTGAAAAAAACAGAGCCCCTGCACTTGTTTGGTTGAAAGTAGTAAATCAATGTTTCCCAAAGTGTGTTCTATGGCTCTCCTGTATCAGAATGACCAGATTCCTGGTTTCTGTCTGTATACAGAGCCACAGGGGGTTGGGTCTGAAAGTCCACATCTTAGCAAGCTTCCTAGATGATTTTAATACACGTTAAATTTTGTCCCTCACTGCCAAAAATAAAAACAATTCAGCTGGTAGGTTCTCATTTCCACACTCTCCTCCTTGGTTTACTGGGACCCCTAGCAACCGTGGGGGTGGGGGAGGAAGAAGAGCCAATCAGAGTACCTCCCCTATATTCTCTAAATATAGCCAGGGCTCCTCTGCTGCACCTCATTGTATTTTGGGAGGTTCTCAGATTTTCGTAAAGTAAATAGTCCCCATTGGAGAACATTTGGGAACCCACCAACTTGCTCTCTGAATTGAATGAAGACAACAAAAAACTCAAAATTGATACAAACTCAAATTCAAACCTGTGTGCAATTCAGTTTTCTACCTTTCACCATCTCTTCTGGTTTTCAAATAGGCTTTTACCACGACAAAAATATGTGTCAGGACATACTTAGCATTTGTCAGAAGTCAAAATACAGATGTGGTGCTATAATTTAAAATGAATGCTTGATGTGACATGATTAAGTTCATATCCAAGAAGGCAGAGCCCCAGCACTTTGCTTCCATGCATTGAAATCCACAAGCTTAGTGAATTATGCAGCTCCCGATGGTGGGGATTAAATCAGTTATCTAAATGTCACCTAATAACACAGTGAAATCTGGCAAAACATATGAATTTCCCAGCTGTTCTGAGTTGGCTGTTGATTTTGAAAGGCACCAGTTTACTGCTAATAGACCTCAGCCTTCTAAAGAGGGCTTTTCAATACTAACAACGTATCACTGAGTAATGGAAGCAGTCTCCTACCAGTTTTACTTTCAGCAGCATGGCCAGAAACACTGCAGCTTTGGAAAGTACCAGAGATACATACCTAAACCAGTGTCACTGAATTCCTTGAAAAAATGTCATTTCACTTTGGTTAGAGGAATTTCTCTATTTTATCTATTTTAATTTTTTCTTTCCATAGTTTTTTGTGGAATAGGTGGTATTTGGCTTCATGAGTAAGTTCTTTAGTGGTGATTTGTGAGATTTTGGTGCACCCATCACCTGAGCAGTATACACTGAACCCAATTTGTAGTCTTTTATCCCTCATTCTCTTCCCACCCTCTCCTCCCGAGTCTCCAAAGTCCATTGTGTCATCCTCATGCCCTTTGCATCCTCATAGCTTAGCTACCCCTTTGAGCGAGAACATACAATGTTTGGTTTTCCATTCCTGAGTGACTTCACGTAGAATAATCGTCTCCAATCCCATCTAGCTTGCTGCGAATGCCATTAATTCATTCCTTCTTATGGCTAAGTGGTATTCCATCGTATATATACCACAGTTTCTTTATCCACCTGATTAGGTTTCTTTAATTTATATGTAGTCCTATAAGTGCTTATTTTTATTTAAGAGCTTATTTTATTTATTATTTTTAATCAATTAAGTCCATTTGACCAATATTTGTCGAGTGTCTACTGTGTGCCAGGGAAAATGCTAAGCATTGGGGATGCAACGCTGAAAAATGCAAAGGCAATCCCTAATCTTGTCGAACTCACTGCATTCTACCTGCAAAACTGGGGGCTGGGGGGAACAAAGTAATAGGAAGTTGTAACAAATAATCTGAAGTAAATGATGAATGGCTGGAGTAGAGAAGGATGAGGGACACCTCCTTTAGTTCGAGTGGAAAACAAAAGCTTTCACAGTTGTAATCCCATAGACCCTTCTAAATTCTCAAGCCTGTGTTTATGCATAAAATTCCAGTGAGTGTTTTTTTGTATTGATTACATTTTAAATGCCCTTCATTTCATAATAAATATTTTACAACAAGCATCCAGCTCATTAATGCATTGCAGTATGGTCAATATACGCAACATCAGAATTCATATATTATTTAATGACTGAAGCTAATGAGAAATCATGATATTGGTGTTTTTTAGACTTGTTCATTTTTCAAAGTGAGCTTTAAGCCAGGTGCACAAATACCCATTAGCCACAAGATGGCGGGGTTGGTATTTAACAGAGAGTGGCCGGAGAGGAAATACTGGACTTGGACTTGAGAGAATGGCTCACATGCAGAAACAGACGCACACATTCTCTATCTCTGCACTTAAATGAAGAAGAAAATGAAAGCAGATAAGAAAAGAAAGGCATTTAAATAAATGCCCAAGTAAGATTTCAAAGATTGAAAAACGTTCCCAAACTAACTGATGTTACCTGGGTTTGTGACCTCACTAGAAGGTCTGACTATATGATGCCAGTGCTTGGAATTCACCAATTCCTAAAACATATTTGCCGCCCGCACAACCTTTTTTTCACCTCTCACCAAGACAACAAAAAAGTGAAGTTAAATTTTAAACATTAAAAAATAAGGGAAATACCTTGAGCTTGGGTTATTTTAAGAGCCCCACATTCTTTTGGCACATAATTTTTCATGTGTCTGACCTTGGGGACAAGCTTCTACATCCTCTCCTGCCCCTTCATTGGCTCCCCAGCCTCCTTCTGGCCCTGCCCACAACTATGCTTCTAAACTCTTTCCTGTTCAAATCATATTAATTTTCATCCTCCCAGTTAAAGGAAACAAAATCACTGCTCTTCATTCTTTTAGTTCTCTTCGCTAATGTGAATCCTTTTCTTCTTTCCATTTCTGTAAATAAATTGCAAGAACTCCTTGGGGCCGGGCATGATGGCTCAGGCCTGTAATCCCAGATACTTGGGAGGCTGAGGCATGAGAATCACTTGAACCTGGGAGGCAGAGGTTGCAGTGAGCTGAGTTTGTGCCACTGCACTCCAGCCTGGGGGACAGAGCAAGACTCCGTCTCCTCTCATAAAACAGCACAGGCAACCCTGCCTCACTCCTCACCCATTCCCATCCCAGCAACTGGCTTCATCACCCCTATCTACCCTTGGTGATCTTACTTTCTAAAATTCTTCTCTTGGCCCTCAGGGGATTTCCTTCCTATGGTACTACAAAGACTTCACAGGGCTGCTCTTGCTCTGGTCACACCTCAGATAAATTTCAGTTTCATTCTGCCCTGGCATTAGAACGAATAGCCTCATTCTCACATTTTGCTAACTGATTCTCCTCACAGTGTGGAGCTATAATGAAAATAAGAGCAGGGCAGATTTACTCTGTTTTAGTCAGGATTCTTGGTTTTCGGTGAAAACAGCTCATGCTTTTTTATTTGGCATGTTGGAGTCTAGCTGACTAGCATAAAATCAGGAATCTGCGCAGCTAGTCCTGGCGTCTACACGTTAACTGTGAGACCTTGGGCATGACCTCCTCGGGCCTCAGAGTCCTTTGTAAAATGAGGGCCTTCCAAACATGCTCTCAGAGACTCTTTCTCATTCTAACATTTTTTAATTCTGTAAATCAGTGGTTACTTACTTTGCCCGACATCCTCCAATGTGGTTTTTGTTGACTCCTAACTAATACGTGCAGGGCTGCTTTGTTGGGGGTCGGGGGAGGGGTAAAGGTTAAAGGGAAGGGTGGGGAAGGACAGGAGGAGAGAGGCTGGGAGAAAGGAGGGACTCAGCCTACAGCCATCCTCGCCGCGTTAAACGGAATTATGGAAAGAAGTATAGTTACAATTAAGCATTAATCAGGCTGAACTTCAACCTACTCCCTTGTAGCCAAAAGTCACGTAACACTAGATACTGACCATTTGCGTCCCCATTATTTCTATAGATGGGATCTCTCATATTAGAATCATAAAGTTTTTGTTTCAGAATAGCTTGAGCAGGCTGGGTGTGGTGGCTTATGCCTACAATCCTAGCACTTTAGAAGGCTGAGGCAGGAGGATCACTTGAGGCCAGGAGTTCAAAACCAGCCTGGGCAATAGTGAGACCCTGTCGCCACAAAAAATAAATTAGCCAGGTGTAGTGATGTGCACCTATAGTCCCAGCTACTCCCGAGGCTGAGGTGGGAGGATTGCTTGAGTCAGGGAGGTCGAGGCAGCAGTGAGCTGTGATTGCTCCGCTGTACTGCAGCCTAGATGACCGCCCCCCACCCTACCCACACCCCCAACCACCACCAAAAAAAAAAAAAAAAAAAAAGAACTGCTTAAGCAGATCTGGAGATCTGGAATTCTTGAATTCCAGCAAAACAGCTGATGCCAGTTTAAAGACCCCCTCCAGAGAAACCAAACCAAATCAGCATGGATGGGAATACTATTTCTTCATTTCCCTGTCCTGTGACTTCACCCTACACTCTTTTACCAATCAACAATCTCCACATTTTGGCCCACTCCAAAACCCTTAAAGACCCTAGCACCAAACTTCTTAGAGAGATGGATTTGAGGTTTCCTCCTGTCTCCTTGTTTGGTGGTCCTACAATTAAACCTCTTTTTCTGCTGTCAGTGTCTAGGCGTATTGACTTGCTGTGCACATAGGACAACAGACCTATTATGGTTACAAGCCCTCCATCACCCTCTCATCCAAATCCTGTCTTCCCTGCAAAAGTTCCCCAGGGATTACAAAATCAGGAATAACACCTTACCTATTAAGGTGATTGACTTTTGCAAGCTATCTCTTAAATTCTATTTGGAACAATAAAATGAATAAACAAAATAGACGTAGATTATCGCAATTTAACCTTCAAAGAACTTATAGGCCTCTTAGTGACATTTCTCCTTGACAAAACAGGTATGAAAGACAGCTGCTGAGAGCATGAACAGAATATTGTTCCTTGCTTCTCATACCCTCCTCTAGGCCATGGATTCTCAAACTTCAGCCATGAATCAGTATTATTTTGAAGGCTTATTAACATGTTCATTGCTAAGCCTCACCTCCCTAGAGTTTCCCATTCTGCAGGTCTGAGGTGAGGCTTAAGAATTTACCTTTCTAGCAAATTTCTAGGTGATACTGATGCTGCTGGAAGTGCACCCCAGGAACCACTGCTCTAAGTAAAATGCAGGTTGACCTGACTTTACACTTCTCATTGTTTAGGCTGCTTGTTACTTGCTTATGGCTCTAGTATTAATAGAATAATGCTCCCCCAAATATGTGAGTCCGCAGAACCTGTGACTATGTACATCAGGTGGCAAAAGAGATTTTCCAGATGCAGTTAAGCATCTTGAAAATGGGAGATTATCCATGATGACCTGTGTGGACCAACTATAATCATAAGAGTCTTTATAAGAGGGAGGTAAGAGAGTCAATGTGAGAAAATGGTAAGAGAAAATGGAGATGTGAGAACAGAAGCAGAGGTTGGCATGATGTGAGGAAGGGGCCATGAGCCAAGGAATGAAGGCAGCCTCAAGAAGCTGGAAGAGGCTATAGGGAAGGATGTCTCCTTGCCTTTTTCAGCTTCTTCCCATTGAATATTGGAAGTGAGTAGTCTCTCCATCTGCAGACTCAGTAACTTTGCCCGTTTCCTTGACCTCTTCAGGAACATTTATTTTTTCCAGTTGTGTCTTTGTTTATTACTTTTGCTTTAAATGTTCTGTTTCCCTCGTCATGAATACCCTAGATGAGAATTCTCCCTTTGTCCTCCTTAATTGTTGTGCTGATGGCCTCTCATCATCACAGCCTTGTGTGCTGTTCTTCTGCACTCTGGAGGGGCTTCTGAAGTTGTTCTACACCATGCCAATCCTGCCACTGTTCTTCTGTGACAGGCCCAGGTCTCTCTCCATGGCCAGCCTGCTAACTTTGCATCTGTCCTGTATGTAGTCCTCTACAGCAGTCTGTTTTTTTCATAACTTATCTCACATCACAGAAACTCTTCTTGCATCCTTTTGAAGATGCCAAGTATTTTCTTCCCTTTCCTAGAATTGATCATTTTCAGAAGTATGCCTGTATTCAATATGATGTCGTTTTCTGGTTCTGTCATATTTGTCTTATTTTTCCTCTGCTCACCCGGGAATGTGGGAGATATAGTCAAATTGCCCTGCTCTTGGCCCTGTTCACTGTCTGTTCACCTGTTGGTGGATTCCCCATTTTAGATCTGCTAGAGAACATGGGAAGATGCACAGCTCCTACACCAATTTCCAAGAGTAACAGAAACCCAACTTCTAGGATTCTGCCCTGCCAACAGTTTTTCTGTCATTCTGAACTGATAGAATATACAGAATCTATAATCTCTCACTAAATTGTATTTTTCTTTTATTGTTATTATTTTTGCAGCTCTTAATCACAGTAAATTAGCTAGTATTCCTTGAGTCTTCAATTTTATGCACTGATCTCAGTACTTTATGTGAATTTACTGTTTAGATCCCTGCAATAACTCTGTGAGTCAGGCGCCCTACTTTAGAGAGATTAAGAAACTGAGGCACGGAAAAGTTAAGGAATTCTCCCAAAGTCGTGTAGGCACTAAATGTTAGAACCAGGTTTCAAATCTATGCAGACTTCTTAAGTGCTTTTAAGTAGATTTGTCTCTTTGAGCTATCTCATTTTGATAGATTTGGGAAAGTGCACCCATTTTGTAGAAATGGTAAAAGGAAAAACAAAAACCCAGACCTGGCATGAGAATGGACTTGGAGTCCATTACCCCTTCAGCCACACCAGACCTTCCATAGTTATGTTTTCTTTTTTCCTTTCTTTCTTTCTTTCTTTTTTTTTTTTTTTTTTGAGGTGGAGTCTTGCTCTGTTGCCCAGGCTGGAATGCAGTGGCACGATCTCGGCTCACTGCAACCTCTGCCTCCTGGATTCAAGCTATTCTCTTGTCTCAGCCTCCCAAGTAGCTGGGATTGCAGGTGCCCACCACCTTGCCCTGCTAATTTTTGTATTTTTAGTAGAGACGGGGTTTCACCATGTTAGCCAGGCTGGTCTTGAACTCCTGACCTCAGGTGATCTGCCCACCTCGGCCTCCCAAAGTGCTGGGATTACAGGCATGAGCCACCGCTCCCAGCCTTAGTTATGTTTTCATAAAGTCATGCCAATGTTCTTCTCAGTGTGTGAATTCCCAACATTTAGCAATGTCTGATTTATAGAAATTGCAGAATTAGAGGCTCTGAATATATGTTTTCTAAATCATTCACTCTTATATTTCCATCAATGGAGCACTTAGGAGGAAATGCATTTGTTTGCATTTAATGCCTCTTAACTCATGCCTGTTTTAAAAACCAATGAGTAGAAAATTTCTAATAAATCCTCGATTCTTCATCGTTCATGAAACATAAATTATACCCTGTAAGAACAGAGGTCTTGAGGATTTTCCCCATCCCATTTTAGGTAAAGGCAGTGGGCAAGTCTCTTCCAGATGAATCACAATGACCTAAGTTCCAGGGTTCAATAATGAAAAACAGTAACACCAAATATCTACAGTCAAACGTATGCTTCTACCAAGTGGCAAACATATCTCTTGAATTAGACTTCATGGTCTGCATTTCCCTTTTCTGCCTGCACCACCCTTTGCTTAAGGTCTTAGAGTTCTGTACTGTCCAATATGGTAGCCACTAGATGAGTGTGCTTAAATATAAAATATTCAAAATAAAATAAAATATCCAGTTCCCCAGTGACACTAGCTACATTTCAAGCACTGGATAGCCATGTGTGCCTGGTGGCTGCTGTTTTAGTTAGCGTGAATTTGGAGTATTTCCATCACCACAGAAAGTTCTATTGCACAGAGCTGCCTTAGCTGTTTCTCTAGCTGGCAGGTGCAAACCATTCATGGACAAGGGGAGGAAGGAGTCCTCCTTTATTATTTGATTCCAATAATTTTAAAACTGGAAGAAGTACTAGAGTTTACCCAGTTCCTTAATGGTGATGTTAGCAATGGTTTACAGTTTGATAGTATCTGGGACATGTGATTGGTCAATAAATGTCAAGAAATGTTTGCTGAGCGAATGAATTAATGATTTAGAGTTTATGCTCATTTATATACTCTCCCACTTGATCACTACTGGAATCCTGTGGGGGCTGGGCTGATCATTCCCTTTTAAAGATGAAGAAACTAAGGTTTAGAGAATTTAAGTGATTTAGCCAATATTAAACCAGCCAAATTAAGAGATGGACTTGAAACCATAAGTTGTAGAACAGAGAGGTTCTGTTACATTTTCAAGAACATGCAGCAGTTGGGGACAGAGTCAGGACTAGAACCCAGGTCTTCTGAAGGTGAACCCAGTGTCTGTTTTACTATGGCATCACATATAACTTTGGAACATATTTCTTATTTTTTATGCCATAATTATTTGTAGTTATTTCCCATCTTTCCCTCCTTATCTGACTCTAAAATTGTGCCTTTGGTAACTTAATCTTCCAGAAACTCCCTTCAAAATATTGATACATGGCCTAATAATAACAAAATATATTATGAGGTCTTATTACATACCAAGCTTTGTTGTAAACAACTTACATTGATCATTTCCTTAAATCCTCAGAGCCCTGTGGGTTAGATTCTATTATCATCCTTATTTCCTGGGTGTGGACACTGAGGTATGGGTAAATTGACAATACAAACCCCTGAGATCTGACTCCAGAGCCTAAGGGAGGGAACCCTATGCAACTGGTCCAAGAGAGATGTCCCCAAAGTGCAGTTGAAGGTTCGTAGGAGGGAAATCTCTGAGAAACACACAAAAGCCTCACAACCAGAGGGAAACAAATGCCCCAAAGAGAAACAGGCAGTTTTAAAACATCCTCCAAATCATGGCATCACCAGCTACATAAAATTATGCCCTTTTCACCTGCCTATCACCTTCTGGTTCCAGCTTGGAGGGGTGAACCCAGCTAATGAGGACCAGGAGACCCAGAAGCTCCCTACCCTCTCTATAGACTTCAGCAAAGCTAAAAAGAGCTAAAAGCATCACTAAGCTGGAGGCTGAAAATCTCTACAGTCAGGTAAGAGTTTGAATTATTGCAAATTCCTTGAATTGAGACTGTTTCGGGAACAGAAAATGATGGGGAGTTTTTGTAATTATCTGAAAGTGACCCCTGAAAGTTCTAAGATCTGACCAAGATTTCATTCATGCCATAAATTTGAACAAGTAACAGAGGAAAATAAAGTTGTCTTCTGCCCTCATATTGAGCTCAGCAGTGTAAGAAAATGGTTATAGAAATTAAAAAGTAAAGTCTGCCACCATCCAGGTTTTAGGGACTTCTAATTTTATCCAGATCTCTATTCGGCTCAATTTATCAGCTCTCAGACTAGAGGTTGGGCTATTTTAAAACTCCAAGGGGACAATATTTAATAATATATGCTGCCCAACTTCCTCCCAGAAGCGTAACAAGAAAAGGATTTCTCACAACCAAAATTTGGAGAGATGACTCAGGAGAGCCTAGTCTCATGGCCAGACTTGTGAGACAAACTGCTTTGTCTTGAGATGTCCAACTTTGAAAATTAACCAAATACACAAAGAACAGAAGAAGAGCTTGCCTTACTCAGGTATTCTGAGACCCAGGCCCCTGAAGCAGAATCTTCACCTGCCAGCTTGTTTGGTGAGTAATGCATATCCATCAGTAAGCTGAGAGTAAGTAAGTTATATCAGGCATTAAAAGAGATAAAAGTTGTGGAGCAACAGGAACTCTCATTCATTGTTAGTGGGAATGCAAAATGGTACAGCCAGTTTGGAAGGCAGTTTGTCATTTCCTCACAAAACTAAATATACTCTTAACATACGATCTAGCAATTTGTTCCTTGAAATTTACCCAAATGAGTTGAAAATTTATGTCTACACAAAAACCCGCACACAAATGTTTATGGCAGCTACAGTCATAATTGCTGTAACTTAGAAGAAACCAAGATTTCCTTTAGTAGGTAAATGGATAAATAAACTGTAAGTATATTCAGTTAATGGAATATTATTCATTGCTAAAAAGAAATGAGCTATCAAGCCATGAAAAGACATGGAGAAACTGTAAATATTACTAAGTAAAAGAAGCCAATTTGAAAAAGCTAAATACTATAGGATTCCAACTATATGACATTCTGCAAAAGACAAAACTGGATACAGTAAAAAGATCTGTGGTTGTCAGGGTTTGAGGGGAGGGAGGAATGAATAGGTAGAGCACAGAGAGTTTTTTGGGCGGCAAAAATACCCTGTATAATACTATGATGGTGGATACATGTGATTCTATGTTTGCCAAAACCCAAAGAATGTACGACACCAAGAATGAACCCTAACGCAAACTTACAGACTTTGGATGATAACGATGTATCAAAGTAGGTTTGTTGATTATAACAAATGTACCACACTGGTGGGGATGTTGATAGTTAGGGAGGCTGTGTGTTGGGGGCTTGCAGGTATATGGGAACTTCCTGTACTTTCCACTCGGTTTTGCTGGGAACCTAAAACTGCTCCAAAAAATAAAGTCTATTAAAAAAATAAAATTAACTAGAAAAAGAGATACAAGTTGAGTGGCAGACAGCCAGGATCTTAACTGAGATATCTCCCTCTCTTTATCTCTGACCTATCTCTGGCTTTCCACTTTCTTTTGCATCATTTGGTTTTAATCGAAAATGGAAGCTGGGTGCTGGAAACAGCTGGTCTATTCATTGTCTGACTCTGTCCAGGGGATACCCAGAGTCTTTGACATACCTCTGCATAAGCACAGAGCCAAGGGAGAGACCTGGACTGATTCCAAAATGTAAAGAAGAAGCTGGAAACTGGCAGCCTACAGGTTGAATTCTGCCTGCAGGTATATTTTGTTGGTCAGCAATTTACTATATTTTTAAATATAAACTACTTGCCAACATGTAAAATTGTAAGTTTCATATAAAAACATACATTTCTGGCTTTCTTCCTTTTTTTTTTTTTTTTTTTGAGATAGAATCTTGCTCTGTTGCCCAGGCTGAAGTGCAGTGTCACGATGTTGGCTCACCACAACCTCCCTCTGCCTCCTGGGTTCAAGCGATTCTCCTGTCTCAGGCTCCCGAGTAGCTGGGATTATAGGCACATGCCACCATGCCCGGCTAATTTTTGTATTTTTAGTAGAGATGGGATTTCGCCGTGTTGGCCAGGCTGGTCTCGAACTCCTGACCACAGGTGATCTGCCCGCCTTGGCCTTCCAAAAGTGTTTCCAAAGTGCTGGGAATACAGGCATGAGCCACCATGCCCTACCTGGCTTTCTTTCTTTCTGTCTTTTTTAAATCAGAGCTAGCAACAAAGATCCCACATTTCCATTAAGCAATTGCTGGCTAAAGCTGAGCTATTTCAGTTATGTCATCTCTCTGGCCCCTGAGGCAAGAAGGTCTGAGACCTCTGTTGTAATGGGTTTCATCTATTTAAACAATGACTTGGAAGTAATTGTTTGGGTAATAATGATGTGTCAAGATTACTTGGAATTTTCTAAACTGTAAAATCCACTTAGAATAAGAAAAGCATAAGCTAGTATATGACAGATCTGTTGTTCCCTATAGAAAAATTATGGAATTTTCTAAAAAGTGGAAATGTATAGATTATCACATGAGCTTCTACTGAATTACCAGCCAGTGAATATGCAAGAGGTAGCAGAGAGCTGTGCCGGGAATCAGAGTGCTGAAATTGTATTTCTAGTCCAACCTTTAGCTATCTGGGTGACTTCAGAATAGTCTCTTTAATTTCTTGGGCTACAGTTTTATTATTATTATAACACTAGGGATTGATGTAGCCAATGTTCCCTAACGAGTTTTTCTTAAAACACCCATATCTTAAAAAAATCACTGTGAAAATAGGGTTCCATTTGGGAATGCTGTGTCCTTTATCTATCTGGCTTTGGAGGACAATCCTTGAACATTGGTATATTCAGGAGAGGTCCTATAGGGACTGAAACTTGGCTAACTTTGTTTAATCTAGTGCATTTTTCAAATTTACTTGACAAAAACAGCATATTTCTGAAAGACAGCATCTATTAACATGGCTCAGAACTTACATCCTGTGGCACACACTTTGACGAGTCGCAGCTACCCTGAAATCCATTCAGCCTGAGGATCCAATGGTCCTGTGAAGATTTTTAAGTATAGTTTTAGAACTTCAGGATTTTGCATTTCAGGATGTTTATAATTAATTCTTTTGCATTTTATCCATTTTTTTTTCCCTGGAGATAGAAGTCTGTTTTTCTCCCTTAAGGTAACTGTGAAACAAATTAGCAATGGAAAGTATATTCTCTCTGCATTATCTGAATTTGATTTTCCAAGGTTTTCCTTCCTTCTCTAAATATAATGGGTGCTAATCCCTTCCAAAGTGACCATTATGCTGCTAAAATATTGAAGTCTGGCAAAGGCAGAGCTGTTGTGGAAACATTAAGAAAACATAATTACCGTACAATGGCACTGCCTAATTTGCATATTGTTGAAATGCATCTTGACCAGAGAAGACACAATTCTCAGAAAATATTTTCTGTGTCATAATTTCTTTCCCCTTTGTTTTTCTTATACACCTGGGGCTGATCAGAAAGCTTTATTACACAAAGTTGAAATAAATCAAGATTTTTAAAAATCTACTTTCCATGAATGAGGCAAGTTTAATCTTTTATGGTACCTCAGGGGTGAGTTTGGGAGCCCTGAAAAATATAGCTCCTTCTGGAGCACTAAATTCCTTGAAAGAGCTGATGACAATGCTATTTCCTTCCAGATGATGCGACAATGCACACAGGCAGAAAGGAATTAGCCTGTGAGCCTATTTCACCACATATTAAGCTAACCATTCAGCGTTATAAGGATGAATGTAGATTTATATCTTTAAAACAGTCTGAATGGGAACATTCAAATTCTTCATATAGAGCTCTATTTTTTTTCCAACAAAGGCAGAGGTTGCTGCAGGTATTCTTTTCAGTGTTGAACTCAACTCTCCTTGTTGCCATTTTTAAAGAGCTCGATGGCAAGGGATTTGGGATTGACAGCAAGTGACTTCTTACAGTGCTTTAGTTCACTTTTGGCAGAACAGAGGATTACTCTCTGCTTAGAAAGAGACTTGAGTCTAGCATTTAAAAAGGATTTTGATAGTAATAAACCACAGATCGGGAGTCCAGACCATTAAGATAAAATTTGATGGGGATGCATATATAGTCTTTTACTAAAGCTCGGAGAAATAAATTGCACAAATGCATGATGGGTATCTGGACCAGGGAATTTCAGTTAATCACACGCTCATTGCAAGCCAGCAAGTTGTTAGGTTTTATTAATAAAAACACAATATTTAACACAATATGGGAGGTTTCTGTCCCATTACCATCTACACTGGTCAGTCCAGATCTAGACTACTAATTTAATCCCAAGTGCCATATTTTCATGGGAACAGTGATAAATCAGAGAGTATATAGAAGAGGTTTGTATTAGTCTGTTTTCACACTGCTGATAAAGGCATACCAGAGACTGGGCAATTTACAAAAGAAAGATGTTTATTGGACTTATAGTTCCACAAGGCTGGGGAGGCCTCACAATCACGGCAGAAGGCAAGGAGGAGCAAGCCACATCTTACGTGGATGGCAGCAGGAAAAGAGAGAGCTTGTGCAGGGAAATTCACATTTTTAAAACCATCAGATCTCGTGAGACCCATTCACTATCATGAGAACTCATGGGAAAGACCCACCCCCATAATTCAATCATTTCCCACTGGGTCCCTTCCACAACACACGGGAATTATGGCAGCTACAAGATAAGATTTGGGTGGGGACATAGAGCCAAATCATATCAAGGTTGATGGGGTGAGTGAGAATTTGGGAGTGTGAACCCTCTAAGGCAGAGATTGGGCCTTGATTATCTTTGTCTATCCACTAGCTGGTTGCTTGGAAGAACTGAGAATGTATGGGCCCAAAAAGAAAAGGATTAAGAGAGAAGTAATAGCTGGCTGCTATGTGGAAGAAGGTAATTTTCTTGCTTTAGAAAAAACAGAGCTCAGAGTTGCAGATTATTGCTATGTGATGCTATAGAATATTACTTTTTTTTCTGACATGAGATTCTCACTCTGTCACCCAGGCTGGAGTGCAGTGGCATGATCTTGACTTACTACAGCCTTGGCCTCCTGGGCTCAAGTGATCTTCCTTGAGAAGCTGGGATTACAGGTATGAACCACCATGCCCAGCTACTTTTTGAATTTTTTTTTTTTTTTTTTTTTTTTTTTTTTTTTACTGTGAAGCTGAAGTCTTGCTATATTGCCCAGGCTGGTCTCAAACTCCTGGCCTCAAGTGATTCTCCCACGTAAGCCTCTCAAGTAGTTGGGATTATAGGTGTGAACCACCGCACCTGGTCAAATATTATATTTGATTTTTGTTTTTATCTTTTGAGACAAAGTCTCACTCTGTCACCCAGGCTGGGGTGCAGTGGCACAATCATGGCTCACTGCAGCCTTGATCTCCTGGGCTTTGTAATCCTCCCACCCTCGGCTTCCTGAGTAACTGGGATTACAGGCATGTGCCAGCACGCCCAGTTAATTTTGTATTTTTTTTTAAGAGACGGGGTTTCACTGTGTTGCCAGACAGATCTTGAACTCCTGGGCTCGAGCAATTGGGCTGCCTTGGCCTCACAAAGTGCTGGGATTACAGGCATGAGCCACTGTGCCCAGCCCAAATATTATGCTTTAAATAAGAATGTCCAGTGCTAGACGTGAACTCAGACTTGACTAAAATTTTCCACTCTCATTTTTGCCCTATTGTCTGCCAAAGTCTGTGATGTTTCTCAAGGCAAAAAGACTTTAAATGGATTTTCATGAATTGATGTAGATGTATAAAATGACTTTCAGGATTTCTTCCTCTTCCTGTTGCTTCAACTCAATGTTGTGGAATATCTCTTATTATTTTCTACATATCTCTCTTCTTCTATCTGCAAACAACTCCAATGATAAGCAAAATTTGGACGGTCAAATCACCACAAGCCAAATTAATCAGTGATATTGTATATCTAGGAACACCAAAGAATGAGATGAGGCTCCTTATATGACTCTCCCTTCATGCCCTTTTCTATGTGGATTGTTATGGTGAATGGGGGAAAGCTATTGTAATATTGTAAAATTTCCAATTAAAATTATTTCTTATTTTAAACAAGATTTTTAACAAAGCTTTTCCTCCCCAGTGGGAATGGATTTGAGCTAGGGATGATTCTTACTGCATGAGAATGCCATGCGTTAATAAAGTCTTTCAAGATAACTTCCAAATAGTTGTTATCTTATTTTTAAGTAATCTAGGTGTTCAAAGGGCCGCAACCACAAGAAGATGGATGTGGGAAGGCTGGTATGTATGTGTATGGAGGTGTCCATAGCTGTAACACAAAAAACCCATAGGAGGAAGCTAATGGTTCTAGAGCTTCTGAACAATTAGAATAGTCCAATAATGTCAGGGTAGTGTTCTCCTGACCCTGGAAATCTTCAAAGGGCTTGAAAAGCTAGCCATAGCAGTGAGGAGTCTCATAATGTAAGGAATGTCAGACTACTGAACTGTTTCTCAATTTCCTATTAGTCCAAATCACTAACAAGCAATAATCGATTGATCAAAACACAGAAAGTGGCCCGGCATGGTGGCTCACACCTATAATCCCAGCACTTTGAGAAGCCAAGGCGGGCGGATCACTTGAGCTTAGGAGTTTGAGATCAGCCTGGCCAACATGGAGAAACCCCATCTCTACAAAAAATAAAAAAATTAGCTGGGCGTAGATGGTGTGCGCCTGTAGTCCCAGCTACTTGGGGGGCTGAAGCAGGAGGTCAAAGCTTGAGCCTGAGAGGTCGAGGCTGCAGTGATTCAAGACTGTGCCACTGCACTGCAGCCTGGGCAACAGAGTGAGGCCATGTCTCAAATGACAACAACAAAAACAACAACAAACACAGAAAGTGTAGGAGTCCCTCTAGTTGCCACCCATATAGTAAACCAATTTTCCAGTCCAATGCCAATGGCCAGTTCCATCTGTCTCTCTAATCCTTAGAGAAACATCTATGATAACATAACCCAGAAAGAAGAAAGACTGGGATTGCTTTATAATAGGAACCAATTACCTTCTACCCTCTAGAGAGCAGAGTTTCTGGAAACAGACAGAAAAATTGTTGGGGGGCAGGATGAGATTCAGCAAGCATTTATTCAGCTTCACTTTGTATCAGGGACTATACTAGAAACTTCAGGAGATAAACAGAAGAATGTAGAGTCCCTAACCTCTAGGACACAACGGTCTACTTGAGGAGATAGACACACAGGAAGCGAAATCATCTCTAATTATTCAGCTTTGCCTCCTCCTTGCCCTTTCCTCCATCTTGACTAGTTCGAATTTGTACCTCTGGACCAACTGTCTCCTACGTGGCCTTCAAATCTCCAAACTTTCCATTTCTAATACTTTTAACACTCCGCTGCCACTA
This sequence comes from Homo sapiens, assembly GCF_000001405.40. Taxonomy (NCBI): domain Eukaryota; kingdom Metazoa; phylum Chordata; class Mammalia; order Primates; family Hominidae; genus Homo; species Homo sapiens. The sequence goes on from NC_000003.12 coordinate 3,215,009, forward strand.
CTCTCATCATGTTTCTCACACTGGAAAACTTATTCTAACTTCCCGTATGCTTCTCAAAATCATCCAAAACCCTAAGCATGGCATTCAAGCCTTGCAATTATCTACTTCAAATTTTTTTCTACCACCACCTATGAATGCAGTCTGTGATATTATTTGGATACATGCAACACGTGGCCATCTCCCAGTCTTTTCTGATTGTTTCCCCTGGCTGAACCCTCTGGCTCACTATCTTTCATGTCCAGTTCAAATTCCATTTTCTCCAAGAGGATGATCTCAGCTCTCTCACCTGGAAGTACCTACTCCCATGTTTTCAATGACCAGCAGTACTTGATCGTCTTTCTCTTACCGCATTTTCACAATGTAGCTTGAAATGTATTTATGTGTAGGGTAAAATCAAAAGAAAAGTTGTTTGAACTTTAAAAGAGTATTTAGCAAACAAGAAAAGAAAAAACACAAGTGATCTTTTTTAAAATTTGGATAGAGCAGACTATTTTACTTGCCGTTCCATTCAATGGGTATATGCTCTGGAACAAGCCCAAGGTGGGATATAAAAGTAACCTGCTATACCCTTAATTAGTGCCAGTTCCCAGGGTCTTGCTTTTAGGACATGTGATATGGTTTGGCTGTGTCCCCACCCAAATCTCATCTTGAGTTGTAGCTCCCATAATTCCCACGTGTTGTGGGAGGAACACAGTGGGAGATAATTGAATCTTGGGGACAGTTTCCCCCATACTGTTCTCGTGGTAGTGAATAAGTCTCATGAGATCTGATGGTTTTATAAGGGGAAACCCCCCTCACTTGGCTCTCACTCTTTCGTGTACTGCCATGTAAGATGTGCCTTTCACCTTCTGCCATGATTATGCGGCCTCCCTAGCCACATGGAACTGTGAGTCCATTAAACATCTTTTTTTTTTTTGAGATGGAGTCCCACTCCATTGCCCAGGCTGGAGTGCAGTGGTGCTATCTCGGCTCACTGCAACCTCCGCCTCCCAGGTTCAAGCAATTCTCCTGCCTCAGCCTCCTGAGTAGCTGGGATTACAGGCACGTACCTCAATGCCCGGCAGCTAATTTTTGTATTTTTTAGTACAGATGGGGTTTCAACTTGTTGGCCAGGCTGGTCTTGAACTCCTGACCTCAAATGGTCCACCCGCCTTGGCCTGGGAAAGTTCTGGGATTACAGTCATGAGCTACCATGCTGGCCCTCTTTTTCTTTATAAATTACCTAGTCTCAGGTATGCCTTTATCAGCACTGGGAAAACAGACTGATACAACATGTCATAATATAAACATGTATCTGTAAACACTAGTCCCACATGGTTGACTGAGAAGTTCCCATAGAGGAACTATAGAGGCAGGCATATGGCTTAGGCTGGACCAAAGATAGGTCCTACCACAGAGATAGCACTGAAGGTCACCTAATTCAATTTCATTTTCCTCTTCCTGGGCAAATAAAAAAATAGCAAGCAAGTTAACTCCTTCATATAGTGCTCAAAGAACTGATGGTCCATTCCAACCACTGGAAAAACTGGCTTTGTTGGGCTTTTTGAGCAAGATATCTTGGTTTTAACATGGACAAGACCTTTCCGGGAAACCTCAAGAAGAATGCTGGCTTTGGAATGTAGTCTCTGTGAACTAGGTAACTCCAGGATACGTGTCTTATCTCCTCAACTGGAATACGACTCTTGAGTTTTGGAACCATGCCTCCGTCACAATAATACCCAGTGCACTTTGGACACTTAATAGGTATCTACCAGATGAGGGAGTGAACAAACCCTGAATTGTGAAGATGCTACAGTTAGGTACATACCCTTTGATCTTTTTGAAATTTTAAATTCCAGGAATAACAATATCTTGAAACTGGCCATCCATACTCTGTCACACAAAATCCACCTGAGATATTTGTAAAGTGGTTAGTCCAAGACTAGGATCTCAGCCATGGCCACAGAGTAAGAGTGAGACTAACTCCCCTCCTTTCCCCGCAACTGCCTCCCTGTGAGGGGTAACTAGTTGTCTTTATTTCCTGAGAAGAATGCGTTAATAAAAGGGGCTGACACCCATTTTCCTGACAGATATACAACTTACAGACAACATAAGTGCCAAAATACCTAAAGGAGTTGGTGGTCTAATCAAGACAGACTGCAAAAGCTGCATTCCATAGGTGCTGTTTTTTTTCTGCTCTAAGAGGTACGATGCATCACGTAAAACTGATTCATGTTAATGATGAAGAACATGGCACAGCTGATGGCTGTTCTCTTATTTACCAACCTGTGGATCAGCCACTTGTCATTCGAATACTCAAAGTAGGCTGTATTGCAAATGGGATGAAATCACCCACGCCATATCTCAGTTAAGAATAAGAGATCGTCAACTCATTGAAAATGTATGAAAATAAATCCACCTGATACATACATATTTTTGACCTGTTCCAACGGGACATGATAAAAATGTCTCTGAGTAAATTTTATTGCTGATGGAAAGCAGAGGATGATAGCCTATGGGGCAGGTTTGCAGAACACATAGCCCATAGGTTATGTCTCCTCTCCACTGCAAATACCTCTCCTTTTTTTAACCCTCTGATCTATTCAGTTGAATCATAGAGTGTTAGAGTTGAAGGGGTCTATTATATCCTTTTCCAAGATTTTGAGCCTGAAATCCACAAACTTTATAGGTCTTGAAGCCTCTAAAACGTTCTTCAACATTTCTTTGGCTAAAAGCTTCTATTAAGACTTTCAAAGAGGTTCTGAGCCTCTAAATCACAAGCATGCACGTGCACGCGCGCACACACACACACACATTTTAAATTGTGGTAAATACCCATAACCTAAAATGTACCATCTTAACCATTTTTAAGTGTATGGTTCAGAGTGTTAAGTACATTCACATTGCTGTTCAACCGTTACCACTACCCATCTCCAGAACTATTTTCATCTTGCAAAACTGAAACTCTGTACTCATTAAAAAATAACTCCCCATTTCCCCCTTCTGTTAGCCCATGGCACCTACTATTGTACTTTGTGTCTCTGTGATGTTGCCTCTCCTAGGTTACCTCATATATGTGGAATAATATCTTGTCTTTTTTTGAATGGCTTATTTCACTTAGCATAATATCCTCAAAGTTTATCCATGTTGTAGTATGTGTCAGAATTTCCTTCCTTTTTGTGGATGAATAATATTCTATTGTAAGCATATGCCACATTTTGTTTATCCATTTACCTTTTTATGGACACTTGGATTGCTTCCAGCTTTTAAATATTATGAATAATTCTGCTATGAACATGGGCACGAAGATATTTATTTGAGGACCTGCTTTCAATTCTTTCGGGTACACTCATACACAAGTGGAATTACTGGATCATATGGTGATTTTAACTTCTTAAAAGAACGGCCCCATGCTTTTTTTCATAGCGACTGCACCATTTTCACTTCTACCAACAGTGCGCAAGTGTTCCAATTTCTACATATCCTCACCAACACTAGTTTTTTTTTTTGCTGTTTTTCTTTTATTTTAAATGACAGTAGCTATCTTAATAGGCGTAGGTGGTTGGTATTGTATTGTGGTTTTGATTTGCGTTTCTCTAATGATTAATGGTATGGAGAATCTTTTCATGTGCTTGTTGGCCATTTGTGTATCTTCTCTGGAGAAATATCTATTAAGTCTTTTGTCCATTTTTCAATCATATTATTTATTTTTGTTGAACTTTAGAAGTTCTTTTATATACTCTGGATATCAACCCCATATTGGATACGTGGTTTACACACATTTTTCTCCCATTCTGCTAGGTTGTCTTTTCCCTCTGTTGATTTTGCCTTTTGATCCACAGCTTTTAAATTTTGATGTAGTTTATCCATTTTTACCTTTGTTGCCTGTACTTTTATATTTCATATTTGTATTTCATACCCAAGAAATAATTTCCAAATTCAAAGTCAAGAAGCTTTTCCCTTATGTTTTTGTCTAAGAGTTGTATGGTTTTAGCTCTTACATTCATGTCTTTGAGCTGTTTTCAGTTATTTTTGTACATTATGTAAGGGTCCAATTTCATTCTTTTGCATATGGATACCCAGACTTCCCAGTGCCTTTTTTTTTTGAAAAGATTGTCCTTTCCTCCATTGAATGGTCTTGGCACCCTTGTCAAAATGAGTGGACTATATATGGAGAGTTTATTTCTGGGCCTTCTATTCTACCCAAAATAACAACCTTTGAAGTTGGTTTTGACACTTTACACGTAAAGAAATAGATTCCTGAAGCAGGGGGCTCTATTGTAAATCATTCTCTGTAAGAGAAGACATACAGGACCAGAGCTCAAGTCTCCTGATTCCTAGGCCGCTGTGCCTCCCTTAGTGATCCACTGCAATTCCACCTTGCAGAGTAAACAGGGGTTATTTCTTAGGATTATGCATTTTTCTCATTCTCCTTTTGTAATAAAGCCAAAGTCTTGACCACAGAGAAGGGTACATGGCTTAGGCTCGGTCAAATTAGTGCTTATTGTGGGGATTGTGTCCTAGAATAAACAAATTTATTTTTCCCCCTCTTCCTGGGCATAGAATAACTGCATTATTTTCTAGCTTCTCTTACTGTAAGGTGGGGCCATGTTATTTGGTGGGATATGGATAGAAATGGTATATGCAACTTCCAGGCATGCCCTTTAAGACACCCTTTATATACTTACAACTTTTTTCTCACATCTTGGGACCTTGCAGGTCAGATACTTAGACCAAGTGTCATAGAAGAAGGAACTCTAGATTCTGAGTCACTTAATGCAGGAGAGCCCTTTCTGTTAGGCACTATATGCACTGGTGTTTGTGTGCTTTGAAATAAAGTTTGATCTTCTAAACCATGGAGAGTTGGGGGGCTGTTACCACAGTCTAGCCAGGGCTGTCTTTGTGGTAACATAGTGCCCTACTCTCCTGAGAACACTGTTCATTCCAAGGGTGGGCATATAATATAAAGACAGCCAGGCAGAATCCTTCTTTGTAGTACCACACAGCTTTGTTGCAGTAACAAACAACCTTAATAATTTGGTGGGATCAAAACCACAAACATGTACTTTTCTTTCGTGTAACACATCAGCAGGTTTATGTTGCTGCTGTAGCTGCATTAACCTTTTTATTATGGGGGCCAGGCCAGTGGAGCATCCTCTATAAGGGGCCTGCCTGGTCTTGTGGCAGAGGAGAAAAGCTAGAGGACTGGTGGAACACTGGTGTATTAGTCTGTTCTCACCCTGCTATAAAGATACTACCCAAGAATGGATAATTTATAAACAAAAGAGGTTTAATTGACTTACAGTTCTGCATGGCTGGAGAGGTCTCAGGAAACTTACAGTCATGGCAGAAGGCGAAGAGGAAGCAAGGACTTTCTTCACGTGGTGGCAGAAGACAGCATGTGTGGAAAGCAAAGGGGGAAGAGCCCCTTAAAACCATCAGATCTTGTGAGAACTCACTCACTATCACAAGAACGGCAGTGGGGATCCATGATCCAATCACCTCCCATCAGGTCTCTCCCTCAACAATATATGATTACATTTCAAGATGGGGGATTACATTTCAAGATGGAGGATTACAATTCAAGATGAAATTTGGGTGGGGAAACAAAGCCTAACCATATCAACTAAGATGCCGTGTACTCCTAATCTCGCCCTTACTACTTCTCCTGTTCACTCCACTCCTGCCACAGTAGCCTTCATGGTATTTCTGAGAAATACTTGATGCACTCACACCTCAGAGCCTTTGCACTTCTGGCCCCCATGCTTGTACCTCTGTTTCCCAGGAGCATTTACTTCTTTTTTTCCTTGTGATCTTTGCTCAAGACTGCCCTTATCAGAGAGAACTTCTCTGACCCCATTATATAAAATAAGTTCTCCCCATTCCAATCACATCTCCATTCCATGACTGTGTTCTGCTTATTTTTGTCAGAGCATTTGTAACCCCTGACATGTTGTATATTTATTGTTTGTTTCTGTAAAGGAATGACAGTGGGGACTTGGTTTTGTAAACTCCTTTACCCACCTTTTTTGGAACATGGTAGATGCTTAGTATCTATCTGTTGTAAAAATGAATATATGAATGCATACAATTGATATAGGGATTAATTCAAACCACATAATGTCTGTAAAATGCATAGTGCTAGACTATGGACATAGTAGATGTAACTCTACTTATTATTGCAAGCTATGTGTAGGCTGTGCCTTACCTCCATTCATGATCATTCACAAAGCAGAGGCCAATCTGGGAGAATTTGGGAGTAAGGCTTGACCTTTCTTATCAGGACCTCTCCAGTGGCTTGTTTAGACAGTAAGTAATGAAAATATCAGGTAGAGACACACCTGAAAGAGGATTACTGAATTCTAACAGGATGGCTGAAAATAGACAAAAATCCCCCAAATCTATCCTTTAGAGATAACAGGCAGCAACCACTACAGAGCACAGGTGAGGAAAGAGCCAGAATTGTGAACAAGCTTCACAGTGAGAATGATTTCCACAGACTGAGGCTGGGGCTGACTGCAGGCCAGGGGTGGTGGTGGTGGTCATCATCATTTAGAATCTGTGAGCTTCAGAAAGGCTTCTCCTTCTCCCCTTCATCCCCATCAACAGTAAAATTCCAGTGGTCCTAGTTGTAATATATTCTGAGATTTCATCAGAGCAGCACACAGAAATAGCAAGGGGCAAAGTGGCGATCTCATCAGAGAATCTATTATATATACCCTCACACAGACAGCCTATTGCACATTCTTTGATGACCACACAGGGATATTGTTTACACAGAGCTGCTTTATTCTAGCAGAGATCCCCCTGAAGAGCTGCAGGAGCCATTTACAGGCTGACAGCAGCAACCACTAAGGCGAAAATCATAGCCACCTCTAATCTGCTTCCTACTCTCTCCCACTTGGTCCTTCCTTCCCTGGCTTTCTCTGGGTGGCTGCTTTTGCATGCATTTGTGTTACCACCTGCATTTGCCTCTCCTTTCTCAGACTCCCTTCTTCTCCCCTCATTTCACTTTTCCTTCTCTCTGCCTCTTTCATCACCTAGTATTTACCCAGTACCTAATGCTTGTTAGATGCTGAGGTTGCCCATGTGGCTATGATGAAGATGGCAGGAGCCTGCTTCCTGTCCTCATGGAGCTGATGGTCAGTTGCTGAGTGTGTGTCTTCCAGGGAACCGAAGAGGAGGCAGGAGAGCTGAACTGTGATTTTCAGGGGAGGTGGGGAGTTAGGGAGCTATCTGGAGAGGCATTTGAAGGATGAATTTGGATTTGAAGACATGAGATGGGCAGAGCCTTTGAACAGGAAAGGCTAAAAACCCACAAAAGCCTGAAGCTGGGTAACTGCCAGAGAATAGAGAGCAGCTAAGTGTAACTTCACAGTAGCTGTCTGGTATACCTACTGTATGTCAGGCATGTGCTTAGGCACGTGACATAGAAAATCTCATTTAATCCTTGTTTAAGACTATGATGAGTAATTCTCCTTTACAGATGGAGAAATGGAGGCTGAAATAAATTGTGTAACCTTATCCCACAACTAGTTAGTGGTCGAATTAGAATTTAAACACAGATTCTTAACCACTAGGTTTTACTACCTCTTGAGGGGAATAGCAAGAAATCTGTTTACAGCAAAGAAGTGACAGCCAGATAGTGAAGGGTCTTGGATGCCGGTGGAGTTCCCAGTTTCCTCAGTAAGTGATGGTTATGGGTGGAGTGGGGCTCTGAAAATGTTGAAGCAAGGCATGAATACATGGTTTCATTTAATCTTTGTCTTACCTGAGTATAAATAGGCAAACACACACAAATTAAACTCCCTCACCAAGGTTAACTTTCTCCTGTCCTTTGCATCATCCTACACATCACTGATGATGAAGATAGTTCTGTCTGAGCTGTTTCGTGTCTTTCTATTTCACATCTCCTTCCTAGTGTCTTGATTACTGTTCGATACTGTGACAAGGGCGTTTTAATACAGCTAATTATAACAAGGTTCTAAAAATCCATATTTAATCCATATTGGCTGTTGCAGATCCTGTGGTGCTGGTTTGTTTTCTTTCTAGTGCATTATTTAGCAATGAAGAAATTTTCTGGCTCAGAAATTGTGGGCTCATTATCATTTTCATAGTTATATGGTAAACATATTCCCAAATTGCGATGTTAAATTTTCTAAGAGTCCCCAGGAATTTCATTTTCTTTAAAAATTTGCTTATTACTCATTCATTAAATAGATTATCCTGAAGTAGATAATACCATCTCTCGTGAATGCAAGTTTCATTACCTTTCCTTGAGGTTAATAGATGAAGGTCAGATATAAACATGCCAAAGAGCTTTTAACTCTCTTGGTTACTGGCTGTATTTTAAAATATTCCACTCAAGTTTTGATTTGGGACTTGACCTCTGAGATCTTCAGTGTAGCCCCCAAGGTAGAATGCTAAGTAAATGATCAGTCTGTCTTCAGGGAATTGGGACTTACTGTCAACAGTTTCACACATTCTAAAGATTTCTTTACTTGGGAAGAGGAAGAAGGTACTAGTTTGTTCTTATCATGATCAAAGAGGCAAATGTTTCCATTTAAGCTTAAATCAGGTTAAGATAGCATGAAGCCTCCTCATGATGAGCATATAAAAGGAGGAGGGAAGGAAGTTGAAAATAAGTAAATATATCCAGGATAATTCTTAAGCTCTAAATGTAAGAGAGATACTTGTGTTGCCTTTCCTTCTTTTCATTTCTGGCAGGTCCCCAAATTCTCTGGGTTTAAGGTCATGAGACTGCAAATAAACAGTCTGACAATTATATATACAGTAGTCTAGGGGGAAAATCTTCTGGTTTTAAGATTTGTGGTGTGCACTTCCCCAACATTGGTGGAATATCCCTGATGACACACCACCTTGGTAGGTGAAGCATATCTATTTTCTGCATTAATTCATGTATTGATTCATATTCTTCATCCCTACTACAAGATAACTGGGATGGTTAATTTTGCATGTTGACTAGACTGGGCGACAAGATGCCCAGATAGCTGGTCAGACATAATTTCTTGATGTGTCTGTGAGGGTGCTTCTAGAAGAGATTGGCATTTGAACAGTGGACTCAGTAGCTAGCCCTCCCCTATGTGGGCAGCCTCATCCAATCTGTTGGGGGCCTAAATAGAACAAATACATGGAGGAATGGAGGACTCATTTATTCTCTCTTACTGTTAGAGGGATATCGATCTTTTCCTGCTGTCAACACTCCTGGTTCTCAGGTCTTCAGATTGAACTTGAACTTACACCATCAGCTCTCCAATTCTCAAGTCTTCAGACTCAGGACTGGAACTATACCACTGGCTTTCCTCAGCTTACAGCTTGCAGACAGCAGCTCTTGGGATTTCTTAGCCTCCATAATCACATGAGCCAATCACTTATAATAAATCCTCCCCCTCTCCATATAGATAGATAGGGATGGAGATATAGGTACATATATATACCTATATGTGTACCTATATGTGTACACATACACACAGATATATACATATACACACTATATACATATATATGTGTGCATATATATATGTGTACATATATATATGTGTGCATATATATATGTGTATATATATATGTGTGTGTGTGTGTATGTATGTGTATATATATATATATATATAAAATAACCTATTGGTTCTGTTTCTCTGGAGAACCCTGACTAATACAGACACTAAATGGCATTGAAGCAATAGACTGAATCAGATAGTGCCAACTGTAGTACTCACAGTATCCTTGGGTGAAACAAATGAGTGTAAGAGGGCTATCTCCCATTTACTGTGAAACACACAGCCCTCCCTGTCTTTTTGGTTCTCCTACTTTCTCCAGGGACATGAATACAAGAAATATTTCACCTTAATTACACTGTAAGAAGACTAGCACAAATACAAAATAACAATCAACATTTTATCTTTTCAGGGAACAACAGAGCTTGATGGGACTTAGGCAAACTTCAAAGTGGGTGCTGGGCAAAAAGGGTTTGGTTGTTACCAGGCCTTAGCTGACTGGTGCAGATTGCAAATAATTATTGTAAGATCTGCTATTTTTTTTTTCCAAGAGATGTCAGAAATCTGGATTTCTATGTAAACAATCCAATTTTCAAAGCTGGCCACTAATTCAAATTTTTAAAAGTCACATAGGTTTGGGAAGAAAACATGTTATAGGCCATTTCTGAGTCATGGATCACCATTTTGAGAAGTCTGGGACAACTGGAGAGGTAGACATGCTGAGTGGGGTGGAAATGGGGAGAAAAAAGCACAGTTAGAACATGATATTGTCATCATCCTTGGAGCATGACCAAAGCAGGTACATTTACACGGTTTCCTATACCAGACAGTAAGTGTCTGCTAAATCAGAACCATATTCACTTTAGTGTAGTTAAAATGATTATTAGAATGATATGTTGGTAATTTAAATTAATTGCATAATGATCCACCACAGATTACAGTAAGTGAAGGAGAAAATAAAAATAAACACTGAGCTGGAACAGATTTGTAGGATGAGCAGAGAATGACAATTCCAGAGAAGTGGTAGATACAGAATTCACAAATCCTAGTCTCTCACCCTTTTACTGAAAACATGAAGGGGACTGGCAAAAATATGGCAAAAGTAGTAGTGGTTCTTACAAAAAGAAAAGATTTCAAATTTAGAAGCACCGTCTTCAAAAGAATCATCCTTGTTGTCTAGAAATTATTTTATTTATTATAAGCCAAATTGTGATTTTTATACTCCATTAAAATGTTTCATAGAGTTTGTTTATAACCTTCAGGCAGGTAGTGATCTCATTCAGTCTTAATTTCTTTATTTGGAAAAGAGTGATAAACACGATGGCTTCTGAAAATTCAACTCTATCATTTTATGAGCTTCTATTCCCGGAAGTGATAGTTGTCCCATCACAGGAAGTGATGCTCCACTGGAAAAAGACCACTTAAAAGAAATGCAATTAAAATAGGGACCAAAAATGTATGCCAAATTGCGAAATGTTTGATTGGAATTTTCTCTCAAAAAATGGGAAGAAAATTACAAAATTTGATTCCAAACTTACCATCATTTAGGTTATAAACGCAACTATGCATAAGATGTCAGAATGAACACAGCATGAATCAAGCAGTGATTGATTCTGGACGAGCATATTTTTTTTCTGACTAATTTCAGTGGTAGAAGATACCATATCTTTTATTTCGTGTTTGACTCTCACAGTGTGGAAATCAAGAGGGGCACTTCCATGAAAATGTTTGAAGGCTTGATCAATTTTCCCAAGAGCCTCTCTTTCATCTTTGGTACTTAACTCGTTCCCCTCTGAAGCATTTATCTTGCAATCATTCTTGTCTATTTTTCTCTTAATTGTTAACCATCTGACTTTACAGGTCCTTATGTGTCAAATGGTTTTATGTTCAATTAGAGCAGCTTTCTCTCTCTTTCATAGGTGTTACAAAATCCTGCATTTTGGGGGCAAGACTTATTGGATCTACAATTGCTTTTCATTGTTGAAGCACAGAATTGACAAATAATCAATAAGGTGCTACCTAACATAGACAGTAGTCTCTGAGTTTGTGAATGGGGCTAATTTTGTAAGCAGTCAACTATTAGTAAATATTTTTGTGCTTCCAAGACTTTTCCCTCTCTTACTTAAATAATTCTATGATAAAAAACAAACAAATATTCTTTAATTACCTGATTCTTCTCTGCTTGAGTGTTTTGTGATTCTTCTCCATTGAGTGTGTTACTTACCACACACAGCATAAGCTTATTATAGAAAAACTCTAATTTTCTCTTTTCAGTGATAGATGTATTCAATAAACTACTGTTTACTTTCTGAAGTTTATATTTGGGAGAAAAAGACAAGAAAATAAACTCATGTATTAGTCTGAACATTCAGTTTTTAGGTATGGACCAAAGTTTGTAGAATTTCAGACCAAACTGCCTGTGCGTTCTCCAACAATAAGAATTGAGGCTCAGAATCCAGACATCACACCTGCTTAATTGCATGTGGTCAATTGCATGTCATTATAGAAATACATATATAGGCGTGTGTGTGTGTGTGTGTGTGTGTGTGTATATATATATATATATATATATATATTTTTTTTTTTTTTTTTTTTTTTTTTTTGAGACAGGATCTGGCTCTGTTGCCCACACTGGAGTGCAATGGTGTGATCTTGGTTAACTGGAACCTCTGCCTCCCAGGGGCAAGCTATCCTCCCACCTCAGCCTCCTGAGTAGCTAGAACTACAGGCACACACCACCATGCTTGGCTAATTTTTGCATTTTTTGGAGAAATTGGGTTTACTATGTTCCCAGGCTGGTCTTGAACTCCCGGGCTCAAGCAGTCCTCCCAACTTGGCCTTCCAAAATGCTGGGATTATAGCCGTGAGCCACGACGCCTGGCCTATAAATAATTTTTAAAGTAAAATATAGATTAAAAATAAAAGCATAGAATAAACTAAGAGAAAAAAATTGTAGAAAATCTGCAATGAAATATTTTAAAGAGTTAAAATTAAAACCCTCAAAATCCTTGGATCAGATCCACCCACATGAGGTTCACTTTTTAAAGATGAAATGATTTTAAAAAAGTTAGCAAAAGGCCCTCACAACTGGTAATAATAGGACTGGGGCGGAACTGCAAATCACTGCTGGGATACTCTCTGAATTATAAATTAAAATAGAAGCTACTTTACAATATAATCATTTGTCTAAAACAAGTAGGAATTGCAACCAAAGGGCAAATTGCCCAACAAGAATTGCCAATTATAATGTGATGTATGAACTTTGTCAGATAGGAACTTGGCCTTCAGAGAAGATGAGTGTCAGCCTGTGGATCGCTTCCAGCACTTACAGTCAGGAGACAGCAGGGTTTCTACAGCTTGGCACTATTGGCATCATGGGCTGGAAAATTCTTTCTTGTGGGGGTTGTCCTGTCCACTGCAGTATATTTAGCATCATCTGTAGCCTCTACCACTAAATGCAGGCAGCACAACTCCTACCTCCATCCTGCCTCCCCACACCAGAAAGTGACAACCAATATGCTCCAGACATCATCAAGAGTCCCCCAGGCATATAAAATTGCCCCTCCTGTTTGAGTACTGCTGGGGCTGGGACTTTTACTTAAGGGTAATATTCACTCTTTTTTAGTGGCTTCTAGAAGGACTCTTCTAATGTATTTCAACTGAGAACTTCCCAAATTTTTAGTCATCCCAGTACCCTGTTGATGTGTTTTCTCATCATTGTGTACTAATTTTAAGAACTTTGATAATTTATATACTACCTGCTCTATTATTTACTTAATATTTCTTAAAGCTATTTCCCTTTATAAATGGAAATAAATTTATTTTAAAAGGAAACATTTAATCTACTCTCATAAATGGAAGCTCAGCATTAACTAGAAGGTAATTAAAAATATATATACGGACAGCAAAAGTATTAAATTCTAGCTAGATAGTATTGGCTGCAGAAGTCTCATCATAGCCTAAGGTCTGTGCTCTATTTATTAAACTGGAGAGACTAAAAAGTATTCAATGTGTTGAAGGCACGCTAACATGGAGGATGAGAAGTTCTCCTTGTGGTATTCAAAGGATGGGGGTATAAAAAATGTAAGGGAGTGATTTTCTCATTATGTTGAAACGGCTTTTGCAAAAATTATAACAGTGAGAAAATCATGGCAGTGGGGGAGATCTGATCTAGCCAACCCATCTCCTGCCTTTAGCTTTCAAGCTGCCTTAATTTTTCTTGGGCTTAGGCAGAGCCAACTTTGGAAGACGTTTAGGTTATAGTTTAAGTAATAGCCCTTCTCCAAAACTCACCCACCTTTGTGAAGCTAATGAGATACCACCAGGCCAGGGGGAGGAGAGAAGCCTAAATTCTGCTAAGGTGTAGACTGATCACAAGATATGCAACTTTCCCAATTACTCCTGCAGACAATATCACTATTCTAGATTGGCCTTTTGAGATATCTTTTCAGGTTTTTTACATGTCTGACACCTACAATGATGGCTCCACCTGGACCCACCCACTGCTCCTGTGGCCCCACCCAGAAGCAATTTAGAGTGCAGGAGGACCATTTTCCACACCCCTATGATTGCATCCCCAACCAATCAGCAGCAATCACCCACTGCCTAGCCACCCCTACCCCTTCCCCTAAACTGCCTTTGAAAAAACCCAAACCTACAAACCTTCAATGAGATTGATTTGAGTAATAACAATCTCCTGTGTGGTGTGGCTGGCCTGGTGTCAATTAAAGTTTCCTTACTGCAATGCCATGGTCTGTATTTGTGCAGCAGGCAGGAAGAACCCATCAGGAGGTTACATGTTAGTCAATGGTATTTAATATCATGTACCACTTAAAAACATTTTCAAACAACCAGTGTTTCAATCCCCCATTCTGGGAGATACTTTCCTACTTTATCTGAGAATTTATCTGGTTTGGGTGGGAAGAGTTAGGCACCATGCACAAGTTGTTATGTTGAAGTCAGAGCATAATCAGAATTATCTCATGGTTTTTTGATCAAAAAGAGTGTTTGTTAACATCTTGTGTGTTGAGTAGGTTCTGCTACATAGTCATTGCTGGCATGGCCTCTAGAACAGAACAGTCCTGCTTTGCGACCTAGTCCCTGTGACAGTGGCTGTACCTCTTTGTAAAGCTATCCAGTATGGATGACATGAGATAACTTATGTAAAGTAGTTAGCATGCTTGGAACATAGTTGGCACAACAATGCTTTTGAAAAAAAAATTTTGTTTTTTTTTTTGAGATGAAGTCTTGCAGTGTCGCCCAGGCTGGAGTGCAGTGGCATGATCTCAGCTTACTGCAACCTCTGCCTCCTGGGGTTGAGTGATTCTCCTGTGTCAGCCTCCCGAGTAGCTGGGACTAAAAGTGTGTGCCACTTTCAACACCTGGCTAATTTTTGTATTTTTAGTAGAGACAGGGGTTTTGCCATGTTGGCCAGGCTGATCTTGAACTCCTGGCCTCAAGTGATCTGCCCACCTTGGCCTCCCAAAATGCTGGGATTACAGGCTTGAGCCACTATGTCTGGTCAAAAATATATATATATATTTTTTTTTAAGTACCAATTTTCAAAAACAAGGTCTGGCTTTCTTCGAGGCCGAGTCTCTAGGCTAGTTAGGAATTTTCTTTGAGGCCAATTCTCTAGGCTAGTTAGCAATTTTTCATAAAAGTGAATTCTTTGTGTGTTTTTATAAAATGATGAATTATTTCAAATTATCACTATGTAGAAAACTCACAGGCCATTTCTTCCCTTGACATTTCTAATTTCATTTCTTAGACTCAAGAAGTTTGTGAAGTTCAGTTACAAAGACTTGTCAGGTAGGTAAACGATCTATTTAATAAGGTTCATCCTCTCCAACAAAAGTTGGCAAAATCCCTGCTGAGTCACTAAAACTTTTGTTTACTTGGAGGTATGTCGTAGTGTCCTGCTTCGGCTAGGCAAAGACTGGATCACATGGTGACCCCTATTTATGGGTTCAGATTTGTGGTAGTTGCATGCAAAATCTTATATCAAGGGCACACGCATTTCTCAATGATAGCCATCATCCCTTGTGTTGAGGCAACGAGTGAATGAAACGAACATTTACTGAAGGCACTACCATATGCTGGGTGCTGTGGAAGACCCTTGGTATTGAATCTTCCTGGTAGTTCTGTGAGGTTCCTATTATTCCCAATAAAAGAAGAGGAAATTAAGGCTCAGGGAAGTTACATGACTTGCTCAGGTTTTCACATCCAGTAAGTAGTGGATTTGAATCCACAGCTGATTCCAAAGTCCATGCTATACCTGATCTATAGCTGTGGAAACTAAAGCAACTCCATCTTGGATGCTAATCTGCCATGTTGATTTTTGATTAACTCTAGTTCTGGGAAGGCCTCTAAGATTTCGTTTATCAATTGTCGCTTGTGTAAGAGGAAACGTAAATCCTGCCCTTGAGCAATTGTCCTACGCATCCCTTCTGAAACACATATGGCCTTTCCCTATGGTGTATAAGCCCTGGGTCTGTGGGGTAATGGCATGGGGATCCACCATCTTGTCTCACCATAGTCTGAGACACAGATATGGTTTCTGCATCTAAGTCGCTATCAAATGTTTATGAGAAACTGGATTTGTCAGCCTCTTTATTTGGCCTCTCAGCTTCCTCAGACTTTTAAGGGAAGGTGCTGTGTTAGTCTGTTCTCACACAAACTACCTGAAACTGGGTAATTTATAAAGAAAAGAGGTTTAATTGGCTCACAGTTCTGTAGGCTTTACAGACTTCTGCTTCTGGCAAGGGCTCAGGAAACAATCACGGTGGAAGGTGAAGCAGAAGCTGGCAGGTCTTACACGGCCAGAGCAGGAGGAAGAGAGTGACGGGGTAGGTGCCAGACACTTTTAAATAATGAGGCCTTATAAGAACTCACTGTCTATAATAAGAACAGTAAGGAGGATGTCCATCCCCATGAGCCAATCGCCTCCCACCAGGCCCCTTTTCCAACACTGGGGATTATAATGTGACATGAGATTTGGGTGGGGATCTAAATTCAAACCGTATTACTTGTCCACCACAGAACATGTGGCAAGTTAGCCAGGAGCTGACAGGCTAAGAAGTGGGCAAAAAGAGTGAAGCATCTGTGGGGGAAATCCCAGGGTGGCAGCCCTTTGTATGTGGAGTGGTACGGCTCACTTTTTAGAAGGCTGTGCACAAGTACAGGGACATGCCGAAAATGCCAGCGTGTTTAGAGTGATTGGTTACTGAGAGCTGTCTATCACACGGTGGTAAGGAAGAGCGGTGAATCCCTGCTGCAGTAAGATGGCTGCTTCTCTGGGCTGCCCATTTGTTGACGGGAGCCTAGCCAGCAGCAGAAGCAAAGTAAAATGGCTTCAGTAGGAATTACAGTTAGAAAAAATGTTTGTTAAAGAGCTCAGAGTCAAAAGTCAACTTAGTTAAAAATAATATTTGGGCTATATATGTATAGATATGTTTTGTTCTAAGGCCTCTGCTCTCTCTGTAAAACTTCTCAGTCAACTGAATTCTTTTTGTTTCTCTTTTTCCTTGTCTGTCTATCCTTTCTCTTGCCACTCTCAATGTCAGAGGCATTCAAACCAGAGTGACTGCATTATGAACAGGGGCTGGGTGAAATAAGCCTGAGACCCACCAGGCTGCATTGCCATAAGGTCACGCATTCTAAGTCACAGGGTGAGCTAGGAGGTCAGCGCAAGATATAGGTCACAAAGACCTTGCTGACAAAACAGCATGTGGCAAACGAGGCGGCCAAATCCCACCAAAACCAAAATGGCAATGAAAGTGACCTCTGGTCATACTCACAGGTCTTTACACATTAGTTATAATGCACTAGCATGTTAAAATGATGGCTTTATGATAACAGAGATATTCACCTGCTGAATATGCCCATTACCCAAGTCATGATAAATGCTTACAGAATCAAACAACAGTTCAAGAAGTCTTATCAAATTTGCTGTCTCAGCTTTCCCCTCTGAATCTTAAATAGGGAAAGGCAGAGGGATAATCAAATAACTCATCCTAGGAAGGTAAAACATTTTAAACAGTTATTTAAAAATAAGACAAATTAGGGCAGGCACAGTGGGTCATGCCTGTAATCTCAGCACTTTGGGAGGCTGAGGTGGGAGGATCACTTGAGTCCAGGAGTTCAAGACCAGCCTGGGCAACATAGTTAGTGAGACCCTGTCTGAAAAAAAGAAAAGAAAAATAAAATAAAATAAAATAAAACTCATATCAGCATGCTAAAAAAAAAAAGTGGGTAAATTTAAAAACACGGATGGGGTGAAACTAAGACACAAAAAGAAAGGGAGAGTCATGGGACTAGTCTCAGCAGGGTGGAAATCTTTAGATGGTTATTAAGACATGAAGTGAATAAAATGTAAGCTGAAGGTGTTAAAACAAAGGTCTTAATACAGTACTACTGAAGGCTGAGTGAGCCAAAGGGAACCCCTGCTGGTCCCCCATTGCTACAGAGCCCCAAATCAGTTTTCTGTATTTACTCCAGATTAGAGAAATTTAAAAAATTCAGAAGGCAAAGTTACAATGAGAAAGCTGAGCCACAAATGCCTGGGGCAATGTTGAGGCAGGTCAATCAAGATAAAGATTGACACAAGGGGCCTGGGCTCAACCTTCTGCTGGGAACCCACAGCCTTTTTCACCATGGAGGGTAAAATGGTCTGGAGGTAGAGAGGAAAGGTTTCTGGGACTAGCATGTAAGAATGTAAAGACTGATAGGATTATACAAGTTAAAATGTTTAGGCTTTATGTAAAGTAGTTGTGTCTTTTTCACCTAAATGTTTTATGGGAATAGGCATTGTGTCTGACTGGGAACTGTTTCCGCTACCTAGTATTGCAGAACTGAAGGCATGTAAATGTGCCCTTCAAGCAGTATTACTTGAACATGCTAAATGGGAACCAGTAAGACTGCCTGAGTCCTCAGAGAGTAGGATAGATGCTGGAGTGCTGGTAGGGACAAGTTATCTACTTGATATCCCTTTATGGATCACTCATTGGGGTTTATGGCAAAAGCCTGTGAGCCCCCTCCTCACCACAACTAATTGGACTTTGGACTAGAGAATTTCCAGTGGAGGGGAATTTACTACCTTGCTATAGGACATTAACTGAAGCCACGCCTATGACGAGAGGACATAACATGAGCTTGGCACCTGAAATACCCATGCTGTCTAGGGTGATGTCAGAGAAATACTCTGATGGGGATAGCAGTGCTGTGATAGTTAATACTGAGTGTCAACTTGACTGGATTGAAGGATACAAAGTATTGATCTGGGTGTGTCTGTGAGGGTGCTGCCAAAGGAGATTAACATTTCAGTCAGTGGGCTGGGAAAGGCAGACCCACCCTTAATTGGATGGGCACCATCTAATCAGCTGCCAGCAAATATAAAGCAGGCAGAAAAACATGAAAAGGAAAGATGGCCTAGCCTCCCAGCCTACATCTTTCTCCCATGCTGATGCTTCCTGCCCTCAAACATGAAATTCGAAGTTCTTCAGGTCTGGGACTCAGCTATATACATATATATATATACACACACACACACACACACACACACACATATATATATATATATTTTCCTATTAGTTCTGTCCCTCTAAGAGAACCCTGACTAATACAAGTGCCCCAAAGAGTTCCATAATAAAATATAAATGGCTTATGTAGGACCATGCTTCATGGGCAGTGCAAGAAGGAGATATGAGCAGAGAGCCTCTTTTTCCCTATGACTGACTCTAGACTATGTGAGGAGATGCTGGATTCTACAGTGCCCAATAAATAGCTCTCACCTGACTGACAAAGAGCTGCTTGGTTTGCGGATAGCCATTCCAATGTGAACAGACAACATCCTGTTTGTAAGGCTGCTACCCTGATTGAAAAAGAGTCAAGAAAAACTTTTTCTTTTGAGCAATTAATAGCTTAACATAAACTGGGTAAAGCATACTTTTGTGAGCAAAATTTGCTTTTCTCTTTACCTGATTTCTCCAAAACTTGGAAACTATTTATGAGTATTCTTATTTTATGGCAATATATTTATATAAATTTAATAAGAATCAGGTTTTTTTTTTTTTTTTTTTTTTTTTGGTAACAGGACACAATTGGAGACACTGGTTATTTTACCAAGGCTTTGACTGGAATGCCATATTTTCATATAGGACCAGACTGCTTTGAGGAATTAATGTTGACTTTACAGAGCCAATAAAAAGCCTGTTGGAAAGACTGGCCTAGTACCTTGTCTACATGTTTCCCTTACAAGGTTCCTGACCTGTGGTAAGTAAAGAATGCCATTTTTTGATAGGCCCGAGAACATCAAGATATTTGGGGAACTCAAGAAGTGGGGAACTCACCCAGTTCATGCAGGTATTGCATGGTGAATCTTTGGCTTGACTTTCTAGTCTCAAGGCTTTTAAAAAGTTTAATCTGAAATTCCTTATGAAAGTTCCAGCAAAGTCAACTTAAAGGAAGCCCATATGGCTAATCACTATTCTTGTGTGCTTTATGCAAATAACCAGGCCAAGTAAAGTGAGACTAAAATTTATTTTCCAAATAAATTAGCCCTACTACAATTTATCCTTGGGAGAAATGGGGAAACTGAAGAGAAAAAATACATTTTGGAAGAAAACTATAGTAGACCCATTAATTATTAGATTCTAGCCCTAGCCATTGTTTTTGAGTTTTTAAATCCTGAATAATTTCCTGGCTATAAGAAGTCTCTAAAGAACTACTGGGTTTTAATTTTCTTGATGATGCTTTTAGTTGGGTCCCTAATGGACCAGGTTCTTTTCTGTTGCTCTTGTTCAGGCATACAAATTCTCTTTTGATTGTAATCTTTGTGTGCATTATATTTCTACTATTCAAATTATTAATGTTATATATCTCTCACTGTTTTACTTCTCCTGAGAAAACCAAAGCCATGGTATTCCGAAGTCTAAGAAATGATTCAACAGAGCTTGTGAACCCTCCTCATTTGGAATCCCACTGGGCCCAATCTGTTTTCCAATGCCAACTCACTGCTGCTAAAGCTATACAGTGTAAATCATCCTCCCTAAAGCCTCAGGCACCACCACGGAAGAGGACGGCATGTGACATTGTCAGAGCTAGATTATGGAGGTGGAGTGTGGAGGCTATAGCAACTTCATCTTGAATGCTAATCTGCCATGTTGATTTCTAATTAACTCCAGTTCTGGAAATCTTCAAGATTTCTAGTTTATCTGTTGTTCCTTGTATAAGAGAGTGTACTTATCATAACTCCTACCCTTAAGCAATTGTTCTATGCATCCCTTCTGAAGCACATATGCTCTTTCCCTATGGCATATACGCCCCAAGTCTGGGGCTAATGGCATGGGGATCTACCATCTTGTCTTGCTACTGCTTAAGACCCAGACAAGGCTTCTGTTTGTAAGTCCCTATTCAATGATTCTTTCTGAGAAACTGGATTTGTCAGCCTCTTTCTTTGGCCTCTTAGCTTCCTTGGACTCTGAGGATAGGTTTGCATAGGCCTGCCCACCTTGAGACAATAGCAAGGATACCTCTGTGGTGTATGAACAAATCCATTGAAAACATTTACAGTGTGCATTTGTGTAGTATTTTAGGCTACTTTATACTTTCATATCTAATATATCGTTTGTACTTCACAATCCATTTTTCAGAAAAGCAATTTTTTGATTCCAAGGAATGGCTCACCTGGAGTTTTACAAATATTAATCTCATCTAGTCAACTTACTTTGGCAGTAGGGGCTCATTCTAATTGAAACGTATATCCTCTAATCATTTCAAACTGGAAGCTGCAGTTTTAGGGCTGGAAAATGTTTTTATTTGTATGACCAGGTGTTTCACTGAGGACTGATTTATTCTTGGGTTTTGATGGGTCCAGGCTCTTCTAATCTCAAAGTCCCATGAAAGCCAAATAAAAATGTTTTAAAGCACAGAAGCTAGGATATTAGATGCCTCTTAAGTGAACAATATTTTTTAAACCTACTTCAGTCAAGTACCTTAATTTCTTCTAGCACTGGACTTGTGGGCTAGCATATATTGTCATGGTCATTTTAAAAGTATGGAAGAAGATGATGATGATCTCTAAGTTCTGACATGCTGCAAAGGTTACACAAGGCTTAAAATTCATAACCTTGCCTGATGTTTTTATTTTC
Organism: Homo sapiens; assembly: GCF_000001405.40. Lineage (NCBI taxonomy): Eukaryota > Metazoa > Chordata > Mammalia > Primates > Hominidae > Homo > Homo sapiens. The sequence continues at coordinate 3,236,652 of NC_000003.12, forward strand.
CTTAGGAGTGCCCAGTTTGTTCCCTTCTTCTCCAATTGTTTTACTTTACCAAGACACTCCAAGTAAGTTGGAGGCAACTTTGCATTCAAACTTTGTTTCTCGATTCCCCAAACCCAGAGAAAAGTTGACCTGATACTCAAAATGCTATCTAAAACAAATTACAAAAGAGTGGAAGGAAAGTTATTGCCTCTAGAAGCAATAGGGAGGTTTTGTGATAAGGAAATATACTAGAAAACTCATCTCGATCATTTCAATCACTGGACTCAGCCTGTGCTTTGAGGCCAATTTTCAGTCCTCTAGTGTCTTTCTGGTTTTAATTAGCTATATAAAGCAAAAAGGCAAAATATTTTCCTTTATGTGAAAAGTATTGCTGGATATTCCTTTTACTTGTTTGAAAAGATAAATTTGATATCTCTCGGATATTACATTATTTCCAGTGCACCGAAGAATAGTTCTCTTTGCATTGAACATGGGTCTATTCACTGGTCTCCTCATCTAGCCTGGGACATTGTACAGTAGTTCTGAGCTCTTTTAGGAAACAGTATGCCCAGTGTCCAAGGCTCTGCAAACCAACCCAGACTAAGTCATTGATGCCAGATGCATCGAAGGTCATCTAAAGACCCTTGCTTTCTTCCTCATGGGCCTTTAGCAAACTATAATGTGAAAGCTTGTCTTAGTTGCTTCTGTATCCCCTTTTAGTCACTTCTACCCTCTTAGCCTCTCCTCTGCTTTCCTTTCCAACTGGATTATTACAACAGACAGAAAATGTGACAGATTGACAGATACTGGTTTGGGGGAGTTTACTATTTTTTTTTCTTGAGCATCAGCTGATATTTTCTATGCTTCCTTGAGTTGGGGAGTGGGCAGCATGTGACCAAGGAATGGACAATGGGATGTGGGCAGAATTTCCCAGCCTTTCTTAATTTCCTAATTTCCCAGCCTTTCCCAGGCACACAACAATTGACCATTTCTTCTTCTTATTTTTTAAATTTACGTTATCCTGAAACACCAAATAATTGACTATTTCCAATTGGTACTAGGCTACAAAGAAATAAAGAATCAAGTTTATGGGAATAGCCTCAAAATAAGACAGAAAGCTCTGAGTTAGAACTCTCCTATGAACAGACTCCATGAACCTTCATGTGGTTATTATGGCATATATTTGGCATAAACTGTGGTAGTCTGAATAATGTTTCTCCCACAAAGATGTCCACATTCTAATCCCCAGAACCTGTGAATATGTGGGCTTGCATGACAAAAGGAATGACCTGTGAATCCCCATGACCTGTGAATATGTGGGCTTTGCAAATGTGATTAAGTTAAGAATGTTGAGGTTAGTCCTAATTATCTGGGTAAGACCAATGTAATCACAAGAATCCTTACAAGACAGGGATCCCCACCCCCTGGGCCACAGAGAGCTACTGCTCCGTGGCCTGTTAGGAACTGGGCCACACAGCAGGAGGTGAGTGGCACACAACTGAGTGAAGCTTCATCTGTATTTACAGCCACTCCTCATTGCTCACATTACCATCTAAACTCTGTCTCCTGTCAGATCAGCAGTGGCATTAGATTCTCACAGGAGCACAAACTCTACTGTAAACTGTGCAAGTAAGCGATCTAGGTTGCATGCTCCTCATAAAAATCTAATGCCTGATCTGTCACTGTCTTCCATCACCCCCAGATGGGATCATCTAGTTGCAGGAAAAGCAGCTCAGGGCTGCCACTGATTCTAAATTATAGTGAGTTATATAATTAGTTCATTATATATTACAATGTAATAATAATAGAAATAAAGGGCACAATAAATGTAATGTGCTTCAATCATCCTGAAATCATTGCCTCAACCCCAGTCCATGGAAAAATTGTTTTCCATGAAACTGGTCCCTTGTTCTCAAAAGGTTGGGGACTGCTGTTATAAGAGAAAGACAGAGGGATAGAAGAGGAATATCAGGGTGATACAGTAGAAAACTTGACCATCCATTTATTGCTGGTTTTGAAGCTCAAAGAAGGGGTCACTCTAGAAGCTTGAAAAGGCAAGGAAATGGATTTTCCCATAGAGCTTCTGTAAAGAATGCAAGCCTGCCAACACCTTGATAGTAGCCTAGTGAAACTAATTTCTGATCTATAGAACAGTAGGGTAGTAAATTCATGTTGTTTTGAGCCATCATATGTGTGGTAATTTGTTATAGCAGAGGCAGGAAAGTAATACATAGACCATTTTCTTCCCTGACTCTCTTTTATATTCTCCTTTATATTGCTAAGGCACTTTGCATAAATGAGATTGTCCTGTGAATAATAATAACAATAGATAATGTGTACTAAGTGCTAACTGTGGGCAGGCTATTATATCTATCATTTTCCAGTGGTTATATAATTTATTCTTCAAAATAGGTTCATGAGATAGAAGATTATTTATTTCATCTCTAATTCTTAGAAAGATTAAGTAACTTGTCCAAGGTCACAGAGCTTAAGATTGATACACAAAAAGCAGCTGGACACCACAGACATTCTTTTAACTGCATACAGCATATGTATGTAGGTGTTGAAGCAGGATAGCAAGTCAAAAAAGTGGTGACCATAATCTTGGGATGTGGCAACCCTACAGTCAACACAATAAGCTTCAGCATTCGCATTGTACTCAAGCTCAGTCAAGCAAAGCTATCTTCAGTGGGAAACTTCCCCTGTAGAGAGCAAGCACGTTTTGATTTGTCCGGTCCTCACACTGACCCTTTGCTCATTATAATAGTAAAAAACACACCCTGGGTGGAGATTTAAGATACTGATGAGACATGTGACATATGAACAAGTATGTACAGCTACTGCGCATGTGCACTCAGAGGATCACCCAGAACATGCTTACTAGTAACACCTCTTCCCAACCACCTATGAATCATCATGTAAGACTCCCACAAAGGGGGTCTCCCTAGTGCCTGTCTTTGCTGTCTCATCCTTAGGAGCAGCGTGCCCCGAATCCTCTCTCAGGTTGTAATGTCTATTCTGCACCGAACTTTCAGAGCATTCTTTCTCCTTTGCAATAAACTGCTCTATGCTGCATCTCCTTAACTGTGTGTCTCTTGCTTAAATTCTTTTAAACTAAGAAGGCAAGAACCTAGGTATCACAACAGCTGTCAACAGTTTCTACATGTGGGGGTAGAGATGGATATACTCACATACATCATGAACTATGCTCCAGAAACCCTGATCAAACTTGATGTAGAAAACTTTTAGCATAAATAAAATAATAGTAAAACACTACTTTGAAACACTGCGTTTAGAATATGCATTCACACTTTCTCAGGCCAAAAAGTTACATTTCATACTCATGTGCAGCTAGCTATAACTTAAAAATGGACCAATAAATCAGGTCAGGTTGAAGCAGTTTAATCCAAGGAGCTTAGTTTCCATCATCAGGTCTGCATTATGTAAAGTAAGTGCAGTAAAGAAATACTTTTAATATATGTTTCTCTTGTTGTAGTATAATAGGTTGTAATGGATGGAAATTAGGTACTTAAATTTTTGAATGCAACTTATTAGGTCATTTTCAATAACTTTATTCAAGGAACTTAAAACTTACTCAACTTGAAAATCATTGAGACTGTGGAGCTATTCTAAAGGACCACAGGAATGTTTACATTTCTATAATAGAGACGCCTGCTGTTACTGTTCAGAAGAAGGTGGAAGGGGGCTTCTGTTTTCTGGTGTTTAATACTGTGCTCACTTCATGCAGGACATTTAAAGACTAAAGGGGGAAAGCCCAACTTACTGCGTGTGTGCTTTGGGGACTTCCCTCCTCAGAATGTGAGCTTTCTCATTTATCAAAGAAGGCAACGGCTGGGTGTGGTGGCTCACGCCTGTAATCCCAGCACTTTGGGAGGCTGAGGTGGGTGGATCACGAAGTCAAGAGATCGAGACCATCCTGGTCAACGTGGTGAAACCCCATTTCTACTAAAAATACAAAAATTAGCTGGGCGTGCTGGCACGGGCCTGTAGTCCCAGCTACTTGGGAGGCTGAGGCAGGAGAATCACTTGAACCTGGGAAGCAGAGGTTGCAGTACACTGCACTCCAGCCTGGTGACAGAGCGAGACTCTGTCTCAAAAAAAAAAAAAAAAAAAAAGAAGGCAACATTCCTGGCCTATCCAGCAAGGTTGTTGGGAGGCTGAACAAGACCACACATGTGAATGCACTTAGGAAACTGAAGTCCTACTGAAATAAAACAGGATTATTGTTAAACTTTAATCATAATAGAAAACACAAAACTACTTAGCCATTAAAATCTGGATCTTCTGAAACAGCGATGTGAAGGGGGTTAGGAAAAGGGAAACAGACATGAAAACGCTTTGGTTTTATAACATTTCTATTTAAGAAGTTGGAGATTCTTTTTGCTCTGCTGAGAGCCTGGAAGGAAATGATATAAAGCTACTTAAGCCCTCCCCAGGTCTTTATTTACATCTGACTTATCCTTGTGATGTGCTGGATATCTTGGCTATAGCCAGGTTTTGAGATAAGGAAAAGCCTGGATGATTATATCTGCTTTAACAACATTGTTAGCTTCCCCCAAGATTGATATATATTCAAAGTCTCACGTATGCCTACAGGTAACCCCTGGAACTGAGTCAGAGGAAAGGCTTCCTCTTAGCAGCTCTGAGCCAGTTTTCAGCATCTGCTCAAGGGAAGATAATGATAGAACATGCGGATTTGGAGGAAGCTGAAAACACTGAAATAGAGCTTGGAGTTCTTCCCTGCACCTAAAATGCCTGGAGCCGGGTCTAGCATGAGACAGGCACTGAGTGAATGTTTATTAAATGTCAAATGACTGAGGCTATTATCTGACGTAGCTGCACAAAGTCAAAATAGGGTGTAAGGTAATCACTGCAGTAGGAGGAAAAGAAAGAAGAAATTACTGCAGAAACTACCCCACCCTTAGAGTAGTGATCACTCTCACATAATGAATTAGCAAGCAAAAATATCCAGACAGCTATAGCAAATATTGAATGGAATTGTCCATGAGACAATAAAGACGGAGTTTTACCAGAATGTGACCCTTTTTTCCAAACTTAATTGGATTAAGCTAGACTGCTTGGTCCAATCCTGGCTCTATCATTTACAAGCGGTGCGACTTTAGTCCGATTCCTTATCTTCTCTGTTTCAGCTTCCTCATTTGTAAAATGGGGATGATGATAACAACAGCAATTCTACTCTCAAAGTCATTGTACATATTAAATCAGTTAATACATGTAACAGCTTAAAACAGTGCCTATAATGTATTAATTGACTGTGGTAGGCTGATAATGGCTCCCCAAAATACATCCACATCCAGTACCTGTATGATGGTCAAGGTTGTGTGTCAATTTGGCTGGGCCATGGTGCCCAGATATTTGGTCAAACATTAGTCTGGATGTTTCTGTAAAGGTGTTTTTGGGGTGAGATTAACTCTTTTTTTTTTTTTTGAGACGGAGTCTTGCTCTGTCGCCCAGGCTGGAGTGCAGTGGCCCAATCTCAGCTCACTGCAAGCTCCGCCTCCTGGGTTCACGCCATTGTCCTGCCTCAGCCTCCTGGATAGCTGGGACTACAGGCTCCCACCACCACGCCCGGCTAATTTTTTTTTTGTATTTTTAGTAGAGGCGGGGTTTCACCCTGTTAGCCAGGATGGTCTGGATCTCCTGACCTCGTGATCTGCCCGCCTCGGCCTCCCAAAGTGCTGGGATTATAGGCTTGAGCTACCGCGCCCGGCCGAGATTAACTCTTAAATTGTTTCCTTAATGTGGGTGGACCTCATCCAATCAGCTGAAGGCCTTAATAGATCAAAGACTGACTTCCCTTAAATAAGAAAGAATGCTACCAGTGAAGCAGCATTGTTGTCTGGGGTAAATACACAAGGTTCTTTGTTTCACATCAGGGAAATCAAGGACACAGACACTCAAGAAGTGAGTTTCAGAGTGGAGCCTTAATAGGTGAAAGTAAAAAAAGAAAAAAGAATAGCTTTCTCTCCTGCAGAGAGAGGGGCACCCTAGTGGGTTTTCTGGTTTTCTAGTGAAATGCACAGGCTTTTATAAATGAGCTTGAGGAGGTAGTGTCTGATTTACATAGGGCCCTAGAGATTGGTTGGACCAGGCATGAGGTTTGCGTAGTGTACGAGGAAGCTGGTCATCCCACTCTACTCTTTTATTATGCAGATGGGTTCTCTACCTGGCTTGCGCCATGTTTTCTGTTCCTTACTATACATGTGGTTGACAAAGAAAAGGGAAGATGAACCTGCCATGTTGAACATGCCTGGCCCACAGATAGCCTTTTCTTATTGGCACAGCTGCTGGCATTCACTGTGCAAGCTTCTAGCTTGCTTTTCTATGTCTGCAGCTTGATTTTTCAGGCTTTTTGTTATAAAAGAAATGATTTCAGGGCTGCTTTTTGTTAAAAGGGAGGCCTTACTGAGGACTCTCTTACCCTCACTAACTGCCTAAATAATTTCTTTTTAGCTCCTGTATCACCAGCAGAATGCCTTTGGACTCAAAGTGCCCCTCGTCCCAGGGATCTGGGGTCTCCAGCTTCCTGGCCTACCCGTTCAGATTTTGCTATAAGCCTTCACTATTGTGTGAACCAATCCTTAAAATCAATATCTATCTCTTCACATCCTGTTGGTTCTGTTCCTTTGGAGAACCCTGACTAATCTTCCCTGAAATCTGTGAATGCTATCTTATTTGGAAAATGGGTCTCTGCAGATGTGATTAAGGATTTTGAGGCAGGGAGTTAACTTTGGATTGCCTGGGTGGGCCCTAAATCTAGTCATGTGTCCTTATAAGTGACAGACAGAGGACGTATAGACAGGCAGAAGACTTCAAGACAGACAAACACAAGGGAAAGTGATGGGAAGATGGATGCAGAGTTTAGAGAGACGTAGCCACAAGCCAAGGAATGCCTAGAAACGCCAAAAGCCACCCAGAGGCTGGAAGAGGCAAAAAATGGCCTCTCCCACATAGCCTCCAGAGGGAGTGTGGTCCCACTGATAGGTTGATGTGGGACTTCTGCTGTCCAGAACTGTGACAGAATGTGTTTCTATTATTATAAGCTGCCAAGTTTGTGGTAATTTGTTACAGCAGCTCAAGGAGACTGATATATGCTAACTATATAGGTATTTGCTGTTATTATTCAGTATCTATTCATTTATTAGTCAAAAAAGCTCAAGCAATCGTAATAGAGACCAGAACCAGAAAGAAAGCAAGTCACATTTCTGAGTATCCATGTCAATGTTTATCCACGAATATATTTTCACATGTTACTCTACAGATCCTCACTCAGAGGAGCACTCTAACTGTTGGTCCTTATTATGATAGAGACCAATAGAGAGAATTCTCACCACTTTGACTCCATGGAGTTTGATATCCCCAAACTACATTGATTTCCCCTTGGGGATGGGTGGTGGAACTCACCCTTGAGCTCCTTCTTCTGCCCCCTCAGGTTCTCCAGATGCAATCAGTGGAGCCATCCCTAGAAGGATAGGTCAGCAATGCCATGGCACTGGGAGGGACAGTCATCAACACCTTCATGTTTGGGGTCCCAAGGAGAAGCTACCCAATCAGGTGGGATAAGGCTGGGGTCTGGGTTCTTAGTTGGCAGGCACAACCTGAGCTCATCTATATTTTGCATTCTGACACTGGCTTGTGGATTGCTCAGCCTGGCGTTATGACAATCTCTAGGGCAGTGTATGAAATTGAGGACCTAGCCCGGCACAAGGCTCCTGATAAAACCATCCAGGCCAGCTGCTGCGGTAGTTTCACCTCTGTTCACAAAATCTTCTAGCAGAGTTACCTTAACCTCCAGGCAGTTGCACAGCCCTTCAGTATTTTCTCTGTATCTCTGTACCTCCTGTACTATTGTTCTTCAAATACACTCACTTCTTTTACCTTAGCTTCGCCCTAAACAACCCAAAAATTCATAAGTTTGATGTAAGAGGATAGTTCTGTTACTCAAATGGTCCCTTGCATGTATTTATGCCATTGAAAACTCCCCTGGGTACCATCAACAGTCAACTTATCATTTTGTATTTCATGTGCACGGTGGGAAACAAACACTGCCATTGTGAATATGGGATTTGGGGGCTCACTGTGGCATGCTAGGGTCTTCTGAGCTGGGGCTACGGGGTGAGGAAAGGGACTGGAAGCTCCTTTTCTACTAAATGCTAACAATATTAGCAAGAGGTCAAGAAAAACACCAATCTCCACCCCTCTGCCCCCCAAACTCTTCTTATTCCAACATTCCAGGGTAGAAGGTGCTCTTTTCCTACCCCTTGGAACAGAGGAAGATTGAATTATTTCCCTGATGAGCAATAGGTGGCAAAAGGACAAGATAGCCTTGAGACGGTAATGACTACAAGTCCTGCTAACCAAAAGGGATTTGTAGATACTACAGGTCAGGGAACCAAGGCATGAAGCCATGGTGGTTCAGCCGTGGAAGCACCAGGCATGTAAGCCTGGCAGGACCAGGTTGTACAGGAAATCTGCAAAAGTCTGGCTAGTCGTGGTGGCTCACGCCTGTAATCCCAGCATTTTGGGAGGCTGAAGTGGGCAGATCACCTGAGGTCAGGAGTTTGAGACCAGCCTGGCCAACATGGTGAAACCGCGTCTCTACTAAAAATACACAAATTAGCCAGGTGTGGTGCTGCACACCTGTAATCCCGGCTACTCGAGAGGCTGAGGCAGGAGAATTTCTTGAACCGAGGAGGTGGAGGGTGCAGAGAGCTGAGATGGCACCACTGCACTCCAGGCTGGGCGACAGAGTGAGACTCTGACAAAAAAAAGAAGGAAGGGAAGAAAGAAAGAAAGAGAAAGAAAGAAAGAAAGAGAGAGAAAGAAATCTACAAAAGCTGATAAGAGCAGCATCACTGGAGCCCTGTCCCATTTGATATCTGCACCTGGGAATGGAGGATGTAGGAATGCTCCAAGGTGTCTCGGTGGACCTGCCCCATTCAGAGGTGAGAATGCAATGATTGGAAATTCCTGCCAGTTATGAGCTGAGGATGGAGTCCTGGTAGATGGCTCTGGAAAGGAAACTCACATAGCAGTGGGGCCAGTGAAGGCACCTTATTCCTGGGTAGACGTGCCACTTCTTTTTCTCCAGTTTCTTCAGACAGCTGCACATCATGACCTAGTCACATTTCAGGTTCCTTTTAGCTGCTGTCTTTTCTCCTGTTAGGGGGTAAAATCCCAGCTTCTTCCCTCTGTGTGGTTCTGCCTTATACTGGCTTCATTTGCACTCTGCTACTGGTTGCGTCTGTGCCGGGTCTCCTCAGCAAAGCAGAAGAATGGAGGAGACTGCTTTGTCTCACTTAGGAATCAGACATATCTCCTGGAACAAAGCAACTGAGTTCTATTCATCCCCATATTTGGGAATGACAATTTCTCTCAGAAAACTCTCACATCTATCATTCTGGCTGCTGCATTATTGCCTCCATGCATCTCACCTTTCCTAAAAACCACCTCCTAGGAAATCAACACCCCAGTGCTACTTTCTCTGGACAAATTCTATTGCTTCCAGCATCATCAGTCATGGAAAGATTTTTTTTTAATGTTAATAATTTGGGCCATTTATTGAAAAAAGGTCAATGTTAAAAAATGTCTTTCCCCCTGTGTCTCATCTACACTGTAACATAATGTTCTCTACTAGCAGTGCAGTCTGTGTGATATCAATGTAGGGAATAAATGGGCACAGATTGAAATAATTATGAGAAAATGCAAAAATTATTTAGAAATTGGTGCTGACTTTTGCTTCCAGTCTATTTTTTGTTTGTATAATAAAGCATCTACAGCAAGGAATTAAAAAATAATGGTGTGATAATGTCAGTTTAAATCTAATGGATCAACAGCAGCCATAAATCTAAATTTAATTTGATGTTTAATAAAACCCTCCACATTCCCTGCATTAGGGTCCAGGAAACTGATTTGCTTCATCCGATTGCTTTTCCTGCGCATTAAGCTGAATATTGTATCTAATCACCTGTTTTGGTGCCTTCCAAACATACTCGACTTCAAACCTGCCTCAAAATCGGTCCAGTTGATATATCTTGTTATCCTTTTTAAATGATTTATGTTGATTCTAGCTTTTCCTACATTATTCTCAATTATCTTTGCTGCCTTGCAATTTATAACTTAGGCCACCTAAAAGGTCCAAGTCATTGTTTGATTTAGCTTTGCTCTCTCATCTTTGACAGAGCATCCTTCAGCTTCAGAGAGCCGTCACAGTCTGATTTTATGTTATGCCTTGTGTTTAATAGTTCTTGGAAGTAAAAACAATAAGCCTATGGTAAGAGCTTCTTGTGGTGAGTGTGAGGGATGAGCACTGCAATATAGATGCAATAAAGTGGAGGAGAGACCCATGGCTAGAACAACTGAGTTTCTACTAAAGGTTTTAAACCAATGTTAGCAAAAGTACACAGTACCCACTGTGTGACTGCAACTTTTTACATCACTCAAACTTGGGGAGCCAAATACCTGGTCAGGTTAAATACATGCCACTTCTTAACTAATGGGCTGCTGAAGGCACCATCTCATACATCATATGGAATATAAATTTCTGTATCAGTGTGTGTTATAATGAACCATATATAGTTCATTTCTGTAGGTCAAAGTGGTTTGGTGGTAGCCATTTCAAATGGTTCAACCTAAAAAGTGAGGCAAAAATGGTTCAAACTAAAAAGTGTGGCAACCTGAAACTTCTCTGGTAGCCCAGTAAATATCGCCAGCTTTCTAGAAATCCCAAGGATGGAGTCCTGTCAATGAAATGAATTAATGAAAATGTGAAGAGCTGTAGTAGAACCTGGGAATACAGGTCTACTTCTAATGATGGTGGGCTTGGCACAGAAGGAGGAAAAGCCATGGCGATTTAAGCCATTTCTAGGTTAGCTCCAATTTTTTGGACTATATGAAAATGTTACATGTTCCTTCCATATCATGCCATCAATCTGTAGCTATTCTTCATTCCAGGAAGGCTTACCCAAAGTCTAACTGGCCTACTCTTTCCGTAATGTGATGATTCCCAGGGGTACGGATCTGATGCTTCCCTTATATCCTCTCCCCCTGAATTAAACAGCACAGGCTGCTATAACAAAATTTCATAGACTGAGTGACTTATAAATAATAAAAGTTTGTTTTTCACACTTCTGGAGGCTAGGAAGTCCAAGAACAAGGTTATGAAAAGTTCTATGTTTGATGAGGACTTGCTTTCTGGTTCATAGGCAGCACCTTCTCATTTTGTCCTCACATGTTTTAGAGATGAAGCAGGCTCTTATGGGACTCTTATTAGGACATCAGTCCCATTCATGAGGGCTCTACTCCCACAGTCTCATCTCATCCTAATTACTTCCCCCAAGCCTCACTTCTTAATGCCAGCGCATTAGGGGGCAGGGTTTCAACACGGATTTTGGGGGGACACAAGCATTCCATCCATAATACCTCTCAAAAGAAAATGAATTTAGAATAATGGAAAAATATTGTGAAATATTTAAGCAACTTGAGAAGTAAAATTGCTTTCATTATTCTGGGTCCCCATGAGATAACCAGACTTCCAATTTTGCTTTTGCATAGGTGTAAAGACATATATCTTAAATAAAATAATACATCCTGCTACACTTGCTATTCTATATTCTATTTTGATCACATGACAGTATATTACAGACATTTTCCTGTATCACTACATAGGATCTGCCATAATCATCATAATAACAACTGAAGAAAATTCTACCCTATCATCATACTATTATTAAAAAAAAGTTCCCTAAATAAGGACATTGAAGTTTATTCCACTTTTTCTTATTAGAAACAAGTCTGTGATAAACATTCTTGTACGCACACCTTTATAGGCTTATGCAATGATTTCCTTAGAATCACTTGCTAGAGTAGGAATTGCTACATTAAAGGGAATGCACATTTCACATTTTGATACCTATGGTCAGGTTACTTTTCAAGGTACACTCCCACCAAAAGTATATGAAAATTCCTTTCCTGTACCCTAACCAGCCCTGAGCATTGTTATACTTTTTGCTCTTTTTCAGTCTGATGGGGAGCTAATAATATTACTGTTTTACTTCTATTTCTTTAATTAGTAGAATGGAAGAACTTTTCATATACAGAGAGAGACTATTTGGATTTCTTCTTTTGTGATTTTTTTTTTCTATGTGTGAATTTCCTGTTTGTCAGGACTGTTTTGTAATGACCAGTTACCCATCTCAAACTGGTTCGAAACCAACCAACCAACTAGGAAAAATGGGATATCTTGGCTCACCCAGCTGGCAGAGACATCAGAGTTGCTCACAAAACTGAAAGAAGAACTACAGGAACCCATCTTGTGGACTGGATGATGAAGTCACAGGGCTTCATCTCTCATTTCTGCTGGTCTCTGCTTGGATTCATGCAGCAGTCAAGTTCTTGATGAGGCAAAGAAAATGGCTATTGGCACACCAGATTCACTTCTTCCAGTTTAGCAACCTCAGTGGTAAGAAAATGTCTCTTTTCCAATTTCTGTTTGTGAATCCCAGAGAAGCACTGTAGTTGGTTTTGCTTGGGACAACAGTTGTGTCTAGGAAAACGAAGTACTGTTGAGACAGGCAAGCCGGCTTATTTACTATCTTAAGATGGTCTGGAGGGAAAGGATAAATGCCCTTTCTCAAGCTCTATCTTCTGTAACTCTCATCCAATCAGTTACAAGAGATCCAAGAAATCATTTACTGCAAGTTCCTATTTCAGGGGGCTAGGGTTCCTCAGAGCCCTGCATGCGCAGCTAGACTTGAACTCCAACCTAGTTACTGCTTCTTCATTTTAATGCTAAAATTAATGCCCAGGGTGGAGATTTAAAATATTAATGCTGTATACAATGTATGAAGAAGCATGTTGAGCCACTACACAGGCACTAGGAAAACTCCTCTTACACATGCCCTGATGTGACCTTTCTCTATACAAAGACCCTATAAAACTAACCCACACAGTGTTCTCAGGGAGCAGCCTACTCCTTTGTCATTTCTTAGTGCTGGCTACCTTGTGCACAAGCTGGAATAAACTTCAAATCATCTTTGCTGCTATGTTTGGTGATCTCTCTTGATTTCTATCCCGGGAGACTGAAAGAACCCTGGACTCTGGTAACACGGTGACTACCCATGCTTGGGTCAAGTGCCCAACCCTGTGTCAAGAAGGTGGGTTCTGTCGTCACAAGAAATTAGATGGGTGATAAATGTATTGAGTAGTCCGAAAGAGCCAACTACATGTCCTTGCCCATTTGTCTATTTATTTCCTTGAATTCCATGACACATATAGGCTGTACTACACAAACCACAGTAGCATCCACCAAAAATTGCTTGCATATGTTTTTCCTTCTCGCCTGATCCTTCATGCTAGCTACACGGATTCTTACAGCCCTGGCCAGGCTCTTGGTAAGGCAAATGCTGCGCGGGTCTAATGACAACATCCTTTTGCCTCTGTCAAGGAGCTGGGAAGAGGGAAAGGTTAGATTCAAACAGTCTAGTTCTTAGATATTTAATTCAAGTCCCTTTATCCCTGGGGCCTTAATTCTAATCCTTTTGAGTTGCTATCTTCTATTTCTTTTGTATCTTTCCCCGTACTTAACAAAGACATTTTCTAAATCTCCAAAATGTGCATGGAATGCCTATTCATTGTGTTCCATTAAGCCCCCTGCCACCCAACCCTCACATTGCCAGGGCTCTAAGGCATCTCTATTCTTGTCATTTGCTACTACTACACTAAAATCTCCTGAAAGGCATGAGAATTTGTATCCTCAGCACTGTACAGCATATAACAGGTTCTCAGTAAACATGAGTTGAATAAATAATCAATTTGTAAAATAGGGGAGTTGGACCACATGGGTTCTGAGCTTCTTTCTGATTCCCAAATTCTTTGGATACTAATGAATCTTTAATATCTTAGCCCAACCAAAATTCAAATACTGGATGGTCTCTAAGGAGTAGAAAGATTCAGGTTTAGGTAAAGGATATATTCTTGGCCAGCTTAGTTTGATTGTGCTATACTGCCATCACTTCTGCCTCTGAAGATGATGCGATCTACCAAAAAAAAAAAAAAAATAATAAGAGCCTGTGATATAAAATCAGCAGAGCTGTGCTCAAATTCTCTCTACCACTTAGTAGACATGTGAGCTTGAGCAATTTACTTACTCTCTTCAACATCTTTAGAATCAGAATAACAGATCAAAATATAAAGTTAAAAGGACAAAAATATGAATAACAATGATTACCCCAGGAATGTTACATAGAGTTCAGTAAGATAACAGATGTAAAACACTGAGTACAGTATACAACTCATAGTAGGCACTCAACAAATGATGTAGCAAATGAAGTGAGTATATCCCCACTATATAGCCAGTGCCCAATGAAAGACATGCCTCCTGGACTACACCCCAGAATATCTAAGAGAAGTCAGCAGAACTAACAGAATCAGAGTCATATTAATGAACTGAGACCAGATCACACCCACCTTCTATTGAAAGCTATGTAAGGCCACAATCCCTGTTCTCTATAATGAGATAAGTAGAGATCCATTTGCTCTTGCCTTATGTGTGAATAGGCACAGTTAAATTCACATACTTCATGTTTTAGCAGCTTCCTATATTGAGCTTTAAATTGGTCTGCCTTACTTTATCTACTACTATAGTATTTTCCCGGAATTTACTTGCAGGAAGATCAGCCAAACCTTTGTTCCTAGCTAGGTTTACTGTGCAGTTCTCAGTGGAAATAACACAGATATGGGACTCCAGTACAGTGCAGGTTTCAAGGGTACAGAAAGAATTTGTATCTGAGAACAGAGTGAGGAATACAAGGAAGTATTGCCCATGAAATACAAATTAAATTCGTTTCTCCATTATAAAACTCAATTAAAGTTATTTGGATTGTAAAACATGTAACAAACACTATTAGAAAGAATCAGATAATCATGAGATGGCCAAAGACTAGATTTTGGAATCAGCTGGTCAAGGAAGTCTTTTGGGTAACTTTGGCCTTTTTTTTAAAAACCATTTTACAATAAAAGTTTTGATTTTGATTTTATTATATTATTATTTTATTATTAATGACAGGGTCTTGCTCTGTCACTCAGGCCAGAGTGTAGTAGCAAAATCATGGCACACACTAAAAGGTGAAAAGCTTTTACCTTTTGGGCTCAAGGTGTTGTAGGACTCTCTCCATAGTTCAGCTAAAAGCCAGGTTCTTGTCACATAACTATGAAAAATTAGGCTCGCCGACATTTTGAAGGACGAGAAGGGCAGGGTTTATTGGGTGAAAAGGAAAAAAAAGGGAAACAGGGACTCTCAGCAAAGAGAGAGTCCTGCTGATAGGCTTCCTGTCTCACAGACTGAATCCCAGGTTAGCACCCAGGAACAGGAGAGGCCAGGCTACTGACCCCTGCAAATGGCACAAACTTCTGTGGCTCCACCCCAGTGTGCATTCCTCCCAGTGCGTGGGCTGGTGGGAAGTTCTCCAGGGATCCCTTTATACTTGGCTGTTTCAGAGGGGTCTTTACACTTCACTCTCCTGGGTAGCTAGGACTATAGGCACGCAACTGCCACACCCAGCCAATTTTTAAATTTTTATTTTTTGTAGATACAGGGTCTCACTATGCTGCCCAGGCTGGTCTCAAACTCTGGGGCTCAAGCAATCCTCCAGCTTTGGCCTCCCAAAGTGTTGGAATTACAGTCATGGGCCACTACACCCAGCCTACAACCAGTTTTTCTGGGAGATCAACATTGTTTCTTTAAATATAACAATCTTTATTTTTAAAATGGTAAAGTATGGCACAAAGAGAGGAAAGCCAACTTAACAGGTTAAGTTTCCTACTGATTTTTGTTTTGGGTGCGTTAAGGGAATATTTGTATTAACATTTCCAAATGGGCTTTGTATTGCAAGTTGACATTATGTTGAGGAAGTAACAGACCTGGAGTCAAGAGGTGTGCCTTAGTCACTAACCAGATGTGTGACCTAGAGCAAGTCACTTGACCTCTCTGGGCTTCAAATTCTTCCTTATGTAATGATATCAGTTGGACTGGATCAGTAGTATTCAAGTTATATTGTTATTGTGAAACCACCAACAGGATCCAGACCCCCACCCCCACTACACACACCCAAACACACACATTCACAGCCCAAGTAGCCCCACACATATTTGTTTTAAAGGAATATCACATAGGGATTTCATAGAAAAGAGGCTGTAAAATGTAATGGTTACAAGAATGTGCTTTAGAATCAAATCAACAGAGTTGAAATGTCCATTCAACAACTCCAGCTATGTGAGTTATATAAGCCTCAGTTTCCATATCTGCAAACTTATTATTAATGATATATTATTGATTATTTTTTATTATTAACTGTAGTCATAGGGATGTCTTCGGGGGTTAAAAGAGGTAATACAAAGGGCTTGCAACAGTGTCTACCACACTGTATTAGTCCGTTTTCATGCTGCTGATAAAGACATACCCAAGACTGGGCAATTTACAAAAGAAAGAAATTTATTGGACTTCCAGTTCCACGTGGCTGGGGAGGCCTGACAATCATAGTGGAAGTTGAAAGGCATGGAGGAACAAGTCATGTCTTACACGGATGGTGGTAGGTGAAAAAAGAGTTTGCACAGGGGAACTCCTCTTTTTAAAACCATCAAATCTTGTGAGACTCATTCATTATCACAAAACCATTTTTTCTTCTTAGGCCTCTGGGCCTGTGATGGGAGGGTCTTGCCTGAAGACCTCTGACATGCCCTAGAGACATTTTCCCCATTGTCTTAGGGATTAACATTTGGCTACTTGTTACTTATGCAAATTTCTGCAGCCAGCTTGAATTTCTCCTCAGAAAATGGGATTTTTCTTTTTTGTCACATTGTCAGGCTGCAAATTTTCCAAACTTTTATGCTGTGCTTCCCTTATAAAACTGAATGCCTTTAACAGTACCCAAGTCACCTCTTGAATGCTTTGCTGCTTAGAAATGTCTTCCACCAGATACCCTAAATCATCTCTCTCAAGTTCAAACTTCCACAAATCTCTAGGTCAGGGACAAAATGCCACCAGTCTCTTTACTAAAACATAACAAAAGTCACCTTTGCTCCAGTTCCCGACAAGTTCTTCATCTCCATCTGAGACCACCTCAGCCTGGATTTTATTGTCCATATCATTATCAGCATTTTGGTCAAAGCCATTCAACAAGTCTCTAGGGAGTTCCAAACTTTCCCAAATTTTCCTGTCTTCTTCTGAGCCCTCCAAACTGTTTCAACCTCTGCCTGTTACCCAGTTCCAAAGTCGCTTCCACATTTTCAAGTATCTTTTTAGCAGTACCCCACTTTACTGGTACCAATTTACTGTATTACTCTGTTTTCACTCTGCTGATAAATACTCGAGACTTGGCAATTTACAAAGGAAGAGGTTTAATGGACTTACAGTTCCACATGTCTGAGGAGGCCTCACAATCATGGCAAAGGTGAAAGGCATGGAAGAGCAAGTCACGTCTTACATGGATGGCGTCAGGCAAAGAGAGCTTGTGTAGAACCATCAGATCTCATGAGACTTATTCACTGTCAGAACAGCACAGGAAAGACTGGCCCCTATAATTCAATCACCTCCCATTGGGTTCCTACCACCACACATGGCAATTTTGGGAATTGTAATTCAAGATGAGATTTGGGTGGGGACATAGCCAACCCATATCACACACACTACCTACAAAACAATTTTAGGATTCTGAAACCTAAAATTGGTTTGAAAATCAATGAGCTAAATGATCTTTTAAATTCCTTCCAGCTCTTTTTTTTTTTTTTAAGAGATGGAGTCTCACTCTGTGGCCCAGGCTGGAGTGCAGTGGCATAATTTTGGTTCACTGCAACCACTGCTTCTTGGGTTCAATCAATCCTCCTGTCCTCAGCCTCCCAAGTAGCTGGGATTACAATCATGTACCACCATGCCTGGCTAATTTTTGTAATTTTAGTAGAGATGGGGATTTCACCATGGTGGCCAGGCTGGTCTCGAACTCCTGGGCTCAAGGGATCCCCCTGCCTCGGCCTCCCACAGTGCTGGGGCTACAGGCATGATCCACTGCTCCTGGCCTAAATTCCTTCCAGTTCTAAATTCTTTTTTTCTGAAAAGTAACTATTGTAAAACAGCATAAAGGAGCCATTTATAGATGGGGCTTCTCTGATTCCCTGACTTCAAGTGCAGCCTGACTTCTAAGTGGTAGTTTGCTGAGAATTTTATTTATGGATATCATCTATCTATCTATCTATCTATCTATCATCTATCTATCTATCTATCATCTATCTATCTATCAATCAATCACCTATCATTGAGCCTACTAAGGTAAAACTTACACATAAATTTAGTTCACCTGTTTTGGTGTACAGTTCCATGAGTTCTGACAAATGCATACCACCAAGGAACCACCACCACAATCAAGATATGGTTCCATCACCCCAAAAAGTTCCACAATGCCCCTTTGCAGTCAATCTTCTCACCCCACTCCAGCCCCTGGCAACCACTGATGGTTTCTGTCCCTTTAGGTTTGCCTTTTCCAAAAAGTCATATAAATGAGTCATATAGTCTATAGACTTTTGAGTCTGGCTTCTTTTCACTTTACTTCATTTCACTTCAGCATCATCCATCTTGTTGCATGGACCAGTAATTCAGCTCTCTATATTGCTGAGTAGAATTCCATTATGTGACTGTACCACAGTTTACTCATTCACCAGTTGATGCATCATGAAAAAAGCCATAAAAAACATTTCAGTGAATTTATGTTTAAATATCTAGGAATGGGATTGCTGGGTCATATGGTGGATGTATTTTTAACTTCATTAGACACTGTCAGGATTTTTCTAGAGTAGCTGTACCCTTTTGCATGCCTATCAGAAATTTTGGAGAGTTTCCATTAGTTTATGTATTTGTTTTCTATGGCAGTTATAAAAATTGCCACAAACTTGGTGGCCTAAATTTATTACCTTATAGCTCTGGAGGTCAAATATACAAAATGGGTCTCACTGGGCTAGAATTAAGGTTGGGGCAGTCTGCATTCCTTTCTAGAAAGCCTGTGGGGGAATCTGTTTCCTTGCCTTTCCAGCTTCTTTAGGCTGCCTGCATCCCTTGCCCTGTGTCCCCTTCTATCTGCAAATTCAGCAATGGCTGGTTGAGTCTTTTATACAGCATCACCCTGACACTTACTCTTCTGCCTCCTTCCAAATTTAAAGGGCCTTTATGACTACATCAGATACTTGCGTAATCCAGGAGAATTTCCTTCTTTTAAAGTCAGATGACACTGGGGCCGGGTGCGGTGACACATGCACGTAATCCCAGCACTTTGGGAGGCTGAGGTGGGAGTTGTTCAAGACCAGCTAGCCTGGGGGAACATGGTGAAAACCCGGTCTCCACAGCAAAAAAAAAAAAAAAAAAAAAAAAAAAAAAAATTAGCTGGGTGGGGTGGCATGGACCTCTAGTCCCAGCTACTTGGGAGGCTGGGGTTGGAGGACTGCTCGAGCCCAGGAGGAGGGGGTTGCAGTGAGCTGCTATCACTCCACTGCACTCCAGCCTGGGTATACAGCAAGACTCTGTCTCAATAAATAAATAAATAAATAAATAAATAAATAAATAAATAAAGTCAGATGATTCACGAATTTATTTTCCTTTGTGACTGTATTCCTCCCTTGCCATGTAATATAATATACTCAAAGGTCCTGGGGATTAGGATACGGACATTTTTGGGGGGGCATTATTCTGTCTACCGGAGTTCAAAACCTCACCAGCACATACTACTGTCAATTTAAAGAATTAAGTTATTTTAATGGTTGTGCCTATTACGGTTTTAATTTGCATTTCTCTAATGACTAATAATGTTGAGCATCTTTTCATTTATTTCTTTGCCATCATATATCTCCTTTGGTGAAGTGTTCAAATCTATTACCCATTTTATTTTATTTTGTTATTATTTTTTGAGACAGAGTCTCACTCTGTCGCCCAGCCTGGAGTGCAGTGGTGTGATCGGCTCACTGCAACCTCTGCCTCCTGGGTTCGAGCTATTCTCCTGCCTCAGCCTCCAGAGTAGCTGGGATTACAGGGATGCACCACCACGCCCAGCTAATTTTTGTACTTTTAGTAGAGACAGGGTTTTACCATGTTGGCTAGGCTGGTCTTGAACTCCTGACCTCAAGCGATCCTCCCATCTCAGCCTCCAAAAGTGCTGAGATTACAGGCATGAGCCACCATGCTCAGCCTATTACCCATTTTAAAAATTAGGCTGTTTTCTTATTATAGAGTTTGAGAGTTCTCTGTATAATCTGGACTATAGTTGTTTATCAGGTATGTATTTTGAAAATATTTTTCCCAGCCTATTGTTTTTCTTTTCATTTTCTTAATAGTATTTTTAGAATATTTAAATTTTGATGAAGTCCAATTTATCACTTTTTTCTTTTATGATTTATGCTTTTTGTGTTCTAAGACATCTTTGCCTAACCCAAGGTTACAAAGATTTTCTTCTATGTTTTCTTTTGGAAATCTTATGTTTGAAGTTTTACATTTGGGTCTATGATCCATTTCATGTTAAAATTTTATAGGTATACGATCTAGGTTCAGGTTCATTTTTCCTAACATAGATGTCCAATTCTTCTAGCAATTTCTCAAAAGCAGTTCATTTAATTTTCACCTTGATCAATATTTCTTTTATTTAAGAAAAGTCTTGAAGAAAATTTTTCAACTGTTATTTGGATTTTCATAAACTCAGAACTTTTCAGCTGTTTTTGATTTTTTCATTACCTATGTGCTAATGATACTATACCCTTGATCAAACTGAAATATTCATTCATTATAGACCAGGTTAGACACATACCAAGGTGGTCAATACATACCCTAAGATTTATGATGAATAATTGATTTCTCACTGTTGTGAATAGGGCCCAAATTGTTTGATTATGTATTTAGCTAGTAATGAAAACTCATTAGCAGAATCCTATTTCATGCTTCTTTACACCTGCAAACAATTTCTTCTTGTTTAAAGGATTGTTCCATTTGGTCTGCCTGATTTAATTTTTCCCAGTAACACCGTATTAATGACCATCACTCAACCTCACCTAGAAAGCATAAAGGGCTCTCAATCACCCTTTCCCACCTGGCTCCATTACCACTTTGCACCATCCCAGTACCTTCACCGACACCAAGGACTTGGAATTCCATGATGGTTTTTGAGAAATGGCTTTGAGTGACTTTGGAGAAGTTACTTAAACCAAGAATAAAAGGATGAGAGGCCCATGTAGCAGATATTCTTGAAATTGCATACAAACATATTTCTGATATTTATTTTTCATGAACATTCAGTTTGAGCATCGGTTTTATGTGGGGTGGTTGGAGGGAAGAAGACCTTAAACATCTAATTATATGGAAATCATTGGAAATAGCCTTTTACCCTAAGGAACTGATGACGATTGCCTCAGATCCAAATATCATTTACTTATCCAGAAGAGATTCTTGTTTCAAATATGAGATCACAAAGTCCTTGAATCAGATTGAAGTTGCATTTTAATTGGGATGGGTATAGCATTGATTTAGCCAATGGAGATGTGACTGGCTGTTCTTTTCTTCCTGCATTATTTACAGGTTTTACTTAACCAAGTTCCTCAGGGTGGAGAGCAGCAAAGATGCAATGACTCAGAGTTAGTGCTTTGAGATACTTTATCAGCTATCTGGAAATAGGATCAGCAATTACACCACAGGTCCTGGATTCCTGATGTAAAAAGAAGCAGGCAAGTGGCCTGCAAGAACTTGAAAAATGTTTCCTAAATTATGCCTAATATTTGCCATTAGGAGATTTAGAATACAAGTCCATGACCCTAAGGAGTCATACAGGAAAGTACCTGGTTTTACTTTTTTTTTTGAGACAGGGTTTTACTCTTTCCCCCAGGCAAGAGTGCAGTGGCGTGATCATAGCTTACTGCAGCATTGACTTCCTGGGCCCAAGCAATCCTCCCACCTCAGCCTCCCGAGTAGCTGGGACCATAGGTGCACGCCACCATGCATGGCTAATTTTTTGACTTTTTGTAGAGGTGGGGGTCTTCCTATGTTGCCCAGGCAGGTCTCGAACTCCTGAGCTCAAGTGATCCTTCTGCCTCGACCTCTCAAAGTGTTAGGATTACAGGCATGAGCCACTGTACCTAGCTGGTTTTAGTTTATTGGTCTCTCAAGCCTGTTTGAGCATGAAACACTTAGGTTCTCAGCATATCTATGAATAGCCTGTGGACCAGTGTTCTTTAGGATACCACTTTGGGAAATGTTGAGTTAGAACGCTGAAGAACTAGAAAGGTGCTTAGTAGTCATCCCATTTATATTGTTATCTCTCTTTCTCTGAGTGTCTTAGCATTTTCTCCCACTCCTCTAACTTCAATGAATTTTATTTTTCTTTCTTCTTGTTATAAATGTAGTGTTTTCAAGTACAATACTATTGGGTTGGTCGGACACCTTTTATGATATCCTTAAAGCAACATATGAGAATGGTACCAGGCTTCATCGTAAAAAGAAGATAATAATATTGACCAGTGTTAATATTGTGAAGATTAAATAGAATATTGTATCTGGAATTCCTTAGTAAAATGTACAATAAGATGATCATATTTAGCGTTTCAGAGTTTTTTTTTGTTTGTTTGGTGTCTAAGTGGAACCAGCTAGTCTGGCCTGGGGAAAAATACTAAAAATAGGAGCTTTATCTTTGGACAAACACTGCCTTTGATTTTTGTGTGACTCATGGATCCACCCTTTCCATTCTGTGGTCCTGATGTCCTGTGTTCTATCTCTCTAGCCTGTTCTCCTGCAGGGATAAGGTAGAAGTTACCGCCACTTCAAAATGAAAGGAGGAATTTGCATTTTTGGCCCTATGAGACAATGTGAAGAAGGTGGGAAGTGTGCTCGGATGGAGCCCTCTCCCTTCCACTAGTACTGGAGGCAGGAGATGCTCAAGGCTACACTTCTTCCAGAAATGGTCCCATCAAAAGGATTTTATGGGATGTGTCATCTTAGGAGCTCTTAGCCTCTGAGAATCTGCACATTCTTGTATGATTTGGGGAAACATTTTACACCCATCTACATAACTTTAAAATATTGTAGGAGAGTGAGAGAATGACAGAAGGATTTTTAATGGTCAACTGAATCCTCCTTATTAATGCTTTCATTTCTAAGGGAGAATTCTTGGGTCTCAGAGAAGTGACATGAGTTATTTAAGAGTACAAAACTCATATCTGGGACAATGGCTGAGGCAGTAGGCAATTCTGTGAGCTGGACAGCACCAAGAATATTATCCTCTGATCTGGGTGCAACGTGATAAAGGAAACATAGGTGAATACTCATTACCCAGGAAAGGGACTTCAAATCGTATCAGAATGAATCGTTGAAGACAATAGTGATGTTTGACCCAAGAAAAGAGAATCTTCAACTATGGAGGCCAGGAAGATCTAAGGAGCTAGTGCTCTAAAACAGAAACTGCAACCCTGGCTACAAATTAGAATCATGAGGGGCAGAGCACAAAGCAGGGTGCAGTAGAAGAGGGTTAGTCACGAAAAAGCGATAAGGACCTGCTGACCCCAAGCTCTCCTCCATCCTGAGAGTCTATGAGATCAGGAGAAAAACCCTGGTCTTACGTTGAAAAAGCTGCTGAGAACTTTCTCAGTCTCTAGGGAGCAACCATACAGATAGGGCTGGCTTCATGGTCACAGGGTCCTGTGCTTAGAAGTGTTCAGCACTTGGTTTAATGCTTTGCCATGACCGTCTATAAATTCTTAATCATTTTTGCACAGGAGGGTATGCATTTTCATTTTGTGCTGGGTTCTGCAATTTATGTAGCTGGTCCTGCATGCAGATTTCCATTATGAACCAACACCATTTCAGGGCTTGGAAGTGGTGACTGTATCATGCCATCAAGCTTGAAGGTAGTACCACTGCACCAGCTAAATAATCAGGGGCCAAAGTGAAGATAGGAGGGAAGAGACTAAGTCTCGAGCTTCAGTCTTCAATGTTATGCAGACACCATCTTCCATCAGGCTTCAAAAGGCTCTGACAGCTTCCTGGATTTAACCATCCAATTCTTTGTTCAGTCCAACCCTGAGTAAAGTAGCCAAACTCAGTGCTGGCTTTCAGTTGTGAATTTCTCATGGAAAATCTTCAGTGTATCAAGTCGAGACTGACATAGAGCCCCAGTCTTCTCTGGTTGAGATGGAACAGCAGAGGAGTAAAGTCTGTGTAAAGATCAGTAAAGAAAGGAAAGGCCTGGAGACCTGTAACTTTCATTCTTTAATTTGAGTACCAAACTTGCAAAAGAGGAATAATCTCTTAGGAGTTCCCCCTTTGAGTTCAATGATTTCAAGCATGGCCTGAGAATTAGGCATAGGAGCAATTAGCAACATGAGTCATGGTCCACAGTGAAATCCCCTTGGTGAGGGAATGACATTTCTCTTTCCCCAGAGCACTTGGCAGCTCAGACAAAATTGTCTGCTGGTCCTGAGGCCACCTCCTCCCTGGGAGATGATACAGTGATATGCCTGATAATGTCTGTTGGTGTCATAGGCCCAGGGTTTAAAAACAAAATTGAAAAACACACAGTAAGTTGCAATGGTAAGAGTAAAATTATGTGAGTCCTAATCTAGTTGTTCGATAAAATATTACTAAATTAGACTCTTCACATTCCTTTTGATAGCCTCTTCCTTTGAAGGACAATCTTACCATACTTTAGAGTTCCACTGCACTGTTCAAAAGGAGTTAGGTAAAACCTATAGGCCAGGTTATGAGGTTTTGTTTTGAATAATTTTCCCCCTTTAGGTGAACAAAACATTATCTTTATGGCTCTCTGGAGAGCTTCTGACCTGGAGGAGTTATTTTGTTTTGTTTTATAGCCTTAAGAAAGGTTTTAAGAAATATTTTGACAGAATAACAAACAAGTCAAACAATTTTCAGCCAAAGGCAGCAGCAGCTTGGTTTTTACACTGACATATTTGAGATGGTAATTTAAGGGGTGCTGCAGTTAGCCACTGCAGTAAAGATTGAATTTCCCTAAAATTATCTAAAGTGTATGATTGGTTGGATGCTTGTGTCTTTAAGACCCTGTTCATGGGTGAGGCCTTGGTGAATTGCCATGCGTCTAATACAAAGCTACCCTGATTGGGTCTCTGTAGGAATCATCAGCATGGAGGCTGCTGTGGGAGCTGCTATATTCCCTGTGCCTGGCAACTGTTTTATGCGGAGAATTTTTATCTACATGACACAGGCAAAGCCAGGTATGCTGTACTACCCTTCCTAAGTGTCCTTTTCTGCTTCTTGTTTCCTCATGATGCACAATAACATGAGATCAAGGAATATGAAGGGGCCAGAATCCTACTGCTTTGACCTATGTACTGGACCTGTGCTGGAACAACCCTGCAGACAATCTTCCTATATCTTTTTTTTTTTTTTTTTGAGACAGAGTCTCACTCATCGCCCAGCCTGGGGTGCAGTGGCGTGATCTTGGTTCACTGCAACCTCCGCTTCCTGGGTTCAAGCGATTCTCCTGCCTCAACCTCCAGAGTCGCTGGGATTACAGGGACGGGCCACCATGCCCAGCTAATTTTTGTATTTTCAGTAGAGACGGGGTTTCACCATGTTGGCCAGGCTGGTCTCCAACTCCTGACCTCAGGTGATCCACCTGCCTCGGCCACCCAAAGCGCTGGGATTACAGGCATGAGCCACTGCTCCTGGCCTCTTTCTGTATCTTTCTAAAGGCTGTGAGGACAGACACAGCTCCAGTGATGTTCAGTGCATAAATTCTCTCATTAAAATATCTCAGAATTTTATGCTTAGGAAAAAATCCAATACTCTTTTGTATTGCAGTTAGACTGCGAGAGCACTGTGGCATATTGCACTTCCTTTTTGCATTGGATGCCACGAAGCTCAGAGGTTGCTACATGCTCTATCTTAGCAAATTTCATTAACCTCAGTTTTTGGTACAGCTTTTTTCTCCCCGGCCATCTTTATTACATTGATTGGCTCTTTTTTTTTTCAATCATTCTATCATATCTGTGGCTTTTAGTACAAGCAGCTGGAAATAAATACATAGAACCCATTTACTCTACTTGTGGAATATTTAACCTGATGTATCTTTGTTCCTGGTATTCTTTAGAGCAATAGTTTTCATAGCGGGGGATATTCTTTTTAAGAGTACCCTAGCTACTACCTTCGCTCCCTGTTTGAGAAGTGCTAAATATGTGTGGTTCAGAAAAGATACCTCGATGATGTCTATATAATCCTTCAACCTATTCCACCCAGGCTGAAAGCTATAGGGGAAGAGCAATACAGTTGACCCATGAACAATATGGGAATTAGGGGCACCAACCCCACTGCCATACATTAGAAAATCTGCATATAACTTTTGACTCCTTCCAAACTTAACTACTTATATAGCCTTCTGTTGACTGCAAGTGTTCAGTACGTGGTTTAATGCTTTGCCATCACCATCTAGAAATTCTTAATCATTTTTGCACAGGAGGATATGCATTTTCATTTTGTGCTGGGCTCTGCAATTTATGTAGCTGACCCTACATGCAGATTTCCATTATGAACCAACACCATTTCAGGGTTTGGTAGTGGTCACTGTATCATGTCTATCATGCCATCAAGCCTGAAGGTAGCACCACTGCACCAGCTAAACAATCAGGGGCCAAAGTGCAGGTAGGAGGGGAGAGACTAGGTCTCAGGCTTCAGTCTTACTAACTACAAAAGGGTTACTAATAACAAAAAAAGAATTAGAAGACTTACTAATAACAAAAACAGTCCACTATCACATATTTTACATGTTATATACAGTATATACTGTATTCTTACAATAAAGTAAGATAAAGACAATGTTATTAAGAAAATCATAAGGAAGAGAAAATATATTTACTATTCATTAAGTGGAAGTAGATCATCAAAAAGGTTTTCATCCTTGTTGTCTTTAGGTTGAGCAGGCCGAGGAGGAGGAGGAAGAGGAGAGGTTGATCTTGCTGTCTCAGGTAGAAGAGGTGGAGGAGGTAGAAGGGGAGGCAGGCACACTTGACATAAGTTTTATTAAAAAAATTACTTATAAATGGCCCCATGCAATTCAAAGCTATCTTATTTAAGGATCAACTGTTTGAAACTTTAGTGTATATGGTACATTCTGATCTAGAAGGTCTCACATAGGGTCTAGAGATGTACAATTGAAATTTTTTAAAGGAATATTCACAGTGGATTTGAAACAGTGTTATGAAGACTCTAGGAAGCAGTGACCATCCAAGGTTAAAAAAAAGTGATGTAGGGTGAAGATTAACCTCATTCTATAAGTCAATACCAAATATTGATTTCAGAATCAAATAGGCTTCATTGCCATGGAATATTCCCTGCCTTAGTGGAACTGGAACACAGGTGACCTACAGCCTAGTCCCTGTTTTGCCTAATATCTTGGTGACCTTGAGGAATCCTCTTAAGAACTATACCTCTGATCTCCTCATCTGTAAAATAAAACAGTGGGCGTATGATCAAAATGACTCTTTCCACCCAGAAAATGCAATGATTCTTCACCACCATCCAGGGAGATGGTACATTTAGAAACAAGAGGAATTTTAGTGCCTCCAGATAAACGATGAACTGTGAGAATGACAGGAAAAAGCCTTTTCTGTAAAAAGTCAATATGGCTTGGTTTTCTGCCAGGGAAGCACACATACACTTTGTTCCCCAGCATTATAGATGTGAAAAGAGAATTCATGAGTTGTGTAAATGGCTGTTTCATCCACAGAGTTGGAAGCCAAATGCGATTGTTAAATATTCACAATCGATAAAACAAATCTGTAAACTTGATTTAGCTCGGAATAAGGAAGCTGGACTGGAGGAGATCCCTGGAAGGCACTGAGCAGCCCAGGCAGGGCGGATGCTGAAGATGATCAAGCTCTGTCTCTTCTCTCCTAGATCCTCTCCATCCAGGGATGACAATTCCCCCAACACTAAAAAAATTATTTTGCAGCAATGACCACTTGAAATTAATGAGTTCATCATCCCATGTCTCTCTTGGAAACAGTAAGACCAAACAGTTGATCCTTAAATAAGATAGCTTTGAATTGCATGGGGCCATTTATAAGTAATTTTTTTAATAAAACTTATGTCAAGTGTGCCTGCCTCCCCTTCTACCTCCTCCACCTCTTCTACCTGAGACAGCAAGATCAATATAAAAAACACTTTTTTCTTAACATGAACTCTTTTTTTCTACTGCCATATCTTTCAGTGCAGTACTACATTTTAAACAGAGAAGATGTAATTAAATTAGAATGCGTGGTGAAAAGCAGTGGAGGCTGATAATAATCGCTTTTCAGAGACTGCTGTAATTGGCGCTCCAAGGATTTCATTTCAAAGCATCAGTCAATTTAGGAGGGTTGTTTTATCTGGACTTGAGCTGCTTTGATGAAGACACTATGTCTTGATGTGTCTAGGTTTTCTTAAATTTAACTAAACTGTTTTTAATGATTATGTTAATAATTACAGTACCATGATTCTGTTTTATGGACATTGGATGATAAAATTCGAATTCCCATTCTGCCTATTAGTTAAAGTTGTAACCATAAAACGTGCACAATCCTCGCTCATTAGGCATTTGATAAGCCCTTGAAATTCCATGACCAATAAAAATGTCCCTGTCATTTGACGTCTCCTGTGCAGAGTTTAATACATCAAATCAAAGCAGGAGAGGAAGTTTCTTAATGAACATTCTAATATCCTACTTGTTTTTGCTCACGCTGTTGTTGTTGCTGTTTTTTAACCCGGATCGCCTTCCTCTTTTTTGCTCTGGCCCAATGGGTAATATTCTACTTATTATTTAAGTCATAGTTCAAACACCACCTCTTCCATGAAGTCTTCCTTGATTACCAAGAGAGGAGTTTGTTATTCCAAATTCCAGATCCCAGAGCTTAAGCTTTCTCATTTACAGTATGGTGATCCCAGGGCTATGGTGATTATAAAATGAGTTAACACTTCTGGAAGCTGAAAGGGTACTGTTATCACTGTTAGGAATTTTTCTTAACTCACCTGTTGGGATGCTGCGAGTTGGAAGTCATGGGATACAACACAGAAGCTGGCTAAAGTTTAGAGTCATCAGGACAAAATTTTACCTCTGATTGAGAAGTACCAATTAATTATCTGCAGGATGATATTTAGTGTCTGAAAGAAAAAAGCATGGAGGTCCTGAGGTAGACACACTACCTGGGTATGTAACCTTGGGAAAGTCACTTTATTTTTCTGGGATTCAATGATCTTTTTTGCAAAACAAATTTATTGAACTAAATTATCATTAAGATTACTTTTGCCTCCAGTATTCTGGAGTATAATTACACATGGTACAAACCTTAAAATTGTGCCCAAGGTATTTGCAGCATTAAAACTAATTAATAACATACCTAATCATCCCAACAGAGATCGGATTTCTTCTGTGCAATTACTGTTCCTGGCTTCATAAAGATAGAGCAGAGAAAAACGTCATTATCTTAGCATTCCATGCAAAGTTGATTAGTTATATGAAATATGTTTGGGTAATTAATAACTGGAAGTAGAACTCTCCATTTCATTGTTATAGTATCATCTTGACAAAATACCAAAGTTTCTTTTGTAGAGAATATAGTGAATTCTGTGATGTTTGCTGGTTCTGTGGAGGATAGAAAAAAAATCTCAATGATAGATCAAATAATGGCTAACATTTATTATAATCTTTATTATTTGTAGTAGTAGTAGTAGCAGAAAGGTCAGACGTGTTTGAACCAGAGCGACTCCATCTTGAATAGGGGCTGGGTAGCCTAAGGCTGAGAACTACTGGGCTGCATTCCCAGGGGATTAGGCATTCTAAGTCACAGGATAGGAGGTTGGCACAAGATACAGTTATAAAGACCTTGCTGATAAAACAGATTGCAGTAAAGAAGCTGGTCAAAACCCACAAAAACCAAGATGGTGACAAGAGTGACCTCTGGTCATCCTCACTGCTCATTATACGCTAATTATAATGGATTAGCATGCCAAAAGACACTCCTACCAGCACCATGACAGTTTACAAATACCATGGGAACATCATCCTATACGGTCTAAAAGGGAGAGGAACCCTCAGTTCTGGGAATTGCCCATGCCTTTCCTGTGAAACTCATGAATAATCCACCCCTTTTTTAGCACATACGCAATAAATAACTACAAGTATCCTTAGGCCAGCAGCTCAAGCCACTGCACTGCCTATGGAACAGCCATTCTTTTATTCCTTTACTTTCCTAATAAACTTGCTTTCACTTTACTCTATGGATTTGCCTCAAATTCTTTCTTGTGCGAGATCCAAGAACCCTCTCTCGGGGTCTGCATTGAAACCTCTTACTCATAACAGCAATAGTGCTAATGCTTGCTGAACATTTACCATGCACCAGGCACTGTTCTGAGTGCTTTATATGGATTCCATCACATAGTCAGTGCTGTGAGGTAGGTAATCTCATTATCCCTTTTGAGGTAATGGAAGCTCAGAGAGGTCAAATGACTTGACTAGAATGATACAGCTCATGTGTGGAAGAAATGGGGATTCAAAGGACTCCTGAGTCCAAGTCCTGGCTGCCAGGTAGAAGGTGAAAATGACAGGACTGTAGTGTCATTAATGAGAATTAGGACCCCATTTGCAGAAGACTGGCGCTATAAGATAGTAAGAGCAAGGGTGATAATCAGCTGCTATGATGGTTCCATTGATACTTAAGATATAGAAACAACTGGTTGGAAACGGCTACTGCTCTGAGTCCAAGTGCCTGCCTCATGGCCTCAAACTACTGTGACCTCTTTTATGGGACCCGCTTGCATCTTGTACTCTCCCAGTATCTCTTCATAACCTAGCAACAAAAGACTGTGATATCTGCCACAGCTGGGGAGTCCAGGATCCTGCCCCAGGGTTAAGACTGGCAACCAATGTGACCTTTGTTATCCCTGTCATAGTGATTGTGAATTGAAAAAAAATACTGCTCTTGGTAAGCAGGGCTGTGTATCAATATGCTGCTTACATTTGGGACAAAGGGTCTGTGCCTTCTGTTCTATGGGAAGGTAGTGGGTGGTTGGGGTGGGAGATTGCCTGAAGCATTGACTTGCCTAAGACAATATTCAAAACAATAAATTTGTGACATTTCAGTAGCACCGTTCTAAACACCATTCTCTAAATAAAAGCAACCAAGGGCTCTTTGGTGAATTGGATGATCCCCGAGCTGGGGTGGGGAAAATACAGAATGAGGCTGGAGCATCTGGGAATGCCAAACAGTAAGGAAATGTTAAACAAATCAACACAAAACAAAAAGATAGGGGTATGCTTGAAAGGCACAAGAGATACCTGGAAGAGCTCTGACTGGCTAAAGTGAGAACAGCTTGACCTACAAAACTCATGATGACAGTATTAGCTTACAACTTAAAGAATAAAATAAAAACATTCACCAGCCCATTCTGATATAAATAATGAACTGAACAAATAAATGGGGAAGAAGTGATAACTCTTCTTTACAGATAAATTCCAATTAATACATGTACAAGAAATGGAAGAAATAGAAAATCATCATTATAACACACACTAATAATTACTGCCAACAATCTCTCCTGATGGATGCTATAATTTGTAAGTAAAAGTTTAAACAGAAATGTAGTATTTTCATAGTTTCAAAGGATATTCCCCAAATATTTGGTAATGACAAAGGGAAAATAGTAACTTTACAGTGGAGAAACATGGAAGACACCGCATTAGAGAAGTGGTGGAGGTTAGTATCACCAGTAATGCCTGTAGATATCATACACTCCCTGATTTGACAAATGAGAAGCCACATCATCTCCATGGTATACACTCCAATAATGCATTTCCTCCATATAGCAATGAGAAAACATCAGACAAACACAAATGAGGGACTTCGACACAATAACTGAACAGTACTCTTTAGAAGTGCCAAGGTCATAAAGACAAGGAGAGAAGAAATTGTCTTAGGTGGGAGGAGACTTAGGAAACATGACAACCAAATGCAAATTGAGATCCTAGATTGGATTCTGGAACAGTAAAAGGACATTAATGGAAAACTAGTGAAATTGGGATAATTCTGCAGTTTAGTTAACAGTAGTAGTTCTCAGGTTTGATCATTGATCTATGGTTATGGAAGGGGTATTTAATATAAAGGGAAACAGAGTAAATAAAGGGTATAGGGGAACTCTGTACTATTTTTGTAACTTTTCTCTAAGATTATCTTAAAATAATGAGTTTTTTTTAAATTTTAAGTTTTTATTTTTTATAGAGATGGTGTCTCAAACTCCATCAAACTCCAGGCTAGTCTCAAACTCTGGAGCTCAAGCAATCTTCCCACCTCCACCTCCCAAAATGCTGGGATTACAGGCATGAACCATGCCTGGCTAAAATAAAGAGTTTTTAAAAAGGAATTTAAGAATCAAAACCCAGGAGAGTTTTCTACACTGTGGCCTCTGAAGAAAGCATTTTCCCACTTTCATGAAATAGATGGAATTAAGATTGGGCATGGTGGCTCATGCCTGTAATCTCAGCAATTTGGGAGGCCAAGGCAGGTGGGTCATCTGAGCTCAAGGAGTTTGAGACAAGCCTGGGCACCATGGCAAAACACTTGTCTCTACAAAAACCACAGAAATTAGCCAGGTGAGGTGCTGTGTGCCTGTAGTCCCAGCTACCGGGGAGGGAGGCTGAGCTGGGAAGATTGCTTGAGCCTGGGAGGTGGAGGTCGCAGTGAGCTGAGATGGTGCCACTGCCCTCCAGCCTGGGTGACAGAGAAGACTCTGTCGCAAAAAAAAAAAAAAGAAAAGAAAAGAAAAAGAAAATAAAATGTAACCTATGGAATTATATATGGAATTTGTATGTATCACAATAAGCACAATGTTTGAGGGAAAAATTTAAACTGTGGACCACCAATTGCAGTGCTTACTTTCTTAAAAAATATTCATTCAACAAATCTTTATGGATCTCCTTCCGTGAGCTAAGAACCGTGCTACTGTGAGTATCTTTTCTTTGATTTTTGTATAACCTTCATTTCAAAATCTTTCTGCCATATGAAGTGGAATGACGTTTCCAAACATATTTAATTTCTCTCAAGAAATTGTTGCGGGTCAGGTTGTGCCACCAACAATGCCCAGGTTGGCTGTTGGTGGTTTTGTTTCCTTGAGTTACTTTGGGTGCTGTTGGTTATGGGAAGGTTTGGGAAGCTTTTGCTGTATTTGACTCCAAAAAAAAAAAAAAAAAACCACAAAAAACGCAAAAAACTGCGCTTGTGAGTTCCTGTTGTAAATAAATGAGAACGTGCTTTCGTGCCAGTGTGCTTGGGAGCCATCAGGCTTAGCTAGTCCGTTATCCCACAGGAGTAAGGAAACAGGAACAAAGTCTTGACAAGGTGCTATCTAAACACCTCTCCCATGGCCCACTGTGAATTCTACTGTCACTTTAATATGATGCAACTTAATTCATGGCTGCTGGGCTGTAGCTTCAATTATGTATGTAACATGAAATGGGAAAAACAATCTAACCTGGTAGTTCTGCTCATGGATAATATTTTAAATGCACAAACTCATGAGAGGATTACATAGCATCTTGCAGAGAGCAATGGGAACAAAATAACGGGACATTACAGTGGCTGAAGTTCAGTCAGCTCACATGACATAGTTTCAACTTTTCTATCAGTTTCTTTTATATGCTTCAGCGTAAGTGTTTACTTTTCTTGAACTTTGGTCTACTGATTAGAAATATGAAGACCCACTTAATCCACTTATATAGATGTAATGATGGTGAGTGGAAGGAATAAAAGCCAAGAGAACAGGAATGTTTGAATCTGAGGTCTTACAGAATGTAAGCATAATTGCGGAAGTAACAAATGTGATAATAATGAAGACTTATAGAAAAAGCAGCTAGAGGTGGGTGGATCACGAGGTCAGGAGTTTGAGACCAGCCTAGCCAACGTGGTGAAACCCTGTCTCTATTAAAAATACGAAAATTAGCCGAGTGTGGTGGCAGGTGCCTGTAATCCCAGCTACTCAGGAGGCTGAGGCAGGAGAATCACTTGAAACTGGAAGGTGGAGGTTGCAGTGAGCTGAGATCGTGCCACTGTACTCCTCAACAAGAGTGAAACTCTGTCTCAAAAAAAAAAAAAAAAGGAAAAAAAAAAAGAAAAGAAAAAGCAGCTAGAATTTATACATACCCTCCCACACACGTATTTAGATAAATATATTAAAGTGATTAGGTTATGTATGAGGAGAAAAAGAATGGAAAAATAAAAGATATTTGCTTTATCGAAATGAGTATAGATAAGATGATTGTGTATAGGCCAAATACATGTGGGAACCTCATGTGGTCCGGAGTCTATGCAAAGTCACATTCTAAGAAGCACAATTTCAGCATAGAGAGGTGTTGAAAAGAAATCCCCATCCCTACTTGTGCCTCCTGAAAACATTAAAGGAACTCCATCCATATCGTTCAGCAACATTTATCCCAAGTTCCTTCCTACATTTCCCTGAATACCAAATCATCAAACTCTTAAGTCCAAGCTTAATGGCTTTTCTTCCACTAGTTTTATTCCCTTTTTTTTGAGACTGAGTCTTGCTTTGTCACCCAGGCTGGAGTACAGTAGCATGATCTCGGCTCACTGCAACCTCCACCTCTCAGGTTCAAGTGATTCTCCTGCCTCAGCCTCCCGAGCAGCTGGGATTACAGGCACATGCTGCCACACCCAGCTAATTTTCATATTTTTAGTAGAGACGGGGTTTCACCATGTTGGTCAGGCTGTTCTCAAGCTCCTGACCTCAAATGATCCACCCACCTGGGCCTCCCAAAGTGCTGGGATTACAGGCGTGAGTCACTGCGCCTGGCCTCCAGTTCTTTATTAGGCAAGTTCATTCTACTAATCTCCCATTTGCCTCTTGGATCTGCTTCTTGCTTGCAATTCTGTTCATAAAAGATCAGGAAACTAGAGTCGTTGGGACTTGCTTTCAGTGGGTGGATAATGATGGGGAGCTGAGGTGGGTGGGTTTTAGAAACAAACTCCTGTAAGGAAGCCCCCCCATGGAAGGTCTTGGCTTGCTCCAGTCTCAAGCTGGAGGTCAGCAGAACCCCTTTGGTTTATAAACAGGTTCCTCTTCCTCCTCCAACAGCCTCTGTCATCATGCCCTTGGTTGCAGAAGGAGCTTTTCTCAGACTTAAGAACAGAAAAACTAGAGCATGGAACCAGGTTATAATTGTTATCCAGGGGCAATTCAGATGCAGTGGGCCCTAGGGAGTGCTGCTCCTGGTCTTGTGAAGCAGCTGCCTCCTCAGCCAGCGCTTCCCCACAAAAGTTTCATAAAAGCTCTTTATTACATAATTATACTTCTGCATCTTGTAGTTATGTGAGGTAACTACTTGCAATTAGCATGTTTAATTAGCAAATTAGGTGATATAATCACAATACGGAGCAAAATTTGTCATGAAATTGGAGTTCATTAACAATCGGAGTTCATAAACAAATGGCTTTTGTCTTTAAGGAGGGGGGAAGAAAAACCTCAATGTAAACCTTCAGTTTTGGTGGATAGTGAGATTGAATTTATGTTGAGCGCTAAAAGGGGAGCTTTCCATCTGTCTCCCAGAAGGAGCCTGCTCTCCCCCTTTAGCTGGGCATTAGTCACTGTGGTGTGTAACTGTCCCCTTTGTCACTCCTGGGCTGTGCTGGGTTTTCTCTCTAGGGTAGATGTGGAGCTGATTTGCCTGGAGACACGTGTTGTAGAGTGTTGGCGCTCAACTGGTCCAGTTCATTCTGTGCAAGAGATGCTTAGTGTGCCCTACTGTGTGTTAGGCACTTTGAGGTGACGGAGATGAGCTAAGCGGCTTAATTTGGAAATCAACTTCTAAATATATTGGAAACAAATAGAGGAATGTAGAGAATGCTGGGGGAGTGCAGAGGAGGGGGTAATTAATCAGTGGGCAATTGAGGTAGCCACTTTGATGGGGCATTTCCCAGGAAAAAAAAGTATATTCAAACCACCCAACCAAACCAAGGTGCAAATAATTTGTTCAGACCCTACTGTGTGTCCCTACGCCACAGTTCTTAACGTGGAGTTCGAAGACCGCCCCTACCGCTTCTGTAATTGGGCTCGATTGTTGTCTGGGCCTTGCTTCATTCTCTTGGAGGACAGGTGATGAGTTTATCAGTCTTGTGACCATGTAAGACATGAAATTTTAGGTCAAATTTTATGGATTTGTATTGTTTTGTAGAAAAGTACATAGATTTATCTATATTGATGTGGCATATTTCCAGTGGTGTCTGTGACCCACAAAATATTAACATTACTGGTCTCGACAGTTGGCCCTTGAACAACATGGAGATTAGGCACGCTGATCCCCGATGCAGTCTAAAATTCATATATAACTTTTGACTCCTGTAGAATTGAATTACTAATAACCTACTGTTGATGGGAAGCCTTACTGATAACATAGGCAGTAGATTAACACATATTTTGTATGTTATATGCATTATATAC
The DNA here is from genome assembly GCF_000001405.40 of Homo sapiens. Classification (NCBI taxonomy): domain Eukaryota; kingdom Metazoa; phylum Chordata; class Mammalia; order Primates; family Hominidae; genus Homo; species Homo sapiens. Next base: position 3,273,193 of record NC_000003.12, read on the forward strand.
TGTATTCTTATAATAAAGTAAGCTAAAGAAAGAAAATGTTATTAAGAAAATCATAAGAAAGAGAAAATATATTTGCTACTCAATAAATGGAATGAGACTATGACAAAGGCTATCATCCTCATTGTCTTCACATTGAGTAGGCTGAGAAGGAGGAAGAAGAGGTGTCAATCTTGCTGTCTCAGGGGTGGCAGAGGCAGAAGAAAACTTATGTATAATTAGACTTGCAGGATTCAAACCCGTGTTGTTCAAGGGTCAACTATATTGACAAATTATATATATATATATACATATATATATTCACTAATTTCATAAATATAATCTAGGAGATAGAGATAGGGGCACAGCTCCTACTTGAAGTTACCAGGGACAAAAAAAAAAAAAACCCAACAAAACATAAAGATGGCAGAGATGGCCAGTTGACCAAAGAATGTACTCTCTTTCCATACAGTAGCACTGCAGTTAGGAAGCAGCCAGGGATACTTTTCAACCCCACTTGCATCTAAGCGTAGCCATATACCTAAATCTTCCCAATGGAACATGAATGATGCAATGTGTGTCACTTTCAAGCTGACCAGGATAAAAAATATGTCTTATTTCTTCACCCTTTTCTTCCCACTTCTGAAATGACCTTGGGAGCTATGTGTTGAAGATGGCAGTCACAAGATACAAGGAATCTGGATTTATCAATGCCCAAGTAGAAGGCTGCTTCTTGAACATCTATACTGCTTAGGTTCAATGGACTGCTGTTTAAACCAAAAAGAAATGTATACTGTAGTAGTCATGAATATTTTTGTGTTTCTACGTCACAGAAACTAAGGTTGCCTTACCTTATGCAAAAGGCAAGTTCAACAGAATGTGGTGTTATGATGATGCTACATGCAATGGGACAGTAGAAGACGAAGACGGAGAAAATGAAGGAAAGCAACTAAAGCGGGACAAAGTGTAAGCAATGACTCCGTGATGAGTAGATACCAAAGTAAAGAGCCCACAGTAGGTCCTACAGGGGTGGCAGAAAGTGGGAGACAGAAGGTGAATATTTCAAGCCGAGAGAACAACACAGGCAAACTCCTGGAAGTGCGAGTGAGTGGAGTAGCTCCATATGGCTGAAGTAGGTAATGGTATAGGGATGGAGGTTAGAGACATGCACAAGGTATTCTTAGATCTTGAAGGAGTTTAGACTTGACTCAGGGGACACGAGTCACGAGCTATAAAGAAAATGACATAATTGGATTTGGGCTTTTGAAAGATAACACTAGTTACGGTGCGAAGGATGAAGGGGACAAGATTAGACTACAGACAGGGTGCCTAATGCAAAGCAAATATTTTAATCCTGGTGATTAAAGGCAGCAGTTCAAACTGAGGCAGAGTTAATGGGAACAGAGAGAAGTGGCAGGATTTGACAATGACTAGATAAGAGAGAAAAGGGATATACAGTCATCCCTCAGTATCCATGAGGAATTGGTTCCAAGACCTTCCCTCCTGATCCTTCACCCCACCAGTGCTCAAGTCCCTAGCATAAATAATATAGTATTTACATATAACCTACACACATCCTCCTGTATACTTCAATCATCTCTAGATTACTTATAACACCTAATACAATATCTACACATCACTTCATTTGTATGGATTCAACATAGTACTTGGCATGTGGCAAATTCAAGTTTTGCTTTTTGTAAGTTTGTGGAAATTTTTTGGTTCCAAATATTTTCAGTAGTTGGTTGAATTCATGGATGTGGAACCCCCAGATCCAGAGGGCCAACTATGTAGAACTAAAGCCAGAGATAAATGCCAGGATAGGAAAGGGCAGAGGGCTCAGAATACATAATGATGGTGCCAATCTTGGTTTTGCTATTAGGTTGGTTCATGGGTTTTATCTCAGTAGGTTTAGTTTACCTAAAAATGGGCAAACTAAATAGTTTGCAGGGTTTTTGTCAGGATAAAATAAGACCCAGCATATGGAAGTATTACATAACTCAACAATGCTTTATAAAGGGAAGTTTCTTGGCTACAGATAAAGTCTACATAACCCTTGTCCAAATATCTCATCCCCAGGAATCTGAGCATTGGAGTATCTTTAAGACTCTTTAAAGGTGGAGTTTTAGAGGTTCTACATGGAGAAGAATCACGTTCTACTCTGGTGGATCAATCTCATAGATATTGGGAGGGTGGTGTCTCCCCAAGTGAGCCAACTACTTGCCTCAAAAAGAGTTGTAGAGGCCTCAGAGTGGTTCAGCTTTCCTTAGCACTACTGCATTTGGAGACATCATATGTCTGTACATCTTTGGGGGTCATCTTTCCTTCTGGTATAGTCCCTGAATCCCTGCATTTATAGCTTCCTCAAACCACTCAAGTAATCTCAGTCTTTTGCTACTAAGGGTAGTAAAAAGTTCTCTGTAATGGAGATCAGTATTCTTAAGTTTCCTCATTTCTTACAAAAAGCACTATGGCCTGTAGATAGTTGGAGAGTTCAGAATGACTCCTCATTTTTTAAGTCATAAACGGCTTCTTTGTGAGCACAGGGTAGAAACACTAGACTCTCAAAAACCACTTGCCATGCAGTTCTCACTGTCACATAACATATCTATAGTGTGATAGTTTTCCTTGATTCCTGATACCAGCTGGGTTCTCTGTACTATATTTTACAGTTAGTGGTAAAGACACTGAGTTCATTTCTGAAAAACAACTACCTCTGCATAACTTGTAAGATTTCAATATTTAGTTCTGTCTGACAGGCATAAGCACTCGCCATTTTCCTACACATCTGGACCTTGGAGATAATTCAAATATATCTCTTCAATCAGATTGACAGCCTTTTTTTGGACCTAAAGAACCCTGATTTAAACAATTTTTCTTAAATGTACTTTCCGAGGCAAACAATTTTTCTTAAATGTACTTTCCAAGGCTTGGCTAGACAACTTGGCAGGTGGCAAGTCATTGGAGTTCATAGCAGAATGAATCTTTGACTGAAATACCTGGGTCAAAGACAAAAAAGAGAGCAGTTCATACAACACAGCAGCTGGTATTATAAACTCCTTGCACAAAAAACAATTTGCAACATGTATAGATGTATCATTAGTGCTTTTGGAATAATAAACCTTTCATTTGATTGCACCGTTTTAAATGTTTGATGGAGTGTATTGTGCTGCCTAATTTAGTTTTTCTTGAATGGCAGCATGGATTATGTTCCCCATTTGCATTTGCAGTTCATCAAGTGCCTGCCATTCTCCTGTAATGAGAAATGTTTCCAGAAGGGAAAGATAAGATATGGGGTGAAAGGTAGTGGACTGTCAAAAAGCAATGCAGGCATATGCAAGACGGTAGGCCCCAGGCAGATGACACTGGAGTCCAGGCTGGGCAGCTCTCTTGGAGGGAGGTTCTGCCTGGCTTTCCCCCAGAAGCCAGAGGTAAAGCATCTATTAATACATACAAGGGGCACTGGAATGGGCTGTGGTTTTTCTGCCCAGCATGTATTCCCATCTCCTTTATGATAACACTGCCTCCTTTCCCTTGGGAAACTTCTCCACCAGTACATGGGGTCTTTGTGGGACAGTCAATCGTAACACCCTCTCCCTCCTCCAAACACATCTGGAGTGGGCATGTAAACCAGGCTGGACCAGTCTGAGTATACTTTTCCCTCTCAGAACAATGATTGGCTCAGGAACAGGCATGTGACCAAAGTCAGACCAATCAGATTCTGTCCCCAGACTTTACCAAATTAGTTGCAGAGACAGCTTGTGCTTGTTTTTGGCTGACATGATGTAAACGTATATCAACAGCCATCTTTCTCACAATGTTGAAAGGGTCTCTGAGGCAGGAGGGGGCAAGATGAGTGTATAAAAAGAAGTCAGCACCTAGACAGATATAGAGAGAGTGTCCTAGAGCACTCATACTCTAAGTCTCTGCATCCAGGAAAGAAGTCCACCCCTGGAGTCCCCAGGTATATAAGCTCATACATTCTATTTCTTCCATGTCTCGATGCAGCTGCTTTGACTTGGGTTTTTGTCAGTTGAAATAAAAGAGTTCTGATGAATACAGTTATAAAAAATGCAATTACAATAAAGAAATCAACAAAAATTATCCATAACGTATTCTACCAAGACCCATGTCTAGGAACTACTCATGCTAGCTTTTTGTACCTAGCATATGTAACATAATGACTATTAGCATATTTTTTTATGAGAGTGATAAAAATCACGTTAGGGTAAAGTCAGCAAAGAGGTCATTTTCTCCCCCATGTGTAGCAGGAAATTGTGTTTAAATGTTGGAGCGAGAATGCCACCATCCATTGCCATAACAGGCACAGTTGTATATAGCAACATCCTCTTAGACACAGGCAGAAAGTTGTTTTTAAAAGTGAAGGGTTATTATGGAGAAAAATTTTCCCTTTCTCAACATTTGTATCCTCCTCTTCATTTGAAGTCTCCATTTCCTATCATTTCTATTTTTTAAAAAATAACAGCTTTATTGAGATATATTTCACATACTGTATAATCTGCCTATTTAAAGCACACATACGATTCGATGATGTTTAATAGATAATATTTACAGAATTGTGCAAGGGCTAACAGAATCAGTTTTTAGAGCATTTTCACCACCCCTAAAAGAAACTCTGTGCCCTTTAGCAATCCTCCTCCGGGAGCCCATCCCTTCAGCCCCTGGGAACCACTAATCTGCCTTTTGTCTCTATGAATTTCTTTATTCTGAAATTTCATATAAATAAAATACTGAAAGGAAAATAAAAACCTTGGGACCCCAAACTCTCTATGCTAAGGGGAAAAGTCAAGCTTGAGAACTCAATCACCAAACTGCCTCCCATTTCGTTCCTAAATAGATAGCTATGAAGACAAAAGGCTGTATACCTCCCTCACAATTTCCTCAAGGGAAAATTCCTTGTGGGCCCCAAGATCTTTACACAAAAACAGTTCTGTTGAATTTCGCCCTGACAGTGTAAATTAACAGCTTATCCTCACAGGTATGGAACAAAGGACTGAACTGGAAGTCATCCCTCTGCTCATCTGAGACAAATGTATATTTGATTCCTCTACTCTCTGTTTACTTTATCTTATGTAAAAATGCAGATTTACTGAGCATGAGACAAATGCATAACTATTTCTCTACCCTCTCCTTTCAAAGTAAAATGTGGACTCACTGAATGCTGATCAAAGACTCAAAAGAATGCAACTGCTTGCCCCTTTTATCTACCATCCTCTTTTTTTTTCCCCTTCATTTTTTCCTACTGCCTGCTCTTTCCCCTTCAAATATTGAAGTCCCCAATCTCTCTTTGGAAAAAGCATGGACCACAGATGTTACTGTGGTTTTGTGTTCCTTTTTCCCCAGGGCATCCTCAACCTTGGCAAAATAAACTCCTAAATTAATTGAGACCTGTCTCAGATACTTTTTGGTTTACAGAATCATGTAACATACGTTCTTTTGTGACTGGCTTCTTTTGCTTGATGTCATATTTTCAAGGTTCATCTATTTAGTATCAGTAGCCATTCTTTTTTTACAGCAGAATAATATTCTATTCTACGGGCATACCACATTTTGTTTATCAATTCATTCACTCATAGACTTTTGGGTTGTTTCTACCGTTTGGCTATTTTGTTATGAATGTTCACGTATAATGTCTGTGTGGACATATGTTTGCATTACCCTTGGGTATATACCTAGGAATGGAAATGCTGGGTCATATGGTAACTCCTTTTTTTCAACTTTTTGAGAAAATGCCATCCTGTTTTCCAAAGCTACACCATTTTTTTATTCCCACCTGAACTGTATGAAGCTTCCACTTTTTCCCCATTCTTGTCAGTACTTACGTCATTTTGATTATTGCTCTCCTAGAAGGTATGACATGATATCTCACTGTGGTTTTGATATGTGTTTCCCTGATGGCTAATGAGGTTCACCTCTTTTCATGTACTTTGTGGCCATTTATATATTTCCTTTGGAGGAATGTTTATTCAGATCATTTGCTCATTTTAAAATTGAGTCTGATCACCTTGATAGCAGTAGCAAGAGTACATTGGTCAAAGGACTTTCTCTCCCTTCTTCACAATCCCCCCTTTTAGGAATGTAAGTAAAGATCCCTGTTGGTAGCTGATTGGGCATTAAGAAAGAGGGGTGCATCTAGGTTCATTCTCAGGTAACTAGATGGGTAGTGGTGTTATCTTTACAGATGGAGAATAATATGCAAGGTAGAATTTAGAGCTATAGGTTCCAATCCTGATGTTGCCACTGCTAGCTACGTAACTTTGGACAAATTAATCTCTCTTTGCCTCCATTTCACTCTCTGTAAATTGAGGCTAGTAATAGTGCCTACCTCATACAATTAATGTAAAAGGTAAATGATTTAACATACACAAAACACTTAGAACTGTGTGTGTTTATCATTATTTGCTTTCTACTTCTTCCTCTCCATTATCTTCTTTGATATCATCATCATCATCATAACCAAGAATGCAGGAGGAAGAGGAATTTAAGAGAACGTAAGTAATCTGTTAATACATTCCATTTTGGGCATGCTTATTGGAGTACCTGTGGACATCCAGTTACAGACATCTAGTAGTTAAGTGGATGAGGAGCCAGTAACCAAAGCTGGTGGTTATAAAGTAGGAAAACTCTAGTGATGGTGCTGTGTAGGAAATTAAAGGAGAAGAAGGTTTAATAAACCGGGTGGTCTATAACACTAAATACCCTATAAAGTTCAAATAATACAGGGGACTAGTGAGCCTATTGAATTGAGTAATAAGGAGCTCGTTGGTAGCATTTAATGGAGCATTTTCAGAGAAGGGGGTCTCTTTCACTTAGCCAATGACTCCATTGAAGCTGGAGGCCATGACTTAGCTCATAATCATGTGATTTTCTCTGGTAGGGAAGAAAGTAATTGGGTAGTGTTAACAATTCAGAGACCCGAGTCCCCCATGGGTACTTCTTTCCTTTCAGGCTGTCAACACAAGAAGCTTATGTCTAAGGAAGAATCATTGGCAGAATGGGAAATAAGGTCAGGGCTTGGTAGTCCTGTGGAAAATACTCAGTTCCAATGGGGGGCTTTTTTGGTAAAATCAAATTGGAGCATGAACCTGAACGTGTAGACTGGCCCTTGGACTTAAGCTTCTTACCTTTGTCATGTGGAAGCAAGAAGTTAAATAAGTAGTGGGAAGAGTGTCTTCACAGAGTGGGGGCAGGACATGAAGAAGGCAATGCAACATAGTTGCATTCCTGACAAGGCACAAGTATCCCACTCACTTATAGAATATGGGCCAATAAGCATCTGCACAAGCAGCCCTTCTTCTGTTGGGAGGGCCAAATATTCCTTCATGATCCCACTCTTGGAGTCATTCCAGAAATTTGACATGAGGGGTCCAACTTCCTCCCTTCTTGGCAGTTTGACAGAGCGGAAGTTGGGGGTTACCAGGGTATATATGCCAGAGGATGTGATTTCCACATCTAACATATGATTCACAAAAACAATACTTTCTTGATCTTTTAAGAAGCTTATAATCATAGAACACTTGGAAGTTATACTCTTCATAGAACACCATGAAATATTGATACATTTAATTTTAGGAATAATTTTAAGCAGAAAATATGGCTCTATTATATGTCACAATATAAAATCATAACCACAAACGCATACATCCATAAAAAATCATGCTGCTGAATTAAGAGTGATTGGCTGTTTGCATTAACTTTTGCTTGATACTTATTCATTACATTTGTTATCAGCTAGCACTCACCAGCAGACAAGAAGTAGCAGGTGCAAAAAAGGCTCAAAAATTTTGGCAAAGAAAAGCTTAAAATTGTGAAAATTTTATCCATTAAGTTATATTTTCTGGAAATTGCAACACCCCTGCAATTATTCCAATTTAGTGATGGAACATATCCGTTTTGCAGACTGAGAATCTCTAAACTAGTTCTAAAAATTTAATACTACAAGTTGTCCCGTACCAGAAAGGCTGTGACTTGTCTATTAATAGATACTATATTAAGAGCTCATTTTTGCTTTGGTAGAGGGCTGAGAGGCTTCAGTTTTGCTGTTTGCACTTTCCATTTCCTGTTACCACATGCAAATGAACTATTCAACTTTTTTTCCTTTCTCATATTAACTTACCTAAATGTTTGTGCCATATACAAAATGGTATCTATCCAGAGAAGAGGTAAGAGTGATGAAGTGTGAGTAGAGTCTCTCTTCTGAGAGCTTCTGGCTATTACTTTCTCCTAAATTGCTCATAGGATAAATTTCCTACCCCATTATAATATAAGCCTTGGGGCCGGGCACAGTGGCTCACACCTGTAATCCCAGCACTTTGGGAGGCCGAGGTGGGTGGATCTCTTGAGGTCAGAAGTTCAAAACCAGCCTGGCCAACATGGTGAAACCTTGTTTCTACTAAAAATATAAAATAGCTGGGCGTGGTGGCACGCACCTGTAATCCCAGCTACTCAGGAGGCTGAGGCAGGAGAATCACCTGAACCCGGGAGGCAGAGGTTGTAATGAGCCAAGATTGTACCAGTGCACTCCAGCCTGAGCGACAGAGTGAGATTCTCCCTCAAAAAAAAAAAAAAAAAAAAAAAAAGGAATATAAGAATATATATTCTTATATATATTCTTATATCTATATAAGATGTACAGAATATAACTGCTGCTTATATATATATAAGAGGTACAGAATATAACTGCTGCTTAAATATATATAAGAGGTACAGAATATAACTGCTGTACCTCCAGCATCTACACTGGGGCCAGAGCATAGTAGGTGATTAATACACTTCACTTAATCTGAAGTTCTCATAGAAGGATTGTATTTAGGATGGTATGACTTTTGGAGTAAGACATACTTGGATTTGATCTCAGCTTACTATCTTAGGCAATGAATGTAATGTCTCAAAATTTATTTACACATCTGTTTAATTGAGACAATATTTAGCTTTTATAGCATTGTCATGAGGATTGAGAATTACTCTAAGTATAACATTAATATCAGGCCTTGCACATAGGATTTAATTAATAAATGGCAGTTATTGTTATTCCAGACTGGAATAACATGCACTCCAGCCTGCATGATCTGGGCTCACTGCAAACTCCGCCTCCCGGGTTAAAGCAATTCTCCTGCCTCAGCCTCCTGAGTAGCTAGGATTACAGGCATGTGCCACCACACCCAACTAATTTTTGTATTTTTAGTAGAGACGGAGTTTCACCATGTTGGCCAGGATGGTCTCAATCTTCTGACCTTGGGATCTGCCCCCCTCGGCCTCCCAAAGTGCTGGGATTACAGGCGTGAGCCACTGCACCTGGCTGTAAATTCTAACTTTTAAAAAGCATTTCTTAGTGGTTGCCCTAGAGTTTACAATATACTTTTAAAAAACTTTTAAATATTTTGGTAAGACATATATAACATAAAATTTATAATTTTAACCATTTTTAGGTGTACAATTCAGCAGCAATAAGTACATTCACATTGCTGTGTAACCATACAGAATTTTTTTCATTTTTTTCAAAATGAAGCACTATATCCATTATGCAATACGCATTTTAAATCTAAGTTCACCTTCAGATAACACTATACTCTTCTTGTGTAGTGCAGGCAATATGTAACAGAGTACTCCCAATTAGTTCCTCCTGTCCTTTGTGACAGCGCTGCCATTCATTCCCTGATCCACATGCTATAATAACTAGTAGATTGTTACTTTTATTTATTTTTCAAAAATAAATTGTATATATATAGTGTATATTTAAGGTATACACATATATAAGGTTATGAGAGATATATATGTATATATATTAAAGTGGTTACTATAGTGAAAGAAATTGCTACAACCATCATCCCACATAGTTACCCATTTCTCCTTCCCTGTGGCAAGAGCAGCTACAATCTGCTCATTTAACAACAATTCTGAGTACATTACAGCATTATGAACTACAGTCTTCATGTTGTACATTAGATCTTCAGACTTGTTCATCCCACGTATCTGCTACTTTGTATCCTTTGATCTACATTTCCTCATTTCCTTCCTACCACCATTCCTCTGGTAACCACTGTTGTATTCTCTCCATATATTTTACTTTAAAAAATATTACGCATATAAATGAGATTATGCAATATTTTTTCTGTGTCTGGCATTCAGTTAGCATTGTGTTCTTCAGGTTCATCCATTTTTGGCAAATGACAGGATCTCCTTTTTTTAAAGGCTGGATGAAAATCTATTGCATACATACATACAAATACACACAACAGATTGCACATGGAAATATACAATGGAAACTTTATATGGAAACAACCTAGATGTCCATCCCCTGACAAATGGATAAACAATCACAGTTTCTTTAACCATTTGTCTGGGGTTGGACATCTTGGTTGTTTTCATATCTTGGCTAATGTGAATAATGCTGCAATGAACATGAGAGAACAAAGATCCTTACAAGATGGTGATTTCATTTCTTTTGGATATATACTCAGAGGAGGAATTGCTGGGTTATATGGTAATTCTATTTTTAATTACTATTATATCTTTTTAAAAAGTTCTCTTTTGCATCAATTAAGAGAAAGAAAAATAAAATATTTTATCTTTGTTTCTTTTCTGGAGCTTTTCTTTATTAAGATCCACATTTTTGACGCATCATTTTCCTTCCTTCTGAAGAATTTACTTTAATATGTCTTGCAGAGTAGGTCTGCTGGTGATAAATTCCCTGAGCTTTTGTCTGAGAAAGTCTTGATATCTCCTTCAGTTCTGAAGAATTAATTTTGCTGTATGTGAAACTCTAGGTTGGTGGAAATCTTTTGTTTCTTCTTTTGCTTTCACTGCTTTAGATATTGCACTCTATGCTCTTGTTTGCATGATTTCTGATGAGAAGCATGCTGTAATTCTTATTCTTATTCCTCTATAGGTAAGCTATTTTGTTTAAGAAAATCTTTCAAGATTTTCTCTTTGCCTTTGGCTTTCTGCATAACTGAGTGAGGTTTTGGAATTTATCCTGTGTGGTGTTTCCTCAGCTTTCTGGATCTGTGGTCTGGTGTCTGTCATTAATTTTGGGAAGTTCTCAGCCATTATTCACATATTTCTTCCTTTCTATTCTCTCTTTTCCTTCCACTATCCCAATTACATGTATGTTACACCTTTTGAAATTATCCCCCAGTTGTTGAATGTTCCTTGTTTTTCTTTTTTCTTTTCAGTTTGGGAAGTTTCTACTGATCTCACTTTAAGCTCACAGATTATTTCCTGAATTGTATGAAATCCACTGATGAGCCTATCTGAAGGCATTTTTTTCATTTCTGGTACAATGTTTTTCTAGAATTTCCTTTTTGCTATTTCTTGGAGTTTCTATCTACATTACCATCTGCTCTTGCACATTGTCTACTTCTTCCATTAAAGCCTGTTTCATATTAATCATAGTTATTTTAAATACCCTGTCAGATAATTTCTACATTTATGTCATATCTGCACCTGTTTCTGCTTATTGCTTTGTCTCTTCAGACATTCTTTTTTCTTGCCTTTGGCATGCTTTGTAACTTTTTGTTGAAATCAAGACATGTATCAGATAGTAGAACTTGAGGTAAATAGGCCTTTAGTGTGAGGATTTATGGTTATAAGCCTAGGAGTTGGTCTTCTTCTTTCTTTCTTTCTTTCTTTCTTTCCTCCTTCTTCTTCTTTCTTCTTCTTCTTCATCTTCTTCTTCTTCTTCTTCTTCTTCTTCTTCTTCTTCTTCTTCTTCTTCTTCTTTTCTTCTTCTTCTTCCTCTTCTTCTTCCTCTTCTTCTTCTTCCTCTTCCTCCTCTTCCTCTTCTTCCTCTTCCTCTTCCTCTTCCCCTTCCCCTTCTCCTTCTCCTTCTTCCTCTTCTTCTTCTTTTTTAATGTATTCTGTGCCTATGCTTACCCAGACTCCATTTCATATTTGCTATAGCTACAGGTGCCAGAGGTTTCAAATTTCTCTAGTGTTCTAGTTTTTGTCTCCCCTCTAGGTTTTGGGCTTCCCCAAGTATTCTGCCTCAGATGGAATCTGCATTTTGCAGCTCTTTCAGCTGTAACCTAATGTTATTATACTGGGGTCCTGTTGGTGTGTGTTAAGGGTAGGGAAAAGGTAGCATTCTACGGTCTTTTCAGTGTTATAGTGGGCCTGAGTCTTGGAGTTGTGACATTCACAGGTGTTTCTCCAGTGGTAAAGCTTTTTTTCTTCTGCCTCCTGCTCCCTTACCCTGGCAACACCATGCGCAATTTATTTCCTTGAAGCCCTATCCCTCATTAAGTTGTTGTTGTTTTGTTCCCTCTCTATTAGGTGAGGCAGGAAAGCTGGAGGAGGCTATGAATTGAATGAATGTTCTTTCATCTACTGAGTAAGGCTCTGGCAAAGTCTTTTCCCATAGGTAGTAGGTCTTTGTTATGGAGAAAGCTCTGGTTAAATTTTACTATGACTACTCTTTCCTTACTCCTGCAAGAGCTCTAAGAGCATCTTTCTGGGATCTTCAGCATGAAAACCTGGTGGTGTTCCTGGAGATAATGCTCATGGAAGTGAGGGCCCCTCAAAATTGTAGTCCTCTGGAATTTCAAGGAAAGTAAAAAAAAAAACTGACTTTGTTTTTCTATCTTTTTCTTATTCTGAGGATGGGAATGCTGTCTCCTAAGCTCTTCACATGTCAGAGCTGACACTGGAAGTCTCTTTATCAAGTAATGAAGATATATTATTTACCTGTATAAGAAATTCATGGGAAGGGAGGCACAGCTGGCTTCAGGAATCACCAGGACTAAGGCCTTGAATACTGCCAAGAGACTCCTCTACATTTTGAATTCTCCCTGTGACAATGTTACTGTTTACTATTGCTGACTGTCAGCATGTTTTCTCTTTGTCTGAAGGAACCTCTGCACTCACACCCTAAAAGCTTTATTACCACAGAACAAAAAGATCCTCCCCTTCAGCTTCAAAAAAAAAAAAAAAAAAAAAAAATTGCTGCAGGAAGATTGTGATTGGCTCACCTTGTTTCACACACCCACAGCCTGGTCCAATCACTGTGGCTATGGAGGGGTGAGACTCTGATTGCTCCAGCCTGAACCACGTGCATACCCTTGGTGCCAGGGAAATGTGACAATTTCCAGAACGCCATTAACTAACTCCAGAACCATCTCCATTAACTAATGGAGATTCTTTAGGCATAAGGAGGGAGAGTGTAAGAGGGGGAAGGAGGCCATTTTAGAAGGGGAAGTATAGGAAAGATAAGGAAGCCAAATACACGAACAGAAAGGGGAATTGGGGAATAACTAACTCAAGGCAAAATATGCCCGCTTCACAATTTCTTCTGCTTAGAAACATCTTTTAATCCTTTGGGATGTTTATGAGAAGGGATGATTTCAAACCTTGCCTCTTACAGTCCTCAGTGAGGTGGATAACTGAGTCTATTAATCTGACAATGCATTTAAACTGAGTTATCGTGACAAGGCATTTCCATTATCTATTTCATCGAGTTGCAAACTGTCAGAATAAATCTCATGAGGCGGGGAGATCAAAGCTGCTTTCTTTTATTGGCCGTTTTTAGATTCCATGAAAACTTAGATTCAACTTGGTTTAATGCATAACTCAGAAGAGAAGAGCAAGGTGGTGATTTCTACTGTAAGCTCCTGCACTCCAAACCCCTACAAAATAAAAGAAAAATCCCCACAGGTGACAATTTCTGGCAACTCGACCTGAATGAGACTGCTGTTTTTTTAAAAAAATTAATTAACATTTGCTTATTCAAGTTTAACCTGAAATAGTCTAAATCTCCATGAAAAATTTAAGAAAGGGCACCAAAGTGTCAATGAAATTTTCTGTAAAAGCAATTAAAAGGTGTGTAAGTTCTCCTGTGAAATCCAATTTGAACTGGTTTAAGCAAAAAAGAACACGTATAGCCTCATTAAACAAAAAACCCATGGGTTTTAAGACTTCAATCTATGGTTTTACATTTTGTTATCAGGACCTACCTTCCATCTCTTGGTTTTGCTCTTTGTATTGGGCCTCATTCTCACCTACTTCCTTATGAATTGATGTCCAGTGGAAGAGGAAGTACATCTCACTCTCATAAAGCCATCAAATCTAAAGATTGCACCTCATTAGACTGGGTCAATGCTCAAACCTCAATTAATCACTGTGGCCAGAGGATGATGGCTGTCATTGGCCAGGCTGGGAGGGTGGAGTCAGCATTTATAGAACAGGATCTAAACTAAAGGAAGGGATGTTTTCCCAGAATAAACTCAGAGTTTTGTTACCGAAAGTAGTAGTCATAGCTGTAACAACAGAGAAGGTGATAACAACAGACATTTATAGAGTGCTTATTATGTGCCCAGTACTCTTCTGTGTATCTTAAATGGTTTAACTAATTTAATCCTCATCACAACCTCATGAGAAGACAGGTTGTATGACTTACCAAAAGTTACAAACTGACAAGTAGTAGAACCAGGATTTGCAGCTAGTCTAGTGGTCAATATCTCTTCTAGGAAGTTGTTTTTTCCTATGCTCTTCAATTGCCTGTAAAGTGTATCCTGATCTCAGACTGCCTGGGCCATTTGGAAAATGCATACATCTGGGATCAAAGGCTAAACATTTTATCTTTCAATTTATAGACACTATTTTGGTCCTGTTTCTCTAGTCTCAGACTCAATAGATGGATTTCTACAAAGAAGGCTTAGGTTTGAAATTTATCCTTGTTTATATATGTGTGTCTGTATCTGTCTTGTTCTTTCCACTTCTCTCTTGAACAAAAATCTAAAGTTTACAAATATGTATAAGTCAGCTTGCTCTTTTATTCTGATAAACGTTATTCCTTTTCTCCACAACCCCCATGGGAACTCACTGAGTTGGAAGTCTGGAAATTGATTTCACTGTCCGCAGCTATGCAAACCACCTGCAGTGCCCTTTCACAGCAGATGAGTTTTAAGGGAATCCCAAAGAGAATTTGCACTGGCAAGGCAAAACATCTTCTTTCAGTCATTTACAGATATTTGTGGAGCTTGTGGAAAAAAATAGGCTAAAAAACTTTCAAGGTCAGGAGAGTCGATGGGAAGAGAAAAACAGGAATGTTGGAGTTAGGATCTCTGAGTAACCCAGTTTGCAAGAAAAAGAATAGCTTGATGAATTCAGGAAAAAATGTTTCATAATAGTACTTGAGTGTCATTTTAAAAAATTGAGTAAGTTGATATGCCTCATGGCTTGGTGCTGTCCTCATGGTAATAAATGAGCTCTCAGGAGAGCTGGTTGTTGTAAAGTATGGCACCTCCCCCACCACTTTCTCTCTCTTGCTCCTGCTCTGGTCATGTGACACATCTGCTCCTGCTTTGTTTTCTGCCATAAGTAAAAGCTCCTTGAGTTCTCCCAAGAACCCAAGCTGATGCCAGTGCCATGCTTGTACAGCCTGCAGAACCATGAGCCAATTAAACCTCTTTTCTTTATAAATTACCCAGCCTCAGGTATTTCTTTATAGCAATGCAAATGGCCTAATACAATATGTTACTGGGTTCAACTCAGTATTTTTTTCCTATTTATGCTGTGTAACAAACTACCCAAAACCCAATAGCATTAAACAATAATCATATCTTATTTTTCATCAGTCTGTAGGCTGACTGGGAGTTGGCTCATCTAGGCTGGGGACGATTCTGCTTCACATGCTTTTCATCCTCCTCCTAGAATCAGCAGATCACCTTGGGCATGACCTTCTCAACATGATGGCGGAGGATCAAGAGGGTAAACTCAACTGTACAAGCACTTTTTAAGCCTCTGTTTCTATTATGTCAGCAAACTTTCCATTGGCCAGAGCAAGTCACATACCAAGCCTAGCATCAAGACATGGGAAATGTATCCTATTCAAATAGGAATATACTGAAAAATTACACAAAAAAGTGAGTGGATAAAGGGAGAAATAAAGAATTGTGACCTTTAATGCAATCTACCATGTTCTATAACTTAGACTATGCTGATCAGATCTATGGGTGGTAGCTGACAAGAGAGCATTCCTAAAACTCTTTTTGGTTGAAGAGGGGCCCATGGCATGTTTTGAGTGAGCCATTCAGATACTAATGAAAGCCAACACCTACATCATGCTTACCATATTCCAGGCATTTTTCTAATGATTTTCTATGTATGCCTGTGTACATATATATAAGATTGCATATATATATATATATATATATATATATATATATATATATATATGATAGTTATATATTGTTGTGAAAATTATATGTGTTATATATGTGTTATATATATGTTATACACACACACACACACACACACACACACACATAATTTTCACAATAACCTTAGGAGATAGGTACTGTTATTATCCCCTTTAGACTCATGAAGTACAGAGAAGTTAAAAAACTTGCTCAGTTGGTAAATAGAAACCAAGATTCAAGCCTGGGCAGTGTGGCTACAAAACTCATGCCTTTCACCCACTAGGTTTTTCTCTCTTGGAGAGAAACAGAAACAAATCTGCAAAGTAGTAGTGGAACAGAAATTATAAGGATGCCATGGCAAACCAAAGCCATAGGTAAGCTTTGTTTAAGAAGGAGTAAGGGGTCAGGCATGGTGTCTCATGCCTGTAGTCCCAGCTACTTGGCAGGCTGAGGCAGAAGGATCACTTGAACCCAGGAGTTCAAGGCTGCAGTGAGCTATGATCATGCCACTTCACCTCAACCTGGACAACATAGAGATATCTTGTCTTAAAAAAAAGAAAAGAAAAAATACATATAGAGGTTGAGAAAGGTAGTATAGAAAGAGAAGAGAAAAATAAAAATAGATTTTGGAAGAAGTGAAGATGAGGATTTGAGATGGGAAGTGGGGAAAGAAGGTAAAGGAATCCCTAGCTCTAGCCTGGCCCTGACAAGTCTCCAGTGCTAGCTTTCTTCTCTAGAAACCTCTGCTTTCACAGTGAAATAATGATAGCAGGTCCCCATTTCCTCAAAAGTATATTGTGTGCTACTGAGTATTTAATTTGGAAAAGTGCTAGAAAAAGAGATCTAGAATGCTTTACAATTTGAAGACTCCTGGCTTGCCACAGTTATAAACTTTTTATAATCTCTTATAAAATCAACCTTTGATTTCCAAAGTATAAAAGAGGTAAAAGCAGAACCATTCCGGTTTAATGAAGATGGTACATCTTCCATGTGGCCCCTTTCTCAGGGCCATCCTTCCCCTTCCCCACTTTGAGGTGAGCTCTGTTGAACCATCAGGATCTTTAGCACACTGTTTAAAAAATATTGACCTAGACCTCAGTAAATTGTCTCCTAAAGAGCCAGATAGTAAATATTTTAGGTCTTTTGGGCTCTTTAGTCTATTGTATTACTCAACGATGCTATTGCAGTGCAAAAGCATCCAAGGATATTCCGTAAATGAGTGTACATGGCTGTGTTCCTATAAAACTTTATTTACGATAATAAAATGTGAATATCACACCATATTTGGATGTCACAAAATATTATTATTTTCTTGATTTTTTCCAACCATTTTAAAATGTAAAAACCATCTTTAGTTCACAGGCCAAATGAAAACAGGCTGTGGCTGGATTTGGCCTCTGAACAACAGATTGCTGAACCCTGATCTAGACTCTGTCAAGGGACCGTGGGGAAGAACTCTGCCCTTTCTTACATATAAGGGTCAGGGACAATCTTAGATACAGGCTAAGTTGGTATGTATTGTACAGAATATGACTTCAACTCTTGAGGTGGTTTCAAGCTCTGGATGTCTCTATTCCTGAAGATTTTTGCTCCATCAACTCACAGCTATTTGCTGTCCTTTTCAAACCGTGACATCTTTTATTCCACAATAAATAAGGAGATTTAAAAAACCCGTCTGAAATTCTATAGGTGTCAGATCCTTTTCTGAAAGCAGGCTTTGACCTGAGGGGTGAAGAAGGAAATAGCTAAGCTTTTCCATTCTTGAGGTTTCAAGATTCTAGAATAGAGACAGAAGAAGGTGGAGACACAGAGAGCATTCTGAAGGCAGCACTTCACTTCCTTGCCCAGAGACAATACTGCTTGTAAATCTACAGAAGCTTCTTGACCTAGGGTTCTGGAACTGTATTGTCAGTTTTCAATTTGGTGTGCCAACAAGCAAATGGAGCAAGCTTGGATGATCAAAATCTAGCACCTCCCAGTAACTCTTCTATGCCAGTCCTTTTGTGTATGTTTGTTGCGGGAAGTCAGGGACCCTGAACGGAGGGACCAGCTGGAGCTGCGGCAGAGGAACATAAATTGTGAAGATTTCATGGACATTTATCAATTCCCAAATAACACTTTTATCATTTCTTATGTCTGTCTTTACTTTAATCTCTTAATCCTGTTATCTTCGTAAGCTGAGGATGTACGTCACCTCAGGACACTGTGATAATTGTGTTAACTGTACAGATTGATTGTAAAACATGTGTTTGAACAATATGAAATCAGTGCACCTTGAAAAAGAACAGAATAACAGCGATGTTTAGGGAACAAGGGAAGACAACCATAAGGTCTGTCTGCCTGCAGGGTTGGGTAAAAAGAGCCATATTTTTCTTCTTGCAGAGAGCCTATAAATGGATGTGCAAGTAGGGAAGATATCGCTAAATTATTTTCCTAGCAAGGAATATTAATATTAATACCCTGGAAAAGAAATACATTCCTGGGGGGAGGTCTATAAACAGCTCCTCTGGGAATGTCTGTCTTGTGCAGTTGACATAAGGACTGAGATAAGCCCTGGTCTCCTGCAGTACCCTCAGGCTTACTAGGGTTGGGAAAACTCTGCCCTGGTAAATTTGTGGTCAGACCGGTTCTCTGCTCTCAAACCCTGTTTTGTGTTGTTTAAGATATTTATCAAGACAATACATGCACCACTGAACATAGACCGTAATCAGTGGTTCTGTTTTTGCCCTTTGCCCTGTGATCTTTGTTGCACCCTTATCAGTGGTTCTGCTTTTTCCCTTTGTCCTGTTCTCTCAGAAGCATGTGATCTTCGTTAGACCCTTATTAGTAGTTCTGCTTTTTGCCCTTTGAAGCATGTGATCTTTGTACCTAAACCCTGTTCTTACAGCCCCTCCCCTTTTGAAACCCTTAATAAATACTTGCTGGTCTGAGACTCAGGCAGGCATCATGGTCCTACCAATATGTGATGTCACCCCTGGCAGCCCAGCTGTAAAATTCCTCTCTTTATACTGTCTCTCTTTATTTCTCAGCCGGCCAATACTTATGGAAAATAGAAAGAACCTATGTTGAAATATTGGGGGCGGGTTCCCCCAATATATGTCAGGTGCTATTGGAGCATCTGTGGGTTCTTCCTACCCATTTGGAGCCAATAAACATAGACAGAAAATGAAAGAAGGAAGAAATTCAAGGTCCCAAGAAGGCCCCAAATGTAATCAGCTTCAGAGCAATTAAGAACTGACTGTAAAGAGACTCATCTCACATAGTGACACTCACAAGCTCAAGTAAAAGAATGGAGACAGATTTACTATGCAAAAGGAAAACAAAAAGGAGCAGGAGTTGCCATTCTTACATCAGATAAAACAGATTTTAAAGCAATACAAGTGAAGAAGAATAAAGAAGGACATTACATAATCATAAAGGGTACAATCCAACAAGAATACTCAACTATCCTGAATATATATGCACCTAACATTGGAGCACCCAGATTCATAAAACAAGTTCTTATTGACCTATGAAGATATTTAGACAAGAACACAATAATAATGGGAGACTTTAATATGCAACAGACAATGTTAGATCATCGAGGAGGAAAATTAACAAAGAAATTAACAAAGAAACTCAACACTTGACCAACTGGACCTAACAGACATCTACAGAGCACTCCACCCAACAACCACAGAATATACATTCTTCTCATCTGCACATGAAACATATTTTAAGATTGATCCCATGCTTGGTCTTAAGGCAAGTCTCAGTAACTTAAAAAAATGGAAATCATACCAAGCACACTTTCAGACCACAGTGCAATAAAAATAGAATATAATACCAAGAAGATGTCTCAAAATACCCAAATATGTGGAAATTAAACAACTTACTCCCAAATAACTCCTGGGAGAAAATTGAAATTAAGGCAGAAATAGAAAAATTCTGTGAAATTAATGAAAATAGGGACACAACATACTAAAATCTCTGAGATGCTGCTAAAGCAGTGTTAGGAGGGAAGTTTATAGTGCTAAATGTTTTCATCAAGAATGTAGAAAGATCTCAAATTAACAGTCTAACTTTGCACCCAAAGGAGGTAGGAAAAAAGAACAAAGCAGCCAAAAACTAGCAGAAGAAAAGAAATAACTAAAAAATTAAAGAAGAACTGAATGAAGCTGAGATGCAAAATTCTATACAAAAGATCAATGAAACCAACAGTTGGTTTGTTGAAAAAATAAACAAGATTGATAGACCACTAGCTAGATTAACAAAGAAAAAAAAAGAGAAGATCCAAGTAAGTATACTCAAAAATGACATTACAATTGATCTCACAGAAAAACAAAAGATCCTCAGAGAATACTCTGAACAACTCTATGCACACAAATTAGAATATATAGAGGAATGGACAAATTCCTGGAAACACACAATCTCCCAAGATAGATTCAGGAAGAGATTGAAACCCTGAATAGACCAATATTGAGCTCTGAAATGGAAACAGTAATAAAAAACTTATCAGCCAAAAAAAGTCCTGGATCAGATGGATTCACAGCTGAATTCTACTAGATGTACAAAGAAAAACTGGTGCTAATCCTACTGAAAGTATTCCAAAAATTCAGGAGTAGGGGCTCCTTCCTAACTCATTCTATAAAGCCAACATCAGCTTAATACCAAAATCTAGCAGAGACACACCAAAAAAAAAAACCAAAAAAACAAAAAAACAAAAAACAAAACAACAACAACAAAAAAACAAAGTTTCAGGCTAATATCTATGATGAACACAGATGCAAATATTCTCAACAAAATACTAGCAAACCAAATCCAGTAGCATGTCAAAATGTTAATGTATCACAATAAAGTAGGCTTTATTCCTGGGATGCAAGGCTGGTTCAACATGTGCTAACCAATAAATGTGATTCACCACGTAAACAGAATTAAAAGCAAAAACCATAAATTTATCTCAATAGATGCAGAAAAAGCTTTGGTGAAATCCAATATCCCTTCATAATAAAAACCCTCAACAGACTAGACATCGAAGGAACATATCTCAAAATAATAAGAACCATCTATGACAAACCCACATCCAACATCATACTGAACAGGCAAAAGCTGGAATCATTTCCTGTGAGAACTGAAACAAGATAAGGATGCCCACTCTCACTATTCCTGTTCAACAGAATACTGCAAGTCCTAGCCAGAGCAATCAGACAACAGAAAGAAATAAAAGGCATCCAAATGGAAAAAGAAGAAGTCTGACTATCTCTATTTGCTGATGATATGATTCTGTAACTAGAAAACCCTAAAGGCTCTGCCAAAATTCTACTAGAACTGATAAACGATTTTAGTGAGGTTTCAGGATACAAAAGTCAATGTACAAAAATCAGTAGCATTTCTACACATCAAAAATTGTCCAGGCTGAGAGTCAGATCAAGAACACAATCTCATTACAAAAGCCACAAAGAAAATGAAATGCCTAGGAATACAGCTAACCAAGAGGGTGGAAGATCTCTACAGGGGAATTACAAAACACTGCTAAAAGAAATGTGATGACAAAAATAAATGGAAAAACATTCTATACTCATGGATTAGAAGAATCAATATTAAAATGATTAATGCCCATACCGCCCAAAGCAATTTACAGATTCAATGCTATCCATATCAAACTACCAATGTTATTCTTCACAAAATTAGAAAAAAGCTATTCTAAACTGCATATGAAAACAAAAAAAGAGCCTGAATTGCCAAAGCAATTCTAAGCTAAAAGAATGAAGTTAGAGACATCAAACTACCCCGAACCATACCATAAGGCTACAATAACCAAAATGGCATGGCACTGATACGAAAACAGATACATTGACTAAAAGAACAGAGCAGAAAACTCAGAAATAAAGCCACACATTTACAATCATCTGACCTTCAACAAGGCCAACAAAAATAAGCAATGAGGAAAGGACCCCCTAATCTATAAACAATAGTAGGATAACTGGTTACCCATATGCAGAAGGATAAAACTGGACCATTACCTTTCACCATATACAAAAATTAACTCAAGATGGATTAAAGACTTAAATGTAAGATTACAAACTATGAAAATCCTAGAAGAAAACCTAGGAACTACCCTCGTTGACACTGGCCTTGGAAAATAATTTTTGGCTGTGTTCCCAAAACCAATTGCAACAAAAACAAAAATTCACAAGTGGGACCTAATTCGACTAAAGAGGTTTTGCACAGCAAAATAAACTACTAACATAGTAAACAGACAACCTACAGAATGAGAATATATTAGCAAATTATGTATTTGACAAAGGTCCAATATCCAGAACCTATAGGGAACTTATCAAACAGCAGAAAACAAATAACCTCATTAAGAAATGGGCAAAGGACATGAACAGACACTTCTCAAAAGAAGACATGCAAGTAGCCTACAAACATATGAAAAAATGCTCATCATGAATCATCAGAGAAATGCAAGTCAAAACCACAATGAGATATTATCTCACACCAGTCAGAATGTTTCTTATTAAAAACTCAGAAAACAACAGATGCTGGCAAGGTTGTGGAGAAAAAGGAATGCTTATACACTGATGGTGGGAGTGTATATTAGTGTGACCATTGTGGAAGACAGTTTAGTGATTTCTCAAAGAACTTAAAACGGCTACCATTTGACCTAGCAATCCTATTACTGGGTATATGCCCAAAGGAAAATAGATTGTTATATCAAAAAAACACGTGGACTTGTATGTTCATTGCCACCCTGTTCATAATAGCAAAGACAAGGAATCGACCTAGGTGCCCATCCACAATGGATTGGATAAAGAAAATGTGGTACATATACACCATGGAAAACTATACAGCCATAAAAAAGAATGAAAGCATGTCCTTTGCAGCTACATGAATGGAGCTGGAGGCCATAATCCTAAGTGAACAAAATGCAGGAACGGAAAACCAAATACTACGTGTTCTCATTTGTAAGTTGGAGCTAAACATTGAATACACATGGACTTAAACATGAGAACAGGAGACACTGTGGCCTACTAGACAGGGGAAGAAGGAAGCATGGGTTGAAAAATTATCTGTTGAGTACTATGTTCACTTCCTGTGTGCAGTATACCCATGTAACAAAGTTGCGGATATACTCCCATATCTAAAATAAAAGTTGAGGTTAAAAAAAAAGAATTGACTATATTTTTATTATTACCATCTAAACCCCCTTTGTGGCCAATGTTAAAAGCTAATTCACTTTGGCTGTATCTTTAATGTATAGGATTTATTTTTTTAAAAGTCATTTGCAGAAGAAAAATGAAAGAAGACAACGCTTCTATTTTGATTGACCACGATTTGTTAATTGCCTAACCGGTCAAGTGAAATTGAATTGAATGCCAGGTCAACCAAAAAAGTCAAATGTTTTTCTGTAGATGAAATTACAGGATATACAATAGAAAGTGGATGGAAGTAATCAATCCTCCCCCAAATTTCTACTTCCCTCTAAACTTCTACAGAAATACTTCACAGACCAAACTTCCTGTGCCCAAAACAATTGACTTAACTTGAAACTTTGCTTTTCTTCTTGTCTTTTACTGGGTAAACCTCTGAATAAAATGTTCTTTAAAATATCTGCTGAAAACATATCATCAAACTGGGAAAATATGACAAACGGGCAATTTGCGAATGCCTTCTTTTTCTACTCTCTTTGCAGCTGTCACACTGGTTTTTGTGATACGTGTGAGGAGGGGACGTGCTTCAAAGAAAACATTACCCCACTCATGACACAGGACAGCGCTAAGAGAAAATAAAAAGGGCGTGTCTTAGAATCCTTCTCTGTTGAGGAATCAGCAGTTATACGGACTAATTGTCTTTTTGCAAACTCTAAGCATTCTATGAAGTACTAAAAAATATTAATTCATGATTTCCCCTGAAGCTGTCATGTGGTCTCAGTGGGTGGTCAGGAAGTGAAGTGTAAAACATCAATGTCTGCATCTCAGGGAGTCTTCCCTTTGATCAAGCTCAGAGCCCAGGCAGGAAACAATATGCTTCTTGCTTTACTGCCATTGAGGATTGTTCATTAGTTTTAATTATTTTCTAAGATCTAGAGGGAGCCATCCAAAAAAATTAATCATGAATGGAAGGCAGGGCAGCCTTCTGTGATCGTAAAAACACATAAAGCGTTTTGGATTATGGACTTTTTATGATTTATACTCAAATTTGAACTGAAGGAGGCATGTAGTATATCAATATTTATTTAGAAAGCATGGGAATTTATAATAAATCATAAGTTTTGTCGTAAAAATAAGTTGATTTTCCATTGTGTTTTTAAACTTAATTTTGTGAGCGTGTATGGAGTGCTTTCCTAATTTTGACCTTGCTAGAAAAATAAATTTTGCAATAACATCTTATTGTGAGGAGGGATTTTAAGATTAGGCTAATTATACACTGTCTTTCTCTAAGCATTCCTACCAAGTACAGAGAATGTCTTTTGTTCTGGAGCAGACTATTTCGTTCTGGAAAGTTTAGAAACGCTGAACCCTGTCTCTCCATAACATCCTCTCTAACCTCCCATCACTTCATAAATTAAGCCCATCTTTCTTCCATGACAGCCCTTCAATTATTGAAGCATCTGTTGAGTTCCCTTAAGTCTTCTGAAGGGTTTAGGATTGTGGGCTCTGGAATCCAACCACTTAGGTTCAATTTGGGGTTCTACTACTTACTAGATGTGTAACTGGGCAGTTATTTAGCCTTGGTAGGCCTTGGTTTCCTCTTCATGAAAAATGGAGAAAAAATTATGCCTAGCTAGTCACAGGTTGGTTGTGAAGATTAAATGAGGATATTCATCTAAAGTCCTTTGTAGCCTGTGAAATGGTGTCAGCAAACACTATTTATTACTGTTAATATTATGTCTATGTTTTTGATGAAACAAATTCCAATATGTCCTCATGTGACATAGTTCTGAGTCCCTCCACTATCAGGGTGACCAACGTGTCTTGGTTTTATGAGTGAAAAGTCCCATATCCTGGAACTCTTCCTGAGTCCCAGGCAAACTGGATCGATTGGCCAATCTCCCTACTATTTATATATTGGTTACTGACTTTGGGATTTTTCTGCCCCAATTAAAGTACCTTTAAGATGCCCCTAAAAACCCTGCCATGTGATACAGTCCCATTAAAAACTGTCTAGAGTGCTGAGAGCTGTGTTTGGCGTTATTGTCTGGCTTACTTTCTTACTCAATCTTGCTTCCTCTATGATAACTATCTGGTACCTCTAATACTATGCTCTTGGTCTTCATATTGGGGCTTATTCTGGATTGGCTTTGAGTGTTTCCTTACAAATATTATTTGACCCCTTTCTTATCTATCTTCCATATCACAGATGGAATTGAACTGATGTTCACCTGTGCTTGCCTGGTGCTCACTTGGCATGTCCCCAGAGTCAGCCTCCATCTTGCCCTATGAGAATGGATACATCACCTTGCACCAAGTCGCAAGGCACAGGCCTGGAAGCAAGTGAAAATCAATCAATCTGCAACCTTAGAGACTGACTTTTAAATCAGACCCTTGCAATTGTTACGGTCCTCTACTACATATTCTGTATCTATCTGTAATCATATAAAATAACTATGCCTTACTGAAACTTCAACGTACTATGTCTCCTACATTTATTACGCTTTGTTCTGAAAACCCTTTCAAAAAGGGAAATGCAATTGATCTGGCATGGCTGTTGGTTCCTGTGATTACTCCTACCTTTTTTAATGCTCCAAAACCATCTACCTGCTTGTTGCAATGTCTGTGATTCATGAAAAGACACTGATAGACACAGGAAAAAGTTGTAAGATTTCTGTAATTGCAAAAGATAAGGACATTTATCTTTTTAGAGGTGACTACTCAAAGCAGGAGATAGTATGTTCTTGACTTTCCAGATCTCCCAAAATTTCCCATGGAGATCTACAGCTGGTACCCGCTTTGTGTAGTCTTGAATCCTCAGTAAGCAAAAATATGGCATTATCCTATTCTCAAAGGTCTTTAGATCCTCCTTGCCTTCCAACTGCCCTTTAGATTTTGGCTAGGAACTACTACTCACCAGGTGCAATTAATGAGTAGAAAACAAACCCATCATATTTCTGAGTGTTTACTGCCAGATTTAGGTGAATCTAATATAAATTTCTAAGGCATAGCCCCCTTCTGGCAATGGCCAACTTTCAGATTTGTTTTGGGTTTCTTTTGATGTTGTATGCTGGAAAAAATTGCCAGAGATTATTATTAATACACTTGTCAGTGGTGTACTGAACCTGCTTTTCTCCTTCCCTTTAAAATGCAGAACTAGGCTTGCTAATCTTTGGGCTTCCGAAGAGGTTCCACATTGTTCATTCCCTTTTGAGACTTGGGATCTTTCACAGAAGTAAGGAATGCAACCAAGAGTCCCAGAGTGTTAGTCATACATAACAAGTTACAAGCAGGTTTTAAGGAGGATGAAGTGGTCTTTGGACATCTTTATTTTTTCTGAACTTCTATAGAATGTATTTACATCCTAACATCCCATATGCATTCTCTCCCTTATTAGAATGTAAACTCTTCAAGAAAAATACATCAATTTTAGTCATCTTCATATCCTACACAGGGATATGAATATTTTTTTCCATTGTGAAACAGTGTTTTCTAAGTATAGAAATTAAGTGGACATAGCCCTCAAAGTAAAAGAAATATGATCTTGTTGGAACTAAAGCTATCTATAAATTGGAAGTCAGCATAAGGATTCATGGATGTCACCGAAGCGGGGTGGTGTAGTGGAGTTCCACAAAATTCGTGTGTAGATTCATGTCCCTGCCAAGCCCTCCCAGAATAAACAATGTTAATGACAATGTTTTCCAGTATGTGGTAGTTAATTATTCACACAGTCAATGCTAAGTCTTAATGTTCATCTTTTGAGATAGGTTATATATAATCCCATTTTAGAACTGAGAAAACTAAGGTTCAGAGAGTACAGGTGACTATTATCAAGGAGACAGAACTAAGTGCAGAACCAACACATAATTGAGTCATCTGGCTCCTTCTCCTCTTTCCAACTTGGGCTTCCCTGTCTTTGCTGTTGTGTCTATACTTCATGGCATGTGGAAAGCAAAGATTATGTGAAAGCAGCAACTCCAACCACAACCCAGGAGGTAACTTCTCTCTCTTTATCATCTTCACATCCAATCCATTCACAGGTCCTCTCAATTTTTCCTACCAAATAGGTACCGGATTCATCTGTTTTGATCCCACATCTGTCACCTGAGTCTATGCTACCATCACTTGGATGAGTGCAGAAGCTTCCTAAGGGGGCTCTCTCCTGTCATGCTTTATCATCCATGGTTCTCAACTTGAGTATGCATCAGAATCTCCTGGGGGGCTTATTAAAGCACAGATTGCTGGATCCCATGCCAGAGTCTCTGATTCGGTAGGTCTGGATGGTGCCTGAGAAACTGCACATCTAAAGAATTCCCAGGTGATGCCACTGCTGCTAGTCTAGGGATCATGATCTGAAAACTGCTGCTCGCCACAATCTATTTGCCATATAATAGCCTGAGTGATCTCTCCTAACCTCAAATCAGATTAAGTTCGTCCTTTGTACGCAAGCTTCTTTCCGATACCTTCTCATTTATACCCATTACAAAAATCTAGCTAATTCTTGCTCTGTCTCCCAGGCTGGAGTGGAGTGGCATAATCATAACTCACTCCTGACCTCAAGTGATCTTCCTGACTTGGCCTTCCAAAGCACTGGAATTACAGATGTGAGGCACCATGCCCAGCAGGCCATGAAATCCTTTTTGATATGCTCCTGATGACCGCACTAACCTAATTTCCTCCTTGTTCACTGAGCCTCCTTTCCATTGCTCGTCACTCAAACTTCATCCTACCTCAGAGCCTTTGACCGTCCCTCTGCCAGGAATATTCCTTTCCTAAATCTTTGAATGAATGGATCCCCTTCATCATGTAGGTGTCAGTTCAAGGCCAGTCTCCCCAGAGAGCTCTTTCCTTTCTTTTTACAGTTTCCCTCTCAGTAACTCTGTCACCTCTTTCATATTTTCCTATTGGTTTTACTTATTTTCTCCCCATATTGTGAGTGCAAACTCCATGAGAACAGGGCCATTGTCTTCACTGTTTATACCTGAGCTCTATACCTAAAACCATGCCTGGCACATAGTTTGGCTCAGTAAATGAATGATAAATGAATGATTGAGCCTCTAAAACTCTCTGAAGATCCACAATCTCCTGAAGATTAGTAATCCCTCTAGAATCCCGGTTCTCATGCTTTCTGAAGCTCTGAGGTCAGTGGTTCCAAGCACTCTGCAACCTTCTTTATCATGAAGGAAACAACTATACACTATCACTTGCACCTTGCAGCTGCCTGAGTGGAAAAAAAAAACTGTAGGTCATAAATATGACAAACAGTAGAGACACAGAGCCAGTTTTTTCTCACTATTTGGTTAAAGTAGAAATAGAGATCCTTAAACAGCTAAGGACTTTTGAAAGAAATGAGGAAAGACTCTATACAGTATCCATAAGTATCTTTATCTCTGCTGTGGAACCCAAGGATTGAATAAACCTGCCCTCAGGAATAGGTGCAGCAGCTATAGATGTGTGTGTATATAAATAAATGTATATATAGACCACAGACAGAACATCTGTAGTCTGAAGCTTGGGTAAGTTCCATTCTTTTTTTTTCAGAGACTGAATCTTGCTCTTGCTCTGTCACCCAGGCTGGAGTGCAGTGGTGTAATCATAGCTCACTGCAGCCTCAAACTCCTGGGCTCAAGGGATCCTCCTGCCTCAGCCTCTCAAGTACTTGGGACTAAAGGTGCATGCCAGCACACCCAGCTAATTTTAAAAAGTTGTGTAGTGATGATGTCTCATAATATTGTGCAGGCTGGTCTCAAACTCCTAGCCTCAAGCAATCTTCCTGCCTCAGTGTCCCAAAATGCTGAGATTACAGGTGTGAGCCACTAGGCCTGGCCTCTAACTTCCATTCTTTTGGGGAAATTCTTAGTGTCTATGTGGCTGGGATGGAGAATTTCCTTCCCTTCAGCTCCATGCTGGACACATGTCTCAAGCCTGGCCAATCAGATTACTCCATTCCTCTGGTTAGCTGTTGGTCAAGGGATATGTCACTGCATCACTCTGGGGCAGGGAGAATACCCTCTACAAATTATCCTGTTGCTATCAGGAAATATACTCTGTCTCCCTGGAATCATGAGAACAATATAAACTTGAGAACTCTGATCACCTCCTCATCATGGCACGGGGAGAGTCTATTTGAGAATTAAGCTTGATATGGTTTAGCTTTGTGTCTCCACCCAAATCTCATCTTGAATTGTAATCCCCATGTGTCAAGGGAGAGATCTGGAGGAAGGTGATTGGACCATGGGCGTGGTTTCCCCCATACTATTATCATGATAGTGAGTGGGTTCCCATGAGATCTGATGGTTTCATAAGGGGCTTCCCCCTTCACTCTTCCCTTCTTCTCTCTCCTGCTGCCTGTGAAGAGGTCCCTTCCACCATGATTGTAAGTTTCCTGAGGCCACCCCAGCCATGTGGAACTGTGAGTCAACTAAACCTCTTTTCTTTATAAATTACCCAGTCTCAGGTATGTCCTTATAGCAGCATGAGAACGGACTAATACAAAGCCGAATCCAGATACAGAGAGGTGGAGTCTGGATGACATCATTTTAACCGCTGGAGCCAGGAGTGTCTGAATCAAATACTGGATTTCCTACTTATGGGAACACATTTTCCATTTGTTCTTGAGCTAATTTGAATTAGATCCTGTCACTTACAATTGAACGAGTGCTGAGGAAACATGTCCTACATGTCCTCATGAGACTCCTCCCTGAAGAGTCCTGCTGTGCTATGTTATTTTTCTGTCAACACCTAGTTCAAAGGCAGTTGGAACCACCCACAACATTGCACTGAAGCTACTGTGAATCTTGAGAGCCCACACACCATTGCAAAGACTGTATGGAAAATGTTATAACGATGCTCCCATTTCTATGGTGTTTTCTTCTAAAGAGGTTAAAAAAGAAACACCCTAATATATATTTCTCTTCTCTTCACATTGTTCCCATAAAGGAAAAAGGAACACAGATACTACCAAGCTGTTGGACCCTTGGAATTTATATCCCCTCTCTGGGTGTCAGATTTTTAAAATTTTAAAAGAAGGGGAGGAGGTAAGACAAGAATTTCAGATTTGACATTTAATAAGACTGTGACGCATTATGTGAGTTAATTAGCATTCTGGCTGCAAGTGCTTTGCAAAACAATACGTTGGTGTTGAACGCTGTTGTCCATAAGTAAAGTCTGAGAAAATACATTCTGGGTCACATCAGAATCTTTGTCATCCAGAAACAGCATGGGAAAATTACTTTTATGCTTTCCAAAGAGATCTTTTATCTAAAAGGAGCACAAGTTGTACTGAAACAACTTTAAGAGATCCACTTTATTTTACTACCAACGTCTCTAGGGAAATAATATTGTCATTTCATCATAAACCTTGGGCATAAGCCAGTATAATGTACTCAAGAGTTAAGCTGTGAATTACAGATGTTCTCAGGTTTTCCCAAAGCAAACCTGACTTTGAGAAAGATAGTTTATGTGATCCACGCTTGCCAAAAACTACATCGAAATCATTTCTTTTTAAAGGGCTATAAATCAACTGATAATCTGCAACCCGCCACATTTTTCAAAGCCCTTCAGGTCAATGCAACCTAAATGTGATCAAATAAACATGCACTGAACTGATAGGGAATTGGTGTCAACATATGCATGTATTATATTAATTAGCCTTTTTAGAATACTTACTGTGTGCAGAGTTGAGAAGCAGACCTTATGGGAAAATACAAAACATAGTTCTTGCTTCAAATCATAAAGTACTCATTGGAAGTCCATTGGAGACATCAAGAAAACATTTCAAGGAAACATTTAACTTCCTGCTAATTAATATAACAAATAGAATAAAAATTGCAGAGAGAGAGAAAGCAGGCAAGAGTGTTAGATGGAATTAATGAGAAAAAGTCTACTGGAAGGGTTGAGCTTTTCTAGAAGATAGGGAATATGTATGTCTTTGGGAGTATTTGATGAGTTGCATGTTTGTTATGGGTGGTGGAGGGAGGGAGTTTATAAATGAGGGTCAGAAAACAGTATCATGTGGCATGATTGAAGAATATGTCATTATACACTATCTAAAATGTCAATGAAGTGGAGTATAACACATTTGTCTCTTTTAAGGAGTAGTATCTGGCAACCACAGAAGTACTAACTGTTTATTTTTTTGGTGAAAGAATTCCCAAATATTGCATGGAGAATATTTATAAAAATTTTTTTAAACCTGAAGTGAAAATTGAACAGAACATTCTGTATTTCACTTGCTAAACCTGAAAACCCAATGGAGAAGGATTTTAGTCTAAACTTACTTAAAAAAAAGAGATGTGCACATGTTAAAGATAGTCCCATCAATATTATACATCATGTGTTATGTGCTAGGCTCTGTTCTGGGCGCTTGATATATTTTGATTCATTTAATCCTTACAAAATCTTATGAGGTAGGTACTATTACATTATCTTTTTTCCAGAGGAAGAAACTGAGGCACAGAGAGGCTAGGTAACTTGCCCAAGGCAAGCTAATAAAGGGCAGAGCCAGGGATTTGAACCCAGGCAGTCTGGCTGCAGAATCTGTGCTCCTTATTACTATATAATTATGCCAGGTGAGGTCTGTGGCTACATAGATTGAGGAAATGTTTCACCACAGCTCTTTTGACATAGTAAATCCTAGTGCTCAACTGTTGGTTCAACCCTTAAAACCAAAAGCACAGACCCTGGGAAAAAGCACCCTTAATCCTGAAGAGAGCCCCAGATATATCTCCCTGAGGCTTGACACCATCTGGTAGCCAGCTGCAGTTGACGGGCTCCTTCTCTTCCTGTGCCTTCCACCCACCTCCACTGTCCCTCCCGAATCGGCCAGTATTAGTCATCATATAGTCGTAGTGCTTGGTGAAAAGTCAGCATTGCAATACCCCAGACCAACATCTGCTCAAAGACTCACCATGGCCAGGGGCTTTCCTAGCAATGGATAAGTGGCGGAACCTCCAGGGAACTGAGCAAGGGAATATGCCACCCACATGCCTCATTTACTGCCAGGGACTAGACCTTCACTGGGCTAAAAGCCCATGTCTTTTACAGTATTTTATATCTGTCAAAGCTTGTCCCCAAGATAGGCAGGAAGCTCTTGATCAATTTTCAGATAGGAGAAAACACCATACAAATCCAACAGACAAATCCCTAGAAATCCAATGAGAAGAATTATATTGATCACTTATGGACGTTTTTCATTGAACCGATGCTCTAATTATACAATGTAATGAAAGCATATCATAAATATGCATCTTAAACATATTTAAAAATCATTAGGTCCCTGTATTGACTTATTTTGACTTTTTGTACTACACTATCAATTTGTGTAGTGTTCGAGCATTTTACTACTAGAAAGGCATTTATTTCAATAAAGGGATATAAAACCCCTTATCCATTCCTACTTACAACTGAGGAATAAGCCTATTTGTAATGACTCTTACATAAGAATTGTATTCAATGCTTCTCTATGTAATCAGACATTACATGAAATTAGAAACAATAGGGGAGCAAAATCAATCAGCCATGGCAGAGGGATTGAGATAATAATGACTCATTTGACTGGGTTGCTTGGGAAAATTAATAACAACAGAGGTAATTACTAACCTGGGAAAGCCAGACTCTTGATCATTCTTTTATACTTTTAAACATGAACTATGCAGAAGTGCATCATTTCAAGCCACACACTGGTTTGCTGTGGCCAACAAGCGACTGGCTCAGGTGGTTCACACATCACATCCTCTAGATGAGTGGTTCTCAACTAGAGGTGACTTTGTCCTCAAGGAGACAGACATTTGGCAATGGCGGGAGACATTTTCACTTGTCTGAACTTGTGGAGTGGTTGCTACTGGCATCTAGAGGGTAGAAACTAGGGATGCAACTATGCATTCTGTGAGGCATAAGAGAGCCCTCAACAACACAGAATTATCCAGCTCCAAATGTCAATAGTGGCAAGGTTGAGAAGCCCTGGCCCTAGACGGTGCCTCAGAGTCATAAACTGCCCTGACACGGAGCTCAAAAGGCAGGTCATGAGAACACCCGGAAAAGGAGTAGCAATGATAGGTTGAAGATAAATGGCTCATCTCCCACTTTCTTTGGTTGAGGTCTCTATTCTGCACAAAGGCCCTGGCAAATCTCTTCATTTTTCTTGTAGCTCTATCTGCTCTCCAGTGCAGGGGCATATATCACAGCCACCTGTCTGCTGGCTGTGAGACACCTCTACAGAAACAGACAGCTTAATGCAAAAGAGAAAAGACCAGTCTGGCCACAGCTGGCCAAAGGGATGCTCAACTGGGTAATTCCATCTGGCTCTTTTCTCCCAGTCCCCAGCCCTTGGTTGTTTGGAAATGCCTTGACCTTTACAACTTAAAATATTTACTGAGCCAGCTTCCAGGTGACAAAAGGTGTAAGGGAATAAGACAGCATGAGATTATTGAACAAATGTGCTTAAAACATCTGCTTTCCATGTCCAAATATTGCTTGTTTATGCCTCAAGTCATTCTGCATACAATTTGCCTTATGTTGTGCAAGGCAGACAGTGACTAGTTTGCAGTAGAATCAAAATAATACAGCAAATTTCCTACCGAACCCACCTCAGGTCCACAAATCCTTGAAGTAGTGTGGCTTTTCTCTGCTGCCTCAGTTCTATCTCTGTTAAACACATGGCCACATTTCACAGGGCTAGAAAATTTCATTTTTATCATAATAGGAAAAAGTCAAATTGGGGTTAAAGAAAACTATTCAATTCAGCTGCTTTAGGAATAATCACAGAGTAAACAGAGTTTAATTTGTAATGTTGGTACCTCCTCTCCTTTACTCTCAATCACAGCTGTTTCTTAAGTATTTATTCTAATATTCTATAGCACCTGGATGTCCAGAGCATATCCTACTGTGTATTTGGGGTGAGTCTTCCCCAAAAATGCCTGAGATCTTTCCCATTCCTTTCTCACTTTTGACAATTTGGACCTACTCTTTGCAAAGGTGACATTAGTACTAGGTTGTCTCAATGTCTATCATTGTAGGGGCTTTCTGGTGAAGCAGAGGATGCGGTGTGTCTTTAATTACAGGGATCTCTGGCCCCGCAGCCAGTTTGGCAGGTGTCTTATTCCATTTTACATTGCTGTAAAGGAATGCCTGAGACTGGTTAACTTATTAAGAAAATAAATTTATTTGGTTAATGGTTCTGCAGGCAGCACAGGAAGCATCTGCTTCTGGTGAGGGACTCAGGAAGCTTTCAATCATGTGGCAGGGGAAGGGGGAGCAGGTGTGTCCCATGGCAAGAGAAGAAGAAAGAAAGAGAGAAGGGGGAAGTTTCCAGGCTCCTTTTAACAGCCATCTTGTGGGAACTAATACAGCAAGAATTCACTCAACACCGTGAAGATGGTACAAAGCCATTCGTGCAGGATCTGCCCCCATGACCCATACATCTCCCACTAGACCTCACCTTTAACACTGGGCATCAAATCTCAACATTATATTTGGAGGGGTCAAATATCCAAACTATCTCAGCAGAGGAGGACTTTAGCATGTCTCAAATAATGGCATTTGAATGGCTTACAACTATTGCTATTCTTTCACTCCATGTGATATAGGCATTTTATTGTACTGTCCAGAAGAGGCACCCATTTCATACATTTTTTCCAGAGTCAGTATTTAATCTCAGCCTGAATTTCCCATTATATGCCCTCCCCAGCTACATAAACACTGTACACTTTATTAGAAGCATAGGATTTTCAGAGATGCTCAGTTCTATCCTCTCATTTTACAGAAGAAGAAACCGAAGTCCAATGCCTCATGCAAGGCCACTTTGGTAGATTGTTACTCTTCAAGATATTGCTCCCCCTTCTTGGTGGAATGATTTTCTTTACTCCTCTGCCATTGGATTTGGCCTTGTTATTTGCTTTGACCAATGAAATATAAGCAGACATGATGTATGTCACTTTCAGGCAGGGACTTTAAAAGCCATCACATGGTACCACCATGTTCTGTATCTCTTTCTATATGACAAGCAGTGTCTGAGATAGATCACAGATGAAGGGATGGACAGCCACAGTTGGCTTTCAGCAATGTAAATGAGAAATAAACCTTTGTTGTTGTAAGCTACCTGTGTTGGTATTGTCGACTTGAGGTCATTTGTTACTGCAGCATAGTATAGCCTATACTGACTGGTACTGGTATCCAACAAATAAATAACAGAACTGCTTTAAGCCTCAGTCCTGATTCCTACACAGGCTTTTTTCTAACATACCATACTGAACAAAACATATTTCATCTATAATAAGGGACAGAGAGAATGACATCCAACACTTGAGCAAAGCAGATTTTGTTTTTAATATTTTTAGTCAGCTTGTATTAAAAAACTAATTAAATAGGATTTGGGGTATTGTCCGAAAGACCATCAGGATGGCTAAATACTAGAAAGGAGACATTTACTGGTGACATCAGCTTGCAGGCCAGGAAGAGAAAGTCTCCAGCTTGGACTGAACGTGTTCTATCTTCGAAAATGGGTAGGAGAGGTTGAATTTTATGACTCACAGGGCCTGTATCATACATATTCAGCAGGTTTGAAGGAAAAACTATACATATTTATGAGGGGGAGCTGAGTACATTCAGACTGGGTAAACATGCATGTAATATACAACCCATGTTCACTTTGGGGTGGGGTTTCAGCATTAAAATGAAGTGGAATTTGGTGCCTTATGTCAAAAGGTGAACTATAGGACACAAGGACAGTTTGTGTGCAACCTCTAGAAGCTGCTGAAACTGGCCTAAGGTCTGCAATAACTTGTCAGAAAATAATGTTTGTGAGGCTGGTCCTTGGTCTCCTGCCCAATCAGAGTTGTAGTGGTCTGGGTGGTAAGTCAGCCTGATCACTCCTATTGTTAGGGAGTTTAGCAAGGGTATGTTTTTTTTTATAGTAGAAATTTAAAATTTGCCATGGCAGCCAGGCCTGCACCCCTCAACCCCATGGTTAACTTTGTGTCCTTAATCTTAGGGCCCATCTTAGTTGATAAAAGGGCATCTGTTTTGGTCTCTTGGCTCGCAGGGGATTATTCACACTATAGATCAGTTGCATTGCGCAAATAATTAAGGGCAAAATTCCTCAGCAAAGCCTAGCCCAACAGTTTAGACTTTCCATAAACATGCATTTCACACTCTGCAGAAAGTAAATCTCATCTTATACAGTACCAAACCTAATGTTTAAGAATCAAAGATAAAAACTAAACAAAAACTCCTGAAATTTAGAAGGCATCAAACAAACAACAACAACACCATAAGAGAAAGAAAAAAAAACAAAAAAAATCCAGACATTTCACATAATTGTAAACACCAATTAGGTATATAAATTTCCTTCATTATTTTCTAGTTAACGAGTTTTCAAATAAGCTAAGAACATTCTGGTGATGTCTTTACTTAACATCGTCATTTCACAAACTGTCAAGAATGAAGAATTCCACTGGGGTAAATGAAGATATGCTTGAATTTTCTTAATTACCACCTTGCTAAGGCTGTGAGCTCATTGTTTATTGGTGTGACAAATGACTCTAAGCCCTGTCAGGCAGTCACAGGGGAGACTGGGCTGCTACACAATGTGCCCATCTCATTACTGTGTTGCTGACAGCGCAGGCCGAGAAAAGAGAAACAAAACTTGTTTCAGGAGTAGAGTTACAAGGGCCAGTGTGGTAGTGACTGACAAAATAGAGGAACTCTCCTTATTGCTAGAATGTTAGCTCTCCTGGGATCTGGCTTTGCTTCCTGGGAGAAATGTTGGCTTGAGGGCAAAGCCCCAATGCTCTGCATTGGCCCTCTGCATAATCGTTAACACAGTGCCTAGCACATGGCGTGTTCTCAAGAAATATTTGCTGAATGGATGAATGATTGAATAAACATCTCTCCCACCCAACCTTACTACTTCCTTCTTTTTTACCTCCACTTGCCAGAAGACAGACTGAATAAACTAAGCACATGATGATACCATAGTATTCCAATTTGACACTGAGCCGAGGTCCCTCTGCCTCCAGCTCACACTGATCACCTCCCTTTCCATTCCTTTATTCACTCTCTTGTACCCAATTCCCTGACCCACCAGTTCTGAACTCTTCTGAGGCATGAGCCTGCAGCTCAGTCAACTTTCAGTCCTTCTCCAACTGCTGAACAAAGCATATTGTTCTTAGCAGGTGTTCTGTATATTTTAATTTAAAAAATAATGTTTTATATTCTTAACGTGTTGCGTCTCAGAAATATTTGCTACTTAGAAGAGAAATGGGATAAGAATAGATAATGAACAAATAAGAATGAACTGCTGAAGGAGGGATTTCATGCAAAGGTAGGGGAAATCGTCCTTGGAATCTTACTGCATAAATAGGGGGTTTCAAGTCCTGGTTCACAGACTGGCTTTGGTGTATAGCATGCATTCTCATTTGGGGTCATATTTTCCCCTACGAGGGTGAAAGTTGGATCTTGGGGAGGGATGAAAACATTGTCAGATATTAAAATGGTTTGTGCTCCTCCCAAAGGGCCATGACACACAGACAGATGTACAGTATGTCTGTGGTATTAACGTTGCATGGGTGGGGTGATCCGAAAAAGATCTTAGAAGACCTTTTGGGGAAAGGGGGATGATAGTGGGGAAAAAAGATTGAGAAGCACTAGTTTACGAGAATATTCTTTCAAGCCCAAAGAAAAATAGGTTGTGTTACACACACACACACCTCTACACAGAGTAGATAGATCAGATAGACAATCCATGTGATTTTGCTAACAAGGCTTCTTGGGAGAATTCTGCATTTTATTTTGATTTTGAGATTTTCCTTTCTTAGAAAAGTAAACATTAGACAACTCTGCTGGTATCCAGGTTAAAAAAATTATTCTGGTTATTAAAATCCCAGCCTGAGAATCACTATTTTGAAATATGGGCAAGTCAATCTATGTGCAAAATTAGTCTTGTCAAATATTAGACAATGTGACTAGTATTAGAGCACAGGAGAAGAATACTTCAGTCCCAGAAAGAACTTCAGAAAGAGATCACTTTTCTGTAAGACCCAGTGCAGGAGTTAATTGCACTCTTCAATTCATGGTAAATAGTCTCCAATTGTCTGAGCTGTTTGCTTGATTCATTGATTTACTGTCTATCCACACGCTGCTCCCACGCCTCTCCTCCAACATTTCAGTGTGTTAAACGTGCATTCTGTTCGCCGAGCACAGTGGCTCACACCTGTAATCCCAGCACTTTGGGAAGTCAAGGCAATGGATTGCTTGACCCCAGGAGTTCAAGACCAGCCTTGGCAACACGGTGAAACCCTGTCTCTCCAAAAAATACAAAAATTAGGTAGGTGTGGTGGCAGCCACCTGTTGTCTCAGCTATTCAGGAGGTTGAGGTGGGAGGATCATCTGAGTCTGGGAGGCAGAGGTTGCAGTGAGCCGAGAGTGCAACACTGCACTCCAGCCTGGGTGACAGAGTGAGACCCTGCCTCAAAAAAACAAACAAACAAACAAACAAAAAAAACTCAAAAAAGTGCATGATGTTGATTTTATATATTATTTCACATACATAAAATTTGTGATTATTGCATTGTTGTTCTGTGTGCATGTGTTTTAATTTATATACATGGCAGTGTTATCTACCCTATTGTTTCTTACTCTATTTTTGCTCTGTTTTTAAGATCTGTGTTGCCCTGATGCTTCTTCCGCTGCATCATCCACCTGGGTGTGCATCCACCATGACATGTTCAGCACTATTGTGGAAATAATATCCACATTGTCTCCAGCTCCTCAGTTACCCAGCTATCTTGACAATGAACCTCCACATACATGTCTTCTTATGCATCAGGGTGAGAGTCTCCGGGACTTCCTTGCTTAATCCTGAAGTTGCAGGAACCATTTTGAAAAATGTTTTCACTTCAGTTGCCATAATCATATGACTTTTCTGCTGTTGAACTACATTTTATATTTCTGAAACATATTCCACTTGATTTTGACATATATATTATTTTTAGAGACAGGACTTCTCTCTGTTGCCCAGGCTGAAGTACAGTGGTGCAATCATAGCTCACTGCAGCCTAAAACTCCTGGGCTCAAGCTATCTTCCTGCTTCGACCTCCCACGTAGCTGAGAGCACAGGTGTGTACTACTATGCACAGTCCTGATTTATATTTTTATCCACTCTTCAATTCAGTTAGTGAATATATTTTTACACCTATGTTCACAAATGAAATGTGCCTATTATTTCTATATATTTTCCTGCTTTTGTTGTTATCTATATTTGGAGTTAAGAATACACTAGCACCATATAACAAGCTAGGTAGATTTTGTTTTTTTGTATTTTTTCCTTAGACAACTTGTGTAAGTTAGGAATCAACTGCATCTTGAAAATTTGAACAAATTACCTGTAAAGACATCTGGACCTGGGACTGTTTCAGAGGCTAGTCTTTGTCTACCATTTAAAAAGAACTATTGTACTATTCAAGACATCTTCTTCATTTGCCAGTTTTCCAGGAATTTATCCATTTTAATTATGCTTACAAAATCATTACTGTATAGTTGTTAATAATCCTTACTATTTTTATAACTGTCCATTATATCTATAGTTACTTCATTTTGTATCATATATATTTTAATAGCTTTTAGATATAATTTGCATAGCATAAAATTCACTTGTTTTAAGTGTACATTCAATAATTTTTAGTAAATTTCCAGAGCTGTGCAACCATTAGTCCAATCTACTGTCAGAAAATCCCATGTTGGGGGTAGGGATGGGGTCAGCTGGTCACTCCTGTTCTCACTCCTAGCCCCAGGCAGCCACTAATCAACTTTTTGTTTCCACAGATTTGTCTTTTTTAGATTTCATTCTGTATTTTGTTTATTTGCATTAATATTTTCAAATAATTGGCTTTTAATTTTGTTAATCTTCTCTTTTTTCTTTATTTCATCAATTTTGAAGGAGTTCTGCTCAGTCCATCCCTGACGACAAGAGCAGGACATGGGCCTGCACTTCCTTTGATAATCCCTCAGTCTTTGGTTGGGCACAGTGTCTGCTCAGCCCCCTCTCTTAGGTGCCTGTGGTCATTTGTCAACAGAGACTTTAACATTTCCTAGGTGGCTTGCCCCAAATGCTGGTTTCCTCTAGATGTTGGAGTTCCAGTTTCTACGAAGGTCAACCCTAAAGCACTTGGAGGACAAAGGGCCCCAGTTTCTGGCCTAGACATCCAAGCCTCTGTCTGGGACCCCTAAATTTAAATTTATGCCGTTGTGAGTCATGTGTGCTTAGAAAGAAAACAGACAGAAAGAATATGAACTGGCTGGTCTGTGAAGTGGCTGGGTAGGACAGAAACTGGCCCAACCAATTTCTATTTGCTAAGGAATTAGAAGACTCCCCGCATCATCCCTGAAGTAAAAAAGAAACAGGATACTGAAAGGACTAGAAGAAGATTTTAAAGTCCTGTGTTCTTTTGTCTTTCTCAGCAAACATGTACCCATGACTTCCTCACTTTTCCTCTACATATGTTAACTATTGATTGGGCCTTATAGAAATTTCTCTGATCTTCTTTGTAATCTGTACCATTGCCAATCACTGAGAAAGGGAAGGGAGCTAATATAAGGTACTTTATGTTTACCAGGCACTTTATGGAATTTTCTTTTTATATATTCACAGCAGGAATGCAGACATCCCTTTGACATACTGATTTCATTTCCTTTGGATAGAGTAAACCCAGAAATGTGATGGCCAGATCACATGGTAGTCCAATTTTAAATTTTTTGAGAAAACTCCATACTGTTTTCCAAAATGCCTGGCCTTTTGAGGCTGGTACAATTATCAATCTAATTTTAGAAATGAAGCAACTGAGAAAAGTTAGGTGACTTGCCCAGGCTCATTATGTACCAGTCACTTAGTGACTTCCTAGGTCACGCAGATGGAATCAGAGCCAGAATGAAAGCCAAGATCCATATCACACTGCAAATCTCATGTTCCTTCTATGCCCACGTGCCTAAAATATTAGGCTGGAAGGGACCTTGAATTTCATCAAGTGAAACAGTCCCCAGAAGTCAGTCTACTATTCAAATCTCCACATATTTTAAACTATCTATGTAACACCTAAACTAATATGACAATATTTTTATTTAAATAGATTTATAATTTTTAATAAAATATTTTTATAAAAGCTTTTGTCATTACCGACAATGAAAAAGCTAGTGTCATTTGCTATAAACAAGAAGTATATGGCTGAACTATTTTCAAAATAATCTTGTTGCTAAGCCACCCTCAAACTCAGTGCCTTATAACAAGGTGTGCTTATTCTCACATGCACAGGTCTGCAGATTGGCTTAGTTTGGCTGATCCAGCTGGACTTAGTTGGCCAGGCTCCAAGTTGTAGGTCTGCCTCACATATCTTATTTTGGAGCTCAGAATTAAAGAACAGAGGCTGTCTTTGGTTTGAAACTGGCACCCCATCATGTCTACTCATATTTCATTGGCCAAAGCAAGTCACACACCTCCCAGCATCAATGAGGTAGGGAAAGATAATTTGCTCACAGAGAAGGCGATGAATATCTGATGAACATTTATCTACCACATGTGAAAAAGAAATAGTCAACATGATGAAAACAAAACAATAACTTAAAACTTTAGTTAGCCACCACTGCCTGCAGAAATGGGGTTTCCAAATAAAATACTAGATACTCAGTTAAAGTTTAACTTCAGATAAACAACAATCATTTTTAGAATAAGTACGATCCATGCAATATTTGGACATACTTCTCTTACAAGTTATTCATTGCATTGTGCACTTTCATTTGCTTAATCTGAAAATTCTATGTAGAAATATTTTAGTCTAAGCCTGTTTTTTTCTTTTTATTTTTAAAGAAAGATTAGCAAGTGTTATAATATTCCAGCATTAAACTGAGACTTTGCCTCAATGTAGAAACTGGGGAAAGAGAGTTGATCAGAAGGGAATAACTTTCTCATGATGTAATTCAATACAGTCCTTTCCGTGCACCTTGTAAAATCATCATACATTCATCTAAGATTATCTGGCATAAAAGCAGAGGAACTTCTCTCCTGTTTGTCCCATTCTCTGGTAAACTTCATCTTGCAGATGAAAAACTGAAGCCCAGGGGTCAGGTAAGAAGCTCATCCAACTCCATACAGCCAGTAGCTGAGATCTGTCTCAGCTTGGGAGGCTCCTAATTCTGTCCCTTGGAAAAATAGAAATACTTAAATGTAGTTTTCTCTTTAAGATATTTGTTTATAATTCCAGAAGGTTCTGAAAGTCAAACTTACAATTGTGATTTGAAGTTTAAGAAGTAGAAAATGAGGTGAGGGTTTTTCAGTAATTTCCTGCAGGTCATAATTAACTTTAATATCAGCTTTGCTCAGCCCCAACCTTGATATACTGGAGCTATGTGGAGAGAAATACCTTTCAAGTTCCCCCAGATGCTTGAGATAAATGGCTAGATGCAGAATAGTTATTAATTAAAAGTCAGGTACTGTGGGCATCTTTTTGATGGTTCTGAAACTGCTAATCATCTGCTCTGTCTACCGTGGTCCTTATATAGGCCGGTGGGATTGAGCTGCTCAGGCATTTAATGAGAAAATGCCAA
The DNA here is from genome assembly GCF_000001405.40 of Homo sapiens. NCBI lineage: Eukaryota > Metazoa > Chordata > Mammalia > Primates > Hominidae > Homo > Homo sapiens. The sequence continues at coordinate 3,316,049 of NC_000003.12, forward strand.
GACTAGGTTTAATTTACTTGAAGGCCGCCTCCCCTCAAACTCACACACAGAGAAGCGCAATTTCAGTGCAAACCAGAGAACATTAAGAACGTCTTAAATCCTTTGAAATCCTTTTCTATTGAATCACATGCTTGAGGGAAGGGCCCCCGGACAATTTAATGGAAACAAATCTACTTACTTCGAAGATGAGTCTTTGTTCAGGTAGTACTGATGATCTGGGAGGCCCTCTTTCTGGTTCAGATTTTACAATGCCTGGACAGATCCTATCTCTTCCTCCTTCTCCTCCTACATGAAACCTTCCCAGATCTCACCAGCATCCAGAGCTGAACTCTGACTTTATAGCTTTTGTTCTCTGTCTCATTTCTTTGGTAATGAACTGAGCCTGGCAATAGGATGTCACCAACATTGTGTGTATGTGTGGTGGGTGAAAGGGCACTAGTGTATAGTTGGGTTACAACACTGCTATATACTGAAAGTATATTAGGACTGAAAGTCCTTATCTTTATTTCTCTTTGCTTGTCTTCATGTCTTTGGGGTTGGCAAACTGTTTTCAAGAGCCACTATCTTTATATCATAAACAAGGGAACACATTTACTCTCTTATCCCTGGAGTGTTCTTCCTGCTCCTTCTTATCTAACTCACTTCATATGCTAAAGAGCCAGCTGCAACTTGAGCTGCAGGAAGACGTCCCTTATCCCTGCATCTGAGTTATGTGCCCCTCTGTGATATGCTCATGGCCCCTTCAACTACCAAAACCAGGGCTCAGATAACGTTTTCTATAAAAGGCCAGCAAGTAAATATTTTTAACTGTGCAGGCCATATAAAGTCTCTGTCGCAACTACTCAACTGTGCCACAGTAGCTCAAAAGCAGCCATGAGTGTGGCTGTGTTTCAATAAAACTTTATTGATGGGCACTGAAATTGGAATTTCATATCATTTTCATGGACCAGGAAATATTATTCTTTTAAAAATGTTTTTCTGACCATTTAAAGAATGTAAAAACCATACTTAGCTCCCAGTTGTACAAAAAGGGGTGTGGACTGGATTTGGTCTTAGGGCTTTGCCATGGTTTGCTGATCTCTGACCTAAGCTCTTGTTTGTTTACTTGACTTTTTAAACTCACCACAGTAAAAGCTCCCCTTAAGGGTCTCCCATCTCAGCACATCTAGGACATAGCAGGGTGCCTGGCTTGTGTACTGGAGGTTAACCTCTACACACCTCAGGCTGCATCACTAATCACCTGTTCTGCCCACCATAGTCTTCATGTAGGCCAGTGGGGTGGATGACTCAAATGTTTAATGAGAAAATGCTTTAGTTGGTGTATTAGTCCATTTTCCCACTGCTGGCAAAGACATACCCAAGACTGGGCAATTCACAAAAGAAAGAGGGTTGATGGACTTACAGTTCCATGTGGCTGGGGAGGCCTCACAATCATGGCAGAAGGTGAAAGGCATGTCTCACACGGCAGCAGACAAGAGAAGACAGATTGTGCAGGGAAACCCCTTTTGAAAGCCATCAGATCTCGTGAGACTTATTCACTATCACGAGAACAGCAGGGGAAAGACTGCCCTCATGATTCAATTACATCCTACTGGGTCCCTCCCACAACATGTGGGAATTCAAATTGAGATTTGGGTGGGGACACAGCCAAACCATGTCATTCTGTGGCCCCTCTTGAATCTCATATCCTCACATTTCAAAATCAATCATGCCTTCCCAACAGTCCCCAAAGTCTTAACTCATTTCAGCATTAACTCAAAGGCCACAGTGCAAAGTCTTATCCAAGACAAGGCAAATCCCTTCTGCCTATGAGCGTGTAAAATCAAAAGCAAGTTAGTTACTTCCTAGATACCATGAGGTACAGGCATTGGGTAAATACAGACATTCCAAATGGGAGAAATTGGCCAAAATAAAGGGGCTACAGGCCCCAGCAAGTCCAAAATCCAGCAGGACAGTCAAATCTTAAAGCTCCAAATGATCTCCTTTGAGTCCATGTCTCACATCCAGGTCACACTGATGCAAGAGGTGGCTTCTCATGGTCTTGGGCAGCTACTCCCCTGTGGCTTTGCAGGGCACAGCCTCCCTCCCAGCTGCTTTCACAGGCTGGCATTGAGTGCCTGTGGCTTTTCCAGGCACACAATACAAGCTGTAGTTGGATCCGCCATTCTGGGGTCTGGAGGATGGTGGTCCTCTTCTCACAGTTCCACTAGGCAGTGCCCCAGTAGGGACTCTGTGTGGGGGCTCCAACTCCACATTTCCCTTCTGCACTTCCCTAGCAGAGGTTCTCCATGAGAACCCCACCCCTGCAGCAAACTTCTGCCTCAACATCCAGGCATTTCCATACAACCTCTGAAATCTAGGTGGAGGTTCCCAAACCCCAATTCTTGACTTCTGTGCCCTGGCAGGCTCCATACCACATGGAAGCTGCCAAGGCTTGAGGCTTGCATCCTCTGAAGCCACATCCTGAGCTCTATGTTGGCCCCTTTCAGCGACGGCTGGAGTGGCTAGGATGCAGGGCACCAAGTCCCTAGGCTGCACACAGCACAGGGACCCTGGGCCTGGCTAATGATCACTTTTTCCTCCTAGACCTCCAAACCTGTGATGGGAGGGGCTGCCATGAAGACCTCTGACGTGTCCTGGATACATTTTCCCCATTGTCTTGGGGATTAACATTTGGCTCCTCGTTACTTATTCAAATTTCTACAGCTGGCTTGCTTGGATTTTCCTCAGAGAATGAGGTTTTCTTTTCTATCGCATTGTCAGGCTGCAAATTTTCCAGGCTTTTATGCTCTGCTTCCCTTATACAACTGAATGCCTTTAACAGCACCCAAGTCACCTCTTGAATGCTTTGCTGCTTAGAAATTTATTCTGCCAGATACCCTAAATCATCTCTCTCAAGTTCAAAGTTCCACAAATGTCTAGGACAGGAGCAAAATGCCACCAATCTCTTTGCTAAAACATAACAAGAGTCATCTTTGCTCCACTTCCCAACAAGTTCCTCATTTCCATATGAGATCACCTCAGCTTGGACTTTATTGTCCATATCGCTATCAACATTTTGGGCAAAACCATTCAAGAAGTCTCCAGGAAGTTCCAAACTTTCCCACATTTTCGTGTCTTCTCAGAGCCCTCCAAACTGTACCAACCTCTGCCTGTTACCCAGTTCCAAAGCTGCTTCCACATTTTGATTCTCTCTTCAGCAGCGCCCTACTCTACTGGTACCAATTTACTGTATTAGTTCATTTTCATGCTGCTGATAAAGACACACTTGAGACTGGACAATTTACAAAAGAAAGAGGTTTAATGGATTTACAGTTCCACGTGCCTGGGGAGGCCTCACAATCATGGCAGAAGGTGAAAGACATGTCTCACATTGCAGCAGACAAGAGAAGACAGCCTAGGCAGGGAAACTTCCCTTTTTAAAACCATCAGATCTTGTGAGACTTATTTACTATCATGAGAACAGCAGGGGAAAGACTTGCCCCCATGATTGAATTACATCCCACCGGGTCCCTCCTACAACACATGGGAATGTAAGATGAGCTTTGGTGGGGACACAGCCAAACTATATCAGTTTGTCCTCCACCACACCCAGCAGGAAAAAAGTACAAAATCAATGCAACTTGATAATATTAAAAGGGGTTTTAAATCCTTTAGCATCTTCTGTAATTGAATTGTATGCTCAAGAGAAGGGCCTCCTTACATCTGTGTAATGTGGGTATCAGTAAAAATAAAAATAAAATAAAATAAGGGCCCCAGACATAGTGCTGTAGATAGAAATATTCTGCTTCTTTCCTTCTGCCCTACCACATCTTAGTTCAATATCTGTGCTCACCTGCAAAACCCTCCCTGCTGGTAGAAGTCTCTCCAGGCTTGGATAATTTATTTCTCCTTCTCCTCCATGAAGCCTCCTCAGGCCCATGAGTTTTTGTATAAGCTGTTCCCTCTGCTTGCAATGGTCTTCTTTGTGGCTCATTCCTTGTGACTAAGGACTCAGCTTTAATGTCACATCCTCACAGAAGCTTTCTCTGACCACTCTGATGACACAGACACCCACCTTCTTTCTGCATGTTAGTACTAGTCCTTTCCCTTCCCAACACTATTACGATTTGTAATTACTTATCTACTTATGGGTTTGATTTTTGGATCTGCAGTCTAGCATAGTTCCTGACACACAACAGGTACTCAATAAATATCTGCTGAATAAATGAACGAAAAGTTGGCTTCCTGAGTCACATTGCCTACATTTAAATTCCAGAACCCCACTTCTTAAACTCTTCAGAAATTTACTTGTTAAGCCTTTTTTTTAATGTGTAAAATGCACATCACCAACTTCATGATGTTGTTGTAAGTATAAAATGAGAATAGCTTAGTATGGTGCCTGGCACATAGTAAGCATACGAGCAATATCTATCTATCCATCCATCCATCCATATAACAACTATTTATCATCTACCAGCTATATATCTATCATAATCTATCCTACCTATCTACTCTCTAGCAATCGTCATCATCATTCAATTTATGCTCATTTCTTGAATGAATAAATTCATATCAGAGATAATCCTACTAAAGATTTTACATCCATTTCTTTGTCTTTGCTTACACTATGCTCGAGACCTCTAATATCACTTTATTCTGCCTAGAAACCAGGATAAACAAACTAAATCATCAGAGAGAGATTTCTCATGTTTTCAGTTTCTCACCATGTAATTGCCCTTGGCTTATATGCGCTAACATGCACCCACTCCTGGACAGCTCTCTCAGTAGGAAGAATGAATTCTGAGCTACTATGTCATCACAGAAATTTTATACAACATGAGGAAAATCAAAAGTTATCCTTTGGATGCTGGTTAGTTGAAAACAGTCATCTTAAAATCTATTTTTTAAAAAATCTCTGCTTCAACATTCGGCACTGGTTGGTCTCCATCAAACCGAGACTTCTGCTAATGAAAGCAAGGCTCGCTAGTCCAAAACTACAGAAAAGTACGAGGAGTTAATTGTTGCAATTATCCACTGAGTGGACTTGGACTGTGAATCCCTTAAAGGATGGATTGCTAATTGCTGCTAAATGGCGATTAAATTACACTCTCCATGTTTTCAAAATGAACTGGAGTTTAGCAGACCTTAAAGAATTAGATCTGAGTCAAGGTAAAGGGCAGAAAAGATGTCCTCAGAGTTTTATGAAAACATACACACATGAGCATGAACTCAGAACTTGTTTGCAAGTTCTTTCTGTTAGTCCTTGCCTTCCAAGATATATATGATAGTGTATGTTTTATTAGACCATAACTTATTCCTATTCCAAATAATTGATAAAGTTGAGAAAATCAATGCCATTTGAGAATTAGACATGAACTATATAACTACAGATAGAATTTTAATATTAATGCTGCATGGTCATATGTTTCAATGATTGTTTCGCATTAGCATGATCCTCTTTGAAGGGCTCATTATGGTTTTACAGACTTTCCAGAGTAGGCAGCAATTGCAGTACCAGGTTAGAGTAACATTTTTAAGCAAGTATTTAAAAAATCTCAATATCTTTACACGGCTTTTTTCCTCTTTTGTTTGGCCTTGGTTTAAATATATACTGCATGTGCATCCTGGGGGCAAGCACTATATATTGACATTTCTGTAGTTTCTGTTGCCCCTAGCACAGTGTCTAGTCTAAAGGTGGCTAAATTAATAATACACGGATAAATAAATGAATGAACAAATAAACATCATGCAACGATGTAAATTCAACAGCATGCTACTCAATATAAGAGCCAACATTAATCCCTTAGGAGTTCTGTCTGCAAAGTCAATGTAGAAATAGGTTTCCTCCTTCCTAAAATTTTCTGTTCAACAATCTTCAGCTATGAAGCTGGCTACTAAGGGCTTAAAATATACTTGGAACGTGCACCCCCTGGCTTCATGTCAGGATCCATTTTATTGGTATTGCCTTTTTATACCTTTATGCGGATTAAAGCAAAACAGATTGGGAAATGTTGTCCCTAAATGCCCTGTTAAGAAAATAAAAGAAGGAATATCTACAAGCAAGTTGCTTTGAAGCACTGTGTGTGAACGCGCGAGAAATTACAGGAAAGAAAAACATCCTCCATTACCTGCAATGAAAGAGAGTTCTAGGTCTGACTTGAACCTGAAGTTCTGGTACCATTATTTGGAACCCACCCAAGAAGTTTGCAATTTGCAGGAGGAATATCGTGGTAGGCTAAATAACGGCCCCCAAGGATATCAGGTCCTAATCCCTGCAACCTATAAATATTAACATATGCAGAAAGGGTCTTCACAGATGAGATTAAATTAAGGATATTAAGGATCTTGAAATAGGAAGATTATCCAGAATAATCTGGGTAAGCCCTAAATATAATCACAAGAATCCCCACACGAGGAAGGAAGAGAGATTTCAGACAGGCAGAAGAGGAGAAGCTAATATAACTATGGGGGCAGAAATTAAAGTGATGTCACCACAAGCCGAGAAATACCAGCAGCCATGAGAAACTGGAAGAGGCAAGAACAAATTCTCCCGTTGCTCCCCTGGAGGGAGCCTGGCCCTGCGAATGCCTTGATTTTGGCCCAGTGAAGCTGATTTCGTACTTCTGGCCTCCAGGACTGTAAAAGCATAAATTTCTGTTGTTTTAAGCCAACAAGTTTGTCATAATCTGTTACAGCAGCCACAGGAAACTAATACAAATACAGAATTTTATTTTTATTCAGATTGGAACCCAAATCCAGATATGTTCCATAAATTCTTATGATGACTTATTATTACTGCATGACAGTTTGTTAGAAACGCAGAATCTCTGGCCCCATCTTCAGAATCAGAATTTGCAATTTAACAAGATCCCAGGTACTCCATATACACTTTCACATTTGAGACTCACTGCTCTAAATGACTCTGCAGCCTTTTAGTGAGAAGCTGCTTCTCAATTATCTGAAGGTTTAAAGTCACCATCTGGTGTAGGGTTAAGTGTTTGTATTAACAGGCTGGTGAAGATCTCACGATGCATGAGAAAAGGGCTAGCAGTGCAGGTAAAATCCTTGTCTCAAACTGGAATCCCAGCACACCTTATACCTTACACCTTGAGAAGGAATGTGTAAGTGGCAACTATCTTGGAGCTGCATCGGGTGAGACCAGGATTCTTAAAGATGGTGTTCAAACGCCTAAAAATGATTCTGTTATTTACATGACCAAATCACACACTTTCCATTTATCCTAAGTGTTAACGGAAAAAAATTTCTGATGGTCAGAGCTTTCCCTAGAGAAGTGAGCTTCTGGGTACGCATTACATGAATGACATATTGACAAAGATGTTATAGGGACACAAATTTAAATGTGACTGGAGTGAACAGGTGACCTTTAACTTGTCTTTCCATAGAAAGCTTGTATTTGTGGGATTCTTAAACACCATCTAATGTCATATTTACTCTTCTTTAACAAAGCAAACAGGTTGAATTACAGCATCTATAGCCAAGAGAAAACTCATTAAACAGTTTGGATGGATTTCAAAAGCTGTGCGAGACTGTTTTCTGACCTATAGAAAAATCCAGCAGAGGAAATTTACCTGTCAAACTCCTACTTTAATAGGCGACAGTAAAATGCTGGAGTCAACAACACAATCTACAAATGTGTATGGCAGCTAATTTTTAATTGGCACTTTCTCTTGCACCTGCCATAGGAGTTTCACACATTTATCAAAATACTGAAAATGCTTACTTAGTATTTGCAATCTTCTTCCTTTCACACGTGATCAACACTACACAAATTAGTGTCCCTCTGAACACTCACAGATAATTGGAGCACAAAAAAGATCACTTTACAGCTACCTAGCTGGAAGGGGCTTCAGGGTTAGTTTCCACTCTTTCATCCTATAAGACAGAAAAAAAAACCCTGTAGGTAGTTAGAAGACTACTTCAACTTTGCTAAGTGAGGCACCGAGGGTTAGTAGGCAGATGCCTATGCTGCCTGTTTCAAACTCCCAATAGTACTGAAGTTTCTAGGATGATAGGACATCCTAGTAGAGACATGGTGGGGAAGGAGATGAAGAAGTTAGGGCAAGACTATGAATCTTCTATACTGGACTGAATAGAGTCCCCCAAAATTTCATGTCAGTTTAGAACTTGAGGATGTGACTCATCTCTTTCCCTGGAAGTAAGTCTTTTCAGATGTAATTGGCTAAGATGAAGTCATACTGGATCAAGGTGGGCTCTAAATCAAATGACTGCTTTCCTTATAAGTAAGCCATGTCACAGCCATACACACAGAGAATAGCACTATGTGAAGACAGAGGCAGAAGTTGGAGTGATGCTACTACGAGCCAAAGAATGCTGGGGATTTCTAGCAACCACCAGAAGCTAGGGAGAGGCAAGGAAGAGTCCCCCCTTAGAGCTTTCAGAGGAAGCGTGGCTCTGCCAACACACTGATTTTGGATTTCTAGCCTCCAGAATTGTGAGAGGATACATTTCTGTTGTTTTAAGCCACGCAGTTTGTGGTAATTTGTAACAGCAGCCCTAAGAAACTAATACCTACAACTCTTGTAATCCCAGCACTTTGGGAGGCCAAGGTGGGTGGATCACTTGAGGTCAGTAGTTCAAGACCAGTCTGGCCAATATGGTGAAATCCTGTCTCTGCTAAAAATACAAAAATTAGCAGGGCGTCATGGTACATGCCTGTAATTTCAGCTACTCAGGAGGCTGAAGTGCAAGAATCACTTGAACCTGGGAGGTGGAGGTTGCACTGAGATTGCACCACTGCACTCCAGCCTGGGCAACAGAGCAATGCTCCATCTCAAACAAAACAAAACAAAAAACCCCAGAAACTAATACATACCCAAACCAATTTATAATGAAAAATGCCGATGATCCAGGCACTATGCTCAGTTCTTGACATGGATTATTCCATTTAACCCTAGGAACCATCCTGTGAGGTAGATTTAATTATTTTTCTCTCTCTCTCTCTTTTTTTTTTTTTTTCTGAGAGGAAGTCTCGCTCTGTCACCCAGGCTGGAGTGCAGTAGTGCAATCTCGGCTCACCACAACCTCCGCCTCCCGGATTCAAGCGATTCTCCCACCTCAGCCTCCTGAGTAGCTGGGATTACAGGCATGCATCACCATGCCTGGCTAATTTTTGTATTTTAGTACAGACAGGGTTTCACCATGTTGGTCAGGCTGGTCTCAAACTCCCGAACTCAGGTGATCCGCCTGCCTCGGCCTCCCAAAACACTGGGATTACAGGCATGAGCCATCACACCCGGCCTTAATTATTATCCTCATTCTAGACTTGCTTGTCTGAGGAACCACAGCGAGTGGCTGAGCCAGGGTTTGAAGCCTTGTAATTCTGAATAGGGCTTGCTTTCTTCACAGCCACATCCAACTGTCTCCCAGTCATGATGGCCAAACTCAGTGCTCATAGAGACAACTGTGCCCTATCTCTGCTCCATTATCTCTTCCTACTCCTTGAAGATGAATCCAGAACTTTCAGGCAAATGATCAAATGCTCAACTGCTTCAGCAGCAGAAAACAATAAAAACCTTTTCATCAGGGAATTCCTGGTATCAGCCATTAGGTCTCATTGGTAAGGTCACTGGCAATCAATTCCATCTTATTATCTAAATCTCAGTGGCTGGAGTTGAATTGTCTTATAAATGAGGGAAGATACAGAGACAAAACATGAGGAAAATTATTTCTTTTCAGGTGGGAGCATGTTCAAAGGCCAACTTGAGGGAGCTGAATCAAATATTCAGTTATGTTTTAAATCTAATAGAATCGCGGGCATTTTACAAGTGAGGAAACTGAGGGCTAGAAATGAGAAGGGTCTTATCCAACAGAAGAGGCAAGTTACCTAAAGATTCCAAGTTAGAACCCAGGTTTCCCAACCACAAGTCCAATGTTCATTATATACAGCCTTCCATCTGTCCATCTACCCTTTTTTTGTCTATTTGTCCATCCATGCATCTGTCCATCTACCTACCCACACACTCATTCATCCAGGCATGCATCCACCTACCCTTCAATACAAGCATCCATCTGTCCATCTAACCATTCATCCATCTACCGCTCTACCTCTCACCAATTTAATAATTATGAAGCACTTACAAATGATACTTATTGGAGATATAAGGCCTAATGGGACACTGTCCTAGCCTTCAGGAGCTCAGTAAGACATGATATTCAAATGCTTGGTTCATCATTTAAGAGTTTCCAGAAATACAGTGCTAAGAATACATAGGCAGAGTTGAATCTGAGTGTGTGGTCAGCTGATAAAAATAGTTCCAACTGCAACACTTTTAAAAATATAGATTCCAGGACCTCTATTTCCTTTTTTCTTTTTAGTTTTCTGAAATCAGGTGCCTAGTTTCAGGAAAATGTAGTTATTGCAAAATCAATAAAAAATCAAGCATATGATGCATGGATTCGTAAGTAAAAAAATAATAATTCAAAAGTAAAAAATAATAATGCATATCATGGGTTCTGTCTACAATATGTCCATTGTCATCAAGAGATTACTGGTATTTATTTAGCCCATGAAATAATCATGCGTTTAGATATTTACACATCTTAAAGTAGGGTCTGTCTCATTTAATCCAATGAAAAAAACATTAGAGAAGCATTGTTACAGAGGACAAAAACTTCATGTGTTCACACTCAGCAATGCAGTTGTCTTTCATTGTTCTCTTTCCATTTCTTCCCAGTTGCACAGGGATATATTCATACTGAGTGCCAATAGAGGGGAATGACTCCAGGAGGCATACTGACCTGGATTCAGATCCTGTCTAACCTGCTGACTCCAGGCAGTAAGATTAACAAATGTTAGAGCAGAGGAGACTTTTAATAACTTTATCATGATTTAGGTGCTCACATGTATAAGTTCACTTGTTATTTACAATCATTATGGACCTAGTCCTTTCATCAACTCCACTTTATGATTAAGGAAACTGAGACACAGGATCATTAAGTGTTGATGTGCTAGTCATCGCACAGGAAACACGTTTAAGATAAAATCAGCTGTAGCGTCCATTTTTTGCATCTCTTTTGTGTCATGATACTGTTTGTATTTACTCACTTTGAGTGCTACTCAGCCACTTGGTGCCTCTGTCTGTCTGAGATATTCCTCATGGCAGACATCACAGGATATGTAGAAAAAGCCCCTGAGAGAGCTCAGAAGATGGGGCTTTCAGGGGTGGCCCTGCTTGCGTGGCCCTCGGCAAGATACTTATTCATTAATTTTTAAGCCAGAAGGGGCTTTTACAGTGATCTGTGTCAATATCCCCTCTACAGATGAAAAAAACCCTAAGATCCAAAGGAGTTCAGATGCGCTGAAGGTCACACAGCTAATTAGTGGCTTAACATTCACTTTAAAGTAAGTCTTACTCCCTCTAAACACACATTAGAAATGTTTTAATCTCGATATCTAGCTTGCTTTACTTTGGGGTCAGATTTTATGGATTCAAATCCCCACTCTTCCTCTTACTAGACATATAACCCCAGGGCAAATGACTTTTGCTGTGTTCAGGAAACTTTTATTTCTGGGACAAGGTCTTGCTCTGTTGCCCAGGCTGGAGTGCAATGGTGGAATCACTGCTCACTGAAGCCTCAACCTCTCAGGCCCAAGTGATCCTTCCACCTCAGCCTTCCAAGTAGCTGGGACCACAGGCACGTGCCACTACGCATGGATACTTTTTTTTTTTTTGAGACAGAGTCTTGCTCTGTTGCCCAGGCTGGAGTGCAATGGCATGATCTCAGCTCACCGCAACCTCCGCCTCCCAGTTTCAAGCGATTCTCCTGCCTTAGCCTCCCAAGTAGCTGGGATTACAGGTGTGCGCCACCACACCTGGCTAACTTTTACATTTTTAGTAGAGATGGGGTTTCACCATGTTGGTCAGGCTGGTCTTGAACTCCTGACCTCAGGTGATCCATCTGCCTCAGCCTCCCAAAGTGCTGGGACTACACTGCACCCAGCCTATTTTTAAAATTTTTTTATTAAGACATGCTGTCTTGCTATATTGCCCAGGCTGGTCTTGAACTGCTGGGCTCAAGTGATCCTCCTGCCTTGGCCTCCCAAAGTGCTGGGATTGTAGGTGTAAGCCACTGCACCTGGCCCAGTAGGATAAAATAGTATCGATTTCCTTATGATTTTGTAAAGATTAAATAATGTGATCCAATGAGAGTAGTTTGGATAATACCTACACTATATTATTATTATGGGTTTTAATTACATCATCTGTCTTCATTTGTGAGGCTTTTGATAAAGGCAAAAATTCTTCAATACTTAATATTTTCAAAATGGATCACTAAATAAGAAAACATATTTTAACTTCACTTATCATTTATTCACTCATTAACCAAATATTTATTGAATATCTATTATCTATAGGCACTGTTCTAGGTTCTGGGACATCACAGTAGCAAAATACACTGAACTCCCTTAAATTCTGCTAGGGGTGAACACTTGAAATGTGGTCAGTGAAAGAAATAAAATTAAAAGAAAATTCTAGTAGAATTAGAGGACAATAATTAAATAACAATTCAGTAAATTATTTATGTATTAGAAGGTGCTAAGTACTAGAGGGAAAAGTAAAGCAGAGAAGTGGATAAGGAATACAGGTGGGGTGAAGGGAACTGAGCAAGAATTGACGTTTTAAGTAGGGTGGCCAAGGAAGGTGACATTGAAGGAATATTGGAATATCTGTGGAAGAAGGAGGAGTTATCCATGTAGATATCTGGGCAAAGGGTATCCAACAAAGGTAAGAGCCAGTGCAAAGCTGCTGAGGTAGTAGTGTGCCTGGCATGTCAATGGACTAGCAAAGATTTCAGCGTGGTTGGAATAGAATGAGTGTAGGGGAGAGTTATAGGAAATGAGACTGGAAAAGAAACAGAAGCCAGGCCATGAAGGGTCTCTACAGCCACTGAGGGACCTTGTTTTTTTTGTTTTTTTTTTTTTTAACTGTGCATGAGTTATAAAGGTACTGGGTGGTTTCGAGCAGAGGAGTGTATCGTTTGACTTATAGTTTGATCATGAAACAGGTAGTTTAGCTGCTGCTGTGTTGAGAATAGACTACAGGAGGCAAGGTTGGGGACAGAGACATTATTTAGGAGGTATGACACATACAATGCTACATGTTGACCAAAACAGCTTTGTTTTCCTCCCAGGTACACACGAAGCCTACATTTTCCAGCCCCTTGGTATCTGGGTGAAGCCATATGTCTTGAACTAGACAACAGAATGTGAATGGAAGAGACATATGTTCTTTCCAGATATGGCTCCTAAAGGTCTCATGCTTTTATATGCTCCCTTCAGCCTGTGGGGCTGGAAGCCAAGAACTCAAACAGTAGACGCATATGATGGAAGCAGGGTGGGTCCCTAAGTCATCACTTAGGTAGAGAAGAGCTACCCAGGAGTGCCCCTAGGCCTGTATAAACAGTGACGTAAATGAGAAATAAACTTTTACCATGCTAGGCCACTGAGAGTCATGGGTATTTTTTTTTTTTTTTTTTTTTTTTACCATTTTCTGTTACAGCTCTAGGGAGCTTTACTCTGACAAATACAAGAGGCTAGTTCAATAAACCAGGTAAGATATTGTAATGACTTGGATCTGGATGTTAGCAGGTTATGAAAGGTAACTGGACACTGCATGTATTTTGAAGGTAGCACCTACCAGATTTTCTGACAGATTTGAAAAGGAGAATGATAAAAGCATCAGGGATGGTGTCAGGGATTTTGGTGTGAACCATTGGAAGGATGGGGTTGTCATTAACGGAGCCGGGGAAGACCACAGGCAGAAGAGGTACGTATGTTAGGGGGCTGTGAGGCAGGGGGTTTCAGGAGTTCAGATTTTGGCATAAGAGGTCTTACACGATTACCAGTTGTGCGTGGAGATGCTCAGTGGTCAGTTATACCACTATACATGGTGGTGTGCTGGCCAGCTTGTACCAGCTTATGAGAACCAATTACCAGATTTGCAGGAGTTTTATGAGCCAGTTATTAAACCATTAGTAACTTGAAGTCAGTCGTAGTGAGAGTATTTACACCCCAGAAGTTGGCAAATGCTCAAGTCAGGGCTTTTTTTTCTCCCCCAGAAGCTGGTTGTTAAACATTTAGCAGCATCTCATTTGGCATAAGAGTTGAGGGAGAGGTCATGTTTATAAATGAGGTAATATCTTTATGATTTATTTTCCCCCAAGACATCTTAGAATCTCTCTAGTGTCAGAAATATCTTCCATTTAATGATATTTTTTCCTGATCATGTTCTATTAACCAATGCTGTTTTTAGACAACTAGTACATATACAACACCATTAAATGTGGTTCACTGGGTGACAACAACTGTTATACACTGAAAACGTTCAGTATTTTACTTCTATTGTCTATTCTATTTGAGGCAACAAAAAATAAAATTAAATAATCTCACAGTCTTAAAATCTCAATATACACTTACATATCTTTTGTAAAATTCCCCACATTTGCAATATCCCAAATATTCTCATCTTTATTTATTTATTTAGAGTCAAATGCCTGCTGAATACAATCTCTACTAACTTTATGATTATCCATTCATAAAATAAGGATTATGTTTTCCCTGCCTACCTCACCAGAAAATTGTGAAGAGCAAATGAGGCAATGCACATAAGAGTGTTTTGTCAATTGTAAGCAAACAGAACGAATGTTGATAGATCTGAAATAAAATGACTGAGTCTCTGCATCGCCTGTGGTCTTCAAGAGATTTATTAGTGACTTTTTGTGGACGGCTAGGTACCACTTAGAGTCAATTGGGCAGACATGTTCCTGCTGTTCTAGAACTTGATAACATGATGACTTATCAGGGAAATTAATCTGGAAGAACTCCATGGCAACTTACATTTAAGGTATGCAAGAAGAATGTAAGGAAATGCTTTCTTATTTCTTTACTTTATTACTTTCCTTACCCTGGACACTTCCTCATTCCTGGAAAGGAATATAACTATTCATCAGCTATAATGATGAAATCTCATTTTTATATATTGTATTTTTACCTTTAACTTTTAAACAATGTCTGTTGCCGAAGGTGCATTTCTCAATATTTTAATTCAAACTGACTTAAAAGGAGAAAAAATACTGACACAAAACAGTCATACATTGATTATGAGATATAGTGAATAAAGTTAGTTTTGTTATTATTTATATTTACTCTAAAGTCCCAATAAATAGGATTTCCAATATTTCCATCCTTTTAATATTTTATTAAAAATGGCCAATTAGAGGATTAATACATAGAAATATTTATATAAATACATCAGTATAACTTAAATGGAAATGTTTATAAATATAAAATATCAGGGGATTCTTATGTGCTTAAATGTCTTTCAGTGTGTGTGTAAGCCTTGCATGCATTTTGGTATCCTTGCTGCTGAAGCTTCATGAAAGTGATTAGATCAAACATAGAGGAGCTGCGTCATACAAAGTAGGAATTATTGTCTACTCAGTTTGATGCTGTATTTGCATGAAACTTCTTCAGACAACTAAATGGTTGGTTCATGTGACTGGAAGGCAAAGGTTGGATATGTTTGGGACGAAAGATAAGCCAATTTTGAGAGAACATCTAAATACTAGAAGAGCTTAATGGCTATTTCCTTTTATTAAAGCTGGTGCTATGTATGCATGTTTGAGGGGCCATACTGTAAAATGGGTGATTTTTTGAAATTCTTGTGATTGTTGAGATTCCTTTAATTTCAATGAAGGGATAAATTTTCATTAACTTATAGAAACCTGATGGAAAACAATAAGGTGAAATGCCTGACAGTGTCCCTTCTCATTCAACATTTTTTCTCTAGGGTTTCGTAGACCCAGATGTAACACTGCAATGAGTATATTAGGCATGGTGACTACACTGAATGACAGAGTCAACACAACATCGTGAAGTTGGAAGGAGAGTAAAATTAGTCAGAAGACATGTAATAGGCACACGTGTAGCCCTAATGTAGGTTAAAAACATCAATTGCGTGAGTATAACAACACCCATGATATGCCTTGATATAGGCAGGGTCTTCTTCGTCTCATTGGTCTCCAGAGTCCTGGACATTTTTTCTAGTCCTAACTGCTTTTCATGTGACAAGCACTTTACATTTTCTGATCAGCTTCGTATGGGCACAACTGACCATGCCTTGCCTGTATCAGACACCTATTTCTTCCTTCTGGGAGTTGGATATTTGATTATCTGGTTAGCATCTGTATTAGTCTGTCTGACACTGCTAATAAAGACATACCTGGGTAATTTATAAAGGAAAGAGGTTTAATTGACTCAGTTCTACATGGCTGAGGAGGCCTCACAATCATGGCAGAAGGCTAAGAAGAGCAAAGAGACGTCTTACATGGCAGCAGGCAAGAGGGCCTGTGCAGGGGAACTCCCCTTTATAAAACCATCAGATCTTCTGAGACTTATTCACTATCATGAGAACAGCACAGGAAAGACCCGCCCACATGATCCAATTACCTCCCACTGGGTCCCTCCCATGACATGTGGGAATTATGGGAACTAACAATTTGAGATTTGGGTGGGGACACAGCCAAACCATATCAGTGTCCATGCATATACAACTTGGAAGTGTGGAGGAATCAATGTCCCACAGAGCAAGCCTTTGCAAATGGAAACTGACATGAGTAGATCAATATATCTCCTTTCCGCATGGTCCCGAGAAGCAGTTGTTTATATTGTAGCCTCTCAGAAACTGGTGGACCTACAGGATCTGGCAATCAGTCATATCTGCTGCTATGTAGAGGCAGGTAGGACATTGTACTATCTTTTTGGCTCTTTTGTCTCCTGCTTCTCTTGGCTTTCCCCTATTCTTGTTCCCTTTAGGGGATCCCAGGGTAAGATTACCCCTCCTCTCTGCCACCCCCCTATTTGACTTTACCATCTCCTAAAATAAACACCAACTGCAAAAATATATCACATATATGAAAAAGACTTGGGGTTTTGATGGTAAGTTAAACGTCAGAAAGAGAAGGATATGACCACACTCAAAAAAACCTCAACTCAAATTAGACTACCTTTATCAAAGGAGACACTACGGGATTTGCTTAAATTCCTGCAGGTAATAAGAAGTGGAAGTTATATTTGAACTCCCCTTGTCTGAGTCTATAACACATGCTATGATCCTCCACATTACACAGAAGGAATTGAAATCTGTTTCACAACAGAAATGGATAAAGTATTAGAAATCTTCATCATAAAAGAAACTCATCCTTTGGTGGTATATGAAGGTTGTCTTCAAGAAAATAAAATGCTGTTATTTGGAAGATTTGGACTTATTACATGATTCTAATGAGAAAGATTAAGAGGAATAAGCAGAATAAAAACAGCAACACAGCTAGGACAAAAAAATGTAAGAAACTCTATATGCCAGTCACGGTGCTGCCAAGTGCTTTATAGACATCCTCATTTATATTCACAACATCCCTGTAAAATGCTTACTGCTACCATTTCCATTTTAAAGACTAGAAAACTGAGGTGTGGATATATTGAGCAGTTTGGCAAAGGCCTGGTTATCAAGGAAGTGGTGGAGCTAGGATCAGAACCCAGGTCAGTAGGACATCCAAACCCTTGTGCTTAATCACTATGGTACCTTTTCACTGGAGAGGTGCAGCATCAGCTCAGTGTTAAAAAGGAAGTTTAATAATCAGGGGTCTTAAATATATAATCAGCTACCCCTGTGGGTGTGAATTCCCTGCCTGCAGTGATCCCACAGCTGACCTGCTAGGTGTGATGGGACTGATTCTCTTAAATGGAGACAGAGCAGACACGTCATCAGCTCTGTTAATTCCTCCACATAAGTAGAGACGGAGGGCAGGAGGCAGGCAGAACAGGATCCAAGGGAACCAAAGCTGGTTTGGATAGCATCCAGGGGTCATTGCACAGAGACACTGAAGGCTCATATTAAAGTTGGGGCTGGAGTGGACTCAGAATTTGGCAAGATGGAACATGGCAATGGAAACAGATATGTTGAAGTAAGGATCCAAAAAGATCTGATTATTGAATGGGAAGAGGCACTGCGTTTTTAATCAGCATTCAACGTCTCAGACCAGAGGCCTTTACTCCTTAATAAGACCTCAAATGGAGTTGGCCTTACCAGGTTTCTGGAATGGCCTGGATGTTCATGTAGGGAGATATTGCAGACTGAATTCATGCTTTACTAAGAGTTGGGCTGCATGACCTTCAAAACTTAAAACGCAGGAAGTCCAACTAATTTGGGAAGGCTAGTGAGGGATGGACCACTGGAAAGAACTGCTCTAAGACATAACAGTTTTTTATGGTAACCCAAGAAGTTGACAGCACCAACCTGTATTAGTTAGCAGTTGATTACCAGCAAAATCATTGTTTCATAATATATTGCTAGTAAGATCTGGGAATAAGGAAAAATGTTGGCTCTGGTTTGAATCCCACCAGACTTTTGACTCCATTCAAATCTTTTTAATGAATGCATTTAGGATAATCCCTTTAATTCTTCCCTCAGTGCTTCTCCAATCAGGGAACACATGGAACTCCCATTAACTATCCTGAACAGTCGTTCATGCACAGATACAGGGAAATTAGCCTGGAAGCACTGACAACAGTTTGCACAAAGTGGCATAAGACAGTGTGACTCATGCATAGCAGGCACATTTGGAATGGAGAAAATCACAACGCATGTAGTCCTACAGTCACCGAGAATTCCTTATCCTTTATTAAGGCAAGCTTCTCTTGTCTTTTCTCAATTATGCTTCATGTGCACTTAACTCAAAATTTAATTGAATTGGTTGCTTCACAGATGGGCTTAAAGGATGTTTTAGTTTCCAAGCGGAGACAAAAGAATGACTGGTATTCATTCTCAAATTAGAAGCCATTAGGAAGGAGGAGGTTTTAGTGGGTTTGAAAGAGTTTAACCACCTTTGAAGGGAAGTGGCATGTTTTCAGAGCATCAGGAGGATTTAGTTCTTAGTGAGAAGACAAGGAAGGACAACTGGAGGTGGATTGTAGATCAAGTCTGTCTAGGGATAAAGGAAGGTGAGGTACTTGCTCACCAGGCCTGCATCTCTCAGTACTGCCAGTAAGAGTTACAGGGCTATGAAAGGAAGAAGGTATCTTGGAGGGAGAAGGGAGGTGAAAGCCCAGTAGGAAAAAGTGAGAAGCATCAGGCAGGACTGAGGAAACTGGCAAGAGGTAAAGTCAGCTTGCTTCCCCCTGCATCCAAATCCCCTGGAAACACAATTAATTATGTCTAAATTAATCCTTATACTAACTCAATACTAATTCCAACCCCAATCCCAACCCAAATACTAACTCAATGGAAGGTCGGTAATCTAGGGGGTTGATCTAGTTTGAATATATGTCCCTGCCAAATCTCATGTTGAATTGTAATCCTCAAGGTTGGAAGTGGGGTCATGGGGCAGGTCCCTCATAGCTTAGTGCTGTCCTCATGATTGTGAGTTCTAGTGACATCTGGCTGTTTAAGTGTGTGGCATCTCCGCACTATCCTCTCTCTTGCGTCTGCATTCCACGTGAACCGCTTGCTCCCACTTCATCTTCTACCACGAGGAAAAGCAGCCTGAGGCCTCCCCAGGAGCCAAGTGGATGCCAGCGCCATGCTTCCTGTACAGGCTGCAGAAATGTGAGCCAATAAAATGTCTTTATACATTACCCAGTCTCAGGCAATTCTTTACAGCAATGCAAGAATGGCCTAACACAGGGATGGAAATCCAGAAGGGTCTTAAATAATTGTCCTAAAATGATTTTTAAAGTGCTATCAGTCTATGAAATTATGTTGAACAATGATTTGCATTGGGCTAAATGATCTCTAGGACTTATTTAACTCTCACATCAGGCGAGAGTTTTACAGGTGAAGAGTCTGAGGCTTAGAGGGGTTGCATAACATGATGGTCACAGGGCTTGCATGTAGGGGTGAGCTGGGCTAGGGACTGAGCTCATAGAGTCTAATTCCAGGGCAGCTGGTGAGGACATGATTGAAGCCTGAAAGGTGCAGTCAGTAATGCAACTGTACACTGAGAGCTTGCCAGTGTCCAAGTCCTGAGCTAAGAACTTCCTGTGCATGGTAGTTTAATTTTCATTACAATGTACTGTGAGTTGGTACTGCATTAGTCTCCTTTGATGGATGAAGCTAAACTACTTGCTCACGATCACTTCATTCATAATCAGAGTGGGGGCTGGCACACAAACTCAGCACTGATTGACCCTAGAATCCCAATTACTCATCTACACACAAAGAAGCTCTTTCATACTTTTGAAAAACCAGATGAAAACCACATGGGCCAGATGGGAGGTGATGGATATCCATTTTATAGTCGTACTGGTTACATTGCAGGTAATCAATGAATATTTAAAAACCGTTTGATCCAAATGGGCCAAATCACAGGAAGAAAGATTTTGACTAGATATGAAGGTGAGCATAAACCTGAATACTGGAACCAGTGGCCTGGGAAGCAACTCTTCCAAAACAAGAATAATCACATCAGCAGGCATAAGGGTTTTCATGATCAACATTATTGATTCATAACCCTGGCTGTATATTACTGGTAGGGTTAGGGACACTGCTATAGACTGAAGATTTGTGTCCCTGAAAAATTCATATGATGAAATCTAACCCACACTGTGATGGTTTTAGGAGTTGGGGCCTTTGGAAGATAATTAGATCATAAATGCAACAGCCTCATCAACGGGATTAGTGACATTATAAAACAGATCCAGAGAGTTCTCTTGCCCCTTCTACTATGTGAGGTCACAAGAAGATACCATCTATGAACAGGAAAGTAGACCCTCACTAGAATCTGGTCACACTGGCACCCTGATCTCAGACTTCCTGCCTCCAGAACTATAAAAAATACATTTCTGTTGTTTATAAGGCACTCCGCAAATGGTGTTCTATTATAGCAGCCTGAATCTATTAAGACAGGCACTTTAAAAAAATAAAGTGACCTCACCCAGAACGAGTTAAATCAGAATCTCTGAAGATGAGGTCTGGATGAGGAACATTTAGAAAAAAATCTCCTCTGGTGACATTAATGTGCAGCCCAAGGTCCTTTCAACCTTCTGGTGCCTTGAACGCTCTTT
The DNA here is from genome assembly GCF_000001405.40 of Homo sapiens. Taxonomy (NCBI): domain Eukaryota; kingdom Metazoa; phylum Chordata; class Mammalia; order Primates; family Hominidae; genus Homo; species Homo sapiens. Next base: position 3,337,131 of record NC_000003.12, read on the forward strand.
GAAACATCTTAATTGTCCTGATTGTTTTTCTTTGCTAGATATCTCTCCCCTGCATCTGAAACTAAAGAAAACTAAGCTATACCACGAGCCTGTTTGCTTCTAACACATACACTGAAGATTGAAGTTGACAAAATGCCAGTTCTCAAATTCCAGCAAGCCCCAGACTTACCTTGAGGGCTCCTTAAAGACAGACTGTAGTGTTCCCCTTTGCACCCAATGTCTGATTCAGTAGGTATAGAGAAGAGCCTGAGAATCTTCATTTCTCACAAGTTCCAGGTGATGTTGATGCTGCTGGCCCAGGGACCACACCTTCAGAATCACTTTCACAGAAGGCTTGAAGGGACAGGGATAAAAAAGAATAAAGTTGTTTTCTGTTATACCCTATGAGTCTAATTTATTCAAGGTAAAGTTTACAGCTAGTGGTGGAATTCCTGGGTCAGGGGAATCATTGACTGCTATCTTCTCATTTAATCCCCGTTTCTCTAGTCACTGCCATTTCAATCTCCTTCCTGCCTTTCAGAAGTTTAGCCAGTTAGTTGCCAAAATTGTAGGTCTTGATATCCTGATTTGCCATAGACAAGTTTAGCTTGGCATCCTAGAGAAGTTGAAAATTAGCCAAAATCGATCAGATTCTTTCATTTTCCAAAACCACTTTGCACAGTCCTCACTCTCAGGACTGGCTAGCTGGGAGTGGTGGCTGAGAATTGTTGAATCTCAGATGCACTGTATTACAGGCAAGGTGAGATGTGTCTGTGGCAAGAAACTGAATAGTAGGGTGAGGTGGAAGCAAAGCCAACTCTGATCTGAGTTACCATCAGAAAATCTTCAGAAAACCATCAAGGCTGGACTTAAGGGCTGGCACAGCAGGGCCCTCTACCATCTGGTCACGCAAAGCCAGGAAGACCTGGGGGGTGTTGGGAGCACAGGCTGCTTGTGTTAAGTGACTCTCTTTACTCTAGGCATTTGTTTCACTCCACACTCCTGGACAGTCTTCTTTAACTTAAAAGATCCACCATGGTTCCTCACTAGCTTCTCTTAGAATCCTCTGATAGGAGTGAGAGTTAAGAGATGCTGTTCTTTCCTTAGTGAAGTGAGTGTAAGCATTTAATTCCCAAAGTGAACAAAAAAATGAACTATTACCAACATCCCCCAAACCCACTTCTATCTCCTCCCAGAGACTATCCTTATCCACAGGGTAAGCTTATCCTGACTTCTAATGTTATAGATTGGTTTGCCTATGCTGCAACTTTATATAACTAGAAATATGCAGTAATTCAATTGTGCCTGGCTTGACTTAATATTATGTTCATGAGATTTATTCATAAAAGTATCAGGAGTTTGTTTACATTGTTCCATAGTATTTCAATGTACATCTTTATTTATCCATTCAATGTTTGAAAGATAGTTGAGGCCGGGCTCAGTGGCTCACACCTGTAATCCCTGCAATTTGGGTGGCTGAGGCGAGTTGATCACCTGAGGTCAGGAGTTCGAGACCAGCCTGGCCAACATGATGAAAGCCTGTCTCTACTACAAATAAAAAAAAATTAGCTGGGTGTGGTAGCGCGCACCTATAATCCCAGCCACTCAGGAGGCTGAGGCAGGAGAATCGCTGGAATCTGGGAGATGGAGGTTGCAGTGAGCCGAGATCATGCTACTGTACTCCAGCCTGGGCAATAAGAGCAAAACTCCAAAAATAAATAAATAAATAAATAAATGATAAAAAGAAAGAAAGTAAGTAAGTAAGTAAGTTAGTTGGGCAATTCGTAGTTTGGGGCTGTCGATAGTAACACAGTTTTAATTATTCCAGTGCAAGTAGTTTGGTGACCATTGCAGGCAGTTGTGTTGAGTGTATACTCAGGAGTAGAACTGCTGGGTCATGGGACACGCTTATGTTCAGCTTCAATAGACAGTACCAGACAGTGTTCCCAGAGTGTATCAATATGTGCTTCCAGATGTAGTGCATGAGAGTTCCAGTTATTTCATGTTCATGCTAACACCTGGCAGAGTGGTACTCTCTTATCTATGTGGGATACATTCCAAGACCCCTAGTAGATGCCTAAACCAGAGATAGGACCGAATCGTATTTATACTATTTTTTTCTATACATACATACCTATGATAAAGTTTAATTTATAAATTAGGCAGAATAAGAGATTAACAACAATAACTAATAATAAAATAGAACAATTATAACAATATGCTGTAATAAAAGTTTATGTAAATGTGGTCCCCCTTTCTCAAAATGTTATATTTTATGTAATATTTTTGAGCTGATATTGACTGCAGATAACTAAAACCACAGAAAGTGAAACCAGGGATAAGGGACTACTGTGTTGTTTTTTTTTTTTTTTTTTTTTTTTTTTTTTTTTTTATTTAAACCATGCTGGTGTGTGTGTAATAGTATCTCATTGTGATTTTAATTTGCATTTCCCTGATGACTAATGACACTGAACACCTTCTCATATATTTATTGCCATTTGGCAATCTCTCTTTGATACATCTGGTTCAAGTTTTTTTTCTCATTTTTCAATTGGGTTATCTAGCTTTTTCTGATTCATTTATAGGAATTCTTTATGTATTCTGGATTTGAACTCATTTTCGTATATATATGATATACACAGTACAGAAGATTATATATAAACACTGTGGCTTGCCCTCTCACTCTCTTCAAGGTGTCTTTTCATGAATGGTCAATACACTTTTAAAGGGTGTTCCCTCCCAAGCAGTCTCTCTTCTACAATTCTGGGAAACACAGAGAAAAAAATTATTTAATAGAAATGAACAAACGGAATGGTATGACTTTTTTTTTTTTTTTTTTTTTTTGAGACAGAATCTTGCTCTGTCATCCAGGCTGGAGTGCAGTGGCGTGATCTCGGTTCACTGCAATCTCCGCTTCCCGGATTCAAGTGATTCTCCTGCCTCAGTCTCCTGAGTAGCTAGGATCACAGGTGCATGCCATTACGCCTGACTCACTTTTTTGTATTTTTGGTAGAGACGGGGTTTCGCTATATTGGCCAGGCTGGTCTCAAACTCCTGACCTCATGTGATCCACACATCTCAACCTCCCAAAGTGCTGGGATTACAGGCGTGAGCCACCGTGCCCGACATCTGGTATGACTTTTGACAGTTTGAGTAGTAGTGAAATTAGAGAACCCTTTAATTCTCTGATGACCATGACCACATTTTTCTTCATTAAGTTATATGCTTGGACCCCTGGGTACTCATTCTATATATACTACCTGCCCATCACAATCTCTGAAAAATGTTCAACTGTCAGTTGACTTTGGTAACATATCAAATACAAAATGACTTCTAGTTATGATTCAATCATGCCCATCTCACCAGTTCACACAGGGGACTACGGGAGGACTAGAAAAAGGAGAATGTTCAAATATAAACAAAGTGACTTCAAAAGATAACTGGGAAAACAGAAAAAGGAGGCGAGGTTTTATTCAGCTGAAAATTAGACTTTGAATGAAGTCTTTTGAGAGTGTTGGTTAAGTATCCTCAGAGGCCAGTTTCTTTTCCACATTTACACAGAAGACAATTTACATAAGCAGAAGCTTGGTATCAGATGTAACCATAGAAACCTTGCCCTTCCATCGTATCGAGGGCATGTATTTGTTCTCCATTTAGTGCAATCTCCCTACACGCTAGACATGTGAAGCTTTACATGTTGATGTATCATTTAATAAATGGATCAGAGTTGGAGGAAATGCTGGAGGAATTGTAAAGAGGACTGGGAGAAGGGAGTGGAAGGAGATGGTTAAAATGAAGAAAACAAATCCTTAGGGATTTTAGTGGAGATTGGACCTGCCTAGGAAGTTACAGACCTAGTCTATGATGGCTAAGCTGTACAATGTTTACTGCCTAGAATTATGTAAACTCGGACTGAAAGGAAAAATGTTATAAAGGAAGGGGGTTACCCCATAGCTGTATTATAATTAGTCTCTTAAAAATCCAATAAAGTGTGCTCTACTCTAGTCCTTGGGGATCCTCTCTCTGGGCAACATGGTGACATATCAATCACATCAGGTATGTGCAGGTCTGAGGCTAACTTCTCCATGGCTTGTTGACTGAGAGCAAAGGTGATTCATGGAGTTGAGTGACCCTTTGGGTCCACTGCAACTCCTTATCCTGGGACCCTCCTAATTAGACTGCTTCCAGATTTTTCTGGGTCCCATTAGCTATGAACTTAAACTCAAAGTACATGTTGATGGCATTAAAAAAATTCATCCTCTTGTTCAAATGATTAAAATTAGTATCAGCAACACCATTATTCATTATTTAAAGCATTTCCTTCCCCACTCTGAGTGCTTCCTCTGAAGTGATTTTTTGCAGTGCTTACGCCGTCCCCACTGAGTCTCCGAGGGAAAGGAAAACCAAAGATCAATGCAGTCCAGCTGACCTGATAGGCCAATGCTTTGATTTGAAATGTGTTGAAATCACAAGGAGAGAAGAGCAGAACATTATCATATTTCACTTAGGCATTCCATCAGCAAATATTCAATATGGCCAAGCAATGCATTTATAACCTTGTGGAGAAAACACTTAGATGATGTCATCAATAAATGAAGCCATGGAGCATATTTTCATGCAGAAATTCTGTGTCTGGGATTAATGGGCCCATGACTTGTAGCCAAGTGGAGGATTCTGAAGACCAACCTTCCGACATAGAAAACAGTCATTTTTATACGAATGCTGTCATAAAATCCTCACTCATTCTAATGAGGATTGAGTATGGATTTCCCAGTGTAAACCAGTATCTCAGTAAAAGACACCTTGAATATCAATTTTCAAAAAAGAAAGGGGAAAATTGCCTAATAAAATTCCCCAGTCACCATAATCATTTAATATCTTTTTATGCCAACTTATATCAAGGTTTATATACTCCTTTGAAAAGTAAAATCTCTCTCCATGCACTAAATTGCTTAAAACATTGACCTTTCTGTACTGTAAACATTCTCTGCAGTTGAAAACATATGCTGAATTTGCAAATATGGCTTGTGGCAACTTTGTGATCTTGCTTATTAGAAATGCTTGTTGCTTTTGTGGTTATTGTACAAGGAAATTGGGTTTCTAGCTAACATTTCTCCCCAATAGACGCCTACAGTAAAGCTTCAATTGTGAATACTCTCCTTACAATTTTTCATGTATAATTTTGCAGTAAATTTTATTTGTGGGTGATGGAACTGTTTCTTTCAGAGAAAATTTGCTGATTATACACATTCTTTCCACCTTCCCTTCCTATAAAAAGGATAAATGTGAATGAATCATCTGAAATGTAATATGTACTATATATGTATATATTTTAAAATTATGTTTGCATTACTTTGGCCATTTTCGAAAAGCATACCAAAGGAACAAGAATTTGAGTTTCATGCAGAAAATAACTTGATGAATAGTGTTATCTAATTTGATTCCTCAAACGTTGTAGTGATTCTGATGAATAGCAATCAAATGCAAAGCAAAACCAGTTCAGACAATACCAAGTACAGAAGTTTTGACTTGCTGTAGAATATTAGAATATTAAATAGTATTAATGTTAAGATCAGAAGTTTATGGCTTGTTCACATCACAGTGCTGTGCATATAACAGGTGTTTAATAAGCATCTCTCGGCAGACTGATGAGTGGTGGGATTCAGTTGGTTAAAAATGAGGTGGGATGAACTATTCACAATTGCTTACATGTTGAAGCAAACCAGGTGTACACTGGCAGATGAATGAATGGGCAAAATGTGGTATACATATACAATAGAATATTATTCAGCCTTAAGAAGTAAGGGAATACTGACACGTGCTACAACAGTGATGAACTTTGAAGATACTATGTTAAGTGAAATAAGCTTATGACAAAAAGACAAATACTGTATGATACCACTTATATGAAGTACTTAAAGTACTCAAAATTATAGAGAAAGTAGAATAGTGGTTGCTAGGGGCTGGAGGTAGGAAGAAATGGGTAATTACTGTTTAATGGGTATAGAGTTTCAGTTTCAGTTTTTAAAATTTTTTTTTAGAATTCCCATTGTCTATCAGATCAGTTTTGCAAGACGAAGAGTTCTGGAGATGAGCGGTGGTGATGGTTGCATGAAAATATGAATGCATTTAATGCCAATGAACTATAGTCTTAAAAATGATTAAGATAGGACATTTTACATAATGTGTATTTTACCACAATTAAAAAAATCAGAAAAAAAATTCATGGCCATAACATGACATGATAACAGTATATTAAAGAATTTACTCAGATATTCCTGTAAAAAAATTAGGATGGTAAATTTTATGTTATGTGTATTCTACCACAATAAAAAAAAAAATTGAAAAAAAAAATGAGGTGGGCTGAGAATCTTGATTTACCAAATTTTCCAATAAAGAACAGAACCACTTGCCTCATTATAGTTTTCTATATCCTTTTGCTCTGTGACTTTAAATACTATTCCTGTGTACAACTTGCCTATTTCATCTCCAGGTCTGACTTCTGTTATGAGCTCCTGGGCCAGTATGTCTCACTACCTGCAGCAGATGTCCACATGGATGCCTCACAGGCAGCTCACAGTTAACCCGAATCACATGTTTCTACCTCTCATTTTTAATCTATTCCTCCTCCAATCACTCCTGTCTCAGTAAAGGGCACTGCAATCAACTCAGTTGCTCAAGAGAGAAACCTGGGTGTCACCTGGAATTCCTCCTCCTCTCTCATGTCCCACACCCAGAGCACCAGCTAGTCCTGTTGACTCCGCCTCTAACTTGTACCCTAGACCTGCTCCCTTCTCTCCCTCTCCTCTGCCTAGCCTAAGCTGCCATGCCATCATCCTTTGCCTGGACAATTGAAAAGCTCTCTTAACTGCTTTCCTCATTCCTCCTTTGCTCATTGTAGCCCGTTTTCCAAATAGAAGCCCCACGAGTTTGTCATGCAAATAACTGAGATAGCACTCCCTATGTAAAATGTGTTCATGCTTTCCCACCATACTCGGGTTAAAATCTAAACGCTTTCTTGAGGCCTAGAAAACCTGTATGAGTCTCACCCTCTCTTCTCCCCTCTACCCCTTGCTCATCCTGCTCCAACCACATTTGCCTTCATTCAGTGATTTCCATTCGCCACCCTCTTTCCTCCTTAGAGTCTTCATTCACGCCATTCCTCCCACCTGGAGTGTTCTTCCCCTGCTCTTTGGCAGGCTGCGACCTTTCATGATTCAGGTCTCAGCTTATATGTTAGCCCTTCAGGCCCTCCTCAGCAACCCTGTCTAAAATATTTCAACTTGCTGTTTTTACTCATCGGACTCTTCCTTTTGTATCATTTTCACAACTTATAATTATATATATGCATATATTTATATATATATATAAAATTTCTGTACATATATAAATGTGTATATTATACTTTGTATTTTATGGTATTATTTTAAATGTCTGTCCTATTAGACCGTACACTTTATAAAAACAGGGCCTGTATTAGGTTCACTTTTGTTTCCTAAGCTGTTAGAGCCATGGTCAGCATGTAGTAGAAACCATTTGCAGAACAAATAAAGGAATGAACGGATTGCATCTACATATAATTCAAGAATAAAACCCTGGGTCTTTTCATCAAGTCAAACTTAAGAGTCGACTGCATTTGGTAAAGGATGTGAAAACCCTTTGTAAGGTTTTGTACAAATGTGATGATTTTCATTTCCTACTGATAGCATGGCTGATTTAGAATCCCAATGCTACATACTTCTATAGCTGAAAGAATTCTTTAAACATAATCTTGCTTGACCTTCTCATTTTACAGACAAAAAGCTGCCCAACTCACCAATTCAGATAACCCACCTCCCATCATTCATATGACTGACACCACCTGTTTCTTTCTTGTCTTGCCTGTAAATCTACACTTAAATTTTTGTAAAAATAGAGACAGGTCTTGCCATGTTGCCCAGGCTGGTCATAAGCTCCTGGGCTCCAGCGATCCACCTGCCTTGGCCTCCCAAAATTCTGGGATTACAGGTGTAAGCCACCATGCCTGGACTACACTTTTTGGCTCCAGGTATGGGTGGAATATTCTAAAATCCTATAAAGCTCATTTATGAGAACAATTACCTGATATTTATATTTTGTTCTTAAATACAAAGGTTTATGCCATTGTACATTGCTTTTTCATCTCAGGAGTAGAGACTTGAAACAGATTATCAAGAGACCACCTCCCCAGCTTTCCTCCTCCTAAATAATTGGAGAGCAACAAGCATAAAAGCCTCAGAACTCCCTTCATTTCTCCCCACGTCTCAGTAGTATTTTAGATTGTTAGAATGGATGGGGAGAACATAAAAACAAAGGAACATTTTTATCTCCTTTTCTTTTATGCCAGCACTATTGATCTGCTATTCAGGAATACGGTTATGTTTTCAACTTAGCAGAAAATGAGAGCTTCATAGCAGTTACATGCTATGTCTTTTCAAACATCAGAATGTACAGGTTGCAAATATTCAGCTCCTGTGAGGTCCTTTGTGTCGAATTTAATTTTTTTACAAATAGAAACATCAAGGTAGGAGTACTATTCTGATGTCAATGTAACTTCTGCAAGAGCTGTAAATGTGTATAGGTATAACTACTTTGCTAAAAGTACTGACACTGCAATTTCACCGATCTTTGTTTAAAGGATTAAAACAAACTTAAAACCTATGTAGTACCTTCCTGAAATGGCTTTTGCTTTATTCTTTCATTCTCAAGAAGCCTGTTCTGTGCTTGCTCTGTGCATTGGATGAAGCACAATCTTCAATGTCAAACGCAACATGGATACTGTTCTACAAGGGGTTGCAGTATTTTGGTGCAGACAGCTAAGTTAATCAATTGCTGTGATATAGTATGGTAAGAACAGAGTGCTATAGAAGCCCAGAAATGGAGTATGTAAATCCATTTCTCAGACTCAAGGGCTAGAAAAGGCTCTCTGGAAGTTTCTAGACTGTGGAGAATGAGAAAGGCATTTTAAGCAAAGGAAAGCCTTTACAAAAGCAGAGAGTGAAGAGAAGAAGACAGAAAAGAGGGAAGGGAAAACAATTTAGCTCACACCATGGGGCTTTAAAAGAAATAAACGTGCTCTTCTTATCAAGTCTGCACTAGTCAGCCTGGCTATATGGAAGCCCATTGCTAAATTTAACCTCTTAATATTGGTAATAAGAAATGGCTAACTTAGGCTGCATTAATTTGTCTGGGAAACCATATGAGTAGTTTTGGTGAGTGGGGCAGGAAAAAGATTTCTGAGGACAGAGTACTAATTTTCTGGGATCTTCTGTCTTTTAAATGGCATTTTTCATTTCCTAAATCTTTCACACCGTGAAATAAAGTCCTATGTACTCTTATTTTGAGCAGTTTATTAAACTGCTCAAACACATTCCAAAGGGAGCAGCTTTGGAATCTGACCTTTTTTATTAATCATTATTCTTCACGTTTGCAGCTCTATATCCACTGAGAAGGGCACTGACTTCTGTGAACCAGACACGGTCCCAGTAACAAATCTTGGTATCTTCCTGCTTTCACCTACCTCATGGGTTTAAAATGACTCTTGGCAACATTTGACAGATATGAATTATATGTGCTCTGGTACACAAGCATAAATAAAATGCTGGAGATGGAGGAATAATTGCAAGTCTCATATATGCATTTATCTTTGTGTGAAGCCTAGTGACTCTGTACTATGTCAGAAAGATAATAAAAAAAGGAGATAGCCTGAATTATGAGCATCTAGGTTTGTCTCTTGAAAATAACTCAGTTATTGAAAATAACACTGCTCGTAATACTCACACAGTATGTTGGCTCTCTGGGACAAATGGCAGGATTTAAGCCAGAAAGCAGAATTTGCATTGGTAGGTTGACATTTCCTGACATTAAACCTCTTCAGTGTTTATTTGATAACTTGGTTAAAATTATAAGATTGAGGTGGTTGGGTACACACACACACACATACACACACACAAACACACTTCTTTTTTTCCTCATGAGAACAGTCATAATGTTTAACTTTGGACTTCAGAATCTGTGATGGTTAATTTGATTGTCAACTTCATTGAACTGAAGGATGCAAAGTATTGTTCCTGGGTGTGCCTGCGAGGGTGTTGTCAAAGGAGATTAACATTTGAGTCAGTGGACTGGGAGAGGCAGACTCACCCTCAACCTGGATGGGCACCATCTGATTAGCTGCCAGCATGGCTGGAATAAAGCAGGCAGGAGAAGATGGAAGAGCAGACTTGCTGAGTCTTCTGGCCTCCATCTTTCTCCCATGCTAAATGCTTCCTGCCCTCAAACGTCAGACTCCAAGTTCTTCAGCTTTTAGACTCCTGGACTTACACCAGTGGTTTGCCAGGGGCTCTTGGGCCTTTGGCCACAGACTGAAGGCTGCATTGTCAGCTTCCCTACTTTTGAGGTTTTGGGACTCAGACTGATGCTCCACTGGCTTCCTTGCTCCTGAACTTGCAGACGGCCTATTGTGGGAGTTTACCTTGTGACTGTGTGAGTCAATTATCCTAATAAACTCCCCTTCATATATACATATACCCTATTAGTCTCCCCCTCCAAAGAACCTTGACTGACATAGAATCAAATTTGCCAAAGGCTCTCTAAGCCTTCTCAAAAACTTCCATCCCCTTTCTGTATGGGGGTCTAATGATGACAGAGCTGAGTGACAATGGCCATAGGCATATTCAGATTCAAGATAAAGAAAAGTGGGAGTTACCCTCGAACGTCCTACCCATAAATGAACATTCTAGCCCCACAGGGAAATATTCTAAATTGTGACATGGAATGAGGGGGTGGGAGGTTTCCTTCCTTCTTTTTTCCACTGATTCAAGGTGACTCAGATTGGCCTTTCTGTGTAACCGGTTATTAGTCTCATAAACATAGACTATATTAAAACATCTGAACTTTACGAAGTTTAAATCGGTAAAGAAGATAACTTTTATTGTGAAAGATATGGAGGAAAAAAGAAAAACCCAGGTAAAAATTTATTTTATCTTTCTTACAAATCTTTTAACTGTTATTATTTAGAGTTATAGTTTTCAATGAAGTGTCCCCTTCTAATCATGACTTTTTTTTGAGACAGGGTCTTGATCTGTCACCCAGGTTGGAGTACAGTGGTATGATCATAGCACCCTGCGGCCTCAACCTCCTGGGCTCAAGTGGTCCTCCCACCTCAGCCTCATGAGTAAGCTAGGATTACGGGCACATGCTACCATGCCCAGATAATTTTAAAATATTTTGTAGAGATGGGCTCTGACTATGTTGCCCAGGCTGATCTTGAACCCTTCGCCTCAAGCAATCCTCCCATCTTGGCCTCCTAAGGTGCTGGAATTTACAGGCATGAGCCACGGCTCCCAGTCTACCTGCAACTTGAATATCACTGAAAAATGTTGACTTTGCAAGGTATATAGGTTAAACTCTGCTTACATACTTATAGCCATTACTCTCAGAATCTCATAGGTATTTTATAGATGAATTTGCCAACTAGTTCTTATTTCCTAAAGCTAGAATCACTCTCAGCATTGATAAATGATGTCCTGAAAAGTTTTTCATCTTTTCCTCTTACAATTCTTAAAATAACAGCACTGACATTGATTAAGCCTCATTAACATTAAAATATCATTCAAAGCATGTTTTAAATAAGCACTAACCTAAGTATAGCTAAACTGAATACTTTCTAACGAAATTGAATTTTTAAAACTTAAAATCTGCATTCAAGAATCTTGATGGTATAAAGGTTTAGCATTTTAGCCTGCACATGCTAAATTTGCTGTCTTTGGCCACTCAACATCTCTAAATGCCTTTAGAGATTGGCATTAGTTGGGCTGTTTTAAGATAAAGCCACAGTGGAAAACAAAAATGCCTATGGAGGCCAGATGGGCAAACAAGGTCAGGCTTAGAGCTTCTAAACTCAGCCAGGCTTTGCTATACCTCAGTGTCATCCCATTGTGACCAGATCTTCATGCTATTTTAACAAATAGCCAGAAAGTGTGGGTTTTTATGTGAAACTCCTTGGGTCTTTCAGGGGTTGGCAAGTCATTAAAAATATTCACTTATACCATGTTATGGGACAACTGACCAATGTAAGATGACAAATGACTAAACTGCAGGCCATGGATGGTAACTTGAAAACACCTTTTTAAAACTGACCTACTACATTTCATTTCTCTTAGCTAGAACTCTACCCAATTTTACCTCCCTGGCCTAACCTTTCTCTACTTTAAATTCATTCTTCCTTCTGACTCAAGTCAGTTTTCTTGAAGTATAATTTGCATCTAGCAAAATTCACCCTTTTTAAGTACACAGTTTGATGAGTTTTGGCAAAGGTGTAGGCATGCAACCACCACTACAATTAAAATATAGAACATTTTCCTCACCCCACAAAATTCCTTGGTGCTTTATAGTTAGTTACCCCTGAGACCCTCAGGCTCTGGCAACTTTGGTCTGTGTTTTGTCCCTATAGTTTTGCCTTTTCCAGAATGTCACTGCATGTATTAGTAGCTGCTTTCTTTTCATTGCTGAGTAATAGTCCATTGTACAGCCATACCACAATTTATTAAGCCAGTTGATATGGTTTGGTTGTGTCCCCACCCAAATCTCATCTCGAATTGTAATCCAAATTGTGCTCCCCACATGCTGAGGGACGGACATGGTGGGAGGTGACTGGATCATGGGGCAGTTCCCCCATGCTGTTCCCGTGATAATGACGGAGTTCTCACTAGATCTGGTTGTTCGATAAATGTCTGGTGCTCCCCTCTTCTCTCTGTCTCGCCTAACACCTTGTAAAATGTGCCTTGCTTCCCCTTCACCTTCTGCCATGATTGTAAGTTTCCCAAGGCCTCCCAGCTATGAGAAACTGAGTCAATGAAACCTCTTTTCTTTATAAATTCCCCAGTCATAGGTAGTATCGTTATAGCAGTGTGAGAACAGAATAATACACTGGTCGATGGTCATTTGTGTTTTTTCAAAATTTTTTGGCTATTATAGCTTCTATAAACACTCACATACAGGTTATCTTGTGGACATGTTTTCATTTCTTACGGGTAAATACCTAGGAGTAGAATTGTTGGTCATATTGTAAGTGCATGTTTTACTTTATAATAAACCTCCAAACTATTTTCCAAAGTGGCTGTATCACTTTGCATTCCCACCAGCAATAAATGAGAGTTCCAGTTACTCCTCATCTTATAGAGTTATCTCACTGTAGTTTTAATTTGCATTTCCTTAATGGCAAATGATATTTAGCTCCTTTCATGGGGTTATTTACAATCCTTTATCTATTATGGACAAATGTACATTCAAATCTTTTGCTACTTTTATTGGGTTCTTTGTCTTCTTATTGAGTTTAGGAGTTCTTTATATAGTCTGGATACAAGATTTTTACCAAATATGTGCTTTGTAAATATTTTCTCCTAGTCTCTGGCTTTTCTTTTTCATTTACAGTGTGTTAAGAGCAAAAGTTTAACATATTTTCTTTAGGTTTCACGCCTTTTAGTCTTACTTAAAACACACACACACACACACACACACACACACACATTATCACACTCACAAAAAACAAAAAAAACAAAACCTAGGCCTAATCCTAAATACAAAGATTTTTCTCCTATTTTGTTCTTCTGGAAATTTTATGGTTTTACATGGTAAATTTAGGTCTATGATCTAATTTGAAGTTTTTTTTTTAAATGGTGTGAGGGAAAGGTTAAGGCCTCTGACTTTGAAGTTGTTGAATATCCTAGAATGCAAGTATGGTAGCCAGCTGTATATTATCCTATGTGATTAATTTCTCTAGTCAGAGAATGGCATTTTGCAGTCCCACGACAAACTATGTCTGCCATTTTCTTCCAATTAGATTACTATTGATCATTTTTTTCTAATAGAATGGTTTATGACCATAATTTTATCTCCTCTTAATTATCAGCTTTTAGGCGGCTGACTTAGAAAATTAGACAACTACTACTTCTTTTTACAGCCTTAGTTTCAAGCTTCTGAGCAGCACTGTGAACTTGCCCAAGATGGTCACTTAATTGCTGTAAAGTCTTGGGCAAAAATTCTCCTTGTTTTCTCATTTTTAGATGGATGTTAAAAATAAGTGGTTTTTCTACTTCTCAGTTTTGCAAAACTTCTTGTCATGATTTTTCCTCTTGAGCATTTAAAACACATTTTAGATGTAATAGAAAGCCAAACAGACCACAGCAAACACTGGAATTCAGACTCCGTGGAGTCTGGTACATGGTTCCAGGACTTAGGCTTTTGGCATCAAAGGCCTTTCTAGCTTGCTTACATCTCAGCAGTCAATAATTTAAGTTATTCCTTCCGTGTTAACCATAGAGAGGTGATTATGTCTTTCTAATATGTCTGTTTTCAGAATATCTGCTACTCTCCTTCTGCACATCTTTAACAAGCAAAGCAACAGGGATAAAAGCTGCCAAGTGGGGAATATGTCATTAAGAAATGCAAAAGCCTCATCACTAAGTTTTTCATTTTTTATCTATCGGAATAAAACTTCCTATCTTGCTACATTACAAGAAGACAAAACACTCCCTTTTCTTTACAACTTGGTTTTTCCATCTTAGAGACAGCCTTATTTTTATTTGCAACAGTGTATTTCTTAGTAACATCTTAGAAACACTTAGCAATCTTCCACTCATAAACTTGTTTTCGGGGAGAGGGAGGGAAAAAAGCTTGATTGAAACGAGTACAAGAGAGAATAAGAAGGCCGGGTGCAGTGGCTCACGCCTGTAATCCCAGCACTTTGGGAGGCCGAGGCGGGAGGATCATGAGGTCAGGAGATCAAGACAACCCTGGCCAACACGGTGAAACACTATCTCTACTAAAAATACAAAAAATTAGCCGGGCGTGGTGGCGGGCGCCTGTAGTCCCAGCTACTCGGGAGGCTGAGGCAGGAGAATGGCGTGAACCTGGGAGGCAAAGCTTGCAGTGAGCCGAGATCACGCCACTGCACTCCAGCCTGGGCGACAGAGCTAGACTCCGTCTCAAAAAAAAAAAAAAAAAAAAAAAAAGAGAGTAAGCCAGGAAGCAAAGAGAATGCTATAAAGAAGTTTGTTGGAAGAGGAAAAGAAAAATAGGCTGGTGGAAATGAGGGTTTATAAAGATGGAAGATACTGGTGACAAAGAATGGACAACTTCATTCAGGTGCTTGGCAAACTAATATGAACAGTGTTGGTGATCAGGGCAGGAAACAGACCTGCACAGAACTCTCCACCCACTTTTTCCAGGTCCCCAGTGACTTTCACATGGCCAAACCCAATGGCCTAATCTCAGCCCTCATTTATCGAGCCTATGAGTAGCATTAGTGCAGTAGGTCATTATCTTTTCCTTGAAAGACTTTGCTCATTTGACTTCTGGAACACAACCTTCTCTTATGTTTCCTCCTTTCTCTCCATCTACTCTTTCTCGATCTCTTTGGCTGGTTTCCTTTAACTCCCCAGTTTTAGGCATTGGATTGCTTTTCTTCCTTACCCATACTCATGTCCTAGGCTAATTCATGTCCTAGGTGAATTCATTCAGTCTTATTGATTTGTATACTAATATAGTAGGCAGAATAATACCCTGCTTCCCAAAGATGTCTATAGCCTAATCCCTGGAACCTACGAATATGTTATCTTGCATGGCAAAAGGGAATTAAGGTTGAAGATAGCATTAAGGTTGCTAACAAACTGTCCTTAAAATTGAGACATTAGCCTGGATTATCCAGGGCAGGGCCAATATTAGTATTAGGACATGGAGCCTTTAGGAGGTGATTAGGCCATGAGGGCAGAACTCTTATGAACGGTATAGTGCTCTTATAAAGGAGGCTGGAGGGAGCTTGTCTGCTCCTTCCACCATGTGAGGACACAGTGAGAAGGCACCATCTCAGAATCAGGAAACCGGCCCTTAAAGGACACCAATCTGCCGGTGACTTGATCTTGGACTTCTTAGCCTGCAAAACTCTGAGAAATAAATTTATGTTGTTTAGAAGCTCCCCAGTCTACAGCATCTTGTTATGGCAGCCTGAACAGATGAAAGCAGAAATTGGTACAAAGAAGTAGGGGTGTTGCTTTAACAAACACCTAACAATGTGGATTGGTTGAAACTGGTAGAGGCTGGAAGAGTTTCGAAGCACATGCTTTAAAAAGCCTACATTGCCATAGACAGACTATTAAAAGTGATTCTGGTGAGGGCTCAGAAGAAGAGGAGAGTCATAGAGAAATCCTCACTCTTAGAGAATATCTCAGTGGCTGTGAACAGAAAGTTGATAAAAATATACACAGGAAAGGCCATTCTGATGAGGTCTTGGGCAGAAATGAGTAACATATTACTGGAAACTGGAAGCAAGGCTGTCCTTGGTACCAAGTGAGAAGGAACTTGGCCCAATTGTATTCATGCCCTAGCATTTTGTGGAAGGTAGAATTTTTGAGCTATGAAATAGAATATTTGGTGAAAGAAAATTTTTTTCTTCATTTTTTTTTTAAGAGCCAGGGTCTCACTCTGTTGTCTAGGCTGGAGTGCAGTGGCACAGTCATAACTCACTGCAACCTCAACCTCCTTGGCTCAATTGATCCCCCTCTTTCACCCTCACAAATAGCTGACACAGGCGCATGCCACCATACCTGGCATATTGTTTTATTTTTATTTTGGTAGAGACAGGGTCCTGCTATGTTGCCGAGTTGTCTTGAACTGCTGGCTTCAAGCAATCCTCTCATCTTGGCCTCCCACAGCACTGAGATTATAGGTATGTGCTACTGTACCTGGCTTGGCAAAAGAAATTTCTAAGCAAAGTGTTGAAGGTGTGGCATGGCTTCTCTCGACTGCTTATAGTAAAATAAAACATGAATGATTTAAGGATGAAATTTTTAATCAAAAAGGAAGTAAAACTTACAGATTTGGAAAATTTTCAGCCTGTCCATGTTATAACAAATGAGAAATCATATTCAAGACAGAACACCAAGAGTGTGGCCAAGAACTGTTTGATAAGGAGACTAGCATGCACTGGCCAGTTGCTATTCATCAAAACATTGAAAGAATGACCCCAAAGGTACTTCCCCATCATTAGTGCTGTTCCTGTCATCACAGGTCCAGAGTACAAGGGCCTTGAGAACAGAACAATTTCAAAGGAAGGAATTAGGGTACCCATGGGACCTCAGCACTCATTGCCTGGTCCTGCTTCAAGGCCCTGCTCCCTGCTTATGGCACAGCACTCCTCAGCTGCCCCAGGTTTGGCTCCAGTGCTTCTAGATGCATTGTGGACTGTGGTGGCTTCCCCTTCTTTGGAGGGCACAGATGGTAAACCATGGCAGTGTATTTGAGGTGTCATTGCCAGCTGGTGGGGGGCATGAGTCATGGGGGTATGTACCTCCACCTAGATTTTGAAGGATGGAGGTACCCAGAGCCTCAGACACATGACTCAGGCAGAGGGTGATGCCCAGTGGAACTGTGGTTGCCTCCAATACCTCAGATTCGTAGAGCTACCAATGGTCAGTTCCATCCTGGGAGAGCCATAGGTTTGCTACTCCAACCCATGAGAGCAACAGTATGAGCGGTCTCCAGCAAAGTTGTGGTGGGGGTCCAAAGCCATGGGAGCAAGGCTACACAGAGCCGTGAGGGCCCAGTCCCTGCCCAGTAAACCTGTGGAGGCAGGACCTCTGCCTCAGTGGAGACTGAAGGGCAGAGCATCAAGTCAAAGAAGATTATTCTGGAGCCATTAGAGTTGATGTTGCTTGCCCTCTTGGATGTTGCTTGCCCTCTTGGGTCCTGGACTTGTTTAAGATCTGTTACTCCTCCCTTCTTTCCTGTTTCTCACTTTTGAAATGGGAGTGTCTGTCCTACCATTGTATTTTGGAAGCATGCAACTTGTTTAATTTCACAAGTGCATAGCTGGAGAGGAAAGCACCTCAAAATGAACTCCCTTGAGTCTCACCCCATGTTTGATTTAGATGATATTTAGATGAGACTCCAATTTAGACTTGATGCTGGCACAAGTTGGGATTTTTTGGGGGTAAGGGTTTGACATGGACATATCTTTGTGAGAAGAACACGACTATGGGAGGCCAGGGGTGAAATGCTATGGTCTGAATGTTTGCATCCTCCAAAATCCATATGTTGAAACTTAATCCCAAATGCCATAGTATTCAGAGGTGGAATCTTTATGAGATAACTAGGTCATGAAGGAAAATCTCTCATGAATCAGATTACTGCCTTTATGAAAGAGGCAAGGGAGCTTGTTTGCCCCTTCCACCATGTAAAGAGCCAGTGAGAAGGCACCATCTATGAATCAGGAAATGGGGTTCTCACCAGATACTGAATCTGCTGGTACCTTGATCTTGGACTTCCCAGCCTCGAGGACTGTGAGATAAATTAATTTCTTGCTGTTTAGAAACCACTCAATCTATGATATTTTGTGATAGTAGCTGGAATAGACTAAGACAATATATCAAAATCTGGCACATCTGTTAATGGCATGTTTTGCAGACTATCAACAGCTTCCTCAAACCTCCTTTGCATATAGGCTGCTGTCCCTGAGGCCACTAATGAAACCTGATCTTTTTAAAATGAGTGATACTCTACCCTGCCTAGGCATGAGAATAACTTCTGGCTTAAAAAAAAATTGAGCCTTCTCTAACTTGACTGAGTTAGCAATCTCACAAGAATGAGGCTGAGAAATTTCTACTGAAAACAAACCCAACAACCTTCTCCAGGTCATTTCCATGCACAGCCATGCTGGGAACCAATGGCTTAGACATCTGAGAAAAGTGAAAATATGAGTATCCCTGGAATAAACAAGATGTATATTGTTTAAAGACTGTGTTAGCAGTGATTGTTGTCTAAATGTGAAAGAACAACCCAGAGGGTAGGTTTTGATCCAGAGAGGAGTGAAGATAATTTGAGGCTATGCAGTGTGTTAGTGACTGGAAAGCAGGAGTTGCTGGGATTCAGACTGGAAAGAATACAGGCTTTGTCTTAGGGAGGAATCGAGTTTGAATCCTGTCTACACTGCTGCTTTGTAGCCTAGGTCAAATTCATTAACTTCTGGGAGTCTCACTTTCCTCCTTCCTTGTTTGTGGAATGGAGAGATATGAAATAGTGCTTACCTCCTAAGACTTCTGTGAGGATTAAATTGAAATGATGAGGGGCAAATACATGATTTTGTCTTAACAATATTCCTGAAATTTTGGAGGAAAAGTAACAGTGTCTTTTATGACAAGCACAAAATACAACTCAAGCATACATACAATAACTGGTTATCTCACCCAAGAAGTATCCGCTGGGCTTGCTGGTTTTACAATGACACTACTGTGAAATATTAAGATCGCCTATGATTGGAAATCACTGGGAGGGACAAAGAGAAAGCTTTCTGTTCTAAAGCTGAGAGTGAACAAAAATGGAATTTGTGGCAGCTACCTTAGCTCTAATAGTATTAAGTACCAAGTAATTTCTGATTTTTAAATACAAAAAATTATGCATAGAATCCCTGCAGGAAATGAAGAAATAGTAACAGTAGGGTTTTCAGCCCAACAACTGCACTGACACATGGATATTTTGAAGGAAGATGCCTCATCTCTGATTTTCACAGGATGTCAGAGTCTTTGGTAATTAATGTTCACTACTCCAGCAATTAGGTTCTTGTCAGTTAATCATCCATACACACACACACACACACACACACACACACACACACACACACACACACACATTTCTTTGCCAGAAAAGCCAGTCTTTCTATGGTTATATTGGCATTGCTTTTGTTCCCCAGTGGAGAAGATTAGAGAACACTCAGAGCAGTTTATGAAAAAGTACAGCAAGGTTCTTTCTCTCTTCATTTCTTTTTGATTAGAGTTGAATGCAGCAGAGCTGGCTTGTAAAGTCAGAAGAATGGATGGCCAGAGACAGCAGTCTGGAGACTATTAAACAGAGAGAGCTCATTTCCCTGGTTTTGATGTGGTCATATCATCTGTAAATTATAGCACTCAGCTGTTTTTCCACATAGTCATTATTCTGTCATTTGTGTGGCTGCCAATGCTCTCCTTTTTAACCATGCACTGTATGAACTCCAGAAGCAGCTGTTTCAGGAGTGAGCCAGTTCAGAGAGAATAAATATAGAGAAAACAAATGGTATTAAAATAGATTAAGTTTTAACATCTTTTACATTATCTTTTTATCACCCTTTAAATAAATCCTGACCTTGTGTTGGTTTAGATTTGAATGTGACTTGAATCTTTACTGTTCAATATTTTAGGACTATATTAGGACTACATATATTTAGGACTAGCCAGGGACTCATTGTAATTATAATTTTTGGTTTATTCACTGATGGGAACTACTTTAACTTCAGTCCTCATCCTTTCCTACTCATGATTCTGGAAGCTTTCTTTTGGAAAATAGTCCATTTATATAATTAAATGCTTTCCAGTTGTACATTTTGCCATATGAAAGCTTTTCAATAATTTTCTAAAACAGTAAGTTAGATAACCTATTGTGATGGTTACTTTAAGGCGAATGTGACTGAGACACCCAATTTCATGAATGGCACTGAGGCCTGACATCTCAAGTCTGAATGAGAGGAGTTTCTTTGTCTAAGTAGGTATAGTAGACACTTGGGATCTGTGTCAGCATCCATTTCCCCTTCTGATGAAACAACATCATTTGTCTTTCGGGAAAACACCCTCTCCCAATCTTACTCCGTTTGGCTTGGTGGTGCTGCTTCAACCCATAGGATCAGCTGGATTCATGACCCAAGCCTGGCCAATCAGACGATCCCATTTCTAGTCCAGTGATTGGTTGAGGGATGGGGATGTGAACCAAGGAAAGCCAATGATATTCAGTTCTGAGACTTTTGATTGGAATCATTGGGAGAGACGGAAAGCTGTTTCTGCTGGATTACTTAGTTGATAAAATTTAAGCCTAGAGATCCTGCTGGTATTCTTTTGTGCTGGAGATGACAATAGAGAAGGGAGCAGAGCCAGGAGATGGAGAGATGGGGAGAGTGAGGGAGGAGTAAGACACCATTTGAGCTGCTGGATACAGCCTCATCTAAAGGCATAATTATCTGTGACTTTTCAATTGCATAAACCAATAAATCCTAATTTTTACATAAGCCACTTTGAGTTGGATTTTCAGTTGCTTTCACCTAAAATATTCCTGACTCCAAAGTCCAAGATTAGGATGTTGGGATTATTCTTTCTTTTTTCTCTCTTTCTCCTGTATATGTGACATTAGGCAAATCATTTAATCTCTTAGACGTAAGCTTTATTTTTGTATAACATGAAATAATGGGTGCAAAAGAGCCTTAGTTTTAGTGTGTTCAATAAATGATAACATGTATTATTTTGTTGTTATATCTAAATTTGTAACAGCAATCATAATAGTAATAGGCACCTCCTTCTCTGCATATTACTGCAACCTTGACAGAGCCAACTTTTGACAAAATGACTTTGATATTATCCATTTCCTCCAAAAATAAGCCCAAGGATATGATTATTTTTATCTAATTGTATGAGGAAATAGACATCTTAATTTGCTGGAAACCACACAGAGCAATTCACTGAACATGAATACACACACGCACATACTCCATTGGCTTCTTCTTTCCTAATTGCAGTGGGGGAGTCACTGGGGATGTTAGAATCTAGCTGTATATTTCCAGAGGCATTATAAAAATATAAATTATAATAAATGCAAAATGTGACTTCTTAAAGAGTATTCTTTTGGGAGTGACATTAACATGTTTGAAAATTGCAGTGATAAAGCACCACAAACACTTCATTTCACATTCTGAGGGGAAATATTATTTGGGATGTATATCTCAAATAGAGCCTTACTTGTGAGCTACAGCCTAGGGTTCTGGCTATCAATAAATGCACCGATTCAATGAGAAAAATGTGAAATGCTAAGAAGAGTGTTTGAGATATAAAATGTGCTCAACAAATGTCATTTTCTCCCTTTTCATCCGTCTATCCGTCTGTCATACATTCAGGCCCTAAACGTGTCAATACAACACAAATCATTCAAATACGTTTTTAGAAAATGTCCAATTTAGCAAATCAATAAGTTGGCTAAATATTTTCACTTCCCCAGGTATATAAAAGAGAATCAAGTTTATGTTGTACTTAATAGTACACTATATTAATATATTAGCATTAATTACAAAAACTAGAGTATATCCTAATTAACGGTAAGTTCCATTGCTATGTAACAACCATGGAAAAATCTGATAGATGAAACAACCAAACATTATTACTGATGCACAGGCAGATCCAGTTTTCCATCAATAGGCCCTCATTTTCTAATCTTGAGAGGTTAATTGAATAAAATTCTAAATCTGCTCCTCTTGTATTTGAGGTGCAATGGAGACTTCTACTTGGAATGCTTTCAGAATCACCTTGTGTATGGTTCAGGAAGTAGAAACTAAAGATCTGAAGAGATCTGTCATCAGGATCTGATTCTACTAATGTGATAAAAAAAGGAGACATCCTCTTTTTGAAGCAGAATTGAAGGGGCTCTTGATGTACAAAAGTAGCTTCAAATGCATTGAACAAAATTCTTGATTTTCCCTTGAAAGAATAGGAAGGAGTACTGTTGCAACTGTTCTGTTACTACAAAGTTTTGCAACTTTTCTCTTTCTTTCTTCCTTACCTTTTCAAGCAGACTTTCTGAAAGTATGCTTACAGTGTAAGAGGAAGAAGTCTTACTTTGACTGTGGGCTTTCAAGAAGTGATGAAGTATTTCTATTTAGAAACAATTTATGGTGAAATTGAGAAGTTGGTGGTCTGTCCAGTTTTTCTCTTCTTCTAAGGCTGTGGTAAAAGGAGCAAGAGCTCTAGACTCAGAGAGACCTGGGTTCAAATCCTGGCTTTCATCTTAAAAATCTATAAACTTAGGGAAGGACATGTTACTTAAACTATGCAAACCTTTTTTTTTTTAATCTTATAAATCGAGAAAAATTATATCTGCTTCAAAGAGTTGTAAGAATTAAGAAATGTATGCAAAGAATTTTGCCTTCTCCCCAACATGCATGACTTGTTTCATAGTGAACAGTTGTCTCCCCAACTCTCTTGGCTCCCCTGACCCAGAACCCTGTATTCTCATGTGGTTATTTCATAACATGTGCTTTTCAGTATGCTCAGGAAATAGCCTTTGCATCTAAATTCTTCTTTGTCTTTTTCTCAATCGTATTTACCTGGCCTGTATTTCATTTTTAAATTGAAAATAGGAGGTGAAGGATGATAATGAAAAATGAACATAAGACTTGGCTTAGTCAATTGACCTACCTTGGAAAAAAGACACATGGTCCCTCACACTTAGCCTAAGTGTCATTTGCAAAATGGCAATAATTCTACCTCTCAGGGCTACTGTTTTGATGATGCCTTTCTGTGCAGGAGAAGACTGTATAATATACGTCATGTCACACCTATATGGGAGGTTATTGTTAATTTGCAGTTAATTACCTCTTCTAAGATTAGTTTCTTAACCTGATAAAAATGTTCAATAAAGTCCCAGGAAAGTGAGGTAGGTTTTTGGAGTGGTGAAAAGAACCCAGTTGTTGACATCAGGGCTACAGAGACTCTTTTAATTGTATTATTTTTCTATCATTGTGACTGTGGACATGTCTTGATCTTTCTGGTCCTCAGTGTTCTCAAGTGAAAAAATACAGATCTTCATACTCATCTTACAGAAGATTTTATGAAGATTAACTGTAATTATGTATGTAAAACAACTAGCATAGTGCCCGATACAAAGATACTCAATAAAAATTGCTGGTACAATAAGGATTTAAGGCAATATGTAGGTTGGGCAGTAGGATCTTAGAGTGATTGTGCTACTATAGGTGGCTGCTTTTCCTATCCAGATGAAAGTTGAGGTTTGGTTAAAATTTTGGGGTTCTCATGAAAACCAGTGTACAACTGATTCCTGTTGGACTATATTGAGATGAGTTGGCAGCAAACACGATAATTCTTTATGCAATCAGTTGAGGATGGGGTGTCACAAAGATCCCTTTTAGCTTCTAAATTTGAGAAACAGACCATAAAATGGTTACCCTCTTCAACTGCAACTAGTAAGAACCAAACATAAATGAATGAGATTAGCCACCTATGGGAGGAAGAAGAACACTTGTGAATATGGTCTTGAGAAGCCTTCAGTGTCTCCCACACTAATCAAGGTAACAAAGGCAGATCTCCAGGTTACGCTGACTGGTTTCCAGGTAGTATACAGGAAGTTGTGCTTTACTTGGTTGTTCTGAAACTGACCTTACCGAGTTAAAATGTATAAGGTGTTAACAAGCTCTGTCCAAGGGTAAAAGATGGGAGGATAACTAGAAAGATTTTGCATGACTCAGTAAAATATTCCTTTAGATCATAAAACAAAACAAAGCAAAAAAGAAAAGTTTGTTTTGTTCCGTGAAGCATATACCAGGTAAGCTCATAAAGGTAAGGGTGTGCCTAGAGAATGAAATATCATGTTTTCTTTACTGGATGTTCACTATAAATTAAAACACTAACATTTCTTTTCACAGACTAATATTTGATTCCTCTGTTTGGTACGCATTAGATCTCTAGAGCTTAGAAATTTCTGAGTAAATTATTATGATAAAAGGATGAGACATGGCCCTAACAAGAAGGGAGAAGCAGACAAGAGAGAACAGGAATGTAGACAATCTAATATTTCTGATCTTATTCAAGACTCAGAGGTTTACATTAGATATTAAGACCAGAGTGAGCCCTTCCAAGAAAGCATTGCAGAGGAGACTAAAAGTGCAGTTGTCAATGAATTTGCAAAAACTGTGCAGATGAAAAGTGTATGATATGAGTATGCTTTGGGTACCCCCCTTCCAATTGCTGAAAATAGCTATAGTTTATAATTCTATAAAAGCTTAAATACATTTCTTGTCAATAGGAACAGTTAGAAGTTATTGAAAATCAGCCACAATTTGTCAACGGTGTTTGTAATTTTTTTGTAGGCTCCTCGTAGGCGCTTAAGTGATCCAAGGAAGAGCAAGATGGGAGTCAGAGTGCCTTTTATGACATAGCCTTGGAAGTCACATACCATCACTCCTTTCATTTTCCACTGGGTACACAGACCATCCTGATATACCATGGGCAAAAATACCATAAATATCCTCCAATGATAGGAGGTGCCATGGCTATGGTAACCATTTATCTTGTTATAATAAGAATTAAATAAAATATTGCAAACAAATCTATTATCCTAGTCCTGGATACATGGTAAAGGCTCCATTAGTTAGTATCTAAGTCTAAGTCAGATCTTCATGCTTCTTCCATTATAAAGTTTTAAGTGCTTAATTTTCTTATTATTACCAACATTATTTTTAGTATTATTACTCATCAATTTAACAAAGGTCTTAGCACTGTAGCAATTTTGACTATTACTAGACAATGCTTTTTTTGGGGGGGATTAATCCTTAACCTCCAAACACAAGTACCCTCAGTTTTGGAGTAGAGAGAGGTGTTTAGGAATTCTATGCCCTGGTCATCAATACCAAAAAAGACTCCTCCCTAAATCCTGCTCACACATCAAAGTCCTTCTTAAATGAATCCAGAAGGTAACATGCTTGCCTTTCTCCCTGCCAACTGTACTCTGAGTTTTAAAATGAGAGGGAGGTAGGGAGACAGAGAAAGAGAAAGAGAGAGAGAGAGAGAGAGAACACAATAGTTAATTATGTTTTAGTTTTCTATTATTGCTCTAAGGCAGATAGGGAGGGAGTATCATTTTTATTCCATTTCATAGACTGGGAAATAGGGACTCAGAGAAATCAGATGGCTGGTCCAATTTTCTCCAGCAAATTAAACAGAGGGCTGTATTTGTACCCAGGTATTTCACACACAGTGCTCACTGCATTTTCCTCTTTCTCATCTGTTACCTGGAGTCTTGACTACCGCCTGGTTTAATGGGGGGTGGCCTGCTAAAGAGGGGATGGACTTTGCTTTCCCTTTTTAAACTCACTATTCAACAAGTAAGGGACCAGAAAAACCATGCAAAAGTCACTATGTAATATCAACCTTACCTTAGGGTCACTGATAATGGTATTCCGTAAAAAGGTCAAAAGCAACTTATAATTACAGAAGTGGCCTCCTTCTGAAGGATAGACTTGGAAGGGCTGGCCTCATTTTCTAAGGAAATGATATAGCTGGAGACACTTTACATTTTGAAGACTTGAAAGGAGACCTACACCATTCCCAAGAGAAGACAAAGGAATGGAGAGACTGAAAACAGTAGTCATGAGTTCTAGCCAGAGCAGGTACCTGAAATCGTCTCAATCTAGAGCTTTGGAGATAACTTGCTCTCCTGGAAGAGCTGTCCATGTGAGTTGGCAGGGCCATGTGTAAGGGCCTCTGTCCTTTGGGCTTCACTCAAGGCCAGCATCTTCTCAGATCTCAGTATCCCTTCCCGAGGAGAAGTGGAAAAAATGGATTCCCAGAAGCTGCTCCTATAACTCAAACGTGTGAACTAACAATGAATGCTTTGAAGATCACCCTGCATGAAATACAATTCTCAGTGGTTAGGAAGGTCAGTTCTTCTAAAACATTTTAATGGTGTGACTTTTTTTCCATTGGAATGTTTTTGCAGGCACGATTTTGTTCTGATTCTCTACTTCTCTTCCAGACCCCAAGTGTTGTCATGTTTTTCTTCTGCCTGCACAGGAATTAGCATCACTGAGGGAAAGACATACCCTGAGTGTAAACTTCACTTAACGTCCCGAGATAAGCAGGACAGGGTCCATGTACATTGTTGTTCTTGCAATAGGCAACAGTGAGCTGGTCTTAACCTACTCTGACCCAAGAATTTTGGTTTTTATTTTTACACAAGCATCCAGCTGCCCATGACTTGAGTTATGTCCTAAGTGGAAAATGAAGAGACAAATTCTCCTCAACCTGTTCCCAGTGGGTTGACTCACCTTACCTTTGGAGATCCCACAGGTGCTGGGGAGCTGCTGCCATAATTACCAAGTTGCAGTGTAATATATGGTCTTGTTTTATCTCTGTAAGCACAGTTCCCAAAGCCACAATAGAAACTGTGTGGAATCTCTTATCTTTGTCTATAAAATGAGGCGGAACCATTCCCAAGTCTGCTACCATTTTCTGCAAACTAAAGCACATCTCTGTCCTGCCAAATAATTTCTTCCCTTTCAAGTGCTACAGTGTGAAGAGGGACACCTTATTTCATTGCAAAATGAACAGCAAGTAAACAGAGAAATGTGATTAAAATTCAATTGGGTGCAGGCAGGAATTAAGCCATCCCACGCCCATCAGTTTATAGCCTGCCCTAACGAGTGGAAAGGAAAAGAAAGTCACTGCAGCTCAGCTGGAAAACTGTCGGGGCATTTTACTAAATGAATCTTGCTATCCTCGGCTCTCTCTGCATCTTACATGTCCTCAATTACACAAACTGATGTACAATGTACCGTGACGCTCTAGGGCAGGGCTGGGGGGCAGCACTTGCTGTTCCCTTGTTAGTGTGATTCCTCGTTGGGCTTCCTATACATTCCTGAGCTCAAAAGCCTAAAATGACTATTTCTGTTACCCTCTGAGCCTTGTGGAGCCAAATATCAAAGATGACCTGATTAACCTTAAAGCACAAAAACTAGTCTTCTACCTATAGTTTCCATAGCAATTCCAAATCCTGAACAGAATTATTATATTTCTAAAAATGTAGCTCAGTTGCAATGGGTCCTGATGGTTCAACATGTATTTCTCCCAAACTGCCCAGTAAATTATATTTCATAGACTCATGGGAAGTAGTTGATAACTGGTCCAGACCAAACACTGCAAAGTCAGCAGACTTGGGTTTGAATTTATACAAGACCATTTCCAACTAGCTATGGAATTAACCTTAGGCTAATTTATTTAATCTCTCTAAGTTCCAGTTTCCTCACCTGTAAAATGGAATTAAAAGGGAGAGTGCTGACAGTGTTGCTGCAATGACTACATGTGACAACGTATATAAACTCTTATTACAAGGCCTGGCACATAGTAAATGCTCAATAAATGCTAATAAGAATTCCTGTAGAAATATATGCCTGAAAATCTGAGGTTACACAGCAGATAACTTGGGAAATTTAGTACTAGAAATCAGATATTTTCATTCCCAGACTAGGGCCATTTTCTGTTGCTCTGTACAGATGGAAGTTGGGCATTAATTGGGCCTATATAGATCATTGGTTCCCAAAGCACAACTAGGGATCTTAAAAAGAAAATTGTGTCTGAGTCTAGACTCACCAGATCAGAATCTATGTTTTAAAAGTTTCCTGAATGATTCTCATGAAACCTGTCTGTTAACTATTGATGAGAAAGAGTGAGAGGGGCCTCCTAGGTGAGGAAGAACAGTGAGGGAAGGATATAGAGGTAGAAAGTATAACAGCATTTGGAAGAATTACAAGGAGAAGTTGTGGTTTGGGGCAGAGGGTACCTGCCTAGGGCCCTTCAAACCGTGACCAAATGGTCAGGCAGAGACATGCAAGATAGCCAAAATCACCCAGGTGTCATTTTCATGTCCAAGAGAACTGCATGGTCCTAAGACTATGAGAGAATGTATTATTCTATCTTGTGTATGGTCTATTGCGTTAGACGGAAATACCAACCCAAGAAATACTAGAGAAATGCTGAAACCCATGAGTGAGGTTATCAGCTTGGGCGAACTCCAAACTTCTTTGTTAAAGAAGCATCAGGTACGGTACAAACTGAATCCAGGCATGTAGGCTATCTGTCCACACTCCCTTTTGATTTATGGAATGATTGATGGAGAAGTTATAAATAGTGTTTTGTGCATCCCAGCAGGGTTGTCCACAGAACTCAGTGAGTTGGCTAAGCTGGAATCTCTCAGCACTAGGCTACTTCCAGTAACTCCCCAAAGTCATGGGATAATATTAGAGTTTCCTTAGAGGGCACATTTATTTCAACCCTGGAAAGATTTCTAGTTAAGTGTAGAAATGTTTATAAGAACCAAGTAGTAATCATTTTGAATTAAGGAGCCTGTACATTTGGTACTTTATATAATTTTATATTTTATAAAATTGTAATAAATACAATTTATATTGTATAAAATTATAATTGTAATATTTAAGAGAATTTGTCTTAAGTTAGCCTTATCATTTCACTACGAAATGTGTAATTGAGTAACTGATATACAGTTGGGATTTCAAGTTGAAATCTTACTACATTTTTACACAGCGCTGGAACATTTAAGATAAAATTCACCATAATTATACATTTCATTTGTTGGCTGCATAAGAAAAGTTTAAGTGCACAGGAAACAGATGATTGAGGAACCACTTTGGCCTGGAGAGGCCACATCAGAGCTGGCACTTAGCTTAGGAGTGGGAGATATGATGTTCAGCTCTCCCAGGCTACACTTGGCTCAGGCCAAGCGGTTCCAGAAGGAGACAAGAGTCTGACTGGGGCACTTGTCACGCAGTGTCTATAATGGTATCAGGGCAACCCTGTCATAGTCATTTGCAGAGTGGTTGCCCTGGCCTGCGCTAAATTGGAGTCTCGCCCAGATCATGGTGATGGGAAGGGAAGAGGTATTTCACAGTGCCAGAAAGAGCCACAGCACTGCTGGCTCAGCCACAGAGGGCTACTGGGCCCTGCCCAAGCTGAGAGAGAGTACCTCTACTAGCTGCCACAAATACGAATAAGGTGAGCACTGTCCAGGTAGCCTAGAGACATGGCTGCAGAGACCAGGTAGGGCAGAGAATCCCTTATCCATAAATCCTCTAGGCCAAGTAAAACCTCCACCTGACTCCTCCAGACACCATTTAAGGGGAAAACAAGGGGAGAAAGAGAAGACTCAGAGGTTGTACATCACCTGAAGAATTCTTTCTATGATTATGTTGCATTAGGTCATAGACTGAATCAAAAGTTTAAGTGGGAGCCCTTGAGGAAGACAAATTAAAGACAAAACTAAAGAATATTTTTTCCGCAGGCACGGTGGCTAGTACCTGTAATCACAGCATTTTGGGAGACCAAAGCAGGATGATCACTTGAAGCCAAAAGTTGAAGATTAGCCTGGCCAATATAGTGAAACTCTGTCTCTACAAATAATAGAAAAACATAACTAGGCAACATAGCACATGCCTGTAATCCTAGCTACTCAGGAGGCCAAGGCAGGAGGATCCTTTGAGCTCAGGAGTTTAAGGTTGTAGTGTGTCATGATTGTGCCACCACATCCAGCCTGGACAATAGAATGAGACTCTGTCTCAAATATATACATATATGTTTTTTGATATACATATGTGTATATGTGTGTGTGTGTGTGTGTGTGTGTGTGTGTGTGTATAGATATATTTTTTTATTTTTTCTCCATGCATCCTATTGGTAGTGTGCGTAAATTTGCGGTCCTGTTTCAAACTTGGTTAACTTTCATATCACAGACTCACAGAAAGGAGACTTGGAAGCAAACTCAGCAGTTATCTATGCCAATGTCCTCATTTTGCAGATGATCAAAATAAGACAAGACAATGTTAAATGACGTGGAGCAGTAGAATAGTACATTTCCTGGCTATTTGACTCTCTAATTGGGGACCTATTGAGTTCTACACACGCATGCACGCACACACACACACACAGAAAGACAATTAGTTCTATATAGGGTTCTTATGAGGATCAAAGAGAATGTATTTCCAATACTTAGCTCAGCACCTGACATAGAGTAATTGCTCAATAAATAGTAGTGGTTTTCACTAAGTTCACACAAACAGGAAGAAATAGAATGGGAACTGAAGGGAGGACACACAAGGTCCCCAGGAGAGGAATGGCAGAGTCTCAGTCTTGTGAGTAGCACTTGATCTGCCTGAGATTCAGACGGGGCTGGTTGTGGTTAATACTGCCTATCTGCAAGGCTACAGTAAACCTCAGAATTGGTTTCCCAAGAATATTCCTTTGAGCTGATTAGAGCTTTTCTAACATGCAATTTGCATCTATTGGAATCTTCCGTGCTGTTTATGTTGGTTTCTTATTATACCATTTACCTTAAACAGCTTTGTTCTTTTTAAAGCAAAACATGCCATTCTTTCCATGGTGGTCTAAACCACATTTCAAATGAGCACTGCCCTGTGAATGTGATCCCAGTGGCTGTGTGACAAGGCAAAGTGGGGAGGAATCATAGGGAGAGTGGAAAGAGGTCTGGGCTGGGAGTCTAGGCCCTATTATGTGTGACTTTCTGACACTCTGAGAACCTGAGTCTTGGGTCCTTTATTAATTTTTTTGTAAAGGATAGGGTTTGGACGTGATAATTGCTAAGTGCCTTCCACCACTGAAATTCTTGTCATTTGTTTGGCTCAGTGTCAGCCTGGTGGAAGTGTGTGAATGAATGAACATTGCAAGTGTGCCTTTCTCATCCATTTTCAGGCTACACTGACAGTTATTACAACTGAGGGCAGGCGGCTCACTGACACTGATACTTAACAGACCACATTAAATAAACAAGAAAACGAAATGAATAGCTAACCCTTATGAGAACTTACTATGAACCAGGAAGAAGGCTTTCATTATGTGGTGCTATTTCATTTTATTTAATCTTCAGTACCAAACTGCCACAGTAGGTACAACTACTATCTCTATTTTGCACGTTAAAGAAAAAAAGATGAAGTCACACATGTTTATACAGGGCTTCACAATTTGCAATTTATCACCACATTTATTCTATCCAAGTCTCACACAAACCCACAAAGGAAAGTGAGTATTCTCACCAGTCTATACATGAAGAAATTCAGACCCAAAGCAAGGTAAGTGACTTACCCGCAAGGCCACTATGCCCTGGGCGAGAGCTTTGCCACGGCTTTTCTCTGCTTTTCTGTGACATCGGCTGCCTCTTCAATAGGAACGTTTGCTTTTCCACTTTCCCTCCAGTTTTTCTTCTGCAAAAATCTCATTTTTCCATTTATTTTCGTCTAATACATCTTGCCATACTTCATTGATGAGGGTATTTTTTAACCTCTCCACACCAAACTCTCATCTGCCTATATCTGGACCCTACTGTTGAAGGAAGTGTGGCTCTTCTCATCAAAATCCAATCCTCTGCTCAGGCCCTGGATCTCAGCCCTTGGGCTCTCTCCAGCACTCCACTCCCTTGCTCATCTCCTTCTCTACTCCACCTTCAATGCCTCCCTTTGTAATGCATCATTCCCAAACAGGCTCTGATATCTCATGTCTTTATTTCGTTACTTTTCTGCAACTTGCTTTATTAATAATATAACTTGGATATTTTCTCATACGTAGATCTTATTCTTTTAAATAGTTACCTAGTATTCCATTGTATTCATGTATTTAACTAGTCTCTCGTCAGTTGGATCAATTAGGTTGTTCACAGATTTATGCTAGTCTAACATATGAATCTTCATGTACTTTGTCACTATATCTGTAAGATAAATTATTATAAATAGGATTGTTTGATGAAAAGGTATATAAATTTTAAATTATTCTTAAACTGGATCTCAAAAAGATTCATAGTTATCAAGAACTCAAAAATACCAATTTCCTCATACTCTAGTCTGACAAATAAAGACCAGTTTTTTTTTTTAAAAAGATAAACCTATAAGGAGTGCCACAGAAAAATATGATTTCACTTCTGCAACTAAAAAGTTTATACATGAATATGTGTGTATGTATCTGTAAGTATAAAACAAACACACACAGGCTCCTTCTAATCCTCAGCTCTAAACTTAAATATCACCACTTTGGAAAGGCCTTCTTTGTCTACCCTGTTTAAAATAACTCCCACTCTACCCCCAATAATTGTTTTATTTATTTTTAAAGATTTATTTATTTTTATTATTTTAATAGGTTTTTCGGAAACAGGTGCTGTTTGGTTATATGAATAAGTTCTTTAGTGATGATTTCTGAGATTTTGCTGCACCCATCACCCAAGAAGTATACACTGTACCCAATGTGTAGTCTTCTATGCCTCACCCCACTTCCATCCTTTCCCCGAGTCCCCAAAGTCTATTGTAGTATTCTTATGCCTTTGCATCCTCATAGCTTAGCTCTCATTTATGAGTGAGAACATACAATGTTTGGTTTTTATCCCTGAGTTATTTCATTTACAATAACGGTCTCCAATTCCATCCAGGTTGCTGTGAATGCCATTATTTCATTCCTTTTTATGGCTGAGTAGTATTCCATTATATATATATATACATATATGTGTGTATATATGTATATATGTGTATATATATGTATACATGTGTGTTTATATGTATATATGGGTATATATGTATATATGCTTATATATAATATACAATATATAATATATATTATATACAATATATAATATATTGTATATTATATATAAGCATATATATTATATATAATATACGCACATATTATATATATTATGCATATGTTATATATAATATGCGTATATTATATATGCACGTATATTATATATTATATGTATTATATATACACATATATATAATACATGCATATATTATATACCTGTATAATATATACCCGTATATTATATACACGGGTATATATTATATAAGCATATATTATATATTAGATATTTTATATATATAATATATACATTATATATGTTATATAATATCTAATATATAATATATTATATATATTATATCTAATATATGTTATATAATATCTAATATATTATATATTATATATAATACATATAATTATATATCATATATTATATGTATAATATATAATATATATTATATGTATAATATATAATATATATTATGTATGCTTATATAATATATATTATATATAATATATTACATATATTATATATAATATATATTATATATAATATATTACATATATTATATATAATATATATATTTACATATATTATATATATAATATATATTACATATATAATATATATAAATATATATATTCATAGGCCTCACACCAGATCTACTTGTGGATTCTGGAGGTGGCACTCAGGAATCTGTTTGACACCTACAGGTGATTCTGCTTGAGAACTAGTGGGCTATACTGTGCCATATGTTCTGTGTATCACTGATGAGAGATGTAAGCCTTCTGCCCAGCATCAACCGAAAAGTTGTCAGCATGACAAGGAGTACCTGGAGTGACTGTCTCAAAAAGATCTTAGGTTATAACCACACCCTTTTTGTATTCCCCTTTAGAAGGCAGATGAGCAAACCGCAACACTAGATTGGGAATCAGAACATTAAAGAGAATTATATTAGATTCTAATGGAAACATAATACATGCAATGGTAAAAACAAAATTCAAACTGTACAAAATACCTACAAGTGATTTTCCAATTATTCAAAGACTACCATTGTCTTTCCCTAGAGACAACCAGTTTTACATATCTTGCTTACTCCCTCCAGAAATTTTCTGATATATACAAGCAGATATATGTGTTTATATGTGTGTATCTATCTATCTATCTATCTATCTATCTATCTATCTATCTATCATCTATCTACCTACCTACCTATTTATCATCTCCCCTATTTTAACAGATTATAAATTGAAGCACATATACTCTTTTGTGACTTTTCTGAAAATTGTTGCTGGTGAGACATTTGGAGATTCCTTTTTCTTTGTAATGTTTATTTGATTAAGTAGAACGATCTTATTTTTACCTACTGCCAGCCATATAGGCTGCTCCCCAGCTTTTTCGATTATAAACAATCCTGCCAAAAAAAAACTATGCTTACCCTTGGACACATGTGTGAATATATCTGTGAGATAATCACTTGCAAACAGCACCTGCCACCCTGCTTGTCTCAGTCCCCTCGACCGACAGTTTCCAGAGACTCTTCTAACTCTACTGATACCAGATCTCTTTATGGATCATCCTGTTTCCAGCAATGTTGGAACATGTAAACTCTTGTTGATAAAGAAGAGATCTCACTAAATGCATGTCAGCTTTCTGCCTGCAGTGTGTCATGAGGTGCCACACAATACAGATCAGGAGAGAGAGAGAGGTGTGTAAGAAGCTAGGGAAGGGTGAAGTGATTGGTGTGAAATCTCCCCAACAATGGATAATGAGTGTTTACATCCCTTCTTTCTCCACTTCTCAATTGTTACTTTCTTTTATGAGACCCTATGGGAAAAGTATCCATTAATTTCCTTCTTCTCCCTTGTATGGTTTAAACTCAAGGTGTTTCTGAGAGTTGTACATTTTCTCAGGGCTGCTTATAACACACATGAAGTATAGCTGGGTGGCTTCTGTTTGCAAGAGGTCTATTTTTAATTAACTTTTGTGCTTTTTGCCTTGAAGTGACCTCATAGCGTTCAGCAGGATATACACATACACTGTCACACTCACACATCACCACTATGATTGTGTGAGAAAATTCCACTGCAAGAAAAACTGGACAAGTTTTTCTTAGCTTCTAGGAAGACGGAAGACTCCCTGACAAGGATTTTATTTTCATTGTAGTGGGCTGTCAGCAAGGCCATTTATCATAGCCTGAATTAATAAGGAAAGGACAGAAGAAAAACGACTTGCTGCCAAACAGCTTGGGGATGTTCGGGGCTGCATAGATCAATCAGCTGGGCACACTAGCTATTGTCTGCTCATCAATTCATTTTCATTGAGTTTCAGGACAGATAACACCAGGCCTTTTTCTGAGGCAGGATCCTAAAGTGCCTACCTAAACTTGCTTTCCGTTCCAACCTTTTCATCCCACAGGACACTCATGAAGGTGGCATACTGTGTTTAGATGAAGGTGCTCCTCTAAACTTGTGGCATATCTTTGCACTTTCCCACTTCCCAAATGCACAACAGTCTTAAGGATCTTTCAAAACTAATAGGTAAAACAGATTAACCTCAAACACACCTGAGATGCAAAGAGAGCCCTTTGTGCACTTATGACAGCATAATAAATTAAACAACCAAATGCTTTCAAAGCAACTGGGAGACACAGAAGCTACAGAGGGAAATGACAACATTCATTTCCATTTGGCTGTTGTAGTGGACGTTTGTTTTCTTTTATCCAGAATTCATTCCCTTTCTACCAAAAACAGCTTTCTGATTTTTCTCAACAAGGCATGTCCTCTACCACCTTAAAATCTTGCACTTCTGGTTGGGAACCACACCCCTTTTCAGGGTTGGAACCTTTAACTTAAATGTGCTGCATCACAGCATCTGATTCCCCAGGTCGCACTGGGGAATTCTGTTGAACCATGAATTCTCCATGAACTAATGATCCAGCAGAGCCAGTGAAATATAACAAGAGTTTCTGGGATGCTTGGATATATTGTGGTGGCCTCAAAATGGGGAGGATATAAATATGTAGCCTCCAAGGGCTACCACAGATAACTTGAGAATGAAGTCAGCATGTCAGAAGACGGCAATGACAGATGGACTGAAATGAGCCCTGATGGGATCTTTAGAGCCCCTGGAAGAAGCCCACCTGAAGCCAGTATCCCTCTGGATTAAGAGAACTAACGGAATCTTTTCACTTAAAAAATATGTATTTTTGCCACCATGCTTGGCAAAAATATCAGTTTTAATTGTGTTTCTTTTATAATAAAAGTAATTTCACTAATACAGAAAAAATTTCACTAATTGCATTTATTGAATCTGGAACCCTAAATTCCAAAGCTACAAGATGGTCCCAAAATTTCTCTTTTTGGACAGAACCAAATAGCTTTTTAACCTGAATATCAGAAAATGTAAAAATATCATCTAACTGAACTCCTTCCAGTAACATTGGGGCTTGCTATGAGAAGTCGGGAATAGGGCCTTTACTTCCGACAGTTGTTGATAGGGTGATATGGACCAAATGTTTTGAAGAGGATAATCATTAAAGCTGGAAAAAAAGAAAAATAAAATAAGGATATTACAATGATAATAAAGGGAAGAATTACTGGGCCAAGACCTAGGAGAAGACAGTACTCAAAGACATAGTGTCTAGAGTTTGCCATTCTGGAAGAGAAAGCTATGTGGCTGAGCAGTACTTCTGAAAGTTTATAGAGAGGGATAAAAGTTCTGGGCTTGCTCAAGGAAAAGGTCATCATAAACTCCCTGCAATTTGCATTGAGGCCCTACGTGGCTGTATGCTAATAGGAAAAGTAAATTGGAAGTAATACATTTCTCATATAGACTGATCTGAGGTAGGAGATATCTGGATAACCCAGAAAAATAATCACTTTTAAAACTAAATTAACCTCAGATTACCAAAGCTCCAACGCATGTGGCAGATAAAAATATGAATCTTCTTTAGAGGAACATAACATCACCCTACACCACAAGGCTAAAATTCTTAGAAATAATGTCTGACACACAATCAAAGAAAAGAAGACATACAAGCAAATGAGATGGCATGAAAGAGAATCATCAGGGAGAGAAAAACAAAAAGGAAAACAAGGCAATCCACAGTCTTCAGATACTGGAGCTGGACTTTAAAATAACTCTTCTTGCTATTTAAAGGAACTAAAATATATGACTGAGATAATATTAAAAAATCAAATAAAAATTCTAGAATGAAAAACTACTGAAATTAATAATTCAGTGGAAATATTTCATAGATTAGACTTCAATGAAGAGAGAATTAGTGAAATAAAAGGCAAATCAGAAGGAAATACTTATTATGAAGCAACTGGGAGACAAAAAGATACAAAATACAGAAGAGAGGTTAAGAGACAGAAGATTCGGTCCAAAAGTCTGATATACATTTAACTATAGCTTCAAAAATGAGACATAAAAAGAGGGTAGAAGGCAACAATTTGATAATATCCAGCTAAGAATATCCTCAAACTTATGAAATACATCGATTTACAGATAGAAAAACTCAAGAAGAAAACATTAAAAGAAATATACTGAGCCATTACAAAAAATGAGGAAAGAAAATAACTTAAAAGCACCCAGAAAATATAGGACAGATTATGTTCAGAAGAATGACAGTTGTATTGATAACTGACTTCTCAGCAGAAAAACATAGGAAGCTAAAATACAAATATCTGCCAAGTGCTGAGAAAAAAACCTGTAATTGTATACTCAGTAAAAATAGACTTCAGAATGAAAGAGAGTTTCAGGTGAATAAAAACTGAGATAATTTGTTAACAGCAGACCTTCAGTAAAGTAAATACACAAGAGTCTTTTTCTGTCAGGATATCCTTGCATGAAGATGAGAGACATAGAATGAAATCTAAGAAAACTGATAAGACATGAACAAATCCAAATAAATATAAGCTGTTTAAACATTTTATTGTGTGATTTAAAATAAACAAACAATAAAAATATATGACAATAAAAGTACATAAGTTAGGAAAGTATAAAGATGTAAAAGTACTTCAAGGCACTTGGATTATTTAGGAAGAAGGTAAAAGTAGAAAATTACAAAACATTACTAATGGAAATTAATGAAACCCACACTTCCCTGCCCCTCACCAATGGAGAGAAAGATATACCAGGTTCACAGATTCGAATACTCAATTTTGTAAAGATACCAATTATTCTCAAATTGATCTCTAAATTCTATATAATCTCAATAAGAATCTCAAACGTTTTATTGTAAAACTTGACAAGCTTATTCTGAAGTGTATATGAAAATTCAAAAGGCCAGGAGTAACCAACATCATCTTAAAGAAAACCAAGACTTCTTATAAGATGATAGTCAACTAAAAGGGAGGGGACAGATGTAAGGATAGATGTATAGACTAATGGAAGAGAAGAGAAAGCTCAGAAACATACCAGTGCATATAAAGACACGTGATTTGTGATAAAGGTAGCACTTTGGAGTAATGAGGAAAGATGATCTGTTCAATTGGTAGTGCTAAGAAAACTGGATACAATGTGGGGGGAAAAAAACCCTTGACCTCTAGCCCATTATCATACACATAAAACAATTAGAGTGGATTGTTGTGATAAATATGAAAGGTAAAACAATGTTTCAGAAGATAATTTAGGTGACTATCTTCATGATTTCAGAAACGGGAACGATTTTTTAATAAGAACACAAAAGCACTAACTGAAAAGGAAATGTTGATAAATTCCTGTTAAAAGGGAAATGTTGATAAGCCATTTAACTGTATTAAAATTAAGAGATTCTATTCCTCAAAAGACACCATTTTTGAAAGTTAAAAAAACCGAAACAAGCCACAAAGTGGTAAAAAAAAATGAAATCTCATAAACATGATCAAAAGAAGTCAGACCAAAAAATTGTATGCTATATGTATACTATATTACTCCAGTTACGTAAAATTAAAATATAAGTAAACCTAAGCTACAGTGTTTAGTGATTGCAAACTTGCATGGTGAAGCCATTAAGACAATTGCTGTAAAAGCAAGGATAGTGATTGTCTTTGGGGAGAGTAAGAGTCGGAAAACAAAGAGCTTCTGGGAGGTGGCAGTGCTGTACTTCTTGATGTGTTTTTCTTGAGGTGATGAGTTTTTCCTTTGCAATAATTCATTAGGTTATGCATTTTAATGTATTGTTGGTGTATATATATTTCACCGTAGAAAAGTTTTAAAAATTGTAGCATTAGATCTATGCAACCTATTGCCATAGGTGCATACCCTGTAGCACCTCACGGAGAGGTCTCTGGAGTCAGGTGACTGGATTTAAATTCCAGCTCTCTCCTAAGGGATGTGTGGCCATGGGTGAATAATGTAACCTCTTTAAGTCTCATTTCTTCATAAGAAAATGGGTTTTATAAAGTTGAGAGGATGAAATGAGACGAAGCATGCAAGGCACCTCACATTTTGTAGACAAATAAGTAAAATAAAATTGTACTTACCTTGTACATCAGATAAGGGCAATTTTATTTATCTGTCTACAAAAATGTTCCTGATGCAAGGCAAAATCATACCTGGGCAGAAATGGCTTTATGTCATACCTCCTCCTTCCCGCCCTTGCCTCTTTAATGCTTCCGTCTGAAGTGGGTAATAATAGGAGAGGAGACAGTCACAATAATACCATCTGAGAGTTATAGAGTGCTTTACAGTTTACAAACAGCTTTCTTTTCTATTTTCCCATTGAAATCTTCAAAATGGCATGAGAAGTCAGGTTTATTTTTCCCATAGACACAAATTGCAGAAAGGAGAGATTTAGAGATTTTAAGTGATATGCCAGAGGTCCCAGTAGTTAGTGAGAGGCAGAATGAGGATCTGAAAAACGCAGGTCTTCTGCTTTTGAATCCGAGACTCCCTGAATTATGATGTGGTCTGTGAAACTGTAATATGATTGGATGCTTGGTAGTACCCAACGGGAATGCATAAATGGATTTCCATAGGTCCCTAATACTCTTCTCAACTAGATATAGTCTTCACTGTTCAGTTTGCAATGATTATGGTTTCCATCATGGTATAAACCAAGAAGTGAAAGTGATGCCTTTTTTCCCCACTCAATGGAGAGGAGACAATATATGATCATCTGTTCAGTGTTCAGGAGCAAAATTGTTTAATTTCATCTACTCCATGGTAAGAATAAACTCATTTCCTTCTGCTCATGGATCTCTTTTTATCATTTTCTTCATATGCTCTTTTATTGACTTCCTCAGGACCCCACGCTCCCATGTCATTAAGCTACAGTAATGGTACTGAACGGCAGTGACAACTCTGGGACATGGAAGAACATCTGTGCTGATTTTCTAAGTCTCTAAGAGTTTGTTGCTTAGTTCAGTTTTAACAAGGCAATCCAGACCTTTTACTGTTTACCATGAAGGCTGACCCTGGTGTAGGGGCATTTGAGTTCACCATATGGAATGCCCTTCTTTCACAGCAAGTTGTTTAGAAACACCAAAAAATCCATGAGGTCATTCATTTTCATGTCTACCTTAGCACCTGTACTTTTAAGTATTATGTCTTTGGTAAGGGATGTCACTTAAAAAAAAGTGTGACAAATTCAGCTACAAAAAAAATCTCAGCTCTAGAAGAGAAAATGAATGTTATAGTTTTGTTTCCTTTCCTGATACAGGATTTCAGAGCTAGTCCTTAGAAAATTGGAAAAGAGGACAGATTTTTGCTTTGGTTCTTCAATTGGTCTTCTTTCTGCTGTATCCTTCTGGGAAGAATTATTCAGTACGCTGTATAGGGAAAGAAAGCTACAGCTAGAAGTCTGGAGATTAAATTATTAGTCATTTATTGAGTTCTTAATATTTGCCAGGCATTGTGCTGGAGGGCGAAGATAAAACTGTATACAAAATAGACAAGGTCCCAGCCCTCATGGAGCTTACAGGCTAGTGAGTTATCAATTGTAAGCACAGGCAAGTCACTTAACCACTGTAAACATCAGTTTCCTTCTCTCTTAAGTGGAGATCTTAAATCCTCCTCTATTTAACGGGGTTACAAGATAAGAAATAGGAGATATGTTTTACGAGGACTAGGATATATGGCTATGTTGTGAAAATTCTGGTTCATTAAACTGTCAAGTGTTATTGATACTGTTCTTCATGACATATTCATATTTATACCCCTTATTATAAAATGTGTTTCTCAGTACGATATAAAGACTGAGGCTTCTTTGCTAACTTTTAAAAGCCAAGAACTTTCATAACTCTCATGAAGTGTCATTTAAATTTAAAAGAAGCTTAGAAACTAATGTTTAACTCAAGATAGTAACATTTATCTTCTCAAATTGAAGTATAATCCTTAGGGTATATAGTAGTATACCTGGGGGTATAATATACACAGATACAGCCTTATTTGATGGTAAATAATTTAAGTCATTGTATTTTTTTAAATTAAAACAAAGAGATACTATCTTAGTCCATTTTCTGTTGCTCATAATTGAATACCTGAAACTGGTTAATTTATACAGAAAATGAATTTATTTCTAATAGTTATGAAGGCTGAGAAGTCCAAGGTCCAAGTCCATGGGGGCTTGAGAAGCAAGCTCCGAGGCTGAGAAGTCCAAGAAGTCCAAGAGGCTACATCTGGTGAGGGTCTTCTTGCTGGTGGGGACTCTGCAGAGTGCTGAGGTGGCAGTGTATGGTGAGAGGTCTGAGTATGCTAGCTCAGGTCTCTCCCTCTTCTTATAAAGCCCCCAGTCCCACTCGCATGATAACCCATTAATCCATGAATCCATGAACGGATTAATCCATTAATGAGGGCAGAGCTCTCATGACCCAATCATCTCTCCAAGGTCCCCCCTCTCAATACTGCCACATTAGGAATTAAATTTCAACATGAGTTTTGGAAAGGACAAATGTTCAAGCCATCAGAGATACATTGTAGCTGAAGTGTGAAGTTCATATGATGTTTGAAAATAAAATAGAAACTGTCAAAGATGTTTAAAATTTGTGAGAGCCTACTGCAAGCTAAGCCTCTAGAACTTTGAGAGGTAATCAATCATTTATACTTCTCCACTCGCAGAGATTCTTTAATGAAAAAGTTTGAGGGAGACCAGCTTCAAAGTCTGATACAGTTCAAAAGGAGCAATCCTATGTAGGACATACTAAATCAGAAAAACAAAAAAGTTCTCTTCCACATACTCAATATTATGGTTCTCCTCTTGTGTTGCTGCTTGTTCTTGATGTTTCAATAGAGAATACTGCATTGCCCTGATGGGGGATGGCTCCCAGTCAGCTGGTTTGGACATTTGAGACAATATGCATGGCACAAAGCAGCAGCTCCTCAGTAATGAGAAGGAGGAATGGCTAATGCTTCCCTGTGTTCAGCTGAACTTCTGGATAATGGTTTACCTGTACCATTTCATCTTCCCTTTTATACAGCACAATTATGATGTGCTAATAGTTTTAAGAATGCAAAT
The DNA here is from genome assembly GCF_000001405.40 of Homo sapiens. Lineage (NCBI taxonomy): Eukaryota > Metazoa > Chordata > Mammalia > Primates > Hominidae > Homo > Homo sapiens. The sequence goes on from NC_000003.12 coordinate 3,379,792, forward strand.
CCTGCCTTTCAAGCTTGCTCAAGAGCTTTTAGAGTTTAAATGTTTTGTATTCTCCATGTGGCCTACTCAACAGTTGTTGGGTATAAAGAATTTTTACCACGTTAACCAGCTATCTAGTCCCATCTTAGTCCCTAAAAGTATTTTTGGTGGTTCCAGGTAGTGTAGGTATTCTGTAAGTAAGCCCAATTTGAACCTGTCTCTGCTCTTCAATAACAGCGTTAACTAGGTCTTTTCCTAGTACTTCAACATTTTGGCTAAGGCTTCAAAACTGAGATCAATGGATGATAAACACACATTCTAAAGAGAGATGTCTGATACTTCCTTATGAGATATTAACAAAAGACAGCAAAACCAGTCTAGTGACTACAACCCCTTTCAAGCTGGGGAATAAAAAAAGGCCAGAGATTAATAGAAGGGATTATTTGAAATAAATTCATGTGAGGAAGACAAAGAGGGGAGGGAGATATTTCCTACCATTTCCTTCCTAAAGTATTTGAAGCACTTGTGACAAGGGCATCATACTCACTGACTGGAGCTTTCCATCGTATCGGAAGAAAAAAGAGTGTTCAGTAAGGATATTCCCATGGTTTGGAGGGGCACAAGAGAGTAAATTCTTGAGCGCAAGGTAAGCCCCACCATGCTGAAAGAATATTAAGCAAGAGAGCCTGCCAAGGTGAGGGGACCCCAGAGGAATAGAAACCCCAAGAAGGGATGCTTCCAAAGATCAGCTGGAGAATATATTACTTGAATCAGAAGTCCCCACTGGGATCCAAATAACCCACTATGTACCCCACAAAAGATCCAGAATTTGGTGGTTGCCATGACAAAGACTATTTGACAATTCAGAGAGAACTATAACACAACCAACTAAGAAAGCCTTTACCTCTTTTCCTTTTATCATTCTTTCACTCTTTGTCTCTTCCTTTCCCCTTTCCAAATTCTCCATTAAACCAACCTTCGAAGATCCAGAGCCACAAAAGGAGCCTTGGGGAGCAAGGAACATGAAAGAACAGATCGAGCCTTCCTTCTTACCATTGTTTCTGAACAAAGGAGTGAAGCTGAGCTAGTGGGAGGCGAGAGGGTTTAATTGAGAGACTGAAGTTTTGATTTAGGGCAGAGCAGGTTTTTAAAACAATACCTTTGGGAGGCCAAGGCAGGTGGATCACGAGGTCAGGGGTTCAAGACCAGCCTGGCCAAGATGGTGAAACTCCGACTCTACTAAAACTACAAAGAAAATTTGCTGGGCATGGTGGCAGGCACCTGTAATCCCAGCTATTTGGGAGGCTGAGGCAGGAGAATCGCTTGAACCTAGTGGCAGAGGTTGCTTTGAGCCGAGATTGAGCCACTGCACTCCAGCCTGGGTGACAGAGTGAGACTCCGTTAAAAAAAAAAAACCTGCTTGTGAGAAAACTATGCAGTTAAAGAGTAGAGGAGAAAGATTCAATTACTGAAGGCAATAATTGAGAAGTTAAAGATGTTTTCTGAATATATTCTAAATTCAACTGAATCAACAAATGAGTTAAGTTAATTGCTGTAAAATGTTACAATCCTTTGATGATTTATCAATTAAATGCCCTGTTAAATACTTGGAGTTCCTCTCAGACCCTAACATCAGAAGACCCAATCTTTTTATAACTGGGGAGTGAAGGCTTTGATATACTTTTCAGAGGACAAACAGCAGCCGTGAGTATGACAAGAGCATTTTAAGGGCAAGTAAAAGGTCTTTTCTTATCAGAACATGCACAGAAATAAAACTCATATTAACCTGAGAGAAAGGTTAAAGATGGAGTTTTCACAATTTGTAATAACCCAAATGCCCACTAGTGATAAATGGGCACATAAACTGCAGCATGTCCACATTGCAGGAGAATAAACTGTTATAGAACTATGTGTGGTAATATGGATGAATCTCACATGTGTAATGTCCAGTGAAAGATGTCAGACATGAGAGTGCATACCACCTGATTCAGTTTATGCAGGGTACAAAAATAAGAAAAACTAAACTAGAGTCGTGGAAGTCAGAAATGGTTAGCCTTGGTGGGAAGCAATGTTTGCAAGAGGTACAAAATGGCTTCTGGGATGCCAGTAACATTTTGTTTCTTGATCTGGTTTTATAAATGTGTTCAGTTTGTGAAAATATGAGTTATACCTTTATCATTTGTATACCATTATATACATGTTATAATTCAATAAATAGTTTAAAAAATCCCCCCTCCCCCTACAAAAATAAACCAAATATTAGAAGTCCAGATGGGGTCAACCTTAAGTCTGGGAATAGTAACTGGAAGGGGGCAGGAGGGGACTCAGTGGATACATTCACTTTGTGAACATTCATTGAGCTGCACACTTATGATGTGTACTTTCCCACGTGTGTGTGTGTGTATGTATACTATAATATTAAAATAATGGAGTACTTGAATCTGAAATTTCAAACTTTTGTCTTAAATAAGACCTCTAAATAAAATGTTACCTATTAGGCCTTTCCCCCTTTACTCATTTTAATACAACATTCCTCAGCTTTTTACTAAGCTAAAACACATCAGCAATAATCAAATATTTATTGATTGGAGATCTAGCTTTTTTAATTCTTGAAATACTTCTTTGGATCTCTTAATGTGCTTTTCCTTTGACCTGTTGGGATATGAAAATCACTAGGTTGGAGACAACTATATCCCACCTTGCATACCTTTAAAACATCTGTAGTTCTTATGTGCAATGTATTCACACAGCTCACAGCCTCTGCAAGTCTTGTAAATATATCAAATTAGAGATTCAAGCACAGCATCTGGGAAGACTTCCACCTATGCAGGTGAGTTGGAAGACAGCTCACTTCTCAGCTCTGAAAAACCAGGAAAACACCTGGAATGACAGATGGCACCTCAATATAACAATCAGGGGCAGTTTTAATTTTTTTGGATTAAAGATCCCAGGTTTTAATCTACTAAACACTTATAGACAAGGAGAGCAGTTAGAGCCATTTTATCAGATGACTAATAAGATTTGGTAAATAGAGTCATTTTTACCAGATAACTACATATAAGATTTAAGCTGGCAACAAATTTATCTGTTGTTATTGGGTAGTTAACCATTTTAATTATGTTATCTTTTTAATGAGGTAGGTAGAAAAAATATGCCATTCAGAATAGGGATAGGCTTTAGCAAACATGGATAGAGAAGACAAATACTGCATGTATCTGATTAACTTTTCCATCTGCAAAACAAAATCTGTTGAATGTGTTGCATTTGAAATCAGAAACCACCACATACATATGAAAAATGTTGAGTCACAGGCCCTATTTTCTTCACAGTTACATTGAAACAATCACAGAAGGACAAAATGGTACACTGTAAAATAGAAATGATGTGTTTTAAATTATTGAGCAGTAAATACAAAGAAGTCATGGAAGAAATAAGAAAAGAGTAAGAAAATTCTTTTGGTTTCTGCCTTAAGCAAAATGTGCTTAGGAGGTGGAGAGTATGATTGGTTTCAACCATACAGAGGAAGCCTACTGAAATAATATCAATAAGGAGGAGGTGAATAAACAGATGTGAGTGTTGCCTCACCATCTTGATCTTGTATTTTTCTTTTTAAATAGTGTTACACTAGGTTGTATTCTATTGTAAAGAAGAGTTCTCAAAAGGTTGCTTTTAAGTTTTTATGGTAAGGAAATTAGCCCCCAAAGTGTATTATTAGAGGAAGTATTTTATTGTGATGGGGAAAAATGATAGGAGAAAAATCCCCTTTCTTAAATTTTTAAAGCTATGGAATCCAGAAGAAGCAATAGTTCAAACAGTTACCATGTCTATTATCCGGGAAGTCAGTGAGATGTGAAACAAGGACAAACCCCATTTGCCCGGGCAAAGAGCCCAGGAGGAAGTAATTGCTAGTTGAGGCGCAGCTGCAGATAGAAGGTGATCAAATCCAAAGATCAAATGTTTATTTCATTCTGATAAAAATCATTAAATCATAAATCAGCTTACCCCAGGCTCCTGTACACCCAGGAAATGACTATGTATACCATCTGCACATAGCCGTCCCTTAATACATTAAAATGGTGACAGTGACTTCCATTATGAAGTCCCTACATAGGAACAATTTATCAAAATGCAAGTAGTCACCATTCACATTTTATTTAGCCTCCAGAATGAGATTACATGTTTGAACTCAGTACAGGAAATTTCAGAACAAAATCTAAATTTGGGAGAACCGAGACCCTCAAGTGAAAAGTTGGCTACCAACTTTTTGAATATAATATTCTTCATTTGACAGTTATTTTTTCCCATTGTCTTGACTACAGAGAAAATTTCTAAATGGTTATTGTAAATTCCCTGGTAGAAATAGAATCGTAAACTGACAAAAAACTATTTTTAAACCTCGAGAATATTTTCTTCACCATGAAAAGTATTCAAAAAATGTCTGCAAAGCAAAGAGATATCTGATACCTTGAGCTCCAGAAAATAATAGCTGAAAAAAATTCCATATTATTTTCATATCTAACAAGCTGGAACTAGGTGAAGTCTGGAGCTGCCTCCACCCAAAGACAGGGTAAGAGGTTTAAAGCATGGCCGGGCGCAGTGGCTCACGCCTGTCATCCCAGCACTTTGGGAGGCCGAGGCGGGCGGATCACGAGGTCAGGCGATTGAGACCATCCTGGCTAACACGGTGAAACCCCGTCTCTACTAAAAATACAAAAATTATCCAGGCGTGGTGGCGGGCGCCTGTAGTCCCAGCTACTCGGGAGGCTGAGGCGGGAGAATGGCGGGAACCCGGGGGGCGGAGCTTGCAGTGAGCCGAGATGGCGCCACCGCACTCCAGCCTGGGCGACAGAGCGAGACTCCGCCTCAGAGAAAAAAAAAAAAAAAAAAAAGGTTTAAAGCATTTGTGTGTGTGTTTATGTGTGCGTATGTGCGTGTGCGTATGTGCGTATGCATATATGCAGTGAACTGGCTTTATTTGGTTTTGTGGCATCTGTTACTTCAAATTTGCAGATGATTCACAAAGTCATAACTGCAGTCTCTGAGCTCTCCTAATATCTAGACTCTATTACCTTGTGTGTCTCAAAGATGGCTACCACTCAACTTCTTCCACACTGAACTCAAGGTTTCCCACACCGTTCATTGATGTCTTCCTTCTTCTCACCACAGGGCCTCTGGTCATGCTACCCTTTGATTGTCCTTTCTTTGCTTAGTTAACACCTACTTATTCTTCAGACCTCAGCTCAAGTGTAATTTCCTCAGGAGAGCCTTCCTTAACTGTATAACTAGGTTAGATATTTCTGTTACACACTGTTATTTTCACTGTGAAACTTTTTTCCATAGCACTTGTCAAGCTGCAGTTTTACATCTATTTGTGCCAGTATTAGATTTGTGTTTAAATCTCCTATGAAATTGGCATAGTATCTTGCACACACATGTACTATAAATGTTTGGTGAATGAATGAGAGAATGAGTGAATGACTACATGAGTACATTGCACTGTCCTTTAGTCTGTGGCAAATACCAAGGTGAAGCTGATCTCCGCATCTAGTCTCTGTGGCGGCCATGAATACGTGCCTCTCAACTTTGGGTAATGGCTAGCATCACTGACTTATGACCCCTATGGAAGATGCAGTGTTAAAGGTATTATGCCTTTCTTCTAGTTTGTATTATGAGAATATTTATCCTTTGTATCTAGTCAGTATTTTATACATTGCTACTGTGTGATATTGAGTTATATGTCATCTGCTTTGCCCTTCAGGCAGAACACACCTAGTACTGTGCAACTTAATGAGATATTTAGGATGAAAAACTTAGCATGATGTCTAGGATATAGTAAGAGCTATCACCATCACTGTCACCAAGATCACCGTCATTGCCACTCTTCTCTTCTTCGATGGGCTCTGTCCTTCTCCAAAACGTGGAATTAGCTACGCAAAAAGGGCTTTCTTACCTATTTACTTCTCTGACCTCCAGAAAAGATTCTGCAATTGTTTCTGGGGGTTGAAGGGACACAATTTGACTAAATACTAGCCAATATTAAGGAATATTCTTTTTTGCAAGCAGCCTTTTCATTTCATTCTATTCATTGATCAAATACAAGTCCAGACAAGCAGAGGTTTTTTTGCTGTTGTTGTTATTTTTTGCCAACCTGAGCTGATCAAAATTTCTGGCTATATTAAGCAGATAATAGTGCTTTAGACACATGAGACAAAGTCTTGTTAGGATTCCCGTTGGTATAGTACAGTTTTTCTGTGACTTAACCCTGATTTCCAAGAAATCACACATCGCTTTTGCAACACTTGGTCACTGTGGAATAGTTCCACTATTTTCAAATTTATCTCTTTGGCTGTGCAGAAGCATTGTTCAATAGCCCTCATTACTAAAATTTGCTTTTAATTTTAGTAGTGTTAGAAGGGATATTGGAGCTTGGATAAAAATGTCAAAATTATTATTGACTGTTATTCCAAGTGAAAGAATCTCAGTGAAAATATTTTAGTCCTTTAATGTTTTCTTGATTTTCTGCCTTTGCAGCTCCCCTCTCTGCAGGAGCACATGCCCTTCCCAAGGCCCAGAGAACTCAACACAGGGCACTGAGCTAATGATCAGAAAGGAAAGATTTCCTTTTTCCATCTATCTGTAGAATATGTAGGCATTAAGTACATCTTGTCTTCTTAAAGTCCCAGGGGAATGAAAACACCTGTCACAATTTTTTTTTTTTTCTAATTGGGAAAGATGATGGCTGTGAGCATCTAGGAAGAAGATAACTAGATTTGAAAAGAAGAAACAGAAAAAGATTTAAGGGATTATTCCTTTTCATTAAGAATTTTATACATACAATATTAATTGAATCTTTAAAAATGTTAAAATTATTATCTGTGGGTGGTAGAAAAATAGGAACTTATTTTTTTTCTTCTCATTTTCTGTGCTTTAATATAGTAGTTAGGAGGTAGCAAACTAGGAGGTAAGTGCGAAGAATTGGTAGTGGGTCTAGAAATCAGAGTTTAATAGGATCAGGCTATCTGATTAATTTTCTACTCTTTCCAGGGCTATGAAAGTTTGAAGTTTTGTTTTTCTGACAAAGTGGTCCAAAGCTCTGCTATGTATAATCTCCAGATTTACCCTGTGCCTGATAATATATATGTATTTTTTCTTCAAATACGTTAGAGCCATACTCTGTATTTTCACTGAAAAATGAAACTGAAATTCTAAAGAGTAAGAGCCAATTCACATGCATACATTTTAATTCAGGGTATGTTGCTCAGGTGGGAAAAATATGTTTACTTCTAAACTTTTTATTTAATCACATTCGTGTTGGTATCATGTAGACATAAAGAAATCTAGTGCTATGAATTCCACAAGATTTTAATGTATGTTACAATATTCATTGATATATTAGAACTAAAAAGCATACATTGGCAAAGGATTAATTATATATTTTTTTATTTAGAATAAAGTATTGCCAACCAACCACTGGAAAATGCGAGAAATTCTCACTTAACTCTTGATTGAATGGAGAAATTGAAATATAATCAAAGACTATCTATAAAACAATGATGATAAAGATAAAACCTATGAATACAAATAAGGCTATGCTCAGTGAAAAAAGAAATCACAGACAAATACAACAAACGAGAGACTGAAATAAATGATTTGGGCTTTTTTGGTATGAAAAGCTCAGGAAAAAAACCCACAAACTAAACTTAAGAAAGCAAAAGTTAAAAAGTTATGAACAAATAAAAATAAGTTACAGGAAGAAACCAAAGAGGAAGATAACTGAAATAGAGTTGAAACAAAGATCAATGACCAGCCAGGAATGATGACGAGATATGCCACTGGGTACACTAAGAATTTAAAACAGGAGACAGCATTAATAGGCACAAATGAAGAGAGGGGAAACACCCTACCACATAATACAAATAAAGAGAATTTTTTAAATTTCCAAGCAAATAATAATATTTGGCTAAATAATTTTCTGATAAAATACAACATGCAACATTAACCCCAAGAAAGGCAAATAAGTTAACAGACCCATAACAATAAATATAATTTAGAAAATCTCCAACTATTAGCAAATATAATTCAGCAATACATTTAAACAATAAGGATTCTCAATCAAGTAGAGTTTATCTCAGGAATACAAGATTATTTCTACTTAAAGAACTTAATTAATATAGTTCATTACATTAACAGGTCAAAAGAGGAAAAAACACGATCATCTCAATAAGTATTCAAGAACCAATTGACACAGTAAAACCGCTATTTCTGATTTAAGTATATGTTTGTAACAAAATACAAATTCAATGTTCTTCAAATTAAAATATTACCATTTAAGTATTTTTATATTAACAAAATGATACTCAAGATCATCTAAAAATAAACATTTGAGAATAGTCAGAAAAATTCTATAAAATAAACAAAATGATATGACTTCAAGCTATGAGAGAATATGACATTATGCAATGAGAATAATTAAAATAATTATGTACAATGGAAGAAACAGGCTGAACAATAAGAGCAAACAGAGAGTCAAGAAATGGACAAACACACCCGGAAATTTAGTACACGATTAAAGTTCAAATATGGTGTGAAAAGATAGTGGTATAATCATTGATTGACTAAATGGAAAAATATATCGTGTCACTCACTGATTTTATTTCAAAATATTCCTTGGAACCCAGAAGATGTCAGAGAAATAGTCATAAACCATAAATAAAAATGTCAATGAGGATTTTGAGACGACCTTGAAAGCAAATATGGTGTCCAAAATAAATGATTTTAAAAACTGTATTCAATTCATTTTTTTAATTTATTTTTACTTTTATTTTAGGTTCAGGGGTACAGGTGAAGGTTTGTTACACAGGTAAACTCATGTCACGGGGGTTTGTTGTACAAATTATTTTATCACCCAGGAATTAAGCCCAGTACCCAATAGTCACCTTTTCTGCTCTCCCTCCTCCCACCCTCCACCTTCAACTAACCCCAATGTCTGATGTTTCCTTCTTTGTGTTCGTAAGTTCTTATCATTTACTTCCCACTTATAAGTGAGAACTTGTGGTATTTGGTTTTCTGTTCCTGTATTAGTTTGCTAAAGATAATGGCCTCCAGCTCCAACCATGTTTCTGCCAAATACATGATTTTGTTCTTTTTTATGGCTGAATAGTATTCCATGGTATACATGTACAACACTTTGTTTATCTAATCTGTCTCAATTTATTTTAGGTACAAATTGAAATACCTAGTGCTTCCTGAAGCTTTTAAGATCATTTAAATGTAGTCCTATTAGTCTATTATCTAATCAAGTACACTTAAGGAGGTTTTTGCTTACAAACAAACTTCTTAACATTTTAAGCTACATTTATAAATTTGATAAATCCAACTGGATTTTTAGAATCTCAAAAGTCTTATTAGCGTATGAAACCTTCATGGGTACTTAAATAAGCCTTGTAATTGTAGTAAGTTAAACTTTTAAGTGTTGAAAGTCATATGCTACTGACAATGTTTCAGATTATCTTACTAACATTTCCACTTAGAATAACAATTCCCCATCAAAGGATGATTCAGCTAAGCATTTATGGGAACCACAAGCTAGTTTGTGACTCTACTAAGTCAGATTCATTCAGGTAAGTCCTTAAAACAAAAGCATCACTGATATATGTTATATTTACTTCATCATCTCTGTATTTAATTTTACACTTATTTGGAGTTAAAATAGACTTTCTTACTAAGGAAGCAATGGGGCTGGGCGCGGTGGCTCATGCCTGTAACCCCAGCACTCTGGGAGCCCGAGGTGGGCGGATCATGAGGTCAGGAGTTTGAGACTAGCCTGGCCAACATGGTGAAACCCCATCTCTATAAAAATATAAAAATTAGCAGGGTGTGGTGGTGGGTGCCTGTAATCCCAGCTACTTGGGAGGCTGAGGCAGGAGAATTGCTTGAACCTGGGAGGCAGAGGTTGCAGTGAGCCAAGATAGCGCCACTGCATTCCAGCCTAGGTGACACAGCAAGACTCTGTGTCGGAAAAAAAAAAAAGGCAGTGGGACAATCCAAATTATTTGGGGATGGTCTTAACCAAAGAATTTTCAGGATACATCATTCCAGTTGACTAACAATAAATATTGGCCAAAAATTTGGGTGACCTGGGGTTGAAGAGACTCAGTGCAATTTTTCTTAGGATAATAAGGAAGCTCAATTTGAAAATCTTAAGGCCAATAGGAAATATCAATCCATGCTCTCATCCCTAAGATTCAAGTCATCTAGTACTGAATTTTCAAGTTATGATTAGGCTGTGCTAGTTCAAAAAGCCAGTATCTGACACTCTTCACTCCTTCATCTGGATTTTGCTTCTCTTTAGGTCTCTTACAATGTTTAAGCGACATACTCTTAGGTTCTGCATGCCTCTCTTGTCTTTGTGTGGTTTCAGGTCACCATTTTGAAGGGTCCTTTTCCCTAATGCATGTACTCTCTCCCTCTCTGAAGCACTATTTTATACCTTCTCCTCCATTCTCAAACCTTCAACACTTGTTCCACCAACTTTACTCTGAGTTGAAGACCTTTCCTATAGTGAAACTAGAGTTCACTGAGAAAAAACAAAGTGATCAGAAGAGAAATTCCAGACTCTCCAAACCACACTCCCCACTTTTGAGCATCTGCCTCTACATTACTCAGGTGAACTACCATACCACGTTACTCAACATGAACCCCTCTCTTCCTGACTATTCAAACATTAATCCAGTAATTCTTCCCTCTCCCTTTCTCACAGTATCATTTTCTCCCTCTCTACCAGATATTCCCCATCAGCATTTTAAAATGCTGTGATTTTTTTTCCATCTTCATAAAGAACCCTCTCAATCCCACTTCCTTTGCCAGGCCAGTGATTTCTCTATTTCTATGCTTTCCTGCAGCAAAAACCTCTTGAAATAACTGTTTACGCTTGTCATTTCCATTTCTTCTCTTGTTTTCTCTTAAACCCACTTCAATCAGGCTTTTGCCTTCACCATTCAATTTAAACTCCTCTTCTCAAGGTCACCAATGACCTTCACGTTGCCAAATCTCACAGACAAGTGTCAGTCCTCATCTTGATCTATTATCAGCATTTGACAGGGCTAATCACTCTCCTCTCTGGTACACTACACGTTGTTTACAGGCAGTCTACGTTCTTGGTTTTTATCCCATCTCACACACTGTTTTGCTCAGTCTCCTTTGTTATTTCCTCAACTTCTCCTTAGCCTCCCAATACCGGAGTACTCAGGTTCCAGCTAGCATATTATCAACATTTACTTTCTTAGTGATTACCCAGTTTATGGACTTTAAAGTATAATTTTCCACAGCCAGACTATTACAAAAGTTATTTTTCCAGCCCAAACTATTCTTTTAATCTTTAAACTCATAAATCTAACTGCATAGGTGGTACCTCTCCTGACTATAAGGTTAACAGACAGCTGAAACAGCCTATCCAAAATGAAACTCTCATATCACCCCCAGCACCTGCCCTACCTGCATCCTTTCACCATCTCAGTTGATTATAACTCCATCCTGGTAGTTAATAACTACCAGGATGTTAAGGACAAAATCATGGAGCCATTCCTGATGTCTCTTTTCTCCTCATACCCCACAATTAACTGATCAAGAAATCACACTACCTATATGATCAAAATATATCTAGAACCTGCCTGTTCCTCTCCTTGTTATCATCCTGTTCTAATCCACTGGAGAGATGATTGCAATGGTCGCTTACCTGTCTCTAGTTTCTATCTTTATTCCCCTACATTTTCCCCTATTCTATTCCTGATGGAGCTGTCTAAAATGTAGACCCCCTATTTCACTCAGAATAAAGTCATTACACAGAAGTCCTGGGTAATATTTGATCTCCCCCATCCCCATACCTTTTTGACTCCATTTCCTATAACTATCCTTCTAGCTAATGTGGCTCCAGTAACACTCCCTGCTTGGTATTCCTGTGGCCTGCCAGGCAGCTGTGGGTCATTTGCCCAGGCCCTCCTTTTAAGTAAAATGCAACTCCCTTAGATGTCCACTTGGTAAATTTCCCCACACTCTTCAGGTTTCTGCTCAAGTCTTACTTTCTCAATGACTATCCTGACCTCCCTATTTAATACTATGACCTACTTTTACCATGACACCCAACTCTGCACCCCCAATTCCCATTAGTCTACCTTCCCTGTCCTCCATAACGGTTACTTTCTATTATACCACATAAAGTTTTTTTACAGGTACTCATCATGCGTAGTGCTAATGCCCTCTTTTTCATTTGAATCAAGCTCCATGAGCGCAGGGATATTTGTCCTTTTTGTCCACTGAGGTATCCTAAGCACCTAGGATAGTAATTGACATATAGTTGGCACTTCAAAAATTTGATGATTAATGAATTAATTCTTAGGGCAGAATATTTGTTGTATTTAACTTTTAAAAAATTTTGTGGTAAAAATTAGAGTAAGTTAAAAGGACTAATGACAAACTGGCAGGACAGATAAAGGACCAATTTCCTTTTAATACATAAAGAATTCTTACAAATTAATAAGAAAAAGGCAAAGGAAGATGGCAGAGTAGGAGATCACAGCCTTCATTCCTCCCACAGAGAGCAATAATTTGGCAGCCATTCATGAAGGTTAATAACTCTGGAAGGGCTCAGGAGTCCAAAAGATGTAGTAATACAGTAGAATAAAAAACTCAAGAATAATTACACAAAAAGTGAAGAAAGAACAGTTTCATTTTGCCTGCATCACCCCATCCCCAGTGCTGGCACTGCTCAGCATGGAGAGTGATCTCTGGCTAGCAAGTCCCTCTCACAGACAAAGGAAGGGGAGGATGAATAAGCAGCTTCCCCAGCCTTTCAGGAACTGGCCAAATCACCCTACCCAGATCGCTGGGGAAAATGGCAAACCTGGGACATATGGAAAAGTCTAGGAACAAAGAAGAGCAATGTGGGCTTACTGGTATCAGCTATGTTGTGAGAGTCACCACAGTTGCTATTATTCTACTCTATACAGGACTCTGGTACATGTCTCTGCTGCATATCCCAACAACACTTACAGTTATCATGTACCCCTCTGTCGCTTTCTCCACTAGGAACCCTGCAATGTTTGCTGTTGCAGACCCCATCTGCTTGCCCCACAGAGGATCCCAGCAGCTTTTGCTAAAGAGGTAAACAATAGCTAGCACAGCCACAACAGACTTCCTATAGCCTTCACCACTGAGGGCCTTGCAGTTTTTCCTTCACAGTCACCAGGTACCTGAGGCACAATCCCTCTTCCTCCCACCTCTTCCTCCCTGGGGCCACCTCTGCTGTTGTCACAGTGAACACTCTAGCTCAGAGGACCATCACTCCTCTCTCCTTGAAGCCACCCCAGCTACTGCCACCACAGGCACCCCAGCTCAGGGTTACAGTGCAGCTACTTACACATATGACATCAAATGGCCTGGCCCTCCCATCACAGCCCCTTGACCACACCATTACTTACCTTGGCCCCCTGCCGCTGGACCAAGAGGAGCCACTAAGGACTAGAGCAGTCCTCACTGCCACTGTGGACCTCCCACAGCTCTTGCCACCAGGGATCACATAGTAGCTTATATCACAAACCCCAGCTGCCTAAGCTGATGAGATACTGGGTGCCTCCCCAACCACAGACTTGGAGCAGCAGCATGCCCCAACATGAGGTGCCCAGAATCACTAGACCTGATGCCACAGTGCACACCCTTTCCATCCCTTGCACATGAACCCCCATCCTTTTTTTTTTTTTTTTTTAACTAGAGCCCATCCATAAAGTCTGAAAGACGGGATGACTTCAAATATGCAGATATCTTCACAAGACTACAATAATCAGGAATGAGAAAAGTGTGAGGAATCAGAAAAATGTGTCAACATCAAAGGAACAAAAATTCCAGGAACTGACCGTAAAGGAATGGAGGTCAACAGAAGGCCTGTCAAAGAATTCAAAATAATTATTCCAAAGAAGCTCACTGAGTTACAAGGGAACACAGACAAATATGTTAATGAAACCAGGAAAACAATACAAGAACAAAATGAAAAGCTAAACAAAGAGAAAGCAGAAGTTTTAGATCCGATAAACACAATGACTGAATTATGAAGTACAACTACAAAACGCAATAGAGAGCTTCAATAGCAGGCTAGATCAAGCAGAAGAAAGAAGAAGTGAATTCAAGGACAGATTATTTGAAATAGTCCAGTCAGCAGAGAAAAACATTTTTTTAAATAAAAAGGGACGAAGAAAGTTTACGGAATCAGATCTATGGAACTCCATAGATTTGCATAATAATAGTTAGAGAAGGACATTTGCATAATAATAGTTAGAGAAGGACAAGAGAGACAGAACAGGACAGAAAGCTTATTTAAGGAAATAATGGCTGCAGACTTCCCAAGTATGAGAAACATATGACCATCCAGGTACATGAAGTTCAAAGGTCTCCATTCAAAGTCAGTCCAAAGAAGTTTACACCAAGAGACTTTATAATCAATATGTCAAAAATCAAAGACACAATTAATTTTGAAAGAGGCAAGAGAAAATAAGGATATCGCATACAAGGGAACCCTAATAAGGCTATCAAATGTCTCAGAAAAAATCTTGCCTGGAGAGAGTGGAATTTTACATATATATTTCCCCACCATTCAAAAATTTTATAGATTAGTTGTTTTTTTTCAACTTCTATTTTAGGTTCAGGGAGTACATATGCAGATTTTTTACATGGGTAAATTGCATGTTGTGGGAGTTTGGTGTACAGATTGTTTCATTACCCAAGTAAGAAGCATAGTACCCAATAGGTAATTTGTTATATCTTTACCCTCCTCCCACCCTCCACCCTCAAGTAGGCCCTGGAGTCTATTGTTCCTTTCTTTGTGTCCATATATACTAAATGTTTAGCTCCCACTTAAAAGTGAAAACATGCAGTATTTAGTTTTTTGTTTCTGCATTAATTTGCTTAGGATAATGGCCTCTAGCTACTTCCATGTTGCTGCAAGGGACATGATTTTGTTCTTTTCTATGGCTTCATAGTATTCCATGGTGTATATGTAT
Organism: Homo sapiens; assembly: GCF_000001405.40. Taxonomy (NCBI): domain Eukaryota; kingdom Metazoa; phylum Chordata; class Mammalia; order Primates; family Hominidae; genus Homo; species Homo sapiens. Next base: position 3,394,818 of record NC_000003.12, read on the forward strand.
CACATTTTCTTTATCCAGTCCACCATTGATGGGCATTTAGGTTGACTCCATGTCTTTGCTATCATGAATAGTGTTGTGATGAACATTCACGTGCATGTATCTTTATGGTAGAACAATTAATATTCCTTTGTATATATACCTGGTAATGGGATTCCTGGGTCAAATGGTAGCTCTGTTTTAAGTTATTTGAGAAATGTCCAAACTGCTTTCTACAGTGGCTGAATTAGTTTACATTCCCACTAACAGTATATAAGCATTCCTTTTTCTCTTCAACCTTGCCAGCATCTGTTATTTTTTGAATTTTTAATAATGGCCATTCTGAATGGTGCGACATGTATCTCATTATGGTTTTGCTTTGCATTTCTGTAATGATTAGTGAGTTTAACATTTTTTCATATGCTTGTTTGTCATGTGTATATCTTATTTTGAGAAGTGTCTGTTCATGTTCTTTGCTTATTTTAAAATGGGGTTGTTTAAAATACAGTTTGCTGTATTCCTAGGTATTTAATGGGGTTTTTGCTTATTGATTTAAGTTCCTTATAGTTTCTAGATATTAGACCTTTGTCAGATGCATAGTTTGCAAATATTTTCTCCCTTTCTGCACGTTGTCTACTTACTCTGCTGATAGTTTCGTTTGCTGTGACCTAGTTTAATTAGGTCCCACTTGTCAATGTTTGTTTTTGTTGCAATCGCTTTTGGAGTCTTCATCATAAAATCTTTGCCTGGGCCTATGTCCAGAATGATATTTTCTAGGTTTTCTTCCAGGGTTTTTAGTTTTTACATTTACATCTTTAATCCATCTTGAGTTGATTTTTATATGTGGTGAAAGGAAGGGGTCCAATCTCATTCTTCTGCATCTGGCTAGCCAGTTATTGCAGCATCGTTTACTGAACAGGGCATCCTTTCCCCACTGCTTGTTATTATCAGCTTCATTGAAGATCAGATGGTTGTAGATGTGCAGCTTTATTTCTGGGTTCTCTAACCTCCTCCATTGGTCTATGTGTCTGTTTTTGTACTAACACCATGCTATTTTGGTTACTGTAGCCTTGTAGTATAGTTTGTAGTTTCAAGTCAGGTAGCATGATGCCTCTGGTTTTGTTCTTTTTGCTTCAAATTTCTTTGGCTATTTGGGCTCTTTTTTATTTTCTTATGAATTTTGGAATGGTTTTTCTTCTAATTCTGTGAAAAATGTCATTGGTAGTTTGATAGGAATAGCATTTAATATGTAAATTGCTTCAGGCAGTATGGCCATTTTGACACTATTGATTCTTCCTATCTATGAGCATGGAATATTTTTCCATTTGTTTGTGTCACCTTTGATATCTTTCAGCAGTGTTTTGTAATTCTCATTGCTGATATCCTTCACCACCTCCCAGTTAGCTGTATTCCTAGGTATTTAATTCTTTTTGTGGCTATTGTGAGTGGAATTTCATTCCTGATGTGGCTCATAGCTTGGATGTTATTGGTGTATAGAAATGCTACTGATTTTTGTACATTGATTTTGTATCCTGAAACTTTACTGAAGTTGTTTATCAGCTCTAGGAACCTTTGGGCAGAGACTATGGGGTTTTTCTAGGAATAAAATTATATTATCTGCAAACAGATAGTTTGACTTCCTCTCTTCCTATTTGGATGCATTTTATTTCTTTTCTTGTGTGATTGCTCTAACTATGACTTCCAGTACTGTATTGAATAGGAGTGCTAAGAGTGGGCATCCTTGTCTTGTTCCAGTTCTCAAGGAAAATGGTTCCAGCTTTTACCTATTTAGAATGACATTAGGTGTGGGTTTGTCATGGACAGCTCTTATTATTTTGAGGTTTGTTACCTCAGTGCCTAGTTAGTTGAGAGTTTTTAACATGAAGTAATGTTGGATTTTATTGAAAGCCTTTTCTGTGTCTATTGAGATGATCGTGTGGTTTTTGTTTTTAGTTCTGCTTGTGTGCTGAATCACATTTATTGATCTGCATATGTTGAACCAACCTTGCATCCCAGGGATAAAGCCTACATGATTGTGGTGGATTAGCTTTTCAATATGCTGCTGGATTTGGTTTGCTGGTATCTTGTTGAGGATTTTTGCATCTAAGTTCATCAGGGTTTTTGTCCTGAAGTTTTCTTTTTTTATTGTGTCTCTGCCAGGTTTTGGTATCAGAATGACACTAGCCTCACAGAATGAGTTATGGAGGAATCTCTCCTCCTCAACTTTTTGGAATGGCTTCAGTAGGATTGGTACCAGCTTTTCTTTATACATCTGGTAGATTTTGGCTGTGAATCTGTCTGGTCCTGGGCTTTTTCTGGTGGGTAGGTTTTTTTTTTTATTATTGATTAAATTTCAGAACTCATTGGTCTGTTCAGGGTTTCAATTTCTCTAACTCAATCTTGGGAGGCTGCATGTTTTAGGAATTTATCCGTTTGTTCTAGATTTTCTAGTTTGTGTGCATAGAGGTGTTTGTAATAGACTCTGAGGGATTTTTGTATTACTGTGAAGTCAGCGGTAATGTTCCCCTTTTCATTTCTGATTGTGTTGTTTTGGATTTTCTCCTTTTTCTTTACTAGCCTAGCTTGCAGTCTATCAATCTTATTTATTTATTTAAAGAATCAACTTTTCTTCACTGATCTTTTGTATGGTTTTTCATGTCTCCATTTCATTTAGTTTATTTCTGAGATTGGTTATTTTCTTTTGCTAGCTTTTGGGTTGGTTTGCTTTTGTTTTTCTGGTTCCTCAAAGTGTGATGTTATGTTGTTAATTTGAAATCTTTCTAACTCTTTCATGTGAGCATTCAGTGCTATAACTTTCCTCTTAGCATTGATTTTGCTGTGTTTCAGAAATTCTGGTGTGTTGTATCTTTGTTTTCATTGGTTTCAAGAAATTTCTTGCTTTCGCCTTAACTTCATTGTTTACCCAAAGGTCATTCAGGAGGACATTAATTTCCATGTAATTGTATGGTGTAATTTGAGAGATCTTCTTGGTAGTTATTTATTTATTTATTTATTTTGACGGAGTCTCTCTCTGTAGCCAGGCTGGAGTGCAGTGGCAGGTTCTCGGCTCACTGCAATCTCCACCTCCTGGGTTCAAGTGATTCCTCTGCCTCAGCCTCCTGAGTAGCTGGGACTGTAGGCACACATCACCATGTCCAGCTAATTTTCTGTATTTTAGTACAGACAGGGTTTCAACATGTTGGCCAAGATGGTCTCGAGCTCCTGACCTTGTGATCCGCCTGCCTTGGCCTAGTTACTTCTATTTCTATCATACAGTGGTCCAAGAGTGTGGTTGGTATAATTTCATTTTTTATAAATTTGTTGAGAATTGCTTTATGTCTGTGCATGTGGCCAATCTTAGAGTATGTGCCAATGAGAAGAATGTATATTCTGATGTTATTGGGTGGAGTGTTCTAAATATATCTGTTAGGTCTATTTGGTCAACTGTCAAATTTAGGTCTTGAATATCTTTGTCAGTTTTCTGCCTCAATGATCTCTTTAATATTGTCAGTGAGGTGTTCATGTTTATTATCATTGTGTGGTTATTTAAGTCTCTTCATTGGTCTCTAAGAAATTGTTTTATGAATCTAGATTCTCCAGTGTTGGGTGCATATATATTTAGAAGAGTTAAGTCTTTTTGTTGAATTGAACCCTTTATCATTATGTAACACTATTCTTTGTCCTTTTTGATCATTGTTGGTTTAAAGTCTATTTTGTCTGAATTAAGAATTGCAAACTATGCTTGCTCTCTCTCTCTCTCTTTTTAAGTTTTCTTGATAGATCTTTCTCTGTCGCTTTATTTTCATTCTGTGGGTGTCATTGCATGTGAGACTGGTTTCTTGAAGACAGCATACAACTGGGTCTTGCTTCTTTATCCAACTTGCCACTCGGTGCATTTTAAGTGCGGTGTTAAACGCATTTACATTCAAAGGTTGATATTGATATGTGAGGATTTGATTGTCTCATCGTGTTGTCAGCTGGCTGTTATGCAGACTGGATTTTGTAGTTGGTTCATAGTGACAATGGTCTATGTAACTGAGTGTGTTTTTGTGGTGACTAGTAATGGTCTTTCCTTTCCATGTTTAGCATTCCCTTAAGGACCTCTTGTAAGGCAGGTGTAGTGGTAAGGAATTCCCTTAGCATTTGGTTTTCCAAAAAGGATCTTATTTCTCCTTTACTTATGAAGCTTAGTTTGGCTGAGTATGAAATTCTTGGTTGGGATTTCTTTAAGAATGTTGAATATAGGCCCCCAATCTCTTTTGGCTGTTTCTGCTGAAAGGTCTTCTGTTAGCCTGACTGGGTTCCCCTTTCTTAGATGACCTGTTCCTTCTCTCTAGTTGCCTTTAATATTTTATCTTTCATGTTCACTTTGGAGAATCTGATACCTATGTGTCTTGGGGATGGCCCACAGATTCTAGTACGTTGTATCTTTGTTCAAATACATCCCTAAGACACGTAGTCATCAGATTCTCCAAGGTGAATGTGAAAGAAACCTGGGTACAGGTCTGCTGATGTACCTATAATCTTTGAAGTTGCTGTTCTTTGGATGGGGCTTTTGCTTTCATATTTTTTGACACCATTGAGGGCTTAACTGTAGTATGGTCATCTTTTATAGTATCCTGCAGGGGTTCTCTGAATTTCCTGAATTTTAATGTTGACGTCTCTAGTGAGGTTGGGAAAATTTTCATTGACAAATATGTTTTCCAAGTTGCTTGCTCTCTCTCCCTCTGTTTCAGGGACACCAATGTGTTGTAGTTTTGGTCTCTTTACATAATTCCATATTTCTTAGAGGATTTATTCATTTTTTACATTCTTTTTTCTTTATTTTTGTGTAACTGGGTTGATTCAAAGAACCAGTTTTCAAGCTCTGATATTCTTTCCTCTGCTTGGTCGATTCTGCTGTTAATACTTCCAATTGTATTATGAAGTTCTTGTAGTGAGTCTTTCAGCTTAATCAGGATCATTTTAGTTTACTTAAAATGGATACTTCATCTTTCAGCTTTTGTATTGTACTACTGGATTCCTTAGATTCCTTGGATCAGGTTTCAACTTTCTCCTGAATATTGATGATCTCTGTTGCCATCTAGATTCTGAATTCTATGTCTTTCATTTCAGCCATTTCAGCCTGGTTAAGAATCATTGCTAGGGAGCTACTCTGGTTGTTTGGAGCTAAGAAAACACTCTGGCTTTTTTAATTGCCATTTTTCTTGTGCTGATACTTTTTCATTTGTGTAGGCTGATGTTCTTTTAATCTTTGAAGTTGCTGTTCTTTGGATGGGGCTTTTTGCTTTTATATTCTGTGATGCTATTCAGAGTTTGATTGTGGTATAAGTTGGGTTCAGTTGACTGGCTTTGTTTCTGGATGATTTCAGGGTGCAAAGCTTAGCTTAGAACTCTGGGAGCCAGCCCACAGCTTTATTTGCTAGTCCCTTTAGGTTAAACACGTGCTGTGCTGCAGGGGCTAAGGTGTTCTTAATCAACTGGTAATAACATTCCAGGGTAGGGTCTGGGGGAGTTCCAGCCAAAGTGTTTCATTGTAGCAGTAGCAGCAGGGTCCACATGCATACACCAGTGGTGGTAGGGCAGTGGTGTGGCAGGGTATGTATACATGCACTAGCAGTGCAGCATGGTTTGCACGCACATGTGTGCTGGCGGCAGCAGTGTGGTGTGGTCCATGCATGCATGTCAGGAGTGGGGTGGCAGCATGATGGAGTCTGTGTGCATGTACCAGTGTTGGCAAGATGGTCATGTAGTTGGGTACGCACACATATTGGCAGCAGCAGTGGCAGTGGGGTGGTGGATTTTAAATGCATGTATTCATGCCAATGGCAGTGGGGTTGTGGGTTCCATACATGCACATGCCCACAAGGGCAGGACAGTGGTGGTGATGTTTGCATGTACACACACTGATTGTGGTTGGGTGGTGAGGTCCACACATGGACACACACCAGTGAAGCATTGGGGGAAGACTGCAGTTGAGTGTAATCTGGCAAAGATGTGGGGGAGTGGGGAGAGTGGGTGGGTGGGTTTGCACAAGCAAAGCAGTTGTGGGAAGCCAAGGGTGGGTGCTTGCCAGTGGGGGCTTATTTGGAGAAACTCTCTGACAGTTGGTGGGTTGGGGGGGTGTCTGCCAACAAAAGAGTTATGACAGTGGCCACTGGGAAGTGTCCTGGTTGGACACCTGAGGCTTCCTTACAAGCAAGTGCAGACAGGCAGGAACCTTGGGAGAGGCCAGCAGACAGGGTGCATCCAAATCGGACTGGCCCCATCTCAGAGGCAAGATAGCCCTGTTCTGTTGAGGTCCAACAGTCAATAAAGGACAATGCCACCTAGAGGAACGTGATGAGCCTTGGGGGATGGGCATCCCTGGCCACGCTCCATTATAGCCATTTCCATAGCAAACACTTGGATTCTGTACAGGCTGGAGTCCTCTCTCTGGCAACTCTCCAAACAGTTTTCTGTGCTAGCTCACGTGTCCATGGGGAACATGGGGTATCCTGCAGCCAGGCTTCCAGAGCTTGTGGCAAAAGTGGGCCATTCCATGCATATTTAACTCGCCCCTTTCCCAGGAGCCACTTGGGGCCAGCAACGAGTCTTGGTGGTTGACAACCCTGTGCAAGGTTCTCAGCTTCCTCTTGCTTTATGCCAGAGTCTGTGTCCTCCCCTCATCCACTCTCAATGCCTTATGAAGATCTGCTTAAAAATGTGCCAGTCTTCTTGATGGTCTAGTCTATCAGTGGACAAAGCTCTTTCTGGCTATGTCTAGTTGGCCATCTTTTCTGCCCCCTTGACTGATTTATTTAAAGTGTTAAAAGAAAAAAACTGCCAGCCAAGAATACTTGACCCAGAAAACCTGTGCTTTAGAAAAGAGGGATAAAGACTTTCCCAGGCAAACAGAAGCTGAGGAAATTAATCACCACCAGACTTGCTTTACAAGAAATGCTAAAGAAAATTATTGAAGGTGAAATGAAAGACCACTGGTAAGTAATATGAAAACATATGAAAGTATGTTTTCTCACCAGTAAACATTTAGTGAAATTCAAAATACTCTAGTACTGCCATGGTGGTATGTAAATCACTTTTAACTCTAGTATAAAGGTTAAAAGACATAAGACAAAAGCATTAAAATTAACTGTTAATATTAACTTGTGAATGTATACACAATATAAAAAGATGTAAACTGTGAAATCAAAGATGTAAAATTGGGGAGGAGCAGTAAAAGTGCAGGCACTTTGTATGCAGTCAGAGTTGTTATCAGCTTAAAATGGTCTTGTGTAGCCAAAAGATGTTTTGCATAAGCACCATGGTAACCACAAAGCAAAAACCTATAGCATATACAAAAGTAAAAAAAAAAAAAAAAAGGAATAAAAGCATACCACTACAGAAAATCACCAAATCACAAAGGAAGACAGCAGGAGAGGAAGAAAGAAACAAAGGATCTACAAAAGCAACCAAAAAATTAGTAAGATGGCGATAGTATATATCTTTACCTATCAATTATTACTTTAAATGTAAATGGACTAAGTATGCTAATCTAAAGACACAGAGTAGCTAGGTAAATAACAAAACAAAACCCAACTATATTCTGCCTACAAAGCTAATTTCACCTGTAAGGACATACATAGACTGAAAGAGAAGGGATGGAAAAAGAGATTACATATAAATAGAAACCAAAAAAGAGCAGGAGTAGCTACACTAATATCTGAAAAAATATACTTTACAACAAAAAGTGCCACAAGAGACAAAGAAGGAGTCAATTCATCAAGAAGACATAACAACTGTCAATGTATATGCAGGCAACATGAAAACACTGAAATATACAAAGCATACGTTTATAGATCTAAAGGGGGGAATATAGGGCAATATAATAATAGTAGGCGATGTCAGTGCCCCACTTTCAGCAATGGGCAGTTCATCCAGATAGAAAATCAAAAATGAAAAATTTGACTTAAGCACACTTTTGACTAAACGGACCTTGCAGACATATATACAGAACATTTAATCCAATGGCAGCAGAATACATAGTTTTCTCAAGTGCCTATAAAACATATTCCAAGATAAATCACAAGTTAGAACATAAAACAAGTCTTAAGAAACTGAATAAGATTGAAATCAACTCAAGTATATTTTCCAACAATAGTGGTATAAAACTAGAAATCAATAATTTAAAAACCCACAGGCAACAAAAGCAAAAATAAACAAGTGGGACTGTATCCAATTAAAAAGCTTCTGCACAGCAAAGGAAACAATCAACAAAATGAAAAGGCAGCCTACAGAATGGAAAACAATACTTTCAAACCATATAATTGATAAGGTATTTATATCCAAAATATATAAATAAAACTCACATAACTCAGTAGCAAAATAACCCCAAATAACCTGGCTTAAAAATGGGCAGAGGGTGACTATGTGAAGTGCTAGATATATTAATTTGCATGACTACAGTAATCATTTCATATATATATCAAAACATCATCCTGTACACCATAAATACACAAAATAAAAAATAAATTTAAAAAATATATTAAAAAGGAAAACAACCCAATGAACAAATGAGAAACTTAAAAATGGGATGTCATTGAAAAAGACTACAGCCAATGAATTAATAAAAATATGGTCAATCTCACACATAATTTAAAAAATGAAAAATAACTCAATGTTATACTTTTTCTCAGCAGAAACAACAGATGGTATATTTTTAAAAATATCAAAGATCTCATATATGAAAATTAACAGTATAAATACGTTGTTTATAAGCATTTTAGTGTTTATTAAATAGGAAAAGTTATTAGAAAACTACCAAGCAAAAATAATTACCGCAAATAAAGAGGGGGTAGAAGCAGCAGAAACAGTGGTGGAAGGCAAAATATGTGTTGTGGGGGTGAAGGTACCCACAGAGGCAGGAGCATACCAACGACAGGAAGCTGAGCATGTGGCAGTGAGGTAGCAAGTGAAGAGAATTTGAAAACTGGAAACTAGGTCTGAAGAAAGTAAAAGGCATGAATCCAAGGAGGTGAGAAGAGCACTAAAACCATTTTAGTCTGATGGCTTTTGTCAAATGAGAGCAATAGAGCGCAGGCTGTGACAGTCTTCCAGGATTGACAGTACAGTGATCACAGCTCAGTGTAATAAGTTCAAGTTCCCCAAGGGAAATTCACTCAGGTAAAAGTGAATTGAAGTAAACCTGTATAAATACCCCCCCAGCTGACTTAAAGGAAAGTTGCCTTGAACAAGCGGATAGGGAAAGGAGTATTTATTGTGCAGAAACCACTCCCCGCAAAATTCAAGGCTACAGGTAGACCAACAAGCTACTATGTGGCAAAAATTCACATCACCTTTGTAGTCCTGCAAACTTCATGAAGAGTTTAGGTAAATGTAGTCCCTGACAATAAGTGCCCATTGGTACCTAAAAGTAGTAACACAAAGGCTCTGTGGATGAAAACACTTTAATCTACAACACAAAGAATGCTCACAAATAATTTTCTATTGCCAACATGTTCAAATAAGCCTATAGGGAAACAAGCCACCACGATAAAGAAGTAGGGGAGAAAAGGGTAACAACAAACCAACAGAAACAAACTCACAACTTCAGAAATTTGTATAAGTTATTCCTTTTAAATATCAGACTAGCAAATATTCAAATGCTGATGAATTCCAGAGTTGATAAAGCTGAAAAGAAATAGACATTTTCAGTTAACACTGAGAAAAATGGCAGATAGGGAGCAGGACTAATTTGCAGCACCAACTCGGACAGACAGAGCAGCATGTGGAGACTCGCGTTGCTAACTTTTGCTCCAAGAACTTCCACAGGAACATACCAGGAAAGCTGAGAGAATCCACAGACCCTTTGAAGGAAGCAGTTTGCCACCAAAGGCACCGTGAGACAGCCGAAAGATGGTGAGTGCCCAAAGTATAAGAGGGGGAACATCCACCTCTGAACACACGTCCTCACTGGGGAAACTGAAGGTCCAGATCACAAAAGAAGGATTTGACCTTTCCTGGAGCTGAGACAAACGTTTAGACAGTGAAATAGCACTCTCAGTCCCCAGGGAAGCCATTCCTGACTTTGTCTCACAGGGGTCCTTGGGGAGGGCCAGTGGAATTGGGAAAAGACCACAGGGAGAAGGAAACTTTCAGGTGAACTTTGTAACAATTTCACTTGAATGCAAACTTTCCTGGACAGAATCTGGGGGAGGGGGTGAACAGGGAGTACAGACACAAGTACAGAAACTGTGGCAGGCAGAAAGGCACCCAAACTGAAATTCCTGCTAGCTTTCCCTGTGGAGGCGCTTGGAGCCTGGGGCAGGTTCTTAGCCCTGCTCACTGGCTGCCTGGAAATAAACTTGGTGCTGTTGTAGGGGCATGGTGGGAGTGAGACTGGCCTTTCGGGCTGTGTGGGAGCTGGGTGAGACCTGTCACTGCTGGCTTTCCCCCACTTCCCTGGTAATCTCTATGACGCAGCAGAAGACAGATTCTTTTGTTCCACGAGGTGCCCATAATCCCTCTCAAACATAACTCCAGTGGCCTGAGAAACACACCTCCATCTCCCACAGTAGCTGCAGCAAGCTCCGCACAGAGAGTCTGAGCTCAGACATGCCTAATCCTACCACAACCTGATGGTCTTACTCTAGCTGCCTGAAAGCCGAAGATAAAGGACCTAATCTCTTGGGAACTGTATGGCCCCAAAGACCACCTGAGAAACCTGAATACTTATCCAGGCGACCCTAGGGCAAGTTTGAACCCTTCCTATACTACCTCAGCTGATGCTCTCTTGAAAGCTCTACCTCCTGGCTAGAGGCCAACCAACACAAAACCAGTGCACTAAACAAAACTACAACCAAGGACCCTCGGACAGTCCACTTTACTCCCCTGCTACCTTCACCACAGTAGGTGCTGGTATCCACAGCTGAGAGACCTGAAGATGGATCACATCAGAGCACTCTCTGCAGACACTCCTCAGTACCAGCCTGGAGCACAACAGCTCTGCTGAGTGACTAGACCCAGAAGAGAAATAATCACTGCAGTTCAGCTCTCAGGAAGCCCCATCCATAGGGGAAGGGGGAGAGCACCACATCAAAGGAGCACCCCATGGGACAAAAGAATCTGAGCAATATCCCTTGAGCCCCAGATCCTCCCTGTGACATAGTTTAGCCAAATGAGAAGGAACCAGAAAAACATTTCTGGTAATATGACAAAACAAGGTTCTTTAATACCCCAAAAAGATCACACTAGCTCACCAGCAATGGATCCAAACCAAGAAGAAATCTCTGAATTGCCAGAAAAAGAATTCAGGAGGTGGATTATTAGGCTACTCAAAGAGGCACCAGAGAAAGGTGAATACCAACTTAAAGAAAAAAAAAAAGATACAGGATATAGATATGGAAAATCTCCAGAGAAATAAATAGCATAAGTAAAAAAAATCACAACTTCTGGAATTGAAGGACACACTTAAAGAAATGCAAAATAACACTGGAAAATCTTAGCAATAGAATCAAACAAGTAAAAGAAATAACTTCAGAACTTGAAAAAATGCTTTGAATTAACCCAATCCACAGAGAAAGAAAAAAGAATTTAAAAATGAACAAAGCCTCCAAGAAGTTTGGGATTATGTTAAATGAGCAAACCTAAAAATAACTGGTGTTCCCGAGGAAAAAGAGAAATCTAAAAGTTTGGAAAACATATTTGAGGGAATAATCAAGGAAAACTTCCCCAATCTCGCTAAAGATCTAGACGTCCAAATAAAAGAAGCTCAAAGAATGCCTGGGAAATTTATTGCAAAAGGATCATCACCTAAGCACATAGTCATCATGAAGTCGAGATGAAGGGAAGAATCTTAACAGCTGTGAAGCAAAAGCATCAGGTAATCTATAAAGAAAAACTCATCAGATTAACAAAAGAAACCCTACAAGCTAGAAGGGATTAGGGTCCTATCTTTAGCTTTCCTAAACAGAACAATTATCAACCAAGAATTTTGTATCCAGTGAAACTAAGCTTCATAAATGAAGGAAAGATAGTTGTTTTTTTTTTTTCCAGACAAACAAATTCTGAGAGGATTCGTCACTACCAAAAAACCCGACGTATTCAGGCAACAATTAGCATGACGAATGGAATAGTACCTCACTTCTCAGTACTAATGTTGAATGTAAGTGGCCTAAATGCTCTACTTAAAGGAAACAGAATGTCAGAATGGATAAGAATTCACCAATCAAATATCTGCTGTCTTCAACACATAAGGACTCACATAAGCTTCAGGTAAAAAGATGGAAAAAGGTATTCCAGGCAAATGGACACCAAAAGTGAGCAGGAGTAGCTACTCTTATATCAGACAAAACAGACTTTAAAGCAACAACAGTTAAAAAAGACAAACAGGGACATTATATAATGATAAAAAGACTAGTCCCAAAGGAAAAGATCACAATCATAAATATATATGAACTGAACACTGGAGGTCCCAAATCTATAAAACAATTACTACCGGCTCTAAGAAATGAGATAGACAGCAACACAATAATAGTGGGAGACTTCAATACTCCACTGACAGCACTAGACAGGTCATTAAAACAGAAAGTCAGGGATTGTTGGCAAGATGGCCAAATAGGAACAGCTCTGGTCTACAGTTCCCAGTGAGATTGATGCAGAAGGTGGGTGATTTCTGCATTTCCAACTGAGGTACCCAGTAAAACTCACTGGGACTGGGTCAGGGAACTCCCGCCCCTAGCCAAGGGAAGTCGTGAGGGACTGTGAATGGTGCACTGTGATCCAGATACTGCACTTTCCCCACAGTCTTTGCAACCCGCAGACCAGGAGATTCCCTCTGGTGCCTACACCACCAGGGCCCTGGGTTTCAAGCACAAAACTGGGTGGCCGTTTGGGCAGACACTGAACCAGCTGTGGGAATTTTTTTTCATAACCCAGTGGCACCTGGAATGGTTCACTCCCTTGGAAAGGGGGCTGAAGCCAGGGAGCCAAGTGGTCTGGCTCAGCAGGTCCCACCCCCACGGAGCCCAGCAAGCTGAGATGTATGGCTTGAAATTCTCGCTGCCAGCACAGCAATCTGAGGTTGACCTGTGACACTTGAGCTTGGTGGGGGGAAGGGGCATCCACCATTGCTGAGGCTTGAGTAGGCGGTTTTCCCCTCACAGTGTAAACAAAGCCGCCTGGAAGTTTGAACTGGGTGGAGCCCACCACAGCTCAGCAAGGCATTTGTGGCCAGACTGCCTCTCTAGATTCCTCCTCTCTGGGCAGGGCATCTCTGAAAAAAAGGCAGCAGCCCCAGTCAGGGGCTTATAGATAAGACCCCCATCTCCCAGGGTCATAGCACCTGGGGGAAAGGGCGGCTGTGGGCACAGCTTCAGCAGACATAAATATCCCTGCCTGACAGCTCTGAAGAGAGCAGCGGATCGCCCAGCACAGCATTCAAGCTCTGATAAGGAACTGACTGCCTCCTCAAGTGGGTCCCTGACCCCCATGTATCCTGACTGGGAGACACCTCCTAGTAGGGGCCGACAGACATCTCATACAGGAAAGCTCTGGCTGGCATTTGGTGGGTGCCCCTCTGGGACAAAACTTCCAGAGGAAGAAACAGGCAGCAATCTTTGCTGTTCTGCAGCCTCCACTGGTGATACCCGGGAAAACAGCGTCTTCAGTGGACCTTCAGCAAACTACAGCAGACCTGCAGTAGAGGGGCCTGTTAGAAGGAAAACTAACAAACAGAAAAGAATAAAATCAACATCAACAAAAAAGACATCTACTCAGAGACCCCATCCAAAGGTCACTAACGTCGAAGACCAAAGGTAAATAAAGCCACAAAGATGGGGAGAAACCAGCATAAAAAGGCTGAAAATAGCAAAAACCAGAATGCGTCTTCTCCTCCAAAGGATCACAACTCCATACCAGGAAAAGAACAAAACTAGATGAAGAATGAGTTTGATGAATTGACAGAAGTAGGCTTCAGAAGGTGGGTAATAACAAACTCCTCCGAGCTAAAGGAGCATGTTCTAACCCAGTGCAAGGAAGCTAAGTACCTTGAAAACAGGTTAGAGGAATTGCTAACTAGAATAATCAGTTTAGAGAAGAACACAAATGACCTGATGGAGCTGAAAAATACAGCACGAGAACTTTGTGAAACATACACAAGTATCACTAGCCAAATCAATCAAGAGGAAGAAAGGATATCAGAGATTGAAGATCAACTTAATTAAATAACGTGTGAAGACAAGATTAGAGAAAAAAGAATGAAAAGGAATGAACAGAGCCTCCAAGAAATATGGGACTATGTGAAAAGACCAAACCTACATTTGACTGGTGCACCTGAAAGTGACAGAGAATGGAACCAAGTAGGAAAACACTCTTCAGGATATTATCCAGGAGAACTTTCCCAACCTAGCAAGACAGGACAACATTCAAATTCAGGAAATACAGAGAACACCACAGATACTCCTCAAGAAGAGCAACCCCAAGAAACACAATTGTCAGATTCACCAAGGTTGAATGGAGGAAAAAATGTTAAGGACAGCCAGAGAAAAACTGCTCCTGAAGGAAGCACTAAACATGGAAAGGAACAACTGGTATCAGCCACTGCAAAAACATACCAAATTGTAAAGACCATTGACACTACGAAGAATCTGCATCAACTAACAGGCAAATAACCAGCTAGCAAAATAATGACAAGATCAAATTTACACATAACAATATTAATCTTAAATATAAATGGGCTAAATGCCCCAGTTAAAAGATACAGACTGGAAATTGGATGAAGGATCAAGACCCATTGGTGTGCTGTATTCAGGAGACCCATCTCATGTGCAAAGACACACATAGGGTCAATATAAAGGGATGGAGAAATATTTATCAACCAAATGGAAAGCAAAAAAAGCAGGGGTTGCAATCTTAGTCTCTGATAAAACAGACTTTAAACCAGCAAAGATCAAAAGAGACAAAGAAGAGCACTACATAATGGTAAAGGGATCAGTGCCACAAGAAGAGCTAACTATCCTAAATACATATGCACCCAATACAGGAGCACCCAGATTCATAAAGCAAGTCCTTAGAGACTTATAAAGAGACTTAGACTCCCACACAATAATAGTGGGAGACTTTAACACTCCACTGTCAATATTTTTAGACAGATCAACGAGACAGAAAATTAACAAGGATATCCAGGACTTGAGCTCAGCTCTGGACCAAGCGGACCTAATAGACATCTACAGAACTCTCCACCCCAAATCAACAGAATATACATTCTTCTCAGCACCACATCGCACTTATTCTAAAACTGACCACATAATTGGAAGTAAAACAATCCTCAGCAAATGCAAAAGAAAGGAAATTGTAACAGTCTCTCAGACCACAGTGCAATCAAATTAGAACTCAGGATAAAGAAACTCACCCAAAACCACACAAGTACATGGAAACTGAACAACCTGCTCCTGAATAGTACTACTGGGTAAATAACGAAATGAAGGCAGAAATAAAGATGTTCTTTGAAACCAATGAGAACAAAGATATAATGTACCAGAATCTCTGGAACACATTTAAAGCACTGTTTAGGGGGAAATTTATAGCACTAAGTGCCCACAAGAGAAAGCCGGAAAGATCTAAAATTGACATCCTAACATCACAATTAAAAGAACTAGAGAAGCAAGAGCAAACACATTCAAAAGCTAGCAGAAGACAAGAAATAACTAAGACCAGAGTAGAACTGAAGGAGATAGAGACATGAAAAACCTTTCGAAAAGTCAATGAATCCAGGAGTTGGTTTTTTGAAAAGATCAACAAAATACATAGACTGCTAGCCAGACTAATAAAAAATAAAAGAGAGAAGAATCAAGTAGATGCAATAAAAAATGATAAAGGGGATATCACCACCGATCCCACGGAAATACAAACTACCACCAGAGAATACTACAAACACCTCTACGCAAATAAACTAGAAAATCTAGAAGAAATGGATAAATTCCTGGACACATACACCCTCCCAAGTCTAAACCGGGAAGAAGTCCAATCCCTGAATAGACCAATTACAAGTTCTGAAATTGAGGCAGTAATTAATAGCCTACCAATCAAAAAACGTCCAGGACCAGAAGGATTCACAGCTGAATTCTAGCAGAGGTACAAAGAGGAGCTGGTACCATTCCTTCTGAAACTATTCCAAACAACAGAAAAAGAGGGAATTCTCCCTAACTCATTTGATGAGGCCAGCATCATCCTGACACCAAAGCCTGCAAGAGACACAACAACAACAAAAAGAAAATTTCAGGCCAATATCCCTGATGAATATCGACGCAAAAATCCTCAATAAAATACTGGCATACCGAATCGAGCAGCACAACAAAAAGCTTATCCAACATGATCAAGTCGGCTTCATCCCTGGGAGCACGGCTGGTTCAACATATACAAATCAACAAATGTAATCCATTACATAAACAGAACCAATGACAAAAACCACATGATTATCTCAATAGATGCAGAAAAGTCCTTCAACAAAATTCAACAGCCCTTCATGCTAAAAACTCTCAATAAACTAGGTATTGATGGAACGTATCTCAAAGTAATAAGAGGTATTTATGACAAACCCGCAGCCAATATCATATTGAATGGGCAAAAACTGGAAGCATTCCCTTTGAAAACCAGCACAAGACAAGGATGCCCTCTCTCACCACTCCTATTCAACACAGTATGGGAAGATCTGGCCAGGGCAATCAGGCAAGAGAAAGAAATAAAGGGTATTCAAATAGGAAAAGAGGAAGTCAAACTGTCTCTGTTTGCAGAAGACATGATTATATATTTAGAAAACCCCATTGTCTCAGCCCCAAATCTCCTTAAGCTGATAAGCAACTTCAGCAATATCTTAGGATACAAAATCAATGTGCAAAAATCACAAGCATTCCTGTACACCAATAACATACAAACAGAGCCAAATCATGAGTGAACTCCCATTCACAATTGCTACAAAGAGAATAAAACACCTAGGAATAAAACTTACAAGGGATGTGAAGGACCTCTTCAAGGAGAACTACAAACCATTGCTCAAGGAAATAAGAGAGGACACAAACAAATGGAAAAACATTCCATGCTCATGGATAGGAAGAATCAATATCATGGAAATGGCCATACTGCCCAAAGTAATTTATAGATTCAATGCTATCCCCATCAACCTACCATTGACTTTCTTCACAGAATTGGAAAAAACTAAAGTTCACATGGAACCAAAAAAGAGCCTGCATAGCTAAGACAATCCTAAGCAAACAGAACAATGCTGTAGGCATCATGCTACCTGACTTCAAACTATACTATAATGGTACAGTAACAAAAACAGCATGGTACTGGTACCAAAACAGACATATAGATCAATGGAACAGAACAGAGGCGTCAGAAATAATACCACATATGTACAATCATCTGATCTTTGCAAACCTGGCAAAAACAAGCAATGGGGAAAGGATTCCCTATTTAATAAATGGTGTTGGGAAAACTGGCTAGCCATATGCAGAAAACTGAAACTGGATTCCTTCCTTACACCTTATACAAAAATTAACTCAAGTTGGATTAAAGTCTTAAACATAAGACCTAAAACCATAAAAACCCTAGAAGAAAACCTAGGCAATACCATTCAAGACATAGGCATGGGCAAAGACTTCATGACTAAAACACCAAAAGCAATGGCAACAAAAGCCAAAATTGACAAATGGGATATAATTAAACTAAAGAGCTTCTGCACAGCAAAACAAACTATCATCAGAGTGAACAGGCAACCTACACAATGGGAGAAAATTTTTGCAGTCTATCCTTCTGACAAAGGGCTAATATCCAGAATCTATAAAAACTTAAACAAATTTACAAGAAAAAAACAAACAACTTCATCAAAAAGTGGGCAAAGGATATGAACAGACACCTCTCAAAAGAAGACATTTATGCAGCCAACAAACATATGAAAAAAACCTCATCGTGACTGGTCACTAGAGACATGCAAATCAAAACCATAATGAGATACTATCTCATGCCAGTTACAATGGTGATCATTAAAAAGTCGGGAAACAACAAATGCTGGAGAGGATGCAGAGAAATAGGAACAGTTTTACACTGTTGGTGGGAGTGTAAATTAGTTCAACCATTGTGGAAGACAGTGTGGTGATTCCTCAAGGATCTAGAACTAGAAATGCCATTTGACCCAGCAATCCCATTACTGGGTATATACCCAAAGGATTACAAATCATTCTACTATAAAGACACATGCACAAGTGTGTTTATTGCAGCACTGTTCACAATAGCAAAGACTTGGAACCATCCCAAATGCCCATCAATGACAGAATGGATAAAGAAAATGTGGCACATATATACCATGGAATACTATGCAGCCATAAAAAATTATGAGTTCATGTCCTTTGCAGGGACATGGATGAAGCTGGAAACCATCATTCTCAGCAAACTAACACAAGAACAGAAAACCAAACACCACATGTTCTCACTCATGAGTGGGAGTTGAACAATGAGAACACATGGAAACAAGGAGGAGAACATCACACACTGTGGCCTGTCAGGGGGTGGGGGGCTAGGAGAGGGATAGCATTAGGAGAAATACTTAATGTAGATGACAGGTTGATGGGTGCAGCAAACCACCATGGCACGTGTTTACCTATGTAACAAACCGGCATGTTCTGCACATGTACCTCAGAACTTAAAGTAAAAAACAAACAATAAACCACAGAAAGTCAACAAAGAAACAGTGGACTTAAACTATACCCTAGAACACATGGACTTAACAGATATTTACAGGACATTCTACCCAAGAACTGCATAATATGCATTTTATTTATCAGCACATGTAACATTCTCCAAGATAGACCATATGATAGTCAACAAACCAAGTTTCAGTAAATTTAAGAAATTCGAAATTATATCAAGTACTCTCAGACCGCAGTGGAATAAAACTGGAAATCAAGTCCAAAAGGAACCCTCAAAATCATGCAAATACATGGAAATTAAATAACCTGCTCCTCAGTGATCTTTGGGTCAACAATGAAATAAAGATGGAAGTTAAAAAATTCTTTGAACTGAACGACAATAGTGAACTATCAAAACCTCAGGGATACAGCAAAAGTGGTGGTAAGAGGAAAATTCATAGCATTGAATGCCTACATCAAATAGCCTGAAAGTGCACAAATAGACAACCTAAAGTCACACCTCAAGGAACTAGAGAAACAAGAACAAATCAAACTCAACCCCAACAGAAGAAAAGAAATAACAAAGATCAGAGCAGAATTAAATGAAACTCAAACAAACAAACAAACAAACAAAAAACCACAAAAGATAAATGAAACAAAAAGCTGGTTCTCTGAAAAGACAAATAACATTGATAAACCACTAGTGAGATTAACCAAGAAAAGAAGAGAGATGATCCAGATAAGATCAGTTAGAAATGAAATGAGAGATATTGCAACAGATACCACAGAAATACACAAGATCATTCAAGGGTACTATGAACACCTTTACATGCATAAACTAGAAAACCTAGAAGAGATGGATAAATTCATGGAAATATACAAGCCTCCTAGATTAAACTAGGAAAAAATAGAAACTGTGAACAAACCAATAATAAGCAGTGAGATTGAAGTGGTAATTAAAAAATGGCCTACAAAAAAAAAAAAGTTCAGGACCAGAGCAATTCACAGCTAAATTCTATCAGACATTCAAAGAAGAATTGGTACAAATCCTATTGACACTATTCCAAAATACAGAGAAAGAGGGAATCCTCTCTAAATCATTTATGAAGACAGTATCACCCTAATACCAAAACTAGGAAACGACATAACAAATATCTACGTCATCTGTGACAAACCCATAGCCAATATAATACTGAATGGGGAAAAGTTGAAAGCATTCCCTGTGAGAACTGGAACAAGTCAAGGATGCCCACTTTCACCCCTTCTATTCAACACAATACTGGAAGTTCTAGCCACAGCAAGCCGACAAGAGAAAGAAAGGACATCCGAATTAGTAAAGAGGAAGTCAAACTGTCACTGTTTGCCCATGTTATGATTGTATACCTAGAAAACCCTAAAGACTCATCCAAAGAGTGCCTAGAAATAAATGATAAATAAATTCAGCAAAGTTTTAGGACACAAAATTAATGTACACAAATTAGTAGTTCTGCTATACACTAACAGCAACCAAGCTGAGAATCAAATAAAGAACTGAATCCCGTTTACAATAGCTGCAAAAAAAAAAAAAAAAAAAAAAAAAGACACTTAGGAATATACCTAACCAAGGAAGTGAAAGACCTCTGAAAGAAAACTACAAAACACACCTGAAAGAAATTATAGATGACACTAACAAATGGAAACACATCCCTTGCTCATGGATGGGTAGAATCAATATTGTGAAAATGACCATACTCCCCAAAGCAATCTACAAATTCAGTGCAATTCCCATCAAAATACCACTATCATTCTTCACAGGACTACAAAAAACAATCTTAAAATTCATAGGGAACCAAAAAGAGCCTGCATAACCAAAGCAAGACTGAGCAACAAAAAGCAAATCTGGAGACATCACATTACTGGACTTCAAACTATACAATAATGCCATAGTTATCTAAACAGCACAGTATGGGTATAAAAATGGACACATATACCAGTGGAACAGAATAGAGAACCCAGAAATAAAGCCAAAACTTAACAGCTAAGTGATCTTCGACAAAGCAAACAAAAAAGTAAACTGGCAAAAGAACACTCTATTCAACAAATGGTGCTGGGATAACTGGCAAGCCACATGTAGAAGAATAAAGCTGGATCCTCATCGCCCACCTTACACAAAAATCAACTCAAGATGGATCAAAGACTTAAATCGAAGATCTGAAACTGTAAAAATCCTAGAAGATCACATAAGAGAAACCCTTCTAGACACTGGCTTGGGCAAATACTTCATAACCAAGAACCCAAAAGCAAATGCAACAAACACAAAGATAAACAGATGGGACTTAATTAAACTGAAAAGCTTCTGCAGAGCAAAAGACACAATAAGCAGAGTAAACAGACAACCCACAGAATAGGAGAAAACCTTTGCAATATATACATACGATTATGTACTAATATCCAGAATCTACAAGGAACACAAACAAATCAGCAAGAAAAAAAAACAATTTCATCAAAAAGTGGGCAAAGGCCATAAATACACAATTCTTAAAAGAAGATATACAAATGGCCAACAAACATACAAAAAATACTCAACATGACTAATTATTAGGGAACTGCAAATCAAAACTACAATGCAATACCACCTTACTCCTGCAAAAGTAACTATAAAAAAAACAGGTGTTGGCATGGATGTAGTTAAAAGGGGACACTTTTACACTGTTGGTGGGAATGTAAACTAGTACAACCACTATGGAAAACAGTGTGGAGAATCCTTAAAAGACTAAAAGTAGATCTACCATTTGATCCAACAATCCCACTACTGGGTATCTACCCAGAGGAAAAGAAGTTATCATATGAAAAAGGTACTTGCACATGCATGTTTATAGCAGCACAATTTGCACTTGCAAAAATATGGAACCAGCCTAAATGCCCATCAATTAATAACTGGATAAAGAAAATGTGGTGTATATATATCATGGACTACTACTCAGCCATAAAAAGAAACGAAATAATGGCAATTGCAGCAACCTGGATGGAATTGGAGACATTATTTTAAGTGAAGTAACTCAGGAATAGAAAACCAAACATTATATGTTCTCACTTATAAGTGGGAACTAAGCTATGAGGATGCAAAGGCTTAAGAATGATACAATGGACTTCAGGGACTTGAGGGAAAGGGCAGGAGGTGGGTGAGGGATAAAAGACTACACATTGGGTTCAGTGTACACTGCTTGGGTGATGCGTGCACCAAAATCTCAGAAATCACCACTAAAAAACTTATCCATGTAACCAAGCACCACCTGTTCCTCAAAAACCAATTGAAATAAAAATGTGTTGTTTTTTTAAAAAAAGAAATTGGCATTTTCAGACAGTATAAATTGTTGACACTTTTTTGGACAATTTAACAATTGTCTGGGCATTTTTTTCTGGGTACTTCAACAATATCTAACACAATTTTAAATTTATATCATTTGACTCAAAAAGTTCACTGCTAGAAATATATCCTCATATTTACGAATATAACTATATAAAGATATTTAGTACAATATTTCCAGTTTTCTGTTAATTCAGAAACTTAATGGGTCTGAAATATTTAAATACATTAGAGCAGGAGTCCCCAGCTTTCAATGGTACCCTTCCATGGCCCGTTAGGAAACGGGTTGCACAGCAGGAGGCGAGTGGCATGCGCAGGAACAAAGCTTCATTGGTATTTACAGCTGTTCCCCATCCTTTGCCTTACACCTAAGCTCTGCCTCCTGTCAGATCAGAGGTAGCATTAGATTCTCATAGGAGAGCAAACCCTGTTATGAACTGCGCATGAGAGAGATGTAGGTTGCGCGCTCCTAATGAGAATCTAATGCTTGATGATCTGTCGCTGTCTCCCATTACCCCCAGATGGGACTGTATAGTTGCAGGAAAACAAGCTCAGGGTTTCCACTGATTCTACATTATGGTGAGTTTTATAATTATTTCATTATCTATTCCAATGTAATAATAATAGAAATAAAGTGCTCAAAAATGTAATACACTTGAATCATCCCAAAACCATTCCCCACCAGACCCTCGTCCTCCTACTCCACACCCCCCCACCCCCGCCACATCCAAGGAAAAATTGTCTTCCACAAAACCGGTCTCTGGTACCAAAAAGGTTGGGGACTGCTGTATTATAGTATACCCATGCTATTGGATTTCTCTGCCACCATCACAAAGGATAGGTTAGATCTTATATACTCTTATGGAAAGTGCTCTAAGACATGAAAGCAAAGTGTAACTACATGAATGCTATTTTTAAACAGGATATAAATAGCTGTATAGCAGTATACACATATAGAAGCATATAAACACACATATATGTATTGTGTGTATGCACACATGCTGATATTTGCATACAATTTTTATAGAAAGACATAAAAGTGCTAAGAGTCCTATTTTCCATGAATTATGGATGCGGGTTAGATAAGTTTTTTTTTTCACTTTAATACCTATATAAAACTCTAATTTTTACTATGTTATTATTTTAATAAATTTGAATTGTAATGTTAAAGAAGAAATGCAGAATTAATCTTTCCCAATATATTAATGCAAGTCAAGCATTTCTCTAGGTGCTGAGGATGCACCAATGAACAAAACAATTATGGTACCTGTTTCAGCAGAACTTCTATTCTATTTGAACACATTGAAAAAAGTTATAGTCAAAAATGGCTTATCATTATGGCTAAGCAAATAGATAAAGTACATAAAAAGCTTGTTTTCTTAATGTAAATATTCCCTTTATAAATATATTTTCTTATACTATTGATTCTTATATAGGCGTATTTTCATCAGAAGTATCAATTACATTCTATATGTCTATTTTCTAAGTTCTAAACTTCGAGGAGCCTAAGTATGTACAGTTATACTATATAGATTTATTAGATAGGTAACTATAGCAGCTCCCACAACAACCTGTTTACCAAGTGTCCCTATCTCTTTTTAAAAATGTATTTATGTTTTCCCTTTTTAGTTGACACATAATAATTATACGTATTTGTGGGCTACAGAATACTATTTTCATACATGTATACCATATGTAATGATCAAATCAGGGTAATTAGCATATCCATCACCTCAAATATTTACCATTTTTTGTACTGTCAACATTCAAAATCTTCTATCTTTTTGAATATATACAAGGAATTATACTTTAACCATATTCACTCTAGAGTGCTGTAAAACACCAGAACTCATTTCTTATATCTAGGTGTAATTTCGTAACTGTTAACCAACTTCTCTCCACTCTCCTCTCCCTCCTACCATTCCCAGCTTCTAATACTCACAATTTTACCCTCTTTTTTCAATGAAAACAATCAACAAAGTGAAGAGACAACCTGTAGAATGGGAGAAAACATTTGCAAACTCTTCATCTGACAGGGGACTAATATCCAGAAAATACAAAGGACTCAAACAACAAAACAGTGAAAATACAAATAATGCAATTAAAAAGTGGGCAAAGGAACTGAACAGATATTTCTCAAAAGACAACATCCAAATGGCTGGCAAATATATGAAAAAATGTTCAACATCACTAATCACCAGGGAAATGCAAATCAAAACTACAAGATCGTAACTCACCCAAGTTAGAATGGCTATCATCAAAAAACCAAAAAATTACAAATGCTGGTGAGTATGAGAAGAAAAGGGAACTCTTATATGCTGTTGGTGGGAATGTAAATTAATGCAACCATTATGGAGAAAAGTATGAAGTTTCCTCAAAACATTAAAAACAGAGCTACCATAAAATCCAGGAATCCCACTACTGGGTATTTCTCTAGAGTAAAGAGAATCAGAATGTCAAAGGAATACCTGTACCACCACCATGTTTATTGCAGCACTAGTCAAAATAGCTAATATACGGAATCAACCTAAATCTCCATCAACAGATGAACAGACAAGGAAAAAGCTGTATACTTTGTTATGACATTCGTTATTAGGTCATAACAATGAATGAAATCCTGTCTCTATCTTAATCATGGCAGTGAGCTTGGCTTTCATTTCTAGCCAAAGGTAATCAAGAGATGAATAGAAAATTACTGCCCATTACAATAGATTGGTTAGTCACATCCTTAAGGTTTCATTTTCAGCTGGCCTCAATCTGGTTATCCAAATTATACCAGTTGCTTTCTCTGTAAGTATTTATAAAATGTCCTGCAAATAAAATAATTATGTAGCTAAATTTTCATTTCTTAGGATCAGCATTACAAGAATCTACTGAACAGACCATATTGTTCAAATTGATAGTTTTATAATAAGGATTCCAAAGTTCAGGGAGTTGGAGTGCTTTGTCCAAAGCCACTCAATTAGACTTAGGTAGAGTCAGGTATCCTGATTCCCAGTCCAGGAGGCTTTCTCCTACCCTATGCTACCATGTACCATGGGTCTAGAATCAGGTAGTGTTACTATTTATCACTGATCCAATTTCCCTTTCTTTACAATCTTCTTATGGTCATTTTCCACCTATCAAACCCTTCTGTGAATGTGGAGTTCTTTTCTAATATTTTAATTAGTCTATAAAAAACATAATTATTATCTCATTTTCTCTATTTTTGTGCAAGATCCAAATAGATATTTACAGGTGCAGACCAAAACGCTCAGTTGGGAAGAAGAGCAAATAAGGTTTTTTTTCAAAATACCTTCACACATTTGGGCAGATTTTTGATGTTTCTTGGAATCCACTATGTACACTAAGTAGCTCCATGATCTGAAAATTGTGGACAAATAACTTTATTACAGAAAAATGACAAGTTAAGAGAAGGAAAAAATTCCCCAAAGCTGAAATTCTCCTCTTGTTATTGTTTAATAACTAATTAGCAAAGCCAGTTATTTCTCAACTTAATGCTTTAACTATGTAGGACACTACTTAACAATAAGAAAAATGAAAGATAAATTTTTAAAAAGAAATTCTACAATTGGCATTATTACCTGACCTTTGTTTCTCATCTGTTACACTGTTTCGAATGTAAACACAGAGGAGCAATTTCAAAGAAATTACCTTACAAGATGATGTTTAATTATTTTCAGGGTCAAATAGTAGATAGTAAATGGTTGTTCCTAAAAATGTGGACGGGTTAAAAATGTTATTCCTCCATCAATGCATACCTTTAATTTATGTGTCCAATTCTATATCATTCTGTAGGATCATGACAGCCTAAATGTCTTGGGAGGGAAGAAAAAAAGGAAAAGAAAAATGAAAACCCAATGGAACTATGCCTGAGTTGTTAAATTAAATGATCATTGTTATTAAAGGAACCTAAGTTGTTTGCTGAGCACTTAAGCAGCTTGGTAGACAGAGTCTTACTCAACTCTGTCGAGATGGAAAGTTAAATATAGCAAATTACTCCCTGTAAGGACATCACGTTGAAGATAATAGATATTGTTAGCATCCACAGTTACCCATCTTGTTTCCTTTTCTATCATTCAGGAAAACCAGCACTAGATCAGATAATTAGAGATTTAGAAAAGAAACACTACCTTCAAGACTTTACAATATTTTTTCCCCTTAAAGTCCAAAGGGAAGGAGATGAATGAGCCCAGGTGCATAACTCAAATCTCATCACCACCTGCATTTGGTCTCTCTCTCTCTGACAAACATACTCTTTTTTCTGTGTATCCCTATTATCTTTAATGACCAGCAGAAAGCAAATAAGAGCAATGAGGATTGGGGCTAAAAGTTATCAGGTGTGCAGGTTCATTAGCAAGAACTAATGAGTGATTGTACCGCACAATTCAAATGATTGTAAATAACCAACATGTGATTATAAAGCATTAGAAAAATACTGAGTTTTCTGCATGCAAATGCTAATATAACTGAGCTTCTCATGTATGTGAAAGACCATTTTAATGCTAAATCCCATTCATACATGCCTTTTCCTCAGAGACAGGCACAGCAGAGCTTTTGGATAATGAATGACTCAAACCCTAGTTTCTTCCCTCTCATTGGCCCAAGGAAGCAGCAGGAGTGAAAAAAGAATGAAGTAACATTTTTTTGCTCCACGTATTTTGAGCTAACATCATGGGATACAGCCTATGGGAGAAAACAATCTCTTCCCAGAACATTAAATCAAAGAATTGAGGCAAGTCTGGGGTTGATTCCCCATTAGCCATGACATTATTCCTTATTCAGGTATTGGATTGTTTGTGTTTTACTTCTAGAAACAGAGGTTGGTTTGATTTCTTTGTTCTCTGGCCATCTCTACTAGGGTGGTAAGGAGAAGCGGAAAAAACTCAATTCAGTGCACATGACACCCTGCTGTAAAAACTTTTTAAAGGTAAAACTATCATTTACAGATGTTTGTTAAAATATAGATTCCTGGTCCCACACCTAGTGAATGGTTACTACGGCTGCATAATAAATGATCTCAAAACGTAGTGACTTAAAACCCATTCAAAAGTTTTTGCTTACCATTTCGTGGGTCAGAAATTCAGGAAGCGCTCAGAAGGGATACTCTAGAGTTTCTCACATGGCTGGAATCAGATGTTGGCAGAGACTAGACCCACAAATTGGACTAGATCAACTGGACTGTATATTCAAGATAGTGTGCCCACATAGCCAGGGGTTGATGCTTACTGTTGACTGGGAGCCTTAGCTTAAACTGTTGACCACAGCATCTATATGGGCCTCTCCAGCATAGTGAGATTAAAGTAGTCAAACTTCTTAGATGGCAGTTAGCTTCTCCTGGAGTAAGTGTCCCAACAGGACCAGGTGGGAGGAGCATAGCCTTTTCTGGCCTATCCACAGAGCTCACATAGTGCCACCTCTTTCAAAATCTGTTCGTTTAAGTACTCACAAACCTTCCCAGATTCAAAGGGAGAAGATATAGAACCTACCATTCAATGGAAAGATTATCAAATAATTCTTGACTTTGAAGTAAACAGTCTTCCCTCTGGATACAAATTCTTTATATTCCTTCCACTTGCAAAATACACTCTTATCTTCATCCTACATCCCCAAAGTCTCCTCTTATTGTGACATCAACTTAAAGTCCAGGACCTTGTCATCTAAACTAGGTCTAGTGTGGATGAGAGTCCTTATGTATTATTCCTTGAGTGTGAGTCCTCTTAATTTGAAGACCTATGAGCTAAAGAAATAAATTATTTGCTCTCTGCCCCACATATGAGTGTGGATGGGCATAGGATAACCTCTAAACGTATTTCTATTTAAAAAAGAGGAAAACAGGAGGTAGAAGCAATTTCTGGCCCATAGCACATTTGAATCCAACCAGATACATGCTTCAGCTTCTTAACTAAGTTTCCGTTATTTTCCAGGAATCTTAACTTTCCTTCTGGATTCTTGGTTCACCTTCTCAGTCATCTTTCCCTTTCCAGGAGAAATTGCCTGTGTTTGCAACCGAGTATCATTCTTACTCTACTTTCTGCCTCTATTAATCTACCTTTGTCCTTTTCAAAACAAGTTGATATAATTTCTTTAAAAACATAATGGCTTTCCTGCATATAAATTTACAAACCCATCTATTAAAAGCCAACCTCACAAATATCTTTGAAATAATTATCTTTCTCTACCCCAGACCCCTGTGGGACCAGCATGAAATAATAAAATAAATATTCATAGGAGCCTGATTGTGATTATTTAGCAGAAAGCATCTATGAGGTTTTTTTCTTAAGACCCTTATAAGGCTTTGTTTAAGAGTGTTTGAGGTCCCACCTTACATTTTTCTGTCTTCTTAAAAAATCATTTTAGAATCACACTCTTATCTTCATTTTTACTGAGATATTTTCCTGAAAGTTCCTTAGCTTTGATATTTGCTCTATGACTCTTTCTTACTTCTCCTCTGGAAAAATATAAAATCACAAAAATGCCTCAAATTGCCTTTACCACTATTCAATATTTATTCAAAATAAGTAGTCATACCAGGGGAAAATACCTGTTTACAAACATAAAGAACAAAATCAGAAATGTTGAGATTAAAAACTGAACAGGAATCAAGTAAAAATTTACAGTTAAAAATTACAGAAACTGGCCGGGTGGGCTGGCTCATGCCTGTAATCCTAGCACTCTGGGAGGCCGAGGTGGGTGGATCATCTGAGGTCAGGAGTTTGAGACCAGCCTGGCCAACATGGTGAAACCCCATCTCTTCTAAAAATACAAAAATTAGCAGGGTGGTGGTAGGTGCCTGTAATCCCAGCTACTTGGGAGGCTGAGGTGGGAGAATCACTTGAATCCCGGAGGCGGAGGTTGCAGTGAGCTGAGATTGCACCACTGTACTCCAGCCTGGGTGACAGAGTGAGCTGTGTCTCAAAAGAAAAAAAAATACAGAAATTAAGATCTCAAAGCATAAGTTTAACAAGAGATTAGATATAAGAAGATAATGGTTAGTGAACTAGAAGATAGGTAAGATAAAAATGCCTAGACTGAAACACAGAGAATAAAGATAGAGAATACAGGAAAGAACATAAGAGGTATACAGAAGACAATGAAAACATCTAACATGTGTTTTTAGGATTATAATAGGAAAGGAGAGAGAATGAGGCAGAAATAATATGTGAAAAGGTAATGACTGAGAATTTCCCCAAATAGACAAAATACATTAAGAAATGCTAGAAACTGCATAGATTCAAGAATGGCCAGGAACCCAAAACAAGATAAATACATAAGCATATCATAGTAAAGCTGCTTAAAACCAAAGAGAAAAAAATCTTGAAGGAAGCTAGGAAAAAAGCTAAGTATAATCTTCAAAGAAGGAACAGTAACAATAGTATTTGACTTCTCAACAGAAACAATAGAAGCTGAAAGGCAGTGGAATGACATTTTTAAAATGCTTAAAGAAAAATTCTATCAACATAGAAAACCATACCCAAAAAATGAAAGTGAAAAAAAACACTCTTAGGCAAATAACACTTCCAGGCATTTGTCACTACCAGGCCTGCACTAGAGGAATTGCTAAGGGGAATTCTTCCAGGAGAAGGAAACTTTCTCAGAAGGAAGCACAAAGCTCTTCCTTTCTTAGAAGGAAATGAAGAGCAACAGGAAGGACATATATGCGGATCAATCTAAGAAATGTTGCCTGTATAATAAAACCCTAAGTACAATGTCTTATGGGGTCTAGAATATATGTAGAATTGACTATATTTAAAACAATAGTACAAAAGGTGAGGAGGAAGTGTATTTTGCCACAGTGAAAAACAAAAAGGTTTAGAGAGGGTAAGACACTCTTGTGTAATGTGATAAATGGTAAAACTATTAATTTTATGAGTGTTGTGATATTTAGAGTGACCACAAAAAGAAGAATAAAACTATTTATGACTAAACAGCCAGAGGGAGAAACGAAGTAAAAGTTAATATAAAAAAATACTTTATATAAAAGGCCAGAAAGGAAAGAAAATGTAGCACAATTGGTGTGACAAATGGAAAACAAAGAGACTACACTTAAATACTTCAGTAGTGACATTAAAGGTAAATAGAATAAATGCTCTAAATTAGAGACAAGAGGGCCTGACTGGATTTCAAAAATTCAACCCTATGGTGGGTACAAGAGCATGCCTGAAATACAAAGATACAAAAAGGTTGAAAATAAAATATGGCAATAAAATAACACGTAATTTAGAAAAAGCTATACTAAAAAATAAGTGCTATAGCAATACTAATTACAAAGCAGACTTTACAAGAAGCAGCATTACTGGGGACAAAGAGAAGCATTTATAATGATAAGAATGTCTATCCACTAGGAAACTCTAAGAATTACAGATCTGTAGGCGCCTAACAAAACATCCTCAAAATGATGAGCCAAAATTGATGGAACAAAGAAGAAGAAGAAAAAGCACAACCATGGTGGGAGAATTTAACATACTTTCATTGGTACCTAATAAGACAAACAATCCCCAGATAAGTAAGGTATAAAATACTTAAGTAACACAACAAACTGATCTAAATGTTATACAGATTATTGCTTTTTTTTAAGATGAAGTCTCGCTCTGTCACCCAGGCTGGAGTGCAGTGGCATGATCTTGGCTCTCTACAACATCTGCCTCAAGCAATTCTTGTGCCTCAGCCTCCTGAGTAGCTAGAATTACAGGTATGCACCACCAAGCCCAGCTAATTTTTGTATTCTTAGTAGAGATGGGGTTTTGCCATGTTGGCCAGGCTGGTCTTAAACTCCTGACTTCAGGTGATCTGCCTGCCTCGGCCTCCCAAAGTACTGGGATAACAGGCATCAGCCATGACTCCCGGCCAGATTATTGCTAAAATAAAACAAAACAAAACAAAGAACAAACAGCAGAATATGCATTATTTTAGTGTTAAACATATGCCAAAATTGACAATATTGTTGGGCATAAGGCAAATATCAATGCATTTCAAAGAACTCAAACTGTAGAGTGTATTTCCTCTGACCAGAGTAGAATTAAATTAGGAATCAGTAATATAGATACTGAGGAACTCCCTAAAGGTTTGGTAGTTAAGCCTTCTACTTGTAAGCCAAAGTGTAAAACAAGAAGTCACAGTACTAATTAGAGAATATTTTGAACTGGGTGATAATAAAAAACCAAATATTAAAAAAACTGTAAGATACAAGTCATGTACAGTAGAGTGATAAAATAAGCCTTATTTATGTTAGAAAAGAAAAATGAAAATTATCAATAAAGAACTTCTGTCCATAAAAGAACTCCAATAAGTATGTAAGAAAAAGACAGATAACCTAATTTAAAAAGACAAAATATATAGAAAGTTACTTTACAGAAAAGTATATGCAAATAACCAATAAATAAGTTTAAAAGTACTCAATTTTAAAAAAACTTGTATTTTAGGTTCAGAAGTTCATGTGCATTTGTTATACAGGTAAACTCGTGTAATGAGGGTTAAGTGTACAGATTATTTTGTTACCCGGGTACTAATCCCAGTACCCAATAGTTATTTCTTCTGACCCTCTCCCTCCTCCCACCTACCACCCTCCAATAGGCCCTAATGTGTGTTGTTCCCCTCCATGTGTCCATGCATTTCCATCATTTAGCTCCCACATAGAAGTGGGAATATGTGGTATTTGGTTTTCTTTTCCTGCATTAGTTTGCTAAAGATAATGGCCTCCAGCATCATCCATGTACCCACAAAAATATGATCTCATTCTTTATTATGGCTGCATAGTATTCCATGGTATTTATGTACCACATTTTCTTTATCCAGTCTGTCATTGATGGACATCTAGGTTGATTTCATGTCTTTGCTACTGTGAATAGTGCTGCAATGAACATTTGCATGCATGTGTCTTTATGACAGAGTGATTTATATTCTTTTGGGTATATACCCCATGATGGGATAGCTGGGTCAAATGGCAGTTGTGTTTTTAGCTCTTTGAGGAATTGCCACACTACTTTCTACAATGGTTGAACTAATTTACACTCCCAGCAACAGTGTATAAGCAGTCTCTTTTCTCCACAAACTTGCCAGTATATTACTTTTTGACTTTTTAATAACAGCCATTCTGACTGGTGTGAGATGGTCGGTCTCTCATTGTGGTTTTGATTTGCATTTCTCTAATGAAACAACCCCAGTAAAAACTGGGCAAAGGGCATGAACAGACACTTTTCAGAAGATGACATACACGTGGCCAGCAAGTATATTTTTTAAAGTTCTCAATTTTATTAGTCATTGAGAAATGCAAACAAAACCACAATGACTTATCAGTATAAATGCACCAGAATGACATTTGAAAACAAAACAAGTGACCAAAACACCTCTTAACTATATAAAATGTTGTTGAGAATATGGAGCAATTGTGTATTTTGGATGGGAGTAAAAATTGGTACAATGACCTTGGAAAACCAATTGCAGTATTCATTAAAAGATGAACATGTGCCTAACCTATAACCTACGTATCTCACTCTTAAGTACATAATCAAATAAATGTGTGAACATGTGTACCAAAGGAGATGTATTAGAGTGTTTAATCCAGCATTATTTATAATAGCCCCAAGCAGGAAACAGCATAAATGTTCATCAACAGTAGAATGGATTTTTAAAATTATGGCAAATTTGCACAATGGGATTTTGAACACTAATAAAAATGAACTACTGCCAAAGAAAACAATGTGGCCAACTCTCACAAATATGTTGAGTGGCAGAAAGACACAAAACAGTATCTACTGAGTGATTCTATTTACATTAATTTCAAAACCAGACAAAACTAATCTATGCTGTTAGAAATCAAGATAGGAATTACCACTGGGGAGGGACCACAAGGGAGATTTCTGGGATGTACGTAATGTTCTGCTTCATGCCGGCAGGATCACACAAAAGTGTTTACTTTGTGACCATTCATCAAGTTGTACATTTATGATTTGTGTGTGCATTTTCCTGTATATTTGACACATCAATATAAAAGTTTATAATAAAAACAAACCAAAGTACAGGTACGCCTTGCTTTGCAAAGTAGTGCCGGCCTATAAAAATGAGAACGCAAACTGAACCTGCACATTCACGGGAAAAATTACAACTGTTCTGTGATTTTTATTTTTATTTTTTAATTAATTAATTAATTAATGTATTTATTTTTGAGACAGAGTCTTGATCTGTTGCCCAGGCTGGAGTACAGTGGCGCAATCTCGGCTCACTGCAACCTCCACCTCCCAGGTTCAAGCGGTTCTCCTGCCTCAGCCTCCTGAGTAGCTGGGGTTACAGGTGCCCACCACCACACCTGGCTAATTTTTGTATTTTTAGTAGAGATGGGGTTTCACCATGTTGGCCAGGTTGGTCTCAAACTCCTGACCTCAGGGGATCCACCCACCTTGGCCTCCCAAAATGCTGGGATTACAGGTGTAAGCCACTGTGCCCGGCTGTGTTCTGTGATTTTTAAAAATGTATTTTTGTACTTTATACAGTTACAGTTGATAGACTCAGGTAACTGCAATTTGATCCATGCTCCTGGGGGACTTACTCAACTAGACCTTGGTAATTAAAATTTAGGCATATTGAAATCACAAAAAGTAATGACTACCTCTAATTTGAAACTTTATCTTCTGCTTTCTTTGTGTGTTAAGACACACCAGATTTTATTACAATTACTTATCCACATTCCAGTCTCAGTTGTTACATTATATCCACATGCCTTGCATAGTATCTGACATATATCAAATGCTCAATAACCATTTGTTGAATAAATGATCCAAGACCTGGATATCTACTATAATCCCCAAAAAGAGAATAAACCCCAAAGGACTTGAGAAGTGACTTCTAGAAGCCTTAGAATATATATTTTCAATTAATTTCACACATCCTAAAATAGTAATAAAAATTCAGTAATATAAATTCAAATAGAAATACTTAATATTTCCTAACAGACAAGTCAGACATTTTGCTAGGTGACCGGGAATCAGGTATCAAAGAGACGTAGTCTCCCTCAGGAAGCTTACAGCATGGTGGGAAAATATCTTTGTTACCTTAGGCTACAGAATGAAGGTGGTGACATTTTCTTTTATTCATTATTAACATTCATGTCACCCATGTTGTGCCCTCTTAAGAAAATAAGTCAGGCTGGGTGCTGTGGCTCACTCCTATAATCCAAGCACTTTGGGAGGCTGAGGTGGGTAGATTGTTTGAGCCCAGGGAGTTTGAGACCAACCTGGGTAACATGGTGAAACACTGTCTCTACCAAAAAACAAAAAAGCAAAAAACAATTAGCCAGGCATGGTGGTGCACACCTGTAATCCCAACTGCTCGGGAGGCTGAGGTGGGAGGATGGCTTGAGCCTAGGAGGCAGAGGTTGTAGTGAGCCATAATAGTGCCACTGTGCTCCAGCCTGGGTGACAGAGCCAGATATTTTCTCAAAAAAAAAAAAAAAAGTCATAATTTCAGTCCTTGCTGAGCTACTACCCAAGGCACAATGGTGTTCTCATTAAGCATGGAGATGTTTTGCTACTGTTGAAGCTACTGTTTGTAGCCTTGATCCTGCACAGTAGTTCACTTACAGCTTCCTACTATCTTACCCTACCCTCACTGCACTGCCATTCTAATGGGAAGATTCCCTGGAGCAAGGGGAGGAGCACTGG
This sequence comes from Homo sapiens, assembly GCF_000001405.40. Taxonomy (NCBI): domain Eukaryota; kingdom Metazoa; phylum Chordata; class Mammalia; order Primates; family Hominidae; genus Homo; species Homo sapiens. Next base: position 3,429,458 of record NC_000003.12, read on the forward strand.
AAAAGCAAGTCCTAACAATACATGCCACGCAGTCGGCTTAGGCTGTTCCCTCCTCCTCAAATGCTTGTCCATAAGGCATCCTCTGTCCCTTTCCCCTGATCAGTGCCAACTTGTTCTTTAAAGCTCAGATTCCTGGCCCCACAGTCTGAACCAAAAATTCCCTTAGATGTTTTTATAGTAGCATACATCTTTTCTTCCCAGCACTCATCTCACTTTGCAATTATATATTATTTGTATGAATATTTGATCACTGTCTATCTCCCAAGAAACGCTCAATGTCATAAATTCGCAGTACCAGGAACACAGAGTAGGCATTCAACAGACATCATAGCTTAATAAAAAATTTGGCTTGTGGTTAAGCCAGGTTTCAGACACAGGACTGTGATAAAAGAGAAATTGTTCTTTGCTTTTCAAATTTACTTGCTGATTATTGCCATTTAGCCAGAGTAGAACTGATAACTGAAGACGTTTGTCATTACATCATGTCTGGCCTTTATTCCACGACCTTATTTCTTCCCTTCTGCTCAGGAGAACATATTGTATAAGGTCAGCGAGATGGATCTGAAGCCCCAGTTTAGTGTCTTCCCTTGCCAAAAAAATCACTTCTGTCTGGGGCACACACCTGCTTCTTCCTTCTGTGCCAGCTCTGTGAGGTGAGGCAAATTGGAGTCGCTCCTCTTTCCAGGATTGGTGGGACGAACACCTCTAGCTTCTGTTCTCCATCAAACAGCAAGTAGTCAATGGGTACTTATTACAGTTGCAGCACAAGACCAAATGAAACAGGAAATGGAGTCACACCAGTCCTGAACCTAGGAGTCTACCTTGCCCCTCCCAGATCCCATCAATCAACAAATCTTGTCGATTTAAATTCCCAACCTTCTTTTCAATCAACCCACTTCCTTTGGTCTTCATCACCCAAGATCAAGCCACCATCTTCCTTTGCCTGTGTCTCCTAAGTGTCCCCGCATCCACGCTGGCCCTCTCCAGCTGTTTTCACTAGACCTACAGTGATAGGTTCAAGTGTAAAATCTCATCCTTTTGCCTTCCCTGAACCCTACACACTTGTTTAAACCCCTACAATGTTCTGCAATTGTTGTTGGAAACATAGTTCATATCGTACCCCATGAGGCCCCACACGTTGGCCTACTCTTTTGGTCTTATCTTATGCCACTTTCACCCTACTCTCTGAGCTCCTGCCACTGTGGCCTTTAGTTTTCCTAAAGGATTGATGCTCCTACTCACCCATGAGCCTTTGCACATGCTGATCTCTCTACCATTAATGCACCTCCCATCCCCAATCCTTCAACTAGTTTATTCCTCCTGAATTTTCAATTATGACCTCAACTATCATTCATAAATGGCAGTTGGAATTTGAATCCAGGTCTTTGTGTCTCTAAAGTTAGTACTATTCCCACCACACTTGGCTTTTTCCCAGAAAAGTAATAAGATACGGTCAGCAATACACATGGACCACGTGCTAGTTCAAAACCTAGGAGATGTTTCTGGTCTAGGCTCTTTTCCAGGATCCACTTTTCTCCTAAGAATAGCAGCTCCTAGTCTAGGCATTCCTTTTTCCCTCCTGCGACATCATTTTCTCCATCCAGGAGTTTCTCTGTCTAGGATCATGGCAGGACAGAGGTTTAATGGAAAGAACACTAGATTGGGTGTCAAGTATATTGGGTCCAGGCACCAGCTGTGGTACTCACCAGCTGTGTGAACATGCTCAAGTGACATTACTTGAGCATAATGTCACTTAATACTACCTAGCCTACTCTCTGAGTTCCTGCCACTGTGGCCTTTAGTTTTCCTAAAGGAGTGATGCTCCTACTCACCCAGGAGCCTTTGCACATGCTGATCTCTCTATCATTAATGCACCTCCCATCCCCAATCCTTCAACTAGCTTATTCCTCCTTCATTTTCAATTATGACCTCAACTATCACTTATACTTACATAATGTGTTAATTTGGTTTTTCCAAGAAGTAGACACTAAGACTGGGTTAGATGTGCAAGAAATTGAATGGGGAAATGCCTCTGAAGGTTAAAGGGGAGGAAGCAGGAGTGGCTGTTGAGTGACATCAGACTGCAATGCAGGTCTGACATCCATGAAAGCATTGCGGGAAGGAAAGAGAATTGCACCTGGGTTATAAGAAAGGTTAGGCCAGGCTGACGGTTAGGCCAGATAGTGGAGGAATAGACCCCCACTAGCATCACCTCCTGCAGCTGTCATTGCTAGGAGCAGCCTGGGGGAGGAATGAACTTGGTGTGAACTTGGGGGCGGGTCCAGGGGACACCAGCTGGGGATGTGTCAATTATGATCCCCTTAGTGGGAGATGTGAGTGGCACATTGCCACACACAGCCTCAGTTTCCTTATCTGCAAATAAGGACTGTGTACTTAGTGATTCCTGGTGTGAATTTTAGCCCTGAAATTGTGAGCTTCTTCACTTGCTTCTATATCGTCTTGTTTAGCTTCTTCTAATTTTGAAGTACGTTTTTCTGGTAGTAACCAGGGAGACAAGAATAAACAACATAAACAAAAGGGATATTTTAATAAACCTGAAAAATAATTTCTGGGGTATTTTTTCTTTCCCTGATAAACTTTTAGTACAATCCTAAGGACTTCTTGTCTTAAGCATCCTTGAATCTCTAGGATTCTGCACAATAAATGCCATATCAGAGGTGCTACCTTACTCTTCCTTGATTAAATGACTGAAATAGAATAGAAGTGGGTCTGACTTAAGACACATTCATTCATTTAAATTTCTAGGCTTTTTGTTTTGGGAAAGAATGCCACACTGATCTGCTGTTTTCCTTGTTTTGGCAACTAGGGTTCCTAAATCCCTCTACTCAGGGGCATGTTCACCTCCCTTATTCTTGTTTCACAAATAAAAGGCTCAAGTAACATTATTTGCCTATTAGAAAATCTCTTACCAATCCCCATGAGTTTTCCCCAGAAAAACAGTCTCTGATTGTCTCCTCACATATGGCCCCTATTCTCAAGGAAGTCACAGTCTAGTTGGAAGATAAGAAATGAATCAGTAACAAATGTGAGATACATCATAGTAAGGACTATGAACAGAGCTGCAGTTACTGCCAGACATTGTATTATAAGGGCTTTACATAGTGGGGGGCCGATACTATAAATGAATAAAGGGAGTTGGATGTGACTCTTGGTACAGGACAGCCTGTGCCTCAGCTGAGTGAGTGGGAAGAAGGGCAGCCATCATTCTGTTGCAGCTGATTTCTGCTAGGGGGAAATGCAGGTCCAGTGTTGCAAATCTTCCTTTTTTAGCAGAGAAAAGAAGCAGGAAATCAGAATTTAGATATAAAAATTTTTCGTTTTATAACAATGAGTACTAATTTTAAAAATTTAAAAACATGATGCAGGCAGAAGAAACATATTTGTTAAACACATCTGGACCATGGACATATGAGGGCCTTATTGAATAAACAACATCATTGAATTATCACTAAGTGCTGAATATAGACTTCAAGTATTGGGGAAGGTGAGTAGAGGAATCAATAGTTAGGTCAGAGAAAGCTTGATAGAAGTGACTAGTACTGAAGGTGATCCTTAAGAAATGAATATCATTTAGATAGGCAGAAGGAAAAGAGCATTTTGGGCAGAAGAAAGATGTGTGAGATGAAGTTCTGACTAGAAGGAAGGAGCAAGGCACTTTTCCAGTGATGAAGGAATTAGGACTGGAAAGATCGAGTTGGAAAAAAATTAAAGAGGACATTGTTATTGTAGCCTGCAGAACATCATATTTGGAACTGAAGTTCTGGAAGCACCTATCATACATGGGCTAGCCAAATCCTAAGGGATGGAAGGGTGGGGCAAATCTGAAGCAGTTGGAGATATTGAAATGGAGAAAAGGTGTCTTTCTGCCTGAGTTTTGAAGGAGCAGGATATGAGGCTATGCTGAAAGGAAAGGCCCCCTGCACTCAAGATGCACAGCCAACATTTGTCAAACTTAATTAAACCCAGGGCAACAGGGCATGGTAGACAAATTGTACCCTGGGATTGTTTAACAACCTACTTCAAGTTTATCAATCAAGTGTTTTAGCAGCAAAGAGTGAAGAAAGAGGTGGGCAAAATGCAGAAGAGGGAGAAGAAGAGAGGGAGAAGAAACAGAAGAAAACATATGGAGGGATAGGGTGGAAGGGAGAGGAGGCTAGAGAAGGAGGGAGAAGAAAGGAGGGATGGGGAGAGAGGTTGATTAGTGTGGGTCACTTTAGTGGCCATTCTGGTAAACAAGCGCATGTCCTAGGTGACCATGAGTGCTGAAGCAGCCATAGGCTGATATTGCAGCTGAGTTTCATTCCCCATTGCTTCTCTTGCATGAGGTTCTTGCCCTGCTAAGTGTGATTTTACACAATGGCTACTAAAATAAAAAACAAATTAATTCATCTCATGTCCAAATGAAGAAATAGCAATCTGTTCCAACCCTGGAGGAAAATCTGGTTATGTTGAACCTACTGAGAATGGTATGTTGATCTCCAATGTAAGATTTTCAAAGTTAATTTTGACTCAAAATGCTTCTTTTTTTTAATGTAAGGATTTAGAACACAATCCCTTTATGGATCACAGCTCCACTGAGGAATAGAATGCTCACTTTAATTGAGCCATCTACGGAAACCTACCATTCTGGTAAGCTGTCCGTCACATGCAGACAGCAACTGGCCCAAAGTCAGCACCCAATACTTTCATGAGAAATCGAATCTGCAGGGAAATAAGAGAGGCAAAGGAGAAATAACTACTTGAGAGAGAGGAAGGCTGAGGCCAGGTCAATAGATTTAAGAGGATTTACTCCAGCCCAGCTGAGAGGAGGCAGTGACAGGTCTCAGAGAGCCCTACAGACCAGGAGAGCTTTGCCAGCTTGTCTAGTGCCACTGACAAGAGGCAGAGAAGAGCCGCTGGGGAGTGAGCCCATCCATCATTTAGGACAGTAACCGCCGGCACTGAGTGCCTAGGAGAGGTAAAGGAGCCATTTCCAAAGAAGAAAATGCACTCTCTGGGGAAAGAAAAATACGAAGAGGAGATTTTACTTTTCAGGGGGAATAATGCATGTTGGTTAAAAATAATACAGTTTGATGGCTCGGGCTGTTTGTTATGCATCCCACTGTCAGTTTACGCAGATTTCATCCCTCTCACTGCTCTGTCGAGCAGGAAGGCAGCCAGAGCCTTCCTCAAAGTTGATAGCACGGAACTTCTTCCACCTGCCAGTTACTGTGACCTTAGAAATGCAGCGGACTCCATCGTGCACATGCAAGCAACTGAATCGTAAGGAACACAACACAATATTTTCATCACCAGAAGATGTACTGTGTATTGACTTCTTAAGTCACTTCAAACAAGCAGGAGAGAAAAAGCCTGTGTAGACAGAGCCAAGTAGAGGAGATAGAACAAGTCCATAAGTGTCAGAGGTGGAGAATTTTACATTTTGTTAAGTCCTGGGTTGCTATACCTAGTTTTGAAAAAAGTAAAATAATTAGTTTCTAGAATGATAATAACATGTATCATTCTATAAACTATCATTAATGATAATAACATGTAGCACAGATCACATGTACTGTTGGATTGGAAATGTTCTGTAATGAACACCACTCTCCATTGTAAGGGCACACTGTACCGAATGAGTTAAGAACAACCAAGAACGAATGAATAAACAGAACAGTGAAGAAGAGAACACCTTCACTCATTTGCCTGCTATGAATGCATGCATCCTTTAAATTCCAGCTTAAATGCCACCCACTTAGCCAAGATTTATCCTGTCTTCCTCTTTGAGGTTTATTGCTTTGATTTTGTATGTTCCTGTCTCCTGTATAAGCCTGCCTATACCTTTATTAAAACACTTTTAGAAGTTCTACTTTTGACTTAATTTTTCTCTTGTCAGTTTTCTTTCCTATTGGTGTACTCCCTGAGACACAGTCTGAGTAATTAAAAAATATATTCTGTGCCCATTCCTTGGTATGAGAAGTGTGGCAGTGCTCTTTATATATTTTGTGAATGATTTAATGAGTGCATTTTTTTTTATAAAGAAGGAGACCGATCCATAGTCAAAGCATTGTCCTCTTACTTACCAGTAAAGACACTGAATTCTATGATCAGCCATTCAAAAAAGTATTCAGGTCTTGTTTATCTACTTTTTATTTTTTATTAATCCTGCTCATTGGGCTAACTAAAACAACAGATCTCTTATTTGACCTCAATTAAAGAACACAGTTTGGAGAGACAGTGGTCTAATGGAAGTAAATGTTCAGAATGACTATTATTTTATTGAATCCCTTTTTCTTCACTGGGGCTTCATAATTGGTGCTCCCACTAATGGTATTTCTTGTTTGGGTTCTCAAAGAAAAACAAACAACTTAAAATAGACAGACACGGTGGAAAGTTTCTCTAGATTCTCAGATGCCAGTTTGCCCCAGAGAGTGACGCTCAGATGGATGTGACATGGAGAAGCAATTGTGAACTCTTCCCATGAGAAACGAATGTTTCTGTGTTAAGGGCTCAGAGCGATGAAAATGAATCCTTTTAGGGAGACTCACATTTTTAAAAAATGTGTAGACAAAATGAATATAGAACTCTTTACCAAATCCTACGCTCAGTTAATCATAAGTTTGCAGCCCATATGCAGGGTTTTTCATCTTCAAAAAGAAACCTTGCTGCTGGATTTTAGAAATATGTCTGTTTTAAAAGAGAAATTGTAAGGAAGGGTTTTCTAGCACAGTCATGCATATAAATGTCGTCCTCTCTTGGTCTAAAAAGTCTAGTTTCTGTGTCCCAGAAAAGTTTTGTATGCCTATTTTACTGTAGAATTATTCTGTTATTACGGTTGTTGTTATTGTCAGTCTTTTCAGCACCATCCACCCTTCTTCTGAGACCAGAATGCCTCTTTTCAATAGGGAATCTCTTTCATCTCGTTTGGGTGTAGAGAAAGCCTTTTGGCCATGTGGCATGAAAGATATGCTCCCTCTCCAGTGTGATCCAGCCCCAGCCAATCAGAACTCTATCGTACTTGGTGGTTGGGATAGGCACGGGACTTAGAGAGCATCAGTTGCAAGTTTCTCTGAGACTTGCTGTATGGGTGCTTGAAGAAAGAGACTTTGTCTTCCTTTTGAATCATCAGTCATGATGACATAGGCTTGAGTTGATCAGACACCACATCACCCTACAGATGAAACTAACCTGCTAGAGAACAAAGTAAACACATAGAGATGAGGAGAGTTGAGAGACAGAAAAAGAGTCAAAACCCTGAGGATGCCATATAGGTTTCTGTATCCAGTTGACTTTGAGATTTATTTAATCCTGTACATCATAGTTATGTGAGTCAATACATGCTTTTTTTTGCTAAGTAAATTCGACTTTAGATTCTGTGATATGCCGCACAAAGAGATCTAATCAATAATCCATATTATGAATATGGATTAATCAATAACCCATTTTATAAAAGCTGCAATAGTGAGACTCTGAATACTCTCAGTGGACCCTGACATCTTTACCTTTTGGTCATGCTGTTCTTTGTTTGAAATCTATGGTTCAGTTCAAGTTCCATTTCTCCCATGAGCTTCTAGCCTTCATTTTGAGGGAACCTCTTACATAGGACATCCTATCCATGCAAGAGTTTCTCAAACTGGAATTCAAGAAACCCTAGGATACTTAAGGTATTCAGATGAAGTTTTTATTTTAATTCCTTATTCTGTGTTAACTATTTATTGAGCACTTACTTCGTGCCAGGCACAATGATATGTACTGAGAATAGAAAAATGAACAAGACAGACAAGATTTTTGACCTAGCTCATATTCTAGTAAGGAATGTGCAGTGGGTAATAATAAATAAATATCTAGTGATAGGAATACATAAAGAAGTAAGCAAGCAAATTTCAGAAGGTGATAAATGCTGTGAAGAAGATTAAATAGGATTGTGTGTTTGAGAGATTGTGGGGAGAAGGTCTATTTTAGACAGGATGGATCTGATGTTTGAATGTATTTAAGTAAAGATTATAATAAACATAACAAACAACAGTAGGAGGAAGTAATACTTTTTTCTTCTAAAATGCTTAATATAGAGTTACAGTACCCTTATAATCTAGCAGTTTCACTCCTAGGTATCTATCCAAGAGAACTGAAGGCACCACACAAATATGTGTACACAAATGTTCACAGCAGCATTATTCACAATAGCCTATATGTGGAAACAACCTAAATGTCCATAAAATGACGAATGGATACATAAAATGTGGTATAGTCATGTGATGAAATATTATTTGGCAATGAAGAGTGGCACCCCATAATATGCCATAATATGCCTTTTTGACATAAAGATTATTTTGAGCTAAAGGCACTTGAGAAACAGCAGATGCAAGAAAGGCATTCTGATCTACTCCTTTCTTCCTGAAAACAGGCCATAGAAACTCCTGTGTGAAAGATGTCCTCACTGTACCAGCAGAAAGCAAAGCATTCTTTGACAGGGAGTTACAGCAGAAAGAGTTCTGTGCACGTGGGCCTTGTTAAAAATAATTCTTATCTTCCTTTAGCCTCCCTGTATGGCTTAGCCACTTTTCTACCATTGCCTGTCTTTGTTACACCTAGCGTAAAAGCATCTAGGTTTTGCCAGTTCTTTGGGTCTTCATTTCCTTATAAGGTCTCTTGTGTCACATAAAACGTATGTAAGTGCTTTTCTCTTGTTTATCTGTCTGATGTCAATTTAATTCTCATGTCCAGCCAAAAATCCTAAAAGGGTAGAGGTAAAATTTTCCCTCCCCTATAGCAATAAAAGGGAATGAAGTACTGATGTGCGCTACAACATGGATGAACTTTGAAACATTATGCTAAGTGAAAAGTCAGTCACGAAAGGTCGTATGTTGTAGGATTTCATCTATGTGAAATGCTCGCAATAGGCAAATCTATAGTGACAGAAAGTAGATTAGTGGTTGCCCGGGGCTGGTGCAAGGTTAAGAATGGAGAGTGACTGTTAATGGTATGGGGTTTCTTTTTGAGGTGATGGAAGTGTTTTGGAATTAGACAATGGTTACGGTTACACAAATCTGTCATTTGTGCTATAACAAATCTATATTATACCATCTGTCATAGTGCAGTCTACACTATGCTAAAAGCTGTACAGAGTATACTGTAAACTACTAACCTGTTCACCTTAGTTTTTCCTTTTGCAAGCCAAGAACTTGTATCCTGTACATTTTAAATGGGTGAATTTTATGGTATGTGATTTTCTTAATGAAGCTGTAAAAAATGTACCAAAAAAGGGAATTTTGTTTTATTCAGGGTTGAGAGACACTGATATACAGTTCTACTTCATTTGCTTAATCAAATATTATCTTGTGTTGTTACTTTGAGTTTCCTAGGATTATGTCTTTTGTACTTAACTAGATTGTAAAGTTCTTGAGCAGTAAGAATTGTGCTTTTCAATTCTTTAGCGCTATCCCAGAGGTATTCACACAACACGGTCTCATTAAATTTATGCTTACTGGTGGATTATCTGATAAAAGGCAGCAAGGAGCATGAGCCTGTATTAGTTTTCCAGGACTGCCGTAATAATGTGCCACAATCTGAGTAGCTTAAGCAGCAGAAATTTATTGTCTTATAATTCTGGAGGCTAGAAAGCTGAACCTGAGGGTCAGCAGGGTGAGTTCCTTTTGAGGACTGTGAAGGAAATATCTGTTCCAAACTGTCTTCACACTCACATGGCATTCCCCCTGTATATGTAGGCTGTCTTTGTGTTCAAATTTCCCCTTTCTATAAGGACGTCAGTCCCACTGAGTTAGGGAATACCCTGGCATCATCTTAACTTGATTTCTTCTGTAAAGACCCTATCTCCCGCTAAAGTCACATCCCGAGGTATTGGAGGTTAGGACACCAGCATATCTTTTTTGAGGGGACACAATTCAACCTCTGACAGAGTCAAATTTCAATTTCTATTAAGATTCTCACCCATCAAGCTCATGACTTTGTAAATTCCCCACAGCTCCCAGGCCAGAGCATTTCAGCCACGCAACCAGTAGTGACCATCCTAAAGCTATTATTAAATCTCCAAAGTTGAACAGAAAATGTCTCGCTCTGGTGAGCAGGCTGCAACTCAGCCTTTCTGCTGGGACTTTCTTATTCTGCAGTCCACTACTTTGCCCTATCATCGGATGAATCCATTTGCCTTAGCCTTATTCTTATGTCCACCGATTTCTTAATGTCAAATAAAAGGGCAAACCAAGTGAGGCGCTCAATTTTTCTGAAAGGTACAAAGCATTACTGATTCCCAAATCACTGGTGGTAGGCCAGTCTAAAAGAGTAAAAGTCCTGGAAAAATAATTAAATGTACACAAAATTCAAACTGGATTAAATCTGTGTGTTATGTCCATATACTCAGCATATATAACTATCTATCCAGGACTAGGTAAAAAACATTGTCTGAAATAGACCCTTCTTTAAGAAATAGATCAACATAGCTTTTAATTGGTCTCCCATTTGTTTTATTTAACTAATGAGCCTAAAAAAGTCTTGAAAACAGAGGGAGGTTTTTTGTTTGTTTCTCATAATCAGGAAAATATTCACCTTTAAATCTTCTTCCATTCTTTATTTGGATAAAAAAGAATGTTTGCAGAGATAAGGGTCTCAATTGTGGTAGGAATTTTGACTTGGAAGTCAGAACATCCAAGTCCTCTTCCTGGATCTGTCCCAGATTATGTAGAAAATGTGGGCATGCCTCTCAGCTACCCAGAGCCTTATTTTTTCATCATTAAAAAGAAAATGATACTACGTAAACAGCTCACAGGATTGGTATTAACAACCAGTTAACTCTACCCCGAAGCAACAGCAATTTGGTAGGGCTTGCAGCAGATGTTTAACTGATCACTATTTATATCTAAAATAATCTTAAAAAGTACCTGGCACAGAGTAGATGCTTCATAAATATTTTCCAAATGCATGAAAAATTATGAATACATCTTTAGCAAAAATGTTGTCTTAAATTACCTCAAAAATGTTAAATTTTAAAATCAAAACTTTGATTAAAAATAAACTATTATTCAAAAGAAACTGAAAAAAAACCCCAAAAAGTATATTGCTATTCACATCTGATAAGGGATTAATATCCAGAATATACAGAAAACTCTTAAAACTCAACAGCAACAAAAAACCCAAGTCAAAATACGCAAAGGACTTAATAGACATTTCTCCAAAAAACATATACTAATGGCCAATAAGAACAAAACAAGATGTTCAACATCACTAATCATTAGGAAAACAAAAATTTAAACTACAATGAAATGTTATCTCATACTCATTAGGATGGCTACTATATATAAATAAATAAAGTAACAAGTGTTAGTGAGGATGTAGAGAAATTGGAATTCTTGTGCAATCTCGGTGGGAATATAAACTGGTACAGCCAGTGTGGAAAACAGTGTGATGGTTCCTCAAAAAAATAAAAATATAATTACCATATGGTCAGCAATTCCACTTCTTCCAACAGAATGAAAAATGGGCTCTTGAAGAGATATTTGCATAGCCGTGATCATAGCAGTATTACTCACAATAGCTAAAACATGGAAGAAACCCAAGTGTCCATCAACAGATGAATGGATAAGCAAAATATGGTCTATACCTACAATAAAATACTATTTAGCCTTAAAAGGGAAGGAAATTCTGACATATGCTACAACATGAATGAACCTTGAAGATATCATGCTAAATGAAATTAGCCAGTTACCAAAAGCCAAGTACTGTATTGTTCCATTTACATGAGGTCCTTGGAGCAGTCAAAATCAGACACACGCCACGCACTGTGGCTCACGCCTGTAATCCTAGCATGCTGGGAGGCCGAGGTGGGTGGATCACCTGAGCTCAGGACAGGCAACTTGGTGAAACCCTGTCTTTACAAAAATACAAAAATTAGCTGGGTGTGCTGGCCTGTGCCTGTAGTCCCAGCTACTCAGGAGGCTAAAGTGGGAAGGTCACTTGAGTCTGGGAGGTCGAAGCTGCAGTAAGCTCTGACCCTGCCACTGCACTCCAGCCTGGGCAACAGAGCAAGACTCTGTCTCAAAAAGCAAAAAGCAAAAAACATTGAGACAAAAAGGGGCTGTAGGGAGGAATAAATGTGGAATTATTTTTTAATAGGTATAGAGTTTCAGCTTTAAAAGATGAAAAGAGTCCTGAAGATGGATGGTGGTGATGGTTCCCTAACATTAAGAATGTATTTAATACTACTAAGCTGTACACTTAAAAATGGTTCAGATGGTAAATTTCATATTATGTGTCTTTTAACATAATAGACACAATTGGAAAAACTGTATTGGTATTTTTGAAACTTCCTGTGGATTTGCAATCATTTGAGAATAAAATATTCAAAACAATGCAAAAAGTTTTAGCAAAATTGAAATATTCCCAAGGAATGTGTTTCTAAAGAAAATGTTAGCTGTCATGTGTAGTAAGCATTGAAAAGTATGAGAATTTGTGGTTTCAGACAAGTGTGGCTGCCTCAACAGGACAGGTACAAAGAGGTATGAAGGAGAGGTAATAACAAAAAACAAAACAAACACACTTCAATACACATGCACACACACACATAATGTACATATCCATACACACACTGAAATAATTTATAGGAAAAGAAAAGTTTCCTAAAGTTACTAAAGCATACTTGATGTATGGGTTACTTCTTTTTTTTTTTTTTTTTTTGGACAGGGTCTTACTCTGTTGCCCAGGCTGGAGTACAGTGGCACAATCTCAGCTCACTGTAGCCTCAACCTCCTGGGCTCAAGTGATCCTCCCACCTCGGCCTCCCAAGTAGCTGGGACTACAGGCATGTCTCACCATGTCTGGCTAATTTTATTTTATTTTTTAGAGATGGGGTTTCACTATGTTGCCCAGGCTGCTTAAACTCCTGGACTCAAGCAATCCTCCCACGTCAGCCTACCAAAATTCTAGATTACAGGCATGAGCCACTGTGTCTGGCACAGGATACTTTTTAATATTAAAAAAATTAATTAGTTCTTTTATATGATCAGTAAGTCAGGCTATGATAGGATTCAACTTAGAAGGCAAAAGGTTTTATCTGCTGCTAATTTTACATTCAGAGTATTTAGGGAGGAGTTTTGACTGCTCAGTTGTATAATGTAGAACTCACTCAAGACATAAAATTTACAGAAAAAAAATTGTTATTTTTTTCAAGGGTTAATTTTTCCTGGTGGTTTTGTTTCAATTACAAGAGAATTGCAAATGCTGAAAGTTACAATGTGTTGTTGCTACAAATGCCTTTGTCAAGAACACACTGTAAGAGCATTTAATTATCCATTTTTTTCAAATAAGTTCAGTAGTGTGGGAAGCATTATGTAGGTTATTATTTTTCCCCACTTATAAGCTTTTTTCTTCTTAGTTACATAAAACATTTTAACACCTGCAAAAAATGGGTAAAGCTCTTTGAGCAGCTCAAGCTTACAGATGGGCTCAGGCAAGTGATCTCTCTACACTGGTATTTATTTTGTGGTGAACTGTTACTATCTTTTGGAGAAGCCATTAGACTTAAGATTTTATGTGAATAAGAGGCTGTAAAATGGGGCAAATCCATGTTTCCAGACTTGGACCTTTTGAATTAATTGAGCAAACATTTACTGGTATTGATTATATATCCACCAAATAATGTAAATCACACCTGTGATAGGTACCTGAAGGAAAGTCATATAGCACCACAGGGCATATTATTAATTGGAAAGAGCGAGGCAGTACCTTGTATCGGAGATTTCTATGAGGAAAGGAAGGCTTGAGCCCAGATCCAAAGAATGAGTAAGAGTTAACTAGACGTTCCCCAGGGAGTTTAAAACATGTTCACACAAAAACTTGTACACGTGTGTTCACAGGAGCATTACTCCTAATAACTAAAAAATCAACTGAGGAATGAACAACGTATGGTAGATCCACACAACAGAATAGTATTCTGCCATAAAAAGAATTTAAATACATGACTACTAATTGGTACAGGTTTCTTTTTGAGGTGATAAAACGTTCTGAAATTAGATAATAGGGATAATTGTGCAAATTAATAAGTGCACTAAACATTCAATTTAAATTTTGATAGGGTGACTTTTATGGAATACGAATTATATCACAATAAAAAAGAAATAACTAGATAAAAAAATGTAGAGGGAATAACCTGACAAATAAGAGGAACTGAAAAAAGCCTGGTGTTGCTTGAGCAGAGAGCAGAGGGCATTGTGGGAGGTGAAGCTGGAAAGAGGGAGGGGTCAGACCAGGCAGAGCCTCATGGGATGTCAAGTGTGCTCTTCTTTTATCCACTCTCTATTGGTCTCCATTACCACACGGATCCTGTTCTCTTTTGCTGTGTATTCTAACCCAACTCTACCCGAGAAACTTCATTGCCATTTTTCTCCACAAAGTAATCTCCCCTCAATCAACTCTGCTTTCTTATCCCTGAAGCACACCAGGCTTGTTTTTTTGCCACTTCATCGTTTCCATGTTGTTCCACACGTGAAATACCTTCTGTCTGATCTGCTCTGAATTACACAAAAGAGGCAGTACACATCCCAGAGGGGGGCAGCTCTCTTGCTTAGCACAACACCTGGAGGACTGTTTTCGACGAGAGAGACGAGGTCCCTCAATATGGTGTTGATTTGTTAGAAAAAAGGAGGCATCTTTCCCTGAAAAATAAAGCCACAGAGATATTGCTTTCAGAGGTTGTAATTTGAGGATTCTGGGAAAGGAGAGAATGGAAAAGGATATCAAAGAAGGATAAATCTTGAGACACGGAAGTTAAAGAATGAGAGGAATCAGGGGAACCCCTGTGAAGATTAGACTTGCATTTTCCTTTGGGATTCAGGAACCATCATACAGTATGCACAGTTTCAAGTTTTTTTTTTTCCCTACATTTTAATTATCATATCTAATAGTTATCCCCAAATTTTAGGGAAAATCACAGCCATGACTTAATCATTGATTGTTGGCTGATTTCTGTGACTTCTTTTTGGTTATCCTGAAATAAATACCAGTTTCTCATAGGCCCATTCCAAAGGCAGAATAAAAAGTGTCCTGTTAATAGTATCTGAGGAACAGAATACATTTCTTCCTGTAAAACATGTTTATGAGTTTGTTGTATGTACCAGATTCATTTATAAGTGCTGGTGATTCTGAAGTATATGAGGCAAAGTCCCAGACCTCAGGGAGCTTCCACTCCGTATCACTCTTGAATATTTATAAAATCCCTTCTGCTTACCAGGCACTGGCCACACAATGGAACAGAACAGAAGAAACTCAACAGGGCCTTTGGCAAATCTTGCTTAATGGTCTTGCTCACTGCTTTGTGTAAAACATAGAGCAAACTAGAGTGTGCATAATTTATCGACTAGGAACCAAGTCATGTAAGGTCTCTAAAATAGCAGTAGAGTTGTCAATCCTGGGTCTCCTAGCAAAGATACACAAAAAAGTATTCTCTTCCTCTACTAAACGAGAGCAGCCACTTCTTCTCTAGTGTCCCATCCCCAACCCTTGGCGGTGGAGAAAATTTCATGATCACAGTCAGTTCTACTGATATCATAGGCCAGCCTCCTGAGATACAAAAAGAATCAGATGAACTCATTCGATGTGGTCACGGATGTAGGCTCTCTCTAAGGGATCCCAAACAGCTCACATCTGCACCTGGGCTCGGTTTGCTTATAAGAAATTTGAGGTAACAACAGAGCTTTATATTTCTATCATGGAAAAATCACGGGATTAAAAAAATACATATTTTGAAATAGTTTGACTCACAAGAAGTTCTCATGTTTCTTTCACCTTGCTTTCTCAATGATATTATCTCACAGGACTATAGTAAGTTAACACCAAGAAATCAACATTGGTACAATTCTATGAATTCAAATAGAGATTGTAATTCAGATTTTACCAGCTTCTACATGTACTTTTTCCTTCCTGATGTATAGCTCTATGGAATTTTTATCATGTATGTAGATTCTAGTAGACATGGCCCCACTCAGGATACAGAATTGTCCTGTCATCACCAGGCATCTCTCTCGTGTTACCCCTTAAGAGTTGCACCATACCCTCAACCCTAACCTCTGGCAACCAAGGTCTGATTCTCTATCACTATAATTTTGTCACTTTGGGAGTAACAATAGACTTTAAAAAAAAATATACAAGTTCACTCTTTCCTTTAAAGAGAACAAGCTTCATTATATTTGGATTTTTTTGAGGGGTGGTACTTACAATTAATACTACTTCCCACCAACAAACTCTCTGCTCCTTTTCTGCTGTTCTCTTTCTTTATATTCTACATTCTCAAATCTCTGAAGAGAACCCCACCCCTGAGCTAAGTCATCTCAGGGAATTCAGATTTCTTTATTACTTTGCGGTCTAAGCCTCTCATTGACCCTAGCACAGTGAGAAGGAAAAGATTAACATATATTTCTACCAGGTTCAAGAGCTTAGGATACTCATGCTAGTATAGGGAAAGGGAAAAAGAAGACAAAGAAAAAAACAATCTAGAGAGAGTTCTGCTTCAGGCCCTCTTCTGGCCACAGTAGAACAAATAGAGATTTATTTCAGGTTTTGAGGATTTTGGAAAGCCCTTGAAAGTTAAGACCGAAGATATTTTAGAGGCACTTGTACACACAGCCTGCTTCACATACTATGCCTACGTCAATGTGGCAGATGATGTCTTCAAAAGTAATTTTTAAAAAGTTTGGGTTGGAAAAAAAAAACCTTAGGATATACTATGATTATATTCTATGATGCTACTTCAAGTAAATTCAGTGGAAGCTACTGTCACTCCATGGATACCCGTGTGGGAATAGTCACGATGTTCCATAGTTACCAAATGCAATCTAAAGCAAGATGGTGAAAGAATCATTTCACAAAATGCTATGTCATGTCACAATATGGAGAAGCTGCCTGAAAAGAAATTAATGCCAAGTAATTCTGCCAAAAGTATGCAGACTTAATACATTTTCCTGTCTATTAAAATTTTCTGGAAGGCTCTCTATGAAAGGAACATGCTAAACACATCGTTCTTTAGTCCTGTTCTCTTCCATAAATACAGAAATGCTTCCAGAAAGTGAGGAATTAAATATGCAAGCACCAACGAGTAGAGGAATATGAGTTAAGAATTCTTTAAATGAGTTTGTAATTTTTTCAGTCAACAAATATGTTCAACTTTGATTTCAGTTCAACTTAACAAATACATGGGGGACGCTTACTTCATGCCAGGCATCATGCAACTTAAGATGCTGCTCAATGGAAATGGAAAGGAGAGGAGAGGAGCCTCTCTGGAAGGTCTATGGAAGTCGCCCCTTGGCCAAGAAAAGGAAAAAACAAGAGTGTAAAGGGAGGGACTAGATCTTCCCACCACAGCGGCATCCCCTTTGGAAGTTCGTGGTCCAAACCTCGTGTGGAATCCTGAATCTCACTTCCTACCACCCTGTGAAGAACTAAATGTTCACTCTGCACCATCTGCCCTCATAAAGAACCTCATAAAGGTTCTCTGATTATTTGCTCCCTCTCCTACCTCGCCTTTTTCTTTTCCACCTTCTTCCCACCCTTGTTGACAGTATCTTCCACCCTCCTCTGGAGCCTTCTCAACATTTACCCAAACTTTAAAGGGCCCATTCAAGTGCCAATATATCCATGAAACCTTTC
Organism: Homo sapiens; assembly: GCF_000001405.40. Taxonomy (NCBI): domain Eukaryota; kingdom Metazoa; phylum Chordata; class Mammalia; order Primates; family Hominidae; genus Homo; species Homo sapiens. The sequence goes on from NC_000003.12 coordinate 3,447,107, forward strand.
TTTACTTCCTTCCAGCTCCTGGGCCCCTCTGAAGTCTCCTGGGAGGGGCACTGCCATTTACTAAATATCCATTAAGAGTCAAATATTTCAGTATGTATTATCTAATTTAATCCCCTCTGAGGTGACAAGGCATTCAAATGAAGACAGAAGGGGCTGGGGAGGGTGGCTCATGCCTGTAATACCAGCACTTTGGGAGGCCAAGGCAGATGGATCACTTGAGCTCAGGAGCTCGAGACCATACTGGCCAACATGGTGAAACCCAGTCTCTACCAAAAATACAAAAATTAGCTGGGCATGGTGGCACATGCCTGCAATCCCAGCTACTTGGGAGGCTGAGGCAAGAGAATTGCATGAACCCAGGAGGTGGAGGTTGCAGTGAGCTGAGATCATGACACTACACTCCAGCCTGGGTGACAGAGCTAGACTCCACCTAAAAAAAAAAAGATAAACGGGAGCTCACAAAGCTACAATAGCCTCATTTTGATACAGCTGGAGTGATATAGCCACTCCGTTCTGATTCTGAAGCCCATGATCATTCATGATCTGCTCTTGCTACCTGCAACTTTCATTTACAGGTTTTTATCTTCACCTGGTTGCCTTACTTCATGCCTGATAAATCATCATCAAATAGAGATAAATCTCTAACTTGCCTTGCTATTTAGAATAGTTTTTAGATAGAAGTTACTCAATAATTACTGCTTAGTAGGTTTTTCCCCTTTGTTCCCTTTTCACCCAACTCCAGGTTTGCCTGGATGACTAATTCTTTAAGCAGCCAAAGAGGCTCCCTTCTCAGAACAAAGTACACTCAAGTGAGAAAGAAATACTCAGCCATTCACACAGGAAAAGCAATGAGACCAGAGACAGAGGCAGGCTCGGAAGATGGCTCCCGAGCATGGGTACTGCCTTCATTTCTGGTGTTCACAAAACAAGAAGGTGGCAGAGTCAAAAGGACTTTTGGAAGTCAACATCCTGTCCTCACACCCTACAGAAAAGAGCCCAAAGTCCTGTGAGATAAAGTTGCTCACACAGTCTCACTCATGGTTCTTTCCCCATCCTGTCTTCCAAATTACTTATTTTCCCCCTAATTATAGAAGCATATATACTCAATGTCAGAATTGTGAAATATAGTGAAACATATGAAAAAGAGGGGAAAAATACACCAAGACTCTACTGAACCCCCTACCTAGTGTCCATATTGGGCTTTCCTTGGTTTGACCCATCCATATTTCTTGCTTCATCTTCCATGGTTCACTGCCTAAGTCTCCAGGCACAAGGCCTTGTTTCAATTCTTGTCAAGTGCCTTGTTCTTCCTTAGTTTTTACCTTGGACCTCATAATCTTGGTCCTACTACCTCCCACCCTCTTTCCCACTTGCCTTTAATTCTCTACTCTGCCTTTAATTCTCAACTTAATCATCTCTTCCTCAGAGAAGGCTGTCCTGATCTCCCAGGCTAGGCCAGCTTTGCCCTTAACTAATTTCTTTGCACCATGTAAACTGTGCATGTGAATTTCTCCTCAACTGTATGTACTCTGGTCAGCTTTCTAATTTCTCCTTTTCTTTCTCGCTTCCCTTATGACACTGTTGTTCTTTTGACCTCTAGTGCCAACCACTATGCTCACCATGCGGGCCAAATAGAAGCTTGGTAAATGGTTGTGGAAATAATGAATAATTATTACTACTGTTAATTATTTCCTTCCATTTTCTCTCTGCTTTCTGATCTTTTCATTCTGTCTCTCTCTGCACACATATATATATCCACCCACCCGCCCACTTAGTTATGTTTACAACTCATTTGAAAAACCTCAGTTTTTCAAAATTTTGCATACTGCTTTTGTAAGTAACATGTCAATGATCAGTTTAACATTTCAAGAGGGTTTTTTTTGTAAAAGATTTTCCAATAATTGCATACACTTGTATATAAATGTAATATAATTAACACATTTCCCTTTTATTGGCCGTTCTAGATTTTCTAATTTCTCAAAATGTAAATAGTACTGCAATAAGTGTGCAAACAGTTGTTTGAATTTTGTATTCTTTTTTGGAAGGATTCCTGAAAGTGAAATAAGTGGGTTAAAAGGAATAAACAACCCAAGAACTCAAGAATTACTCAATGGTCAAAACTTTGTTAACTACTCAACGGTCAATGAGACTACTCAATGGTCAAAACTCTGTTAACCGAACCCATTAAAAATATTTTCTGTAACCTCCCAGAAGTTTTTGCCTTTCTCCACTCTATTCTGCCTCTTCAAGCACTGTTCATGCTTCAAGGTCTGGTTCAAATCTTACCTCCTCAAAGAAGCTCTCAACTCCTTTTGCACTTCTTATCTGCATCTTTCTCACGTGTATTTGTTAACCTTAATATTAAGGTGCAAATGCCTGAACTTTGTCTAACACACTTTTCTGTTTTCATATGGTTCTTAGCAGACTGCCTAGTATGTGGTAGAATTCCTTAAGACAAAAAGGTTGATTGATAGATATAGAGAACTGTTACTTTCAGAAGATCGAGCAAGTTTTCATTTGGGGAACTTTGCCTTTTCTGCCTGGTGGGAGCTGTCATTCATATGGCCCCAACTTTGCTAACTCAGGATTGGACAAGATACTCAGATGGGCCAATGAGAGCCTTTCCTGAGATGTTTGGCTAAAGCTGTTGGGCAAGAACCTTACTGTTGGGATGCTAAGCTGGAGAAATAATGCAGGTTGCAACTACTGCTGGCCAGGATTCCTCCCCATGGATAAAGCCCATGTGAGAATAAAACCAGGGGAAGGCAGAGTCAAAGGAAAGAGAGAGAATTCTGAAGATGTTGTTTGAGTACCTGAACGCAACTGCCGTAAGCCACAAGCTCTGCCTCTTGAATTTCCTTCTCACATGAAACAGTAAATTCTTCTCCCCTCTTTTTTAACTTAGTTTGAATTGAGTATCTGTTACTTGCAATTAAATGGGATCTTACTGCCGCAACTGTACTGTGGAGACCTATAATGAATAGTAATATACATTGCCAATAAGCATGTTATTCTGTCTATTTAGTTGCCATTTTAAATTAAACACTGCTCATCTTTGCAATGGGAGTTACATACTAATTCCCAAGAAAGGTTAATTTTTATGAGTTTGTAAGCCCTTAGGAATCATTTTTTATCCAATATTTGCCTCTCGGCCCTGGTTTTTCCCTCGAGCCATCTTGCTGTTTGACTTTAAGAAAATGAAAGTTAGTGATTTCACATTACATTTTAATTATTTCTTTCAGAATAAACCAAATTAAATTTTAAAAGCTAAAGACATTTTCTGCTCTTGAACTTAGAGCTGTAGCTTTTAATGAAATCTGCTGCAGTCTTTTTTTAATTTTAATACATTTTCTACATCTCACTGTGTAGCCTTTTTTTTCACAAAGATTATCAATGTTTAATTTTGCTTTATTATGATGTTCTTTTTATGAGAGTCACAGAGAAACTTCTCTTCTGCGAAGGTATTTCCTGGTAATACATGTTCTAATTTCACCTCCGACAAACTTGGTTTAAGCTTTACAATTCTAGTCAATGGAATATTTTCTCCTCTGAGACACTCTAAATTTAGTCAAAAAATCTGATTGAAGCAGCTTATCTCTAGAAGAATCAAATTATTTGTGAGGTACTTGTTTTTTAATATAGTCTGTCCAATCCCACTCTATCCACTGAAGCAGGCTTACGTCATTCCTCATAAATTTAACCTGTCTCTACCTGAGATAAGTCTATCCGTACTCTTTAACCACGCAAAATGTTTCTTCTCAACCATAAATAGAGTCTAGGGTTACTTTTTCTTTGAACAGAACAACTTGAAAGAAAATAAGTATTTTTATTGCTTATTCACTACACATACAGACACTTAAAAAAACCATATAATATTCAAGCATATAAAATAGACATAAAAATCCTGAGAGAATCATTTTTAAGTATTGTGTATAACTTTTCAGACTTTTGTGTATTTTTTTTTTTTTTGAGACAAGGTCTGGTTCTATTGCCCAGGCAGGAGTGCAATGGCACAATCTCAGCTAACTATAACCTCTGTCACCTGGGCTTAAGCCATTCTCCCACCTCAGCCTCCCGAGTAGCTGGGACTGCAGGCATGCACCACTACTCCCTGCTAATTTTTGTATTTTTTTGTAGAGACAGGGTTTCACCATGTTGTCCAGGCTGGTCTTGAACTCATGAGCTCAAGAGATCCACCAGCCTTGGCCTTCCAAAGTGCTGGGATTACAGGCATAAGCCACTGTGCCTGGCCAACTTTTGTGTATGTTTAAATATATATACACACTTGGAATGAAACCACATATACTATCCTATATTGCCCCACTCCAATATACACATATTTAGCACCTCATGTTTTTTTCTGCAATGCAGAAATAAATTATTTAATGCAGATATACATCATTCCTTATATGGCAGCTTAGTATTCTAGTAGGTGAATGTACCTTAATACAATCAATCTACTTCTAGACCTTTAGGGTATTTTGAGATTTGTGCTAATATAAATAACGTCCTGACCAATACCCTATTATATATATTATTGACATGATTACCAGATAATTTCCTTAAATGTACAACAAATATTTTCCTAAAATTTGAAGTAGCATTGCTGGATTAAAAGGTAGGCACATTAAAAGATTTTATGCATATTGCCAGACATTCCTCAAAGAAAATTATAAAAAATTACAACCTCACCAAAAATTAACAGTGAGGGCCTATTCTCTTCACTATTAAAATCTCTAGGCCAATGTTTCTAGAAGTGTTTTCAGGACTGCCTGCCTTAGATGGTGATGCATGCACATCACTGGGTTTTACAGCCAGCCTACTAGACAGTAATCAAAATGGATTGAGTCTAGGAATCTCCATTTGCACAAGTCTGAGAAATACTACCCTGCCCATATCACTTTAAAAGATAGTTACTGAACAGATGGCTAAAGATATCTTTTTCTCTCTTAAAGGACATTTATTTGTATATATCTTTATATATATATATATATTATAGGTTATTTCTCTATCTCAACTGTCAGTATTTATATTTTGTCCATTTTTCTTTTGGGATGGGGTTTCATTTTTATTGATTTATATAATCTTCTTATATATTAATGATATTAACTTTCTGCCAATCACATATCTTATAAATATGTGTTTTTATTTTTGTGACTTTTGTGGTGGGATTTTTTTTTTGCCATATAAAAGTTTATAACTTTTGCAGAGTTAAATCATTCTTTATAATTTCCTGACCTTCCCCCAAAATAAAACCCCTCTTTGAGATGATCTTCTACTACTTAGTTAATTTTTTTAACCAATTTAGAATTTTTTGGTTATGTTTTTTAAATAAAAAGCTAATTTTCTAAACATCATTCACTGAAAAGTCTTCTAATATTGCATTCCCCGAAACACTAAATGCTAGAAGTCTGATGCCACATTGATGTTTTTCCTGTCTATAAGACCATTTTCTTCCTGTCCGTAAGACCATTCAGAAATTCTACCAAAATAAGGATACATTTCTTTATTTAGCATTTGGAAAGCTTGGTCAATATTTAAAAAAAAAAAACCTTTCCTGTTCTTTTTTTAAATCTCAGACGTTTTCTTCTAATAGTTTTTTAAAAATAATTATTTCATTTTACTCTGTTCTCTTGATAATTTCTATTATCTAGAAGAAATTTGATGTCATGAAGCATTCCTCCATGTCAATTCTATTTCTAAAAGTTTACATATAAACTTTTAAGTATTATTACCAGAAAAAGTTTATGCACATAGATGACTATGTTATCATTTGTACTCATAAAGAGAGAAATCTCTAAATATTCAGTACTATCTTTCAGCCAGTAAATAAAATATGGGTATGAAGAGCTAAGAGTAATATAAGAAAATACTTTTGTTTCAATGTTCTGAGCAAAAAGTAGATGCACACTTTTGTGTAGTAAGATTCCCATTACATCAAATGGTCACAAAAATATTCAAGGAAATACACCACACCCTTAACAGTTATTACTGGGATGTGAGACTATGGATGATCCTTTTTATTTTCTAAGTGTTTTTTGGCATGCTTTTATAATAGGAAAACTAAACAATATTCTTACTTTAAAGCTAATCATAAGTATCAAATCAGCATCAATGATGCCTAGGAGTTAGGGAAAGCAATCATAAAGGCCCAGGAAAGGCTCCATCCAAGCTGAGACTTGTAGTGGGAATAGATGGGTCTGGTAGGACTGCAGAGCCATGCAAGGAAGGAAGGAATGAAATTCGGAAGTGCAACCCTGAAAACTGCTTCAGCATCTTACAGATGTGAACTTCAACTGCACAGAGAGCTTGTTTCTTCTCTTTTAGAGCTTTGACATTCTATGGCTCTTCATTTCATTTTTATTTTCACCTCTGGCAAAGAGAATTTCTCTTAACAGTTTTTCTTACGTTTTATGCAATGTTAGGACTTTCACCAAAAACATATAAAATGGCATGGATGAGATTATAAAAAGTTATTTGACATTAGTGTTTTTGTTTTGTCTTTTATTAATAAGGAAAAGATTATATTTGGCTTTTTTTCATTTTTCATGTGTTTCATTTATTTTTCACAAAAAGTCCTAAAACCTGTTTAACCATCTCTCTTGTTAGAATACCAAATCTCTTAAGTTTAACTAATAAACAGCTTTTCCTCTGCTTGAAAATTATTTAAAATTATTAATGATGTCTTTAATCAGAATAAAAACTAGTTTTTATTTCAGTATCTTCTTGTATTAGCACTCTAATATACAGTCAAATGACAAAAACTCAATGTCAAATAGTGTAAAATACAGTAATATGTTGGTCCGGATTCCCAGACTTCCAGAAGGACAAAGGTTGGAAACAAGGACTCAGACACCATTGGTACACTTCTCTCCATCTCTTTTCCTCCTTCTTCCGCGTGGCAGCTTTATTGCCTCAGTCCATAAACACCCTCCTTCGCCTTACATAAAGGGGTATCCTAATAAAGTTCTGCCCAGAGAAGAAAAGACTCTTTCCTGACAATTCCTTTTAGAAGAGAACTGAGGAAGGACTTTCATTAGCCTAGCTTGGGTCATGTGCCCATCTGTATTAGTCTGTTCTTGCACTGCTATAAATAAATACCTGAGGCTAGGTAATTTATAAAGAAAAGAGGTTTAATTCTGCAGGCTGTACAAGGAAACATGGCAACATCTGCATGGCTTCTAGGGAGGATTCAGGAAACTTACAATCATGGCAGAAGGCAGAGGGGGAAGTCAACACTTCACATGGCCAGAGCAGGAGGAAGAGATAAAGTGGGAAGGAGCCATACACTTTTAAACAACGAGATCTCATGAGAACTCACTATGCAATGACAGCACCAAGAGGGATGGTGTTAAACCATGAGAACCCATCCCCATGATCAAATCACCTCCTACCAGGCCCCACCTCCAACACTAGGGATTACAATTCAACATGAGATTTGGGTGGGGACACTGATCCAAACCATATCACCATCTTGAAACCAATCCTCTCTCAGTGAAATTGGTATATGGGTATAACAGGTGACCAGTCTTGTTCTCGCCTATGGATGGGGGCCTTTTTTTTTTTTTTAAGAAGAAGAGGGGAAGAAGGGAGGACTGAACAGACAAAAACAGTCAAAGGATTTTATATTTTTGACAGCAAAGGTGAGTTTTAGCTTCTCTTGGATTCTCCTAAACATGTTGGAAAAGATGATAGATTTGGGTTCAGATGTAGGAATCCTTGGGTAAATACACCATCCTGTAGATCATAGGAACATTTCCAGAAAGTCTGTTTGCAAAACGAGTGTATGCCAAAGCATTTTACATTTGCACCAAAGAGCTAATATTTGATAGATGTTCAGATTATTCCACTATAAAACATTGACTCAAATTCTTTATGGAGAGACATGTCTGTAACTGGCATGTCTCCCAGGTTACCAATCTAGGAACCAACTTACCAAAACAGATTCCTAAGTAGGCTACATGTGCCCAGAGAAGTTTTGATTCAGCAGGTAGGAAACCACTTTGAATCTAAAGATCAGGTTCAAATGGCCAAAATTAAAATTTTATGTTAGAAAAACGAATTCATTGAATATAATTTGCCATGATCGTGTTTTCTAAGATTTGTTCAAAATACTCAAGGACCAGGGATCTGTCTTTCATGAGAATCTGGGACTCTGTTGGTACTGTCTCAGGTTGCTTCCAGAAAGCATTAAATGTTGTGACTAGGTCTTTGATCAAGATGGTCTGTCTGCCAGGCTGTCGGCATCAGGAACACATTTCCCAGTGTGAACAGCCAAACGGTCAGTGATGCAGGCAAAAAGCACTCCTAATAGATCACATTCTCAAGTGAGTTGTACCTTTTTCTGGCTCAGAAAAGCCTGTGAGGCTATTTCTGACCCCTTCTCCATGCTCAAACTGAAAAGAGAATTAACTATGTTAGGCCAGTGCACTTGCACGTGGGGAGTCCGTAAGCGAGAGGACTTTCTGCATCATCTTTTCCTTCCAGTGTATTTGGGAGCGTAAATGTTTATTGGGCTATTCCAACAAATCTTTTCAAAAGATGTGTTACTACCTAGAGGATATGTTGAGAAATGATAGCCATTGCTTCTTAAAAAGAAAAACAAAGCTAAGAGAATGTAAGTGCTTTGACATGTTGTGGTTTCAAATTGAGAATTTGATAAGTGGAAAAGTCAATAAAAATAATGAGTCTGCCAGGGAGAAGACAATATAGGCAGGTTTATAAAGTAATACTATTATGCAGAAATAAAATCCCCTATATTCTGAAAGGGTAGAAAACTAGCTAGTGTAGTTAAATAATACTGGAAAACTTCTGCTTCCTCCCAAGATGGGAATAACAGGGACTGCGTTTACTCTCCTGCTGAAACAATTTTAAAAACTGGATAAAATGCATGAAGGTGGTTTTTGAGACCCTGAACATCAAGCAATGAAGGACAATAATCTCTGAAAGGCAGGAAAAAAATGAGGTGAGCCCTATGATTATGTTACCTTACTGCCTGTGAGATTTTCCAGTCTGCAACACAACATGGGGAAAACCAGGGAGAGCTTGCTGGACATCCTGGGTTAAGGACATGGAGCTGAGATTTCAGGGAGACCAAGATAACTAGAGTTCTCAAGGCAGCATACTGAAGAGGAGAGAGCTGTACAGAGAGAGAACTGTGGGGATCTGCAGTGGGTCCCTCTTGAGTATAGCAGAGTACCAGTCAGTACATGTATGTGAGGGAACTACCTCCCTAAGGCTCCTGGAAGAACCTCCAGAAGAATTCAAGGAGAGATTCCTCAGGGCTCAGCAGGGGCTGAGAACGGAGCCAGTTTCATTTGATCACACAGGTTACTCCCAGATCAGTGAAATACTCTGAGAAGTTTAAGCAGAGGAATATTTTGTTTTATCTGGTATTTAGATAAAATCCTTACCCAAAATGTCAAAGACCTGCTTTATAAGTATTAATATTATCAGAAAATGGAAACAGGCCCATATCCGCAGTCAGGAGAAATGGGGCTATATTTATGGGCCAGGGACTTGATAATCTCCCCAGGCTTACAACTCAACAAAGAACGCTCGGCTAAAAACAGCACAATCTATGATTTTGATTCTCAATCCAACCATTTTTCTTTTACTCAATGTTGTTTCTTCCTAGCACTATGACCTGTGCTAAGACAACAAAATAGTAAATGTAGCATTTTCTCTTATCTGAGCATTAGGCCATCTGAAGTGTTAAAAGAGATTTAGGGAAGCTGCTTTGTGGGCTTCTGTGGCAATGCCACATTCAAAACTTCAGAACTATACAACTATACGAACACAAACACGTTTTTTGCAGAACCCACTATAGTGAGTACAAGGGCCCATTTCTCTTTCTGTCAGAATCAAAGAAGCCAGCTTTATTCTCACTCTTAATGGTGAGGTGGGGGCCATGTGACTAGGTTTTGGCCAGTAGAATGTTTGCTCCCCAAGGTGTGAACCGTAAATTATTTCTATGCATGATCCGCTTCTCTCTTCGTCTTCCTTGGTGACTTTGCAGCTACATTTTTTTGTTTGTTTTTGTTTTTGTTTTGTTTTGAGACCGAGTCTTGCTCTGTTGCCAGGCTGGAGTGCAGTAGCGTGATCTCGGCTCACTGCAACCTCCACCTCCTGGGTTCAAGCAATTCTCCTGCCTCAACCTCATGAGTAGCTGGGACTATAGGCACATGCCATCATGCCTAGCTAATATTTTGTATTTTTAGTAGAGAGGGGGTTTCACCATGTTGACCAGGGTGGTCTCGATCTCTTGACCTTGTGATCCACCCACCTCGGCCTCCCAAAGTGATGGGATTACAGGCATGAGTGCAGCTACATTTTTAACATATCTGTGTCACAAGGGGGACAAGCTGGGCTCCTGAGTCACTCTGTGGAGAAGAGCCTTTTCCCTGTACCCTGAGAACTACGTTGGAGAGTGATGTGAGTGAGCAATTGATAAATTTTGCTATGTTAAACCACCAAGATTTTAGAGCCATTTATATAACAGAAAGCCCTTCTAATAAACCTATTTACTCTGTATTAGATCAAATGATGAAGTGTATCAGTTAGTGTTTGTGTGTGTGTGTGTGTGTGTGTGTGTGTGTGTGTGTGTTGGGGGGGAATTTTTATATATTATCTGGTAAAGTTGGTAAACATTAATGATTTAATTTCTGTAGAACTCTAATGATTTTTTTTAGAAAATATAATGGTCATTTTATTCTTAAAACTTGGTTTAAGATTTGGGGTAGTAATTCTGATTTCATACTTTAATTGGGGAGGGGACCTCCTACCAAGGACAAATATGATCTGACCATTTTTATCATCTATCTAAAGCTTTTGAAAAATTTATATAACCCATAGGTCTCTTATCTTTCATTTTTCAAAAGATAATTTCTCACTTGGAACGAGGATGATTTGGAGCTCACACTGTGAGAAGTTTACCAAGACCATTTTTTATTGAATGCTGAGCACTTAGTGATCTGAGAATAGAGACACTTTCTCAAAGTTGGGTAGAAACGACCTTGCAAACAATTTAAAGAGACAAATAAGAAAAACAATGGGTTAGGTTTTTGCTTGAATTAAGTTCTTTCAGGCCGGGCGCAGTGGCTCACGCCTGTAGTCCCAGCACTTTGGGAGGCCGAGGCGGGCAGATCACGAGGTCGGGAGATCGAGACCATCCCGGCTAAAACGGTGAAACCCCGTCTCTACTAAAAATACAAAAAATTAGCCGGGCGCGGTAGCGGGCACCTGTAGTCCCAGCTACTCCGGAGGCTGAGGCAGGAGAATGGCGGGAACCCGGGAGGCGGAGCTTGCAGTGAGCCGAGATCCCGCCACTGCACTCCAGCCTGGGCGACAGAGCCAGACTCCGTCTCAAAAAAAAAAAAAAAAAAAAAAAAGTTCTTTCAATGAATTACTCACATAAATGTAACTGGGTTTCACACACTATTTCACTCCATTGTTAGTATTATAGTGGCAGTATAGGGTTTTTTTCTTCTTTCTTCAATTCCCCTTTCTCCTCTCAAGGTTAAGTATAAAACAGAAAACAAATACTATTTCACAGTGGCAGCTTCAGAATTTCTATAGAAGAGAGCACAGAGGCTGCAGTCTGGTTGGAAAAGGGGCCAGGGAACTTGTCATCAATGGTATTTGCTTCACAAGGATGCTATTCTTATGTTTAAATTAAAAGAAATCTAAAAATCGCAAAGTTTATTAAAGATGCTTTTATTCATATGTCATAGGTAATAGTGAGAAAATTTGTGTTTATAAACATTTATTTTTCTTTAGGATACCTTGGGGAAGTAGGATATTTTTTAAGGAAAAGGTGACAGGACTCCACAGCCACTGTTTCCTGGGCATTCCGTTTAAAAATATTTACTAGATATTTACAATGGGCCAAGCATTGCTCTGGGCACTGGAGGAAGATGGTAAACAAAACACACAAGAATACATGCTTTCATGGAACTTCTTGCATACTTATAGGAGAGATGAGCAATGAAAAATTACCTAAAATATACAGTATGCAATATAAATGCAATATAGGAGGCTTTATGTGTGTGTGTGTATGTGTGTATACATACACACTAATACATATACTAAGTCTATAGTATGTTAGTATATATATGGCTTTGTATATATGTCTTCATATTATATGTGTCTTTATATATAAAAATCTTTATATACAAAAGGCACGTGTGTGTGTGTGTGTGTGTGTGCGCGCGCGCGTATGTGTAACATACTATAGAAAAGTAAGGGAAGGGTGAGAATATTGGAGGAATGGTGGTGGAAAGGAGACAGTTTAGAGTTTTAGATAGGATGGCCAAAGCAGGTCTCAATGAGATATTTGAGTTAAGACCTGAAGGAAGAGATCTACCTGGAGAGATCATTGTAGGCAGTGTGCATAGTATGTGCAAGGGCCCTGAGGCAGGTGCTTAACCTGGTGTATTTGAGGTCAATATGGATTGAAGAGAGTGAGGCAGAATGCAGAAACTGCACATGCTACCCACTGAGGTCAGATCACTGTGAAAAGACTTTCTCTTCACTTTCCCCTTGATCCTGGGCCTGAGGCTGCCCAACTGGGAGCTGAAGTATTGATGAAGACTAATGCAACAGAAGAAGGGTTCCTGAAGCAGATAACCGGTCATGTGGTATCCAACACACCAGACCTTGGGGGTGGGGGTTGGGGTGGGCTCCCCCAGAGTCAAGAACTGAGGCTCTGGGCCAGCAAGGGCAAATGGGGCAGAAGAAACCCCTAGTGTAATATGGGAAAGGAGTTCAAACTCAACACCATCTCTTAGGGATCCAAGGAGTTAAAAAATATGCCTTAGAGAGTAAACTAAAAACCACTTCATAGAATCACAAAACCTCACAGAGGCTGAAGCAAACTTAAAAATTATCTAATCCAAATCATCCATTTTATAAAAGGGAAAACAGGCCTAGCTGAGGAAATTGATTCTGAGAGGTTAAACGACAAGTCTAAGATGACACAGCCAGTTGGGAGTAAAAGCAGGTTTTTTTGACGGCCATTTCAAGGTTATTTCCTCTACCATTGTTTAGGTGGCACTTCCTTGACGTGATTTTCTTTTAGATTCTATTCTGGAAGGAATTGGTGCTTTAAAAGAACATAAATGGCTATAGGCCATGTAATACGATAGAAAGACTTTCGACTCACTCCTGGGATTAAATCTCAGTTCTAAAAGAATGACCTTACTAACTAGATAGGCTTGGGATATTATTACTTTCCTCTTGGGTTTGTTGAGGGGATTAAATGTGAACTGCTGGTTATATAGTAGGAATTCAGCAACAAACTGTTATGATGAAAAGACTCTAGACAGTCACTTATCTACAGAGGAATATCAGATTATGCACGATTGCCATAAACTAGACATTCCTCATCCTAGTTTGTGTGAAGTAAGTGAATTTTGGCCAGGCGTGGTGGCTCACTCCTGTAATCCCAGCACTTTGGAAGGCCAAGGCAAGCGGATCACTTGAGGTCAGGAGTTCGAGATCAGCCTGGCCAACATGGAGAAACGCCAGCTCTAATAAAAAAAAAAGAAAAAGCTAGGCATGGTAGGAGGCTGAGGCAGGAGAATTGCTTGAACCTAGGAGGCGGAGGATGCAGTGAGCCAAGACTGCACCACTGCACTCCAGTGTGGGTGACAGAACAAGACTCTGTCTCAGAAGAAAAAAAAAAAAAAAGAAGTGCCCGATGCCTTCCAAAGATCTTGTGCAAATTGATCATTAACCTCAGAGGACATGGGAGGATCAGGAACACCAGCCTTGTAAGAGCATTAGAGGGCTTTTCTGTAGACACAGTCAAGCAGTGTTTTTAAAAATCCATTATAAGTCAACTCTTAGTGAAAGTACAGACAATCTCACCCATGTCCTATTAGATGGAGTGCAGGACTGGGGCTCAGAGTAGATGCAATGAAGCTCTACAAATACCATCATGTTTCCAAGACAACGGTATGTGACATGATGATGGGGACTGCCATCACCAGACTAGTGAAGCAAATGTTTTAATATGGGAATCCATTATGGACTTATGAGCTTCCCATCTAAATGCAGGACCAACACTATCACATTTTTGGGACAACGGTGTGTGAAATGGTAGTCCTTGTTAAAATAGCTGGAGGGCAGAAGGAAACACTTTAAGGTAAAAAGCTTATTATAGGCTTAGGAGCTGTAAGCTTCACTTCCTCCAGGCAAGGACCTGCAGATGTCTGGAAGTTACAGTCCTATTTCTGTCCTTGCAGTCAAAAGTTTGAGGGCCGCATACAAGTGCATGGACTCAGTGAAATGTGGGGCGACTTTTCCACAGATGCTAAGCCCTGCTTGCTTTCTGGCCACCAGCCCTCAAGGCTCTGTGAATGGGACGCCAGTGACGCTCTGCAAAGTAATGATGTACCACGTGCTTCTCAAAGAGTGTCACGAGGCTATTTTTTTCCAAAAAATGTCTTTTCCATGCCAGTACAACAGTGCCTGAAATTTCAACGTGTGATTCCTCTGGAGGAACCCTCCATTTATAAAACAGATGCTCCTCAACTTATGATGGACTTACAACCTGATAAACTTATAGTAAGTAAAAAATGCATTTAATGCATCTAACCTACCAAATATCAGAGCTTAGCTGAGCCTACCTTAAATGTGCTCAGAATATTTACATTAGCCTATAGATGGGCAAAATACTCTGGCAACACAGTACGCTGTAGAGTATCGGCTGCTTTCACTCATGATCATGTGGCTAACTGGTAGCTGCAGCTCACTGTGGCTGCCCAGCACTGCAAGATAGTTATCACACCACGTATCCCTAGTCCAGGAAAAGATCCAAATTCAAAATTTGAAGTATGGCTTCTACTGAATGCATATAACTCTTGCATCATGGTAAAGGGAAAAAATCATAAGTTGAACCATCTGTATAAATATACCTCTGAGAGGACTCCACCATTAGGCCACTTTCAACACAATGTGAATTAACCTACCAACGTGCGGTCCTGTACTACTTGAGAGATACGGTCACAGCCATTAACCTGCTTTACAGAGCTTGTCATGGCTGCAAGGACTCTGTAGAGAATGTTTCGAGATAGACCTTAAAAATTAGTGGAATATGGGTGAACAGGAAAAAATGAGAGAGCAAGTGCCTTGGAAAGTGATTCTTTTCCTAGAACCAAGTCTCCACTTTTATTCGGAAGATGTTTTATTTAAGGCTCCTTTTCATTTCAAAGTTAATTAAAATGGAAAATAATATAGTTTCTAAAGCTTTTCACAGAAACAAATCAGCCAGGAGTCCTTGGAAGATGTATTTTACTAGATCAAAACTTATTTTCTTCTCTTTAAACAGCCAAGTATAAAGACTGCTTATAGAGTATAGAAGGCAAGATCAAAGTTATGCCCCACTTTGACTCAAATTTTAAGGCTTTTTGCATTCTCAGAAGCTGAGAACATTCCATTTTTCTGACTTGGAGGACCTGGATTCAAGTTAGAAGCCACCTGTGCTCACTATAATATTCTGTCTCAGGCTGCACTTTGACCAAAATTTGATTCTACCATGATAGCTGAACATTATGATGAAACCCTGGAAGATGAAAGGACATAGATTTCCTCCCAATGATTTATGTGTAACCTTGTGATTTATTGAGAGACAGTGGATTATTTGACACATTATCATAAACCACTAAGTTTATTGGAGAGTCTCCTGGTGTCCTTGACACGATGGAAAGACATGACAAATTCTAAGAAATAATCTCTGCCTTTAAGAAGTTGACAATCTCCTGGAATACACAGAAAGTATTTATATGAAACAAATAAGAAAAAGAAGTATAAAGTCTAACTAAGTGCTAAACTTGTATATGAACTTGAGCTATAGAGCAATTCATCAGCCATCAGTGGAGGGTAGGTTGATGAAAAAAAATTTCGAAGGAATCAGAGGAGGTGCCTGGTGAACCTGGGGTCTCAGGAAGGTTCTCCAGGTTGGGTGGGATTTAGAAAGACAGTGTGGAAAGCACAGGGCATTCCTCAGTCCAAAATGATCATGATAACCATAATGATTTGATGAAACCTATTGATGAGCAAGAGTGACAGGACTCTCCCGGCAAACAAACATGTGATGTAAAGGACTTGGAAGAGTTATGCAGTTGAACTTTGCTAGATTAGAATGACAGGAACCGAAAAGGCAGACAGTAGGGGTAGTATCTTGAGTTTTTTCCAGGGACAGTAGACACCATACATGGAGAAGGTAGACTGTGTGTGAAAAGATGAGTGTTAGGGATTGCTGAAAATTGTGTGTGCCTGTTCTAAAGGCATGTAAATACAAAATACATTAAAAAAGCGTTTTGTGGATGAAAATGCTATGGGCTCATCACTGAATTCCAACAACATTCCTAAGTCCTCTGGGTTATGTCTTAGTCTAACCTCCATTTTCACACACTCAGTATTAACAGTGACATTTCCTGAGGACTCAACTTGCAACTTCCAGTGTCACCCCCTGACTTTTGTTTCTTCAGCTGTCACTCCTACCCCTCCACCCCACCAACTTACACTGATGCTAAAGCAAGGTGTTTTGTTCTCTGGAATGGCCCTGAGCACTCTGCTGTCTTCTCTTTACTCCTTTTCTTCCCTCTTTTGCAAGTATCCTTCCCCTCAAAATCCTTCTCATTCTTTAAGGCTGCCATAGTTAAAACTAGGTTGTAAGTGGTAGAAACCCAACGTCCGTGTGCTTCAGTAAGACATGGGGATTGCTGGCTTAGACATCAGAAGTCCAGGGGTTGACCTAGCTCTCAGGAGTAACAGTCTGCTCATTATTTCCCAGACTTGTGCAGCTCTATGTTTTTTGTTTTTTCAGTTTTCTGTTTTCTTATGAATAGGCCTCATTCTGTCTCTTTGTAGCCATTCTTCTTTGCCTATGGGTGGGCTGGGGGGCCAAGGGGAGTGTGGAGAGCAAAGCAGATCCAGGTTTACCTCATCCCAGCATAGTAACCCTGGAGGAGAAAACACACTTTTACCTGCAGGATCTAGAAATAGAAGGTCCCAGAAAATAACAACTGGTTGGCCAGACTTGCATCATGTGCTATGGCACAATTACTCTAATAGGCAGGCATGGTCGGCATGGTCCTCTTCTTGCTGCTTCTTCTCCAGAGGTACCACAAAGAGTGGAAAAGGGTCAGAGGGAATTTACCAAAAGAGGGTGTAATGGGATACTTAGCAACCATAACCAACAACAACCATCGGTGTTATCAGCCCTTTCTACCACCTCTCCAGGAGGCAAGGCTGCTTAACAGAATGGGCACAGACTGTATCAGGCAGCTTGGTTTCAAATTCCAGCTCTGCTACTTCTTGGTTGCATAAACTTGCGATAATTAGAAATGCTAGGAGCCTCAGTTACTTCATCTGCTAAACTGAGATGACAGTAGCTTCTTCTCCCCCCACACCAAATCTGCTGTGAAAATTAAATGAAACAAAATTAAACAATCAGCCCAATTCACTGCTAGAAATATAGGCACTGCTAAATACACAATTGCTGCTACTATGATGATGAGCAGCATCATCATTATTATTATGGTTAATATTACAACTGCTATTACTACTTTTTTCACATTCTTCCTCCTCCTTATTTCTTATGCCCCAAGCCAAAAACAGATCTTACACTTTTTGGCTTGGGGTTTGTCTACCTTCATCTGTGGACAAACTTCAGCATGTGTAATTCTCTTTTATTATAGTTTTTTTACTTTGAATGGGTGACAAGATTCAAATATTTACTTGTGAAGGTACTCAGCCTTCTTTATTTTCATCTTCTTGCTAAACAGATTTATTCTTTATCCACCTCCCTTCCCCTCTCTCTCTTTCTTTTGCTGGTCTGGTTCCTTGGTTTTTAAACTGAGAATTAGGAGGGGAAAAGGGAGACAAGGGAGGGAAGAGGGGAGATGGGGGAGGGAAGAGGGAAGGGGAGAGGGGGAAGGGGAGAGGGAAATGAAGGGAGGGGGATGGGGCAGGTACCAGATGAGAGAGACATATAGAGAGAGAGACTGAATTGAAAATGGAGGCCGAAAGTACGGGCACAGGAGGAAAAAAGATGAGAGCCAGGAGATCTGAATTTGAGAAAAGTGCTGACTGAGAGGTTTGGTAAAGGGAAAAGTTCCTGAGCAGCTGCTCTGTGTGGGGAAACCAGAAGAGGATATGAAAGAGAATGAAATGGAGATGAAATGGAAAGTTGTATCCAGCCTTCCCAGCTTTTTCACCATCAAATACATTTGTGTATGTCTTATATCTATGTACCTATATACACATCCCTCAAATCATTAACTCTCACCTGAAAATAGAAAATAGGTATATTTTTTTGCTGTTGTAAAATGTACGCACTGATTAACAAATGCAAGAGAGCCCAGGTAGACCTAGAGGTTTAGAAAATGACATCTGTTGGGGAGTTAAGCTATGAGGATGCGCAGGCATAAAAATGATACAATGGTCTTTGGGGACTCGGGAGGAAGGTTGGGAGGGGGGTGAGGGATAAAAGACTACACGTTGGGTACAGCGCACACTGCTTGGGCGATGGCTGCACCAAAAGCTTAGAAATCACTACTAAAGAGCTATCCATGTAACCAAACACAACCTGTTGCCCAAAAACCTACTAATTTTTTTTTTTTAAGTTTCTGGGTTAATCTAGAATGGTTTTCTAAAATAAAAGTTTTAGAAGAATTATTAAAGGATCTTTTCCTCCCAGGTCTTCCCTCCCCAGTTACATCATCACCGCCTAGACAAATATCAAAAATAAATCAAAACTATGTAACAGATAAATATGAGAAAAAAAACCCATCAGGAACCAAGGGCTCTAGCTCCCAACTTTACCATTAATAAAGGCACATTGCAGTGTACCAGACTTGATCTAGGAATAAGCTGTTCTCAGCTCCATATTTAGGTTAGTTCCTTAAAGTTTCTTCCATAATTTACTTCCTGAAAATATTGGGGTTGTTGTTGTCACTGCAACCTACAACTAACCTTCCACGAATAAATTTGATTTAGATAGTAATTATTAGAAAAGTATTTCAAAATAGACAGTTAACAAGCAAAAGAAAAAGGGTGCAACCTCACTAGCGTTCAAAATTATAAATCAAAATTATAATGAAGTAACTTTTTTTTTTAACCAATCACAATAGGCAAAGACTTTGAAAAGATAATTCCACATTTAGCTGAGAATAGAGTGAAATGGGCCTTCCTATATTTTACTCTTGGGAATGCAAATTAATTATTCCTTTCTGGGAAGAAAATAGCCAGACTGTCCACAGTCCCAAATTGACCCACAATATCCCCCTATGAAAATGCAGCTCTGGAAAACAGTTCTAAATATGAGAGGGAGGAGGATTTTTAAAAATCACATCTTTAAACAATATTGTTTCTATTTATTAAATTATCTGTTAAGTCCAATGTTCAAGAACAAATCAAGAATTTTAAAATAATGATTCATGATCACCATTTTTCCTTGAGCTAGCATCCTCACAAAGGGCATGTCATACTCAGGGACTGGGCAATAGAGCTGTGGTTATCTGGTAGGACAAAGGGCTTTGCTAACTCAGACATTACCTGCAAGGCAGCACTTACTCGTGTAAGCAGCTTGTTTCCAATGTGGCTTAGCATAAGGCCAAAACAAATAAAAGTCCTATAATTATTCATAGTTATACAATTATGTATATAATTATGCAAAAAATGCTTTCAGATACTTGTGACATACATTACTCATGATTGGATCTTCTAACTCCAGAGAAATAAAGGGAGCTATACTAAATGTTGACAAGCCATGGAGACAGATGCCAACACTTTCCCAGTTAGAGAGTACAGCTGATTTTTCTTTTTTTTTTTTTTGAGACGGAGTCTCACTCTGTCACCCAGGCTGGAGTGCAGTGGTGCGATCTTGACTCACTGCAACCTCTGCAACCCAGATTCAAGCGATTCTCCTGCCTCAGCCTCCTGAGTGGCTGGGAATACAGGTGAAGCCACCACACTCGGCTAATTTTTGTATTTTTAGTAGAGACAGTGTTTCACCATGTTGGTCAAGCTGGTCTTGAACTCCTGACCTTGTGATCCACCCGCCTCGGCCTCCCAAAGTGCTGGGATTACAGGTGTGAGCCACCATGCCTGGCCCTGAAATTTTTTTTTTCTTTTTTTAGAAGGCAAGGGGCACCTTGCTGCCTTAAACCTAAAAGGGAGGAAATATTTACAGAAGATTCCTGCTGACTTTCTAAAAATGCCTTCTTGATGCCGTTTCCCAAAGTTTTTCCCTTCTAACACTTCCTCCTCTTTGAGAAATGCAAATATGCAAGCATATTTTAGTAAAGTTGCTCATGTAGTGCCTTAAGATCTGAACAGTTAGGAGGAGACGTGTGATCTGTAACCTTCTCTATTCTATTGGCTTTGGACAACATTTCATTAACATTACTGTAGGAATGCTTACCTGTCCAGCAAGGCTGACTAGGGAGTACAACTGGAAATCATGAGGCATTTGGCAGGCAATATGGATCAACATCCCAAGAAACATTTTCTCCCCTGCCTTGGCTGCAACCTCAGGCCTGGTAACACTGGCACTTTTTTGTGGTAATCAGTCCAGAGTGAGGGCTAAGATTGATACTGTTCTGAATGCAATTTTCCATCAACAGAGAGTAGAAGATTGGAAAGGCTTGGACTTAGAAATGCCAGCCTCATTCCTCTTCCTGGTGTCTGAACATGCACATTTAGCCGTATCAACTGAAACGCTGATGCAGTTCAAATTCAAACACAAGGCATTTGTTACTTTTTTAAAAAGGACATTTTTAGCTTTGCATAATAATATAGGGGAGACTTTAGTTTGTGTTGTTTACATTTTTCATCTTTAAATTTAAAGATGAAATTTAAATTTAAAATTAAAAACTTAAATTTAAAACCTTAAATTTAAAAATTTAAGGTTATTTTTCATCTTTAAAGATGAAAAATTTAAGGTTTGGACCAGAAAGGTTAAGCCACTTGTCTATTCCCGCACAGCTAAACATATGGCTCAGCAATGTGATTATGTGAAGCAATATGGGGCCATAAGAAGGGAACGATTCAAGATTAAAAGGGCTACTGAAATAGCCTTAGACTACACATGAAGATTATAGCTTATCTCTATAATCAGCCCTTGAGTTTTGGATTTCACTGGTCAAATCAGAATTTTATGATTTCCTAGTACTCTCAATATTAATTTCATTTCAAGTTAATTATCACTTTTTCTCTCTTGCGTATAATGCATCACTCTATTTCTTGCAGTTTTGAGGCCTTATTTGCAACACAGCCATTGACTACTTGGTGGAATTGGGTGGAAGCTACCAGTTAGCATATTTCTAGAGAGATGTCCAAGCAGCATAAAGCCCCTGACTAGTGCTGATGATGTCACTGATTTGGTAAAATACTTTTGTAAACTGTGAGATTCTTGAGAGCAGCGGTGCTCCTAGGACTTAGCTATACATAGATATATGTCATAAATGAATGGACAACAGGGTGAAGCATCCAAGAAAGTGATAAAACTCTCTCCATCTACTGGGTAAACAAGGCACAGATATTAGAGATTTAACACTCTAATGGGAACAGAACATCGCTGACCTACTTTTTCTCCCTCTGTTTCATGTAAATTGCAAATTCACACATTGCCAGCTCTTAACAACATAGCACTCTTGCTCCCAGAGAAGCAGCTGTAGATACTGGAGGCTGTCAGAACTAGAGGTGATATCTGGATCTGCTCCATCTCCACCATTTGGACCACCCACCTAGGTTTATTAACCTGTGTCTTACTCAGATTACGCTTTTACAAAGATAGAGGAGAAATTAAATAGAAAATTAAAAATGATACCATTCAGACAGGTTTTAGTTGGTGCTGTCCCTTGGGTCAGGCAAAGTAATAAGCATTATCTTTTCTGCATTCCAGATAGGATAGAAGATGAAGGTTAAAATGCATGGAGGGAAGCTTCCTGGCCCGTAAGGTATGGATCAGGAGATAAGAGAAGTGGTGGGATTTGTGAATTTGGAGAAAGGCAGTCGCCTGTGACATTGCCCCAATATACCAAAGGATTTCAGGTGGTATCTGGCCTTGGAGATACATGCTGAGGCTGGAGGCTAAGCCTGTTGGCCTTGGGAGTGGCGACTAAGGAGGGTGGTTGATGGTTGACTCTGAGCTGGGTCAGTAAGAAGCTGGATGTGAGAGCAGCAGAGCCTCACTGTAGGTGGGTAGCAGCCCTCACTGGTGGCATCCTGTGCAGAGGAAACACATGATGCTGGGGCCAGTGGATGGATACTCCTAAGTCTCTGCTCTAAGTTTTGGGGCCTGCCTTAGTCCCAGTGTTCTAGCATCATGCGAGATTTGTCCACAAGCTGTCAAAAGAGAAATTTCTCACTGTGTCATTACCAAATCCACCAACCTACCTGCCTCTCAAGCCATATTGTCTACCTTCCCTCCTACTGCAAGGCATTACCTCCTTATGTTCTTTCTTCAGGCAGCCCTTCCACTAGTGCATGAGATCCACTGGTGCCTCATCTCCTTAAGATCACTGCTCCATAATTCTTTTTTTCTGTACTATCAGTCCCCATTCCAATCATTCCCATCAGGACATCGACTTGCTGTAATACCTCCCATCCTACAAACATGTCTTCTACTAACTGTGCACACTCTCTGCTTCCATATAGTAGAATTCCCATAAATGATTATATATACTATCGTCCCCATTTTGTCACCTCCTCTGATCCATTTTTTCCTCAACCTACTCCAGTCAAGTTTCATGTGCATCAAAGTCACCAGGAGTTTCCACATTGCCAAATTGGTGACCATTTTCCAGTACTTGCCTTCCTCAGTCTCTCAGCAGCATTTGACTTTCATGCAGTCACTTCCTCCTTGAAACACTTTCCTGCCTTAGCTTCTGGGATACTATGAAATTGCAGTTCTGTTTTCTTCCAGTATGGTGACTGCTCCTTCTCATTCGCTTCTGCTGGATTCTCCTTTTCTTCCCCATTTATAAATGGGAGAATGCTCCAGAGATTAGTCTTTATTTCAATTCATGCTTATTTCCTCTACAATGTCCTTGAGTTTCACAGCTTTAGACGTTATCCATATGCTGATGGATCCCAAATTTGACCTCTAGTCTCTGTCTTTCTCCTAAACTTTATACTCATACTCAGTTCCTACTCAGCATCTTTGCTCACCTGCTATTAACCACTTCAAAGTTAATATGCCTCATATTGATCCTTTGATTACCATGCCACCCCCAAATATGCATGTTTTTAAGGATTTTCTGTTCTATTAAATGTTCCAACATTATCAGTTGTTCTGTGTAAAAACCTAGGACTCATCCTTGGTCCTCTCTTTCTCTTACAGCTTACATCAGATTTATTAGTAAGCCCAACTGGGTCCACCTTAATGGATACCCACTAGTCACAATCTCACCACTACCATCCTCGCCCGAGGAGCCACCATCTTTTTCCTGCACTAAAGCAAGTGCCTTCTAACTAGTGTACTGCATCTCTTCTTAATATTGCCGCCTACCACCTATTCTCCACACAGCATCCAGAATGTATGTCAGATCACAACATTCTCCAATTCAAAACTCTCCAAATTTCCCCATCATACTTAGAATAAAGCCAAAGTAAGTGACAAGGTACATAACATCAAGGCCCTATGTGACCTGTGCTCTCATGCTCTTCTTGTATTCTCTCCCTTTTGCCTCATTTGCTACCATTCTTTACTGACCTTGCTTTCTCTGAGCATGTCATCCATGTTACTGTCTCCAGGTCTTTGTACGTGTAGGGTCCTCATCCTGGAAGATTCCCTTTCCAAACATAGCATGACATCACTCCCCTCAATCCCTGACTACCCAGCCAATACTCTGCATTAACTTTTCTCCAGAGATCTATTCCTAACACTGCCACAAATATTATGACTGATATTTTATAATTACTTACATATTACATATTGCTTTTATAATCATGTATATTAGCATATTATTATTTGTGTGTTTGTCTAATATTTGTCTCCTTCACATAAATGTACACTCTGCAGAAACAGGGACTTTGCCTGTTTGTTTTCCATTTTATCTAAATCATCTAAAAGAATCTCTGATAGAGAGTTAGGGTTTAACACTTTTTTTTGAATATATAAATGGCAAATTTCAATCACCTCAGTAGATTTCAGTAACTTGTATTGAACTAAAGTGGTGGATTAGCCCTAAACTGTTACAGCAAATGCACTTATAGTGGCTTCTTTATGATTAATCTGTGGTTATTTCAAAGGTGTTTATTGAGAAGAAAAATGCTAAGAGAAAACCAAACTGCATTAACAATTCTTTTAGGTCTTTTGTGCACACTCACACAAAAAAGTTTTATGACATATTACGCAGCGAAATGGTTTTAAAAATTACTTTGTTTTTAGCTGCCTCAGGTTTTTGCACTTCTTCGTCTCTCAGCCTGAAACATTATTTCACCCAAAACATTTTCATGGCATCACATTTTCATGTGATATAAAGATTTCCTGCTCTGAAAAAAAAAAATTATGGATGTTATTGGGCTAGAACAAAAAATTGGTTTACAAATATTCCTAAAGACCAATTAATAAGAGAATATGCTAGTAACACATATAACAAAAGATTACTCTACAGAATATAGAATCAGTAAAAAAAAGGTAAGAAACAAAATGCAGAAATGAGAATAAATAGGGATTTTATACAAAAGAAAGTACAAGTGGCTCATAAGTACATAAAAACTTGCTCAATCTCAAGTTATTAGAAAAGGCAAATTGAAATTACAATGAGAAACAATTTTATACCTAGAGATTGGCAAAACTTAGACAATACTACATGTTGATGAGGTGTGGAGCAACTAGAACTATTAAAATGCTGGTTGGTGAGCAAGTTATTACAAATGCTTTGGAAACAGTTCAGCATTACTTATTAAGGTGAAACTTACACACATATCATACATACTATATATGATATCATGTGATATATATGATAGATATGTTATGTGATATATAGGGTATATATGTGTATACTATATATGTATATACTACATATATACGTGTATACTATATATACACTATATAAGATATATAGTCTATATCATATATAGGATATAGATACACACACGTATATCATATATATCCCATATAAAGGATATTAATGTTTTACATGTTACAAGCGTATAAAAATTTTCCCCCAATGTGACAATTTGTGTCAACAGGCAGGGAAGAAGTGAGGCCTGAGTTCACTCCAAGAGCCTCGGAGGACCTGAGTCTTACTAACAACTACTGGAGTGAACTGGAAGGGGATCCTTCCCCAGCCTACGCTGGAGGTAAAACTTCAGCCTTGTGAGTGACCCTAAGCCACACCTATAGAAGCAGCCCACAGAAACAGTGGGATAATAAACATTCATGTTTTAGGCCATGAAGCTTTGAGGTAATTTGTCATGCAGCTTTAGACTGCTAATTTCTTCATTACTTTCTACTTGGTGTTTCTAGAGGGCTCTTAAACTTTTTAATTTAACTTTATCGTGCTAAGTATCCCTTGACAGACTGATGAAGTCTATAGAGCATTCCTTATTATAATATTTTTAAATGTATAGAACGAGATACAAAGGATTACAAAGGAAACAAATTATATTGAAATCTGGGTTCAAAATCCCCCTGGTCCATTCCACTGTGTTTTAGTTAATGTGTTAGGCTCATACTGTTTTAATCTTACTAGCTGCATATTGGACATTTTGTAGGCAACTTTGTATCAGTTATTGTTTTTCACATTTTCTTTGCAATTCTCATGTTTATTCTATATTACAATTTCTCAATAATTTTGTTTATCCTTTCCAAAATGAATTGGGATTCTGATTGGAAAGGCATTCAATATATATATTAATTTGAGAAGCACTGACATTTTTACAATATGAGACTTTCTCTTCTATTTATTCAGATAGTGTTCTCTTTATACCTATGTTACTTTCTGCATCTTCTCTGAATAGTAATAGTAATAACAATAACATTTAAATGTCATTTATTTGAGTATGTACTATGTGCTATACTGTGTGCTAAGTGTTTTACATATATTGGCTAGTTTAGTCCTCACTATGAAGTAAAGACATCATCCATTTCTTGACAGGAAAACTGAATCTCAGAGTTGTTAAATGTTTCCCACAGTAAAAAGAGTAGACTGGCTAACTGGTAAAATCTACCTGGAAATCGTGAGTTTTTTCTACTTGGCCAAACCATCAATTTATGTTCTAGACCCATGCCTTCACAATAATGTAAAGGGCAATGTCTTTTAATGTCCTACAGGACATATCACAATGAATAGACAGCTGCACGTGTGAAATTCCACATTTTCAAATTATAAAAAATGCATTTGTAATAAAAAGTAAAGAGTCTAACTCCATTTTTGTTGTCTGACTGTTGACAGATTTCAAGCACCCCCTGTTCTTCTCTTCCCCTTGCTCCTTATCTGGGCAAGATAACAAGAAAGTCCAGGTGCACTAGGTTGATTTAAAAAAATCCTGGGTGTATCTAGGCAAGCTGATGGGAAAATTGGGTGTACCTTTAGCACCAGTGGGAAGTTCAAACCACCCAAGTCCTAGCCCTTATGAGGGAGCTCTCTCTGAGCCCCCTCTAGCCTCCATCAAACTCCAAACTAGTTTTTCTTCCTTCTTCTCAAGCCATATTCAGACCTGCCTGGAGGCCTTCCCTGCTCTTCCCAGAAAGCCTCATTATGTGATTAATAAACCTTTTCATGCTCTCTTGGTGCATGTGTGCTATCATTTGTCTTAACATCTGAACCAAATTTTGAGTGAAGAGTCATCCTGATTAAGGTGAGTGACCACAGCAACATTGAATATTTCACTCACTATTTTAGACATTGGTATTCGAGAACAATTGTTCCATAATAAGAGAATTTATTGAAGTAGCTAGATGCAAGATAAACACCACAAAAGAAGCCACACTTTCCCTTTACACTATTTACTTACACTAGATTAATTTATCCCAAGGGCGTTTATTAAATACTTACTGTGTAGGCATACTATTCCAGGTGCTGTGAAAGATACCAAGGAATTTGTCACCAGGCAGTTATAAGGTTATCCTAGTTTTGGGAACAGAAATTTTAACTAAAAATATAAAGTCAAATACAGGGGAAAACCCTA
Organism: Homo sapiens; assembly: GCF_000001405.40. Taxonomy (NCBI): domain Eukaryota; kingdom Metazoa; phylum Chordata; class Mammalia; order Primates; family Hominidae; genus Homo; species Homo sapiens. The sequence goes on from NC_000003.12 coordinate 3,474,257, forward strand.
CAGATTAATTCAACATACTATCTATGTTCTATTCCCTTATGGAAGAAAATTAATTTATAGCTACTTATTTCAAGCATTTACTATTCTAATCATTTGAGGAAATTAAATATTTCTTTTTGTTAGATAAAGCTAAAGCTTACAATGGATGCTTTCTTTACGATTAAAAAACATTGAATGTTTGTCACTACAGCTTCCCTACAGATTTAAATTTCTTTGATCATGACATTTTTCAAAGTTGCTCACATGCCAACATAAAAGACTGTAGTTGAAGCACTGTAGTTGGAAGAATATAAGCTTTCAATTTTGTGAAGTCTACTTTACATCAGGTGTTGACACATTCATGCATGCATTTTTTTGCCAAGTATTTATGGTAAATTCACACATTAATTTAAAAAGGAGTGATATATGTGTAATATTATGATTTCAGAGTATATATTACCATTTATTTGAGTCTTATTTAGTGCTCCTCTATCAAATTTTATGCTTTTCTTTCAACTAGGTCTTGCATTTTTTTATTTACTTTAGGTCCCTTAATTTGTCTATGATGAATGATTTCCTTCCATTCCAATTTCTAATTGGTTGTTGCTCGTATAAAAGAAAATTATTGCTTTTTGTGGTATTTATCTTGTATCTAGCTACTTTACTGAATTCTCTTATTAGTTTTAAGAAGTTCCTTATTATGGAAGTATATATCATCTGCTAATAATAATAATAATAATAAATGTTTTCCCTCAAATTATATGTATCACTTATGCTATGTTTCTCTTAATTTATTAACTAGGACTTCCAAATGATGTTGGATAATAATGCTAAGTGACCCTACTAGTCATATTCCTGATTTGAATAGGAATGCCATTTAGTAAGATGTTCATTCTTGGTTTCTATTCAACATTCTATCATATTTAGGAAGCTTCCTTCCTTTCCTAATTAGCTTTGATTCTTTTTTTGAAATTAGGAATAGGTGCTAAATTTTGAATTACCATGTTTAAAATGCTATTTGAACTTCTATATGGTCTACTGAATTCAAGCTTGCCTATCAGGAAACAGAACCAACAATAATGTTCCAAAAAAATCACTCATGTGTTAAACCAAAAAATAAAGAAAAGTACTTATGTGGCATAATTTATTTTCCTAGACAATCATCACAGTTCCCTTGTTTTTACTTCAGCCAAATATCAACTATCACTTTAAAACTTTTTGTTATCTTGAAAACAGCCTTGTAACTATAGTTTGAGGAATTGAAGAATGGCTGGAATATAGTTAACTTCATTAATTAACAGGGGCTGTGATTTCAGGAGGTTTTTGTTGTTATATGAATTATGTTTGACCTTATATATGATTCCAAGACTTATAGCCTTTTTATTTTTATATTCATTTAAACTAGGTACAAACCGAATGTATTAGGTAACAATGTACTTCTTTAAGTGGCACAGGTGGCTCCACGACAAGCCATACTTATCAAAATAAAAGAAATGGGAAAAAACAAGTAATATTCAGCAACACTTAACTAAGACTTTCCAAAGGGCTGTGACTTCTAAGGGGATAACAAAAGGAAAATACAGTTATTACATCTGTCTTCCAATTCATTTTCAAGTATATTTTGAAGTATGATTAATAGTTTTATAAATACTTTTCTCACTTCATCCACAGCTACAAAGAATTTCAAATTAATTCACTGTTTCTGACTCCATTCTTAATGGATTTTTAAAGTCCACGGCAACAAATCAATCCACTGTAGATTCAAATCTGTGAACCATAATATAGTCTTTTATATCCAGAAAGGAATAGGAATGCAACACAATAAATGATGTTGTGAAATGTATTGGTGCCATTTACTCAGAACAAGAAAAGGAACATAGTCATTTCAAGATATTTAATTTCTAATACCAAAAGTAGTTATATTATTTTACTTGTCCTAGGCAACTAATAGGCTCTGAAATAACGACTTATCACATGCACACTATACACTATATATTTTAACATTTTAATTTTTTTCACCAGATATTTGAGCCTTTAAAAGGGGCAAGATAAGATTAGAAATACTCAAGACATCAATCATTATAGCTTCACGGAAGCTATACTCATAAACGAAGGTGATATTATCCCTTGGAAAGCAAAAGAGTTTCAAAAACTGTCAACTGAAAAGCTTTTGAAGACTCACAAGTCAGAAAATTGTCAGGATCAAGGGCTGAAAAGTGTAAGAATAGACCAATAGATCAATGGCACAAAATGGAGAGACTTAGAATAATCCCAAATATAATTGGGAACATGAAATCTGACAGAGGAGGGAGGTAGAGCAAATCAGTGAGAAAGGAAGACTCATTCAATAGAAGAGGCCAGGGACATCTGCTCTTTAGGTGGAAAATAATACAACTAGATCCACACATTTTCACGATTTCCAGATGGATTAAAATTAGAAGTGGCAAATGCAAAGAATTTACCAAAAAAACCCCCAATAAGATACTTATTTTCTATTAGGCTGGGGCACACTTACTTAAGGCACAAAAAGTGCAAACCGTCAAGGAGAACATCATCGTTTGTCTATACCAAAATGAAAATTTTGTGTATGAAAAAATACATCATAAACACAGTCAAGTTATAAGCTGCTGACTAGGCAAATTACTTGTAACACTGTGAGAGAACTAAGGTTTAATAATAATAAAATTACAAGATGGCAGCAAAATATATAATGCTTTGTACATGCCAGACTGTTTCAAGTGCCTGACATAAAAACTCATGTATTCTTTACAACAAATTTGTGGGTACTGTTATTCTTCCCACTTTTCAAAGGAAGTGATTTAATCACAGAGACATTAAGTGACTTTTCCAAGGCTAATGATGCTAGTTAATGGCAGAGTGTGATATATAAAGATGGATAAATAAAAACAACAACAAAAAATGAATAACCCAATAGAAAAAAAAGGCTATGGGCATGTAATTCATGAAAAAAGAAACTTGAATGGCAAATAGTACATTTGAAGACTGGCTCAATTGAACTATTAGTGAGAAAATGCAAATTAGAACACTGAGATACAATTTAACATCCATTAAATTGGCAAAATTTAAAAAGTCTGGAAACATCAAGTGTTGGTAAAGATATAACAAATGTAAAGTTTTTGTATACAGCGGACATCCAGGTGAGTTTAAAAAGTTTGAAACTCTCCAGCTCAAGAACTATACTTTGGAGATTTTGCCACATGTGGGAACAAAGAGTAGTAAACAAAGATATTCACTGAAGAACTGTATATGATAATTATAAATGTGAAAGACACAATTGTGCAAGTTTCAAAAGGATATATTCAACAAGAAAATGTATATCTAAATGATAAAAACATACAATATCACCATATGTTGTTTATGACGATATATATACAAGGTAAAGATTTTTGAAAACCCATAGTAATGATACACATGGACTTCAAGTTAGTAGTTATCTCTAAGATGGGAAAAAGAAAAATGGGGGTTGAACTTTTTATTTCTAAAGGAAAAACTTTATAGGAATTAAACTTGGAAAAACATTAGCATATGTTAAATGTGTACAATAGGGACATGGGAATAAGTTATATTGTTTTTAGTGCTTTTCTGTATGTTCTAAATATTTCAAAATTAAATTTATTTTTCAAATTAATTATGCTGTAAAAATTTAAAGAAAAAGAGGTACTGTGAATGCAAGAACCATGAGAACATACATGGCCATGAAAGGGAGATGCTGTGCAGTGAAGAGCAGGTTGAAGAATGATTTTATTTGAAGAAAGTCCTGTGGGCAGTAAGAGACAGAAGGAGAGAAAGAACCTTTCAAATTTGAGAAAGCAGAAATCACAAACTGCTGACCACTGAGCCCAATATAGCCAGAAGACATGCATGTTTAGTCAGCCCAGAAATATTCAAATCTGAATATTTTTATGTGAGGCATACACCTTTTATTTTCTTACTGTCCCCACAAATCCCTCATGTCTTCCGCCAGGCCATTTGTTTATTTATCTGGTTTATGAAAACTTCTGAGTTTGAAATCCCTGGAAAAGACTGAAATGAACGAAAGATAAGGGATTAGGTTTGGAATGCAAGAGAAATACCTCTTCATCAGAGGCAGTAGAGGAGAAGAGGGAAGAAGAGATGGAAACATTTGAAAAGAGAATTTAAGAAAGGTGAGATTTTGAATAAGAAGAAAGTTAAACATTAGAAAAGAGTGGGGAAACATCTGGATACACCTTTAAATGTCATATAGATGAGCCTTTCATATGACTTTATTGTTGAAAGCATCTTTACTCAATAGCTTTTCTGAATCTCTTGTATGATTTTTTTGCCTCCTGAAAACAGGATTGCCTTTTTGAAGCTTACCTCATGCTGCAGGTGTGATGATCAGAATTATTTCTCTGGCTTCTGGATTTCCTCCTTGATTATCTGTTGTATTAATATTAGTTCCTCTTGGGTTTCTCTGGGTAAAACCTTCCCTAATGTGGTCTGAAAATGGATCATGGCACTGTCCTCTCCCTTTTATTAATAAAAAAGTCTGTTTCAACAACCTTCTTGAATGTGTAAGAAGCTATCATTCCAACAATTATAAAAAGGTCCTAGCCATTTTCTCTTCAAGTCCATTCTCTTCCTTTTATCCATCTGGAACTTTAAAAACTTTCAGTTTTACTCTGCCTAAAAGCAATAGCACTAGTGTTCAAATGCTGAATAAGACTGCATCTCTGAAACATCATAATAATTGACTGATTGAGTCAATTTTGTAAAATCCTCTCCTTTTTGTTTTTTATCAGGAAAATAAAAATGTCTAGCCAATTTTATCCCGATGGAAGTGATAGATTTGCAATTTCAATTGAACTGACTGGTCAATCCAATCAAATAAGTGGTTTTACTGTTTTTCTCTGGTGAATTAATTAGTTGTTTAATTGAACTAAACAGATTTATAGGTTTCCTGGGTATTGCATGAACAAAACCCAGTGAAAAATTAAAACTTAAGGTGTCACTCACTACACAGACAAATAATTTTTTGAGGTTGGTTTTACATTTGCAACTAAGTTTTGGCTAAGCTTATCTTCGTGAGGCTTTGTTTATAAAATCCAAGGCTAATAGATTCCAAAATATGCTTGATACTTTTGAGGAGTGGTCAAGAAGATTATTGTAAGGTGCCCGGTGAATTGGGTGGGGGCAGAGGTTGTTAGCAAGGAGATTCATCAAAGGTTTGGTGGAAAAGGTGTTAAGTTTATTCATAAAGAAATGGACATACCTAGATCAAGATTTATAGAGATTTTATACGTGCATACTTTTGCACTCAAAACACTGTACCAGGGACTACCGGGGCTCCAATGATGAAAACTATAAAATTCCTACTTTTTGGTGAGAATCCTAGTCAGGAAACTTTTGTCTTCTAGAAAAAGAATATACTATACTGGCTCAAATAAATTCAAAAGAAAAATACATTTCCCATTTCCCATAAGTACAATCTAGAAAGAACATATTTTGGGTACGATTTAGGTGTCTCAATTAAAGCACTAAAGATATAATTCTACTGTTCACCCTGATATCCTCAACAGCAGATCTACCCTAAAGCAGGTTCATTTTTTGGTTACAAGGTGGCTGTCAGTGACACTTAGGACTATGAGCTATCCTACTGATATCTAGTATGTGTGAGTGAAAGTGTAAACAAGAAAGGTGGAATTCAGGGGAGAAAGGGAGGGAGAGAAGGTGAGTGGAAAGAAAACTAGAACCACAAAAGTAGGTAGAAAAACTTTACCCTGGTTACAGAGTATAAGCCTCTCTTTTTGGTTTCATGAGGCCATTTTAATGGATGCACTGGACTGAGAATAGATTCCAGAATGAATGCCAGAGACTGGCTCAGAATAATCAATATCCAGGACCAGATGGAGTAACAGCCGAATTCTACCAGAGGTACAAGGAGGAGCTGGTACCATTCCTTCTGAAACTATTCCAATCAATAGAAAAAGAGGGAATCCTCCCTAACTCATTTTATGAGGCCAGAATCATCCTGATACCAAAGCCGGGGAGAGACACAACTAAAAAAGAGAATTTTAGACCAATATCCCTGATGAACATTGATGCAAAAATCCTCAATAAAATACTGGCAAACCGAATCCAGCAGCACATCAAAAAGCTTATCCACCATGATCAAGTGGGCTTCATCCCTGGGATGCGAGGCTGGTGCAATATACACAAATCAATAAATGTAATCCAGCATAAAAACAGAGCCAAAGACAAAAACCACATGATTATCTCAATAGATGCAGAAAAGGCCTTTGACGAAATTTAACAACGCTTCATGCTAAAAACTCTCAATAAATTAGGTATTGATGGGATGTATCTCAAAATAATAAGAGCTATCTATGACAAACCCACAGCCAATATCATACTGAATGGGCAAAAACTGGAAGCATTCCCTTTGAAAACTGGCACAAGACAGGGATGCTCTCTCTCACCACTCCTATTCAACATAGTGTTGGAAGTTCTGGCCAGGGCAATCAGGCAGGAGAAGGAAATAAAGGGTATTCAATTAGGAAAAGAGGAAGTCAAATTGTCCCTGTTTGCAGACGACATGATTGTATATCTAGAAAACCCCATTGTCTCAGCCCAAAATCTCCTTAAGCTGATAAGCAACTTCAGCAAAGTCTCCGGATACAAAATCAATATACAAAAATCACAAGCATTCTTATACACCAATAACAGACAAACAGAGAGCCAAATCATGAGTGAACTCCCATTCACAATTGCTTCAAAGAGAATAAATACCTAGGAACCCCACTTACAAGGGATGTGAAGGATCTCTTCAAGGAGAACTACAAACCACTGCTCAAGGAAATAAAAGAGGAGACAAACAAATGGAAGAACATTCCATGCCCATGGGTAGGAAGAATCAATATCGTGAAAATGGCCATACTGCCCAAGGTAATTTACAGATTCAATGCCATCCCCATCGAGCTACCAATGCCTTTCTTCACAGAATTGGAAAAAACTACTTTAAAGTTCATATGGAACCAAAAAAGAGCCCGCATTGCCAAGTCAATCCTAAGCCAAAAGAACAAAGCTGGAAGCATCACACTACCTGACTTCAAACTATACTACAAGGCTACAGTAACCAAAACAGCATGGTACTGGTACCAAAACAGAGATATAGATCAATGGAACAGAACAGAGCCCTCAGAAATAACGCCACATATCTACAACTATCTGATCTTTGACAAACCTGAGAAAAACAAGCAATGAGGAAAGGATTCCCTATTTAATAAATGGTGCTGGGAAAACTGGCTAGCCATATGCAGAAAGCTGAAACTGGATCCCTTCCTTATATCTTATACAACAATCAATTCAAGATGGATTAAAGACTTAAATGTTAGACCTAAAACCATAAAAACCCTAGAAGAAAACCTAGGCAATACCATTCAGGACAAAGGCAGGGGCAAGGACTTCATGTCTAAAACACCAAAAGCAATGGCAACAAAGCCAAACTTGACAAATGGGATCTAATTAAACTAAAGAGCTTCTGCACAGCAAAAGAAACTACCATCAGAGTGAACAGGCAACCTACAAAATGGGAGAAAATTTTCGCAACCTACTCGTCTGACAAACGGCTAATATCCAGAATCTACAATGAACACCAACAAATTTACAAGAAAAAAACAAACAAACCCATCAAAAAGTGGGCAAAGGACATGAACAGACACTTGTCAAAAGAAGACATTTATGCAGCCAAAAAACACATGAAAAAATGCTCACCATCACTGGCCATCAGAGAAATGCAAATCAAAACCACAATGAGATACCATCTCACACCAGTTAGAATGGCGATCATTATAATGTCAGGAAACAACAGGTGCTGGAGAGGATGTGGAGAAATAGGAACACTTTTACACTGTTGGTGGGACTGTAAACTAGTTCAACCATTGTGGAAGTCAGTGTGGTGATTCCTCAGGGATCTAGAACTAGAAATACTATTTGACCCAGCCATCCCATTACTGGGTATATACCCAAAGGACTATAAATCATGCTGCTATAAAGACACATGCACACGTATGTTTATTGCAGCATTATTCACAATAGCAAAGACTTGGAACCAACCCAAATGTCCAACAATGATAGACTGGATTAAGAAAATGTGGCACATATACACCATGGAATACTATGCAGCCATAAAAAATGATGAGTTCATGTCTTTTGTAGGGACATGGATGAAATTGGAAATCATCATTCTCAGTAAACTATCGCAAGAACAAAAAACCAAACACCGCATATTCTCACTCATAGGTGGGAATGGAACAATGAGAACACATGGACACAGGAAGGGGAACATCACACTCTGGGGACTGTTGTGGGGTGGGGGGAGGGGGGAGGGATAGCATTGGGAGATATACCTAATGCTAGATGACGAGTTAGTGGGTGCAGCGCACCAGCATGGCACATGTATACATATGTAACTAACCTGCACATTGTGCACATGTACCCTAAAACTTAAAGTATAATAATAATAAATAAAAATTAAAAAAAAGAATAATCAATATCCCCTACCCAAGCCAAAAAAATACGTACGTTTAGGGGAAGACTGGATAAAGTTTGCGGTTCTGTTAGGAAGTAGGAGTAATAAATATGAATGTTGTAAAAGCAACTGACAATATCTTCCACATTTATTTTGCAATTTATTTTTTGTGTAGCGATAGAGAAAAATGCAAGAAAAACATACATATAACTATAACCTAAGATGTAACATAGTAAATGCACAGCCTCAAAAATCAGTCAGAGTTGCTGTTAGAGTTGAAACTTGCCTTTTTTTCTTGAATTAAACTTTTACAATTCTGGATGAGTATGTCTTGATCTTCAGAAATTGTTACTTTGTGAGTGCTAGTTTTGTACAGATTCCTGAATTCCTCTGGAATCATGTTTTATTTTGGTTTCATTTCTGCATATCCTCACAATGTCTGCTAACCTTTAAAATCCTATTGAAAAGTTGTCTCTGATTTATGGCCATTTTCCACAAAGAAGGAAAAGTTTCAATCACTATAGAGGAATTACCATATATTCAGTGAAGAGAGAATAATAAAAGTGCATTGAGATGTGGGTGTCAGGCAGTGAGCTAGAATTACCCATTAGCTACATGATTTGTTCCCACACATCAGCTTGTCTGTGTGCTCAATTTGAATGTGTGCTTCAGCAAAATTTGAAATCAAAGCATACCATGGACTATCAGGGTCATCTGCAAACAGTCAAAACCACTTATATTAAATTCTTAAATGTCAAGGGTTTTCAATACAAATGTAAGCTATTAATACATTTTATGAAAGATATGTGAACCAATTATTATCGGAATTTATAGGAGGAAAATTCCTTCCCAGCAAAGAGTCATTAGAAATATTCATGAAAATTGTCAAATATTCAGGGCAGATTTAGAAGTTTCTTTTGCATCTTCTGTGGTGATGATTTGATGTGGAGGACTTAAAAAAAAAAACCTCAGCTGTATAATTTCTACATTAAGTCTAGAAAAGGAAGCAATTCTGGATCCTTGAAAAAGGAAAACGGGAATACATTCAACTATCTTTGTCTTGACAGGCACCTTTAACTATACTTCTAAAGGATTCTTTGAAAGTGCAAAGAACAAATGTGCTATCAAGAAAATAGGGAAACTATTTTCAAAAGAAGAAAATAAGCAGATCAAATAGGTCACTTTACACAACAAATACCTTACAACATACAGAGTGTGTGCCCAAGTTACATGTAAGCAACAATTCTGAAAGGATGGAGAAGGAAAAAATAATTACCTAGAATGGTCTCACCTCTCTCCGTGGTGTTGAAGGCCAGTAGCTGAAATGTAAAGCCAAATATTGAGTACTTGCAGCTTAAACCCTTGATCCTGTTCATGCACAGTACAACTAACTTTATGCAGTGATCAAGATGGATGATTAACATGTCTAGTTAAGCAGGTGCAGTGTTAGTTCTAGAGCAGTATCAGATTAAGTTAGATGGTAAGCTAGTCACCAAAAGAGGATTACTTAATAACTTTTTTTCTTTTTTTTTTTTTGAGACAAGGTCTCACTCTGTTGATCAGGCTGGAGTACAGTGGCACAATCACAGCTCATCGCAGCCTCAACCTCCTGGGCTCAAGCCATTCTCTCACCTCAACCTCCTGAGTAGCTGGGACTACAGGTGCATGCCACCATGCCTAGCTAATTTTTGTATGTTTTGTAGAGACGGGGTTTCACCATGTTGCCCAGGCTGGTCTTGGATTACTTACTTTTTAAAGCCACTTTCACTCTTGCCTTACAAAGGGCTGTAAAACCTTACAATAACAAATTAACTTATATAATAATTAACTAGATTTGACTGGCTGTGTATAAAGATGCCTCATACATTATAATAATTTGGGAGGGTGATTGTAATACAAATACATTCAGCTGCTTGCCTAGAACATTCAGAAATGAAAGTTACTAAAGCCCAGTTGGCTGTAAATCCATGGAATGTGACTTCAATCTCCCTCACTAAAACATCTCCCCATGCTCTCTGGAACTTATTACTTCGCTCTATTTCACTAACACTCAAAATATATGAGAATATTCAGATAAAATTATATCTTCTAAAATAAACAGAAGATATGAATGATTAAATATTCTTATCTGTGAGCTAATCAATTTAGTGAGATAATGCTTAAATATTCTTATCTGTGAGCTAATCAATTTAGTGAGATAATGCTATCCCCACCACCTAGTGGCATATCTGCATTGAGAGGATAATCATTTTGACGTGGATAAAGAGGACAGAACAGTCCATACTTCAGGGGGAGCAAAATTGAATAGGTCAATAGCTTAGGGAGCATTTTGGGGAATCTGTGGGTTCTTAGGATTTATGGACATGAAAAAAAGCATATCAGATGGATTTCCAAGGGTCTCTTTTGCACACCGATTACTTAAGAAGCTAGTAGGCCCAAAGTGGGGACCCTTTTAAAGCTGATCCAGTGCCTTGCAAGTCATTGTTTCCTTCGCTATTGTTAGCTACTTATGAATTCACATATCCAAGCATCGTCATGATCATCATCAAAAATTTACTCAGTGCCTACAATGTGCCAGGCAGTCTACAGATCACCTTACATGGATTGTTCAATCTCCAAAACAGTGGGAGGTATACAGTCCACGCTTTACAGACAAGAGAACTGAGTAATTTGTCAAATGCCACTTAACTTCAAGTAGAAGAACTAGGATGTGATCCCAGATTTTCTGACTTTAGAGACAATGTTCCTACTTCCTATTTGGTCTGACCTTTTTACTGTATGGCTATAATTTTTGGTTCATCTTAATTACTTCTCTATCCTGAGGGCTTCTTCATTTCTCAAAATCATTAGTGCTTTCTGATCGCAACCATTTGTTTTCTATTGCCAAACTTTTCTGGCTATTAACTTTATTTCACCTGGCTAATATCACAGTCATCTGCTGCTTCAACCTGTCTCCAGTGGCCTAGACTGACTTTGGACTACAGCAACAACTAAATCTTCAAGCCTTCGATCTGAGAGAGAATGCACCTAAATATGGAAAAAGAGAAAGAAAGAGGAGCTTGGCTAGGGCCAAAGACAATCTCCACTGATTTTTAAATGTTAAACCTTAACAGGTACAGATACAGAGGGATCTTTTACAGTCTCTGCTATACCCTGACCTTCAGGGGATTACTTAACTTCTCAGACAGAATCAGTTAACAAGTGATGCTTGATGCTTACTCTGGACAAACTGGACATATTTCCTGCCTTCAGGTGCTCTGAAGTCTATAAAACTATGGTTAATAATCACACTCCTTCTGAGTTGTAAGAGCAAAAATTATCTAGCCTATGCTTATTAGTCAGTATTTGTTAAAATTCAGTTTGATTCCTCTGGGTAGAAATCAAATATTATATATTCAAATTCAGTTAAGCTAAATCTTGCTTCTGCGTTGGCATTACTAATATTCTGAAGCCAAGGAAACTGTAATCATTTGTTCTTTTCCTTACAAGCCCAAGCCTAAGTACAAAAGACGCTGTGCTTAGGGGAATTGATTGAAGTATAAGATTGAGTTCCTGCTGATTGCTTTTCCTGTACACAGTTTATAACTCTTTGTTGTCCTTTTTGCCCCTAGGGTAAGAGCAATTCCAAAAAAAAAAAATGAAATGTGGTAACACTGGCAAGAATGAGCTTTCATTCTTTTTGGAAAAAGTAACTTATGTATTTGGCATCGTAGTATGTTTCCAATTACATGGAAAAAGACATCACTACTGGTAGCTTTAAGGTTTGCCTCCTGATGGAATGGCATGAAGAGAGAGCTTTAACACCATTCCAAAATTTAGGATTTTATGAGTAGTCCAGTGAGCCTAAGTGCATGAAAAATACTGAGAGTAGAGTATTTATTGGTGCAAAGAGAGACAACTCAATTCTCTGAAAGACAAGATTTACCAAACATTAAATACAAAGGTGCAGCAAAAAGATTTCAAATAGAAATCTACATTAGGATTCTTTTGAGTAACAAAGACAAAATTCAAATTGATTTATATATAAGGAAATTTATTGACCTGTGTACCAAAATTATGTGAAGACAAATCTGGCTACACGGATGGCTGTCTCCATGAATATTTTCAGGAGTCTATCTTTTCATCTTTGAGTATGTGTGTGTGTAAATAGATATGGACACTGTGTATCTAGAGAGAGACAGACATACGGTAATATACACAAATTTAAATATACAATTTAATGCATTTCCATAAATGCATATAATTATTTACCCTACCTACCAATCAAGATAGTAAACTTTTATATCACCTGCAAAAGTTCTCTCATGCCTCACTTTCGTGGACAAATCCCTTTTAAATTATGTTGACCTAACAATATAAATTTCAAGCAAAGTTCAAGCTGTATTTACAAACCCCCTAAAGATTGCCTTTTTTACACTCCAAACATTTAAATGCCTTTTCTAGTGTTTAACTAACCAACATTAATGATTTACTAATTTATTTAACCCAAGTGCATGTATGTTTTATAATCTCATTAAACTATTACCAGTTTTGCACGTTTACCAGTGAGATAATAAAAGGCTAATAAAGGGGCATTTTGGTGTCTAAAGACGTTTGATATTTCTGACCACCTTTTTTATTTTAGCCATGGTTTGCATTTTCTAAACCTGTTGTTGGTATTTTACTGAAGATTAATTGTCTATCAATTTTATGTAAATAGGATAGCTAAGATTCCTGTGCATATTCATTCATAAATTAAAAACACTGCTTTCTACCAGTTAGCTCTATAAAAGGGAAATAGACCTTGACTAGACATAATGAGGCATTTGTGTTCACCATAACTGTAGTTTACTATTAGTGTTTGAAGAGTCATCAGTTCTCATTTACTCTGCTAAGTGACAATAAGTGAGGCTAAAGTAAATTCCTATCAACACTCCAGGGTCACCTTAGTGAATTTATGGAGGATACCATAACATTATTTGAAACAACTGAAATTTTTGGTTCTACTGCCCAATAGCACAAACCACTAGTTTGATCTGTCATCTTGTATATCCAGTGACACTTAGAGTGCACATCCTCAGGAAGGGTGAACTTGAGAGCAGTCATGGCTATATGTTAGATTGTGTGTATTCTTACTTAACACACAATGCTCAGGGCGACCCATGTGTTGAGATTGGTTGCAGAGTCAAATATGAATTCCTTGCTATTTTTAGATGTTTGAGTAAAAGAATTCAGTAAAAGGCAACTCTGTGGGACATTTAAATCCCAGATCGTAATTATACATAAATACATGTGTAAACATTTTCCCCCTAAATCTAGTAATATAGCAAAAAATCAATAACAATGCACTTTTTTAAGTTAGCATAATACTTAGTTTATCTGGAGAGTGAATTTTAGAAAACTACAACCATACAAAATGTAATAGAAAAATAAACTAAAAATATATTGATGCTAACAGTTTTCAAATAATGTCACTTCTGCCCTAATAGCTTTTAGAGCATGTAGATACAGCAGAGACTGGGTCTGTGTAATTTTACCTTCCTGCCCTTCAACCTGAACACTTCTGTTTTTAACTAATATATTATCTGAGGTTCTGTTGTGAGAGAGAAAAAAAGAGAATAGGTCACTGGCCTATGCCATATGTCACAAAGCCAGTGTACCAAATCCAATTTGTTCCTTAAAGGAGGCTCCAAAACTTTAGTAATATGCAGGTATAATAAACTTGATTGATTAGTGTCTTAAATTCATAGATTAGAAGTAAAAAAAATGAGATGGGGTGGCAAAAGAATTATAGTAGGCATATTTACTACAATTTAAAAAAATCAATGATACATAGCTACAATAATGAAAACAATACACTACTGGCATAGGGTAGGCGTAGAGACCAACGTTATAAATTGACAGTTCAGAAATATGCCCAATTTTATTTTCAACAAAGGTACCAAGCTCATTCAATGGGTAAAGATGAGTTTCTTCAAAACATGATGCTGGGAAAAATGAATTTCACCTTGTCAGAAAATGCAATTCAGCCTCTACCTCAATATAATTTTTGTATAGCCCCTTTAAGTTATATATAAACCAAGTCAGAGTGTATCAATGACCTAAATATAAGAGCTAAACCCCTTATAAAAAGACATAGAGCTAAATGTTAATAATTTTTGGCAATGGATTCTTAGATATGCCACCAAAAGCATTAAAGACAAAAGAAAAAAATAGATGTTATATCTCGTTAGTATTAAAAACTTTTTATATCAAAGGACATTATCAAGAAAGTGAAAAGATAACCCACTGATTGGGAGAAAATATTGGTAAATCATACATGTGATAAGGTTTAATACCCAGCATATATAAAGAATGTAATGCAACAACAAAGAGATAAACTAATTAAAAAGTGGGCAAAGGGGAGGGGCTTCAAGATGACTGACTAGAAGCACCTGGTACCAGCTTCCTCCATAAAGAAGAAACAAAACGGTGAGTAGATAATGACACTTTGCATAGATTATCTAACAGAAAACACTGGAATTCAACAGAGTAGTAGCAGGAAACACCTAAAGCAAGGAAAAAGAGGGAAGTAAGACAGCCTGCTCAGGGATTAGCTGGGTGCCTGGAGATGCTCTCCTATATGGAGAAAGGATAAGTGAGGACCCCCAGCAGTCCACATTTCCACAGTAAACTCCTATATCCTAGTTATGGGAAAGCCCTTAGACCTTTGTGGGCCCTCAAACTAAGATAAGGAGCTTCCTGGAGACTGTGTGAAGGCATTGCTCCAGAGAGAGGCAGCTCATGCGGGTCCCACACACCTCCAACCCCTAGCAGCTACAGCAAGGCACCATTTTGACAATCCATCCCACACCAGACTGCATCCTGCCCAGGGGCTCAACAGCCCCTATATCTTTATATTTATGGAGCCCGATTGATATTCCCTGACCACAGACACTGCATGGCTGGCTGCTGCCTCCAGGGTTGAAGTAGGTGCCATTGGCAAAGACCTTGCTACCCCCAAAAGCAAAAGTCATATGCATTTTCACATGCCCTGAGGACAAACTCCCTTGCACACACCATTGGGGGGCCCAAAGACAGATCTGCCCCGTCCAGCTCACCCTCCCCCAGTGCCCAGGCATGCCATCTTGGGACCTGATGACCACTGAGCCCAGTCCATCAATGTTGGCACCTAAGCACTCTTCCCAGGGACCTGAGGTTGGCCCACGCAACCCGCTACTACCAGTAGAGCTGACACCCACTTGCATCCACCATCTGCAGGCATGGTGATTGTCCTGCTCAGCCTGTTGTGGCCACCACCAACACCAGTGAGAATTACTTTGGAGCCAGAGGTTTGTCTCATCATTGCAACTGCCATTCTTCATGACATGCTCACCTACCAGGGAACTGAGGACCCACACACTCACCCAGCCCATTGTTGTTACTATTGGCATGTAAGTGAGCAACTTGGAGGCCCAAGGACAGGCATGCTTGGACTGCCACTGCCACCACTGGGGCCCAAGGACATGTCCACCTGATGTCTCCATCCCCAGTAAAACTTGACCACAGCCTTCATTAACAACTGCACCCTAAGCCACTGAAGAAATCACAGATACCACTGATACTGTTTACAGCCAAAGGCATCATTCAAAGACTATACTATATTGCATGCATGCAGAATCAAAACTAAAGTGTCCTACTCAACTAACACCATAAACAAATATTCAGAGAAAACTCCTCCCATACAAAAGCAAATTCAAAATTTGGAAGAAGTGATAATTATACCAGATGTTCAGATATAACTATAAGAACACAAGAAACATAAAAAATTAAAATAAATATGACACTTTCAAAGGAACATGATGGTTTTCCAGTAGAAGAGTCCAATAAGAAAGAAATGTATGAAATCCTGGATATACAATTCAAAATCATGATATTAAATAAGCTCAGTGAGATATAAGAGAACTCAGATAAACCATACAAAGAAATCAGAAAAACAGTTTAGGATATGAATAAGAAATTTATCCAAGAGATAAAAGAGCTAAATGGAAATTCTGGAACTAAAGAATATATTCAATTAATTATACAATACATTAGAAATCTTCAGCAATAAAATAGATCAAGCAGATGAAAGAGTTTCAGAACTTGAAGACAGGTCTTTTGAAATAATCCCATCAGAAAAAAAAGAATAATGAAAAAATAAAAAAGAATGAACAAAGCCTACATGATATAGGTGAACACCATAAAGTGACCAAATATTCAGATTTTCAGTGTTCCAGAAGGTAAAGAGAAAATGAAAGGGATAACAAAACAAATTAAATAGTATCTGAAAACTTCCCAAGTCTATCAACAGATTTAGACATCTAGATATGGAAAGCTCAGAGATCTCAAACAGATACTATGCTAAAAGATCTTCTGCATAACACATTAAACTCAAACTGCCAAAAGTCAAGGACAAAGAGATAATTCTAAAAAGAGCAAGAGAAAAGCATCTAGTCACTTATAAAGATAGTCCCACAGACTAGCAGTGAATTTTTCAGCAGAAACCACAGGAGAGAATAGGGTGATATATTTAAACTGTCAAAAGAAAAAAAAAAAAAAAAAACACCTGCCAACCAGTAGATTATATCCAGCAAAGTTATCCTTCTGTAAATTAAGGAGGAATAAAGTATTCCTCAGACAAGCAAAAGCTGTGGGAATTTGTCACCACTAGACTGGCCCTCCAAGAAATGCTTAATGGAATTCTATACCTGGAAGCAAAAGAACTATATCTACTATAATGAATACACAGGAAAATAGAAAACCCACTGGTAAAGCTAACATACAAATAAGGAAGGGAAAGAACACAAATGTTACCACTACAGAAAACCACCAAACCAAAACAATAAACAGTAAGAGAGAAAGAAAGGAACAAAGAATATGTCCCCCAAATCAATTAATAAAAATGACAAAAATAAACACATATCAATAATCTCTTAAATATAAATGCATTAATCTAACTTTCCTCTTAAAAGATATAGACTGGCTGAATAGATTAAAAAAAACATGACCCAACTACATGCTACCTACAAGAAACTTATCTCACCTGTAAAGACACATATAGAACGAAAGTAAAGGGATGGAAAAAGATATTCCATGCCAATAGAAACCAAAAGCAAGCAGGAGTTCCTATAGTTGTCTCAGATAAATCAGACTTTAAGCCAACAACAGTAAAAAGAAAAAAAGAAAGGCATTATGTAATCATAAAGGGATGAATTCAGCAAGAGGATATAACAATTCTAAATCTATATGAACACAATACTGGAGTATCCACATATATTGAGCATATGTTATTGGATCTAAAGGGAGAGATCAACTCCAATATAATAATAGTTGGGAGCTTGAACACCCAACTCCCATCATTAGACAGAAAATTAACAAAGAAGCATTAAAATGCACATTAGACCAAATGGACCTTACAGATATTTAAGAGCATTTCATCCGACCTCTACAGAATACACATTCTTCTCATCAGCACATGGAACACTCTCCAGAATAGACAACATGTTAGGATAGACCATATGTTAGGACACACAACCACTCCTATTAAACATAATACTGGAAGTCCTAGCCAGAGCAATAAGGTGAGAGAAAGAAATAAAAGGCATCCAAATTGGAAAGGAGGAATTCAAATTGTCCCTCTTTGCAGATGAGATGATCTTATATCTAGAAAAACCTGAAGACTTTACCAAAAAAACTCTTAGATCTGATAAATAGATTCAGTAAAGTTGCAGAATACAAAACCAACATACAAAAAATAGCATTTATACAATAATGAACTAGCTGAGAAAAAAAATCAAGAAGACAGTCTCATTTACAACAGCTACAAAAACCATGAAATACCCAGGAGTAAATTTAACCAAGGAGGTGAAAAACCTCTACATGGAAAACTACAAAACACTGATGAAAGAAACTAATGAAGACTCAAATATTCAATTTGAGTCTCAAAGAGTCAATGCAATCCGTAACAAAATACAAAGTCATTTTCATAGAAATAGAGAAAAAATCATAAAATTCATATGGAACCAAAAAAACAGCTTGAAGAGCCAAAACAATCCTGAGCAAAATGAACAAAGCTGGAGGTGTCACACTACTTGACTACAAAATATATTACAAGTCTGTAGTAACCCAAACAATGTGGTATTAGCATAAAAACAGACACATAGACCAATGGAACAGAATAGAGAACTCAGAAATACAGCCACGTATTTACAATCAACTGATTTTTTACAAAGGCACCAACAGCATATATTGGTGAAAGAATACCCTCTTCAGTAAATGTTCTGGGAAAAATGAATATTCATATGCAGAAGAATGAAACTGGACTCCTACCTATCACTACATTTTAAAAAATCAACACAAGACAGTTAAAGACTTAAACGTACAATCTAAAACTATACAATTACTGGAAGAGAACATAGAGGAAACACTTTGGGACATTCATCTAGTCAAAGATTTTATGGCTAATACCTCAAAAGCACAGGCAACAAAAACAAAGATAGAAAAATAGGACTATATTAAATTAAAAAGCTTCTGCACAACAAAAGGAACAATAAACACTGAAGAAAAAAACACTGAATGGGAGAAAATATTTGCAAACAGATCATCTAATGAGGGACTAATATCCAGAATATACACAGAACTCTATCAACTCAACAGTAAAAGAACAAATAATTCCATTAAAAAGTAGGCAAAGGAAATAATAGACATTTATCAAAAGAAGACATACAGATAGACAAAAGGTATATGAAAAAATGTTCACCATCACTAATCATCAGGAAAATGCAAATCAAAACAATCGTATACAATTAGATATCATCTTACCCCAGTTAGAATGGCTAATATTAAAATGACAAAAAATAACAAATCTTGGTGAAGATGCAGAAAAAAGGGAATTTATACACTGCTGGTGGGAATGGAAATTAGTACAACCACCATGGAATCCAGTATGGAGAGTTATCAAAAAAAAAACTAAAAATAGAAATACCATATGATCCAGCAGTCCAACTATTGTTTATCCAAAGGAAAACAAATCAGTCTATCAAAGGGATGACTGCATTCCCATGTTTATTCACATGCAGCACTATTCACACAGCAAAAGTATGGAATCAACCTAAGTGTCCATCAGCAGGCTAATGGGTAAAGAAAATGTGGTGTGTGTGTGTATATATATATACACACAACGGGATACTATTCAGCCAAAAAAAAAAAAAAAAGTGAAATCATGACATTTGCAGCAACACGGATGTAACTGTTAAGTGAAATAAGTCAGTCAGGCACAGAAAGGCAAACATCCCATGTTGTTTCTCATATGTGGGAGCTAAAAAATGTTGATCTCATGGAGGTAGAGAATAGAATGAGAAATACCAGAGATTGAGAAGGATATGTGAGTATGTGTGTAAGCAGGAGGGGGTAAATAAAGGTTGGTTAAGGGCTACAAACATACAGTTAGATAGAAGGAATACTTCTTAATATTTGATAGCAGAGTAGCGAGACTATAATTAAAAATGTATCACATATTTAAAATTAGCTAGAAGAGAGCACTTGAAATGTTTCCAAGAAAGAAATGATAAACACTCAAGTGATGGACACCGTGAATAACCTGACTTGATCATTACATAGTCTATGAATATAATCAAGTATTACATGTATCCAGAAACATGTATAAAAATTATGTATCAACAAAAAAGTGGGCAAAGGACTTGAGTAGACATTTCCCTAAGGAAGATACACAAATTACCAATAATCACTTGAAAAGATGCTCAGCATTATTCGTCATTAAGGAAATGCAAATCAAAACCATAATGAGATACCATACCTTCTATGATGTCTATAATTAAAAAAAGAGAACAAGTGTTGGCAAGGATATGAAGAAATTAGAACCATAGTACATTTCTGGTAAGAACGTGGAATTGTGTAGCTGCTGTGGAAAATTATGTAGCAGTTCCTCAAAAAGTTAAAATTTCCAGGCCGGACACAGTGGCTCACACCTGTAATCCCAGCACTTTGGGAGGCCAAGGAGGGCGTATTGCTTGAGTTCAGGAGTTTGAGACCAGCCTGGGCAACGTAGCAAAACCCTTTCTTTATAAAACATACAAAAATTAGCCAGGCATGGTGGCGTGTCTCTAGTCCCAGCTACTCAGGAGGCTAAGGCGGGAGGTTTGCTTGAGCCTGGGAGGCGGGTGTTGCCCTGAGCCAAGGAGCCACTGCACTCCATCCTTGGCAAGAGAGACAAACCCTGTCTCAAAAAATGAAACAAAATAATAAAAAATAAAATTACCATATGACCCAGTTATTTCACTCAAGTATATACTCCAAATCATTGAAAACAGGGACTCAAACAGATACATGTACAGTCATGGTCATAGCGGCACTATTCGTAATAGATGAAAGGGGGAAACAACCCAAGTGTTCATCAACAGATGAATGGATAAACAAAATATGGTATATACACACAATGGTATATCATCCACTCTTAAAAAGAAATTTAATTCTAATATACGCTATCACAAGGATGAGCCTGGAAAACATTATGCTAAGGACACCAAAGGACACCAAAGGACAAATATTGTATAAATTCACTCATATGAAATACCTATGCTGGGAAAATTCATAGAGACAGAAAACAGAGTAGATATTAGCAGGTTTTGGGGGTAGGGTAATGGGAAATTACTACTTAATGGGTACAGAGTTTCTGTTTGGAGTAATTAAAAAGATTTGAATAGCAATGATGGTTGTACAATATGATGCTATTCATATCTTTTTCATTAATGCCACTGAATTGTACACTTACAATGGTAAAAATGATTCCAACTGCTCCACATCCTCAACAACACTTGGCACACTACTGGTGAGAATATAAAATGATTTCACCTCCTATGGAAAACAATATGGAGGTTCCTCAAAAATTTAAAAATAGAACTGCCATATGATCCAGCAATCCCACTTGTGAGTATGTATCCAAAGGAAAGGAAATCAAGATCTTAAAGAGATATCAGCACTCCCATGTTGACTGCAGCACTATCCACAACAGCCAAGATACAGAAATAACCTAAATGTCCTTCAACATGTGATTAAAGAAAATGTGATATATGCACATGACAGAATTTATTCATCCTTAAATAGTAAGGAAGTTCTGCCATTCACAACACCATGGATGAATCTTGATGACATTATGCTAAGTGAAATAAGCCAGGAACAGAAAGACAAATATTCCATGATTCTGCTTACATGAGGCATTCAAAATAGTCAAATTCACAGAATCAAAGGGTTGAATGAAGGTTGCCAGGGGCTAGGTGGTGAGGGAGAAGATAGTTGTTAATTAATGAGCAAAAAGTTTCAGTTAAACAAAGTAAATAATTTCTAGAGATCTGCTGTGCAAAATTGTGCCTATAGTCAACAATACTGTATTGTACACTTAAAATTTAAAATCACAGATTTCATGTTAAGTGTTGCTGTCACAATAAAATTCTTTTAAAAAATTAAATGGTAAGTTTTAGGTTTTATATTTTATCACAATAAAAAGCAATAACTGAAAGGCCAGAAATAAGGGATTTTTTTAAAAAAAAAGATGAGGAGTGATATTTATATACAACACAGTAAATATTTACAAGTGGTACAGCTGAGCAGTAACTAATCAGCATAGACAGCAGCTGCAGACACTGGATCCAGAGGACCAGTTGGTTCAGTTAAATTACTACTTTGAATCAGACATAAAATTAGTAAAGCTCATCTTCGAAGATCCAGAAAAAAAAGGAAAACTCAGTATGCTCATTACAGCACCACTATATTAAAGCACAAATTGTTAGAACAAAAAGAGCCATTTTACAGATAAAAACAGCGAGGCTTGCAGAGCTGAAATGATTTGCCAAAGACCCTCTAAATGATCGCTGTCCTGAATGCGTGCCGTCTGCTCTGAGGTCCTGCTCCCATGACCATCTGTCTCCTCTCATCCGTCCGTGATGTGCTGACTCAAAAGGGGCACAAGAAATCTGGTTTGAATGAAAAGGGAGCATCAATTACTACAGTTGTGACAAGAATATACAGATTTCTGGTTTTCTTAATTCTTCCTCATTCAGGTTGGTAAATGAGCTATTTAGTTTATAATGCCACCGTCCCCATTCTTTTAGTGGTGACGGTGCTATTATATTTCCTTGAACAGATAACAGGCTGTAGCACAGAATGGTTAAGAACACAGGCAGGCACGGACGGCTGTGATGGCTTACTCATGTAATCCCAGCACTTTGGGAAGCCAAGGCAGGAGGATCACTTGAGGTCAGGAGTTTGAGACTAGCCTGGCCAACATGGTGAAACCCTGTCTCTACTAAAAATACAAAAAAAAAAAAAAAAAAAATTAGGAGTGGTGGCATGCCCCTGTAATCTCAGCTACTCGGGAGGCTGAGGCAGGAGAATCGCTTGAACATGGGAAGTGGAGGTTGCAGTGAGCTGAGATAGCACCACTGGACTCCAGCCTGGGCAACAGAGCAAGACTCAGTCTCAGAGGAAAAAAAAAGTGGGGGGGAGAAGAACACAGGGAGGCAGGTAGGTATTTGATACCAGCTCAGCCACATACTCACAGCATGAACTGGAGCACAAATTACTTACGACTATGAACTAAAAGTTATGAACTGAAACTTGCCAAGTCTCAGTTTTTTCACCTGTAAAACAGGGTTAATGAAGTATAGTCATCCTGTGGTATCTGTGGGGGATTGGTTCCAGGATCTCCCATGGATACCAAAATCCAAGGGTGCGCAAGTCCCTTATATAAAATGACATAGTATTTGCATGCAAACTACACATATTCTTCTGTATACTTTAATTTCTGGAAAACTTATAATACCTAATAAAATATAAGTGCTATGTAAATAGTTGTTATACTATCTTGTTTAGGGAATAATGATTTTTGTAAAAAGCCTGGACATGTTGAGTACAGGTGCAAATTTTTTTCCCCCAAACCTGCAGTTGGTTGAGTACAGGATGCAGGACCCAATGATACAGAGGATGGACCATACCTATATATTCCTCATGGATTTGCTATGAGGCTGGAATGAGATGTCAACATCTTGCATGTATGTAATCAGCACCCAAACAGTGGTAATTGTGTTAGTCCCCCACCTCCTCTTCCTGTGCAGCCACCACCACCCCTCTGGCCTGGCCACGGGTAAACCTATAGAGAAATCTTCTCTCTAACTCCCTTCTAATCCACTCCACGCCACTTCCAGTTACTATTCTAAAGGTTATGATCTTTCATCCTATTCTGCCTACCTTGACAATGATAAAACCTTGTTTGAAAGTCAAGTACTGGAAAGATAAAAATCATTCAATGACTGAGATGGGAAACACATTTATTACACTTTTCATGTTATTCAAGGCCAATTATCATCCTAAGAAGGCTTATAATTTATAGGATGAATGAGAAACATGAACTTTCCATCTCTCCTAGGTTTCTTGGGAGACACTGATAGACAACCCAGAAACACCTTCATCCAGGGAGGCGTTTACACATGGAAGCAATCAGAGCTCATTCTTTATCCCTGTCCATCTTTGACCTTTACAGCACAGATATTTGGATTATTTCTGCCAAATACCTGCCTATAACTAAGCAATACATGAACTTACATCACTAATTTATAAAATAACAGTCTATCTGAAGGGTACTTATGAAAAAAAAACTATGATAAAATAAGCATTAGAAGATCCAGTTCTGACATCAGAACAATTAATATGTTCTATCACTGAAAACGACATAATTAAAATAGCTTTCAAAATTAATTCTGAAAAAATATCTAACAATATAAAAATATACTTTAGACTTTTTATGTGTTTTTCAGAAAACAATAAGAAATTTTCCACTTCATTATTTCTTTTTCCTCTGTTATTTATTCCACAGAATTTATCTTTTAAATAACTTTTGATACTTACTTGAAATACACATCAGGGTACAAAAGCTTTGATTAAGGATTATTTTCTGTTCTAAACTAAAAGATCAAGTTTTAAATATTCTAATAACTTTATATAAGAATCCTTTCAGCTCACTCACAGTTTTTAGGTGAAATACAGATAATTTAGTGGCTTGTGTGACTAAACTCCAGGGTCCTGTCTTCAGGTATAGTTTGATCCAGGAGTCAACAGCCTCAGGACTTTCCACTTTTTCTCTTGCCTCTGCTTACCTCTGTACCGGTTTCATTTAGAATTTTCTTCACTGCTTGTGCCCTGCAGCACCAGACACGTAGCATATTTTCTCAGCAACCTCAGTGGCAAGAGAAGCTCCAACAGTTCAAACCATGGTTATAAACATTTTTCTGGGATTTTCTCAGTAGAGTCATCAGGAAGATCAACTACACCAAGTAGCCACACTTGGGCCATATTCTCACCCGTAAAGCCAGGGGTTCAGCCTCATCCAAAACATGAGGACAGAGAGTAGAAGTCTTGAAAATTTCAGGCTACTGCTTCCAGAAGACTAAATGCTGAGCCATCAGAAATAATCTCAACTTTTAGGGCAGATCAACTGTTTTTTTTAACATGGAAAACTACTCAGAGTTCCCATTTTAGTTTCTCACAGTGACTAAGAACTCCAGGGTAATATAGCTCTGTGCACTGGTGCTTGTCCATCTGTGGTATCAGAATATTCAGTTACCCAGCTTCTAAGCATGCCATTTACACTTAATGCTACTGAAATGCTCTGGGCATGGAACATGCTATATAAATGCAAAGTATCAATATAAATTTTGGTAAAAGAGGTATTCCCCAGTCAAGAGAAGGAACAGCATGCCTAAAAGATACATCTAATGCATAAAAGAAATGCTAATGTGTTTCCCCTCCTCACCACATAATTTAAAAATTGCTTTACTCACATCCTATATTTTAGAGGTTCTATTTTGTCTTAGAATGTCTGCACTTCAATCACTTGACTTTCTAAAGGTTATCATAACACTACTTTTTCTTTCCAACGGAGCCCCTTCTAGAGGGTGACAGAAGAATTTGTTAGAATTCCAATACAGTGACAAAATTATCTTTGCCCTTACTCTCAGACCTGAGAAAAACAGATTTTTCAAGTCCTCTGATAAAGGATTACACTCATTCGGACTTTTTTTTCTTTTTGAAAAATAAAAAGAAATGGTTTGGGTTAAAGACATAAGTTCCCCTATTTAGTCACAGAAACAAAATCTAGGTCTTAACAGCATACAGTGAAGATGAATGAAAACTGGCGCCATGTGGAGGCTGCCAGGATGAGAAGCAGAAACCTCACCTGACCGTTGATCGATGAAACCGTAAAGGTTACAAGAATTGTTAATGTGGAGACAGATGAGCAAAGGACACTGAAAAAGGCAAAAAACGCTAAACTCTTTTTGCTTATTTCTTTTATAAATCACTACACAAAACGGTCTATATGTAATGAATTGCCTCTTGCCACTGTCCCTACAGGTTGAAGATTAATTAAAAGCATTTTCAGTTACTGATCTAATTACGTGTTTTGTGGTGGTGGTGGTTTTTCATTTGTGGTCTGTTTTCATTTTTGCTTTGTTTTGATTTTTGGTGGGGAAAACCAGTTCTAGACTGAAGTGTTAAGGAATTGGGTAGAAAGATATTTTTATTAACTAAGAGTTAGTAAGCATTGAATAACAAGAAAGCATAACAAAGCAAGTTATAAAACTGTGTTTATTTATAACCAATTTATTTTGAAAAGATGGAATATTATAGTAGCTAGCACTTAGATGGCACCCCCCTATGGGCCAGGCATTTTTCTGAGTGCTTCACATTCATGAACTCATTTAGTACTCACTCTATAGGTAAATACCAAATTACCATGACGAATGAGGAAACTTAGGCACAGAGAGAAGTTAAGAAAATTTCCCATCACCTCAGAGAGGTGGGCAGAGGGATGAATGAAGAGACGGATGGGTGAATCAATCTGTGATAGTGTTCACCAAAAAATTAATAGTGATTATTTATTGATATTAAGGTAGGATTCTTTGTTATGTTCATTTTATTATTTTGATACTTCTAGAACATTATAAATATTTCTCATTGAAAAGCTATATATTTTTATAATCAGGAAATAAACATCAATAGCTATTGTCATTTCAGAGCAAAATGTTTCATGTATGGAACATAGCTTTATAGGCTTTGATGATTCAGATATATCCCATTGAACATCTTGATCTGAATGTGGCACAGTCAGCTCAAACCCAATCAGTTCCAAATGGACAGAAGTTCATCTTCTCTCCAAACCTTCTCCTCATCCTCATTCTTTTTCTCAGTGAATGGTGCCACCATATACCTACCCATTCAAGAGAGAAACCTGGGAGTTACCCCAGAAACTTCACTCCATTCTATCCCATATGGTCAGTAGTTGAGCAAGTTTAGTTAATTTCATCGCCCACCTGGTTCTCAGACCAACGCCTTCCTCTCGTTGGCCCTTTCTCTCTTCGTCATTGTCTTTACTAACCTAGTTAAGGCTCTTAGCATCTTCTGCCTGCAATATTGCAATAGCCTCCCAATTGATCTTGTTCCCTCCCTCCATCATGTTCATTCTTCTCTCTCCCCTCTCCTATCGTACCAGCCATCCTGTCTACAAAAGCTAGGCTTGTGGACATATGACCATATTATGCCCCTGCATAAAATTCTCAAGTTGCCACTTGTTATACAAAATAAAAACTAATTATTAAATAAAAGGACCTCCATGATATGGTTTGGCTCTGTGTCCTCACCCAAATCTCATCTTGAATTGTACTCCCATAATTCTCACATATTGTGGGAGGGACCCAGTAGGGGATAATTGAATCATGAGAGCGGTTTCCCCCATACTGTTTTCCTGGTAGTAAATAAGTCTCATGAGATCTGATGGTTTTATAACGGGTTTCCACTTTCACTTCTTCCTCATTCTCTCTTGCCACTACCATGTAAGAAGTGCCTTTCACCTTCTGCCATGATTGTGAGTCCTCCCCAGCCACGTGGAACTGTGAGTCTATTAAAGCTATTTTTCTTCCCAGTCTCGGGTATGTCTTTATCAGCAGCGTGAAAATGGACTAATACACTCCATGATCCAGATCACCTACATCTTTCTAATGTCCCAAGCATAAGCTTCCCTTTTACTCTGTTAACTCCCCATCTGCATAGGCTTTTCTGTACTTACCTAACCTTATACTAAGGATAACCACCTTCAGAATCATGCTATTCCTTCCATCTAAAACGCCTTCTGCTGGATTTAAATATTTCTACCCTTAGGCTCTAGGACAGAGCCTACTACCCATTTATTATATTCATTTAGCATTTATGAGGCACTTACTAAACATCAAGCAGTTTGCCAGTGGTGGTGATGTAAGACTAAACCTAAGCCAACCTGGTTCCTGCAAAGAGTGCACACAATTCCTCCCCTTTTTCCCAGGACTATTGGTTTTAGCACTGCAAGTCCAGAGTCCCAGGAAGCCCCTCAGGCCTGGGCAGTCCAGGACAGCTGTTACCTGATTTGTGCACCAAGTAAATTTATGGTCTAGCAAGGAAAGTTGCTTAATAAATGACCACTTAAAAATTGTATAAATGAAAGAATTACTTTTTATCACACCTGAGGATGGTATTATGAACATCTTTTATCTTTATATAATTTTACAATAAATTAAAAATAAACCTGAAATAAATTTTACAATGGAGAGAAAAACATTTAATGTAGTGAACACAAATCCTAACATGGACGGAATCAGATTGTCTAACTAACGGGGTACAAATGTTGCCAGGACAGCTGCGAAAGGCTTCCTGGAGGGACGGAGGTGAGAACAAAAACTTTGTCTCCCACGAAGGCCAGTGAAAACTCAGCTTGTGTTTATTCCTGTGATATGTGTTCCATGGGAGGAAATTCTCCTTGACAGTTTCATGGGAAGGGGGTTAGAAAAGCAGGAAATAAGTGAAAGGACTTCTTAATCCCCTCCTGGAAACTCTTCATCGTCCGCATCTGTAGAGTGTGGATAATAGAGGTACCTAACTAACTCTTAAGTTTTTATGAGAAATAAATTAATTTAATGCACATAAAGTACTTAGGACAGCGCCTGGCACATGGTAATTCTTCAAAAGTATTAGATTATATCACCACCTCCTCTGCCTTCTATCTCCACTACTTGTTCTATGTGTGGCCACCAGAAATGTCAGGAGAGGAGCGGGAGATAAAAAGGAAGGCAGGCCGGGCTCAACATCTATTCTTGGCTGAATCTGAGAAGAGGCTTTGGAAAGTGGGTAGACAGAGGGGTTTGATTTCCATGTTCACCAGGTTTCCCCAGCATACAGTGGAGAGCAGAACAATTTAAGATTCAACCTTCAAACCTACCCTGTTTCAACTCACGAAACCATCTGCATCCCCAAGAATATGTGCCGACAGGAAGAGATTTTAAAAGATGGTCTATGGGATACACCAAGAAAGAAATCCCTTTCTCAAAATATTCCAACACAATCTAGTCCATATTAATAACAAAAATAAAATCTAGTAAATAAATAACTTTTTATACTTAAGCCAAACATCATTGAACTTAAAAATCAGGATGAGTCGAGACTATTCACACAGATTTACATTAGCCTTAATAAATAATA
This sequence comes from Homo sapiens, assembly GCF_000001405.40. Classification (NCBI taxonomy): domain Eukaryota; kingdom Metazoa; phylum Chordata; class Mammalia; order Primates; family Hominidae; genus Homo; species Homo sapiens. The sequence continues at coordinate 3,503,322 of NC_000003.12, forward strand.
AGCAAAAATTTCATCTTTTTCTGAGAGGCTTAAAAACAATCTGATATTTATATTCTGGAGATAGGAATACAGTCATATTCTTTTATAAGTTAGTTGAATTAAAGAGATGAAATAATCAAACCAAGTATACGCATTGACATTTTTCTGGCTCCCTTTAAAAAAATGGGTTATTTCAAGTCAACTCAAATATATAGGAATAAATACATTCAGAGCCCAGACACTAAAATTGCAACCAGATGGCCAGAGGAGTCCGTCTGAGTTCAGAAGTTTGCATTCCAATAATCCCCCAGTGGCGCTCTTCAGTGCATGTGGCCATTGCAGCACATGGCTCATCTTCAAGCATCTTGCCCAAACATATGGCCTCAAGGAGGTGCAGTTGATGGCTGGGAGTTATAAGTGAGCTTTAATCTCAGTAACTTTGATGATAAATGTTCAGCTAAAATCTGAGAAACAGCCGGTTTGAGCAAAGACTCACCAGGCAGAGAAAGAGATAGTGTGAGGGTAGGGGTCTCTGCCTGGGAAACAACAAAAGCAAAACAATTACCCCTAGAAAAGCTCAGACTCCCTTATCTAGGTCTTCGGCAGAGGCTCCTCTCCAAGAGTCCCTCTGCTGTCACAGCTGTGGGCCAATGACCAAATGGTCATAGGTATCATGAACACAGCATCCCACATTCTGAGATGTTCCCAACCCTTTACCCTACCTCCACTGGCAATAAAACAAACAAAAGAAAAACTCCCTTACGGATATGTATGCAATGCCTGGGTTATTTACCACTGCCTGATTAAACAGACATGAGCATAACTAACCATCTACTTAACTGGTTTCCAATAGAAATCATGGCAGGCTGAAAGTAAATCATTCAATAGCCCTAAAGAGAAACTTATTACAGGTTACTCTGAAGCTCTACAATCCATAGAGCAATTTTCACAGTCCTGCAGGAATCTAAGTGGTATTCTTTGTGGCAGATGCAAAACTGATTATGTCACTTCCTTGCTTAAACTCTTTAATGATTATCCATTGCTCTGATGAAGGTGGTCAAAAAATTCTTAGCCTTAATAACAGTGAAGAGGAGTAGGAAAGGGCTAGATCTTGAGCTCCCCTGCTTCCTCCTGCATTATTCTCTATGCTTGGCTTCTCTACATTTCCTTATTCCTCTAACTATCAAAATTCTTCACCTGGGCACCTGACACACACTATTTCTACTGCTTACATGCTTGTACTGCCTCTTAGTCAATCAATGCCCCGACCCCTCCTTTCTTTTGTATTAGGATCATTTATTTTCCTGGTGGAAAACTGAAGATTCTTTTTAAATCAACTCTTATTTATCCAACTTTCTTTTGGCCTTTAAGCAACAGTTAATTACTTCCTTGGGAAGCCTTCCCTTCCTCCCCTGGTCAATTTGGGACCCTATTACTGTAGCTCAGCCTGTAATTTTTTTCTTGTAATTCTCATTACAATTGCAATCATTTTTGTAATTTTTTAAAGATATATGTCTCCCTTGTGGAACTGGAACTTTCACTTACTCACAGACCCAGCCCAGTTCCTGAGACAATGCCTGGGATCTAGTACTTATAAACATATCTTTGTTGAGTGAAAGAGTGAATAATGACTGCCTGACTTGGCAAGTAGTGGGGTGGCAGTGGGGCCATGAAGAAGGCAAAGGCCGTGATGCTGGACACAGATGTGTCCAATGCTTATTCCAAGACTAGTGGCTAGATAAAGCTCATGAGAAAGCTAAGTCATGGGTTTCTGCTATATTTGTTTCTAGAGTTACCTTCTTAACAAGCAAACAAACATATAGACAGTAGGGCATTCGGTAGGGAATTTCATCACTCTACCATAAGTTTCAGTGTGTTCTTGAAATTAAAGTATGGACAATTTTGACACCTTCACTTTCCAAATGTCTATTAATAAGTCTCCCAAAGTAAGGTCTCTCACTAACCAAAGCTGACAACTTTTCTAATATGATGTTTAAGGTTTTGCAAAACCACCATATGCTGGAGATAATTCAGTGTTCATCTAACTATGACCTGGTTTCACAAATTTTGAAAAAGGAGACAAAGAATGGCAAGATGACACACAATCTCTCCCTTGGCCTTATTACAATAACTGAAATGCAATGGAATGTGGCTGTTTCACATTCTTGGAAGGGGGCAGCAAATCGTGGCTCCCAAAAGACACCTGTGAAGAGCAAATGCTGGTCACACACACCTGGCTTCTGTATGCAGTTTCCACACTTCCATCTGGTGGTGCCACCTTTCTCAAGAGTAAGTCTCTACGTTTAATTTAGAAATTTTATCTTTACAAGAAAATAGAATTTTAAAGGGTCTTAAAAATCATGTTGGTGATACCTGTGAGCCTCAATATAAAGTTGAATTACAAGGGTGAAATGAGAATGCCTGAAACTCCAGCTCAACAAATTTGATGCTTCACTCAATGGATGATAATAGAATATTTCGTAAAGTTGCTTTACCTGTGTTGTTAATAACAAGGTGACATTTATGGAACTAATAAACTGTAAAGTCCATTATGGCTTATTGCTGATTCTTGAACATAAGCCTTGTAATATATTCATTTATAAAAACCATTTGAGCCATTTAAATATCATTAAACCATGGCAGAATTAAAATGAGTTTTCTCCCTGTGGGCTCAGGTGCATGGGAGTACAGTTATTATTTCTGCAGGCCAGTTATTGGCTTGGAGGCTGATATATGATGGTGATGGGCTTCTGCTGCCATTGCCGGGGATAGGGGTCAGATCAAGGAGTGTGGTGACTTCCTAGGGAAGGTAACTGGAGTGAAGTATCCTTTTATTCCTCATTCCTCAGTCAGAAAAGTAGTGCGTCTTTTTACCAGATTGAAGCATGACTTAAAGTTTTCTCCTATTATCCTCACCGTTTATGTCCTAATCTGTGATTCTTACTGGAATGAGTGTGCAGGCTGAAACATTAATTGAGAGAAGTCACAGGAGTTTTCTACAGGGGTTAACTCTATCTGCATTGTTGTCTTAGTTCAAATCCCTCTTGTTTTCATCTGGATAATTGCTGGGCCCAGGAGCTGGTCTCCCAGCCCTTAGAACCTTCTTTTTCCAACAAAATTTCTTCATTGTCATTTTCCTAATCACATCCTGTCATACTTAAAATCTTTCAGGGTTATATTTAAACTCTTAAGTATGGCAGAGAGAGGTCTTGATGTTTGGCCTTTGTCATTACTGAAATCGTAGAGGGAAGAAAGCTGTTTATGTCTAACAGCTCCCCGAAAGGAACTGTATTAGGATCATTTATGGGTAAATTGATAAGATTTTATTCAAAATGTACACCCAAACTTCCACTCCCAAACTCCCGCTGGAATGCTATTAAATTAGAAAAACAGTCCAAAGTCGGGGATGTGATGAATCACATTTGTTTCTTCCCTCCAAAGAAACTAAGGATTTAGTCAAATTAGTCTAGTCAAACCGGTTCTCCTCCTTTCTGGTTATTGTCTGCAGTTACTACTTTCCTGGAGTGTCTGACAGCTATATTTATTTAATCTTTACTGTATTCTTGTCTATAGAGCTAAATTAAGGGAAAGACAGCTGGACCACTGCCTGGCACATCAGTTCATAAAGCACATTAAAACATTCCTAAAATAAAGTGTAAATATGGTGCTTGATATGGTTTGGCTGTGTCCCCACCCAAATCTTATCTTAAATTATAATCCCATAATCCCCACATGTCGTGGGAGGGACCTGGTGGGAGGTAATTGAATCATAGGCGCGGTTTCCCCATGCTGTTCTATGATCGTGAGCGGGTTCTCACGAGATCTGATGGTTTTATAAGCGTTTGGCATTTTCCCTGCTGACACTCGTTTCTTGTGCCACCCTGTGAATAGACGCCTTCCGCCATGAATGTAAGTTTTCTGAGGACTCCCCAGCCATGCAGAACTGTGAGTCAATTAAACATCTTTCCTTCATAAATTACCCAGTCTCCAGTATTCTTCATAGCAGTGTGAGAACGAACTGATACAGTGCTAGTTAATTCAGTTTCCACATGAGACTACTAAATTAATTGGCAAAAGTAGGCAACATGTTCAAATAAAAATTGGGAAAACATTTCTCCCGGTGCTGAACTTACTCTATAGAGTTATTTCTGAAAGAATAATTGCGAATTGCATGTTGCAATTACGGGCTGCTCCAGCAGCCTTGAGACAGGCCAGCTGACAGTTGATGTTCTAAAACAGAAGTAAGGAATGGCGAAATTTTTTTTTTAATTAAAAATGAGTGATTTATTTCATTATCTAAATTTCAGTCCTTGGAATATGCCCCCAATATATGTTCTGGTTTCAAAAACTTAATCATAAAATGGAAGTGCGAACAAGAATGGTGAAAGGTAGAAAATGATTTATCAACTCGAAATTTAGAAAATTAGATTTTGGAGATATATTTTAAACAAAATGTAACACATTTACCCTATGAAAGTTACTGGGTTTTTTTTGTGCTTACGAGTGACTGATGCTATGGGTTATTTTTTTAAAAAAAATCCTGAACAATAAATAATTCAATTTAATAAACAAGTTAAAAAAAAAAGAACAGAAAATGTATATACCCTATCAATAGAGAAGTCACTTATTTTGGTGTCTACTAAATAAATGTTAAACAACTATTTAAAGAACACCAACTTGTTGGGATACTTTCAAATTGTTTGGCTGTCTGAGATGCCCTTCTGTCTCAGCCCAGCCTGGAGATGCTGGTAGTGGTATACTCACATCACCCTTGATGAAACAGACCTATGGAGGTTTAAATCTTCAAGAAATTATTTCAAGGATAATTTTGCCAGAAGCCTGAGAGAAAGAAAGAGAGAGAGAGAGAGAGAGAGAGAATGAATTATAACCTGTATTCTGGATTCTTGGAGTTCAATAATATCCCATAGTCCAAAATCGTTGAAAGCTGTTCATTTTTAATTTGGTTTTTAGTTTTATAATATACATTGACAGAATACACAAAGCAGAAAAATGAGTAATAAAAGCACTAGATAGCAGAATCAGAATCCCAATAGCTTGAACTTAACAAAATTAAATATAGTACGAATAGGTAACAAGTCCTACACTTGGGCTTAAGAAGGAGAGGAAAAAAATATACAGAATGAGGAAGGCACAACTAATTAACATACATGAAGAGGGATATAGCATTTTTATGTAATATGACTGAGTAAAATAGAAGGGAAAAATGTAAAATATGTGTATCTTATTTAATATTTTATATGATATTGTTGAGGTTATATACCTAATTGAAATTCTGATGAGGGAGGGCTGTGATTGCTTTTACCATAAAATCCATATACAAACCAAATTTGGGTTTCTATTTCAGGGACTCTGTGGATCCCTGAAGCCCTTTTGCGCATCCCTAAGTTTACCACAGATCTCAGATGAACACTCTGCATTAGTTGAACAATCTCAGAATCCATACAAGCATAGGTTTGAATTTTGACTCCACAGCTACTCAAGGGATAATACTGGGCACATTACTTAAACACTATCAGTCTTAGAATCACCTTATGCAACATAGGAATCAACATACATACCTTGTAGAGTAGTGGCATGGTTAGAATGAGACTTTTGATAGAAATTCACCTATCACTTGGTAAGTACTCCCTTGATGATAGATTATCATGGAGTAGATGCTAATGTGGAAAAGATAACCAAGTACTGTGTACAACTCCAAAGAAATTGCAAGGAGCTAGAATTTTGTTTAAAATAAGATAAATCATTCCAATACTTAGAGCTACTCCCAATAGAGTGGAACTTCTCCTGTGTTTACTGAGGCTTTCCTCAATAAAGACGGTCAACTAGAAATGGAAGGCCTGTTTGTTAGCCACAGCATAGATATAGGACACAGAGGGCTGGACTGAGTCCACAGACCCCAGCCTGGGTCTGTGCACACATGGCAAGTGGTCATAGCATGATCAAGGGGAGGTATGGGAAGAGCAAAGCCTGAACAAACCTGTCATTGCAACAGATCTCCATCTTCAAATGGAGACTTGATACTAAGCATTGACATTTGTGAATTGTTGACCTTCTTATAATGGTAAATGACATCTTTTTTAACTTCCATTCATAGGTTTAATGCAAAGAAGTGTCAAAGAGTAATATGTTTTTAATTGAGAATGTAGAAATTATAGAAGTTATTAGAAATAGATGTGTCTTCAGAAGCCTTTTGCTTATAAGGTTTGACTCTTTTTAGCTCCAGGATTATTTTTAAATGTCTTAAACAGTCTGCTTATATAGCAGTACCAAGACATTTCCATATAAAACTTAGTTTTCTATTTTTTTTAAAGGCTGTGAACTAAAGGATTCAATGTTCACCCAAGGTCGCTTACTGCACCAAAGTTTTCAGGTTCAGTAATCCTCTAGGTAAATGAGAATTTTAGAATAAGGGATGGTGGTGGGGGAGGATCTGGAAAAGGAAAGGGTATTCCGAATATATCATATCTAAGGCACTGTGCTGGAAGGATGCTGGCAAATCTGTCACGGCATCGTGAACACATTCTTCAAATGACAAAACTGTTCCCTCTGACAAGCTCTTGGGAAGCAACACAGCACAGTATATCCTTTTGAGGCAGTCTCAGGGGGTGGGGAGAGAAGGGGGAGTTATTAGACGAGGTAAGACAAGGCATAAGACAGATGCATCTGGGTTATCGACTGTCATTGTAAAAAAAAATAGTAAAACAAGAAAATCAAGCTATTCAAGACTTCCAAGCTTGTACTTTCAAAAATGCATGAATATTGCTACTTGTGATCAAGAAAGTGATTGTGCTTGCTAATCAAATAACGTATGGGTTCTGTTTGAAAACAGTAATTAGCTGATTCTTGGAGATAGCATATCACCAGAAGTCATGCTTACTACTTGAATGGAATACCAGCTTCAAACAAGACGACTGCATTCCCCATTCTCAGCTTAGCGGCCCGAAAGCTTATAAATTAGGCAGCTATCCAACCCTCCTGTACCCCACACCAGCACTCTAAATATTACATTTTTAATTATAGCTGGGAGTTCTCATTCTTATGTCTTAAGGTATGTTGACAGAAGCTGCTGATCATGCATTGTCATAGCAATCCAGTAAGAAATACTGAGATTTGTTTTTTGTCCTACTTCCCATCTGCAAAGTCATGTTTAATATCTAACTGTATGCGTTTATGATTAAAAAATAAAGTTGAAATCCCTGTTCCCCACGTCTCTTACCTCTACCAAAAAGCAGTTTCTTATCCTACTTTTCCTTACTAAAACAGATGAAATTTATTTTTCTACTAGGGAACTCATAAATGTCATTTTTAATTTCAAAAACTATACAGATAAATGCATTTTCTTGTTTATTTCTGGCACCATCGAGCGTGTGCACGAGCCTTGTTCTCTGTGGAGGATCCTATGTAAGAGCACTGTCTCTAAATTAAATAAATAAACCACTGAGCTGGGGACCTTGAAGAAACGCGGAGTAAGTGAAAGACACAGAGGCAAGTCAAGAGTCTTAGTGATATTAACATTACTAAAAAGTATTCTTATTACTATTACAGTCATGGTAGTAGCAGCTTTTATGGAGTGCCAGCTGGATGTAGGTATATTGCTTAGTGTATATTATGCATTATTTCATTTAATCCTCACAGCAACCACATGTGGTGGCTATTGCCCATTTTATGGACGAGGGATCTGAGGTTTAGGCATGTTAATCTATTACAGCTATGTGCTTTAGTGCAGGCAGAATTCAATCCCAGGCTTGTCTGACTTTACACCTAGCTATTACACTCCATCCTTTAACTGCTACACTATACCACCTCCTATATTAAAATAATAGTCACCTTAATCCTACGGAATGGTGAAAATTAAAACAATAAGCTGGTAAAAATATGATTCCCTATTCTAGAAATAGGAAAAGACATTTTTTTCTCATATGAGCTGATGTTATTCAGGGAATATGGTCTGTGTTTTTCCAGGAGCAGTGCCTCATTCATGCTAGGCTTTGGCATGTTTTGTAGACCAAAGGGATCTTACGAGTCCGGGTCTCACCAATGCTGATGCTTGAACCATGCCTGAGGTGTTCCAGCCAAACCTCTTCAGGATTCTTCCTAGGAGTGGAAACTCATCGCTTTCCAAGACCATTCATTCAATCTTTGTAATCATGTAATGGGGGTACCAGAAGCTATCTCTCCCCCAACTCCATTTTTCTGCCTGTGTGACATGCCTTGGAGAGATCCATTTTTTTAAAAAAAAGATTCATCCTCGGTAGTATAACTGAAAAGTGAAACTAGATAAAGAGGGCCTTATATCCTGCTATGGAGGTGGCCCCCTCACAATCCTCCATGGTATACCACATGGGTCATTAGTGTGTAAGGACATCAATTTGCATAAGAAGACTGGGGCCCTTTTGTAAAGAAATTGGTGAAATTGCTCAGAGCAGAAAGCTTTTGTTTAACACGGACACAGAGAGATATTATTTGGCTCCTGCTATAGAAGGAACTTTCTGTCCCTCTCTAACTTCCACATATTCATCAATCATCATGTGCCCCTTAGTCTCCCTTTTTCTTAGCTTAAGCATCTTTCCTTCCTTCAATTATTCCTCCTAAAATAAGTTTTAACGTTCATGTCTTGCTGGCCCACTTCTCTGAAGCGCTCTTGTTGGTCTGTATTTCATTTTTAAGTTCTCTTGCACAAAATCTACTTCAGAAGCCCAGCTCTGGTGTGAGGACTACTCTTCCCCTCTCTAGAACAGTAATGAATGATATTTTCTCTTTCTCATTTCACAAACCATGCTTATCTCCAAGTAATCCAAGAACGCATGACCATCTTGTGTAGCCACATCACTCAGATGACAGCTTTGGAGTTCATTGTCAAGTAGAGACCATGGAACTTTTTTATATACTCTAGCACTTTGATGCAGTATTTCTCCCTCATCCCATATTTGGTAGTTGGTGTTAAAGACTCACAGTCAGAAGTCTATGCTGGAATGTATCTTATTGGAGTTCGCCTATTCCTCTGGTTTGTTTTTATTCTGCCCTCTAGTACGTTCCTAACCTCTCAAAACGAATTTCTCAATTAAGAAAATGAATCATTCTTAAATGAAGAAAACAAATCATTCTACCAAAAAGCCACATGCATTTGTTTGTTCATCACTGCACTATTCACAACAAAGACATATAATCAACCCAGATGCCCATCAATGGTAGACTGGATAAAGAAAATGTACATATACACCATGGAATACTTTGTAGCCATAAAAAAGAATAAAATCATGATCTTTGCAGCAACATGGATAGAGCTGGAGGCCACAGTCCTAACACAAATTAACAACAACAACAACAAAAAAACAGATAACACAAGTTCTCACTTATAAGTAAGAGCTAAACACTGAGCACCCATGGACAATATGACAATAATAGACACTGTAAACTACTAGAGGATGGGGTGAGGGGGTAGGTTTAAAAACTGTCTATTGAGTGTTATGCTAACTACCAGGGTGATGGGATCTGAACTCCAAACCTTAGCATCACGCAATATTCCCATGTAACAAATATGTAAATGTATCTCCTGTATCTAAAATGTGAAATTTAAAAATAAAGCAAGTTTACAAGAAAAGAATAAGAAGGAAGAAGAAAAAGCATCTTTCAACTAAGTAGGTCAAAGACATCTTTTGTAATTCAAGTATGATATAACTGGTTAGAGTCAGGGATTCTTTTTGTGGCCACAGACATCAAAGGGACCTTACTAGCAAGATTCACACCCCCAACTCCTTTTAACAAAATGTTCAAATTTTTTAGGAGGCTGCTAAAAGAAACATGATAAATACTGATAGGCAGCAGGCCTGTATGAGATATTTAAAACACTGGAAAATTTCAATAAATATTTATTGAATGGAAAATAGTGAATCTTAAATTTCACCTTTTATATTTTCACTGCCAACATTCCTAGTTGATTCACTGAATTGACTGGATGATTCATTCATTCATTCAACATAATGTTACTGAGCACTTACTGTGTGCCAGCTGTGTTAGGCATTGGGCTCTCCAGGACAAATAAAGCAGGGGACCTGTCTCTAATGAACACTCAATCCAGTGATAAAAGTGGGGACAAAGGAGAACAGAGTCAATTCCAGAGTACCTATGATCCAGTACACAGTACTGTGAGACCAAAAAGGGAAAAGAGCTAACTCTGCCCAGGGTTTTTGTGTTGAGGTGGGAGTCAGGAAACCCCCTGGAAAAGTTAACATTTCAGCTGAATTTGGAAGGACACAGAAGAATTAGCCAGGTGAAGAGTAGGGGACAAGGATTTTCAATTAGGGAAGGCTACAGAAATCACAGCATGCATGGGTAAAGGCATGCCATTTAGTACAGTACAAATGAAGGTACCTGGGACAGAATATTGAAAGATGGGACAGGAGAGGCAGACAGGGAGCACGTAACAATGACCCTCAGGTATCACTGCACGGGGTTTAGATTCATCTTACAACTTAATAAGCAAAGAAAAACCTGGGAATCAAGGATATTTGCTGTGCATTTTAGCAAGATCACTCAAGTTGCAGTAAAGAAAATGTACCAGAAAGGGCAATATTGTTTAGGTGACTGCTATAGAGCATACATGGGAAATAAAGGTGTTAACTCAGTGATTTTGAAGCTGGAAAAAGTGGGATGAATTCCAGAGATACTGAAGAAGTAATTTTGAAGAATTTTCCACAGTTACTAAAATCTATGTATTTTAGTAACTTTCTGGATGTAATAGGAGATGGAGAAGTCAAGAAAGAGACTTAGTCTTCTGGCTTAGGCAACTGGTAGAAGATAACCTCATTCATTAAGGTAGGGACCCTGTGGGAGATTAGTGACTTGTGTTGATGAGAGACTTATAAAGAGAAGGCTTGTTTTGGACACACTGAATCAGAGGCAGTGGGACATTAGGGTGGACATGTCAAGAAGGCAATCAGAATCTAGAAGAAAAAAGTGGGTAGGATTTAGGAGCCATCAGGAGTCAGCAGCTGAGCCTGTAAGAGTGGATGAGATTTCTCAGGGTTCTAAATAGAATAGTAAGAAAACAGCAGAGAATAAAACCCTGAGGATTTCTACTGTTAACTTATCATCTCTACATAGCTTTCTGCATAATATCAGAATAATACATTTTAGTCAAGTAATCAAAAACGCAAAAGCAAAGAAAAATTACACCAGGGATTCATTATACAATGACACGGAAGAAAAATAAGCCAAACAGGCTGATATAAATTTTGACACATGTACGCTTTGCTCTTTAAACACCTAGGAAAGTTATTTATTTTAATGAATATATATACATACATATATATATACTCTTCCATTGTTTCCGAAACATGCAACTCTTTGGGTCTATGTGTTTTATGAAACTGGTTTTTTTTTTTTTTTTTTTGAGACAGAGTTTCACTCTTGTTGCCCAGGCTGGAGTGCAGTGGCACAGTCTTGGCTCACTGCAACCTCCGCCTCCTGGGTTCAAGTGATTCTCCTGCCTCAGCCTCCCAAGTACCTGGGATTACAGACGCCTACCACCACACCTGGCTAATTTTTGTATTTTTAGTAGAGATGGGGTTTCACCATGTTGGCCAGGCTGGTATCGAACTCCTGACCTCAGGTGATCCACCTGCCTAGGCCTCCCAAAGTGCTGGGATTATAGATGTGAGCCACCACGCCTGGCCTGAAACTTCTTTTAAAGACATGGATAGAGTTTTCACTTTAAATAAAAAAATTAATGCAGGTTCACAGATGGATAGCAAGTGGCACAGCATCAAGATCAGACGCACAGTTGTATGTGGTAAAGACTGGAATGCCAGGACACAAATGCTACTCAGCTTGTGGCACTTGATGTCATAGGAAAATGCAGGTCCCATTATGCAAGTTCTCTATTTTTTAAACAGAAACTCAAACTTTGGATCTACATTTCTTTTTCAACAAATTAAAAGTCTTGTTGTTCGTGGGGAGGAAGAGCATCAGGCTAAATAGCTAATGCATGCAGGACTTAATATCTGGGTGATGGGTTGGTAGATGCAGCAAACCACCACGGCACACAATTACCTATCTAACAAACCTGCACGTCCCGCACATGTGTCCCGGAACTTAAAATTAAATTAAGTTAAAAAGTCTTATTGTTGCCTTAGGAGCAATACCACCAATATTTCAAATTAAACATCTATGTTGGTCACCGGACTTCAAGTTTTACTTTAGGCTCTTGATATGAGGAACTTCTTAAAAATTGCTGCTCAGGGCTAAGTTTCCAATTCCAGTCAGGTAATGACACACTTCAGGCAGAAACACAATCAAAAGCATTTCATCTCCTGCTTCTGGATCAGCTGTAAGACACAGAGCATACCTGACCCTTCACCTTTTTACCAGATCCCAAAGTGATTTACCCTACCTGTGGCAGCCAGGATAAGCACATGTATTAAATGGCTTACAAAGACAAGCATCTGCTGACAGTTTGTCATTGTGATTAATTAGAGCCAAGTGGAGGAGGGAACCTTCTTGTGTACCCTCCACTGTGAAGTGATTTTTTGAGAGAGTATCTTATCACAATTAAATTCCAATCTCACACTTTGCTAATTTTTTTCACTGCAAACACGACAGCATTCATAATGCCAAAGCAGTGTACGGGAACTGACATTCTGTTTACTGTGTGACTGCACATTAAATTCCCACATGAAAAGCAGTCAGCACAGAATATACATGGCTTGGGGAAACTTACATTGGCTCACTAGAGATTAAGCATGTAACTTTAAAATGGATTTTCCTTCAGGAATGCCTTTCTGTCCAAGTTTAGAAATAATTCAAGTGGTTCCCTACCATTTCTTGTTAGAGTCATCTTGTATCTGTGTTTGAAGGTCATCTAGCTTTCTATTGAAAAGCTGGGAATTATTAGAGAATTGTTAGGGAATTAATTTACTGTAGATGGCTAGTTGGAAAAGAAACAAGGATTAAGTGCCAACTGCAAAAAATTCCCCCCAAACAAATAAAAAAAAACCAAAGGAACCCAAAGCATAATGCTGGCACTTAGGAAGCTTGTTGCCTGGGTGCACTGGCAAAATATTTGCCCATATACCAACCTGAGAATACTTTCAAAAGAACACATCACAATTTGTTGATTTCTAACAGATGCAAGCAGTGTTGTAAAATGGAATGTGCCTGCCTGACACAAATTTGAGCCAATTTTGAAATGGCAAAAATCTTCCAACAATGACTTGAATACTGTGCCTTCAACTTCCTATTGGTATGCACATTTTTTAGAGCTACCATTTGAATATTTTATTAAATGCCTGGGATGATTCTAAGTGTTCTGCATGCATGAATCTCCAGATCTAGGAGGTAAATTACTGTTATCCTCATCTTACTGGATGAGAAATTTGAAGTTAAAGAAACTTGCTCAGAAGCACACAGCCAGAGAGTTGGGATTTGTACCTGGTTCTGCCTGAATCCAAAGCCAGTTGTTACAATGCTACCAGTTCGGCGCTTAGAACCTTGCTTGGCACGAAGCAGGCACCCAATAAGTATCTGATGAGTGAATATTTCTGTGGATATTCATCAGCAGCCACAAAGCTTTTTCACGCTTCTCCTAAAAATGCCTCTGTGATCTAAATATTTGAATCAACACAATATTTGATAAAATATATGATGCTCTCCATTAAGTATAACATTTCAGTTAATGAACTTAGTATTTCTTAGCTACATTTTAAACAACTGTACTTGAAATGCCTTAACAATTTTTATCATGCCTTCTAAAAACAAGTATTCCTACCTTATATTCAGGAAATAATTATCTGATGTTTGACAAAGGAACATGTAAAACATGAGAATTTAGCAGGTTTTTGGGCTTTGGCCAACTCATCACCTGTCGCTGGATATCAATTTCTGAGACTGTCCAAGGGGCGGAACTTCCAGGGCTGAAATTTTATGGTTCTGTGATTTGGAAACATGAAGTAGTTTGAGATCAGAAAGTCAGCAAAGAAGTCGTTGTGGGTTATTAGTCTTAATACAACACGGTGGCATTGGAGTGTGGGTGGGTGGTATAGTTTGTGTAACTGTCCCCTCCAGCTGTGATATTGAAATGCAATCCCCACTGTTGGAGGTGGGGCCTGGTGGGAGACATTTAGATCATGGGGGTAGATCCCTCGTGAATAGCTTAGCACCATCTCTTTGGTGATCAGTGAGTTCATGTAAGATCTGGTTGTTTAAAAATATGTGGCACCTCTCCACTCTCTCTCTTCCTCCTGTCCTCGCCATGTGAGACGCCTGCTCTGTCTTTAACTTCTGGTGTGACTGTAAGCTTCCTGAGGGCTTCACCAGAAGCAGATGACGACATCAGGCTTCCTCTATAACTGGAAGAACCACAGCCAATTAAGCTTGTTTTCTTTATAAATTATCCAGCCTCCATTATTTCTTTATAGCAACACAAAAGTGGTCTAATACAATAGGAAACCAGGACTTGCTGGAGATCCACTTGGGAAAGAAGGATTATGGTTAGGGGAACTAACTAACTTGTCTGTAGGAGTTACCAGAGTCCAAAACCATGGTTAGTGATATCACAATAATTAAACATAATAAAAGACCTTTAAATAGCTGTTGGTCTTCTGGTTTAGACCCAAATAGGAATTTTTCCTAGTGAGGTTAATAAAGTTCTTCACAATTCTACACATAGTAGGTGCGCAGTAAGTATTTGTTGAATGAATGAATGGTTTCTCACCTACCTTATAGGAGAAAGGCTACAACCACCAAGTTGGAATTTTAAAAATCAAGGGGAAATGGGTTTCTTGGAACAAGAACTAAGAGTTCAGGGCCAAATATTCTTTCAAAGTCTCATAAAGTAGAAGGTCCTTATTGATGAAACAATGACGAGGAATCTATATCTCCTAGACATTTTGCTGATGTGGTACACCTTTTAAATGGAGCTGAACAATTTACTAGATCATTATAAAAATTAGTCAGGTTTAGAAATACACTACTAAACCAACAGGCAAATAAAGCCTGTCTTATTTTCAGTGTCGTCATCTCTGAATTATTTTGCTTTTGACTTCTCAAAGGTTCATTACTTTGGGAAGACAGTGCTAATAATAATGCAAAAGGTCCTTTTCTGTCAATGAGTATAGGACAAGAAAGCAGGGAATCCAGTCGCGACTCCAGTTAGCTGACTGGGACCAAGGTCTAGGATCTAGCAATGTGGCGGTCAATGTGGGAGGACAGTATCAAGCACAAGTTGCATGTTCTGGTATCCAAGTTAGGAACTAGTGTTCACAGAAGGCTCCATTCTTGGAGTGTGTGTATGGGAGAAGACAAAGAGGAGAGGCTAGGCAGGATTCAGTTCTATTATCAGAACCAACATGTACATAGTAGAAGGCTGAACGGAATTATTTATGAGACCACACAGCTTCCCAGAGCTTACTGTGGGCATAATGGAATTTTACATAAAAAGTAAGACTCTAAGGAGCTAACTTAGAAGTTCAGCAATTGTAGCTGTGCCACTAGTCCTGATTCTGGCATTGACTTGCCAATAAAAAGACATTTAACTCTATCAATTTGCCTCTCTTCTTTCTAATACACATCCGTTGAAGTCTCCTGGGACTAAGTGATGGTATTAAATATTTAGAATGTGAAGCTGAAATTAACTAAGATGCATAGATTCCTCACCTCCAAAACCTCACACCAATATACCAGGTGAAGGATTAATTAATTAACTTAAATTTCAGTGAGGACCTTTTATGAAAATATCAAAAGATTCAGCTGTGAAAACAATGAGGACAAGGTGCAGGAGCCAAAAAAATGGCTTTGGGGGTATGAGTTCTGACTCATTTTATAGAAGATAGCAAAAACAAACAGATTCTGGTTCTAGGCTAAGGAAATGTTATCACAGTTATAAAGGCATGGGGCAGTGCAGGTTGAAGAAGTTTCCCGGTCATGGCAAATTCATTGACTTGTCTAGAACTGATTTGTTTCATGAAGGAATAATTGTACATAAAGTAAGAGAGAAAGGAAAAAGAAAAGCCGATGATGACATTGGAAGGCCAAGTTAAGATAGAGAGTAACAGGGAGGCACTGTTGATTCTAGAACAAGGATTAGATACAAAGAAAAGAATATTTATGGAAGATTATTCTGGCAGGCGTGTGTGGGATGGATTGGCAGAGGGAGGGGAGATGATGGGGTAGAGATGTACTAGGAAGCTATTTCAGGAGCTGCTGCAAAGTTTTTGTCTAGGGTAAAGGTCCTTAGTTTCAAACCATAAAATGCTAGAACATGGAGGCTCTAATTTAGAAGACTAGAAAAGCAAAATAACCATGCTGGTTCTTACCTATCCTTTGAATTTCTTTATGCATAACAAGGGGATATTTATAGGAACCTAGATGTAACATGATCATTTTTAAGACAACTTACTTGGCAGCTTGAAAGAAAAAAATGACATTTTGTTTGCTCATTCCCTCTTTCACTACCATTTAAGTATCAGACAAGATGATTGGAGATTGAGAAAATACTTAAGGGCAATATGTGTGTTGGGGAATCTGTAAATTATAATTCTCTAACTCAGTCCCCAGTGGCCTAGGTGACCTGATTCAATGTTAAAATCTGAGCAAGAAAGTGGCAAAGTTGGGGCAAGGTGCGATGGTTCACGCCTGTAATCCCATCACTTTGGGAGGCTGAGGTGGGCAGATCACGAGGTCAAGAGATCAAGACCACCCTGCCCAAAATGGTGAAACCCCGTCTCTACTAAAAATACAAAAATTAGCTGGGCGTGGTGTGTGCCTGTAGTCCCAGCTACTCAGGAGGCTGAGGCAGGGGAATTGCTTGAACCCGGGAGGCAGAGGCAGCAGTGAGCTGAGATCGCGCCACTGCACTCCAGCCTGGGTGACAGAGAGAGACTCCATCTCAAAAAAAAAAAAAAAAAGTGGCAAAGTTAGATTATTACACATAGTAAATGATGATGTTGATGATGACAATGACAGCAATGCTCACCATTTAGAGAAAACATACTATGAACTAGTAGCTGTGCCCTGTCTGCATTTCATATACAATGTCTTGAACCTTCATAATAGCCCCATAAGCTAGGCACTGTATAGTTACCTACATTTTGTATAAGAAGAAACTGATTGTTAAGTAGTTCAAATGACTTGCTCAATATCTAAGCTTATACGAGACAGAGTTTAGATTTGAACCCAGGCTTGTTTGTGTCTGTAGCAATTCATCCGCACGCTGCCATTAATTTGGAGAGAAAGAGGACACAGTATTTCAGAAACAGCTTCTGATAAGATTCTAATGCTACAGTGTATGATTACGATATTTGAAATCTGCCCTCCATGTCTGAGAGCACTACAGAGACTTTATACTGAAATACAGATGTCAATATTCAGTGAGTTTCAATGTGTTATTTAATACTGATAGAAATCTGAGATGAAATCTGTTTCATCGATATTTTGGTAAAATTACCAATATTTTTGGAGAAAGATAAAGGGGATGCTATCTTAAAGATGCCATTTTATCACAGCACTGCTCTAGCAAGCGGTCTATTACCTGTAGACTTGTTATAATAGACTTTTTGAAACCCTAGTGGAAATAAAAATTTATGAGGCACTGCTTTATTTTTTCAAACTGAAGTAATTCTGACTTTGTGAACTTTTAAAGAAATCAGTTCTGCATAATTTATTCAACCCAATGTAGAACTTTAACATTTTATTTTTACGGTATACAAATGTGCAAATATCTTTAATTGTCTAAATAGCAAATCTAGCATTTGAGGTCTTTGCTTCACCGAGAGCACTTTCCACCCTGCCCCTCGGCTGGGCTTCCTGGTTTCTTCCATTCTTCCTCTTTGAAAAGTGCCTGGGTGTCTTCTGGGAAGCCTGTCCTCCCATTCCAGACCATATAAGGCCTTCTCACCCACTTCCCCACTCCTTTGCCCAACATCTTGTTCAAGCTTCTAATGTATGAGCTAAACGGCATTACTATTATCTTTGTACTCGAGTAGAGCAAAGTGAGCCTTTGAGAGGTTTATTTGTCCTTGTTTGCATGGCTTGAGACAGAGAGAGCTGAGATTCTAACCCAGGTTGGTCAGACTCTGGGGCCAAGACCCTTAACCATTAAGAGAGAGGCCTTTACAGGACATATACTCTATAGCTATGTGTCAGCTAACAACAAGGAGATGTTCTGAGAAATGCATCCTTAGGCAATTTCGTTGTTGTAAGAGCATCATGGAGTGTACTTACACAAACCTAGATGGTATAGCCTACTACACACCTAGGCTGTATGGTACAGCTTATGGCTCCTAGGCTACAAACCTGTACAACACGCTACTGTACTGAATACTGCAGGCAATTGTAATACAATGGTGAGTATTTGTGTATCTAAACATATAAAAGGTACAGTAAAAATACAGTATAAAATATAAAAAACTATATACCTGTATAGGGCATTTACAATGGATGAAGCTTACAGAACTGGAAGTTACTCTGGCTGAGTCAGTGAGTGAGTAGTGAGTGAATGTGAAGACCTAGAACTTTTACACTATCACAGACTCTATAAACACTGTACAGTAAGGTTACGCTAAATTTTTTAGGGAGATTTTCTTTTTACAATAATAAATTAGCTTACAGTAACATTTTTATAAACTTTAAATTTTTAAAAACTTTGATTTTTGTAATAACACAGCTTAAAAACACATTGTACAGCTGTGCAAAAATATCTTTTTTCTTTCTATTCTTATTCTATAAGCTTTTGTTCATTTAAAAATTATTTATTTTTAAGCTTGTTTGTTAAAAACTAAGACACACACACACACACACACACACACACACACACACACACACACATTCTTTAGCCTAGGCTGACATAGGCTCAAGATCATCATCATGTTACAGTAAGCAATAGGAATTGTTCAGTTCCATTATAATTTTATGGGACTATCATATATATAGTCGTTTGTTGACTGAAATGTAGTTATGCAGCACATGACTATATATATTTATTTGCATCCTCGGGACTTAGCAAAATGCTGGACATGCTAGAGATGCTGAATATTTACTCATTGAAGAAATGAATAAATGCTTTTGATTGAAAGGAGGCTTCGGCTTTAGCCTGTACAATAGTTACTCCTTACCCACGTAGACTGTTAAATGATCAGTGCGTGGAAAGGCAGTAATAATTGAGTATCTCTCATATACCACCTTTTGGAGGAAAATAAAAGCAAAAAGATAGTCTGTCACCTTAAGAGTCTTTTTTTGTTTGTTTGTTTCTTTTTCTTTTCTTTTCTTTTTTTTTTTTAGAGACAGGGTATTATTCTGTTGCCCCGGCTGGAGTGCAGTGGTACAGTCATAGCTCACTGCAGTGCAGCCTCAAATTTCTGGGCTCAAGAGATCCTTCTGCCTCAGCCTCCCAATTAAAGAGACTTACCTCATCCTCAAAATGTTTTTCTGGTTTATCTCTGCTATTCTGTTCCCATTGTTCACTACTTCATACCCCAACAATAGTAGCAGCTATTTAATGGGTTTACTTTGCTGTTACTTCTGTTGCCAAGGGCCAGGCCCATCTCTCCCAAATATCATACAGAAGACCCTTAACTCGAAGCTTTCAGTAGCTTCCTATTTCCTACACATTTAATCCAAAAAACCCATCTGTCTCCATAGATCTCTCTAATCTGGTCTTATTTCTCATTATTCCCCAGTATGCATTCTTCAGTTTCCTCAGTGTCAAAAAGTATGCTATGCTTATAACCCTTCTCAATTTCATCATGTAGTTCTCTTATAATTTTCAGGGTGATGCAGGGTTTGGCAAATGGTAGCTTTCCATATTTTTATACTGCCTGTGAGCTAAGAATGATTTTCAAATTTCAAATGATTAAAAAAACAAAAGTAGAATAATATCCCATGACACGTGAAAATGATACAAAATTTAAAATTCAATGTGTATTAATAAAGTTTTGTTGAGACACATAAGTATGTGAACCAATTTGTTCACACATTGTCTACGGTTGCTGTCACTCTATAACAATAGAGACGTGTAGTTACAACAGAGATCACATGACCCAGGAATCCTAAAACATTTCCCATCTGGCACTTCACAGGAAAAGTTTGCAATTTTTGGTGTAATGGAGTAAAATAATGATACTAAATTGGAGTGCCTACTCTGCATGAGACATGTGCACTGTCCATGTATTATTTCATTTATACTTCCCATCTGGGGAGAGGTAGGTATCAGTTTCTTCAAATTATAGGTGAAGAAATTGGAGCTAAATGACTAAACTAATATGTCTCAGAATCAGAAGCATAACTGAAAACTTTCAGGCTCCACAGCTCATCCGTGGTTTTCTACAACAAACTCTTTCACTATATACTTGAGAACAAATGAATATATTGACGAGCATGAAAACACACAGTACACATTGAATACATAAGTGATGTGGATGTCAAATAATGAAGTAGCCCTAGAGAAATCCAGCTAATACAGGAAGAGTTAATTGCATCAATAGAGATTCTTGGTCTTTCTCTCCTCAGTTCCTAATTTAACCTGCACAGTCCCTTCTTTTTAAAACATTAAACAATTGAAGATCCTTTCAGGTGAAACTTCAAAATTCCTTTTTATCACTTTTGTCTTTTATCCATTGATCAAATTGTTCTTTAAAAGAATAGATTTTTTTTTCAAAGTACAATGTTGTTCCTTGAATCCCATATGACAATTTTAAAATCAGTGCTTCAAACCACAGTCTATTTGAGCTACCTAGGTTTATTGTCTTTCATTTTCCAGAATATATGAATGGATTAAAGAAAAAGACACAAAGAAAAAAGTTCAATTTCCCCAAAAGTATCTATATGTTGACTCTCCCAGTCAAAACTAAGGAGATTCTACAGGAATTAAGAAAGTAAACAGAAAAAATCCAGCCATGATAATATAGAGAAACCTGTGTGATAATTTGTTTTAGAGTTTCATTTTGTTTTGTTTTTTTTGACCCAGATGAAATGAAGCATTTTGACTTCTGGTTAGTTCTGGCTCAAGTTTAGAAATAATTCACAGTGCAGCTTTCTAAGCTTAATCTTTGTAAAGGTAACTGACCCTTAAAAGAATATTTTTATATAGCTGTCTTCTGGACTTGCCTCTAATAAATAAAAGCCAACATTTATTGACTGTTGCCATATTTTATGCTCTTCACATATATTAATTTGTTTAATCCTCACAATGGTCCTATGTGGTGGGTAATATTAATATAAACACCATTTCATAGATGAATAAATAAAGGCACAGGTAGGTTGGGGGGAGTTGTCCACTGTCATTCAGTTAGTGATAGAGCCAGGTTTGAACAAAGGTAACTTGGATTATGCATTCCTCCCTCCATGATGGACAGGCTCTGGCCTGCTTGTTGATACCTCATAATCATTGAATTAACTATTAAATAGTAAATGTAACTTTTAATCAACTACTTTAATTGTGTAGTTTGGTAACTACCTCCCCAACAGGAACCTGTTCATTTTGGGTTTTGGTATCTTTTTAAAAGGGGCAATATCATGAAGATGGCACCCTCCCCCAAAAGTCTTTTGATAAAAGCATTTAATTTGGAAGCTCTGTGAATAAACAAGAAAAAAATGACAGCCAAAATTTCTTTGTGAAAACTTCGAATCTTATTTAGCACTGTCTTATGATTTCAGAATTTATATTAAGATACTGAAAACATCTTTCTATAACTTGTCTGGAAAGTAATTTGCCAACCTTAATGAAGAAAGATGATCGATATAACAGCAGATTATCATGTTTTAACTATGGTGACACACACTAAAAAAATCAATATGGAGTCATTAATCTAGTGAGAATTGAGACCCAGAGGCTAAAAATTATCCAGATTGCAATACAGTTTTTGTAATGACATTCTTATTACAGATCTATTTGTGCAGTTTTGAAATAATCAGTCTGAAGGACATACCATATTACATTAAGATGAAAAACAAGACAAAAGGTTCAAACTCACTCAAAAGGCATTTGCTTAAAATAAAAGAAATAGCTTCAATTTCCTCATTGTCATAGTCTCATTTATTTTGCTAGTTCAGTGGGACCAAATATCCTCATATACTGTAGAGCAGAAATATGTGTTTTTTTTCATATTTTCTATTCTACCTTGTTCCAGAAGCAATTTATGGTATCAAGTAAACTATGGAAAAGCAGCATTGTCTTGGACTTTGTTCTAGGATTAGGCACTAATTTATTTTTAAAAAGTCAAGAAAAGGTACAATGACCTCTAAACCAATTATTTAGTCCCTAAGCTTCATACAGAACGATGGTGGAGATTCAGGGAAACTTTACAGTTGTAACATAAGATTTCCAATTCTTGCTATTTTCAGAGTTCAGCTCTCATCAGTGTGAGCAGTGCCAAGTAGCAGGACGATTGGATTTTCCAGAAAACGGCAACCTCTAAACTAACTTCAGATTGGAGGCTCCCCTGCTGTATGCCAATGATATAGGATCACTGATTTAATCAGGTGAACACAGAAATTATTTTCTTATTTCCTTCACTTATTTAAGTAAATTTCTTTACTACATGTCTGAGTAAACCAATGAATATCTTAAGAGCTTATTTTCTTAAGGTGGCACTTTAAACTCAACAAATCTTAAAAGATGCATTTTCTTTAATAAAAACAGAGTAATGGATGCTAAACTATTTCAAATTGTTCTTGGCTGCTGAAGTTTGTGCTAATGCCACATTACATACCATATTCACTATAATACTAGATTTTGTTGTAATTGCTATATGAAAAAATGTGATCAATAACATGAAAGTAAATCATAAATTTGGAAAGTAGTAGAAGTATAGTCAAATGCATTATCACTACCTATGTATTGCTCTTTCATTTTGTTCTTGATGGGGCTGGATTCAAGGACACATAGAGCATTTATTCTATCCTGAGTAACCTGAATAATAACGTAACAAGGGAAATCTTATTTCAATATCACAGTTTTCCAGATTAATTGAAACTGATACCATAAAGCAATGTTATCCTCAGATTTTGCTTCCCATTACAGTGGCATAGTTTCTATGAGATGACAGAGAAAAATGATAAGCCATGAACAAAATTACCTGAAGGCACCAAAGAGCAACAAAAAAATGGGCAGACACTGGGGAGGGTGGGCTTGCAGAAAGTGGATATATTCTTGGGAGGAGGTAATGGCCTAGTCATAGTGAGGATCCTGTTTTCCCATCCTCATAAACCAGCTTGTCCTAATTTTTCTGGTCCTAACTTGTATGGAGCATGACCTCTTTCCTCTCACAAAAGTCTCTATTATCTTTTAATTAAACATCTAAATATCCATTTTTTCTCTATAGTTTCCCCACATTTATGGCTGGAGAAAGGAGGTTGTTCTCTTCCAGGTGAGCTCCTAGATGAATTTATACACCTCTTCTTTCCCGGCATCCTATTTATTTCCTTTATACCAACTGGCAAAAAATTTAAGGACACGAGTGTCTATTCATTTTACTTGTTCAGTGAATGGGCACCTATCATCTAATAGGTGCCCAATGATAATAAAATGAAATTAAAACAAACATTTCCAGTGCAGGAAGCTAACATTCAGTGGGTATCATAAGCCAGACACTCTTCCAAGTTTTGCACAGGTATTAACCTATTTAATCCTCACCTTCAAAAGTATATCTTATAGGTGATGAAACTAAGGCACAGAGATACTAAGCAATTTGCTCAAAGTCATACAAACTGGTAAGCAGAGCTGGGATGTTTATCAAGAACTGAAGAAATGAAGAATATGTCTGCTCCTGGGTCTCTGTGTAACTCAGAACTGCTGTTCTGATGACTTCTGCCCACAGTGCCTCTAAAGCTTACTTTGTATGCCTTTATACTACCTTTGTCTGTCTCTGGCCTTTCCACACCTCTCCATTGGGACCATCTCTTATTTTCTTCCATGACTTCCCTATTCTCAGAAAACCTTTTCTGGTTAGCCTCAAGGTGCCTCACCATTTACCAATTCCATTCTGACTATGGTCCTCATGGTCGCTTCCCAATACCAAATAGAATCAATAAAATATTATATTGCCAAAGATTATTAAGGTCACTTTAAATAATGAAATATAAGCCATGATCAACATTACAAGATATTATCAGAGTTACATCCTAGTTATAAGATGGTTGCCAACATGCGAATTTCCAGACTTACCTTGAATGTTCCTTCAATTTCCACATTTGATTTAATTCTATCTGAATTATATTCTGTATTGATCTTCTTAGTGTACATTCCTGAAGTATATCTTCTGAATAAAAGAGGAATCTGAGGCATGGAAATGTTCCAAGCAGCAAAATATCTGGTTAGTTGGCAAGAATTTACTACTATGTTAAAGAGTTACATAACTTATCTTTATAGCTTATTGTTTGACATAGTCTTGGTTTCTTATTCATGATACTGAGTGAAATATACTGTGTCAATTGCCCCTAGTATTCAATTTTATATTTAATCATCTTATAATATCAAAGAGTTCACATGTATTGTCAAATAAGGTTTGCTTCACTTGCTATAGTTTTGTGATAATGTCAGAACTTTAACTCTCAGTATGTCTTCATCAAAATCTTCAGTTATGTCAAAAATATTACTTTGCTTTAATTATAAGTCAGTTTCATCAGTGGTGGTATAAAGAACTAAAACACAGCTGGTGTTCTTTCAACAAACATTAAGTTCTACAAATATTATATTGAGTGGCTACTATTTATAAGACTGTGCTAGGCTCTTCCAGAGAGAGTTGCATAGGTTATGGGTCTGCTTTAAGCAACTTACCGTTCAGTAATGGAGTCAAATATGTTCTTAAACAATTAATCGAATACATTATAAAAGTTGTTACCTTGCTTTATTGCCACAAAATGGATATAAGCCAAATATAGTGAATTACTTGCAATGCCCCCAAACAGAAGTTGTTAATTCATTGTTGGTGACCCTTGGGACAACTGGTTAATTCCATTCCTCTAAAGGGAGATACTCCAAGTGCACTCCACTGATCTGGGTATGTCTGTGAAGGGTGTGTTATTAGTCCTCAGTGAGATAGAGACAGAGATTGGAAGTAAGCAATTCAAAATTTTGATAAAAATTTGATCATGTAATCTTATGTCTTTGAATATAATAATATGTTTTATATTTTTATTATTAATTTTATTGACAGTAATAATGAATTATGGATATCCATATAATCTACATTGATCAACTCTGGAAAACCCTGAAAATTAAGCCAAATATCCCCTTAGCTGTTATCACAATATTGATCAATTAGCCAGAATTCCAGCATTCAGTTACTCAAACTATAAAAATTAGAATGTTAGAGATACCTTCTCATGTTGACATTTTATTCTCTTTGCAACTTGGGAAATAAAATTAATTTGTATTTCCTGAAAAACTATTCAATTTATTCACTATTTTCTTACTTCCATGAAATTTAATGTATTCTTGTGTTCATTTTTAAAAGTGTATTCTTTTATTGATTTTATTCTATAGATTTTACTAGCTTTCTTGGGGTATAATTCAGATATAATAATATGTACACTTATTTTAGGTATATAGTTTGATGAATTTTGGTAGCTAGATACAGTCATGTAGCCTCTACTGCAATCAAGACTCATGAAAAGTTAGAATGATCCCCAAAACAACCATTTAGTTTCTGAGTTTTGTACAGGGGTATTTTGAAGATTTTCCCACCAGTGTCCTCACTGTGGGAAGAGTCACTACCACTGTGTGCTTGAATTAACTATACTTAGCTTAAGAGTAAAAGCCACAAAAATTAGGAACTTACTGCAGAGGTAGTTTGCTCTTTCCCTCTTCTGACTACATACTCCCTACCAGAATCTATCTGCTTCTGTTCACTCTTCAATCCTCCAGGTTTTATAGTTGTTTTCTGTGGTGGGAGCCCTCTGGCAGGGTCATAGTCTGTCATCTCCTGGGGCTTATGTTTAATATGTGCTTTGAAATTTCATTTTTTCTAGTGATTAATTTTATTCCTTTTTTGCAAAAGTATTGACTATGATGATTAGAATTTTTTAAATCTAGTTTTCTCCACAAATAGCTTGAGTAGCATAGCTCTAAACTAGAGATTTTTAAACCTTGTTGTACATTAGACTCGCTTGAGGAACTTGGTAAAAAGAGATACACCTAAGCCCCATCTTACTTCATGGAGCCTGGGCCTCTGTATTTTTTATTGTTGCACTAGGTAATTCTAATTCACACCAAATGTTGAGAACCAATTGCTAGACTAATCTCTACACAATTTCAAAATTCCAGTTTCACCTCTTCTAGGAAGCCATCCTGATGTCCCACTCAGCAAAGCCTTCAGAGCCAACAGAGTTGACACACCAAGCTTTCTAAGACCTATTTACAGGACGAAAAAAATACTTAACACATGATAACTGTTAGTCCATTACTAAACTTCATCTTTTCACCCACAGATTGACATTTGAGTAGTGAAATGAGGGAGGAGCACGTTTTGATGGTACTCACCAGCAGGAATATAAAAGTCCTTTTGCAACCAGCCAGCTAAATGGGCAGAAAACAATGTAATATGTACATTAAGTACATATTTGACTCCCACTGGTAAAGTATAAATATTTCCACAAGGTACTAATATTCTCTCAAACACAACTTCCCCATTTTTCTTAAATTCGCCCTTCATGCAGGGAAAAAAAAAATCTCAGGGCTTGTAAGATTTCAGCAACAAGCCTTGATTTTCTCAGTAGAATGTGGATCCCTCCCTCTCTTCCACAAATATGCATGCCCGTCACCTACTTAACAGTGGTTCTCAAAGCGTGGGCTCCAAACTAGCAGCCTCAGCATCACCTGGGAACTTCAGGGAAATGCAGAATCTTGGTCATCATCCTCGACCTGTTGCATCAGAAACTCTAGAAGGGAGGTGTATAGATCCCTCTAGGTGATTCTGATGCATGCCCAAGTTTGAGAATGACTCCCAGAAGATAGCCCATACTAGCTCATGGAGATCATCCACCTTGTTGGTGGACTTCAAGAGACCCAAGAATGGAGGTGAATATTATCAGAACTACATACATGGAGTTCCTTATCAATGCTCCCCACTCCTGTCTTCTCCCCTTTGTAGTTTTCTTCACCTACGTGGCCAGCATTCCCACCACAGTCACCCATTTTGACAACAAAAAGGTAATCTGTCTTCTGGAAATGTTAACACTTTAAAGAGAATGGCTGACAGAGAGCAAGCTTATTTAAAAAATAACTTCCTAATGCTGGGACTTGGAGCGTCTGTGATATATCTCTATATTCCATAATAGAGAAGACAAACTCTTCAATTCATTTTTGAGCCTGGCCCTGGTCTAGAGTCCTGAGAATTTCTTGCCCCTCAACCATCTTAATGTCAGCGGAGAAGCTTCTAATCCATCTACCTTTTTTTCCTCCCTTTCTTCCTTTAATCATTTATTACGAAATAACCGCAAAGCAAGATTAAAAAATAAGATGGATAGATTTTGCTGTCTTACTTCATGTTCTACGTTTAAATTAATAAAACTTCTTTCCTATCTTCTATTTGAAACAAACATAACTTTTTTATTGTTGTTTTTGTTTGTTTGTTTGTTTGTTTTTGAGGTGAAGTCTCGCTCTGTCACCCGGGCTGGAGTGAAGCAGCGTGATCTCAGCTCACTACAATCTCTGTCTCCCTGGTTCAAGCGATTCTCCTGCCTCAGCCTCCCAAGTAGCTGGGACTACAGGCACGTGCCACCACGCCCGGCTAATTTTTGTATTTTTATGCTGGGATTACAGGTGTGAGCTACCAAGCCCGGCTGATGCCTATAAATCTTAACCTGAATATTTACTCAGAAATTCTCAATGCTTCTTAAGTATAGTCATAAGCTGAGCTTTCATTTCCAAAGCCAATTAACATTATACAAAATTGTTTATATAAGCAATCGAGGCATAAAACACAATAATATAGTTTGCAAATGATAAAAAAGGGAAAATTATATCTCTCAATGTCCGTGCTGCCTTTTCATGGAAAAATGATTGAAAGGACCCAGCTCAGCATTCAGGCCATTAATCCATGTAAAAGCTGAATCATAATTTAATTATTTTCTTTCCTAGTAATTAACTGGGAATTTCTAATTATTCAATTTGAGTATGTTTTGATTCATTAAGCACCCTGTTCATTTTTTTTTCCCACCAGTGTATTAAATCTTAAGAGCAAGCACATAGAGAAACTGACATGCTGAGACCAATAAGTAGTTCTGGTGGCAGTGCTTACATGAGAGATGATGGGAATATTTTTGATCAAAATTACTTAATAATTATCCAATCCACTGATAAATTAGCAGGGTGTTAATTGAGTTACACCTGAAAGGCAGACATGCATGACTCAGAAGAGAGTAGGAGTGGTTTCCATGAAAACCACAGAGTGAAAAGAAAATAGCAAATGCTGATGACGGCTGAAAAGTGCATTGAAAATGCCATGGTAGCAAGTGCTGGAGCTTATGCTTATTTTGGTGGAAAACGGCAAAAATTTCGGTTTGTAACAAATATAAACGTGTGCTATACAACTCAGCACTGTGAAAAATGTTCTTTAAGCTTTTGAATTGTAAGAATTAGTGTGTGCATTCATTGTAAAGTGTCCAGCAGTCTCCCTCCAGCCAGCTGAATATCTCAAATTCCCCATTCTCTAGTAAGTGTGTATATATATGTCTGAAATGGTAATACAAAAATACACATTTTAGCAAAATAATATTTTATCCTCGGATTTTTGTTGTTCTAGAAAATGATCACATTATAAAAAATTATTTTCAGGGTCAGGTATGGTGGCTCATGCCTGTAATCCCAGCACTTTGGGAGGCTGAGGCAGCAGGGGATCACTTGAGCTCAGGAGTTTGAGACCAGTCTGGACAGTACAGTGGGACCCTGTCTCTTCGAAATAATTAAAAAATTACCCGAGCATAGTGGTGCATGCCTATAGTCCCAGCTATTTGGGAGGCTGAGATGGAGGATTCCTTGAGTCTGGGATGGGGAGGCTGCTATGAGCCATGATTGCTCCATTGCACTCTAGCCTGGGTGACAGAGTGATACCCTGTCTCATTTAAAAAAAAAAACAACACCCTTATTTTTCTGCCATCTTTAAAAAAAAAAAAGTTGCATACATATAGAATGTTCCTTTATTTTTTCCAGAAGTCTTCGGTCCTGAATATGTAAATATTACCTCCAAATAAAAATGTTGCTTGCATATACGGAGGTTTACAATTTTGATTGTTGTATTTAGGTCATGAAATTCTATTAGCTGTATGGTACTCAAAACATTTTCAAGTTCTAACTGTATCCTTGCATTTTTTAGCAAGCTGAGCAGCAGTGTGAAGCAGTAAGAGTAGCACATGTGGCCTCTGTCACAACTACTCAATTCAATTGCTCAAAAGCAGCCACAGACAATATGTAAACAAAGAAACATGGCTGTGTTTCAACAAAACTTTATTAACACTGGAATCAAAATTTCATATAATTCTTGTGTGTCACAAAATATTATCCTTCTGATTTTTTTTTAGCTTTTTAAAATGCAGAAGCCATTCTCAGCTGGTGGGTCATACAAACCCAGGCTGAACCCAGGCTATGGTTTGCTGATCTCTGGGATAGATGTACCATACTTTAATCCCCTATCAAGGGACACCTAGATTGATCCTAACCTTTTCTATAACAAAAGGCACTTCAATAGAATGCATTATATATATGACATTTATTACCTGTAAAAATATCTGAGTCTAAATTTCTCAAAGGAAAATACTTGGCTCAAATGGTCTTTGCTTTTATATTTTCAATAGATATTCCAAATTGCCTTCAAACAGAGGTTGTATCAGTTCAGATTCCTAGACAGAATGTATGTAAGCCTATTCTCCAGAGCTTCACCAGCAGATTGTGTTAAGCTTTCAGATTTTGTTGCTTTGATAGGTGAAAAATGGCACGAGTATAGTTTTAATTATATTTCTCTTATGAGTAGAGTTGATATTTTTTGTGTCATTGGTCAAGAGCCATTGTGTGCTTAATTTATTGTACTTTCTTTGCCGTGCTCAAACTGTTCATCTTTTTTCTGACTTTTCTATTAAGTTGTTGGTCATATTCTGATCGATTTCTAGAGGTCCTCATAGATAAGGAAGGCACAAGTTGTAAACAAATTAGAATGTAAGGTACAAGAAAGCAGAGCTTTTGTCAGTTTTAGTCACTGATAATAACCCTCAATATTCCATAAGTGTCTGACATATAAATTAGTCTTTATTCACAAGTAAATTACAAAATGTTTTCCTAGTCATTTGTATTTTGACTTTTCTTATGTTGATTTTTGCTATGCAAGTCCTTTTTAAAAAATGTATGTGGTTGAATTCATCAATCTTTTAAAGCTTCTAGATTTTAAGAAATATTTAATAAGACCTCCTCTACTCTTAGGTTATAATGTAGTTCTTGTGTGTTTTCTTCCAGCGATTTCATAATTCCATTTTTCCTCACTTAAATCAATGCATTTGAGATTTTTCTTGGTATATGGTGTATGAGATAGATTCAACTTCTTCTTTTTTGCTTTCTGGACTAGCACTTGATTTTACCAGTTGTATTGCGTAGTCCATCTCTTCTATTGCAACTTTCCTACTTCCAGTGTGGAATGCCTCCTTTGCTTGCTGTTTGTATATATAAAAGCTACTGATATCTGCATAATAATTGCCCTCTAGTTTTTAGCAGAACATTTGTTAGCTTAATATTTGAGTTACTCCTAAATTTTCTAGGTATGTGTTATTATCCATATCATCTACAAAAGAGTAATTGTTTTGCTACCTCCTTTTTTGGTAACAGCTTTATTTAGTTGTAATTCACATACCATAAAATTCACCTTACCACCTCCTTTTAAAATTTGTTAAGATACAACATCTTCCTCTCTCTTAATTTTATTTTCAATAAGTGTTAAATAAAAGTGATGAGAAGGGCTTCCTTATTTTGTTCCTACCTTTAGTTAGAAACGAGTCTAGTGCTGTCCTATTGTTTGATGCTGGCTTTTGAGTTGAGAAAAGCATAGTTTTATAATGCCAAGAATGAATTTATTCCCATTTTTTGAATGTCTTAAAAATCATACATTGCAAAATGTGTCAAATATCTTAAGCATGACTTTGACTCTCAGCTGTTATGTCCAGCATATGTGTTCTTTTCTCCCTGTTCTATTTTGCTTTTCATTCTCCATCCTTCCATGACTCTCACCTTCCTGATGAAGGTATGTTGCATTTCACCCATTTGGCTCCTGTGAAGACCTTAGCCACTTGGGCATCTCTTACATACTTCTTACTCAGCACATTGTATCTATCACCTACTTTCACCACAAAAGGAGTTACTAGTTTGTTGTTTTTGATTTTTTATTTTATTTTATGTTTGCATTCATCTTTTTGCTTTAGTATGCTATCCAGAAGAAAAAGAAGGGAATTGCTGTCTCATACCATCATGCTCATACAGAAACTAAACGCTTTCTAAAATATAAGCATTGCCAGAGAAAAATTATGCGACCAAACTGTTTATCCTCAAGTGGACACCTGTCACTGGCCAGTTATCTCTTCATTTTTTCCTGGTGAGAAGGCTGTCCTGTTACCCACAACAACTGCTACATCCCTTCCTCATTCTCCTTAAATAAGATAGCTAATCTCTTAATGCACGCATGCAACATTCCAGGCACCGTTCTATGTTCTTCCTAAGCATCATCTCATTTTATCTTTCTAGCATACCTGTGAGGTGGCACCAGGGAGCAGGGGAGTGGCATGGTTTAGGGTAGGCTCTAAAGCTAGATAACCTGCTCTAAACCCCACGCTGGCCACCTGCTTTTAACCTTCTATTCTTGCTTCTGCAGCCACAAACTAAGGATAATATTAGCATCTACTTCAGGGCTTGTATAGAACATATGAGAGAACAGATTAGTACCCAGGATGTAGCATGACATTAAATACTCTGAGATATAAGAGAATAGTGCCCAGAATAAGCACTCACTACGTGTTGTGAGATTGCTACTGTTCTCCCACCTTCACTGATGAGAGAAGACAGTTAAATAACTTACCTATTGTTCTACAGCTACTAAATGATGAAACCACCAAATCAAGCCAATTATTCTCCACAGCCTCTGTTGTTATACACTATATTAGTTTGCCATGGCTGCCATTAGAAAGTACCACAAACTGGGTACTTGAACAACAGAAATTTACAGTTATGGAGGCTAGAAGTCCAAGATCAAGCTATAGGCAGCAGTGGTTCCTTCGAAGGGCTATGAGGGAGGATCTGTCTCATACCTCTCTCCTTGCTTCTAGTGGTTTGCTAACAAACTTGGTGTTCCTTGGTTTGTAGATAATGTATCACCCTAATATCTGCCTTTATCTTCATGTGCCCTTCTCTCTGTGTGAGTGAATAGGTCTAAATTTCACTTTTTATAAGGACACCAGTCATGTTGAATTAGGGGCTCACCCTACTCCAGCATGACCTGATCCTAACTTAACTGATTAAATCCGCAATGTCACCATTTCCCAACAAGGTCACATCCTGGGGCAGTGGGGGTTAGGACTTCAATATTCACATTTTAGGGAACCCCAATTCAACCCATACGATATAAAGTATCATACAGAACTGTGCTCCCTCCCCCTCCACTGTTAGGCTTTTTTAAAATTTTTTTTTATTTTTTAAGGGAAGGCAAGGGTTAAAGAAAGACACACAAACAGAGAGAAGGCTGCTCAAACAGCAAGACAGGTATATTGCAGACGCCTGCAGTATTGGGGGACCAGCTTAACGCCAGAGCCCACCACCACTTACAGGCTGGGGTACTTACAGGTATGTGTGGGAGGGGTCTAGGCAGTATGGCTTGCTGCTTGGCAGGATATTGATAAGATGTTCTCATGAGGAGGCAGTTTTGGCCCTTGTTTCCATAGAATATGATAGTGGTGTTCCTTGGACCTTTGCCCAGCAGGGTGTGATAGGGATGTCTCTTTAGTTGGGCCTCTGTCTTTAGTTGGGCCTTTGTCTGCCTTGTGGTCAGGTGGTTAGACAGGATGTTTCTTACGGCCCGAACCCCCATGAAATATTTCACTTTGACCAAAGTCTGCAAAATAGCAGGGAGCTTACAAAATGGTGCAGTGTGGACTAACATCCATGACTGCTAATGTGTTCTTAGTGCTGCCGATGTGCCAATCACCTTTCTGAGAGCTTTCGGATAAAATCTTCACTTCATCCTCACAGAATCCTATGAATGAAGTCCTCTCATTATCTTTATTTGAATACAGAAGCTGAGCCACACGTAGGTAGATATTCTATCATGTTTCCCACTCCCCATGGCCCTCTCTAAGGCTTGCAAATCACAGACAAAATAAGCCATCAGACAGGATTCTCTCAGGCTCCTGTCTGCACCTCTGCACACACCTCCTCTTCCATCTGTGCTCTTGCCATCAAGGGAACATCCTGACCCAAATGGCTGGGAATCATATTTCAAGAATTACCCTGTCTCTCCTTCAGCATCAATAAATAATCACAGAAATCAATGTAAAATAAATTAACATAAGTGCTACAAAAAGAAAAGAGGTCATGAGAGAAACAACAAGCCAGTGGGGCCAGTGTGCTGTGGGAAAGGCAGTGGCACTAGATGAAGCCAGGGAGGTGAGCAAAGCCAAGCTAAGGGTCTTGCACTGCACTGTTAAGAGGATCTGTTTTGTCCCCACTAGAGTGGGAAAGCATTCCAGGGAAAGGCATGGCCAGTTGACATAGAAGCAGAGGATTATAACAATGTGGCAAATGCTCTAATTGCTTTTGAGCCCAGTATTGTGAGAACACAGAGGAAAGATGAGAGCTCTGTAAGTGGCACCAGGAAGATTTTCTCAGCGCAAATACTTGATTTGCCAAATGAGAGATCAGTAGAGAGTTATCCTCGAAGGTGACATAGGCTTAATTACATTCTTTGCCCCTTCACAGCAATAAGGTGCTATCATCTTATTGTATAAATACATATTAAACAGGGTCCTTTGGGCCATTAATTCTGATTTTTGTTTACCTCATACACTTAAAATAAAGAATGAATTCAATCACAGTAACAACATGGAAGTCCTACATTGAACAGAATCTAGGGTGTCAAACAAATAATAACATTTTAGCCAAGCTAGCTTCAGAGCCCAGAAAACAGCCACATTAAAACAAACAAGTGAACATGATGGGGAATGTGTGGCAAGAAAGAGCCCATGAAACCACAGAAGTAGAGTGGGGACAGCCATGTGTGGGCAACAGGCCCCGGGGATGGGCACCGGAGCCCCAGTCCTGGTTTTGCCACTGCCCTGTGACACTAAGCAAGTTACTGCTGGGGCATAAACGCATAGGGGGCCTGACGATTTCCAATGTCCCGCTGGGCTTCAACATTCAGGGTGTCTCCGAGTCAGTGGGCTCCTCCTCGGGATGGCTAATTTGACAATGGGTAGTTATAATGGCAAGCTGGAAAGAGGAAAATGGGAGTTGACGGTTTATTCTTATTTGCTTCTAGAGGAAAGTATTCAGGTTCCTTTTTTCTCCCCACTCATGGTTCAGATTCTTGGGTTCAGACAGTGTCTTTTCACGGGTGGGAGGAGTCATGAGAGATCAAAACCTTAGCACAGATGTGTATGGCAAGCTTTTCTTTTATTTCTGTCCTTTCTTCTAGAATGATGAACCAGCCTAAGGCCAGGTCGTCTCTCATGGAGACCCTCTTTCCTACCTTGCAACTCACCACCAAGTCTCAGAACCACACCTTCTCACTTTCTTTGTCTCGATAAATTACTAGGCGAGTAATTACCTCACCGTCTCTCTCAGTAGAGTGCTAAGGTCTGACCCATGGTCTGGGGCCAGGGCTGTGATATAGACTGTGACGTCCTCTCCATTGTTTCTTCTGAAGCTGCTTAGGAAGTAATAGACCACCCACACATGGTGCCGCTCTTCAGCCCCTTGTGTTAGTTTGGGACCTAAACTCTGATCAGGAACTCTTGGCTGGCTGGAGGGCCTTCAGTCCCTTCCTCTCTTTCAGGGAACTTGTGAGGACCACTGATCAGCAGTAGATGAGATGTAGACATGCTTGCATTATCTGGCTAAATGACAATCTAGTCATACCCGGGTTTTTCTGAATCTACCAATATTGGCAAGATTAGCATTTTAAAAAACCCTGTTTCTAATAACCGCTTCCCTTGGGAAATCAACCTTTTCTTACTCCTCAGATTCTCTGCACTTGGCGTAACTCCTACAAATAGTCATGTCTTTTTCATTACACTAAAATACATACCTAAGTCAGTTAAACAGCTAGAAAAAGAAGTAGAACAAGCTATGGTTGCTGATGAGTTACCATGGAAACAAAATCCAGACTGGAATCCACTTCCAGTCTCCCCTGGGTTGGTAACTCATAGACCTAATCTGCATTGAAGCAGCAAAAAGAAAGATCAGAATGTAGTCAACTTCCAATTGTCTTCATGTTTATATATATAGCGTGGTCAGACAATTTTAAAAACAAACAAACGAAAAACCTTTATATTGCAAATACTGAATCATAAGCTTCACATAGCCATGTTCATAAGCCATGTTTTTCATCACCTGATTTGTTATAATGTCAATACCATTGTTCCACCAATCCCAGTTTTACGGGTCAGTATAATATGTAAAAAGCTCCAAAGAACATAGTTCTGCAGATGTTCTGCAGTCATAAACTTTATAATTAAATAGGTAAAAGGTATAATAAAATAGGTACAAGATCTAATGTACATCTTGCACACTGAAATGGAAAATCCTGTGCCATGCTGTCTTCAATTTAAAATAAAACACCTCTTTTTTCATCATTCCTTCATGTACTGGAAAACTGTATTGGGAGCTACTCCCAAATATATTTATATGAAAACAAATATGACAAATTCCTCCCTTATGCCATTGCTTTCAGGGCTGCACTAAGTCTGTGCTGCTGCTAGGCCATCATAGAGAAATCTCATAGTGGGAGAATTCAGGTAATATGTTTCCTTTCTGCGTAGTATCTTATGAAGCAGATGCCTCATTAATATCAAATGATGAGCCAACAACTCCCCTTTGACTTCCTGTAGGAGCCACTATCCGGGTCCACACTCACCTAACAGAGCGTCCCCCCATGGGAAACTGATAAAATTTATCACAATAATGGATTTTCTTCCAATATGACATTTGTACCTTGGAGCGAAGTGACTATAGATCATCTTGATGTTCTTTTTCAATTTTACTAGGTAAATACTGAACCATTGATGATCTAATATTTCAGCAATCCTTCTTTTACAAGTCCTTGTAGGACACTGAGTATCACACTCCCAAGATGAAACTGTTGGAAGCGTCTTGCTGTGCATATACAAACAGCCATGTGACATTACTCACAGTTCTGGAAAGCAAGCTCCAGTAATGGGAGAAATGCAGCCCAGTTGACATTACATTTACTGCAGAAACCAGTGTCTCCTGGACTGAACAGTCCTCATGTGCATCAGCAAACAAATAAAAGCAAAGCTTCAGATCTCTTTAAATCGCAGTAAACGAATCATCTGGTCTTTACATTTTCAAGCGAGGAGGCGCCTTAAGCTTCCCCCAGTAAAACCTCTTTTCTATTATTATTATACTTTAAGTTTTAGGGTACATGTGCACAATGTGCAGGTAAGTTACCTATGTATACATGTGCCATGCTGGTGACTTGGTTAGATGATTTGCTTAAAGATACTCAGGAAACTAATGAGAAAATCGAAATGAGGAACCATTTTTTTTTTTTTTTCAAAATACAACTTTCTCCCAACAAACTAAATTCTTATGCCTAAGATTGCACAGGAATTCAAACGGGGTCATTCAGTTGTAAGTATTCTTGATGCACTAACTGGTGATCTCCACTGGTCTGCAAGGACTATAAGCATTCCTTTAAGATCTGCCAAGCCAACTTTTCACTGCATCACTGCCCATTTATGAACCAAAGGCTTAAACGTCCTCCCCTTATCACCCAAAATTGCTTCTCTGGCTCATTCAGGTTAATCTCCTGACTAACATCAAGATCATTTTTTTTTCTTTGTCTATCAATGTCCTGCAGAGCCAGCATTTAGGAATTTCAGGTTCTGGTCTTGGCATTGTCACTTACACTTTACATTATCCTGGACAGATTATGCGTCCTGCCTAGACTTACGTTACCTCATTTAAACACACCAATATTGGGGTCTAGTCAGGGGTTCTTTATGTGATGTCTGGTCCCTGAGTTCAGGCAGTCTATGAAAAACTGTATGTTTAATTTTGCGTGTGTACGTAGTAAGCATTATAGTATAGAAAGCATTCTTAACTTTGATTAAAGAATTTCTGGGCTATGCGATTTCTAGAGTCCACTGAAGCACTAAGATTCTACAAACTGCATTATATTATAAAGTGACATCTAAATATGTCATTCATGTCACATATATTTATCCATTTTTCTTTCCACTTGGTCTTAGGTTTATCTAAAGCCAAAGGGATCAGGAACACTTTAAAGCAACTGTCTACTAGTAACAGTTGACCAAAAAACAAACCTACAATCACTTTCTTTGTAGCCTGCCTCCACAGCTGCTGCCTCCTTGAGCTGTTACCTAATTTTCTATTGCCTAAGCCCTCAGATAATCATACTCTAATTGCCTTTCTGGATTTTTCTCTACCACCTGCTGTTGATATGAAGCTCTAGAGAGCAACGTGCTAGGAAATGGGAATACCAAAGTCAGCATCTCATCATAGTAAACTTGGGAAGCTAAAGGTCAAAGCTATATAAATTGTGCTGAAGGTCAGAGACCAATGAAGATCATAAGAACAAGAATGAATATCAAGTACATACAGCCGGGATCGGAAAGCAAGTGTGAATTCAGAGTTTGAGATGGATCATGGCAAGTGGTTCAGATTACCAACATGTTAGGGTAACAAAGACCTGCTTTCATTTTTTGTTTTTTATATCACTCAAGTAAAAGGTTTTAAGTTTATAGGGGAGGTATAAGACTCACTTTCATTCTACAAGATGATTAACTACAATATCTGGTCTTTTTGCACTGGCTTTATTGTCACACTGAACAATAACAGCAACTGCGGCTGCTACTATTGCTGTATTCAGTACTGCTCTCATGCCTAGCATTTTACTAAGAGCTTTTCATGTATCATGTCACTTAATATTTACAGCAACCTGAGGTCAGTATCATTGTCTCAGTTTTATAGATGAGGCTGTAAATTTTGAGAGGAAGTGTGACTTACTCAAGGACTCTAGTTTATAATTGAGGGAACCAGGTTCACACTCAAATTCAATTCAGGGAGACACTTGACATCTATATTAGCTTTCTAGAACTGCCATAAAAAAATTACCATTAACATCTAAATTCATTGTCCCATAGTTTCTGGAGTTTGAAAGTCTGAAATCAAGGTGTTGGCAGGGCTATGCTCCTACTGAAGGCTGTAGAGAAGCATTCATCCTTGTCTCTTCCTAGCTTCTGGTGGCTCCCAGCAATATGTGGCATTCCTTGACCTGTTGCATTCCTCCAATCTCTGGATTCCCTTCCACGTGTATCTCTGGATTCCCTTCCACGTGTATCTCTGTGTGTCCTCTCCCTCTCTTTATATATTCGCCAGTCATTGGATTTAAGGCCTGCCCTAATCCAGTTTGATCTCATCTTCGATTAACTAGTTATATTTGCAAAAACTCCATTTCCAAATCAGGTCACATTCTGAGGTTCTGGATGGACATAAATTTTGGGAGAGACACTATTCACCTCACTATCATACCTTTGTAGAGGGCTAGATATTATGGACCAGAAATAATTGTAATGAACCATTCATAATAAATATTATTATTGAAGGGCTGTTCATAAAACAAGGTATATCATTCGGAATGATGATCAACCACAAAACAATAACTGCAGTGTGAGAATTGTGTATCCCTTGATATTACTGTGTGTGTTGTGTGACCATCATGCTCTTGCCTGTATGTATGATGTGACTTTCTCCAGGAAATAGCTTTCAGGGGTAGATCCGACTATAGTCAGTGTGTTGATTTGCACCTTTACTTCAAAGCCTTGAGAAAACCTACAAAGTCCAGGATGACAAGGCTAATACTGCATTTGATTTACTTCCAGGAGAGATTTCCATCTTTAATAAAAGATAAAGGCTCATATGCGTTCGAGAAGAAAAAAGGCAACAAATAGATCTGGTCAGTTGTAGCTTCTGGTTCAGATCAAACCGGATAAGTCTAATAAATGTGAGTCCTATGCTTTCACCCCATCCATACTGGTGCTGCAGGAAAATAGCTGTGTATTTTATGTCCCTTCAAATGTTTACTTTTGCACAAAGATGAGTGTTTGGAGGACATGGAAGACTGGCAACCTGCTTTAGAACAAAGATGAGGGAGGAGAATAAGTTCCCTAACACAATATTAAATGGAAAATAACCACTGCTCTCCCTAACTCTCCTATTGCCCTTGTTTCTCTCAGAGTCAACCTTTGCTACTCAAAGACTATCTATCTTTGCTCTACATGTCAAGAGACTTGATATATTGTTAAGTAGGTAAGCAGAATCCTGAACCTCAGCCAGTGTCCTCCCTGTCCCTTCAGAGCCATGGGGACAGTAATGACCTCCTGGGGAAGGACCTTCTCATTTGACTAGAGCTACTTTTGTTGTAAATTGCTAAGCAAGGATGGGGCATAGCAAACCCTCTGTAAATGTCAGCTGCCATCTGTATCCTCATTTCACAGATGATAAAATGAAGGCTCAGACAAGGCATTCATTTAAAAAAGGCAAAACACTTTAGGGAATGCTTTTAAGTTGCTGTGGCACACAGAATTGGAATCTATACTAAAACGTTTAGTAAAGATTTTAATAAAGTTGCTGCCCAACAAAGAATAATAACTTCATCTTTTAACCTTAAAATTAAATGAAGGCACTCGACTAAAGTGAAAGGTAAAATCTTCAACATCTCCTTATTTCAAACCTTGCATGATTTCTTTAGAGGCAAAGATGTAACCACGCCAGAAAAAGTAGAGTCCAGAAAGCATTCAGAGGTAAGTAAATATTTTGAGTCCTACCCCGGGAGTGGATGGATGCTCAAGCTTCGGGTCCATCGGATGTTTCTGATCTGCATAAACACCACAGCGCCCTGTGAGTTGCCATGTGTGTTGGTTGAATAGCCAGGTACTGCTGGCTCCAGTACTGAAAGGGAGGTCCAGCAGAATTGATGCTGTTCTTTATATTGTCCTCTGTGGAACGTCTTCTCACTGACATAGATTTGAAGCATGGCAGCCCGGAGGTTTGGTGAAAGACCCAGTATAATAATTTATTATATTGTGTGAGAGTCTAGGACCCTGGCCTGGGTGCAGGTGTAAGGAAGGACAGGCTGAGAAAG
Organism: Homo sapiens; assembly: GCF_000001405.40. Classification (NCBI taxonomy): domain Eukaryota; kingdom Metazoa; phylum Chordata; class Mammalia; order Primates; family Hominidae; genus Homo; species Homo sapiens. The sequence goes on from NC_000003.12 coordinate 3,543,680, forward strand.
TCAACAAGAGACAGGGTGCTGTCAGAGAAAATTAGTTGAACAGGGTGGAGTTGGAGAGAGGAAAGGAAATTAAACTGATAAGGAGAACTGGGCAAGTGTAGTTAATCTAAAGGCCCAAGGCAAGGTGATATAGACTTCATGAAAGAAGGTGGCTCACAAAATCTGAGTTTAGGTGGCTCAAAATGGAAGGCAAGATGTGGTACCCACAGTGAGATTCACATTCTGGGGCACAGCTCTAAGTACTCTATAGAAATGCCTGCTGCTTTGGCTATGGGGTACAGGGAGTTAGATAGTCCTCAAGCATGCTTAGATAGGTTCTTACAAACTTTATCCCCTTTCAGAGGCTTTTTACTTATTCATTACTTCAATGACCATTATATCTACGTGATTTGAGTACGGTATTAAGAACTATGCCACTTTTAGGTTAAAAATGTGAGGTGCTATTGACTTTTAGTTTTCTTTTTAAGGCCAATACACAATTGAACAATTGCCAATTTACTACTATGTGATGGGCAAATATTGAGTAGATTGTGAATAAAATTGAGAACCTACCCTCATGGAACTTACCATCAAGGTCACATGGCTGGTTGGCAGCGTATAGAGATAATCACATCTTCCGATTCATAGTTCTGTTTCCCTGACGCCCTTCTAATCTCTTAATTGAATATACAATTCTCAAAACTGACAGGGAAAGTATTAACTATGCAACAGAAGGCAAAACAGAGAAAGTAGATGAGTTTCTTGGTATCAACTGTTTCACACGAGGGCTAAATATTCAGAGATAATGAAGATAATACAATAAATGTGATTAAACTATTTCTTTCTTTTTTTTCTTTGAGACAGAGTCTCGCTCCGTCACCCAGGCTGGAGGGCGGTGGCGCCATCTTGGCTCACTGCAAGCTCCGCCCCCCGGGTTCCCGCCATTTTCCCGCCTCAGCCTCCCGAGTACCTGGGACTACAGGCGCCCGCCACCGCGCCCGGCTAATTTTTTTGTATTTTTAGTAGAGACGGGGTTTCACCGTGTTAGCCAGGATGGTCTCGATCTCCTGACCTCGTGATCCGCCCGCCTCGGCCTCCCGAAGTGCTGGGATTACAGGCGTGAGCCACCGCGCCCGGCCGTGATTGAACTATTTCTTATTGACTATGTTAAAATTGGTATATTTCTAGAATAGAAAACAAAGCAAAAAAAAAAAGTGTCATTTAAATGTTTATTGAAAAACTACTGGCTGAGCGCGGTGGCTCCCGCCTGTAATCCCAGCACTTCGGGAGGCCGAGGCGGGCGGATCATGAGGTCAGGAGATCGAGACCATCCTGGCTAACACGGTGAAACCCCGTCTCTACTAAAAATACAAAAATTATCCAGGCGTGGTGGCGGGCGCCTACAGTCCCAGCTACTCGGGAGGCTGAGGCAGGAGAATGGCGGGAACCCGGCGGGCGGAGCTTGCAGTGAGCAGAGATGGCGCCACCGCCCTCCAGCCTGGGCGACAGAGCCAGCCAGACTGTCTCAAAAAAAAAAAAAAAAAAAAAAAAGAGAAAGGAAAAGAAAAAGAAAGAAAAGAAAAGCTACCATAAGCCCAGTTGTGGCTATAGTGATAAACAAATAGGCATAATCCTTGCCATCCTAGATTTTTACTAACAGGAGAGATAGACATTAAAAAGTTTCTATACTTTGGAAGTGGATATTAACCATACATATGAAAGAAAACACTTAACAATGAGCACACAGTACTTTTATAATAAAAGGGAAATAACTTGAGGATGCCAGCTAGTACAAGTTGCCACATGGGAAAACAGTTGTAGTTTAGAAAAGCCTAGAAGATGTAACTACAGGATTATTTACAGAACGCTGCATGACACTGCATTCTGATTTCATGTCATAACGTGATGATTGAAGGCTTCAATGTCAGAGTCAAATTTAGATCTCCCACTCAGAGATTATGGTAATCAGAATCCTTCTGTCACTGAATCCCATACTATTTGAAATACACTGCACTCCAGCAGTGAAATGACAATATGAGGATATAGAGTATAAGTTTGATTTTTCTCTTTCTTATCTTTTCTAAGGAAGTTTAAGAATTTTTCCTGGGCCAATTAAAAAAAAAACCAACAGGATGCATCATATTTTATCTAAAACTACTTTATCCTTTTCTGACATGCGTAGAAATTTCAGCCAACACTGAAGTAGAAAGAGAGGAACAGAAAGGACCATGTGCATTAAAATGCCAGCTCTTCCATATGTAAAATCCCAGCTCTTCTTATAAATGGAATGCACCGTACTGCACATTCTCTTAGTTGTTTAAATGAGTACGAAGAAAAATCCTAGCATAGTCCCTGTCACAGAATTAAATACTCAGTAAATATTATTCCAGAGGAATTTATTTTTCTATGTGGTATGAAGTATTAATCAAATCTGCTTTTCTAAATGCAAGCCAATTTATTCCAACATCCATTAATAAGCATCCACTTCCCCCACTAAATTTTTGATTCAAAGTTTTAAGTTACAAAAGTAAAGTACATTTGTTGCAAAAACTTCAAATAATTCAACAAAAGAGAAAAAAAGTTTTGGTCACTCTCTCAAAGGAATTCTGAACACATCTCCTAAAGTATTTTTATGTGTGTTTAAATACATTTAATTACAATACTACACACACGTGTGCATATATGATTTCCACTTTAACAAATTGGATCACACTATACTTACAATTCTGTTATTTATTTCTGTCACCCAATATTATACCTCAAAAATCCTCCCATGGCAATGTATATAGATCCACAGCACTCTTTTTAAGATCTGCTAATATGTAGAAATATATGCACATATGTATTTATGTATATATATTTGATGTGATATAAGACATTTTATTTAATATGATGACCAATGTAATTATAATTGGCTAATGAAATTTCTTTTTTTCTGCATATTATCATCCATAGTTATGAAGGTTTTTTATATAAAACCCCACAGTCATGCAAAATTCTATTTATAGACTTCTTTTCTGGTGCTTAGATAGAAATTAGTGTTTTTCAGCCTTTACCTAGATTTTAAAGACTTACCCACAATCTGGAAACTCAATGATAGAAGATAAATAAAGATCTATAGAACACTTTTTTTAACCTAAAACAAACGGGTATTAGAACTTACACTAGATTATATTTCTTTTTGTCTGAAAGGATTGCTCTGCTTTTATAACCCACTTTTTGGAAATCTGAAAAGGGTGTCACAGGAAAATTGTAGCATTTCCTTCATTAGCAATCCTTAAAATAACAATAATTAATCTGGTGGCTTAGCTTGAGTTTGGTCTTTTTTACTTTGTATTTATGTGTATTTTAAAAGTAATCCATATTTATTATAAAAAAAGTACTGAAAGTTGTAAACTAAAAACTAAAGTCTCTTAAACTCAAAAACTACCATTTCCATACTCTATAGCTAAGCACTCCAAATAGAAAGCTATTTATTTTAAAAGTCAACTTAAATTTGGCATCCTGAATTCTCATATTTCTATGGGTCTTTCTTCAATTTCTATTTCTATATCACACAGTTTTGATTACTGCACAGTGAAAATATGTTTTGAGAGAAGACAACCCCCTCATCATTATTTTTCTCTTTCAAAACTTACTTGGATAGAGTTTCAAATTTGCTTTTCCAGATGAAGTTTAAAATCAATTTGTCAATTTCTCCAACAACCATGGAAAAAAAGAGAAAAATTTGATTATTTGAATTAATATATTAATTGAAAGAATTTAAATTCAAAAATGCTGAATCTATATATGAAAAGATATGCTATTGTGCTATTTTTTTTTCAATTAATTCAGATCTATGTCCTTCAAAAAAAACTTTGTAATCTTGGCATTGCACATTTATTGTTACATTTGCTGTTAGATATTTATTTATTTTACATTTGCTCTTAGATATTTATTTATTGTTACACTTGCTCTTAGATGTTTAATAACTTGTAATGTTAATTTGAAAGCAAATGTTTTATTATGCTGAAACAACTTTGAGATATATTTGACGTACAGTAAATTGTACATATTTGAAGTGTGCGATTTGATATATATATATTTTCTACACCTATGGAACCATTACCACAATCAATACAATGAACATATCAAACACACCCCCAGATTTTGTGCCTCTTTGTAATCTTTCTCCTTTCTCAAATACTGATCTGTCTTCTGCCATTATGGGTCAGTTTGGATTCTCAAAAATTTCTGTAAATGAAATCATAACATATGCATTCTTTTCTCTGGTTCCTTTCACTTAGCACAATTATTTCGAAATTAAACCATGGTGGTTAGTTTGGCAGTTTGTTAAGAAGTTGACATACACCTACAGTATGACCCAGAAAATATATGTAGGTATCCAAGAGAAATGAAAACATATGTCCATATGTATGAATGTTCATACACCTTTATTTGCAAGTGGATATCCAGTTGTTCCAGCATCATTGGTTGAAAAATCTACCCTTTCTTTTTAAATTACCTTTCATCTTTTGTCAAAGATCAAAACTGTATTTCTGTGCTTTTATTCCATTAATCTATGTGTCTATTCTTTCACCAATACCTTACTGTCTTGATTACTACATTTTATAGTAAGTTTTGAAGTCAGTATCAGCTCTCTAATTTTTGTTGTTCCTCAATTTTGTGTTGAGTATTCTGGGTCTTTCTCCTCCACATATAAACTTTAAAATCATTTTGTCAGTATCCACAAAATAACTTGCTAAGATTCTTATTGGGATTATGTTGAATCTATAGATCAAGTTAGGAAAAACTGACATCTTAATATTTTCTATCCATGAACATAGACTATCTATTTAGTTCTTTTCTGATGTCTTTCAGTTTTCTTTTAGTTTTCCTCATACAAATCTTGTACATATTTTGCTAGATTTATATATAATTTTATTTTGGCACTAATGTAAATGGTGTTGTGCTTTTAATTTCAAATCCCAATTGCTTCATGCTGGCATATAAGGAAGCAAATGATATTTATTAACCTTGTATACTGAAACCTTGCTATAGTCACTTTTTCATCCCAGGAGTTTTCTGGTTGATTCTTTCATTCTATATAAACAATCAAGTCATCTGCAAACAAAAACAGTTTTATTTCTTCCTTTCCAATCTTTATATATTTTATTCCCTTTTCTTGTTTTATTGTATTAGCCAGGACCTTCAATATGATGTTAAATAGAAGTGGTGAAAAGGGACATTCTTGTCTTGTTCTTAGATGTTAGTGGGAAGGCATCTAGTTTCTCACTACTAAGCGTGATGTGAAATGTGGGTTTTGTAGATGTTCTTTATCAATTAAGGAAGTTCCTCTTTAATCCTAATTTACAAAGAATTTTTCATTCTAAGTATTTGCTAATTTTCCTTGTGATTTCTTCTTTGATCCATTTGTTGTTTAAGAGTTAACTCTTTAATTTCTATATGCTTTAATATATTTTAAAATCTTTGAGACTTAATTTATTAATACATTGGCCTAATACATTGTCTATCCTGGAAAATGTCCCATGTGCACTTGAGAAGAGTGTGTATGTTGTTGTTGGGCAGAGTGTTGTTTTTAGGTCTCTTAGATCGAGGTGGTATACTGTCCTGTTTAAGTACTCTCCATATGCATCTTCTCTCTGGCTTTTCTATCCATTATTGAAAGCACAGCATTAAAGTTTCCAACTAATACTGTACAATTATCTATATTACCCTTCCATTTTGTCAGTCTTTACTTCATAAATTTAGATGATCTCTCATTATGTGGGCAAATATTTATAATTGCCATAGCTTCTTGCTGTATTGAAATTTTATTAATATATAATGTTGTCTCATCTTCTTAAATTTTGTTTGGTATTAATATAGTTACCCCTGCTCCTTTTGATTACTATTTGCATGGAGTATTTTTTTTCATCCTTTTACTTTCAATTTATTTGTGTCTTTGGATCTAAAGTCCATCTCTTATAGACATCACGTAGTTGTATTGTGTGTTTTAATTCAGTCTTCTAATCTCTGTCTTTTGTTTGGAAGCTTTAGTCCATTTACATTTAAAGTAATTACTGATAAGAAAGGGCTTACCTGTCATTGTATTTGTTTTCTATATGCCCTATAGCTTTTTTTGTCCCTCATTTCCCACATTACTCTCTTCTTTTTAGTTGACTGCAGTGAAATGTTTTGATTTCACTTCCTTTTGTGCATATTCTATAGCTATTTTTGTGGCAAATATGGATATTACATTTAACATTCTGAAGTTTTAACACACTTTGAATTTGTAACCAGCTTGACTTCATAGCGTAAAAAACTCTGCTCCTTTGTATTTCTATCCCCACCCTTTTGGTTGTCGTCACAAAATTATGCCCCTCTCTCTATATATGTATGCTCTAAAATATAACAATAATTCTTTTAATGCACTAGTTTCTTAAATCATGTAGAAAACAAAATGTGGACTTACACAACAAAGTTACTAGCTTTTACATTTCATAATTTTAAAAAAGTATTAGTCTCCTAAATCATGTAGAAAACAAAAGGGAGTTACATATAAATGGCACAATAATATAATCCTGTGTATTTACCTTTACTGAGATCTTTTCTTCTTTATACAATCTCTAGTTATTGTCTAATATTCTTTCATTTCACCTTGAAGTCTCCCTTGAGAATTTCTTATAGGGCAGGTCTCATGGTAACAACTGTCTCAGCTTTTGCTTATATGAGAATATCTTAATTTTTCTCTTACTTCTGAAGGACAGTTTTTCTAGATATAGTAATCTTGGTTAATAGTTTTTTCTTTTAGCACTTTGAATATATAAGCTCACTATCTTCTGATGTCCAAAGTTTCTAATGAGAAATTTTCTGCTAATCTTATTGTGGATCTCTTGTATGTGAAATCTTGATTCTCTCTTGTGGCTTTCAAGATTCTCTTTGTTTTTTGAAAGTTTGATTGTATCGTATTTCTGTGGGTCTCCTTGAGTTCATCTTATGTGGAGTTCATTAAGCTTCTTGGATGTTTATATTCATGTCTTTCATCAAATTTGGGATGTTTTCAGCCATTATTACTTTAGATATTCTCTCTACTCCTTTCTCTTCTCCCAGGACTCCCACAATGCATGCCCCACATGTCTCTTAAGCTCTGTTCACTTTTCTTCAATCTCTTTTCTGTTCTTCAGACTTGAAGATTTCCATTGTCCTAGCTTTGATTCTGCTGATCCTTTATTTTGGCTGCAAAATCTGCCTTTGAATCTCTCCAATAAATTTTTTATTTTGGCTATTATACTTTTCAGCTCCAAAACTTCAATTTGGTTTCTTTTTAGGTTCTCTCTATTAATATTTTCATCTCGTTCATAAACTATTTTCTTGACTTTCTCCACATCTTCCTTTATTTGTCTGATGATCTGTAAGACAGCTGTTTTAAAGTTTTTTTCTAGCAGAGCTTCTATCACATCTTTTTCAGAGACAATTTCTGTTGATTTTTGTTTTCAGTGTGCCATACTTTTCTGGTTTTTTTATATGACTCATAATTTTTTGTTAAAAAAATGGACATTTGGATCTAATAATAGTAACTCTGGAAATCAGTCTCCCCTTTCCTTAGGGTTGCTGTTTTTGTTTTTGCTTATTTATTTATTTATTTTTGATTGTTGCAGACTTTCTCTGTGCCAAGCATCAGCCTAAGGTGTAAACTCAGGTCTGCTCAGGTCTTTTCTGAGCCTGTGCCTTTCCTGGGGCATGCAAGATCACTTTCTAATCTTCCCTGTATATGCATTTATTTCTAATTGTCTTACTCTTTAATGTCTTGCTCCCAAAATGGGGGAAAAGAAAAATAAAGAGAGGAAAAATGTGATGCTGGTCTTTTAAATCCTCTGTGAGTCACTTCAGATAGAAGGGAAGGGCTTGCAACAATAGGAGGAGTTGCAACAACCATGGCCTCCCACCTCTCTGTCTGCACCTCTGCGATTAAAAGCAATAATGAGCAATCAGAACACTGATATTTGGAAGATAAGGCCTTTCTTTGTACACCCTGTCTCTTATGAGCTGTGTACAAATTACTCCAAAAATATGTGCAGACTGCCTGTCAAGGGGGTGAGAGATGCATAACTGTTACCATTCTAAGGACTAAAATCAATTGAAATTAACTACACTTTATTTCCCAAGCCTTCCCCTAGAAATTGCAAGCTTTCAATAGACTTCAGAATTCCAAAATAGTTACACCATCAGACGGATTCTGCCACTGCAATTATTGCCTGGGCAAGGGAGACAATTGCCCAGTGCTTCCTATTCTGCCATCTTTCCAGAATTCTCTTTTGCCCAATTTTTAATTGTTTTTTTATTTTTCATTGTCAATAGATTCAAATTTACATATAAAAATACTCATTTTATTAATAGTTGATTAAAAATAGTCTAAAAGTTGTTGTTTGGGAGTATGTGGAAAAATAGGGCCCCCCCCAATTGTTAATAATTAAGTACAAACATTTTTAGAAGGCAATTTGATGAATGTGCTAACACTTTTTTAAAACATGGGCATAATGCCTGGATCCATGAATTCCTTTCCTATGGCTCAGTCTGATGGAATAACTTACACAAGTATAAATGATATATAGACTAAAACTACTTACTAAAAGTAGTTTTATTTATAATATTGCAAACAAGACAACAATCTATATATTCATCAAACAGAGATTGGAAAATAAAACATATTTGTAAAATGGGATACTGGGAAGTATTACAGAGTAAATCTGTGGTCCTGGTCTAAAAGAATGTATGTATGTATCTTTTAATTAAAGCAAGAAAGTAGTTACAGAATGATGTAAAACCTTTTTGTCATCTCTATACACATATATCACACATATCTATTTGCAAGTTTACATATATATTACATATGCAAATATATTTTACATGCAAAAAATTCCTGAAAGTAGATTACCTAGCTTCTAACATTTAAAATTTTTATTCGTGCTTTTGAATTTTTGAAGAGTATACATTACTTTTATCATTAAAAACTATTAGTTCCCTTCCTTATAGTTACATAATAATACAATTAACATTTGCTTATAATATTTTGCAGGTCAAATACTAAGTGCTAAAAGTGTCATCTTATTGAATCTCAGCATTACCCTGTCAGGTGCATTTTGTTGTGATCCGCATTTTACATTTGAGAAAAGCAACCTTGGAGCAGTTCTCTGCTTTCCCCGTGGTTGTGTGGGCAGTCAGCTGTGGAGCCAGCAGGATCCAAGTTTAAGGCCCGGCTCTGGCACTTGTTGCTAATTGAAAATATGCCTTTACCATTACTCATGGTAAGTAGGTAGCATGACCTTAGTAGATTAACACTGACAGATTTTCTTCTCATATGATTGGAATGCCTAATTCTTTTGTGTTTTGTGGTTTTCCCCTTACAACAGAATGGAAGAAAGTCCTGAAAAACATTCTGGCATTTTAAAAAAAGATCTGAAATGTGCATATTTTTCAAAAACTTAAGTTTTCAAATAAGATAATTCTCAAATCCAGGGCCATCAATGTTGCATCTTCCAACAGAAGATAGATAATTACTTAGGGTTTCTGGAAAATGCTGAGAAATATCTAGGAGTTAAAACACTGTTTTCAGTCCCAAATCTCCTGAACTACATTCCGGAAATCACCGTGCTTCTACAATTTCGGAATCAGCATACATATCCTCAATGCTCTGATTCATTTGTGGAAATATCAATTAGTCCTAAGATATGTCTTTTATTTTTGAAAACTCAACTTCAAAGGTATGGGAATAATTCCTGCATATGAACATGGCAAGGATTCTGGCTTAAAAGAATCTTCAGAGATGAATGACTTCTGGAAGCTGATTCAAAGCTTCAGGTGGACAAGCATGCATATTCAAGGGCTTCATTAAAGACCATCGCTTCGTTTTATCATCTGGTACTAACTCACAAAGACGTAAATGACTTTCCCAACAGGCTTCTGGCTAGTTTCTCAGAGCTTCAGCCCTTTTCTCTTTGGGGCCAAGACTACCTGTGTTTCCACCTGGAGTTATCATAGCAGAAGGACATGGGGTAGTATGCCCAGAGTGCCTTGAGCCACTTAAGCAATGGAGCTATTCCAGGACGGCAAGTTTACTTGTTGTTACATGATACAAAACTCTTTTAATAAGAAACTATAGGAAAACATATCATACAGCAGAATGACTACCCTAATAAGATTCTCCAGGGGTTTGACACCACTTACCTATGTATGAAGATGATGGAATGCCACTATTTGAGAACTTCTCCACTGTACCATATTCAACTCAGTATATTACATAATGGACACTTTATTTGTGAGCCAGCCTGGTTTAGGGTCTCCAGGGCATTCTAACTAATGCCCTGTTAAAACAAACTAGATGCCTATACACTGATTTGACAAGGCTAGTTATGAAGTCTTAAACAAAAATTTATTTTTCCACTACATATTACAGTGAATGAAATTCCTAGTCCAACCAAAACCTGAATCCACGCATGTAGACAAGAACTACAAGTTCAAATGAGATAATGAAAACAGTTAACATGTCAAGGTGAGGGAACTGTGGGGGTGGGTTTCCTTTCTTTATCATTTGATATAAATAGAAATCAAGAGAAAAAAGTGCACTCTGTAAAATTACCTACTTTGGGTAAGAGGTTTGAAGAAAGCAACATTGTACACAGACACTTTAGGAAGGCTTAGAATAGTTATTTTAGAGTCTAGAAGAAATGATAGAGATTATCTAGGTCATCACTGTCATCCTGCTGATGAAGTTGAGTGACTCTTTTAAGATCATACAGCTCATGAAAGAGCAGGAAATAAAACCAGCTCCTGACTGACTCCAAATCTGTTGTTCTTCTCCCTGTACATTCCTGCCCTAGCTGGTAGCATGCTGATATAAAGAACCTTTGTCATAGATACCTAGGAGGAGGCAAGTAAAGGGACGATACACACAGAGCAGGGAAATAAAATCCTACCAAAGAAAACTTGAACCATTTGATGATTTTATTTAGACTGCCTCAGATGAGAAACTGAGGCTCTTTGGTTTCTGAGTCCTGGAAAAAAAATTGGTAACATTATCACACATGGAATCAGAGATCTTAGAGAGCATGTGGTCTGACTCTTCTTAGACCTAGGAATCTGAGTACCAAAGAGCGGAGACATACTTAATTAGGGTCACACTGCAACTTGGATGAAGAGAGAGGACTCAAGTCCCAGTAGCCTAATTCTCAGATGATGGATTTTCTTCCATGGTATCATGTTCTCTCTTCTCCATACAGATGTATTAAAATAAAAAATAATGACAACAAAATGCCCCAAACCTACAATGGGCCAAAGAACAGCTCCAAATGTTGATAGGGTTTCCTCTTAAAAACCAATCAGCAACTACTGGGAAGGATAACTGACTTTATAAATGTCTGCTCCAAAGCAGTGAAAATGTTCTCAGGAGAATAAATAGCATCCATTTCTAAGGCTTAATTTACTCCTCAATCAATTCTCATCTACTGTGCTCCTGGGAAAACTGGATTACATGGATATTTGGTGCAAAATCAGTTCACGAACTCTGGATAACTTTCTCCCTTAATATTTTACTTTTGAGTTCCTGGATGCTCATTTTCTACTGTCAGAAAAACTAGAGCCTTCAGACATTGACTGGGCTTAGAACAGTTTTTCAGGATTATTATTCCTAGAAGACGTAAGTGATCAATATTGATGGATAATGTTATTACTAGTTGTTTTAATAGGCAAAAAGGATAAAAACAAAAGAGTTAGCAAACTGGACTTCTCAGCTTCTCTTAGTAGATGACTTCATGTACTGTGGTCACTCTTACGCCTTGATAAATCTATGCTCAGACTGGAGATCATGATAAGCTGACCTGCTTAATGGGCTTCATAGAGACCATCAAATAGAAACCCTGGCATGCAGAAACTTCATGATCAAGCTAATGGAGACATTATTGATGAAAATGCATGACTGTCTCCTGAACAGCAGGGCCAATGAATGCACAGTTATTTACTTCCAGAAAACTCTGAGACATAATTTTGCAGGAAGTTTTCGTAAAATTAAGTTTTTAGAGTTCCAGAGACCTGCATTCAAACCCAGCTCTGCCATTTTTCTACGAATATAGCTTACAGACTCTGAATAGGTAAGCTCCCTCAATTGTAAAATGTGAATGCTAGTGCCATCTTTCATTTTATTTAAATATTTTGAATACATATTATATATTCATGATACAAAATATATGTGGTACAAGAGTATCCAGTGAAACACATTATTCTTCCCTCCACTGATAGCCACAAAATGCTTCTCCCTGGCACAATGCCTGTTACCTAATTCATGAGTTCTCCTCTACAAATATTCCATGCATTTATAAACACACACATTTACACCCATACATATTTTAAAATTACATCTGAGTACTTATTTTTAGGGTTGTCAATTAGGCAAGTAGATAAAGCTTGTAAAGCATCCAGTCCCTAATCATATTATTAGTGGGTTTTTCAAAGTTCTTTAAAGAATCATTTACAATATACAATGTTTGCTAGTGCTCAAATTCTAGGAGCAGTAGCTGGAAGGAGGCCATTACCCACTGAGGAGAAAGAACTTCTGACGTATCACTCAGCTGACACACTGGAAGGCATCGATGATGCCGGCCATCTGTTTCTTTTTCTTCCACTGCCAGAGTATCATAAATTATCTTCTGCAGCAATCAAGTTCTACCCCTTTCTGTAGCAAGGGTCTATGGTGGAAGAAATACATCAAGCTAAACACAGTTGGAGACATCCAACTGTCTAGGTCACCCTATTGATGGAAATAGTTGCAAAGGAAGTTTAGGTGAATCTTGGAAGCCAAACTGGATTTCTTAAGAACTTTAAATGAAGCTGCACCATTGAATTCAACTTAAAAGAATATCTTGAAACATGCAAAGACAAGAATATAGTCTTAAAACTATTACATATTAGAGTTGGAAGGTCTCTACATATAGAAAGCATTATTGTTCCTTATTCTCACCTTTCCTATGTTCATGTCCCTTGACATGATTTTCCATTTTTCCCCCTAGAGGCAGAATCCACCTCTTTGATTCTAGTCTTAACCACATGGCATGCTTTGGTCAAAAGAATGTAGGTGAAAGGGACAGTGACACAGTTTTGGGCTCAGACATTAATGGTTATTGAATGTTTCTACCCACTCATTTGCACTTTCTGCCCTCACCATGAGCGGATTCCCCCTTGTGTTACCCAGTGGCCCAAGAAGGATGAAAATCACATTGAGCATCAGAACTGGATCCTACCTAGAACACAGACATGTCAAGGCTAGATCAGCTGAACCCCAGTCAATCTGCAAATTTATGAGTTAGGATGATAACAATTTAAGTCAGAAAATTTGATGTGCCTTGCTATATAGGATTATCATGGCTACAGCTGATTATAACTCTCATAGATCACTCCTAAAGGGGAAGGAATGTTTCTATGTTTCAGCTTAGCATAGTGACAAGTGCATAATAGACACTTATGTTTGTTGCATTGTATTGAACCTAATGCAGCAGCTTATTTTCAAATGAAGATCCTTCTGGGTTTACAGAGGAATGACGTATTGTCTAAGGAGTATTACACAGTTAAGTAGCAGGAAATGTAGAACTGGATTTCCCTATCCCCCAAGCTAGGGGACAATGACCTTCAAAAGCAGGGCTTCTCAACCTTTTCACTATTGACATTTGGGGCCATCTCTAATCTCTACACACTAGATCCCAGATATGTAAAAACCAAAAACGTCTCCAGACATTGCCAGATATACCAAGTAGAGCAAAATTGTCCGTAGTTGGGAACCAATGAACAACTACAACACTTTTGACTAGATAATTTTTAACTGCTAAAACATATGCTTAAAAGAATGCAGACTGGATAAAATATAAGGGTAACTGATATCTTACTCATATAAGTTTTGTTACGAGTATTTAAGACACTGGAAATCATAGTTATGAGTTAACTAAAGACCAACTTGGAACCTAAATTAACCACCTTCATCAACTACAGAGTGGAGCACAAGGCAATTCTTTGTAGTTAAAACGATTTTAGAAATAGAATTTTAGATGCTCATTCTTATGGATCCATTCTGTCTTCCTGGTATTCTGGTCATTTTTACCATTTTCCTTATTACACCTCAGAAAAAAAGTCTGCAGGGCCAGGCCAGGGAATAAGAAAATCCCTTTTCTTTGTTAAGATTTTCCTAATTCTTGATCAAGACTTGAAAGCTCTCTTGGCTCATTCATCCCTACCGGCTATCTGACGGCACTGACATCACCCCAGCATTGGGGCTGCACTTACCTCGGCATACGATGGAACTCATTAGCTCATCATATACATTTCTTATCCTATTAGCCACTGATACCTTCTGTAACAGTGCTTCTTCTATCTACCCATTAGAATTTCGAGGACTGCTTCCATAACACACAGATGCTTAGCCTCACCCCAGACCATTTAAATTTAACTTCCTGGAAATAAAGCTGAACACTAGTCATTTAAAAAAAAATCCCCGTGTAATTTCATTGTGCAGGCAGGATTGACAACTACTGTTTTAAAACATACATCATATGAGGTCACATTTAGTTAAAGAAACAACCACATCAAGAACACCGAAAGCTCTTACCATGACCCATAAGGGTCCTACAAGATCTAGTCCCTGGCTATCCCTCTTTCACCTCTAACCACTCCCCCAACCCTCTCTGCTCAGCCACACTGGTCTCCCTGTTACCCATGATGTGCTTCAAGTAGGACCTTTGTCTCAGGATCTCTGCTTTTTACATCTCTTGTCCTAGAATATTCTTTCCCAGATGTTCACATGGTCCAAAACCTGACCTTGCGCCCAGGTGATTCCTCAGATACCCATTCCCCAAGATGCTTTCCCTAACCTCTCTACAGAAAAGAGCACCTTTTTCTCTGCAACCTCACCAGCATCTGTTGTTTCTTGCCTTTTTAATAATCACCATTCTCACTGGCATGAGATGGTATCTCATTCTGGTTTCTATTTGCATTTCTCTGATGATCAGTGGGAAGGTGAATTAGTTCAACCACTATGGAACACAGCGTGGTGATTCCTCAAAGATCTAGAAGGAGAAATACCATTTGACCCAGCAATCCTGTTACTGGGTATATACCCAAAGAAATAGAAATAATTCTATTACAAAGATACATGCATGCGTATGTTCATTGTGGCACTATTCACAATAGCAAATACATGGAATCAACAAAAATGCCCATCAATGATAGACTGGATAAGGAAAATGTGGTACATATACACCATAGAATATTATGCAGCCATAAAAAGGAATGAGATCATGTCTTGTGCAGGAACATGGATGGAGCTGGAAGCCATTATCCTCAGCAAACTAAGGCAGGAACAGAAAACCAAATACTGCGTGTTCTCACTTGTAAGTGGGAGCTGAACAATGAGAACACATGGACACAGGGAGGGGAGCAACACATACTGGGGCCTGTCAGGAGTGGGGTTGGGGGAGGGAGAGCATTGGGAAAAATATCTAATGCAAGCTGGGCTTATTACCTAGGTGATGGGTTGACAGGTGCAGCAAACCACCATGGCACACATTTACCCACGTAACAAACCTGCACATCCTACATATGTACCCCAGAACTTAAAATTAAAATTATTAAAAGAAAAGAGCACCTTTTAACTCTACCCCCCAAGCTTTGCTGTGTTTCTTCAGGGCACTTATTAAAATATGACTTAGATACATGTGTATATTTGTTCATTTTCTCCCTCCCCATGAAGGCAGGGACCGAACATGTTTTGGTTCACTTCAATACACCCAGCATCTGTATCAGTGCCCAGAACCTAGAAAGAACTCATAAAACATTTGCTGAAAGATTTTAACAAGAACTTTAAAATATGTTTATGTTTATTCCAATTCAGGCACTGGATTAGGTGCTTTTTAACATGATTACCTCATTTCTTCTTCAGGGGAAGTCTCGTTTTTCTTAATTAAAAAACTTGAGGATAAGAAAAGTTAAGAAAAACACACAAAGTCAAATACATAATAAGTTCCAACACCATAATTAGAACCCAGGATTTTTTCATTCCCACACTCGTTTTTCCCTCTAACAGAACAGCCCTTTGACTTAGGTTCTTTTCTTGGGCAGAGTATAGAGGGGGAACACTCAGGGCGCTGGGCAACTTGGGTTTGTAATGGCCACCATAAAGCTCTGACTGTGAGCAAAACAATGACTATTCTTTGACCCTAGTTTTCTTGCCTGTAAAATAATTGGTTTGAACAACTTCATATTTAAGAACCCTGCAGAGCTTGAGAATTCTACTGTAGACAAGTCTGGACTTGTTCTATGTGGCCATAGACTGCAGAACCACCAGGGAAAAGATGACAAAGATCCACATTCAGGTCAACATGAAAATTCCATTTCTAACAAATGCAGCTTTCTGAAAGGTGGCCAGGCTTCCATGAGGGGTGGTCAGTCTCTATAGCTGTGAGGTTCAATCTCGTCTTCAGGGAATAGCCTGAAGAGCCTTCTTCCTTGCATTGGGGTTGAACTTGAAAACTTCTGAGTTCCCTACAGATTTTGTGATATTTTATTTTTCATAGACACTATGTTTGTTAAATAATTATGACTCTGCTTTGCCGGCCTGTCACAGCATAGAGAAACGACCTATCTCTATCTTGTCCTGAAATATAGGCCTCAGCAAACAATATGGAGTCATGGACCACAGGCATCCTGTGTTCTGCCATTGCAGGGAGGTAATTACCACAATGCCCCTTCATTCCACACTCTTCCTGGGCCAATCAGCTTCCCTCATGAGGAGAGGGCAGCCATTCAGCATTCAGATACTCTGAAGAACAAACTGACAGCTTGGATCCCAGCAGTTGGTTTGATTATCCCCTTAGAGAGAGTGTGCAGTTGAAGTCTCTCATGGAAAATAAGTCAAGGTGGGAGAAGATTCCAAGTTGTTTATTTATAAGTGAGAGCTTCATCTTCAAACAGCTTTGAGAGGAAGCCTGTCACTAAGGACTGAACTAAATTTTCCATTCCAAGACTTAATTCTCTTTAGGGCTTAACAGTCTTTCCTGCTGCTGCTATTTCCAGAAATAACCAAAATGCCTACAGAGTGATGTCAATGGCACCAGTGATCAGATAACAGCCTGCACTGTGAACTAACAGATGAAGCTTTTCTGTTAAATCTAAAACAAACTGCAGAAACCCTGAATACTTTTCTTTCGAATCAGCATGAAATGGACCATATATATATATATATAAAACTTATGCTCTAATTTTGCCTTGAATTGTTATTCTTTGGGCTAGGGTTTATAACCTCTTCGAGTCTACTCGAAAGTGGTGACATTTAAATGATGATGTCTTCTGTTCTCCAGAAATGCTGTTAGAAGCAAACTACAGCTTCAAAGAATTATTTCCCAAAGGCAAAATTGCTGCTGACACTATTTAAGAAATACTACTTGGGTTTGGCTCAGCACGGTTAAGTAGACACAAAGGAAGGGAATGTTTACCCAGCTCCAAAGGGACAGAAGGAAAGAGTACATCAGCACAGTTTTGTCTGTGGAATTCAGAGCACAGGTTGGGGCTTAGTATCAAAAATCTCATCCATGCATCAGTTCTTCAATCTGCCTTCTCTATTACTTTCCATAACTCTAATAAAGAGAGGAAATTTAGTCGCATGTCACATGATGTCTTGCCACACTTATATTGCTATCATTTCCTTTCTGAACCATTAAGCAAGTATTTTGACTTTTCCTCCTCTGGATGTATTAGTTTTCCTGTGCTGCTGTAACAGACCACCATATACTTAGTGGCTTAAAACAATACAAATTTACAATCTCATAGTTCTGTAGATCAGAAGTTGGTATGACTCTCACCAGGCTAAAACCAACAGGCTGGCAGGGCTGTGTTTCATTTTAGAGGGTCTAGGGGAGAATCTGTTTCCTTGCTCATTTAGGTTATAGGCAGAATTCATTTCCTTTCAATGTAGGACTGGGGTCTCTATCTTCTTAATGACTGACAACTGAGGTCCATTCCCAGCTTGCAGAAGTTGCCTATGTGTCTTGGCTTGTTACCCCTTCTTGAACATGCAAAGCCAGCAATGGCTGGTAGATCTGTTGTAACCTGGATTATGAGAATAATACTAAGGTAGTACTTGCATTGGATTAGAGGACCCTCTAGGGAAAAAGGAGACTTTAAGACAGGGAGACTTCATTACCACTGGCAGTAAAAGGCCCTTAATTTACAAGAGCTAGTCAAATAGTCCTTGTGGAAACTCTAGGATTTGCAGTACAGATGTGTCTCAGGTCAAGGTCAGATCTATCCTATTTCAGTCTAGGCAGAAGTGCAATAAAAATAGAATAAATGTGGGAGTTTATAAAAAGCTACATTCAGCTAGATCTCTACAACCTATTTTTATGCCATATGTATATTAGCATTATCAGGAGAAATGCACTTTTAGATATAACATTATTTGTGAACACTAAAAGCTTTCATCAAAATATTTCCAATGACTTTGGAAATTTGTTGGTAAGGAGAAATATATGAACTATATTTGAACCTGAAGTTAACTTTATTTGCATTTCCATTTTCTTGTTTTACTCAACAAAGTGTTCCAGAGTTTCCAGCAAATGCCTTGTCATTATTGATTTTGAAGTAGGAAATGAATGTTTAAAAACTATAATTCTGGAAGAATAGTATATGTATATGTGTGTGTGTGTATATATATATATATATATATACACACACACACACACACACACACACACACACACACACACACACACACGGAGAGGGAGAGATGGACAATCTATACATAGGCCATATAGTATATGTATATATATATTCTAGATGCTGAGACTAATGCAAAGCTATCGATTCAGATTAGATTAAAACATAGGATATTAGTATGTATCTGTCCTTTAAGTTTCAATTTTGTCCAGTACATTGAAGTTAAACTTACCTTGCCTTGAAACAAACTAAAGGAAATAAAGATGAGTACCTTATGAGGCTTACATTGACCACTGCGAAAAGAGCAGGGTTCCCACTCCTTCACATGTTGAGGGCCCTAGACTCTTAGACTGAGATTCACAAATTGTTAAATAGACAGTGCCTTAGAAATCACATAGTTGGACCCATTTGTTTTCTATTGTAACACACAGCTCTTTTCCATTCCTATTTTGCATCACTTATTCTACACTAAGGAGGACAACTATCAATGATTAATGAACTTCAAAGATATTCATTAGGCTATAATTTCTCGGGTATAGAGCTTTGGCAGAAACAGTTTATAATCTTACAGTTCTATACATCAGAAGTTAGTATGAATCTCACCAGGCTAAATCCAAAGTGCTGGCAGGGCTGTGTTTTATTTTAGAGGGTCCAGGGGAGAATGCGTTTCCTTGCTCATAAGCTTTGGTGGGGGAAAGTCTTTTGGGGCATTTTCATTCATGAGGTTGGAGTAACAAACCAATTGAGCTTGCCCAGCCCTGCTCTCTTGTTCTCCTGTGGCAAGATTAGAAAGCTGTACTTCTGCTTTGGAGTTGTTTAGATCTGAGAAGACTTAGGGACTAGGAGAGTCTCAACATTGGGAAATATTCCGAGCTCTTGGTCTCCTTCTCTTGGGTTTGTTTTGTCTTATAGAAAGATGTGGTCTTCCTAGAAGAATGACCCTAGAAGGATTATTCCTTGACACTAGAGTGGTAGAACCACAAGATTGAGCAACAACGTGAACTTGGGGGATGGCTACCTGCTGGCTCCTTATACTTGCTTTGCTTCCAGGCTGGGCCAGCCTTTAGTGTGTTTATTACTCAGGATACTCCAGAGAAGTAAAATAGTGGGAATGAATGCACCTCCTTGTGGGTCACACATTGTATCTCACTTTTAGGGGCCTGCTGGGACTTAAGTCTAGTACAGGTCTGGAACCAAAGAAAGGCAGGTCCTGAGGAGAATCAGTATTGTCTTGCATGGCAGATTCCTGAGGAGAGAGTTTTCTCAGGCAATGCAGGGTAAACCTCCTCAGGCAAGTTAGAAAGGCTATACAACTGGGATTAGGGCCACTTCTGCTGGCGGTGGGGAGGGATATTCTGCCTGGGGTGGAGAATCCCTTGTCATGCTGCCCTCATCACTCCATTTAAAATTATTTCAAAATTTTTCTTGATGATTTCTCAATAAATTCAACAGACCCTTTGAAAACATCCCTCCTATACTTAGTGGTACAGAATACAACCGGCCAACGCTCTTTCTTGATAATTTCTGTCTTTGACAGCACCGGTAAAGAACTGAGGGGCTTTATGTCCCTAGTTTGATCACATTCTTCCCACATGTACCCATTTCAGCTTATGGGAACCCATTATTTCCCATCAATGCCCTCACTTTAAACAGTCAACACCCTGTCAGGCTGTGAGTTAACTTATACTGTAATTAAGCCAGTTGCAGGATGAAGTTCTGCATTAGATTTTCAGCAATTTCAGCCCTGTGGATACAGGAGAAAACCATCTCCTTCAGGACACACATAGAAGATCTTAGGTCTTTTATGCAGCACTTAAACTGGAAATTCAAATTCCTGAGCTCATCTTTATCTGTCACCACTTTTTCTAGTGACATTAGCAGTAATCAACCAGTGTCACTGTTTCATTTATTTTCCAAAAATGTTGAAAAGTATTATATGGGGTCATATAGCTACTTGCTTCTTTTAAGTGATTGATTAGGATTAAGAATATTTTACTTATCTCTGTAAAAGTTAAGGCCATGGGATATCATTTTTCTATTACCGGAAATGGAATCATTGGCATCTTTAAATCTAATCAGATTAAAGAGCCAATTCCAAAAACACCAGAATCAATTCAGAAAAACTTATCTATAAAATTCTGTTTCTCTAGAATCATTTTTGGTACCAAAATCTTTTTTAGTCAGGGTTCTCCAGAGAAACGGAACTAGTACCAGATACATATCACCCTTCCTTTGACATTAAGCTTCATTTTACAAATGTGGAAACTGAGATTCAGAAATACAAGTTCATTTATTGATAGTCACCTTGCTGGCTCAAGGCAGAGCTAGCAACATGGCTCAGAGAGACATTATGTACTGCTCTTCTCATCATACACTGTTGAATGAAGAAATCATTGAATAGACTTCAATTACTTGGCATGTCTAGGAAATAGGTATTTCTGTTTAACTAAGGAATAGACAATTTAGTAAGTAGTATGACCCAGTCCTCTGATGCCAATGCTCAGTCTTGGAACCAAAATAACTTTTGGGAGCACCTAACCAGGTTGGGAGATCTCTCATCCCTGTGCTTTCAGAAACAGAGCCAACCATGAATCTTCAGTCTAGAAAGGAGACCATCCACCCATCATCGTGTCAGTACACTTGAAAGACTCCTCACAAAGGCAGCTGCTGACAACTTTAGCTAAGCAGAATAAGTCCAGGCAGGAAAATTAAAAAATCTTTTCCCCAAACTTCCTAAAACAGAAAAGAAAAAGCTCCAGCAATGCAATAGAAATAATAGCTGTTTCCAAAATATCATTTTGATGCAAAACTAAGAGCTAGAAAAGGATCAGAAAAGTAAGAATTGGCCCATGTTTATGAAACTAATAACTGAGAGAAAATGTGAACTTCTAAATAGCTCTGGAGCCTTCAGCTGGCTAACCAAGCTAAGAGTAAAATGAGGCTGTTATGAAAAATCATAAAACCTGCTCGAGCTGAATGCTCAGCAAATGGGTTAAAAATTTTGTTGGCCAAAGCTGTCCTCCTGTCACCAAGGCTTTGGGTTTTATTTGCTAGAGGCCCCACAGTTAGTGATTTTACATTTATAAAGCAGAGAGATCACTGAATTTAGGCTCCAATAGATAAGAATTTCTAAACTGGTCTTATCCAGCCACAGGGCCTTTGCACAGAAAATATATCTCTTCCTAAATGTGTACATGTCTCCTACCCATTTTGGCTTAAACGCACGTGTAACTCCAGAGAGATGATGACAACCTCCTTATAAAAATAGCTTCCCTCTATCGCACACCCCATCTTGTGATCTTTTGTTTTCTTCATAGTATCACATCAGTTATTCGTGGGTGTCTGGGATTGAATTTCTTGCTTATTGTATACAAGTCCCTTAACATCTCTCTACCTCCCTTAGTTTTCTCATCAGAAATAATGTAACATTTCCTACTGGACAAAGTTCTTGCAAGGATTAGATGATCGCGTGTGTGTTAAGCACTTATACCTGTTATGGGAATACAGTGAGAACTCAAAGGACTTAGCTGTTTCTATTGCCATAATCTGAAATCCTTTCTTTTTTGTCTTTTTTTTTTTTTTTTTTCTGAGATGGAGTCTCGCTCCATCACCCAGGCTGGAGTGCAGTGGCGCGATCTCGGCTCACTGCAAGCTCCACCTTCTGGGTTCACGCCATTCTCCTGCCTCAGCCTCCTGAGTAGGTGGGACTACAGGCGCCCACCACCATGCCTGGCTCATTTTTTGCATTTTTAGTAGAGACGGGGTTTCACCGTGTTAGCCAGGATGGTCTCGATCTCCCGACCTTGTGATCCACCCGCCTCGGCCTCCCAAAGTGCTAGGATTACAGGCGTGAGCCACAGCGCCCGGCCCCTTGAAATTCTTTCTAAATTTACTTTATGATATTAATCTCCCCTGCCTACTCCCATACCAATTACAGTAGGAGAAGTGGGCAGGACTGTTCTTCTTCACAAATGTATCCCCTGCCCCTAGAGCAGTGTCTGGCACATCACAGGTACTCAAAGGATTTGCTGAATGAATCATCACTAACCAAGGGTAAATCTCAAATTATTTGAGCCTCAGTTTTACCATCTATAAAAGAGAGATAATGGCTCCCAATCCGTAGGTTATGAAGAATCAAATGAGATTTATAACCCCGTTTCTCCAGCTGGAATATATGTGCCCCAGGGAATAATTTGGAATACCAAAAGTATGTAAAGTTAAATTAAACACATAGCACAGTTCATCAGAGGTTTGATTTTGCCAGAAGATTCAGGGGAAACAACAGTTTAGAATTTTTATACTTCTAATAGGATACTTTTTAATTATTAATTTGTTATTTTGCTCTTTCTGTATTTTTTCCTCTGCTCCACTATAAGAGGACAGTTTAGCATTTTTATCCTTTTCCCTGAGGGGCATGTGTATTGCTGGGTGAAAGTAGCATTTTGCTTTTGTTCTCAAAAAAAAAAAAAAAAATGCTGAGTGTGATTATGTTAACTTTAAGGGATTAGAGGGGAAGAAGAAAGAGCTGAATGCCTAGGGAAAGAGGATAGATGTGAGGAGGGAAGAAAGGTTTCCCCCACGAAATGAAAGGAATTCTTTTTGATAGGGTGAAGACAGTTAAGGAATAGAGGCTTATAAAGAATAACTGATACCAGAGAGACTCTCCAAGGTGGAAAATATAAGATTTTGGGACCTTTAGACAGCTCCAAGAGACATGGAGCCTCAATCATGATTGAGACTAAATTTCCCAACAGCCAGGCAAACTAGGCACTCAGAGGAGTTGCAAACTAGTTTAGAGAAATAAATGTGTCATTTCTTATGAAGTTGGAGAATAAAAAATCACTCTGCTATGTTGCCTTGCAAGGCTTAGTCAAATTCTTGCACAATTGGCAAAATACTGTTTTCCATGCCAGCTCACTTTTCTGTTTAATGATTTTAGCTTTTTAGGTTCAGGGGTTACATGTGCAAGTTTGTCACCTGAGCATATTGCAAGATTCTGAGGTTTGGAGTACAACCGATCTTGTCACCCCGGTACTGAACACAGTACCGTACAGTTTTTCAGCCCTTACCCTTCCTCCTCCCTCCCTACTCCAGTATTTCCCAGTTTCTATTGTTTCCATCTTTATGTCCATGAGTACACAATGTTTAGCTCTCACTTCTAAGTGAGAACATGCAGCATTTGGTTTTCTGTTCCCATGTTAATTTGCTTAGAATAATGGCCTCCAGCTGTATCCATGTTGCTTCAAAGGACATATTGTTCTTTTTTATGGCTGTGTAATATTCCATGTGTATAGGTAGCACATCTTCTTTATCCAGTCCACCATTGATGGGCGTCTAGGTTAATGGCATGTCTTCACTACTATGAATATTGCTGTGATAAACATGCAAATGCATGTGTGTTTTTGGTAAAGCAACTTATTTTATTTAGGATATATACTCAGTAATGGGATTGCTGGGTCAAAGAGTAGTTCTAAGTTCTTTGAGAAATCTGCAAACTGCTTTCTACGTGGCTGAACACTATCACCAACAGTGTATATGCATTCCCGTTTCTCCTCAGCCTCACCAGTATCCACTGTTTGACTTTTTAATGATAGCTCTTCTGACTGATGTGAGATGGTATCTCTTTGTAGTTTTGATTTGCATTTCCTTGATGATTAGTGATGTGGGGCATTTTTCCATGTTTATTGGCAGATTGTATGTCTTCTTCTGAGAAGTGTCTATTCATGTATTTTATTTATTTTTAAAGGGGCTATTTGTTTTGTGCTTGTTCAGTTGTTATGTTCCTTATAGATTCTGGATATTGGTTCCTTGTTGGATACATAGTTTGCGAGTATCTTCTCCCACCCTGTAGGTTTTCTCCTTATTATGTTGATAGTCTCTTCTGATGTGCAGAAGCTCTTGAGTTCAATTAGGTCCTACTTGTCAATTTTTGCTTTTGTTGCAATTGCTTTTGAGGCGAGCCCACTTTTTGTTGTTCTTGTGAGTGTGTGTGTGAGGAAGAACATGCACAAACCCAAAGAACCAGAAAGTTAATGTGCAGTGACTGAGGAGAAAATACACTTTAGAGGTCAAGGCAGCCAGTGGCCTTAGCCCCAACAGCATATCATAATGAACAAGACAAGCCAATTCCTTGAAGACAGATTAAGCTGATATCAATGGCAGTGACAGACTACAGGTATTCCCCCAGAGTGGCCACTTTTGATTTCTTGATACCCACAAACTAGTTTGACATGTATTCTCACTGCAGGAACCAGACCCTTTATGTAAATTTATAAAAAATTTGTAGCATTCCTGGTAAAATAAGGCCTTTACCCTTTACCATCTCTCTTCATTGAACAATTCCTTTGAGTCAACAGAGGTTGATGACAATAGAGACCCCCTTCAATCTAGCTCTTGAAATTGCACATAGAATGGCTACCAGAACCTGAAGATATTGTGCTTGACCACTTATGGACAGCTTTTGGGGGCATCTCTCATCAGTATAATTGCTATGATTTCAATGTGTGCCCTCCCCCCCACAAAATTCTGGTGTTGCCAATGTGATAGTTTTAAGAGGTGGGGCCATGAAGAGATAGTGAGGTCATGAGGGCTTCTTAAACGGGATTAAGGTCCTTATAAAAGAGGTTTCTTGGCTGGGTGCAGTTGCTCATGCCTGTAATTCCAGCACTTTGGGAGGCCGAGGTGGGTGGATCACGAGGTCAGGTGTTCAAAGACCAGCCTGATCGACATGATGAAACCCCATCTCTACTAAAAATATAAAAGTTAGCCAGGCATGGTGGTGCATGCCAGTGATCCCGGCTACTCAGGAGGCTGAGGCAGGAGAATCACTTGAACCTGGGAGGTGGAGATTACAGTGAGCCGAGATCACACCACTGCACTCCAGCCTGGGTGACAGAGTGAGACTCCGTCTCAAAAAAAAAAAAAAAAAAAAAAGTCTCTTGCAGTGTTCTGTCTCTTGCCCATCCATCCCTGCCATGTAAGGACATAGTGATCCTCCCCTCTAGAGGATGTAGTCCTCACTAGGCAACTGAACTTGATCTCGGACTTCTCAACCAAGAACTGTGAGAAAATAAATTGTTGTTCTTTATAAATTACCCAATCTCATATTCTGTTATAGGAGCATAGAGAAAGATAGCAACAAGATTTTAAGACTGGAACTTGCCAGTGAAGTTTATGAGACACACACCTCATTTTATTCCACTTCTTTTTATTGCACTTTACAGATATTGTGGTTTTTTTTTTTTTTAACAAGTTGAAGGTCTGTGGCAGCTTTGCACGAAGCAAGCCTATCAGTGCCAGTTTTCCAACAGCATGTGCTCACTTCATGGCTCTGTGTCACATTTTGGTAATTCTTGCAATATTTCAAATGTTTTCATTATTATATGTTATGATGATCTGTGATCAGTGTTCTTTGAAGTTACTATTGTAATTGTTTTGGGATGCCATGAATCACGCTCACATAAGACAACAAACTTAACAGATAAATATTGTGTATGTCCTCACTCACTGTTCCACTGTCCAGCTATTCCCCCGTCTCTCTCCCTCCCCTCAGGTCTCCCTACTCCCCAAGACCCACAGAATTAAAATTGGGCCAATTAAAAACCTTCCAATGCCCTCTATGTGTTCAAGTGAAAGAAAGAGTCACATGTCTCACTTTAACTCAAAAGCTAGGAAAGAATAAGAAGATCAAACCAGTTACAACATTCCCTTATGCCAAAGCTTATTCCACAGCAAGTCTCCAACTGTCTTCAAAACTATGAAGGCTGAGAGAGGTAAGGAAATTTCAGAAGAAAAACTGGAAGCTGGCAGAAGTTGGTTCATGAGGTTTAAGGAAATAAGCTGTTTCCGTAACATGAAAGTGCAAGGTAAAGCAGCAAGTGCTGATGGAAAAGCTGCAGCCAATTATCCAGAAGATCTAGCTAAGATAATTGACAAAAGTAGCTATACTAAACAACAGATTTTCAATGTAGATGAAACAGCTGTATATTGGAAGAAGATGCCATCTGAGACTTACATGGCTAGAAAGGAGAATTCAATGCCTAGCTTCAAAGAACAGGATGACCCTCTGGTTAGGGGTTAATGCAGCTGGTGACTTTAAGTTGAGGCCAATGCTCCTTGGCCATTCCAAAAATCCTAGGGCTAATTTGCTAAATCTGCTCTGCCCATGCTCTATAAATGCAAAAACAATGTCTAGATGACAGACATCTGTTTATGGCATGGTTTACTTAATATTTTAAGCCCACTGTTGAGATTTATTGCTCAGAAAAAAAAGATTTCTTTCAAAATATTACTGCCCATTGACAATGTACCTGGTCATGCTAGAGCTCTGATGGAGATGTACTAGGTGATGAATGTTGTTTTCATGCCTTCTAACACAACATCCATTCAGCAATCTATGGATGAAGGAGTCATTTCAATTCTAAAGTCTTGATATTTAAGACATATATTTCATAAGGCAATAGCTGCCATACATAGTGATTCCCCTGATGGATCTCTGCAAAGTAAACTGAAAACCTTCTGGAAAGGATTCGCCACTCTAAATGCCATTAACAACATTCATGATTCATGAGAGGAGGTCAAAATATCAACATTAACAAAAGTTTGAAAGAAATAGATTCTAATCCTCATAGATGACTTCAAGGGGTTTGAGACTTCAGTGGAGGAAGTAATTGCAGATGAGGTGGAAATAAAAAACTAAAATTGGAAGCAGAGACTGAAGATGTGACTAAATTGCTATAATGTCAGAATAAAACTGAATGAAGAGTGGCTTCTTATGAATGATCAAGGAAAGTGGTTTCTTGAGGTGGAAGCTACTCCTGCTGAAGATGCTGTGAATGTTGTTGAAATGACAACAAACTAGAACATTACACAAGTTTAGTTAATAGTGGCAGGGTTTGAGAGGATTGACTCCAGTTTTGATAACACTTCTACCATGGGTTAAAAGCTATCCAGCAGCATCACATGCTACCGATAACTCCTTTGTGAAAAGAGCCCACTGCTGCAGTAAACTTCGGTGGTGTCTTATTTTAAGAAATTGCCACACCCACCCCAACCTCCAGCAACCTCCACCCTGATCAGTCAGCAGCCATCAACATGGAGGCAAGACCCTTCACCAGTCAAAAGATTATGACTTGCTAAGGCCTCCGAAGATTTTTTAGCAATAAGGTATTTTTAATTAAGATACGTACATTGTTACTTTAGGCATAATGCTACTGCACACTTAATAGGCTACAGTATAGTATAAACATAACTTTTATATATGCTGGGAAACCAAAATTCACATGACTCATTTTATGGTAATATTGACTTTATTGTACTAGTCTAGAACCAACCCTGTGATGTCTCCGAGGTATGACGATACAATAACAAATATTTTTTTCAACTGTTCCCACATAATTACATAATTGGGGCTCTTGAAAGACTTGATCTACGAAATGCAAGATAAATTGTCTGGACATCGATTATGTTGGGTAATATTTAATTTGCTTGAATTTGGCTCAATTTCCCCAAATGGGTAGATTCACTAGAACATTTTTCCCATTAACCTGGGAGAAGTATAAAACCATATTTTTACTAATGGAACACTTAAAATGCTATTTCGATGTGCAGATTAAGTACATAGTAAAGGATCATAGAATAGTTCTTAAAATGTGGTCGTTGGGTCACCACCAGCATTACCTGTGAGCTCGTTATAAGGGTAAATTCTCAACCTCAACCCCTGACCCCCAGATGTACTGATTCACGAACACTGCTGGGACGTTCACAAATCACTGTCTTAACAAGACCTCCAGGCGATTTAGGCACCCAGGGAAGTTTGAGAACCACTGCTTGAGAGTTCTGCAACCGTGCTGTACATGAGCGACACCTGGGGAGCTTTTCAACCTCTCCAGGCAGCTCTCCATACCAATTAAACAAGAACCCCTGGGGTTGGGAATCAGGTATCAGTTGTTTTTTTCCAAACTCCCTAAGTCATTGCCAAATTCAACCAAGTTTGAGAACCACCGCTTTAGGATGTCACCCTGTGGGAGAGGGGGTCCAGACCCATGGCTTTTGTTCTTGCTGGCAATCTGTTTAAAGTTGATGCCCAGGTTGAGAGGCAGAGGTGAGGCTCTCCCCATCTCAGGACCCTCCTAGCTCTTGGGAGGAAGAGTTTCTCCCCTCCAGTAGTCCCATCACCCTCCTCTTTTTATGTCCTTCATGGCATTTATCCTTATCAATTTCCCAATGCCTAACATCCATCTGCCCAGGTAGAATTATAACCTTGAGGGTATACACCTTGTCTTTCTTGCAAACAGTTGCCTTATCAGTTACTAATTTGGTGCCTGGGACACTGTAAGCACTGAACTATTTGTCGGTTGAATGAATACATTTTCCATAATCCACATCAGGACAGGGTAATTGAGGTCCTTCCTTAGCCACTATTTTTCCATGACTTGGAGGCATGAAATTATACAAGTAGAAGTGTCGAAAGCAATAAACCCCAGGACATAAAAAAAGGAATGCACCAAATCCACCTTTTGAGCAGTAGCATTGTAAACAAAGACAAAATTCTTAATTTTCACTTTATTTGAATAAACAAGTAGATTAGTCCCCCAGAACTTTCTTGTAGCCTAACCTCATTGTATTTACAAGCCTCTCCTCTTTAAAATTCCAAATCCCTCCCCACTTTAAAATTTCACTTGAGACAAGATCATCTTTGAGAGTAATTTCAGGTGACCTCGGCCTACTTTGATTGCCGTTTACAGAATTCAGCTAAAGTTTCCTGCTGGCGTGGTTATAGTGATCCATCTTTAGCATAAGTGAATGGAACATCCACTGCGTTATATATCAGAAGCAGGTGGGAAGTATCTCATATTTATTACCTGCCATCTTTTTCCTTAAAAGTTCATTTTTCATTAAATCGCTTAAACCCCTAGGAGTACCTTAATAAATTCACTCATGCATTGCATTCCTGAGGATTATAGCATGCAATTGGTCAGTAACTGTGTGATTCAGTCTTAAAACTGATAAAAACATCTACAGTAATGAACATATAAAAGTGTTAACATACATTTTACTTAGTTGTGCTTTTACTGTCATTTTGCTCTGCATTGCAGCAGCGTAAGAATTGTTTACACAAAGTATTTCCTGTAAGAGTTCCATTTTACACTCTACCCCCAAAACAAACCTCAAATTAATCACATGCTTCACATCTCACAAGAAATATTATATAGAAAATGGACCATACAGATATGATTCACTATAAGAGAATGAAGAATCACTGAAATGTTTAAAAAGGTTTTGTTAATACCCCCTCCCACCTGGGGTCCCCTTCTCTCCCACATAGAAAGACTGCCTTTTTCCCCTTTTCAGCCCACATGACTTCTTCCTTTAAAAACCAAGGTTATTTTAACAGCTTGATTGAAGTCTAATTGACATACACTAGACCGCACAGAGGCAATGTGTATCATTTGATGTATTTTAAAATATGTATTCACCCATGAAGTCATCACCATGATCAGGAAAGTGAACATATTCATCACCCTCACGGGGAAGTGAGTGAGAACCTACAAAAAGGGATAGAGGGTTGTCTAATCTCTTTTATTTCCACCCTGGGACAGCAAAACTGAGAGGCATGATTCTCTCCTCTACCAGCAGTTTCTAAAAATCCAAGCACACTTTAAAGCAAGAAGGATTTTTAACAAGAAAATTTGCAGACACATGTTTTCTTCCCTTTTGACAGCAGTCAGCTGACACCAGTTAGGGCAGGGCTACTGTTACTTGCTGCCTAAGAGGGTCACACAGTTTCATTTGTTAACCCAGGAGAGGAAAAACATCAGGAAGGTGGTATCCCACCCACAGGTTTTTCATGTTTTCTCTAAAACCTGGTAACACAAAAACTACACTGCTCTGATAGATTCATATCTACAAGTCACTAATAAAATGCCTGAAGATAGAATTTAGCACTACAAAAATAATAATATTTTATAACAATGTATTCTATGCACACAAATCAACATAGGAAAAACTTATTACTATAACATATTACAGTCATGGGTTGATTAGAGTTGGGGATACATTCTGAGAAATGTGTCCTTAGGCGATTTCATCATTGTGAGAGCATCATAGAGAGTATTTACACAAACCTAGATGGTATAGCCTACTACATACCTAGGCTATGGTATAGCCTATGGTTCCTCGGCTACAAACCTGTACAAGATGTTACTGTACTGAAAACTACCAGCAATCGTAACACGATGGTAAGTATTTGTGCATTTAGACATAGGAAATGTACAGTAAAAATACTGCATAAGAGATAAAATATGGTCCACCTGTACCATGAATGGAGTTTACAGGACTGGAAATTTTTCTGGGTATAAGGGAATGGTGAGTAAATGTGAAAGCCTAGTACATTACTGTGATTACTGTTGACTTCCTAAACACTGTACACTTAGGCTACACTAAATTTATTTTGAAATCCTCTCAATAACAACTTTAGCTGACTGTAATATTTTTACTTTATAACAAAGCTTATAAATTTATATTTTAACTTTTTAACTTTTTGACTCTTGTGTAAAACAGCTTAAAACATACATCGCATGGTTGTACAAAAATATTTTCTTTCTTTATAACCTTATTCTACAAGCTATTTTTCCAGTTTTAACTTTTTAAACTTTGTTAAAAACAAACACACATTAGCCTAGGCCTACACAGGGTCAGAATAATCAATATCCCTGTCTTCCACCTCCACATCTTGTCCCACTGGAAGTTCTTCAGAAGCAATAACATGCATGGAGCTGTCATCTCCTAAGATAACAATGCCTTCATCTGGAATACCTCCGAAGGATCGGCCTGAGGCTGTTTTACAGTTATTATTTTTTATGTA
Source organism: Homo sapiens (assembly GCF_000001405.40). Classification (NCBI taxonomy): domain Eukaryota; kingdom Metazoa; phylum Chordata; class Mammalia; order Primates; family Hominidae; genus Homo; species Homo sapiens. The sequence continues at coordinate 3,575,250 of NC_000003.12, forward strand.
AGGAGAAGGAGTACATGCTAAAATAACAGTAAAAAGTATGGTAAATACATAAACCAGTAACATAGTCATTTATTATTATCAAATACCATGTGCTATACATAATGGTGTGGGCTGGGCTTTTATATGACTGGCATCACAAGTTTGTTTATACCAGCATCACCACAAACACAAATACATAATGCATCGCACTATGATGTTATGAAAGCTAAGAGATCACTAGGTAATAGGAATTTTTCAGCTCCAGTGTAATCTATAGAACCACCATCATACATGCATATATGCAGTCCATTGTTGACCAAAACACAATTATGCAGCACATGACTGTATATCAATGTTAAATTTCTAGAAGCCTTAAGTACTTATGTAAAATATTACTGAAAGAGTTGTGACACTGTAATATCTATTCTTAATAAAGTATTGTAAACTAGAAATAAAAAGATACATATTACATAGAACATTTCAAACCAAGAGTCACACAGAGAAAATATAGCAAAGCCCCACTCATGGAACTAATTTTACCAATGTTTTGATCCTATTTTGGGGATCAGAAATAGGACCAAGACATACATGACCTCTGCTATCTACCTTATGTCCCAAGTTCTAACTAATATAATATCAAAGAAAAAGTGAATACACATAGAGAAAAAAAATCAAGCAGAGATGACACTATTATAATATTTGAAAAGCAAAACATCACTGACAAACTGCCAGAAGCAACCCTTGCCCACAGCTGGTGGAAATGTAAATTGGCAGATCCATTATGGAAAACAATATAGAGTTTTCTCCAAAAATTAAAAACAAAACCTCCATACAATCTGGCAATATATAAAAACATATAAAAGAAGTTTTGGATAAATTGAGGCATACAGATATATTGTGATATCAATCAAAATCCATCTTCAGGAAATAGAACCAACATCCTAGATATGTATGTATGTATGTATGTGTATGTTTAGCATGTATAAAGTTCTTTTGAAATAGCACTTACTACGATTCTAAAATTCACTTGGGAAAGAGGAAAAAGCCCTAACAAGTGAGGCTATTAAGTAATACTAAGAAAATGAATTTGGATAGGAGAGGGGCAAGGGACTAAGGAATGAAACAGGGCTATACTCTCCCCTGGTGTGTCTCTGGCATCTAGTACTATACCTCACATAGAGCAGGCACCGAATTTGTATCAAATGAATAAATGCAACTTTAAAAATACCCATCACCAAGACTCTAACAGATAAATGCAGAAAGACTATGAACAGACATCCTTTCAAGAAAAAATGCAAATAGAAGAGCGACATAATGAAATGTTTAACCAATATTATTTATATCAAAACAATAGCAGAGAAGTATGATTTAATTCTATAACTCAAACTGAGTAAACAGGAAAAATAGGTATATTACTAGCAGCATTTTTTTATTAGATCAATTCTTTAGAAATGTGATTTTATATCCTTAAAAATGTCTCTCTCTTGGATCCAGTAATTCAATGCTGGGGAATTTATCTGAATAACTAAAAAGAAAAGAAAATGCCCAAATAAAAAAGATGTTCATTGCAACAGTATTGTATAATCAAAATAATGAGTACTTTAAGTAAAAGACAAAGAGTTTACATAATTACATGACAGAATATAATAAAATAATTAGAAATGATGCAGAGACTGAAGTGTCATAAAAATGATGTCATATTAAAATTTTACAAACAGAATAGATACATGAGACCGCCATGAGAGCAAATGGTATAGATACGAATAAAGACTGGGAAACACCATAGAGAAAAATAGAAAATACGGCGCCCAGCATGGTGATGAGTTATTCTTCTTCTTAAGTTCTTTTAAGATTGATTCAATATTACCTGAATAAAAACAATCTGTAAAACCAGAGACATAAGCACTAGCCAGCCACTTTCATAAGGAAGCCACTCCACTCTGCTCATACCTTTGCATCTCCTTCTCTTTTTTCTGCTATCATCTATTTTCAAATGACAAGAACCCTGGTCAACAGCCCTAAATCACTTCCAGGTGTTTGCTCTTCACCATTCCAACTGAATGGCACCTTCCCTGAAGGCAGAGGTCATTTTTCTGGTCTAGCTGATCCTTCCCCTCAGACCCCTCCTCAGCTCCAGACAGTACCCAGCACCTGCTAGGTACACCCAGCACTGTTGCTAGAACCATACACATTCCTGTGGCCAGAGTCTCAGGCACCTGTCTCTAAACCCAGCATTTGGGATTGGATTCTGGCTTTTCAGAGTGGAGGCCATGCCACACCTGCAAAGCTCAAGATCCTTCCCCACAAAGGTTATCCTCTGAGTTTGTAACCAGCACAACACTCCCTTATTAAAAGACGACAAAAAGAGGGAGGAGAGAAGATTCCACACCCAGTGTTCTAAGGCCTCAGGGACAGCAGATGTGCTTACCTATGTAATTTCAGACCACAACGCAAAGCATCATATCTATAGTTTGCATGTGAACACCTTTATAGTTTAATTTTTTAAAGGCCTGTGAGAAGGTGTTAGAGACGTGAAAGCACTTTGAAAATGAAAAGATTGGAAAGGAATAAAGGGAGGCTTCAGTAATACATCGCCAAGGCCTTTATATGTAAGAAGATTATCAAAAGTGTCCTACCTGTCTGGGTTCCGATGTCCACCTCAACTCTGCGGCGTGGAGAAGCCAGCTGGGTTTGACTTTTCCACAGGACCTGCTGCACACGCTTAGCCACAGGGAAGCACAAAGCCTCAGAAGTGCTCTGCCTGGCAGTGCTGACCACACACAGGCCCTCATTCCTGCGCCCGAGTGGGCCACTCCCACCCGTGGGAACAGGCTTCGCCGACAAGGGAGGCCCTCTCAGCAGAATGTAGCTGACTGGAGCCTGCTCATTCAGGCCTGCTCCTGATGGCCACACAAATGTCCGTCCTGCTTGCTCTCCCTTCCTTTCCTCTCTTATCTCACCGTCCAGCCACATCACGACAGACAGTGCCGCTTCTCTCACATGCTCTGATTCCTTGCTACTGAAACTGTGGTCTGTGGACCAGCAGCACCTGCACCGCTTGGAAACTTGTAGGAAAGGCAGAGTCTCAGGCACCAACCCACCTGCAGAGTCCGAATCTTTCCTGTGCGCAGATCTCTGGGTGATCGTTATGCACACTCGCAGCCAAGAAGGCTGCTGTGATTCACACTTGGCTCACACTTGCCCCATACCCTTTTCTGAGTGCATTTTCTCCATCTCCAGGCCTTGTTTGGAACTTGGCTTTCCTCTTGACGATGCTACTTCATAACTCCCCTCAAGTAAAGTCTGCTCCCTGGCACCTGCCCTTGGATTTCAAGGACAAGCGACTACTGCGTGACGTTTTAGTAAAACATACTAAAGGAGCAACTCTGTGCCTGTTAGGCATGTACACTTCCAGTACCTTATTAAAGCCTCATCCCCGCTAGCGAGGAAGATGCTGTTATTACTTCCAGGTTGTGGAGGAAATCAAGCTTTATCAAAGTGGGGTCTCCTAAGTGCCATCACCTAACTAAGTGTCACAGCTGGGATTTGAACTACGTACTGCAAGTGCAGAGGCTTCACAGTGCTGTCTCCCCAGTCATTCCAGCTTTGAGTTCATCAGCTCTCCTGCAACACCCTCATTGTCTTTTGTATTGGTTTCTATTGCTGCAATAACAGATTAACCACAATTTAGCAACTCATGACAGCACGCATGTATTACCTCACAGCTCTGTAGCCCAGACGTCCCGGGTAGTGGTGGGATGGGGGTGTCAGATTTGTTTATCTGCTTTGGGCCTGACAAGCCCAAAATTAAAAAGTCTTAGCCTGGAAGAGATTCTGCTTCCAGGCTCATTTAGGTCATTGGCAGAATTTATTCAATGTGGCTATAGAACTGAAGTCCTTATTTTCTGGCTGGCTGATGGCCAGGGGTCATTCTCAGCTTCCAGAGGCCTCCACATTCCCTGGCTTGTGGCCTCCTTCATCTTTAGAGTCAGGAAAGTGGGCCAATCGGCCTCATCTTTCTTGTTTCCAGCTGCAGAAAGTTCTGTGCTTTTAAGGACTTTGATATGACTAAATTGAACCCACCTGGATAATCCAGGCTAAACTTATTATAAGCCCCTGAACCTTCATTGGATCTGCAAGGTTCCTTTTGCCCTGTTGTGTAACATATTCCCAGGTTCTGGGTTTCAGGCCACGGACATCTCTGGGTAGCGTTTCTGCCTTCCATCCATTGAAGCCCACACCACTCAATTATATCACCCTCTTTCTTTTCTTTTCATATCATTAATATTTTCTAGACTCCTTAAAGCCACCTAACATTGTAGTATCCGGCTCCCTGATTTTCTCCTCCTCTTTTCAGGCATTCCCCTGAGACACATGAGTGACCACGCTGGTGACCTTCTTCCTCACCGTCAAGCATTTTCACCTCCAATCCACTTTTTATGATCACCTTTTGCTGTGCTGTTGCCAACAGGGAACCAGTAGTGAGAACTAGAAAGTTGTCCTGCACATGGGACTGAATTTTTATTGCAAGATGACTGGCTTTTATTTGATAGTTCATGTACGCAAAGTAGATCAAAATCAAATTTGAAAGGCATGAACAATACCTGGTGATAGAGGATATGATTATACAGCATCCGTCAAAACATGCCAGTAAACTGATTTTTGAAAAATCAAGAGTAAACAATTTCATAGCCTCAAATGTCAGGCTTCAATAAAAAGAAATATGATTTTGGAATGAAATCTTTTAACAGTCCTGTGGAATGACAGGAATTGATTTTGGCATCTGGATTTGAATTCCCTTGCTGCTTTTAAAAACATATTAAAAAGGAGATTAGTACCAAATTTGGTTACATCGATATGATTTTAGAGAGAGCTAGTGTGATTTACATGCTATGTAAAGCCCATTTTTTCCATTAAGGATGGGGGAATGCGCCATCTCCTCAATGAAGTCACATCTGATCTCAGTTGCCGAGGTACCGTGGGGATACTGCTGTTCATAAAGAAGACTTCAGATGATGCTCAGTTTTTCTTGGTGGGTTGTTGCTTCACTGCATTGATTTATCCACTGCAGATGTCAATGGCAGCCCGGCAAGCACCCACCCTGTTGCTTCTGGACTGCCACAAAACTGCAAACCACGGTCCTTCGTATTTTACAAGAGGAGAAATAACGTCTTTTAAAATGAGGTTTTTATAAATGACTCGTAAAAATTAAATAGTGAAGACTTGAGAAAAGATTGAAAAACATATTGGGCTTGATTTTATTTCCCAGCTGCTTTACTGAATTATGGGGGAAGTCGAAAGAGGAAGGAGAGAGAGAGAGACAGAGAGAGAGATGGAAGAGAAAGAATTGCAATTTTAACCTTCCAAAAAACTTTTGTTCTGCTTCTTCCTCACTATTCACTCTCATTTCCCAGCATGAATAATAATACCTCAAACTAAAAGTCAAATTTTGTATTTTATTAAGAATTCATAGCTGCTGGAATGCTTTAACTCTCTAAAAGCCCTTCAATGACTCAAGTGGAAATGCTTCTAAATGGCTAAAATAAGAGCCAAAGTTGGAGCCACATCTCCCAAATCTCCCTGAAATGGGCTCCTATCCAAATGGACACAGGGGCAATTTATTCCTTCTTCTTGCTCTCCTTGCAAGAAGCTGCTAAAAGATCAAAAGAAAATAATTATATATTGTCTTCTCAATGAACGGTCATTCTAATCATTTCAAAATGCTCATAGAAATTTGGAGCAGTGGCTACAATTACAAATCCCCACTGACAATATAGTCATGGAGAAATCATTGGAGTGAACTGCCCCTTCAAGAGTTTTGATTTTGCGATCAAGTCAAGAGCTGTTCTAGTGAAGCTACAAGCTGTTTGATGGACCAAATTTCACTCCAAAGTGGCAAAGCAACACAATAAGGTGCCAGGAGGAATACGTGTGGTGGCCTAACATGCAATGCCATTCTATCAAGTTTTGCAACGCCACCAAAATAGGTCCCCTCTGAAAAATCTTCAGGCAGTCTTTCTCAAACAAGGAAATTATATTATTTTAATGAAACATAATAGTGAACAAAGGAAGTAATCCTCCAACCCTAACAACATTTACTTACTTTCAACCATACGTTTAACATTTCTTGAGCACCTGTTGCATGCAAGCGCCATACTAAGCGGTTGGGGATGGGAGGTGGTATAATTAATTAATACAACATGATGTGATGCTCTCAAAGAAACTCACAATGTGGGGATCTAGCTGTGAGTAAATGATCTCCAGATAGGAACAGAAGGAGTATAGAACATGACTTTATCAAGGGTTCAAACAAGAAATAAGAGGGAGGAAAGAAAAAGAACAAACATTTCCTTAGTACTTCCTTAATGCCTGGCACTGTGCTAAGTTCTGTGCATTTGTTATTGTGTTGGTCAAATGCGTTGCTACTTTTCCTTTATATCCTAGAAGCAGACTATCCTGTTAGATCAGAAGGTGAATCACCTGCTGGCTGGGGTGAACATGTGTAAAACTCACCCTCCTTGTGGACTGTGAAAAGATTAATTCGCAGACTGGCAAAATATGTTCCAACAATGTATTTTTGTCACCCACTGTAAATCACTAAGCAACAGAGCTGCTGATGTAAAAGTAGGTGGCATTCCTTTTTCCTTACTTATGACAGGCAGGGACAATTTTCTATTTCTCTTCCAGTTTCTCTCTTGCCACTATTGATTGTGACGAGCTGGAAATTCTGTTTCACTGGACACCAAATCTAATGACAGCATTAATAATAGATAAAATGTACAGAATATCTTACACTTATTTCATCTTTATCTGTGAAGCAGGTAAGATTATTACTCTCATTTTACAGATGATGAAACTGAAGGTTTAAAAAATGAACTAACTTGCCCATGATTCTATGCAACTAAAACGTGGCAGGCCAAGAGTCTAACCCAAGTTGCTGACTCCAGAATCCACCTGCCTAAGCAGTATAACGTATTTTCTCATGAAACAGCAATAGAAAACTGAGATCCAGGTCTCAGATTGGTTCACTGTAGTCTGCTCAAATGGAAAGAAACAGCTTCACTGTATTCCATGATTTCCTCCATGAAACAAATAAACAATAAAAATAACCTTGCATTTCTTGATGCCTTCTTCATATCTCTAAGTATAGGGCTTGTTTCATTATAAAATATCTTCTTATGAGGAAATGCCTTAGTGTCTAAGTGTCCAATCACAAATTCAGAATTCAAAAGAAAGAACACGGTCTGTTCTCGGGTCTGTTACTGCACATTCATAATGCCCAGGAGGCTCTCCTGGTGCCCTACACCCTCACCAAAAAAAAGCGTCCTCCAGTATAGGACTAACATGAAGTCATGGCGCAGAAAACACTTGCCTTGACATCAACACATCAGAAGCCATCGACAACCCCAGATCTTTTATCTTAAGTTTTCCAACTACTACTCCTCTCTCCAAGACAAATGTATGTACTGCCAAGCATATAGCAAGGTTATGTCTGTACCATTATGCTGTGCTCCCTTTGGAGATAGGCTTGTTTTGGAAAGAGACCAGTTCTTCTTGTCCTTTCTCCAAAGCACAAAACTGGGTACACTGAGCACAGAGCTGTGCAGTCCTCCTACATTGCTCCTGATACCTCCTGGAGATACTATGTCATTATTTTTGATGCCTTGAGGTCCTGAGCTGCAAGGTCTCAGGTCTTGAATTCAGATACTGCCCACCTGCCTTAGTCAGAGCCGAAGTGGAAAATTTGAAAATAGAGCCAAGCAATTTAACATTTTGCTTCAATTTCCAAATTATTGAGAAAATAAACTTAATAATACTTACCTACCTCTTGGGATGTTGAGACAATTAATGAAGGTTTTTGCACTTTTCTAAAGTTCCAGCAACCAAAGGAAATTAATGTTTTATATTCCACCTGCATTGTACAAATTAATGGGCTTCCCTGTTCAGAATAAGCAATGAGGACTTTGTCCTAATTGGGAGAAGTTCAAAATGTTATAATTTTTTTTCTGGGCCCCTCTTCAGTTAATTTTAATTTTTGTCTTTTGCATGGTCTTGGAGGTTAATTTTCTGAAAGGGCAGCTTTATATATTATTATTTTCCCAAGTAATCTCTCTATGTAAGTTATAAAGCCAAAAATTAGTTGATTATAAGCAGCCCAATAATAACCTCTCTAGAGCCGTTGCCTCTTTTGATTAGATATATTGCTCTGTAACATGCGTGGCTCTGAGTGTTCAAAATGAATAAAACCCTCAAACATTTTTGGAACAATGTATTCTGTTGACTTTCCATAATGCTAATGTTAATAATAATGGAATGAACTAGAATAAACGGCATGATTTAACAGTCCAAATGGTGAAACATAAGACTTTTCTCCTATTATTTTTTATTTTTTAAGTTACCTTTTTAAAGAAAGCCAGAATAATTGAATGATAAAATACCCTACATGGCAAGACTTTGTTGCCAAGGGCAAATTCTGGTATGTTCAGACAGCTGACAACTTTAATTGTCAAGTTATATTTGTTAGGATTATCTCAAAAAACGTATTTCCTGTTATATTCGGTTTGTGCAAGGTTAGCCTCTGTGGACTGAGTGCCTCCTCCATGCACAAATTTGTTTTCATGGTGATTAAAATGCAAATCTGATTTACAGACCTCCTTTCTTTACAAGGAGGTGAATATCTCTAATGAACATGTATCCAGAGAAAATATAATGATACAAAGAAGAAAAACCTGAAAATGGTATTACATGGGACAGGGTTTCCCAAGGGTGGTGCATGTACCACTGGTAATAAAATTAAATAATTACAGGTGATGCATGGGCAAGCTTTTTTACTTTAATGCTTATCTATTTATTTGATTACCTATAGGAGAAAATATATAACTAGTACACTAAACTCCAAACTTTTATGACCCCAAATGCTTAGGATACATAACAGGTATGACTAGTAAGATGATTTAGAAAAGACATGAAGAAAGTACTATTTTGGTGGCATGGAGATAAGGCAAGCATCTCGAAGGTGGCATGAGAATGACTGGAAGTGGATAAACATCAACACAGTGGGAACACAGCAGGGGCGTTGGAGTTAGGCCTGGCCTAAGACCCTGGGTTGGCCACTAAGAAGCTGTCAGATTCCACATTTGTTAAAATCTCCCAGCAAGGGCCTGCTGGGAGAATTTTTAAGTTCCACTTAAAGCTTTTAGCATGGTGCTGGCTACCAAGCAAGCCCTCAAAAAACAATAGCTATAATTATTCATCATAATAAAAGTCTAGTCCTAAGTACCCATCCAGCCACAAAACAAAACAAACTCCTTGGACTGGGTGAAAATGGGCACAGAAAAGCACTCTTAGGAACATCGTACAGAACTGGTTACACTTTTAAAGGAAAATTGATAAAGACATGAAAATGAATTGGCTTTTAACAATACTTTCTACTTTTTTAAGCTAAAAATGATGTGTGTACTCTGGTTATTTATTATGCAACATTAACTTTAAGTTCCTTCCAGGTAAGGACTGTGTTTTATTAGTATTGGCATCATCTAAAGTTTAAAAATTGAGTCTTCACACAATTGACACTTAATAAAGTAGTATTGAGAGAGCTATCATATCGCTTCTCTAATTTTCAAGATTCCTTTATCTACCATGGCTTTGGAAGGCAGGAAATATTTATAAACACGCAGCTTTTGACAGGATGTATTTTGCGTGCTTAGGAAGGAAAAGTCCCATATTTTATAAAACATTACCAGGAGTTTTCTAATATTCTCAATATTGTTATATTCTCTGTGCTTTGTACATCTACTCTGCTTCTGAAATCACACATACTAAGTCCTAACACATTGGTGGCACACATCTGATTACAGTAGGTCCATTCATGCCTGCTCTACAGGTTCTACCTAAAGCATAATGAAAATATCGTAAATATTTTCCTGTATCTGTACTGGATACAGAGGTGATCACTACATACTTGCTTATTAGTTGGTTTTCACAGCAGTCAGGGATGAATTACTTGGAGAGCAAGCCCAAATTTCCCCCGAGTGCTAGTTATTATTATTTTTTAATGTTTTAAGATCTTTTTTAGATAAACAAAAGAAATGGCAATGGCAATGGATATTCACCCTATCCACCCCTGAATTACACAAAGCCCAGAAGAATTCTGATTAATGGCTTAGGATTGTGGGACCTTAATACATGTCATCAAAACCAGTTTTTAGGTGATGCTTAAACTGTGAATACCTGTCATACTTACCTGCCCCTAGGATCTTAAGGGTGGATGATTACATTTTTAAACTTCCTAATAGTGCTTTTGAAATACAGCCTAAAATGAGCAAATGAAGCACTTCAAAGAGAATTGTTTCTATCCATTGAAGTCTGACATGTAACAGCAGAAATTTGGAGATGATCGAATGCCCACCAACAGAGAATTGGTGCACTTATTCCCTGGAATGTGTCATATAGATGTGAATAGAATTGCACAAATCTGTGTGTATTCACATGGCAGAGTGTCCATGATATGATTACCGATCAAGAAGAAGCAAGTACGAGTGGCACGAAGATTCTGAACACAGCCCCATCATGGGCACATATCCAGTCCATCCACAGAAAAGTCCTAGAGGGGCACATACTAAAACGTGCATAGTGGTAATCTCTGTGGACCGGAGTCTGGGCAAACAAGAGGAAGGGCTTTTAGCTTTTACTGTACACATCCCTGCAGTAAACTTTCATTATAATAGTAACTTTTAATAAGCATTTTTCACTTTCTAACCTTTTTAAAAACAAGCAAATATATTTTAATAAAGGTAGTCCTAGACTTGCATGACCTATTATTTAGATTTATTGTCATGCCACCAGAAGTCATTGCCTCTCCAGCCTCCCCATTTATTGATTTTTGTGTGTGTGTGTCTTAAACTTTAGAGATCTAAAAAGATCTGTCTGCTCTATGGCCATGTTCACTGGGCCCTTTTTCTTCCAACGTGTAATAGAGGATGGTGTAATAGAGCGAGTGCAGGCTTTGATTTGGGGTCTGAAAGCAAGGGTTGCATCTTAGCTCCATTATTTCCAAGTCCAGACTTTTCGGCTGCAAGGAAAGAGAAACCCACTGAAGCTGCCTAAGGCCCAAGGAAGGTTAATGTAAAAATATTAATTACACCTGGAAATGAACTGCAGTTGGCGCTTCTGAGAAATGCAGGTAAAAATTGTGAAACAATCAGAGATCTAGCCAACTCCTTTCTCTGTTCACCCCTCACCCCTATCTCACGGCATGTTTCTCTCTGTTCTCTACTTTGTTCTCTTTTCTGACAAAGAGCTTCCTCTTCTTTCTCATAGTTACAATGCCCAGTTTGCTTCATCTGCACACAACTTTCGTTGGTGAAAAATCTGCAGAGGCCTGGACTCCATGGGACCTGTCAGCTTCTCATAATTCTTGGGTCTCTTACTGCTATTGAGAGATCACAAGAATTAAATAACACTTTCTTTAAAAGCCTCTCACATTTTTTGACACAATACACAACAGCTACCCAACTTCTTCAAACCTTAGTGTCCTTGATTGAAAAATTAGATACTAATAGTATCAACATCACAAGGATTTCTGTAAAATGTTTAATATCGTGCCTGTTATATCATAAGTGCTTAATAAATGTTAGGTGACGTTATTGTTACTGTTATTGTTATTATTAAGCCTATCAGGATTATTATCTTAAAGATTTTTAAGAAAATGAATGATGTGCTTAACCCAAGTGGGCAGCTTCATGCATGCCTCAATTTCCATAGAATCTATGAGCAGAGAACAAGAGAAGTGCATGAGTGATGATCTTGACAGATCTGTAAAACAAATCATGATACATCAACAGTTCCTCATGGCCAGGCAACAATGGGAAAAGACAGAAGCAGTCTTATTCCTGTTTGAGGTAAAGACATGTGGAGTTAAATGGAGACAGTGATAACATCATTTAAACCAAAGGCTATTTAGATGCCTTCATTAATCACTAGCAGGAGCTCACTCAGCAGGAAAGGGGGAAAAAAACCTGTGCTGCTCTTTCTTGGTCCAGTGGAAAAGATTGCATGAAGCACATAAGAGAGAACTTCCTGCCAAATGATTAGACACACAGGGAATTTAATAATGAACATTTTTCAACCCGTCGGATGACCCATTCCCCTTCTGCAAATGGAGAGGGCCTGGAATCAACTTTGAAGATGCTCCAACAGACACACAGACATGTTTTCATCTCATGTTTCATACGACATTAGCAAACAATGTGCTTGGCAATACTCTAAACATAACACACCACCATCTGATTAATGGAACGTGTCAGCTCAGCTATCAACACTTAACATTTATTATGCTCAATGACACTCTAGTCTTGGCTCTCGAAATAACAGTTGTTTCAGCGGTAAAAAGTCAAGACAAAAGCGTGAAGTGAAGGCTTTCACATACTTTTCTTCAAATTTTTCAGCAACACAGTTTTTGACAGAGGGCCTTCTGACTGCTCAATTTGACGGCATTCGAACTTATAAAAGCTGAAGTATAGGGTTTCCCAGGGGATGACATAATGAAATAAATGCACTCATGAATATGTATGGTTGGAGGAGGCCATCTGTTCTCCACCAACCTCTTTTCTTACAACTCATAAATGCCCAGCCCCACCCCCACGCCTACCCCACCCTCCAGAAAAAAGCTCCCAAAATGTCTTCGTTTGGAACTTTTAAAAGAAAAGTTTCATCTTGGACCAGAAACATAATTGCAATAAAAATGCTTTTATTGTCAGACTAAAAAAAAAATAACTCAAATAATGCTTTTGTAAACATTCCAAACTGTGAAATTCCAGAATTCAGGGATGAAGTTCTTTACTCTTCACCTAAATTGAAAGCCACCTGAACCTGCTTTCTGAGCTGCAACTATGAGAACAGGTGAAACTTCAATAACCACAGAGTAGAAAATAATCTATCACTCAGGAATTCTGAGTTAGCTCTAGTTGTTGTATATTCAAGTTAAAAAAAATTGAGTTTTTTCCTTGACCCCTATGGAATCCATTGCTCTTTACTAATTTTGCAAACAGAAGATGAGGCCAATCTTACTGTTCAAAGGTTACTAAAAAGAAATTTTCAAGAGATGAGAAAATATAGTCAACAAAGAACAGGAGATGAATTTCTTGGAAAAGTTGATTGCAAGATGACTAAATTTTTTGGTCAACTGAATTCTATTTAAAATGCATAAAGAACATTTGTGCATTATTACAGGATTCTTTTGGTAAGTCTTTTGTAAAGTGGATGCACACAAAAAGAATAATTACTTCTAATTCATTTGCTTTGCAGTTTCAACTTTGTAAATATCTTGCCTTCTTAAAGTATGGAATACTTCTAGTGAGTTCCTCTGGGCTTCAAGAGAAAAATAATGTAAGCTTAAATTATTCTAACAATGATATGGACTTGGAAAATTTTAAAAACATAGTGTTAACAACAGCCCCTGTGCTTTATTAAATTTTCTCATACTAGCCTGCTTGTAGATACGGCCTGTGATAAATTATATGTTTTATCAGAAAACTAAAAAACATAGGACAAAAATATTGTTAAATTCTAAAAGGTAGTGGCCGGGCGCGGTGGCTCACGCCTGTAGTCCCAGCACTTTGGGAGGCCGAGGCGGGCGGATCATGAGGTCAGGAGATCGAGACCATCCTGGCTAACACGGTGAAACCATGTCTCTACTAAAAATACAAAAAATTAGCCGGGTGTGGTGGCGGGCGCCTGTAGTCCCAGCTACTCAGGAGGCTGAAGCAGGAGAATGGCGTGAACCCGGGAGGCAGAGCTTGCAGTGAGCCGAGATCGCGCCACTGCAGTCCGGCCTGGGCGAAAGAGTGAGACTCCGTCTCAAAAAAAAAAGCAAAACAAAAAACAAACAAACAAAATTCTAAAAGGTAGTAAAATGGATTGGAAAGAGCATACATGTTCTAGGATGAGAAGGCTTAAATACTTCCCTGTTTAGTTAATGGCAGTGTGGTCTTGGGCAATCCAACCACACTTTCTATCACTCCACAGTTTTATCTGTTAAATTGGATATCATGGTGCTATTATGTATGGCCTGAAAAGGTAATAATAAATGTGAAAGCATTCTAAAACCAGAAAAGGACTTTATAAAATAAGCCTGAAACACATGTTAAGGTGAATTAATTTATAAATTACATTCACAATAAAAATAAAATGTACTTGCTCCTCAATCTTTTCTTACCAACAAGCATCATCATCTATTCTACATGGTCCCTTACACAGACTAAAACAATTTCACTCATCTTCCCTGTCTGTATCCCGCTACAGTTGCAGGATACTAAACATAACTTGCAACTAATAGAATTGTACCCTACGAATTTGATTCCTAAGAATGTTGCAGAACACCAGCATCCAAAAATGATTCTATCGAAGGGGAAAAGAGCTCTGGGACCTCCTTACAGAAGTCATTTTACATCTCTGTGTTCAGCTGCCTGTCTGTGAAAACATGTTACTGGATAGCATTGCCTCGAAGGCCCCTTGAGACTCTGAAGTTCTGTGATGTTCACAGTGCACTGTAGTCAAGCAAGCACTAGGCTAGTAACCACCAACTGGCTATGTGGTTTTGGATGAGACAAGTTACAAAACCTCTCTGGGCATTAGTTCCTTCAGCTGCAAACTGAGGGGGTTGGGCTATATATCCTCTGAGGTCCCTTCTACCTCTGACACCATATGAGGCTCTAACATTGTGTTAAAATAATTAGTTGGGAGGTCATTAGAGTGAGGTGGCTCCAGCACTCTGGGTTCCTGCATAAGCAAACCAAAACCCAATTCAGCATAAAATACAAAATGAAACTTAAGCTTAGCCGATCAGAAACCACCAACTAACCTCTAATGAGGGACTTTACACTAGAACGATCCAAATAAAGCTACTGCTCCACTTTACCCAACCAAATAATTTCTTTGCCTTGCTCCTGTAGTCACCCTGTAAAAAATCCTTCCTTTCATTCCCTTCATCAGAGCCCCAAACTGGTCACAGTCTGGAGCTACCTAGTTCATGAATTGCTACCTGCTCAAACTCTTGAAAATTCTAAAGCATTTATCTCTTACATATAATTGAAGTGAAGGACAAATGGCCTGGTGCCATGTAAATTGCTTCCAGAGGCTGGGAACCATGTAGGCAGGGCCCCTGCCATTAAAAATAAAAAGTCTCATCTTTTTTTGGCATTTGGGCAGAATGTGTGATTTTTGTAAGCAATATCATTCTTTTCAGACAAATTAGGGGTCCAGAAAAAAATGTGTCACAGGCTAGATTTTTTTAAAAGTATAGTGTCATATTTTCATTTTAAAAAGTCAGTTAGAGAAACGCTACATGCTGAGAATGTATGTCAACTAGGCCTATAAAGGTTTTTACAAGTGGAACATCATAAGTATATTTTCCAAACACTTCAAAGTTGTAAATGTTCCAGCTTTTACTCAAAGAAGATGGTGGTGAAGCTCCAATTTGACAGAAATACAAAATTTCGATGGTTTCATGATCTGTTTCAATTGTGAAAATCTTTCTAAATTGTATTAGACCAGCATCTAGAATGTACATTTTAGCATTTTGCCCAGTCCTATACAAAACAAATTTAACACAAGGTTTCATGACAAAGAGACAAATGACCACTCCAAAAAGAGATGGTTTAGCCATCAAGGGACTTTGACAAGCTCAAGGGCCAACCCAAGGATCTCTACTGCATGTTAATCCTGATTCCATTGCACAGAGAATTTGTAGAAGATGCAAATGTTGGATAAACTCAGCAGTAATCTTTTAAGACTGGCTAATCCTTATTAATTTGGAATACACTTCTTGAATGATCGGAAGCCTGAGTAACGTAAATCTTAGTCAAGGAAATGCTCTTAATGAGTGAATGCAGAATATTAATTCAAAATTATCATTGATGGAAGCATTCCACTTGAAACCGGTGTAAGACAAGGATCCCCTCTTTCACCACTTCTATTCAACATTGTATTGGATGTCCTGGCCAGAGCAATCAGGCAAGAGAAAGAAATAAATGTCATCTGAATGGGAGTAGAGGAAGTCAAACTATCCCTGTTTGCAGATGACATGATCCTGTATGAAGAAAACCCCATAGTCTCAGCCCAAAGCTTCTTAAGCTGATAAACGACTTCAGCAAAGTCTCAGGATATGAAATCAATGTGCAAAAGTCATTAGCATTCCTACACACCAACAACAGTCAAGCCAAGAGCCAAATCAGGAACAAACTCCCATTCACAATTGCCACAAAAAGAATAAAATACCTAGAAATACAGCTAACTAGGGAGGTGAAAGATCTCTACAAGGAGAATTATAAACCACTGCTCAAAGAAATCAGAGATGACACAAACAAATGGCAAACATTCCATGCTCATGGATAGGAAGGATCGATATTGCCAAAATGGCCATACTGCTTAAAGCGATTTATAGATTCAATGATATTCCTATTAAACTACCATTGAGATTCTTCACAGAACTAGAAAAAACTATTTTAAAATTCATATGGAATCAAAAAAAGAGCCTGAATATCCAAGGCAATCCAAGGCAAAACGAACAAAGCTGTAAGCAGCATACTACCCAACTTCAAACTATATTGCAGGGCTAGAGTAACCAAAACAGCATGGTACTGGTACAAAAATAGACATATAGACCAACGGAATATAAAAGAAAACCAAAAATAAGACTGCACACCTGTAACTATCTGATCTTCAACAAACCCAACCAAAACAAGCAATGGGGAAAGGATTCCCTATTCAATAAATAGTCCTGGAATAACTGGCTAGCCATATGCAGAAGACTGAAATTGGACCCCTTCCTTACACCATATGCAAAAATTAACTCAAGATAGAATGAAGACTTAAGTGTAAAACACCAAACTATGAAAACCCTGGAAGACAACCTATGCTGCACCATTCAGGACACAGGAATGGGCAAAGATTTAATGACGAAGATGCCGAAAGCAATTGCAACAAAAGCAAAAATTGACAAATGGGATCTAATTAAACTAAAGAGCTTCTGCACAGCAAAAGAAACTACCAACAGAGGAAACAGACAACTTACAGAATGGGAGAAAATTTCTGTAAACTATGCATCCAGCAAAGGTCTAATATCTAGTACCTATAAGGAACTTAAACAAATTTACAAGAAAAAAACCCATTAAAAAGTGGGCAAAGGACATGAACAGACACTTCTCTAAAGAAGACATACATACAGCCAACAATTATATGAAAAAAAGCTCAAAATCACTGATTACTAGAGAAATGCAAATCAAAACCACAATGCGATACCGTCTCACATCAGTCAGATTGGCCATTATTAAAAAGTCAAAAAATAACAGATGCAGTGAGGTTGTAGAGAAAAAGGAATACTTTTATGCTGTTGGTGGGAATGTAAATTCATTCAACCATTGTGAAAGACAGTGTGGCAATACCTCAAAGACCTAAACACAGAAATACTATTCGACCACGCAATCCCATTACTGGGTATATACCCAAAGGAATATGAACCATTCTATTATAAAGACACATACATGTGTATGTTCATTGCAGCACTATTCACAATAGCAAAGACATGGAATCAACCTAAACATCCATCAATGATGGACTGGATCAAGAAAATGTGGTACATATACACGATAGACTGGATAAAGAAAATGTGGTACATATACACCATGGAATACAGCCATAAAAGAGAATGAGATCATGTCCTTTCCAGGGACATGGATGGAGCTGGAGGCCACTATCCTTAGCAAATTTATGCAGGAACAGAAAACCAAATACTGCATGTTCTCAGTAATAATTAGCTAAATGATGAGGACATATGAACACATGAAGGTGAACGACACACACTGGGGCCTATCGGAGGGTGGAGGGTAGGAGGGGGAGATAATCATGAGAAATAAATAATAGGTACTAGACTTAATACCTGAGTAATGAAATAATCTGTATAACAAACCCCCAAGACACAAGTTTACCTATGTAACAAACCTGCACGTGTACTCTTGAACTATTACCTTAAAAATAACAGTTCAACAACAACAAGAAGCACAACAAAATTTAGCACTGAAATCAGCCTAGGTCCTGTTGGGAATTGCTCAATTGTATGTGTTTCATTCAAAATCCATTAGTAAAACAAAGTACAGCAGGATATCTGGACTACAACCTCCATCTTCTTTTTGGACCACTTTTTGAAAATAGCTTTATTAATGTACAATTTACATAATATAACATTCACCAATTCAAGTATATGATTTAATGATTTTGGGTAATTTTTCAGAGTTGTGCAAATATCATCAAAATCTAGTTTCAGAACATTTCATCACCCTCAAAATGATTCTCCGCAGCCATTTGCTGTCAATCCCCACTCTGCCTAGGCAACCAATCATCTGCTTTCTGTTTATAGATTTGCCTTTCCTAGGCTTTTCACCTAAAATCATGTAGACACTGTGTAGTGTTTTGCATCTGGCTTCTTTCACTTGGCTTAACAATTTTGAGGTCCATCCATGTTGTAGCGTCTATCAGTATTTAATTCTGAATGGTATTCTATTGTATGGATGCGTATTTTCTAAAGCACATTTTCTTTAGAAAATAGACATTTGGTATGTTTTTACTTCTTGGCTATTATAAATAATGCTGCTATGAATTTTTGTGTACAAGCCTTTGTATGAAGATAGGTTTTTCAATTCTCCAGTTATCTAGGTAAGGAATTGCCATGTCAAATGGTAAGCATATGTTTAATTTTTTAAGAAACTGTTGAACTGTTTTCTGGTGTGGCTGTAGTACTTTATATTCCAGGAATGTGAAGAGATCCAATTTCTCCATATCTTTACCAACATATGTTATTTTCTGTCTTTTTAATTAAAGTCATCGCAGTGGGCGTGCAGTAGAATTTCTTTGTGGTCATAATTTGCTTTTCCCCAGTGAATAATGACGTTGAGCACCTTTTCATATGCCTATAATTCATTTGCATCTTTTCTATAATGAAATGTCTATTCAAATCTTTTGTTCATTTTTAATCAGCATGTTTGTATTATTATTGAATTGTAAGATGTTTTCATATATTATGGGTACAAGTTATTTATCATCTATATTCTTCGCAAATATTTTCTTCAAGTCTGTACTATGTCTTCACTTTTTAATTGTATCCTTTGACACACATTTTTTTTCATTTTAATCATTTGATTTATCAATTTCTTTAATGGATCATATTTTTGATATTGTATCTAAGTAGTCTTTGCCTAACCCAAGTCACAAAGATTTTCTTCTAAAAGTTTTAGTTTTAGTTCTTACATTTAGGCCTGATCCATTTTGATTTAAGTTTTGGGTGTGGTATGAGGTAAAGGTCTAAATTCATTGCTATGAATTTGTATACCATATTGTCCCAGCTCTATTTATTCAAAAGACTATCATTTTTCCAGTTAAATTTCCTGTGCTTTGTTGTCAAAATCAATTAACCATTAATATAAATTACTTTCTTTTTTTTTTTTGTAGAGACAGGGTCTCACTCTGTCACCCAGGCTGGAGTGCAGTGGTGCAGTCATAGCTCACTGTAGCCTTGAACTCCTGGGCTCAAGCAATCCTCCTGTCTTGGCCTCCCAAAGTTCTGGGATTACAGGCATGTGCTGTTGCACCCAGCCAAATTACTGATTTTTTAAAGAGGCAATATGGAATAGTGCTTAAGAGTTTGAGCTTTGGATTCAAACAACCTGGGAAGGAAACTTAATTCCATCTTTTAGTAGCTGTATGGCTTGGGGCAAGTGACTGAACCTCTCAGCACAGCAAGACCCTCATCTGTAAACGGAGGATAATAATAGTACCTAGCTCCTGATGCTGTTTTGGGGATTAAATGAGATGATACATGTAAAGTACTTAAATGAGAACCTGGCATGGAGTAGTAAATGCTCAGTCCATGAGAGCCGTCATCATCATTTTCTCTAGTGGCAAAGACAGGAAGAACCAGTTCAGCTTCTTTGTACCTTGGAGTACAAACTGGAGCCAGCTGGCCAAAATATGGAGGATGTGAAATCCCTGGGGTGGGGGGATTGCGGGGATGATTCTGCTTTTTACCTGGTGATCCTATCCATTTTCTCCTTTTCATTATTTCATTTTTTTTACTCCCAGTTTTGTTCAGGTGGCACTTTGCCTTTGTAAAATACTCACCTCTCCAGACTCCCTTGCTGCTAGGAGTTATTTTTTGATCCAGTTTCGGCCAAGGATATACAGTAGTCCTCCTTATCCGCAGTTTTGCTTTTTGCTGTTTCAGTTACCTAGGGTCAACGGTGGTCTTAAAATATTAAATAGAAAATTTAAGAAATATACAATCCGTAAGTTTTAGATTGTGTGCCATTCTGAGTAGCATAACAAAATCTCATACTGTCCTGCTCCATCGCACCTGGGATGTGAATCGTTTCTTTGTCCAGCAGATCCATGCTGTAGATGTCACCCGCCTGTTAATCACTTAGGAGCCATATAGATGATCAGATCCACTGGCGTGGTATCACAGTGCTTGCCTTTAACGAACTCTTATTTTACTTAAAAATGGCCCCAAATGTAAGAGTAGTAATGCCGCATATTGTTATAATTGTTTTATTTTATTATTAGTCATTGTTGTTAATCTCTTACTAAGCCTAATTTATAAACTAAACTTTATCATAGGTATGCATGTATAAGAAAAAACATAGAGTTTGGAACTATCCATGGTTTCAGGCAACCTCTGGGGGTCTTGGAATGTATCCCCTATGAATAAGGGGGGACTACTGTATAAACAGAATAAACTGTGTGGGCTTTCAGGGACAGCTATTGATTTCCTGATAAAAAGTAGACAACCTAAGCTGGCATGGATGATTTTCCCTTCAACCATCTCTCTTGGTCCTGCTTGGATCATAGCCACAAGGCTAAAGGGGGAGCAGTTGTCTTGTAGCTGCAAAGGCAGAAAGTCTCATGTTAGGGGTGATGGAGCAGAAAGTTCCAAGCTGACCTGAGAAACTGGGGCAGTGGTGACTTGCCTATCCCTGGGTGTCTCGTATGGCCTTGTTACACTTGTAATAGCTACTAGTTATTGAGTACCTATGACTGCCAAAATAGTTTACGTACATACGCTCTAAACACTGCAAAAAGCTTTGTTGGATGCATTTTACTCTTTCCACTTTAGAGATGAGTAAACTGGAAATCAAATAAGTTTAAATAAGCTGCCTGGGTATAAGCAGTGGCCAAGAGGTAGAAATGGGCTCCAACGCAGATGCACCTGGCTCAAAGTGCAGCCAGGACACTGCAGAACTGTTCACAGCTGTCCCCAAGTGCAGAATGACTTATTTCAGGGTGGGATCCAGGTCTAGTGTCTTATATGTATCACATACGCATCACATATGCAGCCGCCTCCTTCTCTTCTTCAGGCTGGGAAGAGGGATGAAGAGAGCGTGGTCAATAGGTACAAACAAACAGTTAGATGGAAAGTGTAAGTTCTAGTATCCATCACAGCAGGGTGACTATAGGAAACAGCAGTGCATTGCCTACTTCAAAATAGCTAGAAAAGATCTGAAGTGTTCTCAACACGAAAAAATGATACATGTTTGAGGTGATGGGTATCCTAAATACTCTGATTTTATCACTACACATTGTGTGCGTGTATCAAAATATCAAGTGTCCCATAAATACGTACAATTATTATGTATCGATTTTTTAAATGGGGGCAAGGTTTTGTCTTCTTTTGCCTTGCAAAGCTCAGAACCAAGCCTATACATTTTAAGTCGATATTTTTCTTCAAGGAAATGAACATTTAGTAGCAAACAGACAAAGTTTCAGGTAACTGTTTTTAATAAAAATGGTCAAGTAATTGACCATTGGTTGTTGTGTGGGCTTCATAGATTAATGGGGAGTAACAGAGTAATTTAAAGCATTTAGGAATTCACTTCATAGAAAACATCCTTAGGTGGAAAGTAAGCCAAACATCTCCCCACTTCCTTCCCACTCAGCTGGCTGCCCTTTCCCTCCAAAGAATATTAATTGCACCTCTCTGGCCTTCTAGAATGTGAAAGGTTCTAAACAGACATATTTTCCATACTTAGCACCGGTACAGTGGCTTGGATAAAGGTGAATTAGGAACCGAAACAGGTTTTGTTGTTGTTTTATTTTGGCTTGGTTTTCAACTATAGTTTCACTTTGGACAGCATTTCGCAAGCAAATATCCAGAGAAATATTAATATGCTCCTTAGGCCGGGCACGGTGGCTCACGCCTGTAATCCCAGCACTTTGGGAGGCCGAGGCGGGCGGATCACAAGGTCAGGAGATCGAGACCATCCTGGCTAACACGGTGAAACCCCGTCTCTACTAAAAATACAAAAATTAGCCGGGCGTGGTGGCGGGCGCCTGTAGTACCAGCTACTCGGGAGGCTGAGGCAGGAGAATGGCGGGAACCCGGGAGGCGGAGCTTGCAGTGAGCCGAGATGGCGCCACCGCCCTCCAGCCTGGGAGACAGCGAGACTCCGAATCAAAAAAAAACCACAAATATATATATGTGTGTGTGTGTGTGTGTGTGTGTGTGTGTGTGTGTGTGTGTATGTGTGTGTGTGTATATATATATGTGTGTGTATATATACACATGCTCCTCAGAAGAAAGCCCCATGGTCAGTTTTGGAAACGGTCTTTCTTAGAAATTCCTAATTCAGATTAGCATATTAAAAGTTCTGAGGGGAAAACAATTTTTAACTTTGCATAAGCTGATGTTTCGCAAAAGTATTTGACCCCAAAATTTTCTTATTTATAACACCTATTGATATTTGTAGAACATTGATACTATGTGGGACATAGTATTGCTGTTTTAGGAGAATTTTTTAAATGCTCCAATTGATTTGTTAAACTACTTAGCCGGTCTCAGTCTAGGGCAGGGGTCAGCAACTTATAAAAGCTGGCTTGGGATCTGTTTTTATAAGGCCCAGAAGCTAACAGTGGTTTTCACATTAGTAAAGAGTTGTAAAAACAAAAACTAAGATAACAACAACAAAAAACGATTGAGCAACAGAGACCTAAAACATTTACTATCTGGCCCTTTATAAATAATCTTTACGTACACCGCCCTAGGAAATTAACCTTTAAAAAATTAAATCCATGTGTCCTGAGTGCATAAAGTACAATTTTTTTAAAATGGGGGTTGGGGGGTGGGGAGGATGGACAGAAGGAAGGGACAAGCCTGGCTTCCAAAATGTAGTGGGTGATATAACAAGAGAAAGGACCCTACGGACTGCGCAGAATAATTTTCTAGCATCTTCCCTATAACAGCTCATCAAGTATTCTCTCATTCAGAGTAAATGTCTCCAGTTCCATCACCTTTCCTCATAAGTGTCTGAGTCTCCTCGACACCATGGTCCCTTGTCTCCAAGTTGTTCCAGTTGGTCTACATACCTCTCAAACTATGGTGTCCAGGCTAGCTGTTACTCTACTCGTACCTGAGGGATGCCAAGCGCAAAGGGCCTTCCTCTCCTGTCTCCCCAGGTCAGAGGACACAAACCAGCCAGCGACATGCCAAATCACACACAGGGCTTTTGTTAAGTCTACCCAATGTTTTAAAATACAGTTGACCCTTGAATAATGTGGGGGTTAGGGGCTTTGAGCCCTGTGCAGTTGAAATTCGCTTATTACTTTTGACTCTCTCAAAACTTAACTACAAATAGCCAGTGTTGACCAGAGGCCTTTCCAATAACATAAACAGTCAGTTAACACTTATTTTGTATGTTTTATGTATTACATACTGTATTCTTACAATAAAGTTAGCTATAGAAAAGAAAATGTGATTAAGAAATCATAAGGAAGAGAAAATACATTTACACTACTGTACTGTATTTGTTAATCCCAGGAGTTTATATCATCTGTTTACAAGATGAATTGTCTGTCTGAAATGGTGGACAGCCACAGCTGCAAACCTCAATCTATTGTACATTTCAAGCAATTAAACATTTTCTCATAATGTCATGACTTTTCTCTGCCTCTTGCATCTGTTTCCAGTATCACTAGTGGCCTTTTGTGTGAATCCCATTGTGTTATTCAAGGCTTATGGTTTGCACTAAACACGATGAAAGATATGGGATAACCAAGGGAGATCATTTTTTACTGCGATATGAAATGTACTGGAGAGAGAGACTGCTCACATTGAGATGATCTGCATCACATGGCTCACCACTATAGCAACAGGAGTGGCTACAAAATTATGACAGTAGTAGAGTGTGTACTACAGTTAACTTTATGCCTTGTAATTTAATACTGCATCTTTGCATCTTTAATATGTTTATATTTCTTTCAACTGAAAATGGCACTACACATGATCTGTGTTTGTGCGAATACGTTTTGATAAATTTTAAGTTTTATAATAGATTTGTGCATATTTTATGGTATTAAATGATAAAACATACTAGTACATACATATATTTTATCCATTCATGACATACCTAACATTTCCCTAACTTTTTCCATATTTCTAGACTATGCAGTTCATCTGGGCGAGGTTTTTCAAATTGTTGCAAATCTCCAAAAACTTTCCCAATGTATTTATTGAAAAAAAATCCACATATAAATGGACGCATGCAGTTGAAACCCATGTTTTTCAAGGGTCAACAGCATAGGAAAAGAACACACTAAAGTCCAGCCTTTCAGTTTTCCTGGAGGAAAGAACATATGGAAATATCTGAAAACTTCAGTTCTGCCTCCTCCCATGACACAAGGAGCCAAAGCTGAGTAGTGGCTACTCCATTTGACCAGGCACAGCTCCCTATTTTGCCATAGTTCTCACCGCTTCCTAGTGTTGTCACCGAGCCTATCTCACTCATTAGCACTTCCTGCCTGGTCCCTAAGGCATTTGCATCTGTAGCCTATTTTACTCATTAGCCCATGACCTATTTCTAGAAACATTTGTTTATATATCTACCTATATATTTTGAAATCATTTAATAGCAGAGAATAGGCCTTAAAGAAATTCTAAATTGGTATGAACTTGTGATAGAGAAAAAGCTCAGGGAAAGATCCAGAACCTGCTTGCCTTGGTAGTTCGGACTGACCTCAGTGACAGGGGCTCTGCACAACGGGGGTTGGGGTGTGTTGGGAATGCTTGGGACTAGAAACAAAAAGGGGGCAGTGTTTGAGGATGGAGCCAAGGGGAAAGAGCCCAGGATGAGAAGACAGAATCCCTGGGTTCTAGTGCTCACTCTTCCACTTAATCTACTTTGTGTTATTTGGTCGACTGCTTAGCCTCTCTGGGCAACAGCCAGCTCTTCTACAATCTGCAGCGAGGTAGCACCCGCCTTGGCCTCCTTGGTTTGTGAATGCCCAGTAAAATCAAGTCATAAGGGCAGAAACACTGTAACATTTATGAAGTACAACGTATAAGTAAGGTATCATTACTCCCGAGCTTTCTAATTTGGCCTAAGGCTGACCTGGTGGAAACAAATCAAAAGCACAAACAAAACAACAGGAAAATCAAACACAAACCCCATAAAAAGAAAGAGCTAAGTTCCTCTAGGACTAAGACACATCCATCTTTTCCACTGTAAACTGCGTGCTGTTAAAAGGCACAGATGGACCCAGCATGAACTGCTAAAGATGGATAAGGATGGCCTCATGTTTACCAAATTTCAGACCAACTAGGCTTTTTGGCTCAAGACACCAGCCTTGTGGACACAGAGAGTCAAAGGTGAGGCGTGGCTTAGTTTGAGATGATCTGGCCACCACTGAGATCAGCAGGGCTCCCATGCGATATTCAGAAAGGGCTCTTCACTTTAACCTCAGTTTTAACTCTCCCTGCTCAAAGTTCTCCAGCCTCCCAACTCCCACATGAACAAATTCTACAACAATTCTCTACCTGCCCCTCCCAGACACTCCAAGGAATTCTGTGTTGTTCAGAACAATGGCTGCATTCACACTTTCTGGAAGCCTGGTGTCAAGGACAGACACATCCACATGAACACTGCTTGCCACATTCCCTGGAGGAAGCCAAGGATGAGCTGTGTCATGTTGCTGCAAAAGAAGAAAAGAAACTTTGGAAAATGGAAGCAGCAGAAAATATTCCTACTGGGGACTATTTGAGCTCAATATCTATCCCAAAGTCATGAATTTCAGTGTGGATAGCAATTTAGAGATTTTTTTTTCCTGGCTGTAATTTTCATTTGATAATTTTCCAACATCTAAATCATTGTTCACGTTAGAATAACTGATGATAGTTAAGCCCGTTCTTTTCCCGTGTATTTGATCTCAGAACTAAGGTTTGAATGGGAGCACCACATTGTAGTTGAAAAGCTGTTCTCGCACTAGTTCTGCAATCTATATTGAAAGAGTTCTTTGCAGAAGAAGGGAAGTTAAAGGAGGGTCGATTTGGACTCTCAGTACAGAAGAATGGCTCACAGCTGTCAAAGCTGACAAAGGATGGACTTTATGCTTCAAAACACCGTGCTCAAGAAGAGCAAGACAAATTTTTGCACTGGGGGATCTAAGAGAAAATCAAACATCAGTAGGGTGATGGACTAGAATCTAGATGACCTTCCAGGTTCCTTCCAACTCTTTTGTGCCAATGTTTTCTGTTTGGGCCAAGAATAACAGTATTGTCCAAGAGCTGGTTTGTACGACTAGAGGCAAGGCATGCACAACCAGCAAGAAGTGCCTGCAGTGTGATTTGTAGAGTGATGCTGAGGTTCTCTGCCCCAAACTAACATTCCCACCACTCGGGCAGAGTAACATTGAAAATTACATTTAAGAAAATGCCAGGTTTGGATTGCATATTTTAACAGAAGTGTGGAGACTGTTACTGTTAAAAAAAAATTTAAGTCTATATTCGGCCAGAGTAAAGAGAAACTGAATCAACTTTCTCTAGCCAAAATAGAAAGCCTTAATAAAAAGGAGAGATGGTAGGGATAAGGATAACGATAATAGTTTAGTAGAGAACCTGTTATATGCGAACACTATACCAGGTGTATTACATAAATTATGTCATTTAAACTTCACTATTACACCCTCCTACCCCCATTTTAAAGATAAATAAACCACATCTCAGATAAGCTAAGCCACATGCCCAAAGAATGGGTGGCAGGTGCGTAATTTCAACAAGTACTCTGTGACTCTTGCCAAGAAGCTTCATTTGTAAGAACAAGAAAGGAGAGGCCAGTTCTGAGATGGTAGCAGAGGAGGTTGGTGGGAACACTAGAAGTGTGGTGCTGGGGAAGAGAAATCTCGTTATCTCAAACAACTTGGAGCAAGCCCAGAGCCCTCCTGGACATCCATGCTTGGGAGAAGTTGGAGTAATCAACCCATACAGTACTCCCATTTGGGGATTTTGTTTTCAGAATTAATCTCTACCTCCTTCTACCCTCCTGACTGGGAATCTACAAGCTGTGGAAGTCTGAAGAGGAAACCAAGTGGCTCCTGCAGAAGTTTAGGGGAGCCTGCCTTAACACAAAGGATCCAATGCAAGTCAGTTTACACTGTGACCACAGCCTCTCTCAAATGGGGGGGCATTAAGAATGTAAAGGAAGGAACAGATTTGAGACCCTGTGGAGGAAGGAGTGGCAGGTCGGCTGTCTGGTAGCAGATTAGACAACAGGGCAGGAAAGAAATCAAAGTCAAAATGGTCTCCAAAGTAGACTTGTCGCTGCTTCTGGGCAGAAGCTGTGCTCCCGGGTCAGTGAGGACAGAACTCCTAGCACAGTGCATGAAGACAGATTTCAAGTGTTTGAGCATGAATAATTGGGAGATATTTGGTAACATGGAATGAAGAGTTATGGCAATTAATTTGATGGAGGCCAAAAGAGAGGGGAAAGATGGTAATTCTGTTTAAGACATGACTGAGGCCAGGCGTGGTGGCTCACGTCTGTAGTCCCAGAACTTCGGGAGGCCAAGGTAGGCAGGTTGCTTGAGACCAGGAGTTCGAGACCAGCCTGGGAAAAATTGCAAAGTCCCCTTTTTACCAAAAAAAAAAAAAAAAAAAATTAGCCAGGTGTGATGGCATATGCCGGTAGTCCCACTACTCAGGCGGCTGAGGTGGGAGGGTCCCTTGAGCCTGAGAGGTTGAGGCTGCAGTGAGCTATGACTACACCACTGCACTCCAGCCTGGGCGACAGAGTGAGAACCTGTCTCAAAAATAAAATAAAATAAAAAATAAATAAATAAAAAATAAAAGCATGACTGAGTTTTTGGTGTATTGATAAATAAAATTCAAATAAGCCCTAACATTTTTATTCTAAAAGAGAACATACGTAAATGCCCTGAAGGGATTCTCTCCCCTCTGACATTCAATGAGTCATTGCCAATTAACTCCCTGGACACTTAAACTCATGCCGCAAATGACTTCAACTTTTTTGATGACCGCACTAGACCATATTATTTCCTTCAGTACATATTTCTATCCAGGATTCATTCAACAAATATTCATGGTGCATGGCCCAAAAGTGTTCAGGATGATCCAGATGTTGAGACTAACCTCAGGAAGCTAAGAACCTAATGGAGTGACGAGTCAGGTCCATGAATGACCAGAAATTATATTCAGAATTTTTAACAAATGTAAGGCATGGGCACTGACCAATCAGAATGGATTTCTCTATAGAACTGCATTAGGGTGTTGGAGGACCCCTGGCATTCCAGGCATTACTCTTTCAGTTGTTGGATCATAGGGAGATTCAATGGGGCTGGGAGTGGGGCCAGGGTTCTGGGTCACTCAGGGTGTTTAGGAAAGAGACTATTTACTAATTGATTCAATTTTACAGTCACTGGTACATCAGAATTAGTATATACTTGTTGATTATCAACCCTATAGGAGATATTACAGAGGCAAGAAATCTATCAGTTAGCTATAACTACCTAACAAACTCCCCTAAAGCACTGTGACTTTAAATAATGGCTATCAATTACTATGTTTCATGGGTGACAAATGAGTCAACTGATCTTGACTGGATCCATTCATGTGTCTTAGCCAACTGGGACCTCTACTCTGAGTGGAGCTTGACTGAGAACACCTTACCTCCACATGTCTCTCTTTCTCCTCTGGGACCAGTGACATAGTCCAGGTACATACTACTCATAGTGGTAGCACAGGTGCAAGAGGGAGCCCAATCACGTAAGTGCTTTTCCAAGTCTCAGCTTGCATTCTGTCTGCTAAATCTCATTGGCCAGAGCAAGTCATATGACCGAATAATTCAGAATCAAGGAGTGGGGCAATATCCTCCACCTTCTGATAGGAGGAGCTGCAGTCTCATGGAAAAGTTAATGGATACAGGAAGGGCTCAGGAATGCAGTCTATCACAGCGCCTCTCTCTCTCTCTCTCTCTCTCTCTCTCTCTCTCACACACACACACACACACATATACATACACACACACACATACACATACTCTTGCTCTCTCTCTCATCTGTTTAGTGTCCATTTCTACTTCTGAAAAGAGCACCTTAACTCTCCCTTAGGGAACAATACCTCCTCTGCTTTTGGTCCAAGGATTGTTGACTCTATCTCCCAGATCCCAAGAGTGGAGTATGGTTCAGCTCTCCACAATCACAGCATTCTATTCATTTTGGCCATGGTCATTAGTTCAGCAATAGGCATGTGACCCAAGTCAAGCTGATGGAATTAAATTCTAGGAGTTTTGTTGGAGTTATTAGGAAAGAAAAGTCTCTTTCTAAGGAAGTTGTTGAGAGGCTAAAACATAAGCCTATAGCTTCTGATAGCTATCGTGTTACAACGAGAGGAAACCTTGAGAATGTATCAGTTCAGAGGAAAACAGTGAGAGATTGAGCACATAAAACTGAATAAATAATGCTGATATCTTTTGATCCCCTGACTCCAACTGTGCCTGAACCATCACTCCTAAGATTTTCAGTTGTATGTGGCAATACCTCTACCCCCGACTTTTGTTTTTAACTAAATCAGTTTGAATTAGATTGGAGAGAGAGAAAACTAACTGTTAAGAAAACTAAATGAGAGAATTATTTTGGCCAGAAGGATTAAGGTAGGTTATTTAGAGAAGTTGTCATTTGAGCTAACCACTGTCTTGTTTAATGTCTCAGCATTTTTTGTTTTGTTCTGTTTTGTTTTTAATGCCTAAGAAACCCTTTCAATTCTTCATTCCCTGGGAAAGATAATTTACATGAAAAAGTACAGCAACAGCTGACACGCTTTGAAAAATGAGTTGTTGGCCACCTCTTTCATTTCTACTTGGCAAGTTTTAGGATGAAAATGAGATCTTTCCAGACAACACCCTAGTTAATTTTCCAGTTGGTCTAACACTGTATTTAAGAAACTTGCCTCCTAAGAGATTAGTTGGGCCCCACTGCGTTAGCGTGGCAATGTAACCCAATTGCTAAGCAGTTAATCTATTCATTATGTATATTTTCATTCTCAATTTTTTTTTTCTGAGAACCAACTGAAGCATGAGGGATAACATGGCTTTCTTAAGCAATTGCTTTCAAGTCCTGATGAAGAAATTTCCAAGCATAGATTTCAGCACAGTCTTTCTCAAAGTGGTCAAAGTCAGCTAGAAGGTTATATCTATAGGTGCCTTCTCTATAAGATACTCCTTCTCCCAAACAGAATTCATATTTCAATCAAGGTGACTCACACTTGGTCTTCTTTACATTTAGATGTCTCTCCATACACTCCATGCCTTTCTGAAATATCCTCTAGGACTGAAAATGTAATGCATTAAATAAAATCTCCAGAGACGTTCATATATCATCCCAACTGTTCCACTCAGATGGGTAATATTGACTATTCCAACTGTTTGTGCTGACGCTAATGTTAGAGACTAAAGAAATATCAAGGAGGAATATCTGTACAAATTTGCAAATGCTCATGGAACAACCACGGTAACAATTCCCACAGAAACATTAATATCCTAAGCTAACAGACGGAAAAAGAAATAAGCATGAACACAGTCCTATGGCCTCTCATTGCCCATTTTGAGACACCAAAGCATAAATTCATGCGTGTGTGTGTGTGTGTGTGTGTTTGTGTATCCAAACCAAGTATAAAATTAAACAATTACCAGGAAACCTCATTATTGTGGAAGGCCAAGCCCGTACTCATCAGCCACAAATTGTAGTCCTCAAGTCTCAATGTCTTGTTGATTACCTTCACATCACCTTCACATGCACTCCCACACCCCAAACACTCTGCTCAATCTTGGCGCTTTATCTGTTCACCAAATTCTTCAGAGCACAGGCAGGCACAGGTGCTTATGTTCTGGGCAGCCCCTTTTCATGTTTGTGATAATGTTGCCAATTTGAGAAATCAGTCATCATTTGGCTAGAGAAACTGTTTTGGAATGTTTCAGCTAAAGTTGGATTCACTTTTCTTGCAATTACGCTCAGAAGATAAAATGACACTGCAAAATGCCACCCGACAAGTCCCCTACCCAGTTTTCCCCACGTTCCTGCTCAGATGCAGGAGGAAGACTGATTACAGCAAGGGAAGGAAGAGCATCCTTCCACACTCCCCATTTCACCTTCCATCCTTGTTTATTTTTTTTTCTTTCTTTTTTTCATTTCCCAGCATCAGGCCATGCTCTGTGCCAGGTGGAAGAGGACGCAGGGGTGAGCAAAACAGACACAGACCTTTCAATTCTGTAATATTCACACTCATGAATGCAAAACTGAAAATGTAGAAAGACGGTTGAAGGAAAAAGGTTCTAGGGAAGTATGTAGCCAAGAAACCTGCCTCAGTGATAGGTCTGGGAAGGCTTCCCTGAGGAAGCCACTATTGAGCTGAGATCTGAAGAAAGAATAGGAGTCAACCAAGAGCATTCAGAATGTAAGTACAAGAGGCACTACTGCCCTTTAGAGGGAGGAAAATTGGCAAATTCAGGACATAAGAGAAACCCAGTGTGGCTGGAAAGCAGAGAGCAAAGAGTGTACTGTGTAGGACCCTGTTGATCAGAGAAAGAATTTTAAGGGGCCTCTGGAGAGAAGAATTGTTGAGTTAAGGTAATGCTAGGCAGGCAGCAGCAAGTTATCCAAAAGTTTTCAACTAGTTGGCCTGATAGGGCCATATGGGATGATATGATATTGAAAGAATTTTGTATCGATTGGTAAATCATTGCTTCAGTAACCCTGGGACTTCTCCTCAGTGCCCCTGCTACCTAACCTTCTGGAATATTCCAGTTATCCTTATGATCTAGCAACTAAAGGTAATAATGGCTAGCACACTGGAAACCCTCTGTGACAACCTTCTAGTACCAGGGTGGTTGGTACCCAGACCTTACCACTTATTAAATGTTATGAATATAAGTCCTGCTGTGCCTGCAACAGTGCCCAAAAAGTCAGAAACACTCAATGGGCATTTGTTGCATGAACTGAATAGAATCACGTCCTAATTCACTAGAGACCCAAAATGAACAGAATCTTCACACAACTTCAGCAGCCTCAGGAAGCCAAGGTCAAAAGGCAGACAGCCTGGGATTGCTATGAAATACAGGAAATTATTTAATGGGAAATGAGGGATGATAAGGCCAAAGCTGAAGTCTCACAGAAGCTGAGTTGCAGTGCTAGTGAGTCCTTGTCTTCTTTTTAAGATGGATGCTTAGTTTTTCTGTTCAATTCTGTTTGATGGGTGACCCCTCCCAAGCTTGAAGGGAACATATTCCCAGCTGGATAAAATCAGCCACTGGAATTCTATACTTTCCATATCCATATTAAATGCACAGATTTCACATTGGACTCTACAATAACATTAACTGTGTAATTTGAATGTATTAATCTTCAAAGAGAAAATAAAGGTAGCACTTTAAAAAAACTGTAAGCTTTAAGAAGCAAAAACAAAAAATGTATATTGATATTTTCTACAACAGGGGTCCCCAGTTCCTGGGCCACGGACCAGTACTGGTCTGTGGCCTGTTAGAAACCAGGCCACATAGCAGGAGGTGAGCACTGAACAAGCAAAGCTTCATCTGTATTTACGGCCACTCCCAATCTCTCACATTACCACCTGAGCTCCACCTCCTGTCAGAACAGCAGCAGCATTAGACATTCATAAGAGTGCAAAGTGTATTGTAAACTGCACGTGCGAGGGGTCTAGGTTGCATGCTTCTTATGAGAATCTAATGCTTGATGATCTGTCACTGTCTCCCATCACCACCAGACGAGTCCATCTAGCTGGAGGAAAACAAGCTCAGGGCTCCCACTGATTCTACATTATGGTGAGTTGTATAATCATTTCATTAAATATTACAATATAACAATAATAAAAATAAAGTGCACAATAAATGTAATGCACTTGAAGCATCCTGAAACCATCCCCCTCCCCAGGTCTGTGGAAAAATTGTCTTTCACGAAACTGGTCCCTGCTGCCGAAATATCTGGGGACTGCGGTTCTACAACATCTATGGAGTTTCTGTTACAAAGTGCAACATGTTTGCTTTAAAGAATTTGGAAGAAGATAAGAAAAAAAAATTGTCTATAATGCCACTAACCAAGAACAGACACAATTATTTTATGTATTGTTAATAGTCTATTTTTTGTATATAATTTGGTACCATTTAAAAAATATTTTTTCTAAATTTAACTAGCTCTTGATTTGAGAGGGTTTTTTCTTTTGTTATTATTGCTGCTCTCTTATTTCTCCACTCAGTGCCTTTTAGGGGTTGAGGGAGAATGACAGACTATTGACATGAACCGCCACTGCAATCAGACTTGGCTACATGGACTATGCTCATCTTTTTGAACACTTCATCCACTAAATGTAGAACAAGGTGATGGGAATATAAAATGGTGCAGCCACTGTAGAAAATAGCTTGTCAGTTGCTCAATAAGTTAAACATAAATTACCTAATGACCCTGTAATTCAACTCCCAAAAGAATTGGAAACAGATATTCGAACAAATACTTGTACACAAATATCATAGCACCATTATTCACAATAGTCAAAAGATGGAAATAACCCAAATGTTGTCCACTAACAACTGAAAGGATAAACACAATGTGGTATATCCATAAAATGGAATAGTATTCAGTTGTAAAAAGGAATGAAGTGCTGATACACGCTACAACATGTATAAACCTTCAAAACGTTATGCTAAGTAAAAGAAGTCAGTCATAAATGTATCATGTAAATGTATGATTCCATTTACATGAAATATCTAGAATGGCAAATCCATAGAAACAGAAAGCAGATTAATGGCTGCCAGAGACTAGGAGAAGGGGGAATGGGGAGAGCTTGTTTAATGGGCACAGGGTTTCCTTTTGGGACATTGAAAATATTCTGAAACTAGATAGCAAAAATGAGAGCCCAACCTTATGAATGTTCTGGATGTCACTGAATTGCATACTTTAAGATGATTAAAATGGTGAATTTTATGCTGTGTGTATTTTACCCTCCCACAATAATATATATTTTTAAATAAAGCAAGGGAGGCATATCAGAAGATAAAAGCACAAGACTGAGAAAGAACAGAAACCCAATGAAATCCACTCAACATCAACTCTAACACCTTCTTCTTCTAGGTGATGATTTAAAAATTTTCCCA
The DNA here is from genome assembly GCF_000001405.40 of Homo sapiens. Taxonomy (NCBI): domain Eukaryota; kingdom Metazoa; phylum Chordata; class Mammalia; order Primates; family Hominidae; genus Homo; species Homo sapiens. Next base: position 3,609,716 of record NC_000003.12, read on the forward strand.
GGGATCCCGGTATAGATTTCTGACCTCACTTGCCCTTCTGTGGTTATTGCATTAATGTCCAGTCTTCCTGATAACCAATGCAAAACTCCATCACTAGCTGGAAATTCTGAAGGCATTGTTGACCTCACTTCACATATCCAGTGCCTACCTAGTTATAAGGGATTCATCCCTTTTGGCTGCCTTTGTCTTTCCATGCCCATATCCAGTCATGGGCTCCCTGCCCCTGGACTCTGCCACCCAAATCCTGCCTACCAGTGCCAGGTTCATAGCTAAACCATTCAACAGTTCCTTAGCATTGCCCCATAATTAGAAGAGATGCTGGTCATGACCCTATAGTGATATGTATCCAGCCTTCCCTGTGAGACAGATGCTATTATTATTTCTATTTTACTGAAGAAGATACTAAAGTTTAGAGAGTTATAATGATTTGCCCAAGATCATAAGATAGGGTGATGTTGAGACTTGTACCCTAGCATCCTGATTCCAAGCCCAAAGTCATAAATATACCACCCTACCATCTCTACTATTATCTGTCATCAGTCCCCCAAATGAACTCTTCATTCCAGTTAAACAAACTACTCTCTATATCTAAACATGACAGAAGCATGCCAGGCCACAAACCTAGAATGTTTACCATGGTTCAAATCCAATCCTGCCTTCAAGGAGTAATTTACGTCCTTTCTCTTCCATGAAGATGTGCCTTAGGTAACTTAATCTAGTCTCTCCTCCCCCTCCATCTCCAAATCTAATCAACTCAGATTAATTTTGCTTCCTTCATATTTATGTCTCCTTCCTCTCCTGTCTGTCCTTATTATAGCCACCTTCATTCAGTCCATTATGTCTGGTGTGGGTTATTGCAGTACTCACTTGGTGGTTTCCTTGTCCCTATTAGATCCCCTCAAATGCATCTTCCACCAAGCACATAGTTGACTCTCAATTTTTATACATTGAACAGACTAAACAAATGCTGCCAGAGAAATCATTTCATTACATGCCACTCTCTCCCCCTAGACTCTCACCTCTCCAAAGGCAGAAACTATGACTTACTCATCTTTGCATAACAGCATCAAACAAAATGCCTGGCACACTGTAGATGTCAACAGATGTTGGCTGAATGAATCAATGATTGGAGTGTTTATTCAATGTAATATTCATATAGCACTTAAATACTAATACAAATCAACCCAGTGTAACTTAGGTTGTGTGTCATTGCCCAGATAGACTGTTAGGCCCTTGTGAACTAGGAATGTGTTTCAGAAACTTGGTGTCCTTAACACTTGGCACAGTAAAAATGTGACTTATGATCGAATGCATCTCCACTAATTCATTGATTCGACAAATATTTACTTACTGTTTCAGGCACTATGCTAGGTTCCAGGAAAACAGTAGTTGAAGAGGCAGATGAGGTTGCTGCCCTCTGAGAGTTTACAGAACACAGGGTGTGGCAGAAAAATATCCAAGTGATCAAAGAAGTAAAAAAAAAAAAAAAATTCAAACACAGTCAAAAAGGAAATAAAACGCAGCGACAAAGCAGAAGTAGATTGGAGGAGAGGTCCACATTAAAGAGGGTGGTCAGGAATTCATCTCTTGCAGAGGAGAAACCAGAGCAGAAACCAAAAGGATGAGCTAAATTTCAAACTGCAAAGTTGAATATACAATAACTCAGTATCTCCACTGATGATATCTTTGGTAAAAAAGTGTTAGACAAGCAACTGAGGGGTGCATTCGGGGACGAATGCGCTCAGGCGAAGTATTGCTTTTAGAATGTTCTGCAAACAACAAGACACTGCGACCTAATCTATAATAAAGGGGTTTTGTTTGTGGCAGAAGATGGGGAGATGCCCAGGCCATCAGCAGATGTGCTGTCTGTAGCTGGAGAAGTAGCTTGTGAAGGTGCCCTCATAGAATTAAGTTGCATTTTTAATCTACTGTTTTCTGTGAAATTCATGCATCTTAAATTCGAAAGCATCTTGTCTACTTTTTCTTAGTCCCCACTACAAAACTCCTGTAGTGATTCACTTCTTGTGTACATATTCTGAGTTGGAAATATCAAGGTAACAGATGTGACACATTAAGATTTTGATAAATATAGTCAGTGAGTGAAAGGATTCAATCCAAATTACTCAGCCTGACAGCATGAGCTCCTAAACAACCTGGGAATGGATGGTGCTCAAAAGTTTACTGAGTTGACTTAAGTAACTGCCTCTCTAATTTCCATGCCTGACTCAGGAATATTTTATTTTGACAATTTTTAATCAAAAATTGGATTCTGAGGTGTTCTAATTACATTGAATCTCAGAGTAAACTGACTTTGGGCCACATTACCTCCTCCCAAGTCAAAGGACCGGGTAAATTCACTAATTGTCATATGATTTCACGGACCATGGAAATGTCAGCCCTCGTGGCTCCCTGCTGAGTGGCTCAGGGTCACCAGCACCCACAGGGCCTATAATCTTCTTAATTTCAATTATTGCCTCCTTGTCTCCATAAGCTTCTGGGAGGCCTCCTCCTAGGTTTGCTTTTTCTTTGCTCAGAACTGAATTTCCTCACTGTGACTTAGTCTTACCTTGCAGAATTATTAATATTAATATAGTTTACAAACATGCAGCAGGGTCTTCCCTGCAGCAAGGTCCTCCTGATACATGTTCCTGAAATATATTTAGTCATAGTAATGAAAGGCCAACATTGTCACTCATTATGGGAATATCTACTAGAAGTTAAATGTAACTCAGAGAAGATCTCAGCTTCTGAAGTAAAATTACCTGTAATTCAAATTCCCACATCCTCACTTGCAGGCTGGGTGACCTTGAATGAACTATTTCAACCTCTCTGAGTTTCCATTTCTTTATCTGTAAAATGAGTGCAATAATAAAGCCCATAAAGAATTATTGTATTTAAACAAAATAATACACAGGGTTTAACATTGTGTCTGACACATGGGAAGCAGCCAAGAAATGTCTGCTACTATTGCCGTTATTATTATCATAATCCTAGAAGACGTTATGCAGTTTGTATATATTTCATTTACTTATTAAAAAGGTATGTAGCCCCATGAGTGGCATTCATTAAGCATTCAATAAATTTCAGATATTATTACTTATGAATCAATTAGAATCACAAAACTATAGCATGGGACAGAAAAGTAGAGATTATCTAGTTCAATCCTCTTATTCTACAAAAGAGAAAAAAAGTTTAGAGAAAGGAAATGACCTGCCAAAGAGGACAGGGGACGCAGCTACCGATCCCACTGCAGGCTTTTTTCCAGGTCAACCCCCACCATGACTAGTGGACAGTAGACGGAGTGGACAATTTTTAGGTTGGTGAGGATGCAGAGGGCAGAGGAAAACAATGCATAGAAGACACTGTAAAGTGGATCCCACAGAGAACAGAAGGACAGACATAGAAAGGACACAGTGGAGAAGGTTTCCAATAACTCACAGGCATAAGAGAAGCCTCCAAGAAATCAAATTCTGATGATAAAAATTAGGATAAGGAGGAGAAAAATGACGGGCCACTAAAAAACTCGACATAGAAATGCACGGAGTTTTGCAAAGAGCTTAAGGCCATAAAGTGTTACAGTGTCTGTGAACTTGTCCCTGAGCTAAAGACCAGGGGCATCTTAAGTGCACTATCATCCCAAAAGCCTGGACCTATTTATCACCTGCAGGTCCTCCCAGGTTATTTAGGATGGGTCCAACAAAGAATTCTTATTGGGCAGCTCCTGACACCACAACTCTTACTAGTGCTCCTGCTAAATACGCAGCATTGCGATTTCATCTCTCTTGAGGTCCCAAGAGCCCTAATTCATTAAGGAAAGTATAGATAACCATTGGTGGCAGCAGTGAGAGAAGGAGTCTTGGACAAAGCCAAAGAGAGAAGCCCAATACAGAACTGCCATCTCTGTGTCATGAAGAAGGGATGGTAGTGCTAACTCATGCTGTCTGCGCTTTTTTTTTTTTTTTTTTTTTTTTTTTTTTTTTTTTTTTTTACCATAAATGGAACATTTGCCTGGAATGCAAATTCACAGATACAAAACCCAGAAGAAGGGGCTGGAATAAAAAGTGACAAGGTTCTGAAAATAAGGCACAGATTTAGACGGAAAGAGTGGTAAGGGCTTTATATTAATAACTTGCAGGTTGGCTTCCCTATGTAGCTCCTGCTCTGTTGAATTCTCCTGGAGGGTCCCTGGGTTGGCAGAGTCAGTCACAGCAAAGCAACTCCCCTGTGTTTTGCTATATCATGGGCTTTGAATGTCATATGAGGTTATAGAGGGCAAAGGGGCCCCCATCCCATTGCAAAAAGAACCTGCTCTATGATGGGAAAAGGGTCCCAAAGTCAATGACAGATACGAACAAGGGCCAAAGGGCAAATGCGTGCTAGGAAAAGAACATCTAAAAGGCTAGAGGGAAGACTAAGCAAAAATATCTCGGGCTATGAAATGGTCTTCAACTTCTAGCTAACAATATCGGCAACAGGGAGGGGAAAACCCCTCAGCATTTCCAGGGCTTTTGTCTCTCCCGTGAAAGAAATGATTTTGTATCTGGCCTGTGTAGTATGCACTTGGTATGGTGCTGGCAATGGTTGAAGGCAAAAGAAATTGGAACATGGATTGTGCCCTCAAGAATTTAAAGACTTTAAACCTTTTAGGTCTTCAAGTGCTAGTCCACAGTGCTCCTCTTAGGGGACCACTTAGCAGAATTCAACAGAGCTAACTAGCTAAATTGTATGCCATTTTCTCAGAGTCCTGGGAGAGGTCAGTGTAGAAGAAAATCACACCATTTCTCAATTGTGATGGCTCCTGGAATCCCCTATGAGTGTCCAAGAAGATGATGGGAAGAACCACAGTTTCCAAATGTTGGAGCTTGAATGTTACAGCTGGAATTCTTTCAGCTACCTAGAGTCTTTCCATCCCTGGCCCTTACAGCATTCTCACACTGCCCATATCCACAGATTCACCACTGGGCCCACATGTGGCCAGGGCATCTTCCTAGTACTACACTCCAGGCAGTGACACTCAGTGAACAGGATTCGCAACAAGAGATGCCTTCGCTGGCTAGTCCCCACTTTTTAAATATCAGTTACAAGCAGAGACAAGAATAGAGTTCAAGTCCTATGGTGCCCAGCTCAATGCCTTTATACCTTCCTTCTGCTTCTTCTTTCTCTGGGCTGCTGGAGACCCTCACTTGCTTTACTTGTGCAACATCTTTTAACAGCCCTTAGAGCCCAGATGGGGGTTCAATTCACAGGATGCCCAAAGCTAGTTTTCTCAGCGAAGAGTAAAAGGATAATTTGAGAGGTGCACAAGTCCGCTTGCCTGACAGTATAGATCCTGGCAAGCTCCCCTGATGGGAATTGTGACTGTCCTAGTTTTTATCCTCCAGCTTGAATACCATTCAGATGCTTATGTGTGAACGTATCAGCCCATCATGAGCAGAAGTTAGTGCATCTATTTAAGGAGGCGTAGAGTAGTGGGAAGAATAAGGTCTTCAGAGTCAGCTAGAGCTGACTGGTAACTTTTCTTCTCCTAGCGATGAAAGGGAAGTCTAGCTAGTCGGTGTGACCTTGCACAGGCTGGGTGGCCTCTCTAAGGCACAGTGCCTTTCTAGTAGAAATGAGACTAATAATACACACCTGAAAAACTTGTGAGAGCAAATGAGATATAAAAGGAAAGTGCCTCCTCCTCTATTGACTACATCATAGTAGGTGATCAATAAATGGTGGCTATCATTATCGTAATTGTTTTTCTCAAGATCACTGAAGACAGAAGCATCTCTGAGGCAGTAGGACACAGGTAAGTGATGTTTTAAAAGGGGAGAATGGGGAACCAGGCTGCCCACCTGACATCTTAGGTGGTGGACCCCCGGGGGAGAGGGAAATGCAGAAAACCAGAGAGCTCATTAAAAGTATTACCACTAGAGACACAGCCAGGCACAGCCTAATCGGCCTGGAATGAGAATGACACCAGGTGACCGAGCAACTGCAGATGCTGAGGGAAAAACCCAGCCTGGCAGGCAATGGAGAGTATGCAAAGGGCAGAGCAAAAAAAAATGAGTCATGGAACAAGCAAGCAGCAGGCACCTGGGATTCTGAGTGGGGGTGGAAACTTGTCCAGAATCTTGGAAGGGAATCCAGGAGGCAGTCCACACATGGGGAGTCTCCAGGCAAGCCATGAGATCCCAGGAACAGACTGGGCTTCAGGGTGACTCCAGCCCTGGGGAGGGATATTGTAAAATCTAATAAGGACCTCTGTCCCGGGGGCTCTCGTCAACAGGATGGGTATTAGGTATTCTTTTAGCTACCAAGACCAGAGGCTGAAAGCAGTGTTGACTTACAGACTCATTGATATGGGACAGTTAGCTCCTAGATGTGGAGAAAGAGGAGGGAGGGTGTTGAAACTAGGAAGGGTCAGAAATGCATAGAAAGAACTTGAAGGCCAGAAAAACCCAAGTTAAAAACCATATCGGTGTTTTGTCTTAGGAACTGAGAGACCTTGGCAATCCTGAACTTTTCAAAGCCTTCGTTTGTTTTTCTATAAAGTGGGTATAAGAGCTAGCCAATAGCATCATTGTGGAGATAAAATTAAAGTAAGGCATTTTTCTTTACAACTCTACCTAAAGCTAACTCAGATATAAACTCTTATCCACATCTTAATAACTACATAGACAAACATATAAAATATGATAATATAGAAAACATTATAGCTATAACATATTCAACAATAGACTATAGATGATGCTAACATCTCATACATGTGTATATCACTTTTCCACTGGTAGAGTCTTTTCATATCCATTGTCTGGCTTGCTCTTCACAATATTAGGTGGTCAGAATCATAACACACTGGAAACAGTAAAATGTTTGGCAAATGGAAAAATGTTTGTATTGATCATGTTTTTTATTTTTCCATATTTTATGACGCTTCGACATCTTGGGGCATTGTGAATGCAGGGAAGGGCTCCCCCTCCCATAGTAAGCTAATTCCTAGAGGTAACAGACAACTTCCCCGAGAGCATGCCTTTCATATGCAAACCAGCCATAACTGCAACCACCTCCTTTATCTAATTCTCATACACCAAGCCAATGTTACCCCTGCTCTAAATCATTTGAGGACCAGATACTGGAAAACTAGGGGCCACCCCTATAGCCCAGAGCCCACCAAAATTATTCAAACTATTCAATCCTAAACCTGCTTAGCTTGCCTACTTCACCTTACCCTTTCCTTACCATGAAAACTATCTTGCCTATGTTTTTCCCCACTCCTACTGCCTCCTGACTGACCCTGGTAACTCCCCCGTTGGCCCTGTGTGGTTTTGTTACTGTAGGTAGCTAGTTGGACATAAACAGGGCAAGAGAGCCCCTGCCAAAACCAGGAATGTCAGGTGACCATCAAGTGATGGTCAGGTGGTTGTTAACTCTCTCTCTAAAATAATAACAGCTGCTACTAGGCAAAGGCAGTCTCCCAATAGATAGGGAAAACCTGAAACTGGTGATCAGTAACTTCCAGATAAGATCTCAGGAGTTGGGTGAATGGGCTCACACATGCACACTAAGAGGCAAAATGGTGGAGTTTAACTGGTATATGATCTCCTAGGACATTCGGCTGGTAAGGGAAGAACGCCTCAAGTGAGCATGCGTACAACTCCAGTAAACACACTGAGCAGGCTCTCCTTCCAAGTGCTAGCAGGGCACTGTGCATGCGGGCAGCCCACCCCAAGGGAAGAATCAGGGGAGAAGGAACACAAGACCTTGGGAGTATACCAAGTCAAACCCTAAGTCAAAAGGTCAAACCACGCACGTGATCTCTCAAGTCACCCGCTTGGCCCTCTTCTAAATGTACTTTACTTTCTTTGCATTCCACTCTAAAGCTTTTTAATAAAGTTTCACTCCTGCTCTAAAACTTGCCTCCGTCTCTCCCTCTCCCTTATGCCTCTCGGTCGAATTCTTTCCTCCTAGGAGGCAAGGCCTACTGGAGACCTATACAGGAAAAAAGACCTACTGCAGACCTGCATGGATTTGCCACCAGTAACAGTGTGGCATGGTGTGGCGTGCCCCTTCCTCTTGGGAACTGTACGTAACACACTCTCTTTTCAATGGCAGTTGTCTCCTGATCTATGGCCTCACTACACCTGAGTAAAAACAAAATCTCAGGTACATTTTAGACGTTTAGACATTTATTTGCCATGTTAATTCAAATATGGTAAATAAACCTTACAAAGAATGAAATAGAGGCATTGTATCAAATTAAAATGAAAAGACTTCCTCAACATGTCAAGTGGAAAAAAGGTCACAGGAAAAAACTTACAGTGTGTTCTCATTTATGGAAAAAGTTATTTGTTTATGTACATTCATATACGTACTTGTGTGTGTACAGCAAGGAGAATTAAGGATCCATACTCATCTACCGGCTGTGGCTACACCTGGAACAGGATGGCTGAGGCAGGTGGGAGAAGGATGTTGAAGAAAGACTTTCTATTTTTCTCCTGCATAGTACATATTATCTGAAACTCTTAAACAAAATTGGATTTATGCATTACTTACATAATGAAGATAGTAAAACTGATTATTCAGCATCCAATTAACATGTACATAGTACAATCACATAAAATGAATATTATTTAATTAATAAATATTATTTGGATATTATCAGACCAATTATTTCCACCAAAGGGAAACTAGGAATTACCAGCTCTTGACCAAAATGGGGCTTTTTAAGCTTCTAATCAGCTCCGAAGAACTATTAGAGAAGGGCTTATGGTTGGAACACAAAGCTTTCAAAAAGGCATTTATCATCATTATCGCCCCATCCCCTAATATGAAATGATTCATTTTCCTGTATCCATAGTTTGCAAGGGACTTTTGAATTAAATCTTAAAAGCTAAATTGTTCTGGAATCTGTCTGGACCTAACACTCAATGCCAATAAAGAACCTCAGGGTAATTTGTTTTCCTCTATAATTTCAAAGTGGATCAATACAAGAGTCTTTTATTGCTGCTGTGGCTTCCATAACCCTTGATGGTGAATCATTACAGAAGGAGAAGTCTGAGATCCATAGATGAGAGGTGGTCAGACTCCATTTTTCATGTGGTTTCTGTGGTTTCCAATGAGTTTGGGACAGAGAAGAAAAGCTAGTTTCATACTGTGTAGCCCAGCTAGCTGAGGGTCTGGGCTGCTGAGAATGAGAGAGAAAGAAAAAGATTATGGCTCAATAATACTGCAAAGGGTAAGATACAGGCTCTGAGGTCCGACTAGGATTCAATCCCAACTCTCCCTTTCTTGGATGTGTGGCCTTGGGCAAGTCATTCACCTCTTTAAGCCATTGTTTTCTCATCGGTATAAGGATAACAATGTTTTCAACCCCATACAGTTATTACAGGGTGTCAGTGAGGTGGGTCAAGCTCCTGGTATATTATTAGTGCTCAGTACACATTAATTGTTTTATATATATTTGAGAGAGTAGAAACTTAGTTTTATAGAAATTGTGCCTTCAATTTCAAATAAGTACATATTAAACACCAACTACATGGTAGTCTTAATCTCTGCTCGAAGAAAGCTTACAGTCTATTTGACAAGGTCAAACATATTCCTGTAAGAACTTACATAACCATACAAGGTTTATCCAGCAATCTGGGGCAAAAACAATCCACTGGGTCACTCCAAATGAATTGTCTTGATAATAAAGGCAATTGGATCTCAAAGAAGGTTTATAGACCTTCATAAATTGCTTTACCAAAGGTTTCATAAAGGAGTTGGGATTTGACCTAGGACTTAGATCAGGCTTGTTTGAACCGAGAGCAGGGTAGGAGGCATTTTATAATAGGTGGGATGACAGCATGAGTGAAAACATGGTGTATCCAGAGGGTGCTCAAAGCAAAAAGTAAACAATTTGATGTGGAGAATAGGTTTTGAAATAATTAGCTCATAGATTCCAAACTGATTGGGAATACTCCAAAATTAACCATGTTTTGGTTTTCAAAGACTTCAATCTTATTCAAATCAATTCTGAAGCCTTCCTGTGTTTTTTATCATGTCTTAGACACCTGTTACAGCTGAGTATGCATTCAAGCAGAGTTGTGAAGTCTCTAATATCTAGACTCACTCAGATGGGGACCAACACTAACCAGGTGAAATAAAATCCAGTATCTAATGCATCGTTGCAGAACATGGTCCTAATATAGTGGTTCCTAATGTTAGTCATGGGGCCAGCATCATCATCATCATCATCATCATCATCAGCATCATCATCATCAGCATCATCATCATCAGCAGCATCATCAGCATCATCATCATCATCACCATCATCATCATCATCATCATCATCATCATCACCATCATCATCAGCAGCATCATCTAGGAACTCATGAGAAATGTGAATTCTCAGGTCCCACCTAGACATACCAATTCAGAAAGCCTTGGGGTGGGGTACAATAATGTGTTTTACAAGCCCTGCAGGGAATCCTGATGCAGTTTATGACACTAATACTATTGTCCAAATGTATTTCTTTCAAATACACAGATTTAATACGTGCATATTGGTTAGCACAGTAAAATGGTCCATTATTACTTGTGCAAAGGCTTGCAAGTTTCCCACCAGCCTCTATTTCAGAGTAAATTCTTAGAAGAAACAAACCCTAAGGAGACCTAAAATGAGATTTTTTTTCCATAACAGTAAGAAGAATTAAAAAAAAAAAAGAAAAAATAATCAAGTGGTCATTTTAATAATGCAATTTTGCTTCTTGTAATGTGGCTTAATAGAATCACCATGGAGAATTTTTAAAAGAATAGCCTGTGCAATTGGAGCTTTATTGGCTTTTTGCTGGAAATGCGTTGGCTATAGATGGGCCAGATCCCATTAACAAACTTAATCTGGAGCCCACAGGAGCCTTCTGACAGAAATATCCTGTTGTGGGGGTGGCAAAACGCACAAAAATTGATTTTAATTATTCAAACTCTAATTTCAAAGTCAATGATTGATGCTAGAGGGTTAAGATATTGCCAGTTCATTCTATGTCTTTTTCTAAAATTTTCTTTTGAAAGGATGATTCTTAGCTGAGAACATCAAGACGTGAAAGAATAAAAAATGAAGAAAATCAAAATTTAAAGAACCAGAAATAACCCCAAGTTTAGCAGGATCCCATTGTTAAAGCCCCACAGGGTAGTAGAGGAATCGCCCAAAGATCTCTCTTGCAACTCTTAGTACTAGGACTTAAAATATTTTCCACAAACGTCCTCCTGCTTGGATTGACTGCCTTGTTACATCTAAGCATCATTACATCTAAGCTGTTTAATACTTTGAAGAAAACTGTAAAGCCAGACATATAGGGGTCTGAGGAGTGCTCAGAGTTGAAGCTGAAGTCCTCACAATGGCAAACCAGCCATGGCTCCTGACTATTTTTCTACTCATCAACTACCGTTCTCTACTTTTTTCACTCTCCTAGCCATGCTTCCCTACTATTCCTCAAGTTGCACACCAAATATACTGCCAACTATCAGTTCCTTTCACCTTTATATTCTTGTGGTTCTCTGCATCATTTCTTCCAGTCCTCTGTTAACATATCATCTTCTCAAACCACCTTTTCCTGATCTTCCTCGTATAAACCTCCAGCCTTCTCTATCCTCTGTACCTTATTTTATTTTCTTGACATATTACATAATTCACTTGATTTTTTTTTCTTTTGCAATTTCTCTCTCCCCTAGAAACTCAATGAAGGCAAGGGCTCTGTATATTTTGTTGACCACTGTATTCCCAAGGTGTAGAATAGTGCCTGGTGCATGGCAGACATTCAATACATATTGATTAAATGAAAAAATGAATAGTGAAGGAAAGACTGAGTGAAAAATTGTGACAGGAAAATCCAGATTTCAACTCGTCTGTTAGGGTGGACAAGAAAAAAAAAAGTCTATAGATATTTGCTCAGAAGTAAATCTTGCATCTTCATATAAAAATTGGCAGGATTTGCCACCATAAAATCTAATGCCCATGCTGGCCACAATGCAGAGAAATGAACTTTAAAACACCTCAAATCCATCAAGGAAGTGGTCAGAGACAGCCCCTCCACTACCACCTACTGGAAACCATTTCTCTGCCTCTAGTTGATTCCTGGAACTGTACAGTGAGGGCCATGTGCCCAGAGGAACTGTAGAAAGAACTTCCCAAGGGGAGAGGATGCTACCTCTATTCCACTTTCTTGACACAAAGCCCTACACCTCGAGAGGAGAATTGACTATTGTGTGACATCCAAAGTGGCTCTTAAAAGAGACCAGGTGATTTGCCTGGATATTGTCCTCATCTTGGAGGACAGGAAGGAAGATTCTTATCTTCTCTCCATGAAGAGGAGAACAGAGCTCACCTGAAACCCTGAGACTGGGTTCTAACCCTAATTCCACCACCATCTAGCAGATGACTCTGGGCAAGTCACTTCTCTCTGAACATTAGTTTTCTCATATGTCAATGAGAATAATAAAACAGCTACCATATATTTGAGTACTTTATAATGCTGTACACTTTGAGCATGCCATCTGCTCTGGCCTTCACAAGAGTTCTTTGAAGAAGGCACTGAGGCCAGCAGAACTTAAGTAATTTAAGATCACCCAAAGTGGCAGAACCTGGTTTTAAACTTAGATGGGTCAGAGTCCAAAACCCAAGCTCAGAATGACAGCAGTATAGTACCTTTCTCATAGACCTCAGAGATGGATAGGAGGAGCAAAGAGCATCCTGAATAAAAAGGCATTTTGAAAATTAAAACACATTCCCATATATGGGATTTTATTAGTAACTGTGGGTTTCTGGGAGTCTGCAGTAGAGTTACACAAACGTGAGGTAGCCTGTTATTTTCCCTTTGAGAATTAGCACGGACCTTCCCCATTCAGCCTTCACAGATTATTATCATTCTGATTACCTTCATTTAAAATCTCAGCATTTATTTACCCCTAGGTGGTTTAAAAATGGACTCAAAAGAGGCAATGAGCAACATCAGGAGGCAGGAGAGTGACTTCTGGCTCTGTCTTTCTCAGTAGCCTGCATATGCTATAGGCAAGTTGGACAAAAGGTGAAATATAGGCCACCACCTCACAGTAAAATAGTCTTAGACAAACCTAACCCCCTAAGTCTCAGTTTCCTAATGTGCAAAATTGCAACAATAATATCCACTCCCTGATCTAAACTGAGGGATGAAAAGACGATTGTCCTCAGAGCAAGTTTCAACAAATGGGAGTTGAGTGGGAGTGAGCAGTTTTGAGGGATGTATTACCCTTTCTTGGAGAGTCCCAAGAAGGACTGAGCCCTACTTGCTTGCATCAGAAACTGGCTCCTTTGTTGACTTTCCTCCTTGCCCCACTTTCCCCACTTCCTCACTGTGCTAACTGGGACAACCTCCCAAATAAATTATGTGTACCGAAATCCATGCCTCCTGTTAGGATAACCCAAATTAACACAATTCTCAACTAAATTTGTGTTGAGTAATCAAGTGTGATAGGCAGAATTCTAAGGTAGGCCTTAAGATTTCCCATCCCATGGAATACCTGCCCTGCACAATCCTCAAGACTGAATAGGATAGATTTTACTTCCAAAATGAGGTTCTATCTTATGATATCGTTGACTTTAACATAGGGAGATTATTCAGGTGAGCCTAACCTAATCACATGAACCCAGCTGAGAGCTTGTCTCTGGCTGGCTGCACAAGAGGAAGTCAGAGAGATCTGATGCATGAGGAGGATTCCACATGTTCACCATTGCTGTCTTGTGGATGGACACAGGGCCACATAGCAAGGAATGCAGATGCCTCTAGGAACTGAGAGCTGACAGCTGGCAAAAAAAAAATAAAACTGGACCTCAGTCCGACAGCCACAAGGAACTGAATCATTCCAACAAGAATTAGCTTGGAACACATTTTTCCCCCAGAGCCTTCAGATGAGAATTCAGCCCAGCCAACACCTAGATTTCAGCCTTGCAATACCCTGAGCAGAGAACCCAGCTGAGCTCACCTGAACTTCTCACTTACAGCATCATGAATAAATAAATAGGCATTGTTTTAAGCTGCTAAATTGTTACACAGCAACAAAAACTAATATACCAAGTAAAGAGATAAGTACCAAAATGTCTAGTCTAGTGAGAAAATCAGGTACTATCATTCAGGATAATTCAAATAACATTTGGAAAATAGTATGGTGTGTTTATACATATTCCTTTCTTTATCGTTAAATTTTATTGTATATATTTAAGTTACACAACATGAGGTTTTGATATGTATATTGTGTGTTTATACATATTCCTTTCTTTATTGTTAAATTTTATGGTATATATTTAAGTTATACAACATGAGGTTTTGATATGTATATAGACAGTGAAATCATCACTATAGTCAAGTGAGTTAACATCCATCATCCCACAGTTATCTGTTTTTTGGCATTGTGAGAACACCTAAATTCTACTCTTTTAGAAAAATCTTGAATACACTACAATATTGTTAACTATAGTATAGTCCTCCTGTTGTACCTGTGGTCTCCAGATCTGTTCATCTTACATGTCTGCCACTTTGACCTACATCTCTCCATTGCCTCCCACTGCCCACCTCCTCCATAACCACATTTGATTGATTGAATCCCTAAAGATTCCACACGTGAGATCATGCAGCATTTTTCCCTTTGTGTTTGTCTTATTTCATTTAGCTTAATTTCTTCCAGGTTCATCCTTGTTGTGGAAAATGGCAAGATCTCAGTTCTTAAGGTTGAATAATTTTCCTTTTTGTAGATACCACAGTTTCTTTATCCATTTATCCATCAATAGACACTCTGGTTGTTTCTATATCTTCGCTGTTGTGAATAATGCTGCAATGAACATGGGAATGCAGGTATCTCTTCAAGGTGGTGATATCACCTTCTTTGGGTATCTAACCAGAAGAGGGATTGCTGGGTCATATGATGATTCTATTTTTAATTTCTTCAGGAATCTTCCTACTGTTTCCCACAATGGCTACATCAATCTACAATTTCACCAACAGTGTACAAGTGTTCCCTTTTCTCCACAACCTCGTCAAAACTTGTCATCTCTTGCCTTTATAACTGTCCTAACCGGTGTGAGGTGATATCTCCACATGGTTTTAATTTGCATTTCCCTGATGATTAGTAATATTGAGCACCTTTTCACATACCTGTTGATCGTTTTTATTCTTCTTTGGAAAACTGTCTATACACTATGTCTTCTTTTGAGAAACGTCTATTCAAGTTCTTTGCCCATTTTTTTAATCAAGTTGCTTTTCTGCTACTGAGTCATGTGGGTTCTTTATATACACTGGATATTAGCGCTTATCAGGTATAAGGTTTGCAAATATTCCCACTCTCTTAGCTAAAACAATTTTTAATATTTTTTTAGTTTTCAAAATCTAACTTCATCTCAAGTTATTCCATACCTCACATATTCCACTAAAAAGTGACATGACAATACAGATATTTCCAAACTGGATACCTAAACAATAATTCTTGAAGAGGTAATTCAAAAGAAGTTAAACCATGAAAATAACAATTTGAGGGAAAAGAAACTCCCCTCTTTACAGGTGCAAGGGTAGGCCGAATAGGTCCAATGACATTATGTTTCTTAAGGCACCACCTTGCTATTAAATTATGATGTGACGTCTACATGAAGATGTCTACATAAGTTTAGGCAGGAATTTGTAGCCTGTCCATTCATTCTGGATTTGCAGTAATCCCTGACTGCAGAGGTGCCAAGTACTGAATGGTTCCCTTCTCATCTTTTCCTACTTTGAAGGGTCAAAGCTGACACCCCGACTCACCAAAATGGTGTATATGTTAATGAAGTCAGACATACTTTCTGTTGCAACAGGTCCCCAAACTACTCAGGCATGATGCAGTGAGGAACAATGCTAGGACCAAGGAATGTCAAGAGGCAGCAAAGATGAAAGATAACCACACAAATGAGGACTGATAAGAGCCACCAAACAAAGGCTAATTCCTATATGCTAAGCTCATGTCAACAAAGGAGCAATATACCAGATCACGAGAAGTGATTGCCACCCAGGGATTCCCTTTCACCCCACTGCTTCCATCATCCATGCTTGGGCTTGGCTACAGGTTTTAGTTTCAGTCTTGGAGATTTTACTGCCTTTAGACAGGGCTACACCCTCTGAATCATATGTTAGTGTGCAGAAGCACTTGGAAGGGAATCTAGGACTAAAGGCTGTTTCTCTCTTTCAGATGACATGACCGAGTTTCAGAGAGGGAAGAGACTTGCCTAAGACAACATGACAAGTGAGTGACAGTGAAGTCTGACTCCAGGTTCTGTTTGTTCCATTTAATAGATAATGACATTTCTTCTACTAGTTTTCTCCGACTTTTGGAAGCACAAATGGGCCCACTCTTCCATCTGTCTCCACCCCACCTCCCACCCTACAATCAACCCATTGAACATCTAGCTACCAGATTAATGCTTTAAAAATACGTAGCATATCATGTCACTCCTCTGCATCAGCCCTCTGATGGTTTCCCATCACTTATAAAATAAAACCCCAGACTTTGTTTTACCTCAAGGCTTCAAGGCTCTACATGATGTGAGTCCTGCCTACCACTTTGACCTCTCAACCTTACTTTCTCTGTTCACAATGCTCCAGTTCACATGAGACTTCTTTTCTGTCCTGTGAGTGCATCTACCTTCTTTCTTCCACCTCAGGGTCTTTGCACTTGACATTCCCTCTACACTGAAGATATTCTCTGAAAACTGTTAATTGGCTCCAGCAGTCTATTTACTTTCTTCAAGCACTTTTCACTGTTTGAAATAATCATATGCATCTGTGAACCTTTATATTGCCTTCCACTAGAATGTAAATTCCAGGAAAGCAGGGATCTTGTTCGTTGTATTCACAAGCATCTTATATTCACAGTATCTAAAATGGTGCCTGGCAGGAGGATTGCTTGAGCCCAGGAGTTCAAGACCAGTGTGGAAAACATTGTGAGACCCCCATCTCTATAAAAAAATACACAAAATTAGCCAGGCATGGTGGTGCATGCCTGTAGTCCTACCTACTTGGGAGGCTGAGGTGGGAGGATCACTTGAGCCCAAGAGGTAGAGGTTGCAGTGAGCTGAGATCGTGCCACTGCATTCCAGCCTGGACAACAGAGTGAGAATCTGTCTCAAAAAAATAAAAAATAAAAAAATAAAATTATGCCTGGTACATGGAAAGCCCTCAATAAATATTTGTAGGGTAGATGTATGAGTGAATTAGTACCACAGCTGTCATCTACCCTGATAACCCTGATAATCAGAATATTTAACTAACCAAAATAGAATAGCTCATTCGTGAACAGGCCAGAAAACAGAATTTCCAATACACTGTCCAGTGTTACAGCTACCCCAACGGAATGATTTAAGTGCCCAGCTGATCAGGCCTAGGTAGGAAGCAAGAGAAACGTACGTAAGGTGTATTCATCCACTGGAAATTGACCATCTAGGATACAGCTGGCTAATAAAAACCCACTTACCCTTTCCTTTGGTTTCTGGAGATGAATCTGTTTGTTTTCCTCCCACTGTGCTAAAGCAGTTTCTGACGCTGCTCCCTTCAACCACAAAGTTAATGAATTTGCAAAGAAGATAGGCTCTCCCTCCCTCTGCTGTTGCTGCAGGGTAAAAAAATGAAGCTTTTTCTTCCTCCATGGAAACTCACAGAGTGACTTCTCTCATAGGACCCATGACTGGACTGTTTCACTAAATATCACAGCCAGAATAAGGGCTCAGGACAACATTTTTCCTATACACTGTTAATAGCCCCTTTATTCTAATAAATTGTAGTTTTTCCTAATATATATAGATATTATATCCACAGCTAATATTGTTAGTATTGTTATGTATCTATGTGAAAGAAAATATACAAACTATTAATATGTTTCCCAGTTCCAACTTACACATTTAACATTTTAGGGGAGCACTTAGGTTTTTTCCAGCAAGAGTTTTTAGAAATGTATCCACCCCAAATCTGAGGATGATCATTAGTCAAAAACAGGCAGTTATTTTTGCTTCCTGCTCACTTTTTGCCCTTCATACTTGACTCTTGGGAGCTGACAAATAAAGATGAATTACCAGTCTAGAGCATTCTAACTAACTAAGCCATTGTAGTCACTTAAATAAATCTTGAAACCCAAATTTTGCTTTGTTTGCTAAAATTTCTCCTCTCATTGTCTTCGACGATGTGAACTAGAATTACATAATATCAAGAAAAAGGTCGTAAAAACCAGGTTCTTTATCATACTGACTTTGCTTTTGGACTTAATGTTTCTTGACTGGAAAAGAAATCGCTTCATGCTAGAAAGATCTGCAATGTAAGTCCTGTACCTTCTCTAACTTACAAACATAAAATCTCTCTGTTTTCATATATAACAAAAAATGTATATGCCTATCAATTGATACTAGACAGTGTTATAGTGTATAACCAAATTAAATGTCTCCTAATTTAAGAATTGACATTACTTGATATAGAATAAGAATAATAAAAGCTAACATTTGCTGAGTGATTACTATGTACTGGAAGCTTTCCAATGAACTTTGTATGCAGTATTTCATTCCATCTTCACAGTGATTCTACGAGGCAGGTACTTCAACAGTGTGGTAACGAACATATCTAAGAACAAAGAATTCTAGAGCCAGACTACCTGAGTTTATATCCTAATCCTGCCACTTAATTATGACATGACCTTGGGGAAGTTATTTAACTGCTTAAAGCCCCTGTTTTTAAAATCAGTAAAATGGAGATATTAGTAGTTACCTGCCTCACAGGGTGCTTGCAGGGAGTAAATTACCAAATTTGTATAATAGGCTTACTGTAGTCAATCTCACTACAGAGAATATTATATTAATGTTTTCTCAAACTTTGGTCATTTTTAAACTATGCATAGGATTTTGACAATATATCTGTGTACCATTTTATTATTAAGTAGTTAATACTCCTATTCACTTGATATTGCCTTTGTGCAATGCAATTCTGACACTCGCTCCCTAGGGATGGTCAAATTTCAAAGCTCAAGGGCATACTCCTCCACGAGACTGCCCTCACTTCAGACACCGGCCACAAGTTCCAGGGTTCCAAGGTCACCAGTACTTCTGCCCAACTGGCTACAAATTCAGGGGTTCTCATTACCTCCTCAGGTTTGATAATTTGCTAGAATGACTCATAGAACTCCAGGAAAGCTATATTTATGATTCTAGTTTTCTTATGAATGATACACTGCAGGACCAACCAAGTGCAGAGACACATAGGGTGAGATCTAGGAGGGTCCCAAAAACAAAATATCCATGTCCTCAGGATGCATCACCCTCCCAGCACATTAATGTGCATGACCAACAAGGAAGCTCAACCATGCTCAGTGTCCAGAGGTTTCATTATGGTTTCATTATGTAGTTATGACTGATTGATTGGCCATGTGGCTGCACTCAATCCACAGACTCCCCAGAGGACAGTTGGTACAACCTGGCTCAAAGTCCCAACCCTTAAATTGTATTGGTGGTCATTCTAGCATAGCCAGTTCTCATCCTGAAACTACCTAAGGTCCAGCATGAGTTACTTTGTTGACATAAACTCAAGAAGAGCCCTCTATGAATAACAAAGACTCTTCTATCGCTTGGCAATTCCAAAGATTAAGAGATTACTCCCCAATAGCCAGGGACAAACGGCAGCCAAATTATCTACTATATGACGCTTTTTTAAAAAATTTTTTTTAAATTTTTTTTGAGACGGAGTCTTGCTCTGTCGCCCAGGCTGGAGTCCAGTGGCGCCATCTCGGCTCATTGCAAGCTCCGCCCCCCGGGTTCACGCCATTCTCCTGCCTCAGCCTCCCGAGTAGCTGGGACTACAGGCGCCGCCACCACGCCCGGCTAATTTTTTGTATTTTTAGTAGAGACGGGGTTTCACCGTGTTAGCCAGGATGGTCTCGATCTCCTGACCTCGTGATCCGCCCGCCTTGGCCTCCCAAAGTGCTGGGATTACAGGCGTGAGCCACCACGCCCGGCCGACGCTTTTAAATCAATTCCCTTTTTGCCATAAATTAATTAACCATAATCACAAACAACAACATAATGTAATCACAGGTTTGATTATTGCTAATCATATCTTTTCTAATACATATTAAAGGAGATGAGTGACTTAAAATTTAAAATGTTTATCTGCATATCATCCGAAATCATCTTACATTGCCACTTACTCATTTTTGAATTCAGTTTATTACACTATTTCCCCCAACAAATCCATATTCTTTTATCTTATGTGTCTCAGAAGTATTCCACATGAATAGAATCATATTGTGTAAATGCCAAGAAACCATCACAAAACAATCTCTAATTTTTCAGATGGAATCTAAGCCCAGCACAAGGAAATGACTCACCCAACTCTACACAGCTAGGACTCCATCTCAGTCTTTTGACCTCAGTGCAGGGGTCTTTTCATCACCTTGAGTCAGCAACTTCACCAGTACAGAAGTGCTTAGAGGAATGAATATAGGGGGAGGGTAAGAGAAAGCCTGACATACTTTTTTTGGTACTAAATGCTGATGGTATCTTAAGGAGAGCATGTCATGGGAAGTGCTGAAAATGATCAGAGACCTGGGTTGGCCAGGTCTCTGAATCTTGTAGCAAATAAAACCAGGCTTTATGGTCAGACCTTGTAGCACCCAACAGCTGGTTCACCGTGTCCTCCAAGCCCCGACTGCTATTTCTTCCCGAGTATTAAGTGGGCATTTTTGCGATATAGGCTCACCCCAGCCTGCAGGCTTTGGGAAACCCATCTGCTATCCTTCCTATTCATCTATTTCAACATGAGCCTTCAAAAATAATAAACACAGTGTGGGTCACTGTGAAAATGAAACAGAAGAAAAGCTGACATCAAGAACTTGTGTTATAAAAGTGGAATCACATTTTAGGAACTTTCTTCAAGCCCGCTGAAAAACTCCACTCTGCACAATTATGTTGATTTTCCATTTGCCTAATAATGGGAATGATAAAGCGAAGGCTGAGACAGCGTCTATTTGTAAAATTCAACATTGATTTTCTCCCCCTGTATATTTGCCCAGATGTAATTGTGGTGAGTGGCCTTTTAAAAATTTAAAAATACATTAAATAGACTAATGAGTCTCCAATAAATGTATACATGAATAGTTCTTTCCTTGACACAGCTTTCTGCCATGGAAACTAAATGCATTCCCGGAATACGCTACAAGTAATCTCTTGACAGCTACTATTTTGGACACTGATATTTTATACCCGCGTTTAAAATGGACTCTGATATGTTTTGACTCATCTCTCTTTCATTTTTTTCTAAGTCTTGCAGTGTTCTTTTGCAAAATCTCCCATTGCCATCCTCCTTGCCTCTCCTCCTGCCATTGCACCTACTCGGGCCTTCTTTACTTTGTTCTGGGATAAGTGAAGCACATCGTGAGCTAGTCCATTAGAATCCAGGGTCCTCTCAGTGCACATCTCTCTGCAAAGTGACACTCCTCCCCCCTGGTCCCTGCTATCCCTGGGTTCTTTCCTTTACTGGGAAGGCGGTATAGGTAATGTTAAGACTCAGGCTCTGGAACTGATTTCAAATTCTGCCTCCCACGTTTATTAGCTGTCTAACTTTGGGCAAGCAAATTCACTTTTCTGAGTCACAGTTTGCATAACTGCAAAAGGAGAATGAATTACATTCCTCAAGAGCTGTTATGAGAATTAAATGAAATAATCCATATAAAGTGCTTAGCGTAGTATCTGGCATATTGTAAATGTCCAGTGATAACTGTAAAAAGCTATGTTATGTGTGGAACCAAGTCTAGAGATCCCTAACTGTATTCCACAGCCCTTCAAAAACTAGGCCATCTCCCATGCCTCTCAAGTTTTTATTATTTGTTTATTATTGTTTCTTAAACAATGTGACCAATAAATGATTCAGTTCAATCCTGAAAACACTGAAGCTCTGAGCAATCTATCCCCAAGGAACTATGCTCCTGTTAACACAGCTAGGCAAGTCTCCTCCAATTCACCATTTTAATAATTTTCATTAAACCCCAGGCTGGCAAAACCTAATTATCAGGGTGAAGGAATCACCAACTCATGACCCCAGATGAAACTGCCTGTTAACCATGTTGGTAGAAATATGAACATTATGGGTCTGCTACCATTTCTACCAAAGAGTGAATGAACCAAGTTCATCAGAAGTTGGGTTTTTTTTGGCCCTGATTAACAAGAACTAAATCTTAAAACACTGCCTTGTTTTGATATATGCTGAGCCTGTCTCTCCAGTTAAACTATGCATGGCTTGAGGACAGAGAAGAGCTCTCATAAATCTTTTGTCATTTTTTGGGACAAAATTCACTTTCTAAACAATATAAAATAGTTGTTCTACTCCGGATTTTTTTTTTTTTTTAATCTGAAGTACAAAGCTTAGTCGAAGATATGGAAGACCCAAGAGCTAGTTCCTGCTATAGGGCTCTTACTCTTTTCATCTGAAAATGTAAGAGAAAGGACAAGATGGTGTCTGTAGACGGAATCTTTCCATTTCAAGGAATAGAAACCCAATTCAAACTAGCTTAAGCAAATCATGTATCTGAAAAAAGGCCAATCTACAAAGTGTATATGGAACTCAAACAACTCAAGAACAACAACAACAACAAAACCAAGTAACCTGATTTTAAAACAAGCTAGAGAGTTAAATAGACAATCTCAAAAGAAGTCACACTAATGGCCAACAGGTATATGAAAAGATGTTCAACATCACTAATCATTAGAAAAATGCAAGTTAAATTCACAGTGAAATACCTCATACCTTTTAGAATGGCTAATATCAAAAAGACAAGAGATAAGGGTATGAAGAAAAGAGAACACTTATACATTGTTGATGGGAATGTAAGTTGGTATAGACCTTGGGTAAGACAGCATGGAACTTCCTCAAAAACCAAAAATAGAACTACCGTATGATTCAGCAATTCCAATTCTGGGTATATAGGCCAAAGGAAATGGAATCAGTATGTCAAAGAGATATCTGCACACCCATACTCATTGCAGCATTATTGACAATAGCCAAGATACAGAAACAACCTAAATGCCAATCAACAAATGAATAGATGAAGAGAACGTGGTGTATATCTTTATATACAACTGAATATCATTCAGCCTTAAACAAGAAGGAAATCCTCTCATTTGTGACAACATGGATGAACCTGGAAGACATGCTAAGTGAAATAAACCAGACACAGAAAGACAAATACTGCACCATCTCAATTATATGTGGATTCTTAAACAGTTGAACTCATAGAAGCACAGAGTAGAATGCTAGCTGTCAGGGGTTGGAGGATGGGGGAGACAGGGAGATGTTGGTCAAAGGGTACGAAGTTTCAGTTATACAAGATAAGTAAATTTTGGTGACCTAATGTACAGCATGGTCACTACAGTTAACAATACTATATGGTACACTTGCAATTTGCCAAAAGGATAACACTTAAGTTTTCTCACCGTGCCAACCCCCAAAAAAGTAACTATGTGGATGTGATGACTATGTTAACTAGCTTGACTGTGGTGAACATCTCACGATGTATACATGTATCAAAACATCAAACCATACACCTTAATTATATATCATTTCTATTTGTCAATTATACCCCCAATAAAACGGAAAAAAAAAGAGCTTAAGCAAAAAAGGGTGATTGATGTATTGGCTCACTAACTCAACATTTGACAATTATATTAAATCCAAGCTAATCTAAATCCTGGTGCTCTAACAACGTCATTGAGGACTTGTCCTTTCCCCTCCTTTGTGGCTGATGCTCTTTATACTGGCTTCATCTCAGGCAGCTCTCCCTGCCTGGTCTCCTCACGATCTCCAGTGTTTCAGTCTTACCATCTGTCACCCTAACAACTAGTAGAATAAGAGCTTCTCCTTCCCAGAGCTGATGCCCACTGGTTTGATTGGCCTGGCTTAGGGCTCATGACCTCTGCAAAACTATTCATTGTATCTGAGGGAGGGTAGAATCTTTGACTGATAGTCTCCCCAGGATTGGATGCAAATGAGAAATAAAGAAAAAAAAAAAAAAAACTAGGGCTGTTTCAGATAAAGAAGAAACTGGTACTGACTAGACAGTGATAGAAGATGTCCGCTAGGCCATCTAGGGCTCTGTAAAGCCCTGATTGGAGATAGGCAGCTACCTTTGGGCCTCTGGACTAGTTGCTTAAAGAGCAGGCTGACTCCAGTAAAGAGTCCTTAGGGCACATTTCCCTCTGCAGGTTGGAGTCTGGTTTGGTTATGCATCCTTTGGGTCATGCATATTTCCTGTTTGCCTTTGTAGCATTCTTGTGTGGATTCTCAGGTCTGAGAGGAATTGCTCTGTTAGAACTGGCTTACACAGGACGCTGGTTCTGATTGGCCTAAAGCCAAGTGAAAGTGGATAATAAATACATCATTGTCATTTGAATTCTACTAAAATCAAGTCAAATATTCCCTCCCTTGACATCACATGACTCCTTCTGTTTCCTTTGCATATTTTATTCAGTCATCATTAATGAGCACTGATTAATTGCCTATATGTGCCAGGCACCAAACTAGACACGAGCACCTTTACAAAGTTTGAATTCTAAGTCCTTTTTAGGGCAGTTTATGGTCTAGTGAGTAGATGTGATGGTGTCTAATAAGTACAGTTAGGGTGACGTTGCAAGGTATTTAAAAGTTCAAGAAGAAATGAATGTAAAGGCAGCAAAGACTTCCTAAAAAGGTAAGATGTGGCGTGTTGGAGAATAAGACAGAGTTTGCTGGAAGAGAGAGAGGAGCGGTATTCTAGGAGGCGGGGGTGGTAATGTGATGGCAGGGAGGTGGAAAACAGGGGGGCGTATATGAAGATCTGCTCATAGTTACTGTGGTTGGGGTGAAGGAAACTGAAGGAGGCTGGTGCTTTGGAGTTGACAGTGGGCAAAAGAAAAGTGGCGTGAAATAAAGTCAGAGAGACAGATAAAAATATGGGCCACCTAAATTACCCTTTAAAGAAAGCCTTGCACCCCAGCCACAGGAGGTGCAGTCAGCAGATGGCCTTCCGCTGCCACTGTCTCAGGGTCAGCCTCAGGTGCGCTTGCTTTGTCAGAGTTTTACCCTTCCAGGTTGTAAAGACCGACGACTTTGGCCTGATGGATGACACCCTGGAGGTACTTTTCCAGAGCTCCCTCACAGATAGGTTGACAAGGCTGTGTCAGGCCTGCATCCCAATTTGACTTCTTTTGTCCAATACTACTCCCCTTCCTTTCTACTAACACTGCTCTCTGATAAATATCTTCAGTCCCAAACTCCATCTGGCATCTGCTTCCAGAGAACCCATCCTGAAAGACCAGCATGGATCCAACCACAAAGGCTCTGTGTATGAAGCTGAGATGTGTTCCCTGAGTTCAAGCATTTCAAAATGAGAACCAACTAATGAACTGTCTGTCCTCTGACAAACTCTTCAGAGTCTCTCCAAGTCTGAAATAGATGTCCCATCCTGTTACAAAGTTGAAACATCTAAACTCTGGTGAGAAGATTAGAGAAAAAGAATAGAAACCAACGCCATTGTATTCATTCAACAAACATTTCCTGAATGCCTAGTCAGCATCAGATACTGTCTGATCTGAGAGTACCAGACCTCAAGAGTAAGACATGGCACAGGGCCCTCTCATGGAAGGCTTCCTGAAGGAGATAGCTCCTGAGAAGAGCCCAAGCTTGTTAGAAGGGACATGTGGCTAAATAAACAATGTGAAAATTAAGATCCAACACACAGAATTACAGGATAAGCTCTATATTCATTTCCTAGGGATGACATAAAAAAAGTACCACAAACTGGGTGGCTTTAAACAAGAGAAAGTTACTCTCTCACAATTTAGAAGTCAAAAATCAAGGTGTTGGGAGCCCCTGCTCCCTGTCAAGACTCAGGGAAGTATCTGTCTTTGTCTCTTCCTAGTTTCTGGAGTTACTGGCAATCCTTGGCATTTTTGGCTCTGCCTCCATCATCACAAGGTATTTCCCCCATGTGTCTGTCTGTGTCTCTGTTTTGTCTTATAAGGACACCATTCATATTGGATTAGGGCCCACCCTAATGGAATATGACCTCATCTTGATTACATTTGCAAGGACCCTATTTCCGAATGAGAGCACATGTAGATGTTCCAGGGGTTAGAATCTCAACATATCTTTTTGGTGAGCACAATTCAACTCCCAACAGGCTCCAGCAAGAATGTCACCAGCCTCTACAGGCAGTGATCAAAGAGACTGGAAGCACTAATTTTAGAGCCAGTGGAATACTGGAATTGTGGCTTTCCCTTTACTACTGTGTGTATGTGATGTTGAACCAACTACTTTTCCCTTTTCCTCTAAGCTGAAAGTGTTCTCAGGTATAAAATAGGAACAGTGTCAGTATGTGCTGAGATTATTCTTTCTCCTCTTCTTCCAGACATACTCCTTCCTGAAGTTAGGCATAGTCATTTGACTTTCTGCAGCTAATCCAAGCAGAAATTATGTGTAGCACTCCAGTGTAGAAGTATTGAAGACTTGGCACCCAATTCCCCTTGCTCTCTTCCCCTCCCATGGCTAGTCCTGAAGACATTTGTTGAGATGACAGTATCATCCTCCATTGGCTTTGGTTCCTGAGTAATAATGGTAAGCAGAGACCCCTGACTACCTGCATTGAAAAGACAGTATGAACAATAAATAAATCTTTGTTCCATTAACCATTGAGATTTTAGTATTATTGGCTACTGCAGTATGACCTAACCTATCCTAACTGGAACAGAGTGTTGACCTCACAGGATTGTTACGAGGTTTAACTAAGATAAAGCACATAAATTACTCAGCATGGTGCCTGGAAAATAAGAAATCTCAATAAATACTTTTTTTTATGCCCAAGGGAGCAAATACATTGCAGCATTTACATGGCAAAAATTTTGTGACTCCATTCTCATTCTAGAATATTGAGAAAAAAAGAACTCATATTGAACAGCTGGTGTATTCCATCCACACTGGTAACATTTATTGAAAGACTACTACAATGCCAAGTACTGCTCTAATAACTTTACCTGCAGTAATTTGCTTAATCCTCACAACTACCATAGGAGGTAGGTAGTAGGATTATCTTTTTTCACAGGAAAGGAAATTAAAGCACAGTGAGGTTAAATAACTTGCCCAACATCATAAAGTCAGGAAATGGCAGAGCCCTGGCAACCTGGCTCCAGCCGGAGCACTGCCCCAGGCTCTTGCAGGAACAAGTACAAACAACAGAGCATGTTTGAGCACATTCCAGGACTATCTTGGAAGGGAAAGCAACTTCTGAGGAAGATGCATCTTGCTCCAAAGATGCCCCAGGGTCAAATTAGCCATCATCCCAGGAGAGTAACAAAATGCTTTCAGGTCTCATCTGCTAAACTTGGCCAAGATGAATACAAAACATTTGCGAGCTAGAGACTTCATTTTGCAGTGCCATCACCAACAATCCAACATATCTGGTTTTAGCTAGACACTTACAAACAAGCAGAGCACGTAGCCTTGAGGCTGAGCACACAGAGAAGCAACAGATGCCGCCCACGGAAGGCCACAGAACCTTGTTCTCCAAGGCTGCAGGAGAGGAGGGATTGAGAATTCCTTGGAACCCAGAAGTGATGAATTTACAACAACCCCTTGAACAATTCCATCTGAATTTATATGGGTTTGGCCTTTGTCCCTGCTCTCCATGAAAAGCCGTAGTATGGCAGGTAATGAAAACACAAAGCCTTTTCTAGAGCGAAGTTTTATTTACTGAAATTACCCCAACACCTTGGAGTCAGAAGACCAGATGTGTATTTTATGTGCTGTGGCTTTCTAGAGAGAAACACTTAGAATGGCCATCTGTATTAGTTTGCTAGGTCTGCCACTACCAAGTACCACAGACTGGGTGGCTTAATCAACAGAAATTTATTTCCTCACAATTCTGGAGGCTGGAAGTCAGAGAGATGGATGTGTCCACAGGGTTGGTTTCTTCCGAGGCCTCTGTCCTCAGCTTACAGATGGTGACCTTCTGGTTGTGTCCTCACAGGGTCTTCTCTCTGTCCCTGTGTCCTAATCTCCTCTTCTTGTAGAGACACCAGTCTTACTGAATTAGTGCCTACCCTAATGACCTCATTTTAATTTGATTACCTTTGTAAAAACCCTATCTTCAAATACAGTCACATTCTGAGGTACTAGGGCTTCGGACTTCAGCATATGAATTTGGGTGGGGCCCAATTCAGCCCCTAACACTGTCCAATACAGGAACTGTAGTTTATAGGAAAAAAAAAAAAGCTCCACAACCTCTTAGGTAATAGAACTAGTTCCAAATATTCTAGATGGGAGATTCTTTTTCAAAATTAGCAGTTAGTTTTTAAAGCTAGTTTTGTTCGGTCAGCTAGCTGTTCTCTTCCATTTATGCAAGGAAAAGGGATATTAGTAGAAAGCCTAATGCCCTTTACGAGGGTGCCTTGTGGCCAAAACCAAAGAAAAGTGGGCCACCAGCCAGCCATACTGAGCATACAGCCATCTTATATGCAACACTACCTCTTATTTCTATCTACATAGCACTTTACAGTTTCAACGATCACTTTCTATCTTTACACCACCCCATGAGGAAATCATAGACTAGTTAATATTCCTTGAACTGATTGGGAAGCTAGGGCTCCGAGAAAGTGACACGTCACTTGTTTAGTAAATGGCAAATCAGAAAATGGCTCTGTCACCCAGGCTGGAGTGCAGCGGCATGATCTCAGCTCACTGCAACCTCCACCTCCCAGGCTCAAGGGATCCTCCCACCTCAGCCTCCAGAGTAGCTGGGACTACAGGTGCACGCCACCATACCGGCTAATTTTTTTTGTATTTTTTGTAGAGTAGAGGTCTCACTATGTTGCCCAGGCTGGTCTCAAGCTCCTGGACTCAAGCTACCTGCCCACCTTGGCCTCCCAAAGTGCTGGGATTACAGGCGTGAATTCTTGATTGAAAATTATTTAGTAGTGGGGTTTATATCATCAACTCAAATATAATATATATTTAAAAGTTTGGCCCCAACTACGTAATCTTAAGTGTCATAGTCTATTTATCTCAGAAAACAAGTTCTACTGTATACCAACGAACCTCTCAAAAAAATCAACAGCTGAGACTACTTTAAAAAGAAGTACAAGAAGAGCTTCAGAGGAAAGGGAGAATAATTTGCCCATGCAAGAATGACTTACTCTGCTGGATATGGAAGGCATATCACAAAATTAGGTACTATACAGTTAATATATGGTAGTAACACAAGAACAGCCAGAGATGAATGGAGTAGGATAGTTGATAATTTTTCTCCAACATTCATAATTGACGAATTCAACAGAATGTATAGAAAAGAGTTATATCTTCGTATTCAGTATATAAAAACAATTGGTAGAAATAATAATCACTTAATATATGAAATTATGTTATTAATATCAAAAAATACCAATTAAAACATCAAAAATACTACTTATAATTATTAAATGGCATATCTCGAGCAGAAATTTGTACAATTATAACCAAGGGAAGCATTCAGAGAAATGGAATCTTGTTGATTAGCTGACTTTGCAATTAACTAACTTTTGGGTTTTGAATACATAAAATAATTCTTTTAACTAAATAATAAATATGGAAAAGAATAAATATAATTCATCATTTAAAAATGTAACTATAACACATACTCTTTATAGACAATTTGAAAATATAAAAACTTATAAAGAATAATATTAAAATGGCCCTAAGTTTTATCTCCAACATATAGCCATTATTGACAGGGTAGGGTGGTTTTTAACTCAATGACTCATTCACATATATAATTGTGGGTCCTATTTTGTTTTCACCTAATGTTATATTTGCAATATTTTCCTATTTTCTAAGCTATTCTTTGAAAACATATTAATAGTTGCAAAGTAGTCAATCATTTATATATAAATTATAGGTTTGTCATTCATCATCAAACAATGAGCTTTCTGATTTTTGTTAAAAATAAATAATACAAGCCCGGCATGGTGGCTCATGCCTGTAATCCCAGCACTTTGGGAGGCTGAGGCGTGCGGATCTCCTGAGGTCAGGAGTCTGAAACCAGCCTGGCCAACATGGCGAAACCCAGTCTGTACTAAAAATACAAAAATTAGCTGGGCATGGTGATGGGTGCCTGTAATCCCAGCTACTCGGGAGGCTGAGGCGGGAGAATCGCTTGAACACAGGAGGCGGAGGTTGCAGTGAGCCGAGATCGTACAATTGCACTCCAGCCTGGGTGACAGCGAGACTCCATCTCAAATAAATAAATAATAAATAAATAAATAATACAGTAAACATTCCTAAGCATTATTGTTTATATATATCTCTCTTGAATTTCTGAAAGTCAAATTATTGGGTCAAAGGTCACGAATACTGGTAAGACCTTTGATTGATAGTTTATTCCCTTCAGGATGATCACACCAACCCATACCCCCTGTCTAGTGGTAAGAGTATAAAAGTTTATTCTATTTTTCTGACCATGCTTCTTGAATGTGCTACCACTAAAAATTATCATTTTTAAAATGTTGCCAAACAGTTTTCACCTTAATAGTTGAAAAATTGTATATTTTGTTGTTTGATTTTTTTATTAGAAGTTTGAGCTTTCGTATACGTTTATAGGCCTTTTTTTTTTTACTTTTATTTTAAGTTCAGGGGTAGATCTGCAGGATGTGCAGGTTTGTTACCTAGGTAAACTTGTGTTATGGTATGGGGGTTTGTTGTACAGATTATTTCATCACTCAGGTATTAAGTCTACTATCCATTAGTTATTTTTCCTGATCCTCTCCCTCCTTCCCACCTCCACCCTCTGAAAGACCCCCATGTGTGTTGCTCCCCTCTGTGTGTCCATGTGTTCTCATCATTAGGTCCCACTTATAAGTGAGAACATGCAGTATTTGGTTTTCTGTTCCTGTGTGAGTTTGCTAAGGATAATAGCCTCCAGCTCCATCTATGTCCCTGCAAAGGACATGATCTTACTCTTTGCTATGGCTTCATAGTATTCCATGGTGTATATGTACTGTAATTTCTTTATCCAGTCTATCACTGATGGGCATTTAGGTTGAGTCCATGTCTTTGCTATCGTGAATAGTGCTGAAATTAACATACACATGGATGTGTCTTTATAATAGTATGATTCATATTCCTTTGGGTATATACCCAGTAATGGGATTGCTGGGTGGAATGGTACTTCTTTGTTTAGTTCTTTGAGGGATCACCACACTGTCTTTCACAATGGTTGAACTAATTTATTCTTCCAACAAAAGTGTATAAACATTCCTTTTTCTTCACAACCTCACCAGCATCTGCTGTTTTTTGACTTGTTAATAATAGTTATTCTGACTAGTGTGAGATGGTATCTCACTGTGGTTTTGATTTGCATTTCTCTAATGATCAGGGATGTTGAGCTTTTTTTCATAGGCTTTTTAGCTGCATGTATGTCTTCTTTTGAGAAGTGTCTGTTCATGTCCTTTGCTCACTTTTCATTGGGATTGTTTTTTTCTTGTAAATTTCTTTAAGTTCCTTTTAGGTGGGGATATTAGACCTTTGTCAGACACATAGTTTGCAGAAATTTTCTCCCATTTTGTAGGTTGTCTGTTTACTCTATTGATAGTTTCTTTTGCTGTGCAGAAACTCTTTAGTTTAATTAGATCCCATTTGTCAATTTTTGCTTTTGTTGCAATTGCTTTTGGCAGTTATCATCCCAACTATAGAATACCTATGGAAATCCCTACAATTTCCTGGATTTCACATATTATCTACATGGAGTTCCTTAAGTATGTATATTAATTAGACATAAGGCAGCTAATGACATAAATCATACTTTTTGGGGCAAAGAGTAATGTTTCTTTCTCCTAATTCATCTACCCATATGGTAGGGAACTTCTGTCCCTCCTCTTCCTATTCTTCCCTACTTTAGGGGGAATAAATAATCAGATTGGTCAGAACTGGAACATTTGTTGAGCCATATTTTCTAAAGGATGGAATAACTAAATTACAAACACAACCCCAGCCCATCCGTTGCTTTGTTGTGGTTGCATTCTACTGGTGATGGTGTTTGGGGCAGGTCCTGCTCTTCCGTTCAGCCAGGCAGGGGAACAAATTTCCTTTGCAGATTCAGATACCTTCACACAGGTTGACCTCAAGATCCAGGCTTATGGAAGAAATAAAAGGTGTTTGGTGACCTTGAATCCAAGCTACATTCTCAAAAATTATTTACCAGACCCCAGCATTTGAGGATCACTGGGCGCTTGCCCAGCCATGGGTAAAGCTGATGTGTTGTGTCAGTTTCTCACATCCACTGGTTAAGACCCTGGGAAGGAGGAGGGCTGAGTCTTGGCCCCCTCCCAGCTTCCAACGATGCTGTGTGTCAGCATTGTAGACAAGAGCTTGCAAACTCCTAACTCTTCCTCTGATTCTGGCTGCCTCTTCAGACAGCCTCTGTATCCCAGTTTTCAAGACACGTCTGTGTGTGTGTGTGTGTATCTATGCATATATTTTAAAGTAATCCTGTTTTAACTAGCATAGCTGTTACTTTTATGTGTTATTATAAAACTGTGCTTCAGCTGTCAGCATGCTGTTCTCCCACCATATGTTTCCCCTGTGCTTTCCTGACACTGCCTTTCCCAGGGCCCAGAGATGGCAGAGGGAAGCTCTGAAACACAGCGCAATTCTGAAAAGCTTTGTCTTCTCGCTTATTGCTCTTAAAACTTTCCTTTGCCGAGTCAGGAAGATGCTCCTATATCTCCACCTGTTTGTGCTTTGGGGCATGAAGCCTAGCTCCTGTAACTTGTTTCACAACCCAATGCTGAAATTGCTGTTGCTGCCATTGTATTGTAACAGAAGGGAAAAGAGAGAGTGGGTTAGGATTTTATATCTTCTATGTGGGAAAGCCATCATGTTCCTTTGGGTTTTTAAAAGCCCTTGCATTTGTACAGTGCTTTATGGTTCATGAGGTGTTTTTGTATTTATTATTTTCATTGATGCTGACAACACTAAATGCTTGCCCCATACTTATTTTCTATTTACCAATAAAATGGTGAAGATCAGACATTCAGCAGGCATTATTTGAACACTTACTGTGTGCTGGGCACTAAGAATTTGAGGATGAGCATATTGTTATTATTTATTTATCTTTGTGTATTTATTATTTAGTTATATTTTATAGATGAGGAAATAGACTGAGAGAAATTAATTATCTTCAGTCATCCAGATAGTAAATAGTGGAGTAAAATCCTCAAACTTAGTTTTTTTTCATTTCAGCTTTAGTATAGTTCTTTTATAAACCATTCTAACTTGTCCCTCAGTTAGCTTCCTTTAACTTACCACTTCTCACTTGAAACATCTTTTTTTTTCTAATTTAGCTCAAAGGCTGATAGAATAAGCAATTATGTAGAGTATCTGATAGGCCCCATGTATTAATTATTAATGCTAGCTAATATCAGAAATGAGAATGAATGTCTTTAAAAAATTATAGATTTAATGAATTCAGACTAAAGCATTATGAAGAACAGAAAGGTAGCCCTGAAGGAGAATAGAAGGGTATTAGAATTGTCTTCTGTGCATTTTCCACACTGATGGGTGGATAGCTCTTGGCGCCTTTGTCGTGAAATCTTTGCCCATGCCTATGTCCTGAATGGTATTGCCTAGGTTGTCTTCCAGAGATTTTATAGTTTTAGGTTTTACATTTAAGTTTTTAATCCATCTTGAGTTAATTTTTGTATATGGTATAAGTAAGGGGTCCAGTTTCAATTCTCTGCATATGGCTAGCCAGTTATCCCAGCACCATTTATTGAATAGGGAATCCTTTTATAGGAAAGCTGAATATTATAAATACTTTTAAGAATAGGAAGAATAGAAAGAGAAGGGACAGAAGTTCCCTACCAGATGAGTAGATGAATTAGGAGATAAGAAACATTACTCTTTTCTCCAAATAGTATGATTGGTGTCATTAGCTGTCTTATGTCTAATTAACATATGTACCAAAGGAACTCCATGTAGATAATATGTGAAATCCAGAAGACTGTAGCAGTGACTTCCATAGATATTCTATGTTTGGGATGATAATACGAGCAGTTGACCTAGGCTTGTATATCGATACAACCATAAATAACCAGGTTCACAATGTAAGACATATAGTCATTTGCCAAGGAATAAATTATCAATATGACATGAGAAATACCTGATTAGAGAAAAGTCATATTAATATAATGACCGAAGCCTTCTTGTATGATCAACTATCATAAGACCTTTCTAATTTAGATGTCATTGATTTGCATTTATCATAATTTAAATTGGACCAAGATAGGGTTTTCCAAGCCGAAAGGTAATGCTTGGAGAAGATACTTCCCCATCTTAAAGAGGTTCAAATCATAAAAAGCCCACTTTGAAGAAGTTTTAGGCACTTGAGAAGCACTGATTTCTATAAGGCAGGACATAGAGCTTAAGAGGAATTTATGATTTTTAGTGAAATTTCCTCATTTTATAGATGAAAACACAGGCCCTGGGAGACAAAGAGACCCCAAAGCCACACAGCAGCGAAACCCACACCAGATGATCCCATCACAAATGACCACTTTTTCTACTCAATGCTACCCCTCTTCTCTTGCTTTGGTAATGACAAATTGCTCTTGCCTAGTAAAGAAATCTTAGGCTTGCATTTGGCTACACTCGACTGCCCCATATTTAGCTGGAGACTTTTGCTATAAAGCTATATTTCTTGTTAAATACTCCACAACTCAGAATTTCTGTAAAGCAGGATGGTCTTGCTCTAAGTATATCTGCATTAAGTTAGTTGTTATTGTTTTGTCTTGCCATGTTATATTGTATTCTGGGGTTTCTTTTGTTCGTTTCATTTTGTTTTGTTTTGCTACAGCACAGTGCTTAATGAATGGAGATTTTAAAGATGATGGATGTTACTGCTACTTGTTTATAAAATACTGAATAGTTCTGGAGAAAACTCCCTATTTGCTTAGGTGTTGCTATGTAAATCTCAGAAGGGACACATGGATTTTCCATGTGATTGATATGGTCAATGTTCTCCATTATCCCCCATGCCACAGAGAAACTTGAGAGATAAGGAGTATAGAGAGGAGGCAAGAAGATGACACAGAATTTCATGCTGGTGTAGCCACTGGGTGGGTTCCTCTTGTCCACCTCCCAAATTGAGCTGATTTATCAAGACAGAGGAACTGCAGTGGAGAAAGAGTTTAATACCCACAGAGCCGGCTAAAGGGGAGACTAGAGTTTTATTATTACTCAGCTCAGCCTTCCTGAAAATGTGGAGGCTAGGAGTTTTCAGAGAGTTTGGCAGGTGGGGAGCTAGGAAATGGGAAACGCCAATTAATTAGGTCAGGGATGAAATCATAGGGGGTTGGAGCAGGTTCTTCTTGCTCTCTTCTGTTCCTGGGTGGGATTGCAGAACTAGTTGAGCCAGATTGCCAGTCTGGGTGGCAGCGGCTGGTCTGTCATAATGCAAGGTCTGAAAACTGTCTTGGACACTGATCTTAGGTTTTACAACAGCAATGTTATCTGCAGGAGCAATTGGTGAGGTTAGGAATCTTATGGTCTCTGGCTGCATGATTCCTGACCACACTTTCTAATTCTGTGGCTAATTTGTCAGTTTTACAAAGGTGGTCTGCTCCCCAAGTAAGGAGGTAGTTTGTTTTGGGGAGGGGCTGTTATACTCTTTGTTTCAAAGTTAAACTACAAACTAAATTCCTTCCAAAGTTACTTTGGCTAACACACAGGAATGAACAAGGGTAGTTTAAAGGTTAAAAGAAAGATGGAGTCAGTTAGGTCAGATTTCTTTCACTGTCATAATTTTTGGAAAGGCAGTTTCAGTGGGAAACGCATGTGAAATGGATTTGGGTCAAGTTCTATTGTCTGCTTATCACTAATCAATTCTTGGAAGCAGGAATTCCTAAGGATGGGGAAACGTTGACCTTCCATGAAACTAACGGGCCACCTTGAAGTCTTATCCATGCCAGTCCTGTTATGTTGGGCTCCTCGTTCTCCAAGCACACTTTTGACTCTCTCTTTTAGCTATGCCTGGAAATATCTCTAGTGGAAATAATTCTGTTTAGTCTCACAGCTCAGAAGTACTTCCTACACTATTTATCCAAATCCTACCTTTCACTACCTAGCTAGAGGAAACCTGAGTTTGAATGCCAGCTGCAGGATTTACTGGGTGTGAGACCAAGGGTAAGTCAGGCAAATCATTGAATTTCTCTGACTCTCATTTCCTGAGCTATAAAATAAGATAATAATAGTAGCTACTTTATAGGTAGTCACTATACAACTTGTGTGTGCATCACAAAAATACAGCATTAGTTCGTCAATGACAAGTGATGTTTTATATTATTCATATTATTTTCTTTCCATTAGAGACACTTCAGTACTTCAGTGAGGACAGCTCACCCCATGTGAGGAAACCTGAGTGAACTGGCACTATAATTTCTAAATCATTCCAGTGATAGCTTAAAATCTGTGGTGAATTAGTGACTAAGGAAGCTGCCCTGTCCAGCTCTGAGAACAAGGCTGTATTCATTTCCCTGCACTGCTGAAACAAAGCACCAAAAACTAGGTGGCTGAAACTACAGAAATGTGTTATCTCGCAGTTCTGGAGGGTGGAAATCTGAAATCACATGTCAGGGGGGCCGAGCTCTTTCTCTCTGTCTCTCTCTCTCTCTGAAGACTCTAGGAAAGAATCCTTCCTTGTAGCTGCTATTAGGTTGGTGCAAAAGTAATTGTGGTTTTTGCCATTGAAAGTAATGGCAAAAATTGCGATTACACTAAGGGAGGAGACCACCCCTCGTATTGTCTTATGCCCAATTTCTGCCTCCAAAGAAAGAAGAAGTAAAAACTAAAAGGCAGAAGTGAAATCCACAGGCAGACAGCCCAGCGCCGCGCCCTGGGCCTGGTTAAACATTGACCCCTGACCTAACCGGTTATGTTACCTATAGATTCCAGACATTATATGGAAAAGCATTGTGAAAATCCCTGTCCTGTTCTGTTCCATTCTGATTACTGGTGCATGCAGCCCCCAGTCACGTACCCACTGTTTGCTCAATCGATCACGACCCTCTCACGCGGACTCCCTTAGAGTTCTAAGCCCTTAAAAGGGACAGGAATTGCTCACTCGGGAGCTCGGTTGTTGGAGACGTGAGTCTTGCCAAAGCTCCCGGCCGAATAAAGCCCTTCCTTCTTTAACTCGGTGTCTGAGGGGTTTTGTCTGCAGCTTGCCTGCTACAACACTAACCAAACATCTTCTGGTGTTTGCTGGCAGTCCTTGGCACTCCTTGGTTTGTAGATGCCTCTTCCAGTCACATGGTATCTTCTCCCTGTGTGTCCTCATGACATCATGACATCTTTTCTCTGCACATGTCTGTTTCTGTGTCCAAATTTCCCCCTTGTACGACATCAGTCATACAAGATTGGAGTCCATTCTGATGATCTCATTTTAATGTGATTATTTCTATATGACTGTATCTCCAAATAAAGTCACATACAAAGTTACTAGGGGTTAGGATTTCCACATATCTTTTTGGGGACACACAATTCAACCCTTCACATGAAACTAACACATGGTAAGTTAATCATTAAAATAAGCTCTTGTTATTATATTACTGTCTGTATTATATTATATTTATTATATTACTGTCAGCTTTGCTCAACATAACAGTATATTCTCTCCATTTTATCCACATTTGTTTTTTCTCCTCAACTGACTGCAGTAAATCCGCTAACCACAGAAGCCATGTGTTATTTATTTACTTTTAGTGTATTAATCCACTGAGGCTACCATAGCAGAATACTACAGACGAGGCGGGTTAAATAACAGAAACGTATTTTCTCCAGGTTTGAACACTGGAAATCGAAGCTCAAGGCACTGGCAGCGTTGGCTTCTGGTGAGGCTTCTCATCCTGGCTTGCAGATGTTCTCCTTTCTGCTGGGTCCCCACCCAGCCTTCCCCCTGTGCACAGGCATCCTGGCATCTTCCTCTTCTTCTAAGGACACTAGTTTTATTAGATTAGTAACCCACTCTTATAATATCCTTTAACCCTAATTACCTCCTTCAAGGCCCTATCTCCAAATACAGTCACATTGAGTTCTGCCTATGAATTTTAGGGGGACACAATTCAGTTCATAACAATGATATTCTTCCCTAAGAAGAGGTCTGGCCATGTGGTGGCAATTAACAAGTTCTACTTAGCAAAACGTTCACATATTCACTGGAAGAAGAAAAAAACGTTCCTGAATATCTGTGTGTGGGGAAGAGAAGGACGGAAGGGTGTTCCTCATAAATTCTCTAGCTGAATTATTTTTTTTCATATATACCACTAGTCTGAAGCACAAATATGTGGATTTCTAGATAAAGCAACCCCACAGATAATCCAAATATTTGTTTCAAGTCAGGTATTCTGCTGAATTCAGAGGAGCATCCCCAAACAAAAATTATGTTTTCAGCTCCTCCCAAAGTCTTCACTTTGCTGATAGCAAGCAATCTGTGAGCTAAAGGCAAACCATAGTATCTTCTCTTAATTTTCCAGGATAATGCAGATAAAGCTGCCACAGATCTCTCTCTCAAATCGTGAGTAGAAGGCTCAGAAATCCCTTTTTCCAGGACTCTGTAATGACTGACCTCTGGGACACTGTGTCTCCTTATGTTTCAAAAGGTTCAGGATTGGCCACAGCACAGTCAAAAAACAGATATCATAAAATCCACCTGTACTCTGCATCCAGCTCACCTGGGACCCTTGTAAGGCTGCACGATCTCCTCTCTCAGGTGTCCCAGGCCCAGGAATGTCTGTGCAACTTATTAGGAGGTGAAACCCACTCACCTTCTTGTATCTACCAGACACCCTCTCACTTACCTTGAGGGATAATTTCCAGAAGTTTTGCTGGCATGCATGTTCCATGAGTGGGACCTGGGCACTTTAACCATCAGGGCCGTCATCTTAATTTACCCTGTCTGGGGAGACTGAGGAAGTGGAAACCAGCACAGGCTTGTCAGAAGCCTGAAATCTTTTTGCAGAACCTCATGCTGCTCTGATATTCCTTTATTCTATGACCACCCTATTGGCATTTACATATTTAGTTTAAAGTGGGTTATTAGATCTCTTGTAAGTGACCCTGTAACTATTCTCATGTTATTATATTCATCCATTCATTCATTTATTAGCGAATCATTTATTAAGGGTAACTACTGTGAGCTAAACCTCGTACCAGGCAATGGGATATGAGGAGGAACCGAAGAGATGAGTCCTTGTCTTGAAGGAGGATGTTAAGTTGTAGAAGTCTGCCTCCAACTAGAGTTGAAGGCAAAGAAAAGGTCTCTGGAGTATTTTGTACTCCCCAACAGTGGTGATGGCCGGGTTGTGCTCACAGCAGGTGCTCAATAAGTAACTGGTGCGTCACATACCAGATGTACAGAGTCAGCTTTGTTGCCTGGGTAGCTACTGATTTATGGCTCCATATGGTCACCCTTTCTAACCTTCTCATTGCCTTCTGTACCAAGGCTACACTCTTCTTCCTTTTGCAAGTATCTCTCTCTTTCTGACAGCACAAAACATGCTCCCATTCCCCTGGTCTCTTCTCATATCCTGACCAGACCAGCCCAAGCAGAACAGAAATATTGGAGGACTGGGAGAAATTTGTTCCTCTGCCCACACAGGCTATCAGACAGAATGGCTGGGCTGTTTCTCCAAATGAAATACAAAGTTAAAACCATTCCTAATCACATTAACCACTGTCAGGAATAAGCTGGTTAGTTACAAAGCATGATAATGCAGAGAAAATTCTAATTAAGAGAAATGAGAGAATCTAACACATATCATCAGTCATTATGCTGTCATCCTTTTCCAATATAACAAGATGTGGTTTGTGCGAAGTGTCTGGCTATCGCTTTTGAAAGAGAACTATTTATAATTAGAATTGTGTTGAATATTTAAAAGTTGCAAAATTACCATGTCTCTAGGGGAAAATGTCTGTGGAACCATGCAACAACAAATCCAGAAAGATTGAGGATGCATTTAAGAGCCTCCAAGTTTGCATTAAACAAGGAAAATGGGCCATAGCAATGAAAAGCAACATGCATTTCATAAAGCCATCCTGCTAATTAATTGTCATCTCACAAATGCTGCTAAGCCTTTTGAGTGATGATGAACGTCACCGTTCACAATTATTCAGTAAATCAAAATATGAAGGTTTGTTACCTTATTTTTGCAGGCTTTATGGAGGACTTAATAGTTCCTCCCATGTCCAGTGACCATTTATCTAGACCACTCGCTATCCACAACATCAGAGAAAAACTACCAGAAATAAAACTCTGAGTACCTAAAATAGCTAACGCAAAGCCCTTGTACCTTTATTCACTGGGTAGACCTCAGAACCTCACTGAGACACTTTAAAATAAAACAACTTGCCATTATAGAATATTTCAAACTATAGAAAAATAGAGAGTATGGTATAATGACTCCCTCTTTACCACTTAGATTATTTTGACGCATATGTAAGATATAAAACTTCAACTGTAAATATTTCAGTTTGTATTTCTAAAAGATATAAGCTCCAAAAAGACTCCCATAAAAATGACCATCACTGTACCTAAAACAATTAACAATAATGTGGCTTTCTTTCCTTCAACAGACTTACAGCAGTAGATTAGGTGGGGCGGGGAGGAAGGGCACGTAGCCACCGACTAGCTGAATAATTTTAGGGAACTCGTTTAATTTCCCTAAGCTTCAGTTGCCTCAAAAATACATGTAATTGTTATGGTTAAATCAAAGATGATGTAATGTAGATGCAGAATCCTACACAGTGCCTGGCATACACAAAGTATGCAATGTAAGCTATTATCATTAAAATGGTTAAAACAAAAATGTCGTCAGCACTGTAAAAAGTAAATGAGAGCTCTCTGGAAATTTACTTAGATGAATTATCGATGACCACCGTGTTTCTTAATCAATAATGGAAACTTTTCAAACTCATGTTCTGTAACTTCTCACTTGCCTCTGATACTACTATGGAGCACACACTCCTTCTGGAAGTAGTCTCCTCTCCTCTCTTGGCTTCTGTGATAACAAGAAAACTGTGGTTGCTCCTTCTTAATCTCCAATGAGGGCACCTCCTCGCAACACGGCCATTCAAAGCTAGAATTCTTCAAAGTTCAGTCCCAGTCCTAATTCTATATTGCTTTTCTATTCACTCTACAGTCTCAACAGATTTTTAGCAACTCCCATGGTTACAAATATGATTTAAGCACTAGCAACTTTCAAATGTATATCTCTGACCCAGATCTCACTTCTCAGCTCTAGATATTTATAACCAACTCCTTAACAGTCATCTTCATCTGAGTGCCCCACAACATTTCATGTACATGTCCAAAACTGAATTCCTACATACTCTGTTTTAGAATCTATTGCAGCAAATTATTGTTTCTCATGCTTCTGTAGGTTACCTGGATGGTTCTTCCGCTCACGTAGTGCAGCTAGGGTGCTGAGAAGGCTGGAAGGTCCAAGATTCACATAGCTGACAGTCCATGCTGGCTTCCAGCTCGAGGCCAGCTGGGATTATCAGCCATGGGTTCTGATTCTCCTTCATGTTAGCATCTCCGTGTAGCCACTTGAGATTCCTCAAAGATGGCAACTGGATTCCAAGGAGGAACATTTCAAGAAACAAAGGCAGAAGTTGCAATTCTCTTAAATATCAGGCTCAGAAGCTATAAAGCATCACTTCCACTATATTCTATTAGACAAAGCAGACCACAGGATCAGCCCAGATTCAAGGGGAAGGGAAATAAGTTCTGCCTCTTAGTGGGAGAGTGGTAAGGTCACACTGTAAAAAAAAGCAGGTGAGGTGGGAGATACCGTTGCAGCCATTTTTGGAAACAAAATGTACTATATTCTCTCTAATGGTGTTCCTTTTCCAGAGTTCCCCTTCTCATAAATTATATCATTAAGTACTCAGTTGCTGCCGCCATGATTATCCTCGACTTCTCCTTTTCCCTCATCCTCCATGTCTCCTCACTCACTGAATGTTACCGTTTTTACTTTCAATATCTATTATGAGTCTGTCTCCTCCTCTCCATATCCATGGTCACACCCTAATTCAAACCCCAGCTCAAGCCATTGTCATCCCCTGTCTGGATTCCTGCCAGGTGTCCCCTTATTCACTTTCCCTGTCTTTAATCCATTCTTCACAGAGCAGAAGGAACTATCAGTTCTCTAGTGAAAACCCATCAGTATTTTTTCATGGCTATTTTAATAAAGTTTAGATTTTTAACCTGGCCCACAGAGTCCTCTATGAACTGTCTTCTGTCCATGTCTACAGCTTTATTCTCTTTTTTACCACTCTCCCCTGTACCCTCCCCTCCCCACCCCACACACAATCATCTTCTCATGGGGGCCTTCTCTTATTCCTCCAATGAATCACACTCTTTCCTACATCAGGGCTTTTACCCATGCTGTTCCCTCTGTCTGAAATTCCCTACCTCCTACTCTCAACTCAGCTAATCCCTACATCTCTTTCACATCACAGGGGAAACCCCACTTCCTCAGGGAAGCCTTTCCTAACCTCTAAGGTCAGGATAAGTTCCTCTATAGATGCTGTTGTGGTACGGAGTGCTATTAATGTGTAGCACTTATCATATTAGCAATTAAAGAGTTATTCATTTAATTACAGTCATTCTTGCTATTCACAGTCCTTAGGTTCTACAAAGTCACTGTGAACACTAAATTAGCAAATACAAGATTGGGTTCCTGCAAGCCTCTGGTTAGGAGAGTTTCATCAACAGCTCAATTCATGACTTTGTCTGATGCCTGTGTCTGTTTAAAGACACAGTATCTACTATATATTGCTGTTTCATTAGCATCAAACTCATGCGGCCAACAGCTCTGTAACTCATGATTCAGTGAATCTTATCTAACACACATATTTTCTCCATAAAGCACATCACAGCCTTCTTGTGCTTAGAAACACTAGACAGCACTTCAGCACTACATTTGGGGGTCCTTTGAAACAGCAAAATCACCACAATTTTGCATTTTGTATATAAAAATGCAAAAAAACATGGTGCTAAATCTACCACAATAAGGATACTTCTTTACATTCTGAGAGGTGAAACAAGAAGGTAGAGCATCACCTTGTTCAACCTCAGCTTGCAACAACTTGAATTCTGCGCTGCTCTGTGCATGTCCCTGAATGACTATGAAAGGGCTGTGAGTATGGATTTTAGGCTTACAAACAAATGTTGGTGAGTAAACAAATTTGCAAATACAGAATCCACAAAAAATGAGGGATTGACTCTCCTTATTTAATGAATGTTTCCCTTGCTAGAGTATAAGCTTCATGAGAACAGGAGTCCAGTCTGTCTCGTTCACTGTTTCCCACCGTGCCTCACACAGAATATGCATTTGTCCAGCAAATAAACTTATATAATTTTATTCTTCCTTTGAGGATACAAAACTTAATTCTCAACCCCAATTTCCATATAAGTTATAAAGAAATAATAGGATGTACTCAGCAAGAATAGATGGAATAGAAAGGCCAAAGTGAGAGGAGCCCTTATTAAAACTGTAGTAGGCAGCCGGGAGTGGCGTGGTGGCTCACGCCTGTAATCTCAGCACTTTGGGAGGCCAGGGAGGGTGCATTACTTGAGGTCAGAAGTTCAAGACCAGCCTGGCCAATATGGTGAAACCCCATCTCTACTAAAATTACAAAAATTAGCTAGGCTTGGTGGTGCACGCCTGTAATTCCAGCTACTCGGGAGGCTGAGGCAGGAGAATTGCTCGAAC
Source organism: Homo sapiens (assembly GCF_000001405.40). Taxonomy (NCBI): domain Eukaryota; kingdom Metazoa; phylum Chordata; class Mammalia; order Primates; family Hominidae; genus Homo; species Homo sapiens. Next base: position 3,653,532 of record NC_000003.12, read on the forward strand.
CTGGGAGGTAGAGGTTGCAGTAAGCCAAGATCATGCCATTGCACTCCAGCCTGGGTGACAAAGTGACACTCTGTCTCAAAATAAACAAACAAAAAAACTGCGGTAGGCTTGGATGTAAGACAAATAAGGACTTCTATAACTGCATTGTTAAGGAGGAGAAGTTTAGTCTGGGTGAAAATCAAGAGATAAGGGAAATCGACTAGATGTAAAATTGATGGTTGGTGCAGTAATTGACAATCTAAAGTTCAGGTCCAAAAATGTAGAATCTATTTTGGAATTGTGCATAAGGCATAATGGTCCCCACAGAAGGGTAAGGGAGTGAATGAATAAACAATTGGATGGGTAGATGGATGAATGGCTAAGGAAAACAGAAAACCGAGGTGATCAAATTTAAGCAGGACAATACAATGTCATAGGTCTAAGTGATGACAAATTCTTCAGGTATAGTGTGTGGCAGAAGAATAGCTGTGGGTGACAAGCACATTCACAGGAGAACTACAGACAGTGGTCTTGAGTTATCTGTGTATGATTCAGCTCCTAGGAGAAAGAGCTAGCTTGATTTAAGTAAGGTATCAGGGCCTCAACTGAGCAAACTGGATCCCACACAGGTTGCATTTTCAGTAGGGAACTGAGTACCAATTAGGGAAGGAAATTAAGGCAAAGTCACAGCCGTACATCCTAGGCCACCATGGGAAGGGCATGCCGAGGCTTAGTGGACATGCACCCCCACCCCAGGCAAAACAGATCCAAATCTGGAGCAATAAGTCTAATCCCAAAATTCACTCTACCCCTTTGGCTAACATTATAACTGCCTACTTGAATAGAGACTGAATCACAAACTGGGTAAACTGAGTCTGCAGTGGGACTTATAGATCTTTGCAATTGAAAGACACTGGTAAACAAGTACAGCTTGATTGTTTCTTGACTGTCTTGAAACATTCTAGAGTATTCATTAGACACACTGAAGGACTGACTTTGAAAGACGTAAATGATGGATTTATTTCAACCAAGATTTTTTGAACAGCTATTAGGTATAAAGAGCAGGGTGGGTGTGGAATTGAGGAATAATCAATCAATGCAAGATGAATGTGAACTTCACCAAGTGTGTGAAATTTCAAAATGCAAGAAATAGCCAATTATGTTAATTTCCTAAGAGATTCCAAAAGGCTACAAAAGCTGATGATTTTCTAATTAGCATCCACAGGACTATTGCATATAAAATCAGTTTAAGATATACAAATGGTCCTTGAGAAGCAGAAAACGAATGGGAAAAAATACTTTGGATGAGAGCTCAATCAAAACAAAAGAAACTTCCAGATACTAAAGTGATTCCATTTGCATGCATATGCACAATGTAATCTATACATGTTCCTATCTAGATGACTTAGGTAAGCATACGCAATTGCAGGATTTGCCACCATAAGCACTGATAGCCCCAAAAAGAGACAATTGAAAAATCCAGGCTGAAAAGCTAAATCTGATTTTTCTCACTCTTAACTCAGTCTGGAACTCTAACCTCACACATGCTGATTTTCCTCCCCAAAATAGCACTGCTAAAGAGAAAACTGAGATCACAGAAAAGCCTCATGGGTTATGTTCAGGATAATCAGCTGAATTCCTTAAGGAGTCCTTCTGTTTCTTCATTAAAACAATACCATTTACTTGGAATCTTTTGGTCTTTCGAGACAGGTTGTGGTTTGAAAATAAACTGAAGCATAGTGTTTTAGAACAAGGGAAAGGGGAATAATGGTTTGCATTAGGGTGTTTAGACTCATGCAAAACTTAAACAAAACACATGATGTCAGATTTGGAGTTCTGAGTCTGTCTCCCAGTATATGTGCTTGTATCACACATGCTCTGGCATACACAGGTACACATACACACCCACACACACACACACACACACCACATCTTGCACCCTCCCATACCCAGTCTAATCCTAGGCTATTACCTAATTCTGACACTTGGATGCCACCAGAAGTTGTCAAATGACCTCTGCGCCACTAAAAAATCTCCAGGGACAGTCAGTAAAAGCATCTTCTCCCCACATCTTCTCATATAACAACACTAAGCTTCCTTCCTTCCAAGTTCTCATCTATTATATTTCTATAGCTATCTTTAAGCCCATTTCTCCAGCTACTAATATTCAGTGTAAATCTAAATGTCTAACAGGACAACAAGCATTGCTAGGAATGTAAAATTCTAATCAAGGTCCTATAGCCTTCATGTACTAAAGGACGTGCATTAGGCTGTTCTTGCATTGATATAAAGAGAAATACCTGAGACTGGGTAATTTGTAAAGAAAATAGGTTTAATTGGCTCACAGTTCTGCAGGCTTTACAGGAAGACAGTGCTGGCATCTGCTCGGCTTCTCAAAAGGTCTCAGAAAGCTTACAGTCATGGTGGAAGGCGAAGGGGGAGCAGGCCCATCACATGGAGAAAGCAGGAGTAAGCAAGAGAGTGTTGGGGGGTGGGGGTGACATACACTTTTAAACACCTAGATTTCTCAAGAACTCACTATCATGAAATAGCACCAAACCATGAGGGATTCACCCACGTGATCTAAACACCTCCCACAAGGCCCCACCTCCAGTATTGGGGATTACAATTAAACATGAGATCTGGGTGGGGACAAATATCCAAACTATAAGAGGAGGCTCAGGCAGAAGGTCTACCAATGGTATATGGGGTAGAGTTTTGGGTGATCTCTCACGCCCCTTCCCCTACCACACTAGTGCACAGCAGCCTGACTTCCAATTGCCAATACTGAGGGTGTTCTCTGAGCTCTGAGCACTCTTTGCCACCCAAGTGGCAGATGAGAAGTACCGGGGAATTAATACACCTTTAGAGCAGTCCTCAACCAATGACCAACAGGAATTGGTATAAAAATACCGAGCTCCTTTGCCCACTGGGTGACAGGACTTTTGGGTGTATATTCTACCCTGGCCTCCACAGCAGAATTAAGTTTCCCCAGCAGAATTAAGCTCCAAGGGGCCATGGTAAATCTGGTTTGCTGAGCACCCTTCTTTAGTGACTACCTTCCTCTGGACTGTTTTCCAACACCAACCAATTCTCCAAATCCCTGGAAACCAAGATGTCTTACAATTTAACTCAATTCTGATTCCATCTACCCTGAGTTAGTGCAGACCACAGAGATTAAGGATCCAGCCCCACAAGACTGATTTCCCATTTCACATGCCAGCTGCAAGTAGGAGGTCCCAGGTACCAACACATCAGTCTGACTGGCTCTAAATAGGAGGTTCCCAAAACCCCCTCCCCAGGTTCAATAATTTGTTAGAATGGCTGATAGAATTCAGGAAAGCACTTTACCTAGGTGTACCTAAATTTATGATAAAGAATACAATGGAAGAACAGACAGATGGAAAAGATGTCTAGGGCAAAGTATAGAGGTAGGGAGGGGCAGCGTAGAGCTTCTGTGCCCTCTCTGGGCACATCACCCTTCCAGGCCCAAATTTTTCAAATCCCCTTGGTCAAGAGTTTTTGTATCAGCCTAGTCAACATAGTGAGACCCCATCTCTATAGAAAAACTTAAAAATTAGCTAGGCATGGTGATGTGCACCTGTAGTCCCAGCTTCTCAGAAGGCTGATGTGGAAGGATGGCTTGAACCCAGGAGATCAAGGCTGCAGTGAGCCATGATCATGCCACTGCACTCCAACATGGGTGACAGAGTGACCCTCTGTCTCAAAACAAGCAAACAAACCAACAAACGAAAAGAGTTTTTGTACAGCGTAATCTCCAGCACCTCCTCTGCCTTCTAATCACTTGTCTTTCTGGTGACCCTTTCCATCCTGAGGCTATTCCTAAGTCACCCCATTAGCATGAACTCATATGTGACCAAAAAGGGCTTCTAGTGAATAATAAAAGATACTAGTATCACTTAGGAAATTCCAAGGGTTTTAGGAGCTCTGTGCAGGGAACCTGGGACCAAGAGCATATGTATTTGTTAGACCACATTTCTCCTTGACTGTCTTACTTCCCCAATCCCTGTTGGTGGCCTCTTGACTTCCCAAATAAGCTTCTTGCATCAAATCTTGTCTCAGGGTTTCCTTCTGGAGAGCCGAAAGTAAGATAGTAGGTAACATCAGAAACATAGGGTAATAACATGTACTAAACTTGGTATTTTCAAATCTGTTCTAGTAGAGCAGGCACGGGGAAGCTTCAATATAAAGTGTTCAATGACAATGACACTCCAAAGATCCCAGTGAAAATGCCTGTAGGGAGCAGGATTCTCTCAGAGTCAATTAAAGGGCATTAAAAGAAAGAATGGTAAAGGCAATTCACAAGACCGCTGAAAAAAGGAAACATTCAGTGGAAATATTGTAAAATCCCATAAAATTAAAAGATCCACTTTTCAGAGCACTTGAACAGCAAACTTTTCAGAAGGAACAAACCTGGAGTTCAAGGTTAGAAAGAACAAGATGGTCCAATGAACAGCTCTAATTAGCATTTTTCCTAGATGTATTGCAAAGGAAAAATGAAGGTGTAAGTTTGGGTGAAATAAAAGCCAGTGCGGTTTAACCCTCACATACGTTTGCTCACCTTTAATACTACTACTATCTCATTAAATAGGCCACAACTCTTCTGTCGCTGGTCGTTAGGGTTCAGAGTTTATGTCACAATTGTAATGGGTTATTGATTGCCTCTTAAAGAACTTCATAGCTCCCCAGGCTTTGAATCCATTAATGAATGTTGGAGCTGATAAAGTTGAGTTTAATTACATACTGTATGTCTTGTTAGACATTAAACTTGCATTTATTCTATTATTAATTTTTTTCCCAGTTGAAATTTTATTTTATTCATCCACAAAACAAATATCTGTCTTAGCTGCATTTTTACTCTTCGGAAGTCATGGGCATCAATGAAAACTTAATTTTGAAAAAATGTAGCGCATTCTCCTTCATGATCTATTATTTATGCAGTGGTAAAGTTGTATTTGTGCCTGACTCCATAGTTTGCAAGATCGGTAATCTAATCAGTTGATCTCCATCCTGAGAGCCTTTCTTTCTTGTTCCCAGCTCCCTACTAAATTTCCATGCCCCACACACTACTCTGTCCAAGAGGCCATTATATATTATCCTCTCTTTAGAAGATGCTGTTGTATAAATGGCACAGTGGCAGGCTGGCCACAGAGGTACATTCATTAGCTTAGACAGACATGGAGAAGCAAACCTTTCGCCTCAGATTACTAGTTGTAATCCATTCCAGGTCAGGGGTGTGCCTGTTTGAAGGACATTCTGAAGGCCTCTTTTAGTGGGTTAGTAGGCTTGATGTGAAGTCTTGAATAGTATATAAAACACATTTGTAAAGGAAAATACTGCCAGACCTTAACATTACTAGTGACAGTATGCTAATAAAGGAAATAGCAATTTCTACTGTGAGATCCACTCTCTCTGGTTCTGAAAATCCAGATCAAGTATCTTCCTCCATTAAGTATTCTCGGATTACACAAAAACATTATCTCTCCTTGGAATTAAACACTTTTTTTTTCTATCCTTCATTTGGAAATAAATAATGCATAATGACAGCTTTTGAAAGTCAGGTTCTTGGGAGTAAAGATAACTTCTACTTCTAAGCCCCCCATTGGGGCTGATGGCATTGTTCCTGCTCAGGGGTAGGTACTCTATTGGAAGCCTAAGGAGGCACCAACCACATAAAATCCTCTTTTTGGATTTGGGGAGAGAACATCAATAGAGAAATATATTGAAAACACAGGGGAACCTGTGAAATACCCCTGCAATCTCTGAGAGCTTCATTAGTAAAATCCTAATGGATGATTTTAGTCTGTTCCAGCTCTCATTGTAGAATATTTCTCAGGCCCAAAGACAAAAAGAAAAGAACTGGGAAAATCTAATCAAAGTCTGAGTACATAAGAAAGCTGTAGCTTAATCAATGGTATTAACATATCTGAAGAGACAGCATTTCAATAGACATGGGGTATGGCCCATGTGGAATATAAGAGGTGGCTCACGCCTATAATCCCAGAACTTTGGGAGGCTGAGGTGGGTGGATCACGAGGTCAGGAGATTGAGACCATCCTGGCTAACACGGTGAAACCCCGTCTCTACTAAAAATACAAAAAATTAGCCGGGTGTGGTGGCGGGCGCCTGTAGTCCCAGCTACTTGGGAGGCTGAGGCAGGAGAACGGCGTGAACCCAGGAGGCAGAGCTTGCAGTGAGCCGAGATCTTGCCACTGCACTCCAGACTGGGGGGACAGAACGAGACTCTGTCTCAAAAAAAAAAAAAAAAAAAAAGAAAGAAAGAAAGAAAGAAAGAAAGAAAAGAGATGTCCTCAGGGAAAGATTTGGACAGCATTTATCCAGGCCTGAGGAGATGCAGTGCCCTCCAGCATTCTGTCCTTAAAGAGCCACATTAGCTTCATGAGGGTTGTCTTAGTCCACTTTTTGCTGCTATAACAGAACACCTGAAACTGGGTAATTCATGAAGAACAGAAATTTATTTGGCTAATGTTTCTGGAGGCTGAGAAGTACAAGAAAGAGAGACAGGCATCTAGTGAGGGCCTTCTTACTGCATCATCCCATGGCAGAAGGCAGAAGGGAAAAGAGCATATGCAAGAGAGAACAAGAGAAAAAGGAAGGCGGCAGAACTTATTCTTTTATCAGGACCCCACTCCTGCAATAAACGCGTCAACCAATTCATGAGGGCAGAGTACTCAAGATCTAATCACTTCTTAAAGGCCTCACCACTCAACACTGTTACATTGGGGATTAAGTTTCTAATACATGAACTTTGGGGGACACATTCAAACCATAGCAAGAGGAATCCTTTAAGATTGTCACCCTTTCTTAAGCATAGTAAAACAAAGGGAAGATCAAAGTCCTGTGTCCCTAATTTTTCAGAAATAAATGTGTGGAACTGTCAGGGACATGAGGAAAGGTCAGAAAAATATGAAGTCAGTTAAATAAATTGTGACCCACAAATTAACACTTTTTTCAATAATTGAAAACTTGCAAAATTTGTTACCAATACAGAAAATTAAAACAAAAAAACTTTTTATTATTACAGAATTAAAACTGATAGGCAGTTTTACTAATGTGTCCTATGGAAAGTTCTACCATAACTAAACATTATAGTCACTCTTCATGAACTCCTTACCTTGAATCTAGAGTCAATAGTAATTTAAGATTATGACTTGACTTCCCACATTGGGTGTGTCTCCAGATGTAATGTATTTAAGGTGATTCTTCTCCTAACTTTTCTCAGAGGAAGTCCAACCTTCCTCTAAGAAGGTAATGTAACTTCCTCTAGGATGTCTTTGCCTGGCTCATCATTATAAGATCCCAATTACACTCTTAACAGTCTTGTCTCTACCACACTGTAATCTCCCCGAGGCCACAGTCTTTTTATAGAATGACCAACAGTCCCAGTTTGCTGGGATTGGGAGGCTGAGGAAAAGGGAGTTGCTGAATGGAGAGCTTTCAGTGCTGAAACCAGAAAAGTCTCAGAAAAAACAAAAACAAAAACAGAATGCTTTGATCACTCTATTTTACATTGCCATATCCAGTACATCTATGGAAGTATCTACAAAATATATTCAAAATATATATAGGATAAAAATGTGATTCCAGCGATTCTGTATATAGAGTTAACCATTGGATCAATTCAGTAGGCCTTCCTTGTAGCTATGACCAGGCATTTGTTTACATTTTGAAATACATAACAGATTGGTTAATTTTGCTTTTTTCTCTTTTTATTACCAAAACAATATGGGAGAAAAAGCACAATATATTACTGGTTGCACACTATAACTCTGAAATATAGAGTCCAAGATTGAAAGGCAACATAAAAGTAGTTGCTTTGTATTCATGATAGATAGGGTCATGGTTTTGTTTTATTGGAAGATTTTTACATTAAAAATGTTTTTTTATATCTCAAATGTCTTAATTTTTAAGTTGATTTAACACTGACTCTTTGAACTCCAAATCATGTTCTACTTTCTCTCTGAAACTTTTCCAAGAACATTCTGGAAAGAAATAATGTTTCCCCTCTGAATGCTTTCACAATTGTTGCCCATGATATTCATCTATCATATTACCATTTTAGTGACTTACAGTTATTTCTTCTCCCCTTCCTTGTGACCTTACTGCCTATCTACAATGGACTCTGCTTTCCTGGAGGACAGGTGTTATGTTTTCCATCACTTAAGGTCTCCTCCAATGCCTTATGACCTCTCTGCCAAACTGCCCCCACCCAGCCCTTTCCAGTCCTGCCTGGGGAACCCTACAGTCCATTATCCAGAAAGCTGCAATGTGCAGCCATGATCCTACCATCCTGTGAAACTCAGACCCTCTCTGGAGGACAGACAAATTCTCACGGAAAAGACCGGGCCATTCCTTCTCCATAATCCCCTTCTTTAAAAGTCTTTATTGGTCCCAGGACAGCCATTGTGAACTGAGTCTCTGTAAATCAGTCAGCTAGAGATGTGTGGAGTGGAAGCTGAACACCAACCCCGCTGCAGTTCACTTCTGCTCTGTTCCCAGAAGCAAGAAGCACGTTGCTTCTCTAGGCGGGGAGGAAAGAAGCAGGATCCAGCCTGGAGAGAAAGCAGCAGGTTTAGAAGAAACAGACTGCTACATCTAAGGAGACGCCAACTGTAAGATTTGGGCTAACAAAGTTCCGGAGGTTAACCTGAGGCTTCAAAAAATGGGACTGAAGTTGCAGAGAACTTTTAAAACACCTGTTTTTCATGATCCCATGTAAATTTCATTAGAGAGGGGATACTGGCCACAGCAAGGACATGTCTTACACCTGCTAACCAATGCCTCTGATCTCTGGAAGTAGGGCTAACAAATTTAAATGAGAAAAAAAGATAACGTTCTCTCTAAAAAATGTGCATATTTTAAATTACAAGAGTAGGGAGGAACCTGAAGCAAAAACAAATTGAAGAGAGATATGGAGAGAGAAGACCTCTGACAAATTCTGCATTATCCCTGTTGTAAGGAGAGGGGGAGGGAATAACCCCCTCCAGAGTGGTCAACCCAGCACTAAATTTGTGTCCATTTAGGGGGAAATTAAATTAAGGAGCAAGAATATCATACTCAAAATTTCAATAGAAGGCCCCTTTGCCCTCCAATCTAAAGACATATTATACATTTTAACTTTTCCTTCCTTAATTTATTTTCTTTGATTTTTCTCTCTTCGTGTTTAAATGTACTCTCCTTGCTTAGTGTGAATACTCAATGCAGGAACAAAAGACCCATTTGTCATGCTGGAGACTAAGAACACATCAGGTATAATGGAATTCTGGCTTGGGCAACGCTCATCATTTGTTCAGACATGTCATCAGTTTATTCTGACATTCTGTGCGATTCCTCTACTCCTAATCTACATGACTTCCACACGGCATCTTCACAACATTATGTAATTAATATTGGTAAACAAATCTTTGTTCACTACCCTGCCCTTGTAATTTCCTAAAAAGCTTCTGGCTTATTCCTCAATCTTAGCTGAATCAATACACTCTGAAAGCAAAGTCATATGCAGAGGACAAGAGCAATTAATGATCACGTACTCAAGCACAAGCGAGAAGAGAGAGAAGAGAACTCTATCCTGTTAGGTGACTGGATAGTATTCATAATATCACAGCATGAATGTGTGGCTAAAAAACCTAAACCCAAATCCCTTATAAAGTGTATTTGTAATGCAATGTAGTACTTTCCCCTAATTGGATTATGCTTTTCTTGCACAAAATGGAAGTATTTTGCTGTATTTTGGTTCCATCTATTACGGCAAATATAAGAGCAATGCAGTAGTGACAGCAGGTCCTATCTGGAATGTTTGGTGCACTCTCTGGAATGCCCTGAGCTTCAGTTGTCCTGTCTAATCCTCCTTGTCACTCAATACCCAACCCAGTTCCACCACCACCAGGGCACTTCCCCTGTGGTTCTAGCTTGCAAGGCTTAGGCTTGCTCCGTCTTGTGGATTCAATGTGCTCATTGTTCCTGACTGGGGTCTCTCAGGGAGACCTGGGTCCTAGTACCTCTAGCACTAACTGGGTGTGTGATTTTCAGTAAATGACATAGACATTGTATTAGGGTACTCCAGAGAAACAGAACCAATAGTGTGCACACATGGTAATATGGTTTGGCTGTGTCCCCACCCAAATTTCCCTTGAATTGTAGCTCCCATAATTCCCATGTGTCATGGAAGGGACTTGGTGGGAGGTAATTAAATCATGGGGGTGGGTCTTTCCCATGCTATTCTCATGATAATGAATAAGTTTCATGAAATCTGATGGTTTTTTAAAGGAGAGTTCCCCTATACAAGCTGTCTTGCCTGCTGCCATGTAAGATGTGACTTTGCTCTTCACCTTCCACCATGATTGTGAGGCCTCCCGCCTTGCAATCTGTGAACTGTGAGTCAATTAAACCTCTTTCCTTTATAAGTTACTCAGTCTTGGGTATGTCTTTATTACCAGGGTGAGAACAGACTAATACACATGGGGAGAGAGAGACAGAGGATAAGGAATTGGCTCACATGATTATGGAGTATGAGAAGTTCAGTAATCTGCCATGGCTAGAGACCCAAGAGAGGCAATGGTGTAATTTCCAGTCCAAGAGTAAGAGAAAACCAATGTTCCAGGTCAAGCAGTCAGGCAGAGAGAAAAATTTATCCCTTTCTCTACCTTTTTGTTCTTTTTAGGTGGTCAGTGGATTGAAGGCTGCCCACCCACATTGAGGAAGACCACCTGCTTTACTCACTAATTCAAATTCAATCTTATCGAGAAAGACTGTTACAGACACACCAAAAATAATGTTTAACTAAATATCTGGGCACCCCATGAACCAGTCAAGTTGACACATAAAATTAACCATCATAACAACTATTTGGTTCCTTTTCCTGGTAAAGGGAAAATATCAGATTAGATCAAAGCTTACCAAAATATTTTAGTTGTACCTCTTGAATAACTGGTGTTTTGTTTTGTTTTTCACACAGAGTCTTGTTCTGCTGCCCAGGCTGGAGTGCAGTGATGCGATCTTGGCTCACTGCAACCTCTACCTCCCAGGTTCAAACTCCTACCTCAGCCTCCTGAGAAGCTGGGATTACAGGAGCTGGCCACCATGCCTGGCTAATTTGTGTATTTTTAGTAGAGATGGGGCTTCACCATGTTGGCCAAGCTGGTCTCGAACTCCAGACCTCAAATGATCCACCTGCCTTAGTCTCCCAAAGTGTTGGGATTACAGGTATGAGCCACAGCAAGCTAACCAGGGCTTATTCATATGGCAGCTGTCACGGTTCTGAGACAAAAAGTGGAAGCATGTCAGGTCCCTTGAGGCTGGAGGTTTGGAATTGGCATAACATCACTTCTGCCACATTCTGTTGACCAAAGAAAGTCACAATCCAGCCCAGATTCAAGGAGTGGAGAAATTAACTATCTCTCGATGGGAAAGGGTACACAGTCACATTGCCAAGGTTATGCATAAAGGGAAGGGTGGAGAATTATGGCCACTCTGTCATCAACCAGAGTTTTTCCTTTCTGCAAATCCATAACTATCAAATACATTCCCTTGCCTGGCTTAACCACCACCTATCGTGTTTTCTTCTTTCATAAGGCATTGAGTCACTTACCAAACATTTACCAAAGACAGAGTTACTGCCGGGAATTACCACCACGCATGGAAATTTGAGAATGTGTGAAATGGAAAGTAATTGTCCCCAAGAATCCAGAGTTTAGGTGAACACATTATTGAAATGTCTAATTTGTTTGTTTTGTTTAGTTGCAGACGATTTAGTATCAGGAAATAATAAACTGTTAAATCCAGTAATAAAGTGAAGATTATCTAGTCCAGGGATTGCAAACCTAAATGCTTTAGAGACCAAATAAGTAAGATAAATGAGCAAAATTTGGCTTAAATGAGTTTAAGCCATAATGGAGCAGGAGAGACTGAGAAAATGGCTGGAAACTACCCCAATTGAGACAATTAAAATTCTTGCTTAAAAAAAAAAAAAAAAAGCCAGGCACAGTGGCTCATATCTATAATCCCAGCACTTTGGGAAGCCAAGGTGGGGGAATCGTTTGAACCCAGGGGTTCAAGACCAGACTGGGTGACATACCAAGATCCCATCTCTATAAAAAACTTAAAAATCAGCTAGGTGTGGTGGCATGTGCTGGTAGTCCCAGCGACTTGAGGGGCTGAGGCAGGAGGATTGCTTGAGCCCAGGAAGTCTAGGCTGCAGTGAGTCATGATTGTTTCACTGCATTCCAGCCTGGATGAAAGAGTAAGACCCTGTCTCAAAAAAGAAAAAAGGGAAGGGAAGGGAAGGGAGGAAGGGCAGGAAAGAGAGAAAGACAGAGGAAGGAAGGAAGGTAGGAAGGGAGGGAGGGAGGGAGGGAGAGAGGGAAAGAGGGAGGGAGGATGGAAGGAAGAAAGGACAGGGGGAGGGAGGGAGGGAGGAGAGAAGGAGGGAGGGAGAGGGGAATTGCTCAGAATAAATCAAATAAACATGTAAACTAATTTCAGACCCCAGGCCTCCATTTTGTAATCTCTGCTTCTAGATCGATTCTCACTTTACCGATGGGAAAACCAAGGCCCAGAGAGGTTAAAACATGTTTCCCACCGTGGCCCAGGTGCTCAGCAGCAGAAATGAAACTGGACTCCGAGGTGCCTGCTGCTGAGTACTGACATCAACATTGCCTGGAGTATAATTTTGCAAGTTTTCTTCCTGATAGGAAGGCTAGATTCAATCTCTTCACAAAATAGTTGCCTCATGGGTTTTGTCAGAATCGACAAAGCTCTCCTGGAAAACGGCCATCTCATGGAAGTGATGGCCTCGGTCAGGTTTATGAAGGGAATGACAATGTGATTTGTGGCTGTCACCCATGGGAGCCAGGTTGCGCTTGCCACTTCCTCACTGCTGGCAGGAGGCCGAGGCGAAGCTGTCATCGGCTGCCACACTGATAGATGCCACCAGCCTGGGCACAGTCTGTGCTTCCAGGCAGCTCAGGAGACATATCTGACTTGTCCTTCTGGCCCTACGGAAGATACTGCCTGGCAAAAGTGGAAATGGCAACGCAGGACAAGAAAGGAGAGAAATCCAATAAGGCTGTGGTCACTAGTGGCCAGGAATTGATGTTTTACTGTCTTTCCCTTGATTCTGTTGGGCTGTTTACTTCCCATTTAAGAAATATCCTGGTTTTCTCATCCTGCACCCTGATGGGTGAGGGGTTGTTTTGTTCAGGGAAGAGAAGGAGATGTAGCCAGTGTTGACGAGTGGGGAAGGATTTATAAATCAAAGAAAAATGTCTCAAACAGAAAATCACACCCCAAGTATATGCAGGAGTGCAAACCACAATTTGGCCTGCTGCCTGGTGTCACAAGGCATCAGTGGCCTTGCTGTGACCCTTTCAGGGAAACCCCTGCAAGCGTCTACTTGTAACAGTCGCAGCAGGGAGGTCTAAGCCTGCACATTTCCTCAAAGGTGGTTTTTCTGCTCCCATCAATGGTAGATTATCAAGAGATTTTTAGTGATGAAACTGATAGCTCAGAAATTACTTGATTCCAAATTCTTTTCTAGCAGAACAAAACACAAACAAAACCAGCGAACGTTTTACTTAAACACCTGGAGGTGGTAATTAAAACATTGGACACAGAGCTAAGTGCCGTGGTACATGGCTGTAGTCCCAGCTACTAAGGAAGCTGAGGCAGGAGGATTGCTTGAGCCCAGGAGTTGGAGTCCAGCCTGGACAACATAGTGAGATCCCATCTCCAAAACTGGACATTGAACGTATAAAAGCCATAAAGAAACAGGGACAAAAATGAGCTAGTTAGAAGTGAGTTCTAAAAGCCAAATATCTCTATATAGATATAGTAGCCCAGACAGTGAACTCCTACTACTCCAGAACACACAATCAGGATGCTTGACAGGCCGAGCCTATTCCTTCTAAAGTGTTTTATGATCTTTATTCAAGAATGAAGGAAAGTGCATGCTTGTCTGGAGTCCAGCTGATCTAATATAGAAAGGAAGATTTAAAAGGTGAACAGTTTTAGGACAGGTATTGCCCCTGGGTGTTTTCAGAAAAATACACACTCAGGAGATGTCAGTTCCCATTTTTACCCTCTAGTTGAACAATATCCATCTACTTCCACACTGCTTTTAAAATGAGATGTTTTGGTGCAGGTCAAATGAAAAACAGGAACGTGCTCTGCTAGTGGTCAGGAGATCAAGGTTCTGGAGCTGCTAAGAACAGGACCTGTGTCCTCCTGAGTCCCAGGTTTCCTCATTTGTAAAATGAGAGATTGGAGCAAAATTTTATAAAATCCTCTTTAGCTTGTTAGTTCCTTTTTTCATTCATTTTGACATAGTATTCACTCATTCATTCATTTTTTTCATTTATTCAACAAATTTTATTGAACCCTGTTCCATGTCCAGGACTGTACTGATACCTAAGTACAAAGTAGTGAACAAGAAAAATAGCCTCTGTCCTCATAGAGCTTCCATTCTAAATAGACACAGATGATAAATGAAATAAGGAAGCAAGATAAATTCAGATTTGCTTGGGCTGTGATAAGCAGGACAAAGGAAATAATCCAGTGTTGTGTGAGAGAATAATTGGGATTGGGATGGGTGGGGAATATCTAGATAAACAGGAAATGAAAAATCCTGACTATAACTACTAGTGACCACAGCCTTATTGTGCCACAAATTAGGCATGTGACATTAGACAAGTCTCTTTCCCTCTCTGTATCTGTATTCATTTCCTATTGCTGCTGTAACAAATTGACACACATTTAACAACTTAAACCAACACAAATATATTACCCTAGACTTCCGTAGGTCAGAAATCTGACACAGGTTTTACTGGGCTAAAAGCAAGGATTAAGCAGAGCTGTGTTTCTTTCTGGAGGCTACAGAAGAAAATCTATTTTTTTTTTCTTTCTTTCTTTTTTCTTTTTTCTCATTCAGGTTGTTACTGTCCAGTTTGCCTGTTCAGGGGTTGACACTTAGAGCTTGGGCTCTAAAATGCCACTTGAATACTTGTCCCTTGAGACATGCAGTGGCAAAATTTAGTTCCTTGCTGTTATAAGACTGAGTTTCTGGCTCTCTTGCTGCCCGTAAGGGAGGGCCAACCCCAGCACTTACAACCTCCACATTCTTGGGCTCATAAACCCCTTCCTCCTTCTTCAAAGTCATCAATGATGGTGAAGTCCTTCTCACATCACTTCTCTCTGATCTATTCTGCTTTTCTCTTCATAGCATTCATAATCAGATTAGGCTCATTAGCATAATCCAGGATAATCTCCCCATCTCAGGGTCCCTAACCTTAACCACATCTGAAAGTCCCTTTTGCCATGTAACGTAACATTGTCCTAGGCTCTGGGATTGAGATGGAGATATCTTTAGGGAGCCATTATTCTGCCTTCCACAATGCTCTGATTTCCTTTTCAGTAAATGAAAGCATTGAGCTAAAGCTCTTTCAAATCCAAAATGTCATGACTTGTTTTGCTTCCATATTTTGTCAAAACTAGAAGTTATGTTTCTTTTTTTTTTTTTTTTTTTTTTTGAGACAGAGTCTCGCTCTGTCGCCCAGGCCGGACTGCGGACTGCAGTGGCGCCATCTCGGCTCACTGCAAGCTCCGCCTCCCGGGTTCCCGCCATTCTCCTGCCTCAGCCTCCCCAGTAGCTGGGACTACAGGCGCCCGCCACCGCGCCCGGCTAATTTTTTGTATTTTTAGTAGAGACGGGGTTTCACCTTGTTAGCCAGGATGGTCTCGATCTCCTGACCTCATGATCCACCCGCCTCGGCCTCCCAAAGTGCTGGGATTACAGGCGTTATGTTTCTTTTTTGCAACAAATCCTAGACAAGTTTGCTGAGAGTTTGAAGGCAGAATCTCTCAGTTGAAGAGGGTGCTCACTTCATTTAAGACAAATGACAGAGACTAAGTGTATTAGTCCATTCTCATGCTGCTATGAAGAAATACCCAAGACTGGGTAATTTATAAAGAAAAGAGGTTTCATTGACACACACTTTCACATGACTGGGGAGGCCTCAGGACACTTACAATCATGGCGGAAGGCACCTCTTCACAGGGCGGCAGGAGAGAGAATTAGTGTCATGTGAAGGGGAAGTCCCTTAAAAACCATCAGATTTTTGAGAACTCACTATCATGAGAACAGCATGGGGGAAAGTGTCCCCCCATGATTCAGCTATCTCCATCTGGTCCTACTCTTGACACGTGGAGGTTATTACAATTCAAGGTAAGATTTCTGTGGGGACATAGAGCCAAACCGTATCACTAAGTTACAGTGTCATGGCTATATAACCACTAGGAAGTCTCAAGGATGGAGTTGGGAACACGTTCAGGGTTGATCCCTGAAACTAGGCATCATTACTACATGATGGGCTGCCTGGTGTTACATGACTGCTGATAGTCCTCCTGAATGTAATGAAATAGGATAACTCATATTAGAGCCACATTTACTAAAAAGCAAGGAAGTCAACACAATGAACTGTTGAAATGTGTAACCTCAAGGGAAATACATGCAAAGCGTCCCCACATATTTCTTCAAGCATGTATCCCAGGTATGATGACTGGGTCCCAGGCACATTTCCTGAAATGTAAAGCCACTGTGGGCTCTACTGTGCCCAGGGAAGCACAGGCACACACATCTGGAAGAACAGAATTCCTACCTGATCAAGCCATGGTTGGTGGCTTTGCAACTCTAAAAATTCCAGTTCTGCTAAAAAGCAATGGATGTTTCTCTAATTTGCCTTTCTGTCTTTGTAAACTAAGAAAAACCAAGATGGGTGGGGGTGGCAACAACAAGAACTCTGGCATATAGGCTGGCAACCAAAGTGGGTGGGAAATATTTTTCTGGGTCTTAAGGGCACTCTCCCAAGAGCTGTAGGTGGTACTGAGAAGTTAGGGCTATGTTCTCAATGGCCTTCCTTGGTATCTGGAACTTGCTCTTGGGAGAACTGACTGGAATTTCAATCACAGCCTAGAGTTAGGCTGTCCAATTTACCTGTTCAGGGTTTGACGCATAGAGCTTGGGTTCTAAAATGCCACTTGAATACATGTCCCTTAAGACACACAGTCATTTCCAGAAGATGCCAGGTGAGTCAGACAATTCAAGAATTCTTATTTTATAGATTATTAGGATTATAAAGTTTAGAGATAGAAGATCCTGCCTTGACTCTTAATAAGATTACTGTGTGACCTTAAGCAAGTCATTTAACTTCTCAGGTTCTTCATCTGTGAAGTGGGAATGAATAATATCTACATCACAGCACCATTATAAGGTTCAAATAAAAAAAAGTAAGTACAAGTGCTTTGCAAGAGGTAAACACTTTATACACATTAATTGATAACACTATTATCGTTCACAGTTCTTCAAGAAAGAGAAAGTTGAAAGTGCTCATTAATTTTGGTTAGCTGTCATAGTTTGTAATTGTATATCCAAGTGATTATTATACTAATGGCTTTTCCTGCCCCTCAGCATCCTACAAGCTCCTGAAAGCTGGGACTGAGTCTCTTTTGATCACCACTGTTTTCTTGGTCTCTTGCCCAGTACCGAGCACTTCGTGGGGACTCAAATATTCAATGAATAAATTAAAGAGAGAGTAAGAGTGAGAAAACACGGAGAGGCAACAATGAAAGGCAGGAGGAAAGGAAGAATTTTTTTGAAAAGTAGGTGGTGCAATGTAAACGTTATTCTCTAAACTGCAGAGTTTAAAATAGTAATAATAAACATAATAGTTTATATTTATTGTGTAACAATTATTGTGTACCATTTGCTATTGTTAGATTTAATTCTTTTTTTTTCTTTTTTTTATTATACTTTAAGTATAAGGTTACATGTGCACATTGTGCAGGTTAGTTACATGTGTATACATGTGCCATGCTGGTGCGCTGCACCCACTAACTTGTCATCTAGCATTAGGTATATCTCCCGATGCTATACCTCCCCCCTCCCCCCACCCCACAACAGTCCCCAGAGTGTGATATTCCCCTTCCTGTGTCCATGTGATCTCATTGTTCCATTCCCACCTATGAGTGAGAATATGCGGTGTTTGGTTTTTTGTTCTTGTGATAGTTTACTGAGAATGATGATTTCCAATTTCATCCATGTCCCTACAAAGGACATGAACTCATCATTTTTTATGGCTGCATAGTATTCCATGGTGTATATGTGCCACATTTTCTTAATCCAGTCTATCATTGTTGGACATTTGGGTTGGTTCCAAGTCTTTGCTATTGTGAATAATGCCGCAATAAACATACGTGTGCATGTGTCTTTATAGCAGCATGATTTATAGTCCTTTGGGTATATACCCAGTAAGGGGATGGCTGGGTCAAATGGTATTTCCAGTTCTAGATCCCTGAGGAATCGCCACACTGACTTCCACAATGGTTGAACTAGTTTACAGTCCCACCAACAGTGTAAAAGTGTTCCTATTTCTCCACATCCTCTCCAGCACCTGTTGTTTCCTGACTTTTTAATGATTGCCATTATAACTGGTGTGAGATGGTATCTCATTGTGGTTTTGATTTGCATTTCTCTGATGGCCAGTGATGATGAGTATTTTTTCATGTGTTTTTTGGCTGCATAAATGTCTTCTTTTGAGAAGTGTCTGTTCATGTCCTTTGCCCACTTTTGGATGGGGTTGTTTGTTTTTTTCTTGTAAATTTGTTTGCGTTCATTGTAGATTCTGGATATTAGCCCGTTGTCAGATGAGTAGGTTGCAAAAATTTTCTCCCATTTTGTGGGTCGCCTGTTCACTCTGATGGTAGTTTCTTTTGTGGTGCAGAAGTTCTTTAGTTTAATTAGATCCCATTTGTCAATTTTGTCTTCTGTTGCCATTGCTTTTGGTGATTTAGACATGAAGTCCTTGCCCATGCCTATGTCCTGAATGGTAATGCCTAGGTTTTCTTCTAGGGTTTTTATGGTTTTAGGTCTAACGTTTAAGTCTTTAATCCATCTTGAATTGATTTTTGTATAAGGTGTAAGGAAGGGATACAGTTTCAGCTTTCTACATATGGCTAGCCAGTTTTCCCAGCACCATTTATTAAATAGGGAATCCTTTCCCCATTGCTTGTTTTTCTCAGGTTTGTCAAAGATCAGATAGTTGTAGATATGCGACGTTATTTCTGAGGGCTCTGTTCTGTTCCATTGATCTATATCTCTGTTTTGGTACCAGTACCATGCTGTTTTGGTTACTGTAGCCTTGTAGTATAGTTTGAAGTCAGGTAGTGTGATGCCTCCAGCTTTGTTCTTTTGGCTTACCAGAATCTCTGGGACGCATTCAAAGCAGTGTGTAGAGGGAAATTTATAGCACTAAATGCCCACAAGAGAAAGCAGGAAAGATCCAAAATTGACACCCTAACATCACAATTAAAAGAACTAGAAAGGCAAGAGCAAATACATTCGAAAGTTAGCAGAAGGCAAGAAATAACTAAAATCAGAGCAGAACTGAAGGAAACAGAGACACAAGAAACCCTTCAAAAAATTAATGAATCCAGGAGCTGGTTTTTTGAAAGGATCAACAAAATAGATAGACCGCTAGCAAGACTAATAAAGAAGAAAAGAGAGAAGAATCAAATAGACGCAATAAAAAATGATAAAGGGGATATCGCCACCAATCCCACAGAAATACAAACTACCATCAGAGAATACTACAAACACCTCTATGCAAATAAACTAGAAAATCTAGAAGAAATGGATAAATTCCTGGACACATACACCCTCCCAAGACTAAACCAGGAAGAAGTTGAATCTCTGAATAGACCAATAACAGGAGCTGAAATTGTGGCAATAATCAATAGCTTACCAACAAAAAAGAGTCCAGGACCAGATGGATTCACAGCCGAATTCTACCAGAGGTACAAGGAGGAGCTGGTACCATTCCTTCTGAAACTATTCCAATCAACAGAAAAAGAGGGAATCCTCCCTAACTCATTTGATGAGGCCAGCATCATTCTGATACCAAAGCTGGGCAGAGACACAACCAAAAAAGAGAATTTTAGACCAATATCCTTGATGAACATTGATGCAAAAATCCTCAATAAAATACTGGCAAACTGAATCCAGCAGCACATCAAAAAGCTTATCCACCATGATCAAGTGGGCTTCACCCCTGGGATGCAAGGCTGGTTCAATATATGCAAATCAATAAATGTAATCCAGCATATAAACAGAGCCAAAGACAAAAACCACATGATTATCTGAATAGATGCAGAAAAAGCCTTTGACAAAATTCAACAACCCTTCATGCTAAAAACTCAATAAATTAGGTATTGATGGGACATATTTCAAAATAATAAGAGCTATCTATGACAAACTCACAGCCAATATCATACTGAATGGGCAAAAACTGGAAGCATTCCCTTTGAAAACTGGCACAAGACAGGGATGCCCTCTCTCACCACTCCTATTCAACATAGTGTTGGAAGTTCTGGCCAGGGCAATTAGGCAGGAGAAGGAAATAATTTCCTAATTTTACAATTAGGAAAAGAGGAAGTCAAATTGTCCCTGTTTGCAGACGACATGATTGTATATCTAGAAAACCCCATTGTCTCAGCCCAAAATCTCCTTAAGCTGATAAGCAACTTCAGCAAAGTCTCAGGATACAAAATCAATGTACAAAAGTCACAAGCATTCTTATACATCAACAACAGACAAACAGAGAGCCAAATCATGAGTGAACTCCCATTCACAATTGCTTCAAAGAGAATAAAATACCTAGGAATCCAACTTACAAGGGATGTGAAGGACCTCTTCAAGGAGAACTACAAACCACTGCTCAAGGAAATAAAAGAGGACACAAACAAATGGAAGAACATTCCATGCTCATGGGTAGGAAGAATCAATATCGTGAAAATGGCCATACTGCCCAAGGTAATTTACAGATTCAATGCCATCCCCATCAAGCTACCAATGCCTTTCTTCACAGAACTGGAAAAAACTACTTTAAAGTTCATATGGATGCAAAAAAGAGCCTGCATCGCCAAGTCAATCCTAAGCCAAAAGAGTAGATTTAATTCTTAAAATAATCCCTTGAGGTGGTAGTATTATCTCCATTTTGCAGATAAGGAAACTGAGGTTTAGCTTAGTTAAATAACTTGCCCAAAGTCACAGAGTAAGTGATAGAAATGGATGAAAGTCAAACCCCCACAATCTAACTCAGAGCCTATACCATGTTATTCCATGCAATATTTTATTTTATTTTATTTTTCTTAGTTCAAAAACTACTTAGAGTAAACTCACAGTGAAGATAAATTCCTGATGGCAGACTAGAGTACAGGAAAGCAAAAGGAGCCCTCCCACTAAAACATATATCGCACAAAGGAAGTAGAGAGAAGTGCAGTTTAAGGTCAAGAGATGGAAGATATCATAATATGCTGCCAGGCTGCCTTTGTGTAAATTCTATAAAGAAATTATTTTTCAAATATTCAATAAAAAGCAAGTGTTATTTAAAGACATGGCCAGGTAGAATGACAAATGGCATACCATTTCAATTTTTCTCAGGCACGCAAGTTTTAGCTGAATAAACATAAAAGAAATCAATCTACATGGTGCAAATGTGGAAAAAAAAAAAAAAACTCAAGATCTATGTCAGCAATAATAAGAGGCATCTACTGTTCTAAAACAGCCAGCTCATGGAAAATGGATACCCAGACCAGAGAGAGAAATGCATGATGGGAAAGCCAAGAACCTCTTCCATTTAGTTCTAAGCTGTCAGCATTCAATTAAGGGTATACTCTCTGGGAAAACAGTGCACAAAAAATTCAGCAAGATAAACTGAACAAAGAGAGCCTGATAAAGATAAACTCTTTGTTTTTTGTTCTTCTGTGGTTAGCAGCCATTCCAGATCCCAGTATGGTTTTCAAGCATTAATTATCTCTCAAAATCCCAAGAATTAACATTTATGTTGTGGTGTGACAGACCATATCTGCATGGTAAACTGTCAGCACAAACCTCCTAAAGAAAAATGGACTGGGACATATTTGGGGGAGGAATCAAGGGTCACTCCAAAATTAACCACATCATTTCTGAAACAGCAATCTTAGTTTAAGACATGCAGCTAAAGCAGGGAGTCAGATTGTTAGAATTTTGAAGATCAACCAATCTAGAGCTCAAATACTAGCACTCCATGGGCCGAATCTGGCCCAGACAAATATTTGTCTGACTTGCATGGTCACTTGGTGCTTTCTGATTGTTTTAATTTTGAATTAGTTGCCAACATTTAAAAATTAGAAAATTCTGAAAGCTAAAAAATCTAAATTTCCCTTGAAAATGTGAAAGAGCAGACAACACTTGGCCCTCATTCCTGAAGGAAACAATTTGTTAGATTAAGAAGGGGTGAGTCCTTCCAGACAGAGTATGCTTTCTAGATTAGCACAGTCCCTGTCAGCACCCATTATCTTGCACTCATTCTACTTCACTCATTTACATTATCAGCCTGGGCTCTGTGGTCTAACCTTTCCACTTTGCAAAAAAAAACTGAGAGGTCTAAGTGGTTTGGTCAAGGTCATAGATACAGGTACAGTGTTAATATCTGGCCCTAGGCCCGAGGCTTCTGGTTAAGCTCAGTGTGTTAACACTATCTTCATGGGCCCTTTGGAATCTATCAATGACCTGTAAACACCTAGAACACTCAATTTGCTGTTCCTTTACAGCCCTTACTACTTCTTACTTTCCACTGGAGTTACTTCTAGATGCTCAATTGGTCCTTTATTCATTTATCCACTTAGTGTTTCTTGAACATCGACTGCATATCAAACATTGTGATAGATTCTGGGGATACAGCAGTAAACACATTTTACGGTCTGGTGGGGAAGACAGATAAGTCTGAGCTCCTCAACTACCCGGTTTACTTTTGAGCTAACACTCAACACTACAATACAAACATGTAAGTGTCCAACAAAATATGGAATAAATAAAGGAATCTCTTCTTCATTTGTTCTTTACAACAACCCTAAGAAGGAAGCATGACTAAGATCTCCATTCACCAATAAATAAATCGTGGCACTGAGTTTAAATCATTTGGTGATAGCTGGTAAGTGGTAGGGAGATACTTGACCATTCATCCCTCATTAAAACTAACGCACACCTCTCTGTAAAGAGTTTTACAGTAAGACACAATTACATGGCAGTATTCTATGAAGGACACTACTTCCTATTAATATTTATCACTTTATCACATGGGTTCTAGTTCTAGATCAATTGCTGGTTAGCTGTCTGATCTTGGGTAACACAGGTAACTTACTTATCTTCGATTTCCTCATTGATAAAATGTTAGATTGTACAAGATGAAAGCCAGTGCTCTTCACTTGGGTAAAATTCTATAATCTTTAGGTTACAATGAAAGAACTGTCTCTGTTTATTGCAATAATGCTATGGATTTATTCATTTCTTTTAGATTTATGCTCTTAATAAGAACCTCCGTAGAGATTTTTGTATGCTGGCAGTTTAAATAAACTACAGCTAATGTGGCTTCATAATAGGACTGTGATAAATTTTGACAGACACTCAAAGCTGATTCAATTTTAACAGAATAATGATGGCTCCAACGTGTTGATTCACATCATAGGAGCATCATTGGAATGAAAATATCAGTGTCTCATAATATTATTTTCATGATTTTAATTATACTTTGACTTACAACCACAATGGAAAAACTTAAATTACCAAGTTCTTTTTAATTAGCTTCGTGTACATAAAGATCACTTTGTTTCATTTTGGAGTTAGTATCTTTGAAATGTTGCCAGTTTATTATAATGGTATATTTATTAAATTGCTCCAGAAGCACATGAAACCAAAGTCCTACCTTTGTTTAAACCTACTTAATATTAATATTTCATATGGAAATTAGAAAACTATATAGGTTCTGGAAATCTTAGAATCATTATATTTATTAAGCACAGTGAAATGTTGATAGATGGGAAACGAGTGGAAGGTTCTTTCAGTCATCATTTTAGGAGGCTTTTGACTTCTAAGCAATATCTTGAAACAAATCCCACATGTACATAGCCCACCATAGCTTCTCATGTACAGTTTTCCTCTTACTGCTTCATGGCAAGGAACTATGTAATCCTTAGAGCAAAGCAACTGATAAAACATGACTTTTGTCAAGATGCAAGACAAGAGGCAGACGTCTGGGTAGGTTCAGGTAGCTTCTGTGAAAGACACAGCTCAAGCCTTCCCATATTAAATCTTCTTTAAATTAGTCCCAAAATTCTAGCACTGTGAGTCTATGCACAGAATCTCTTCTAAACAAAACAGTCTTTAAAAAAAAATTTTCAGCACCATTTAAAAATATTTATAACCAATTCTTTTTTTTTATTATTATACTTTAAGTTTTAGGGTACATGTGCACAATGTGCAGGTTAGTTACATATGTATACATGTGCCATGCTGGTGTGCTGCACCCATTAACTCATCATTTAACATTAGGTATGTCTCCTAATGCTATCCCTCCCCCCTCCCCCCACCCCACAACAGGCCCCAGTGTGTGATGTTCCCCTTCCTGTGTCCATGTGTTCTCATTGTTCAATTCCCACCTATGAGGGAGAACATGCAGTGTTTGGTTTTCTGTCCTTGAGATAGTTTGCTGAGAATGATGGTTTCCAGCTTCATCCATGTCCCTACAAAGGACATGAACTCATCATTTTTTATGGCTGCATAGTATTCCATGGTGTATATGTGCCACATTTTCTTAATCCAGTCTATCATTGTTGGACATTTGGCTTGGTTCCAAGTCTTTGCTATTGTGAATAGTGCCGCAATAAACATATGTGTGCATGTGTCTTTATATCAGCATGATTTATTCTTTTGTTGGCCTCACATTCTAGAGTCTTAGTTTAAGCTCCATATTAAATACCTGATTCCTTTGTCATAGGTATCATATGTTCCATGTTGAAGACATATAATTTCTCTACTTCTATAAGATTTTGCATTTGAAACTGGACCACAGGAATTACAGTGAAAACAATCGTGTCCCTCATTCATGAGTGTTTTCAGTCTCACAACCACTGCCCTAGTTACAACTAGGTAGAAACCACAATAGATTAATTGTATGGCAGAGTTATAACTCATCTTTATCCCTCAGCTCACACTGAACTAGAAACAAAGGCTCAAATAATTAGCTGGCAGAAGTTGGAGAGAGAAAATTTTGCAGAGTTTGCTTTTCTACAAAAACAGACAAAACTGGGCTAGGAAGGGGGAGAAGAAATTAAAAAGATAACTTAGACTTTGGGAGTAAAGAACCTGGCATACTTGAGGTGGGAAGGAGGAAAAAGGACCATTCCTGGGGAAAGAAAGTGAACTGGGAGCTAAGTGCTGATCCTCAAGGTCTAGCCCACTGGCCATGGAATATCCGAAGTCCTTATCTCCTTATGCTTCCCTGGACCCTCATCTCTTGTTGTTCCCCAAATAAAAGTGGGGAATTAGTGGGAATCAAATTCATGACCCACAAAGGTGGGAGAGGACAGATCCCATTATACATGTCCTCTATGAACAAGAGTACTGGTAAGCACAGCCAAATCATTTCATGTGCTATATCCTTAAATGGACTCCCCTTTCCCACCTTTGAACTTCTGCTCAATCTTCTCCACCTATGCTACCTTCCTTCCAATGACTAGGGTGACCACATATCCCAATTTTCCCAGGACATCCCAGTTTATTCATATCACATCCACATAATTGGGAATACTGCCTTTTTTATCTCTGGTCTCTCTCCTGTTGTCTAAGTATAAACAATAAGTTATCATCTTACCAATGCCTTTTTTTCTATTTTTTTAAGACAGGGTGTCACTCTGTCACCCAGCCTGGAATGCAGCGGTGTGATCTCGGCTCACTGCAACTGAACCTCCTGGGCCTCAGGTGATCCTCCCACCTCAGCATCCTGAGCAGCTGGGAATACAAGTACGAGCCATGGGGTTTCAGTACGTTGCTCAGGCTGTCAGGCTGGTCCCAAACTCCTAGGCTCAAGTGATCCACTGACCTCCGCCTCCTAAAGTGCTGGGATTACAGGAGTGAGCCACCGTGACTGGCCCTCAATGTCAACTTTTATCTTTGAAAATATTCCCTATTATTCAATGTAGAGCTTAATCACTACTTCTTACAAGAAGCCTTCCCTAATTTTATAAGTTATCATTCTTCCCTATTTTTGATTTTATGGCTATTTGAAGAGAGATGGTAATAATCTGCCTGTATAAAATAGTATTGGTAAATATATCCTATCCCCTCCTAGATTTATAAAGGCCAGGATCACATTTTCTAGTGTTATCCACAGTGACTTCCACATAGATAGTCAATATCTATTTCCAGAATTTGTTTAAAATTATATGTATTTTCAGAAGTCACAATCTCTGAATGAGAAAATGTGGGGACACATTTTCCATAAAATTAGTTTTAGAGTTAAATTAGATTGTGTATGAAAATTTATCAATACATTGTTATCCAGTAATTTTCATAATTGGCAGCCACTTAAATGTTATAGTTATTATAAATTATTATATTATCTAATGATGAATTAACTGGTTCTTCCTCTGTGTCTCCATAGCACTTTATCCGTACGTCTATTATGGCATTATCATGTATTATTTTATATATGTCACACCTTATGTAAGATATACAAGGACAGTTTTATAGCAATTTTAGCACAATGCCTACTTTACAGTATAGCCGAAAAATACAAAATGTACTGGATTCAATTTTTGTTGGGTATGCAAAATTCAACATACTTTTGCAAATTATATTCAATAAAAGATTTGTGTCCAGAATACATAAAGAACACTTACAACTCAATAATGAAAAGATAAGTAGCCTAATTTTAAAATGGACAAAAGATTTGAATAGACATTTCTCCAAAAAAAAAATGCATAGTCAATAATCACATGGAAAGATGCTTAGCACCACTAGTCATTAGGGAAATGCAATTCAAACCCATAAGAATATGCCATGCCACATCCACTAGGATGGCTAAAAGTTAAAAGACAGACAAAACCAAATGTTGGTGAGGATGTGGAGAAACAATCTGCAAACATTGCTGATGGGAATGTAAAATGGTGGACTTGCTTTGGGAAGCAATTTGACACATAGAGTTACCATATAATCCAGCAATTCCACTATCAGGTGTATACTCAAGAGAAATTTTAAAAAATTATATGTCTACACAAAGACTTGTACACAAATATTCACAGCAGTATTATTCATAATAGCCAAAAGGTGCAAACAGGCTGCGTTTGGTGACTCACACCTGTAATCCCAGTACTTTGGGAGGCCGAGGCAGGAGGATCACTTGAGCCCAAGAGTTTGAGACCAGCCTGGGTAACATAGTGAGACATCTCCACTAAAAATTTAAAAAATTAGCCAGCTGTGGGGCTAGGCGCAGTGGCTCACACATGTAATTCCAGAACTTTGGGAGGCTGAGGCAGGTGGATCACGAGGTCAGGAGATCGAGACCATCCTGGCTAACACGGTGAAACCTCATCTCTACTAAAAATACAAAAATTAGCCAGGCGTGGTGGCAGGTGCCTGTAGTCCCAGCTACTCGGGAGGCTGAGGCAAGAGAATGGCATGAACCCAGAGGGAGAGCTTGCAGTGAGCCAAGATCGCACCACTGCACTCCAGCCTGGGCAACAGAATGAGACTCCATCTCAAAAAAAAGAAAAAAAATTTAGCCAGCTGTGGTGGTACATACCTGTGTGGTCCTAGCTACTCAGGAGGCTGAGGCAGGAGGATCACTTGAGCCCAGGAGGCTGAAGCTGCAGTGAGTCATGATCATGCCACTGCATTCTAGTCTGAGTGACAGAGCAAGACCCTGCCAAGTGGAAAAATCTAAATATTCATTAACTGATGAACAGAGTAACAAAATGTATTATATGTATATATTGAAATATTATACAGCAATAAAAAGGAACTAAGTACTGATACATGTTACAAAACAAACGAACTTCAAAAACATCATCCTTTGTGAAAGATGCCAGATACAAAATAACACACATTCTATTATTCCACTTTTATGATATGTTCAACAAAGACAAACCTACAGCAAGTCAGTAGGATACCAGTTACTCCATGGTGTAGGAATGAGGAGTGACTGTAAATGTGCATGCGGTGATGGAAATATACTAAAACTAGACTGTGGGGACAGTTGAACAATTCTGGAAATACACATAAGTGCATTGACTTATACACTTAAAATGTGTGCATTTTTAGTAGAGACAAATTAGCCAGGCGTGGTAGTGTGCACCTATAGTCCCAGCTACTTGGGGAGGCTGAGGCAGGAAAATCGTTTGAACTCAGGAGGTGGAGGTTGCAATGAACCGAGATTGTGCCACTGTACTCCAGCCTGGGTGACAGAGCGAGTCTCCATCTCAAAAAAAAAAAAAATATGAATTGTATGGTATGTAAATTATATCTCAATAAAACAGTAGAAAAGAAGTCAAACTGACAACCTACTGAATTACTGAATAGTAACGTAGAAAACTTAGATGCATTTCTGTGATGTGCAAGTCAGCCTTTGCTTCGGTTTCCCAACCTAAGGGTGTCCTTCTTCCCTTTAATTAAGG
Organism: Homo sapiens; assembly: GCF_000001405.40. Lineage (NCBI taxonomy): Eukaryota > Metazoa > Chordata > Mammalia > Primates > Hominidae > Homo > Homo sapiens. The sequence continues at coordinate 3,682,089 of NC_000003.12, forward strand.
AGAAGTGCTAGAAAAGTGGGACAGATATAATAAACCTTTGGTGATTTTTTTTTAAAGGCAAAATGGTGTGGACTATAGAGGAATAAGGAGCCCTGGGTTTCATTGCTGTCTGTAAATCAGTAACTGGCTGTATAATCATGGACAAATCACTTCACCTCACAGGTGTTCAATTCTCTCCTCTTTAAAATGAAAGCCTAGGAGACCTGGTTTCTTATTCTTATCCACGCACCCACAACTCTGCTGAAGGAGCTGGCCCAGTAGCCACAGCTGAGGACAAAGGATGGACACATAACCTAGTCTGATTATTTTCCTAGAAATCTGGCTTTGGGACTCTGGGTCAGCAACAGTGTGAAGTTCAGAGCAAGTCATGTCAACTCCTGCCCTTAGTCCCGTATATCTGAACCATTTATAATCTAAGTAGATATCCGCAGAAAATAATTGACTCTATACTTGATGTCCTTGGCACTCAAGCCCAGGACAAGACAACAACTTCTTTCTAGATGACTTAATAATTTCCCCATTAAAACCTACTTTCGTGGGCTGGGTGTGGTGGCTCCAGCCACGTGTGGAAGCTCACACTTGTAATCCCAGCACTTTGGGAAGCCAAGGCAGCGAATCACTTGAGCTCAGGAGATCAAGACCAGCCTGGGCAATATGTTGAAACCCTGTCTCCATAAAAACTACAAAAATAAGCAGGGCATGGCGACACATACCTGTAGTCCCAGCAACTTAGGAGGCTGAGGTAGGAGGATCACCTGAGCCTGTGAGGTCGAGGCTGCAGTGAACCATGATTGTGCCACTGTACTCCAGCCTGGGTGACAGAGTGAAACCCTGTCTTTAAAAAAAAAGGGGGGGGAGGACTGGGTATGGTGGCTCACGCCTGTAATCCCAGCACTTTCAGAGGCTGAGGCCAACAGATCACGAGGTCAGGAGATCAAGACCATCCTGGCCAATGTGGTGAAACCCCATCTCTATCAAAAATACAAAAATTAGCCAGGCACGGTGGCACATGCCTGTTTTCCCAGCTACTCGGGAGGCTGAGGCAGGAGAATTGCTTGAACCTGGGAGGTGGAGGCTGCTGTGAGCCGAGATCATGCCACTGCACTCCAGCCTGGGCAACAGAGTGAGACTCCATTTCAAAAAAAAAAAAAGAACCTTGAATGAAAGCTGGGAAAGATTTACTCTTGTACTCCAAATAAGTATTTGAAAATAACTACTAGAGGGTCTAACGCAATTGTGTCACTTAATTCTACTTCATCTCAACACCCATATTTTAGTGTAAGCATGGACTTAAAAATTAAGGCAACCAAGGACAAGTGAGTGATTCTGTGGTCTACAATTGTTAGCAGAAACATCCTCAGCAATGACTCACTTAAGAGCCACTCCTTCAGCTCAGCCACCCCTACTTCTCTTGCTCTCTGTAGCTTCCAGTCTTTGGAATAGCATGAAAACTCCCAAGCAGGGAGGTAGACACTCTAGTGATTAAAATCCAACTATACCATTCTGCTTCACTCCCACTTCATAAAATGGATTTTGTAAATGGCAGGCAAATGCAAATCAGCACATTATCCCATTTTACTGAGCCTAAATGATTTTATGTGTCTTCTAAAGAAGCAGCTAATGTGCCCCATAAATAAAACAATCAAAGTTTAAAGCCTTCAGCCTGTTTTCACACCAGACCATCCACTCTGATTTCACAGCCGTACTGGAAGTAAGAAATCAGAGAGAACCCATGAAACTATCTTTGCCATCCTGTTGGGTAATGAGGATTTAGAGCTACCACAGGTCTTTTCTGAGTACCCTACACAATACTTGGGGCAGGGAACACTGGACTTAAATCTTGCTATCAATGGCCTATCTAGCCAACATTAATTTATACCTGGAGCAGTGGCTTTCAACCAGGGGTGATTTTGTTCCCCCAGGAGAGATTTTGTTCCCCCAGGAGCATCTGGCAATGTGTGGGGACATTTTGGTTGCCACAATTTGGGAGGGGATTACTAATGGCATCTAGTGGGTAGAAGCCAGGGATACTGTTGAATGCCCTATGCCCAAGATTTGGTTCCAATGTTAAGGCTGCTGATGCCATACCCACACACCAAGGGGGTATGCAAAGGTTTATTACTCACATAATAAGGCTTTCTGGAGAATGCAAGGCAGAGACCCAAGTCAGTCTGAATGTGGCTTGGGTTTTTATTATGGTTAGGAAGTGAGCTAGGGTGAAGATTCCCACCCATGGACCTGTGTTTGCTTGGTTTGAACTTCCCCCTGGAGCCAAGAGAGAGATGGTTCAAGCTTTCTTAGTTAAGGCTTGCACAGATGAGGGGCAAGAGGGAAATAGAGGGTGGTGGGACTGGAACGTTGTCGGTGGTCAATGATAAAAAACGGAGTCAGACTCTTTATTCTATCCTGCAATACACAGGAGAGCCCCCATGATGAAGATTTATCTAACCCCAAATCTCAATAATGCCAAGGTTGAGAACCCCTGCGCAGGAAGAAGGCTAGTCTGACTCACGCTGTATCTAGGTGGTGGCTGTGTGGATGTTGAGGCTGCCTCCCAGACAGGCTCCCTCATTGCTGGGGTCCTCCAGTGATGAGCAGCCCTGCTGCCCAGCTGGCAACAGAAACCCCCTCTGTAATTACCTTTGGTCAGTGAAGAAAGCTACCTCACTTAAGGTGACACCCTTTCCCCAACTATCCCCAGGGGCTGCCCAATATCCATCTGGCTGTGAGGATACAAAGGTCCTGCCACCCTCTGGCCTCAATTCAGGACAAATCTGCAGGGCCATCCAAGCTCTACAGTTACCCATGGGGATCAGCTTAGACTTCTGTTGCAATGACATCTCTGTTCAATTTCCTCCGCTGACCAGTCCTGCTGCCCTCATCTTTTGCACAGGTATTGTTTCCACACTGTACTTTTCAATAAGTTCACTGCACACAGATCTCCATCTCAGAACCTTTCCCAGGGAAACTGACCTTCTCTTTACCAGACCTAGAGTGAGAAATAAAATTTACAATTGTGACCAGGCACACATATGTGTGTGTGTATATATATATATTCTCCCTATATACATAAAATAAATGTTCACAAACTAATACTAGCCATTATTATGATATACTCTGATATTTTCTATTCTAGTATTGTTATTAAAAAAAAAAAAACAACCAAACTGCCCTCCAAGACTCAATGCATTGATCTCATAACACACTAATGAGTCTTGATCCACAGACTGAAAAGCATTTATTTAGATGTGCAATCAGATTAACTATTTTGGCCAATTGTACTTTTGAAAAATGTAACTAATCAGATTTTTTTCCTCTTGATACTCAATTTGATAGGCCAATTTGGATCCAAAGGCCTAATTAGTTCTATGTGTGCGGCCACAAAGAGTGAAAAATCTCAACCATAGACCACTATTAAAGAAATGGGCCTCATTACCTTTAATCATGTGTTGTAAATCCAACTAAGACTAACAGATTGTTAACCCTTACCCAACTCAGTATATTTAGTCTTGTCATTATCTCATTATTAGTGACTGTCTGCTACCACAATGCCTAAAGAGTTAATTTTCTTAAGTTTCTCCTTACAAACCTAACTAAAATAGTTTTCTTAAGTGACCTCCTCTTTCTCTTCTGAAAGAAAGAATTTAATAGGGTTCCAGCCAAGGAAGTTTTACTAGATACAATTTGCTAGTAAATTGTATTTACTAGAAGTATTTAAAAGTCATTAAAAAATGAGAAATTTATATATGTGCCTTTTGCCTTATAAATATCATTTACAAGGGTAGATAGAAGTCGTGTCTCGTAAGGATATAGTGCTTCTGGGAGAAGGAGGCTGGTAATAGCCACAGCCAACATGCCAGGAAAGGACAGTGATAACAGAACGCTAGTGAAGACTTAGAAACTGTCCAATGTTTTCCTTTTACAGAGACAGAAACTGAAGTCCAGGCCGGGTAAGCGATTTACCTACGGCCACGTATCTGACAGGCAGCAAAGTTGGAGGAAGAACTAGAACTCCAGGTTATCTTGTCCTGATGCTCTTTCTGCATATGGCGGGGCTTCCAGCAGTGAGATTTCCTCTTTTCATAAAGAGCTTGTGCCTCATGATTTCCCAGGAGATTTATTCAAAATAAGTTCCAAGAAACAGGTGGAGTTGTTTTCTACCCAAAATATACCTACCACAGAGCCTGCTGCCAACATTAGAAATATTTTGACATCTCCAGAAGCAACTCTAATGGAGGCAGAAGACGACTCCTTATCTGTTCTCTTTTGATAAAAACAGGCAGTTCCTAAATCTATTCTCTCTTCTCGATACCCAGAAAAACTGCTAAAACCTGCTGCGCTTTATCCTTTGAAACATTAACTGAGTCCTTGGCAGTGAAAAGAATTTAGCAAGATTCCGGCATAACGTCTTGGGGAAATTATGCCTTATTTGCTCATTTTGCAGGTGTTTGAGCTAGTGTGGACTCCTCAAGTCAAGATCTTCAGCAAGTTCTTATTCTAAAAGAGCCTTATTTTAGAATTGCCCTTTCCAAATTTCTATCTGATGCTTTAACTGGCTTTGTAAGAAAATCTCTTTATCTCTTTTGGATTTCTGGAAATCCTGCCGGTTGGACGCAGAAAAGCAAACAATTTTGGTTAAGTAAATTTCAGATCTTTAACACATACTAATGTGAATGTTTGCTATTAGAACGTGTAAATATTTTATGAGAAGGATGCTTGCCTAAAATAAACATTTTAAAAAGATCGAATGAAACTTTTATTTAGAAAGTGCCTTTCTCCAAGGGGTTCAGAAATGCTTTTAAACACTTGCTTGATCTTAAATCAAGACTTTTTTTTTTTTTACCTTGAAACTATCAAAATGTATCTCTTCTGTTGTGTCTTATGTTTGAGTAGAGTTTCTGTTCAGGGAAAAGTATACATGATTTTGTTCAAAGTTCTCTAGGAATAGTTTGGGAATCTGGGAGTCTGGCCTCTGGTCCTCACTGAGCTGATGACCAGCTAGGTGACCTTAGCAAGTCAACACACCACACCACACTCTGTGTCCTAAAACGAGGAGGAGGTTGACCTCAATCCTCTGAAAGGGTGTTTCTAGTCTGGTGATAGGAGCCATCTAACTCTGAAGGCATGACAATACTTTGGGAGATATCAGTCTTTTAAATCTCTCATTGTTTATGGTTAATTGCATTAAGGAGCTATGCAATTTATTTGACAAAAATAAACCCCATTCAGAACAGAGCTCAGTTTTCAACTTCTCCTTTTTGAGTGTTTATACTTTCGATCTAAAATTCCAGTTAACTTGAATAGTCCATAGAATGTGGAGTTAACAGAAAGAAATGAGTTCAAACTCTAGTGGTTTCAGTAATGAGCTGTTTGTTGACCTTCTCAGACTCTCCATTTCCTCATTTGTAAATTGGAAATAGTAGCATTGACAGTTAAAGTTGTCATGAGCATTAAATGAGATAATATATGTAGGGCCCCTGGTATATAATAAGCATTCTAGAGATGGCAGAGGAGTCTTCGGTTTTTGTTTTTGTTTTTTTTTTTTGGATATTGACATGTCATGGGAAAACTGGAAATAATCAATTATTTCCAGAATGAGTTTAGAGGGAGAGAAGGGTGGTTAGAAAGGGTATTGAAAACATAAACTAGAAAGTATCTGAGACAAGTCTCAACCAATGCAGAAGTTTCTTTTGCCAAGGTTAAGGATGTGCCCGTGACACAGCCTCAGGAGGTCCTGATGACATGTGCTCAGGGTGGTCAGGCCGCAGCTTGGTTTTATACATTTTAGGGAGACATAAAACATCAATCAATACATGTAAGATGTACATGGGTGACGTCTGGAAAGGTGGGACAACTTGAATTGAGAGCTTCCAGGTCACTGGTGGATTCAAAGATTTTCTGATTAGCAACTGATTGAAAGAGTTTATCTAAAGACCTGGAAGCAATAGAACAGAGTCTCTGGGTTAAGATAAGGGGTTGTGGAGCCCAAGGTTCTATGCAGATGAAGCCTCCAGGTATCAGGCTTCAGAGAGAATAGATTGTAAATGTTTCCTATTAGACTTAAAAAGGTGCCAGATTCTTAGTTAGTTCTCTCCCACATCAGGGGAAAGACCCAGAAAGGGAAGGGGATTCTCTACAGAATGTAAATTTTCCCCACAAGAGATAGCTTTGCAGGGCCAATTCACAATACGTCAAATAAATATACTTTAGGGTAAAATACTTTTATTTTTTTCAAGGCCTGCTCTCTGTCAGGTGATGCTACACTAGAGTCAGGCTGGAATTTGGTGTCTTATTGCTACAAAAAGTCTTAAGATCTCTGTTTTAATGTTAATGCTAGTCAGTTGTGCCTGTATTCCAAAAGGGAGGAGGGTATAATGAAGTATGTCTGGCCCCCCAAACCCTTCACATCATGGCCTGAACTAGTTTTTCAGGTTAACTTTGGAATGCCCTTGGCCGAGAGGAGGGGTCCATTCTGATGGTTGGAGGGCTTAGAATTTTATTTCTTCAGTTTATAAGAATTACAACATTTGATATGGTTTGGCTCTGTGTCCCTACCCAAATCTCATCTTGAACTGTACTCCCATAATTCCCACATACTGTGAGAGGGACCCAGTAGGAGATAATTTGACTCATGGGGTGGGTTCCCCCATACTGTTCTCATGGTAGTGAATAAGTCTCATGAGATCTGATGGTTTTATCAGGGGTTTCCACTTTTGCATCCTTCTCATTTTCTCTTGCCACCACCATGTAAGAAGTGCCTTTTGCCTCCTGCCATGATTCTGAGGCCTCCCCAGCTATGTGAAACTGTAAGTCCAATTAAACCCCTTTTTCTTCCCAGTATTGGGTATGTCTTTATCAGCAGTGTGAAAACAGACTAATACAATATTCATTTTTAAAAGAAAGGAAATACAAAGAACCTTCTGGAAGTCAGAAGACTTCGTAAATTAAGAGAAAGATGAATTGTGTGGATCAGAATAATGCAAGTTATAACAAGATTAAATGGGACCCTACTTGATTTGGAGAATGAACTTATGAATCTTCTGTAAACTCTCAGTAAATCCACAAGCCACCAAATGTTGACATTCTATGAAATGACAAAAAGATTTGTGTGCTCCTGAGAATAACTGAGATTTTCTTTAAGTAAGTAGGAAAAAAAGATGCTGTAACATATAACATCAGATCACACTGCCAGTAAACCACAAGCTGGAATCAATGATTTCTGAACTGTAAATGCTACTCTAAATTTTGATATCAATTCCAGTTTCTTGTGACACAAAAGCCTTTGTTTTTGTGTACTTTTTGAGTAGTTTTTCTGTTTTTCTGCCATCTTCCCTCTTTTCTGGAACAGTGAAGGCTTATGATTCTTTTAGTATCATAATTATTAATGTACACTTTGGAGATGATACAAACCTCTCATTCATTTATTAGACATTTAAAGACCACCAACCATATGCCAAGCTCAGTGATGGAGAGGAGGGATAAAAATATGGGCAAGAGTTCCTGTTCTTTAGAATTCTAGAATGATCTATCACATATTCCCCAAAGACAGAAGAATCCCCTGTCCAACTATTTTGTTCCATTGGCTGAGCACTTGTGACGTGCCCAGGTACTGTGCTAAGTGTTTTCTGCATTATGTCATGTGCCCTGACAGATGCACATCTGCCTGCGCTGGAATATGACAAGGCACTTTCTAACCCAAGACCATGCTCTTCACTTGTGAACAGATGCTGTAACCAAAATCTGCATCCCTATAACTTCTGCCTAATCCCCATGGAGCCACACAGTATTGGGCTAATTCTTTTTCTGCATGTCAGCTGTTCAATTGCTGTCAGCTAGCAAGGGCCTCTATTATCATCTCCAGATTAATCATCCCTTTTTCCAGAAACTCTTGTTCACCAATACATCCCCAATACCTAGGACAATAGCTAGGATATAAGAGAAATTCAAAAACATTTTTGCTAAATATAAAATATAGCCACATACTCTACCTGTCCTACAGTTTATTAATAACCTACCCAAATGATAAAGATCAGAATTGAACACAATCTTACAGGTACAAAGTGCAAAGTACAGTGGGTCCATTTCTATCCCCTTGAACATAACCTATTGCAACAGTATCTTTTCTGGCAAAAAAGTCACTCATTCAGCTTGAGTGAAGTTAACTCATAGCCCCACAGGAACATTTTCTTCAAGCAGGCATTGCCACCCCCTCATTTGTGTAGTTAATGTGGGTTTTTGTTTGTTTGCTTGTTTAAACCCTAAGCAAAGGTCTTACTTGTATATTTTTACCTTTTTAAATTTGGTCTGATTTGTGTTCCTAGCTATTTTTGTTTAAATCTGCCATGAATTTTCTAACATGATTCCAAACTTCCCCAATGTCAAGCTTCCCACAAATCTGATTGGCAAACCCTTTCATATCTTATCTAAATAATTAACAAAATTATTGAATAAAACAGAGCCACATAGAATGACACTAGCAACCTGGCCTCCAAGTTGATACCTATACATCAATCAACTTTTGAATTCCCCTTAGACACCATCAAATGCAGACATTTTTCTCAAGGGTATTATGTAAAATGTTTTCAAATGCATTGCTCAAAGCTAGAGAGCCCAGCTCACACTGTAGTAATCCCAATTTAGAGGTAAGTATGCTGGAGGGGAGCAGCCTATATTTCAATTCATCTAATTCATTGCATAAATTTTACACTCTAAATCCTTCAGGGCTTTAACTTTTGAAACTAATTCCAGGTTCTTCTGACACATCAGCCTTTGTTTTTGTGTACATTTTGAGTAGGTTTTCTGCTTTTCTGCCATATTCTCTCTTATCTGGAACAATGAATGCTTATGATTAAATAAGAGAGAGCAATTTATTCAAGAAAGTGGACAATGAAAGGGTCCATATAAAAGAAACTCAGGTGAAGAAAACCTCAGAACACTCTCAAAATATTATCTGGCTATATGGATTTAGAAACCAATCTCCCTCACAGTTGCTTAACTTTTCTTCCTGATGCAAGAATTTCAATGCATGGGCTGAATTTATAGTAAGACTTTCTATACAAGTATGTAGTAAAGTAATTGAATAAACATGAGAGGAGCATTTTTGGGTACTGCATACCAGCTGAGGATTAACACACAGTACATGAATTAAAAATTTCAGGAACCTTGCAAGAGGAAAGATTACAGCTCTTTATAACAAAGAAAATTATTATTTCTATTATTTTCCCTGTAGATGCATTGACAAACTTAGACTTTTGGAATACGTTGTCTTTAGTTGTTCAGGCTTTACCATGTATTTGTATAGAGCAATCTATTTTTCTTGGGGAAAACCAAATGCCCATGACGTATGTTTGCTTTAGAAGATGGTTTCTTTGACTTGTTGGAATAAATCACAATCTCCTGTTTCTACTTTTGTCCTTTCACAAGGATTTCCACAATTACTTTTAAGATTTGTTTTAATATTTAAAGGGGAAATATCTATTCAAAAGGCAATTGAAATGCTATTATGTGCACTAGCCAAGGGAAATGTAAAGGTTTTACTTTTGGGGAGCTTAAAATATAATAAAGAAGCAAGGTCAATCAAAATTGGTACAATAAACATCTATACCACAACATTCTTTTGTAGACCAATTTATTTTTTTATCTACCTGGTTGTGTTATTGCAATGCTAGGTATCTCTTGTAATATAAAGATGAGTTTCTTGCTATTTTTAAATGTTGGTTGGAAAGCCCCATATCAACATTTATATTTTTCCTGAACATTCTTTTGTGATTTAGATCCTTAACTATAGTAAATCTATCAAGCTTTTTAAATATTTGAGTAACTGTATATTTTAATGAAAACTAGGATACCCAAAAGCTCAATGTTATGTGATTATTAGAGTGATTTGTTAAAAATAATAGCTCATCACAGCAATGTTTCTGACATAAATTATCTAAAAACCTTCTTGTAAGCTCAGCCTTTTCATTGCTCTTATGAATAAAATCTCACTTATTCTTGTATAGAGAAGGATGATAAATAGAAAATTATTCATTTTTAAACCATAAATACTTATTAGAACTTGTTCTCTGGTCACCTGGTGCATCTTATGTTAGTTAATATTGTGTTCCTTCAATCCTTTCTGGTGTTTTGTTAGAAGCAAAGTGACAGTCATAATTCTGCAGGCTTTGTGTTTTTTCACTGCTGAAGCAAATGAATGTGCATAACTTTGAAGAAAAAAATTAAATAAAGAAGAAAGAGCTCACTGATGTCAAATGTCTTGCTTACTGATTCCAGAGAGAAACTGGAATAAATTATTGGTTTAATAATAATGCTCAAGAACTGCCAGCTTTCTGAAAATATTAACAAAATGGCACACACTGCCAGAGTTCTTTCTCCAGTGAAAGGTAGTTAAAGACTGTAGTCCCTGAAGAATAGACTAATTTGAATTTTTCTCAGTCTAATACATTTAAAAATATATATATATATATATATATATTTCAATGGAACAACAAAAAGGAGTCCTCAGTTTATTAACAATTTCCCCAGTCCTCTTTAGCACTATCCTCATTTACAGATGAAAGATTTACTTTCAATATAGGCTTAACAGTTATTATAGTCCATGAAGAAATGACTCAGATTTTCCCTGACTTAAGCAAAGTATAGTAAAACAATTAGAAAAATACAATAAATTCTTTTATCTGGTTCAATAATAGGGATAGAATGTTCTGGTTAATCCCATAAGAGAGTTAATATTAACTTTCCTGTAGAAACCTAGTAGATTTCTAATTTTTTTTTTTTTTTTTGGCTGGAGTGCAATGGTGTGATCTGGGCTCACTGCAACCTCCACCTCCTGGGTTCAAGCAATTCTCCTGCCTCAGCCTCCCAAGTAGCTGGGATTACAGGTATCTGCCACCACACCCAGCTAATTTTTGTATTTTTAGTAGAGACAGAGTTTCACTATGTTGGCCAGGCTGGTCTCGAACTCCTGACCTCAAGTGATCCTCCCGCCTCAGCCTCCCAAAGTGCTGGGATTACAGGCATGAGCCACCATGCCCAGCCTAGATTTCTAATTTTTAAAAGAAATTTTACTATGTCAAAATCCCCATAGCACTACAATGGCTGCTTTAGGACATACCTTAAGATTTTACTGCACCTCAGAGACATCATTATGTCACTGAAATGCAGATAAACTCACTCTTTTACACTACAAATGTTGCTTCAGTACCTACCTATTGGGTGTCAGTCAAGCTGCATGTTAGGGAACAATGATGCCTTCCATAGGGGACCATGTCTTGTCTGAGAGGAGAAGACAGGCATAAAAACATACACTTCTAGTAATATGGAAAAAATGGTGGCTTAGTTTGGGCTTCCCCCAAAGCAGGCCCTCTTACAAAGACATGGGTGCAGGTAGTTTACTTGGAAGTGGACCCTAGGAACACAAATGAGTAGGTGACCTCGTGGGCTGCTGGGATTCAATGCCACCGAGGTCTTGTGAGGAACCACGTACAGTGTATTCAGAATCATCCTGCTAGAAATGGGAAAGCAGAGGTCTCCATCACCCTCCTCCTCACTGGTTGAAGGTTGTCCCTGGAACTTCTGGGCTGTCTGGCCCATAAAAAGCCCTTAGGCAGAGAAGCAGAGAGATGCAGGCTCTTGAGGTGGGGAGCCATGGGCACACAGGGGAGACACCCACCACAGCTTCCCGTGAACTCTACAGTGGCCAAGGAGCATGGGTATGACATCAGCAGCCTCTGCCACAGATGGTGATTTAGAGTCCACCATTGTAGAATGGGACCCAGAAGAGGAAAGAATCAGTTCTACCTGGAAGTCAACATTTCAGAGGACAATAGATGCCTGAGATGACTGAGTATTCTCCAGAACAGGGGTCCCCAGTCCCCAGGCTGTGAACTGGTACTGGGTCATGGCATTTTAGCAACTGGTCGCACAGCAGGAGGTGAGTGGTGGGTGAGTGAGCATGACCACTTGAGCTCTGCCTCCCATCAGATCAGTGGTAGCATTAGATTCTCATAGGACCACAAACCCTATTGTGAACTGTGCATGCAAAGGATCTAGGTAGGTTGTGCGCTTTTTATGAGAATCTAATGCCTGATGATCTGAGGTGGGACAGTTTCATCCAAAATGATCTCCCGTCTGTGGAAAAATTGTCTTCCACGGAACCAGTCCCTGGTGCCAAAAAGGTTGTGGATCACTGCTCTACAAAATACAAGGAGTGAAGGTGGAAGACTGCTACTTAATTGCAAATACATTCAAGTAGAATATCAGACCACAGATAGTTCAGTGAGTCCTACCTTTGCATCAGCTGTGATCAGATTCACTGTTTAAACATACATGTTTATATATATGCTTTTATTTTATTTTATATGCTTTTATTTTATATTATATAAATATAAATATATATTTATAAATATATTTATATATACATATGCTTTTGCTTAGGTAGGTACAGGTTTCAACGTGCCCTGTTTTCAGAGCTAATGTAGATGTTCCAAGCTGTTGACAGTAAAACAGACAAGCAGTTTCTTACAAGAAATATGAAAACAATTACTTTATTCTACCCTTGACTCTGACCAGCAGATGTAAAGGTGGCATTAGACAGACTACAGGTTGACTGCTTGGAAATCTACAGGTAATAGGACTTCAGGAGAGAAATTTGAGCTCCAGGAGAACAGAGAAGGGCAGGGTCAGGTCTGGTCTCATAGAAATGAGAAGCTAGATCCAGTTCAAGGCAGACAATAGGATGCATAGAGTGGAGAGTAGAGACTGAGAACACAGTTCTGGAAACTGAGGTACACATAAAGATTAAGAAACAAAACAAGACCCCACTGACAAAAACTGAGCACCAAGTCAAAATAAGTGCAGCAGCAAGAGTGATAGATTCAGAGCCCCTAAGCTATGAAATTTCAGTTTCTTCATTTTGTTAAAAATGAAGTCAGTAGCTTGGGGACATTTACGTGCATAAGAATAACCTTGCAGGCTTGTTTTAAATATTTAAAGGTAAGTCCTCACCATACCTTACCCATATGTTATGCTTCCGTAGGTTTAGAGTGAAGTCTGGGAATCAGCATTTTTAATAAGGGTCCTAAGTGCCTCAGATGCAGGTTGCTTATGGATTTGGTTAGGAAGCAGTGAATTAAGTTAAGGTTAATTTCAAAGTCTGAGAACGGAGTGAGCTTCAACTGGTCCCAACAATGCAAAAAGTAGGGTGATCAACTCATTCTAATTTACCCAGAACTTTCTCAATGTTAGCATGGACAGTCCCATGTTCCAGGAAACCATTCAGTCCCAGATATACTGGAACAATCGGCCACCCTAGCATAATGGACATGCTGTTGTGTCAGGAGCTCACAGAAGACCTAAGCTTCATCACCTCAACCTCATGCATTCCGCTAGGCTTCGTATTGCACCAGCCTTCCTCCACAGACAAACACTTCAACTGACTCCTTTCATGATTCAAATCTGTGATACATGCTGAGATCGGACCTGATGCTTAAAAACTCATGAGGCCCTGAGTTGAAGATCCTGCTCCCAGAGGTTACATATCTACCTCCAATTTCCCTACCCTCATACCTGGAAAGAAAGTATTCCAGTAAATAAAAGGAAACAAAAGAAAAAATGGGTGTGGCAGGGGGGTGCACACTGGCTATGGCAGCTCATGCCTGTAATTCTAGCATTTTGGGAGGCTGAGAAGTGGGAGGATCACTTGAGCCCAGGAGCTCCAGAGTGCAGATAGCCATGATCGCACCACCGCACTCCAGCTTAAGTGACAAAGTAAGACCTTGTCCAAAAAAAAAGTCAAACAAAAGACTACCATTTGGACAACTGTCTATATAAGAATCCTAACATAATGCACAAGACTGACCCTGGGGCCCCATGCCTGAGTTTGTATCTACAGCTAATGAGATGTGTGACCTTGGACAAGTTACCTCCACTCTAAGTGCCTTTGTTTCCTCATCTGTAAGGTGAAAATAATAACAATATTAATAATCATAATATTGTCTACTTCATAGGATGAAATTAGTCAAGACATGTAGTTTTCTTTGGACAGTGCCTGACACACAGTAATCACTCTGTAAGTGCAGTTCTTATTAAAATCCTAATGTTTAAGGTAACTCTGAACCACTCGCAATTACTTGTGTGAATAACATCAGTCTTTCCGCACCCAAGCAAATTAAGTTGTAACATTCAAAGTCATTTTAAACAAGCAGTTTATTTTCCTATCATTGAAAATATCATGTGGAAAAATCCACGCTGTAGTTTTAGCCTTTTGGTGATGCTGGTGGAAGGAAGGATGAATCAGCTGCACTCAAGATGTCTATTAGCGCCCCAGCCGAGCTAGAGTCTCCAGGACACTCCCAAGCACAGGAAGGAGGCTTGGAAACACTTCAAAGCCTGCCGACACGCAGATTGCTTCTGGTTGCCAGTGGATTAGTATTGGTGATATATCCTTAGCCACACACTTCACCTCCATATGTCTCAGCCCTCTTCACCTTTCCCTCTGACTGTGACAATGAGAATATTGAAATCAATAAGTTCACCCTCCTTGCTCCACAGACTCATGTGCTTTGAAATGAAAAATGGCTCAGGCAGAAGAAGCCAAGACAGGCTCGGAGGACATAGATGGAGTTAGAATTGGCAGGATCTGCAGTCTAGGATAGGGGTACAGACGACAGCAGGCTGGGAGTGAGAATACTTGGGGTCTCCCTCCATTTGGTCACTACTCAATAGTGGGGATAGGTCATTTTAATTCAACGGACCCTGCAGTATCTCCTCTGTAAAATAAAGGCATTGGGCCAGATAAATATCTATCATCCCTTCTAGTTCTAAAAATCCTGATAATATTTTACAATAAAATGTCAGCCAGCTAGCTTTAGCCTTATTCCTCTCTTCCATAAGCACCTCCCTCTTTGTTATCGGTTACAATGCATTCTTCTAATGCCCATTTTCAGTTTGAAACAACCTAATCACACATTAAGTCCCTTAATGGCACAGACTTTGTTTTAATCTCATTTTGTCTTCAGTGCTTAGAACTATGCCTGACAAGGAGAGATTTTCAAGAGGTGTTTCCAGAATTGAACCCATGCATCATCCATCTCTTCGCTTGTGTTATTAGTCAGAGGCCCAGCAAGAAACAGATAGTCCATGCACACAGGGCAATTGAGGTGAGTTTACCAAAGGGACTATTGACAAGATCTAAGCAGCATTAGGGTGAATCCACCATCAAGGGGTGGTGAAGCACCCCAAAGCTAGCAATGGCAATAATTACTACCCCTGGTAGCCCTGACAGGGTGAGGGGAAGACAACTGTTACAGGAACTCTGAGAAAGTCATGGAAGCTGTAGGTGCTAAGAGCGCACTGCCTGACCTTCTTTAGAAGAAACCAGCTGACCTGTATCTCGGAAGGGAAGGACTTCCTGGCCACATACCTCCTCCCCAACCTCTCTCTCCCCTCGTCTTTCCTTCAAGCCCTTCCCTCTCTTGCCAGCGCCTCCATTGGCTGAACACAATGGGAAGTGAGAAAGCATGGCCAAGTGTCCAGGCAGTCCATGAAGGGCATGGAGTGGGGTGGAGAGCCTACCCGGGGAGAAGGTGAACAGAGAATATCCAGCACACTCAGCTCCCAGCACCACTGCCTCCTCCTTTGAAAAGTCCGGTGAGGTCAGGCGTGGTGGCTCACTCCTGTAATCTCAACACATTGGGAGTCCAAGGTGGGAGGATTGCTTCAGCCCAGGAGTTCGAGACCAGCTTAGGCAATCTAGTGGATCCCCGTCTCTACAAAAATATTGAAAAATTAGCCAGGCATGGTGGTGCACACCTGTAGTCTCAGCTACTCAAGAGGTTGAGGTGAGAGGATTGCCTGCACCTGGGAGTTTGAGGCTGCAGTGACCTATGATCATGCCACTGCACTCCAGCCCAGGCAACAGAGCAGGACCCTATAAAAAAAAATAATAAAAAAAAGAAAGAAAAAAGAAAAGTCCCCTGAATAACTCTATTTATTCACGTAACATTTATTCAGCAAATGTGTACATTTTGCTCTGTGTATACACAGTGCTTTATAAGTGTTGCCTACTTTCTAGCTAGCATACATTTTTCTTTAACCAACCAGACTGTAAGCTTCATAGAGGCAGGGATGATGTCTTCTATCTTCAGACCCATCTCTAATGCATTCTTGCTGTATATATAGCACTCAGTATTTGCAACTTGAATGACCACCTTTATTAAAAAAAAGAAGTTTTGGTTGTTGTTGTTTTTTTTTGAGACAGAGTCTCACTCTGTAGACCAGGCTGGAGTGCAGTGGTGCGATCTCGGCTCTCTGCAAGCTCCACCTCCTGGGTTCACACTATTCTCCTGCTTCAGCCTCCCAAGTAGCTGGGACTACAGGTGTCTGCCACCACGCCTGGCTAATTTTTTTTTTTTTTTTTTTTTTTTTGTATTTTTAGTAGAGACAGGGTTTCACCATTGCCAGGATGGTCTCAATCTCCTGACCTTGTGATCCACCCACCTCAGCCTCCCAAAGTACTGGGATTACAGGCATGAGCCACTGTGCCCAGCCAAAAAAAACCAAGTTTTTAAAACAAATTATACAACTGGTTATCCTTAGCATACTATCCAATTTCTAAATCTCTAGGAAGAGCCAACTCAAATGTACAGCGTGGCTCATTGCCTTGTAGAGTGTTTCTGTTGAGTGGCGATCATGGTGGCAAAGTGTGAGTCTTCCCCCTTAGGAAGACTGGCTTTGGAATTCATTGCATAGTAGTGCATAGTAGTTCCTGGAACCCATTCATTCAACATGCCTTTATTCATATTCAGTAGGAGTAAAGTGCTGTGCAAGGTACTGTGAGAAATCAAAGGTTAATTTGCCTTAGATTCTGTCCTGGGAATTAGAGTACAGTGGGAGACAGAAGGTGTTGATGTAATTAGGTGGAAAGAAGGAAAAGCAATCCCAAGACAAAAAGAGATGAAATGCTGGGAAAGTTCTGAGTGATAGCAATGATTTTGATGGAGAAATTTAGAATAGGCTTCATTTTGACCAGGCACAGTGATTCACACCTGTAATCCCAGCACTTTGGGAGGCTGAGGCAGACGGATCACGAGGTCAGGAGTTCAAGTCCAGCCTGGCCAATATGGTGAAACCCCATCTCTACTGAAAATACAAAAATTAGCTGGGTGTGGTGTTACATGCCTGTAGTCCTAGCTACTTGGGAGACTGAGGCAGAAGAATTGCTTGAACCCGGGAGCTGGTTGCAGTGAGCCGAGATGGTGCCACTGCACTCCAGCCTGGGTGACAGAGGGACACTCCATCTCAAAAAAAAAAAAAAAAAAAAAAAGAATAGGCTTCATTTTGGTTAGATCTTGGAGACCATGCATTCTTTGGTCATGAAGAGATAAAAGAAGGAATATGCTACACACACGTGACTGGAAGCTTTCAGGGAAAAACAACTCTTCGTTTCCCTGAAAGTTCAAACAAGGTGCCGCATGGGTCTCTGATTAGAAAAACACGTGCTGGAATCAGATATGGAGGCCCTGAATGGCAGGCTCAGTCTGAATCACCTTTCTGCTGGCAGTAGGGAGCCCGTGAAGGATTTTGAGTCAATGATGAGAAATGGAACTTCAAGGAAAAATAATAGCAGGAGACAATGCACTGAGGGCTTTCTGTGCAGGCACAGTTCTTCATACTGATCCCCAATGGGGAGTATGCTATCACTGATATTGTTTAGAATTTCAGCTGCAGGATGATAATAAAAAGCATCCAGATGATTCGTTGGTTTCATTATTCTTCCTAAATTCTCTATGAACAATGCATGTCCTGCCTTGGCTGCAGCTTCTTGCCTGTATCTGGGGCAAACCACTATACACGTATCAACTTATTTAACCTTCAAAACATCCCTGTGAGGTAGATACCATTATTATTGTCAGAGAAGCACAAAGAGATAAAGTGATTTTCTCGAGATAAGAAAGCTGGTAAATGGCAGAGCCAGAATTTGAATGTGGGCCGTGTGACTCCTAATAGCTACTCCCACTGGCCTGGCAGGAAGATTATAACTTCCTTGAAATCAGGGGTTATGCCTATTAAACTTAGCTCCGTGCTACCCCTTGGTAAATAGGAACTTAAAAAGTAGTTATTCTTTGGTGGTTCCAGGCCTGAAAAATGATCAGTTTTCTACCCACACACAATCATAAGCAGTTATACCCTGATTTTGTTGATTCTATTTTGAGTTCCAGTAGACATAAATCAGGGTGTTTACTAAGAATCCAGGTGTATTTGACAGAAAGCAAATAACTACAATCGTCTAGTCAGGCATGTGGAGATAAGTGCCATGCCAGCCACTGTATGGGCAGGTCAGATAGTTAACATTCTCAGTGGTTAAATGAAATCATTTCCTGCATTCTGACTTGACCAGCTATTTGCAGCATTTCTTTTCAAGTGGTCCAGGTGCTATTGTTCAAAAATGATTGTTCTTATTATTAAACCCTTTAAGTATTCTAAATGCCAAGGGTGAAAGCTCCTTGTCACATTATGTTTCAAGCGTGATTAGGCATTAAAAGAAAATTTCATATTATCAGTTATTATTCAACACTGACATTGCACCTTGGATAAGAAAGCTCTCTGATTCATGGATTCAGTGATCACAGTTTCAATGTGTGATGCTTCCTGATTCTAGGTGCTCTTCCAGCCTCTCCCTTTGTATTAGTTTTCACACTGTTATAAAGACATATCTGAGACTGGGTAATTTATAAAGGAAAGAGGTTTAATTGACTCACAGTTCCACATGGCTGCGGAGGCCTCAGGAAATTTACAATCATGGCAGAAGGCAAAGGAGAAGCAAGCTAAGACCTTCCCTCACATGGCGGCAGGAGAGAGAGTATGAGGATTGAAGCGGGAAGAGCCCCTTATAAAATCATCAGATCTAGCGAGAACTCACTCACTACCACGAGATGAGAACAGCGTGTAGGAAACTGCCCCCATAATCCAATCACTTCCCACCAGTCTCTCCCTAACCACCTGGGAATTACAATTCAAGATGAGATTTGGGTAGGGATACAAAGCCTAACCATATTACCCTCCCATCATGCCTTCCTCCTGCCTCACCTCCCTCTGCTTAATCCACTTGTTCCCCTCTTTACCACCACCTCCTCCTCCATCACCACCACTGCCACAGTGCCCAATGGGGACTGCTGGTGCAGCTACTGAAGCTGGCACATGCAGGAGGCCCTGGGCTTGGCTCAAACACCTACAAGTTAAAAGTAATAGTAATAATAATAGCAACAATAACAACTGCTAACACCATTTGGTGCTTACCACTTTACATGCACAGTTTCATTTAATCTTCAAAACAACACTAGGCAGTAGGAACTATTACTATCCCCATTTTCTATGTGAGGAAAACCTCAAAGGGGTTCAGTGAAATAATCAAGATGGTACAGTTCATCAACAGCAGTGTCTAGACTGTCTGGGAGGCTGCGTGGCTTCAGAGAGCACGCTCTTAGCCCCTGCACGACACAAAGGGTTTCTACATTACTACAACCAGAGGAAATGAAACAGCAGGGGAAAGAGAGAGAGTCTGAAAGGGGGAGATGTCTGAAGTAATTTCTGGAAGAAGCAAAAGTCCTAGGATAGTTTTCTCTTTGGGTGGGTACTTTGGATGGGAAAGGAATTTCATCTCACGGGACAGAGGAGCATTTGCAAAATTCTATGAATCCCTACTGGGTCGTCTCCATGGCTGTGACTGGATGACACTGTTACCACATTTTTCTGCTAAAAAAAAAAAAAAAAAAGGATCCTAGGAAAATCAAATTACTATCTCCAAAATATGAGAATCCCAGACCTCTGACTCTCCCCAGTGAGACTTTGGTCTATTTAAACACACACAAAACTCTCCTGCCTTGCATTAGCAAAGGAAAGTTTAGAAAAACAAAATTAGATTTTACCTGCAGTGTGTTAAATGAAACCCTCCAAATTATGCCCATTTTTAAAGGTAATTGAATGTTAAGTTTTTTACTTATTTAAGAGCAATTCCATTCCACCCACTTTGCCTATTAGCATATCAGAGGTTCACACGCACACTAATAATGTCAGCGGTGCTTCACCTGCTCCATTCCTCGCCTAGTCCATGTCTTTTTAAACAGAGAAAAAGATCAAAAGAACAGTAAATTGCCCTGCACGGCAACCAAATCTGAAGATACATTATAATGACAAACTTTTCTTCAATCCAAAATGAACATGCTTCGTTTCTTCATTTCCCTCTTGGTTTATATCATGTTAATCTCTTTTGATAAATTCAGACCAGTCTGGATCCAAATAATACAGAACATGTCCAGAGTGTCCCTGGGGTTTTCTTTCACCTCTTCCAGTTCTGCCATCAGGTGCTCAGATCGCCTGGTGCAGGGGAGAGAGATGAAGCCATAGGAAATCTACTTAATCAGTAAGAGCACTTGTGAAATAATCACTCCCCTAATTAAGCAAAGCGGCAGATAGACATTTTCATCCATGATCATCCTGAACAGTTCTTAAAGGCTGCTTGGAACGTGTTCTTAGGGGCTTGGAACAGTTCTTACAGGCTGCTTAGAGGCTGCTTGATATGGGAAACGTTGATCAATCAGTGGTTTGTCTCTGAATCTGGTACATGCAGAAGGCCCTGTACTTGGCTCAAACCCCTACACATTAAAAATAATAATAATAATAGCAACGATAACAACTGCTAATACCCATTTGGTGCTTACCACTTTATATGCACAGTTTCATTTAATTTTCAGAACAACTCTAGGCACTAGGAACTATTACTATCCCCATTTTCTATGTGAGGAAATGGGGCTCAAAGGGGTTCATTTGGGAACGCTGATCAATCAGTGGTGTCTTCTGTATATGGATGTGGAAGGGAGGGGCAGAGATGCAGTTTGGGGACTGGTATAATATGTCGGATAAGATGATAATGCCACCAACCTTGGGTAACTTCTGCTGTACTAAGGCTGGGTTTTCCATAAGATGCTCTCATTATTTCCTCCCAAGATTTCTGTATATACATTTTCTGTCCAGTAGGCAGAGTAACGGATACAGTTTGTAATTTTTTAAAGAGTGCTATACTAACTTCTGTATATCTACCCAATGAATCCCTTTATTACCACCCCCAAGGCCATCACCATACTACAAGGCACCCTCACTTGCACTTAACACAACCATCACCTTCCCAGCCTCCATGAACCAACTCTTAAGCCCTACCATGCCTCTCCTCACAATTGACAAAGGAACCGTTTTAAAATAAAAACCTGGTCAAGTTCTTTCGGACACCCTCTTACTCACATAACCCACAGTCCCCCATGGAATCATTCTCTCTCACTACAATGAGTAATCAACCCACTGGTTCAACTATAGATGTATTCCTGGTGGCCTCTGCCTGTAGAGAAGTTGATTCCAATATGCACAGATCTATTTGTTTATTTCTAAAATCTGTGTGATAGCATTCCATTGTATGAATGTACCATATTTTATTTAACTGGATATCTGTTAATAGATAGTGTGATGTCTCTAATGATAGTGCAATGAATACCTGTATTAGCTCTTGCACTGCTAGAAAGAAATACCTGAGACTGGGTCATTTATAAGGAAAGAGGTTTAACTGGCTCATGGCTCTGCACACTGTACAGGAAGCATAGCAGCTTTTCTGGGGAGGCCTCAGGAAACTTTCAGACATGGCAGAAAGCAAAGGGGAAGCAGGCACATCTTACATGGCTGGAGCAGGAGGAAGAGAGAGAGTTGGGAGGTGCCACACACTTTTAAACAACCAGATCTCATGAGAACTCTATTACGAGAACAGCACCAAAGTGATGGTGCTAAACCATTCATGAAGGATCCACCCCCCATGATCCAATCACCAGGCACCACTTCCAACATTGGGGATTACAATTGAACATGAGATTTGGGTGGGGACAGAGATCCAAACCGTATCAATACCCTTCTATTCATACTTGTATACAATTGTCTAGTTATTCCCTGGGATACACTCCAAATAATATAATGGCTGAGTCAAAGATTATGCTTATTTTCATTTCATTTTAAACTAGTTTTTTATACTGTAAATGTAATATATAATTTTGGCAAAAAGTAATATATTAAAAGTTCAGATGACTATAAAGTTACCAACAAAAGCCCTCTTTTTCTACTCCATTTCCAGGGTCATTCCTTAGAGACAACCATGCATATCCTTCCATAATGTTTGCCCAAAGAAAAAATAAATGTAATTGCTGTTTTTATATACACACACATATAAAAATACACATGCATAAATATGGCTATATATAGTCCATTTTTTGAAAAAGGTTATAATATATGTTATACTTACATTCAATTTTGATTCATTGCAAAATTATCTACAGTCGCATTTACACTCCTACCAACAGTATATGAGAATGTCTACTTTTCAGCATCTAAACTTAAGATGTAGAATATGAGGAAGAAAACATAAAGGCTAAAGTATCTTAGTTTTGGTTTTCTTACTTTTAAAAGTCAGCTAACAATATTTTGCAAGCCTTTTTGTGAACATTGAATGAGATGATATAGAGATAGAAATTTCATACATTTAGCCTGGCCCACAAAATATGTATGAATAAATGATAATAGTTCATATTGTTATTGCTATCATCATTTGGTTTATCTGACACATCAAATTACTTTTATATAGTGGTCCTAGTTCTATCTTTTAATGGTAAGAAAATAAATTTAGCTTTTCTAACCTTAAGACCTGGAGTTACTATCTTTAATAATAAGGGGCTAGGAAATTTAAGTGATGTGAGTCGAGCAGGCTACAGTCTCTAGGGAAAAAAATATGTATCTTCTATACTATCTTGCTAATCAGTCATCTGACTACAATTTTCTATTGATTCTTCCCTTGGAGAATTTGAGAATATTCTAACAGAACTTTGACACAGGCACTTGAGAAATTTCTGCAGATTATATCTTAAAGAGCAATAATGCAATTTTGGTGAAAAATAAAGAGGCAGCCCAGTGGAGGCGCGGAAGGATGAACAGATAGATTTCGTGGGCCCATTTCCCTATTACAGAAAGAGATATTTATTGCCTGCAGCACAGCTGAGGGACTGCATTTGGAAATGCCATAGAAAGTAGTCTGTAGCTGAGGTCCTGGGGCTCAGCCCAGGATAAGGCATTTGGCAGGTTCAGCCCCAGAATGGCAGGAAGCCTGCTTTCCAAACAGCAGCTGCAAAAAGAGACTGAGTTTGTTAAAACTTATTTGGCCTTATTCTCATCTCCCACTGCACCCCTTCGGCACTCTCCCAGGCACAGTGCTGTCTTTGTAATCCAAGACAGGGGAGCGGGGGAGGGAAAGAAAGGAGGGGAAAGAGGGAAGGAGAGGGGCAAAGGGAGGAAGGAGAGGGAGGGAGAAGGATGAGGGGGAAAGAAATGAAGGGGGTTGGGGGAGGGGGAGAGAGAGAGAGAGAGTAATAGGAGATCCCTAAAGAAAAGACTGGAATTCACTTATTGACAATAAGAACCATGCTCAAAGTAATGCTGACAAAGGGATCTTTTCCACAAAGGAAACCTGAGGCTTTTCTGCATTCAGGCCTTTACTCTGAATCTACGGATGCATTGATATTGGTATCATTACTATCATCATTATTTCCTTCATCCAAGCTCTTGGTATCTATTCTTTAACTTGAATAATAAAAAATAAATTTTTTAAATAATAACTTTCCATGTTTTAGAGGAACCGGCAGAGAAATAGTAAATAACTATCCTAATATTACCCTGGATGTAGATGACCAAGGGGATATTGGGAAACAGACTCCCAGTGTTACCAGACAGGGGTCCCCATCCAGACACCAAGAGAGGGTTCTTAGATTTTGTGCAAGAAATAATTTAGGGTCAGTCCACAGAGTAAAATTAAAGCAAGTGTATTAAGAAAGTAAAGGAATAAAATAATGGCTACTCCCTAGACAGAACAGACACGAGGGCTGCTGGTTGCCTATTTTTATGGTTATTTCTTGATTATATGCTAATCAAAGGATGGATTATTCATGCTCCCCCTTTTTAGACCATATAGGGTAACTTCCTAACATTATGATGGCATTTGTAAACTGTCATGGCGCTGGTGGAAGCATAGCAGTGAGGACGACCAGAGGTCACTCTTGTGGCCATCTTAATTTTGGTAGGTTTTAGCTGGCTTCTTTAATACAATCTGTTTTATCAGCAAGGTCTTTATGACCTGTATCTTGTGCTGACCTCCTATCTCATCCTGTGACTTACAATGCCTAACCATCTGGGAATGCAGCCCAGTAGGTCCCAGCCTTATTTTACCCAGCTCCTATTCAAGATGCAGTTGCTCTGATTCAAATGCCTCTGACACCAGGATCCCAACCCAGTGCTCCCTCTCCGAGGCCAGGCTTCTAAGGATATATCTCTGTTTTCTCATTCACTTGCTAGGTTCATCATACCATTATGGATGTCATCCAGGAACAGCTGATGACAGGAACAGCTCAATAAACCAGAGCCCGGGTTCCATGAACATGTTGTCTGGGTGTAAGTGTGGGCTTTATCATATATCAGCTGTGTGACTATAAGAAAGATCCTGACCTCTCTGTGCCAATATCCCAATATCCAAAATGGGAATGGTCATCATGCCTACCTAGTAGGGTTATTAAAAGAATTAAGCAACATAATGCTCATGAAGCACTTAGCATAGTGCCTGACATACAGCAAGGACCTAATAAATGCTGGGGGAGATGTAGTATTTAGATACTAGTGAATCAGTATCAGATTATATAGACAAGATTTTCCAGTTACATAGCAGACCTTGAAAAAATATTCTCATGATCTCCACTTGATTTTTTACAAACAAACAAAAACAAACAAACAAACAAACAAAAAAACAATTGAAATTGTCTAGAGCTAAAGAGGACAGTTTTTCCAATGGAACATAGGCAGAGGGCAAACTTTGGTCTTTATTTAGCTGAAGTTGTCAAATATCCAAAGATTAGGTGTTGGAGGTGCCCTGAATTCACTTCATGAGGGCAATCCCAAGAGTCACTCGATGTCACAGAGTAAAAACAGCCCATCACATTAGCAGTTCTTTATCTTTGGGGAGAAATTTCTCTCTTCAAGGTTCTGATGAAAGCTAGGGAGAAAAATGCAGTAACGTGCAAAATTCTGCATCCAATTTTAAGAATTAAGCTCTTACTTAATGCCAAGCATGCTTTGGCAGATGAAGAAAAGATAAAAGATGTATTAGGCAAAAGCAGCTTTGCTTTTCTGCATTTAAATTCTGCAGTGAAGTGGAGTTTTGATCCCAGTTATTCTCCCTGCTGACTTGCTGCTTCAGAGTGTGGGCATCACCTCTAACCTATTTAAACGGGAAGGGTGCACATGAGTATTAGGTCAGAAGAGGAGAAATAGGACAGAAGTGGGGGGGGAGGAGATATAACAAATGTATAGGCCAGAATCTAGAACCTTTTATTATGCCTCCTGTAACTTTCTCATGAAAGTGGGAGTGGAGTGAGGGGGAAGAAAATACCCAGGATGGATTCATAGGAACATAGAAAGGTCTCTTCTAGCCCCGTGACTCTACTGAAAAAATTCAATCTCCTCTACATTTTCCATGAGGCATCAGTTGCTCTTTATAGTTTCTAAGGCAGCAGAATTATTATTAGTTCTATGGAAAATATCGAACCATAGTTGTTCTCAGGAGTATCTTGCTGCTTAAGCTTAAATGTCACAAGGTATTTGATCATAGATAGATACCAATAGGGCAGGCAAAAGCCTGCTGCTCAGAAAGGGAAAAGCACAAAGAAATGACAGAGGTGGGCACAAAATAGACCTGGGGATGTGGGAGACAGATAAGACTTTCTTTCCGAGAATGATGATTTAGCTTTAGAATGTGGCTGGCACCCCTGTAGTTGTTTTCCTTGTGCTTGTTCCACTAAAGCAGCCATTCCCCAGCCTTGGATTATAGCATTTCCTTATCAATGCTTTGAGCAAGATGCAAACAAAGGAGAGCTCCCATACCAATTTGGGAGTAGAAGTTCTCACCCTCGCTCTCCTACCTGTCATCCCTACAAAAATACGCAGATCTGGGTAGGTCTTTCCAAGGATCTGTTCAAAGTAAAAGTAAAAAAGAAAAGTGTGACTCAGTCTATTTTATATAACCACAAAGGATGACCAATTTGTACAATCAAGATACCTTGATGTTGAAAGAAACTTCTAAACACCTACATAAATGTAGCAGATGTAGCAAGAGAGGGACAGGTAGATTGAAGGAAAGGGTCAAATTTCATTTCCTTTCTGTTTTTAAGGTAATGAGGTTTTACTACCCCAGGCACACTGTCTACACTGAGTAACTAGAACTAAGCTGAGGAAGTGTTGCTGAGCGGAGAACCAACTCTAACAAATAGATAAGGGAGGCTTATAGTCATTTATCAATTATGTATGTACACATGAATGTCCTAAAGGGTTTGAAGGTACTTTGTGTGCTTCTGTCAGATGTGTTTGAACCAGAAAAACTCCGTCTTAAATAGAGGCTGGGTAAAATGAAGCTAGGGCTTGCTGGGCTGCATTCCCAACAAGTGAGGTATTCCTAGCCTCTAAATGTGTGCAGTTAAGGGAACAGATCGATAACATTTACTAAACAGACCCAGACTTAAGAGTGTCCTGATATCCTGATATCTTGAGAACAGAAGCACTCCTAATTTTGCTTTAAAAATAATATTGATTCTTGCAAAATATAGTAATTAAGGAAATTAATCCTTTATCACAAACCCTTGTAACATAATGCATTTCCCCATGATCTTTTTTTATCCTCTATGTAAACAAACACTGTACCCAAGGTGAACACATTCCTCCTCTCACTTTCAGGAATGCCCTACTCTGTCTATGGAGTAGCTTTTTTTTCACCATTTCACTTTCTTAATAAATAAACTTGCTTTTGCTTTACACTGTGGACTCACCCTGAATTATTTCTTATGTGAGATCCAAGAACCCTCTCTTGGGATCTGGATCAAGACCCCTTTCCCTATAAGCCTGTTCTGCAATGTCATTTGCTAACCACTTTTCTTCTTTTCATATATAGGACAAAATTCCCTTCCATCCAGACTCTACCTCCAAAATTCTGAATTCATAAGGTCTGTGCAATGAAGGTTTTAATGTGCCTAAATTTCTGTCTGCCTATCCCCTAATTTTACCCTCAGGCCAGCCCCTTCCCTGAGCTTTACACATTTTCAATTCTCTACTGCAGCAATCTCCAAACTGGGATATCCCTGCCCTCTGACATTTCAATGTACAGACATTCCAAAGGGTATGTGAGCACAAATAGTTTCAAGGGAAGACATTTCCAGATCCTACACGTGCTTTTTGCCTAACCTATCTGCCTGAGAAAGTGCTTGTAGTCAGCATTATGCAATATTCTTTCCACCCTCCCAACGACCCCTTTTTCTCCATTTTAACAAAAGAAAAGCTTAAGTCTCATCTATCCTGATCTTACCTTTGTAAGATCAATTTGGCAATCTCCAATTCTTTGCTTTCAACAAACATGAAGAATTTAATAAACATGACCACTAACACATCACTAAAAATTAGTTTGATGATAAAGTATTACGTGGTTTTTTAGCAGATATCTGTAAAGGCATTCATAGACTTGAGTAACATTGCCCTTAAAAAGAAAAAAACAAACAAACAGAAAAATGACAGAGAATTGATGCTGCATCATCTCTCATTCCAACAATAAGTAATCTTTATTAATACATGAGCTAATTAAAAAGGAAACCAGCCTCAATCATCTAATTAAGAGATTCGAATATAAAGATTTCCAATATAATTATTTTATATTTAGTATTTATTGAAATGTGTATTAGGTGTTATTTTGACCAGTTGTCAACTAATTGAAACAAACAACTTAATCCAGAAGAAAGTTTTTTAACATTTGGACCTTACGGCCTTAAAAAAACTTTGATCCTTTTAAAATTTCAATTTATATGCATACTTTTATGGTAGCGAAGTAGACAGAATACTAAAAAACTTTCAACACACGTGCCATGTTGGTGTGCTGCACCCATTAACTCGTCATTTAACATTAGGTATATGTAACTAACCCGCACGTTGTGCACATGTACCCTAAAACTTAAAGTATAATAAAAAAAAAAAAAGAAAAAAAACTTTCAACACAAACATCTATCACTTTAGGATAAAATTTTGTGGGAAACATAGAAAGAAATATGAGTAAAAGGAATGATGTATTTTTTTTTGGCTGTGTAAGAAAAACTTGTTCAACTATATTTTAAATACAAGTATATTGTGCTTGTTCGAGTGTATTTTAAATAGATGATAATGGAAATCAAATCACTATGTTTCATAGGCGCATGGATTCATTTAAAAGAGAGTGATATGTTCTGACTCTGTGTCCCCACCCAAATCTCATTTTGAATTGTAATCCAAAATGTAATCCCCACGGGTTGGAGTAGGGACCTTTTGGGGGTGATTACATCATGGGGGAAGTTTCCCCTTGCTGTTCTCATGACAGTGAGTGAGTTCTCATGAGATCTGATGGTTTTATAAGGGGCCCTTTCCCCTTCACTCCTTACTTCTCTCTCCTGCTGCCTTGTGAAGAAGGATATGTTTGCTTCACCTTCTGCCATGATTATAAGTCTCCTGAGGCCTCCCCAGTCATGTGGAATTGTGTATCAATTAAACCTCTTTCCTTTACAAATTACCCATTCTCAGGTATTTCTTTATAGAAGAGTGAAAATGAACTAATACAGAAGGATATAACTGTGTTATTTAAGATATGTTGTCACTACAACAGGCTAGAAATTATCCTTTGTAACTGTTTAAACACAATTAAAAATAACAGCTGTAAACTTAGAGATGTGCAAGAGAGTAGATTTCCAAACTTCTTTAGGTAGTTCAGAAGCAAAAATGTTTGAAACCCATTGTTCTTGAGCCTTGCTACTCAAAGTGAGACTCCAGTGGCATCCCTGAGAACTTGTTATAAATAGATATAGCAGGCCTCCCCTCAACCTTGTTGAATCAGAATCATTCAAATACAATTCCCAAGTGGCCCATATCCCATTAAGGTTTAAGAAGCTCTGTAAGATTCCTTCACCTAGTATCTGAAAGTTAACCTATTATATCTCTAAACTTTGACATTTCTTTCACTTGTTTTCCTGTCCTTGTTAATGGCATCAGCATCCAGTTAATCCTGAGTAGAAACCCCAAGGTCGTGTTTAACGCTTCCTCTTCACTTACTCCTTCCTCACTCCTCACATCCAATCAGCAAAGAAAGAAGCCCAATCAAGTTGATATTTTCCATTAGTTACTATGTGCAGGGCAATAAGGATAGAAAGTTAAATAAAATATATTCCAAGCTTAATTTAAATAATTGTCTTCTAATTCCAATGCCCTCTGTGGTGGACAGACTCTGTTAAAAAGTAAACAGAGGAGCAATAAAGTTTTAAAGGGTTTATTTGAGCAAATAAGGATTTATGAATTGGGTAGCTCCAAACCAGAAGTGGTTTAGGGGATCCGCTGAAGGAACTCAAGGAGGAGGCTTTATACGACAAATGCAGAAGTAAAGCAAAGAAAATATTTGACTGGTTATAGTTATACGGTTGCCTTACTTGGTCTATCCTGTTCGAAAGTCTCTATTTACAAAAGTTTGTTCACTGCTCCTGATTGGTTGAGCTTAAGTTCTGCCTTTCTTTAATACAGACATTTACAAGAAAGAGCTCAAATTATGTTTCACTTACGTTTGCAATGTAATCAGAGTTAAGGGCACTGGCTTTGTCTGCTCAGAGATTCTTCAGGCCTGGTGAAGAACCTACTTTAACAACGGTAAGCTGACCCCAACTAGTCTCCACATGCTATGGTAATCTTTTTGTGTAATCTTCTCCCCTTGAGTGTATGTGGGAAGGTGGACCTGTGACTTGCTTCTAACAAAGAGTATATATCAAAATAGGTCTCTCCTGTGCTCACATTTTATAAGATTCCTTGCCAGACTTACTTCAAGTCTCTGCACTGCTGGCCTAAAAAGGTGAGCTGAAAGATAATAAACTGCCTATGGAGAGGACTGCGTGGCAGGGAAACAAGCCACCCTGCCAATCCCCTGCAGGAGCTGAGGGCAGCTCTTAGCACTACAGTTGCAAAATAAATAAGCAGGTAAATTCTGCCAATAACTTGTGAGAGCTTGGAAACAGATTCTTCTCCAGTCAAGCCCCAGAAGACAATGCAACCCAGCCGACACCTTGATTGCAGCCTTGTGAAAGACCCTGAAACAACCTCAGTGAGAACCCAGCTAAGTCATTCCTGGACTTCTGATCCACAGAAACTGTAAGGTAATAAATGTGTGTTGCTGTAAGCTGCTAAGTTTGTGACAATTTGTTACGCACAATAGAAAAGTATGCAGGCTCTGATAATGTCTTAGCTGGACAGGTGCAAGAAGGCCCTTGCCATTGCTCTTCTATCCACAGTTTTTCTCTTTTCTTCATCCTGTTTCAAAACAAATCTCCCCATGTCAAATTCATGCCTAAAATACTTCAAGGGCCTAAAAACTCTGTCCAGAACATAGCAAGTTTTCAATCAATGTGTTAAATGAATAAGAATATAAGGTATTAAAAAGTTACCTGTATATAATAAAACAATAAGCAATGGACCTATTGATTACAAAGACACAGGGCAGGCCTTCAAGATGCATCAAGCCCACATACCAAGGGACATGATGGGGCTGATGCAGTGGTGATTCTGCTTAAATTTTAGCTTTACAGGTATTCTTTATATCCTTTGAAAAGTCACCTCTCATATCAGACTGTCCTTTTCTATAGTAACAAAAAGTAGGCAATCCTCTATAAGTGCCTAATTTATGTATTTTAAAACCATGTCCTATTTCCAACTGCAGGGAGAAGGGAACTTTCGATTTACTGAGTGCTGAGTCTCCTACTATACGTTTCACGGGCTCCCTGTGATTTAGGGATCCGGCACATGCCCAGCATACACAGGCCCAGCATCTACACTTTCTCACATCAAAATAACTTTCACATTTGCCTCCATTTTGCTTTATTCATTCACAGAGAGCTTTGAGTGCTGCCAAGTTCAAAATGTGTTGCTAAGAGACAAACTTGCCCTGTGGATAAGGAAAAGGAATCAAAAGCAACTTGCCAATGGTTTCGTTACTGACTCATTTATCAATCTTGGAAGACATAGGGCTGCTCTGCCTCTTGGTTTCCCCAAATGGTAATCAGAAAAAAATTATCTGATGGATGCTCTGTGCAGAGACGTGATCCTATTAATTTCCATCACCCCCTCCTGTTTTGCTTCTGTTGAATCCATGCTGCACCCCAGTGCCAGGTGGACTTTCGCACAGCACACCTCTGCTCGCCTCTCTGCCCTCACACGCATGCTGAAGCCCTTCAGTGATCCTCCAGTGCATTAGAGACCCATTCAAGCTGTTCAGTGAGAGCCTTTTAGGATCTGGCCTCACCTTTCTGCTGTGGCTCCCTGCGTTTTCCCTGCATGTTCCTTGCTCTGCAGCCACCTGCCTCACCAGCTAACCCATGCCTTCCCATCCCAACTTCTTGCTGCTGCCATGCTGGCTGGTTTACAAAGAAGTCCTCTGATATTTCTGGCAGCTGGAATCTCCCCCATCCTTCAAAGGCTTTGCAATGATTTTCTTTACACTGTGCCCCTAAACAGAAGTAATCTTCCCCTCCCTTCATTCCTGTGATTGTGTATTTTTCTCTTTTGGGATTCCTGCTTTCTTCACTGTAGTGGTTACAGTATTTGTGATCCCAACTAGTCTATTGAGCTACTTGATCTTAGGCACTGTGCCATCCATACTTGTCTCCCACACAATAACTCACAAAAGCAGATAATTAATTTGTTTATTACATACAACGGCTAACGTTTGTGGAGTATGTTATCCAGGCTAAGCATGTTACATGCATTATCTTATTCACTCCTCATAATTACCCAAGGAGTTACTGTTATTAACCCCATTTTACAAATTAGGAAATTGAGGCTCTAAAAGATTATAAACTAGCTCAGGGTAACAGCCACACAGCTGTTCAGTGGCCAAGTCAAGATTTCAACACAGGTTTGTATGACTCTACTTCGTCTCTACTGAATGCTGTTGATTTATGGATATTTGAAAGCTTAAAACAGTGGTCCTGAAAACCCTTAAAATTCTTTTGAATAAAAATGATAAAGACTGCATTATTTGTAATGAATTTTACTTTCTTTCAGGCAATCTCATTCATTGCAGATGAGAGTTTCTACAGGTACAGCTCCCTTTCAGGACATTTAGATATTATTTTCAAATATTTCAATATATATTTCATTTGAATAAGTTAGGATTTCATGTGACAGTGTGTAACAGGGAAAACTTTTTGTAGTAGCTGAAACAATATAGAAACTTAGTTCTCTTTTTGTAAAAGAAATCCAGAGTCAAATACTCCAGGGATACTATGGTGGCTCAAAGTTTTCAGGAGCCCAGGCTCTGTTAGTCTTGCTGTTCCCCTGTGACCTTAGCATGTCACCCCATGATTCACCACAGCTTCCCAAGTCCAGTTAGCATGAAAAAGGAAGGAATGAAGAAAAGTTTGCTCTTTAACTAGTAAGGAGACTGCTTAAAAAAAATTAAATAACACTTGAGATCAAATTTCATTGGTTAAAAGTAAGTCACATGGCCATACCTAGCTACAAGGGAATCTGGGAAATGTAGTCTTTTAGCTGACTGCTCTGCTCCCTGAAATAAATGTGAGGTTATATTGTGAAAGAAAAAGGAAAGAATGAATATTGAGGGGCAACTAGCAATCTTTGCCTTGCATCTAACACAGGACTTCTACTTCCAGCAACTAGTCACACAGGTATCAAAGATACATGCCTAAGGATAGTTACTGCAGCACTATTTGAAACAACCAAACATAAGTAATTCTAAAATCTTTAAGGATGTGGATAAATTACTTAAAGTATGCAACAAAATGTGATGATGTTCTATGTAAAAACATAGTTAAAATATATAGTTAAGTGAAACAACAACTTGGAAAACAGGGATTAGAGCATGATCTAATTTATAAATAAATATGAAAAAAATTGTTTCTATTTTACTTTATACACTTAGATATTATTTTAAATTTTTTAAGCCCATGAACATATATTACCTTACAATGATTTGTTTTTAATTTAAAATCTTATTTATCAAAAAAAAAAGCATCCCTAACCTTAGGATCTTTTATATCCCTTAATACAATTTTCTTTGATATTCCTTTTATTCCTGTCTTATTTGCTAACTCAGAGCAGCAACATTATAAAACTTCACACTTGAGACTAAGAAGGGATTGTTTCTGAGCCACTTTGGAGGAGTTTCTACCCAGGTTCCCTTATCCAGCTCCAGCCCCATCCCCTCAGCCTATTCCAATGCAGGACAAGAAAACTCTTCGAGTCACAGTTACATAATGGAGTTCCACTATCAGAGAAGTTTGGAAAAATGCTAAGTTGCATTAAAATGGGCTTCTTTTCTGCAGGGTATTTTAGAGTCTTTGATAGGGAAAGACCTGTGAATCTATACGAAAGAAACGTGCAGTAATATGCATTGTTTAGAAACTACTTTACCAGAAAGTACTGGTATTACTTACTTTCTCTAATAGGTTTTTGCATTGAATACTGTTCAACTTTTAGCAAACTCTGTTTCAGAGAAAAACTTGGGCAAATCATCCAGTAGACACAGGCTCTGAACGGTCCATTACTATCTTAGCTCTAACAACAAAAACAACAACAATAAACAAATTATAGACTTAGGGGCTTACGCAACAGACATTTATTTCTCATAGTTCCAGAGGCCTGGAAGTCCAAAATTAAGGTGCAGATTTGGTTTCTGGTGAGGACCCACTTCCTAGCTTTTGTCTTAGTCCATTTGTGCTGTCGAAACAAAACGTCATTGACAGGCTAGCTTATAAACAACAGAAATTTCTTTCTCACAGTTCTAGAGGATGTGAGGTCCAAGATTAGGGTGCCAGCATGATTGGGTTCTGGTGATGGCCTTCTTCTGCAAATGGCCATCTTCTGTGTCCTCCCATGGTAGAAAGAGCAAAGGGAATGCCCCCTCCCTCCAAATCTTTTTATAAGGGCACTCATCCCATTCATAAGAGCTCCACCCTCATGATCTAACCACCTCCAAAATGCCCCACCTCCTAATAGCACCACATTGGGGTTTAGGATTTCATTATATGAATTGGGGAGGGATATAAACATTCAGGTCCTAGCACTTGTAAATGGTCACCTTCTCACTGTGCACTCACAGGGCCCTTTCCTTGGTGTATATGCTTGAAGAGAGAGAG
The DNA here is from genome assembly GCF_000001405.40 of Homo sapiens. NCBI lineage: Eukaryota > Metazoa > Chordata > Mammalia > Primates > Hominidae > Homo > Homo sapiens. Next base: position 3,716,408 of record NC_000003.12, read on the forward strand.
AGAGCAAGCTCTTATGTTTCTTCCTCTTTTTAGAAGAGTATTAATTCTATCATAAAGGCCCCACCTTCAAGACCTATCTAGTTCTAAGGATCTCCCACAGGCCCCACCTCCAATACCATCACACTGGGGGTTAGGACTTCCATAAATGAATTTCGGGGGGACACATTCAGTCCATAGTAGACCCATCAACCCTTCCATCTCCCATCGCCAGCTCACCATTCCTTTTGCTCCACCTTGACGAACACCTGCAGGTTTTCCAGATAGACTAGCTGTCTTTTGTTCCACCCTTCCTATCCTCTTTGCTTGGCAAATCTCTACTTTTCCTTCAAACCTCTACTAAAATGTAGCCCCTCCAGGAAGCCTTCCTTGCCCATCCTCTTACCTCCCCCAACTGCCAAGTTTTCTTTACTTTGATCATAATACTTGCCACCACAGTGTGTGTAATATCTAATGCATTTCTCAGTCCCCACCACTGGAATGCAAATCCTTCAATGCTAAGGACTTGTGACTTTTTTGCTTTTGTATCTTCAAAACCTAAAACAGTGCCTGGAATATAAGGGATGGTGTAATACATATTTCTGAATGAATAAGTGGGAGAGCTTGGCAATTAAATCATGTGTTTAGGATAAGTTGCAAAATGGAGAAATTCACCACTATTTTCTGATTAGTAGAAAAATTATTTTTTAAAATAAGAAATTTAAGAGTTCTTTAAGTGAAAGAGGTTTCATGACTAAATGCACACTGTAAATAAGGTTTCAGAATTTCAAGTGGCTATCATGAAATAAAAAGTAATATCTCCAGTTTGAGTTGAATGCTTATTTCTCATAAATCCTGCTAAATTTTCACATTAGGATGTAAATATGTACAATTTTCATTGATATAAAGGTCCTCACAGAAAATGTTTTTATGGGTTGAATTGTGTCCCCAAAAAAGACAGGTTTAAGCCCAGCCCTCAGTACCTGTGAATGTGACCTTATTTGGAAAAAGGGTCTTTGCAAATGTATTCAAAGTAAGATGAGGGTGTGTTCGATCAGACTGGTATCCTTATACGAAGAGGAGAAGAGACACACAGACATACAGGGAGAACACTGCAAAGATGGAGGTAGAGATTGAAGTTATTAATCTACAAGTCAAAGAACATCAAGGGTTGTTAGCAACATCAGAAACTAAGAGAAAGGCACACAACAGCCCCTGGAGTCCTCAGAAAGAGGATGGCCCTGCCAACACCTTGATTTCAAATATCTGGCCTCCAGAACTGTAAGAAAATTAATTTCTTGCATGTGTTTTTTTTTTTTTTTTTTTTTTTTTTTTGAGATAGTCTCGTTTTATTGCCCAGGCTGGAGTGCAGTGGCATGATCTCGGCTCACTGCAACCTCCACTTCCTGGGTTCAAGTGATTCTCCCACCTCAGCCTCCAGAGTAGCTGGGATTATAGGCACCGGCCACCACATCCAGCTGATTTTTGTATTTGTATTTTTAGTAGAGACAGAGTTTCGCCATGTTGGCCAGGCTGGTCTCAAACTCCTGACTTCAGGTGATCCACCTGCCTTGGCCTCCCAAAGTGCTGGGATTACAGGTGCGAGCCGCCACACCCATCCTAATTTCTGTGGTTTTCAGTCACCGGGTTTGTGGTATTTTGTTAGAGCAGCTGTTGGAAACTGATACAGGTGTTTATTGCTCCATCTAACTCATTTAAACTAGTGACTCTCAGACTTGTGATCCCAGGTTCCACTTCTACCAGGTCTGACTGAGCATATTCAGGGTAAAGCCCAGAAATGTGTGTGGTTAATAAGCCACTTAAGTGATTCCAATAGTGTGGATCACAGACAAAATTTTACAAAATGTTAATTTAAACTGTCAAGTGCTTTGCTTCTTCCCTGATTTTAATCAAAAGTCAGGTTCTTTCTCTTGTGCTTTTTCCCAAGTAGACCAGGGAACAAAAAACAAGCAGGTGTATTTGGTTCAATACTAACCCAAAATGATCAACAATAATTTTCATGATAAAGCAATGTTAGCTAAGCTGACATACCATATCCCAAATTGTAGACCAGAGGGACTAGAGTTCGCCAAATGACTTTCCCAATGAATAGGGGGAATATGGAAATTCTGACAGACTCTTTTCAAAACGAGCAGGTGTTGCAACACTGCAAATGACATGTGCTGCCAACAGCATTTCCCTCTTCTCTGGTGGCTCACTTTGAATTTTTTAGTGTGTCCACTCACTCACAGCTTCCCTGCAGCACAGCCAGCTGGAGAATGGAGAGGAATTGAGGTTCGCCAGGAGCTGTGCTCCTGTGATGAATTCCTGACTTGGAAACTCAGAGAACGATCTTGCATCAAGTTCTCCACCTACATCTAGACCAACCATTGAGAACCTGAAGATGAAGCTGGTTAAACTCAGTGCTAAAGGCATCAGGGCCTGGATCTCAGCACCAAGTGGATCACTCAACGTTACCACCCAAATCACCAGGCACATCAGTCTTGATGGAAAAATAACAGGACTTAGAGTCTAGGACTCACCTTAGCCATGTCTCTAACTGATGTGTGACTGGGCCCAAGTTATTTACCCTCTCTGAACCTCAGCAGCTCCATCTATAAAGCAGTGATAATAATTCCTACCTCCCAGGGGGCTATGTGGAGATACAACAAAACAGTATATAAAAAATTATCCATAAAGTATTAGTTAATATAGAAAGGCATCCACATGTATATTCTTCAGCCACAGGCTGCACCCTCAGCCCTACAGGTAAGCTCAAAGGAGACCAGGTCAGAGATGGTGAACCTGCCTGTACAAGCCACTGCCACCATTGGCCAGTCTCCACAGAGCTTGTGCTGTGGACAGTTGGTGCATCAGATAACATGGAAGGGACACCTTAAGCAGTAGAAATGCTCTGTTGTTATGCAGTGTGACAAAATGGGTAGTAGGTCAGTTAACGGAGACTACTGGTAAATTGGAAAATCCTTTAAAATGATGTATACAGGGAGGAGCCAAGATGGCCGAATAGGAACAGCTCCAGTCTACAGCTCCCAGTGAGAGCGAGGCAGAAGATGGGTGATTTCTGCATTTCCATCTGAGGTACCGGGTTCATCTCACTAGGGAGTGCCAGACAGTGGGCGCAGGTCAGTGGGTGCGCGCACCGTGCGCGAGCCGAAGCAGGTCGAGGCATTGCCTCACTCGGGAAGCGCAAGGGGTCAGGGAGTTCCCTTTCCTAGTCAAAGAAAGGGGTGACGGACGGCCCTGGAAAATCAGGCCACTCCCACCCGAATACTGTGCTTTTCCGACGGGCTTAAAAAACAGCGCACCATGAGATTATATCCCGCACCTGGCTCAGAGGGTCCTATGACCACAGAGTCTCGCTGATTGCTAGCACAGCAGTCTGAGATCAAACTGCAAGGTGGCAGCGAGGCTGGGGGAGGGGCGCCCGCCATTGCCCAGGCTCGCTTAGGTAAACAAAGCAGCCAGGAAGCTCCAACTGGGTGGAGCCCACCACAGCTCAAGGAGGCCTGCCTGCCTCTGTAGGCTGCACCTCTGGGGGCAGGGCACAGACAAACAAAAAGACAGCAGTAACCTCTGCAGACTTAAATGTCCCTGTCTGACAGCTTTGAAGAGAGCAGTGGTTCTCCCAGTACACAGCTGGAGATCTGAGAAGAGGCAGACTGCCTCCTCAAGTGGGTCCCTGACCCCCGAGCAGCCTAACTGGGAGGCACCCCCCAACAGAGGCACACTGACACCTCACACGGCAGGGTACTCCAACAGACCTGCAGCTGAGGGTCCTGTCTGTTAGAAGGAAAACTAACAAACAGAAAGGACATCCACACCAAAAACCCATCTGTACATCACCATCATCAAAGACCAAAAGTAGATAAAACCACAAAGATGGGGAAAAAACAGAACAGAAAAACTGGAAACTCTAAAACGCAGAGCGCCTCTCCTCCTCCAAAGGAACGCAGTTCCTCAACAGCAACGGAACAAAGCTGGACGGAGAATGACTTTGACGAGCTGAGAGAAGAAGGCTTCAGATGATCAAATTACTCTGAGCTACGGGAGGACATTCAAACCAAAGGCAAAGAAGTTGAAAACTTTGAAAAAATATTTAGAAGAATATATAACTAGAATAACCAATACAGAGAAGTGCTTAAAGGAGCTGATGGAGCTGAAGACCAAGGCTCGAGAACTACGTGAAGAAAGCAGAAGCCTCAGGAGCCGACGCGATCAACTGGAAGAAAGGGTATCAGCAATGGAAGATGAAATGAATGAAATGAAGCCAGAAGGGAAGTTTAGAGAAAAAAGAATAAAAAGAAATGAGCAAAGCCTCCAAGAAATATGGGACTATGTGAAAAGACCAAATCTACATCTGATTGGTGTACCTGAAAGTGATGGGGAGAATGGAACCAAGTTGGAAAACACTCTGCAGGATATTATCCAGGAGAACTTCCCCAATCTAGCAAGGCAGGCCAACGTTCAGATTCAGGAAATACAGAGAACGCCACAAAGATACTCCTCGAAAAGAGCAACTCCAAGACACATAATTGTCAGATTCACCAAAGTTGAAATGAAGGAAAAAATGTTCAGGGCAGCCAGAGAGAAAGGTCGGGTTACCCTCAAAGGGAAGCCCATCAGACTAACAGCGGATCTCTTGGCAGAAACCCTACAAGCCAGAAGAGAGTGGGGACCAATATTCAACATTCTTAAAGAAAAGAATTTTCAACCCAGAATTTCATATCCAGCCAAACTAAGCTTCATAAGTGAAGGAGAAATAAAATACTTTACAGAAAGCAAATGCAGAGAGATTTTGTCACCACCAGGCCTGCCCTAAAAGAGCTCCTCAAGGAAGCGCTAAACATGGAAAGGAACAACCGGTAACAGCCGCCCCAAAATCATGCCAAAATGTAAAGACCATCGAGACTAGGAAGAAACTGCATCAACTAACGAGCAAAATCACCAGCTAACATCATAATGACAGGATCAAATTCACACATAACAATATTAACTTTAAATGTAAATGGACTAAATGCTCCAATTAAAAGACACAGACTGGCAAATTGGATAAAGAGTCAAGACCCATCAGTGTGCTGTATTCAGGAAACCCATCTCACGTGCAGAGACACACATAGGCTCAAAATAAAAGGATGGAGGAAGATCTACCAAGCAAATGGAAAACAAAAAAAGGCAGGGGTTGCAATCCTAGTCTCTGATAAAACAGACCTTAAACCAACAAAGATCAAAAGAGACAAAGAAGGCCATTACATAATGGTAAAGGGATCAATTCAACAAGAAGAGCTAACTATCCTAAATATATATGCACCCAATACAGGAGCACCCAGATACATAAAGCAAGTCCTGAGTGACCTACAAAGAGACTTAGACTCCCACACATTAATAATGGGAGACTTTAACACCCCACTGTCAGCATTAGACAGATCAACAAGATGGAAAGTCAACAAGGATACCCAAGAATTGAACTCAGCTCTGCACCAAGTGGACCTAATAGACATCTACAGAACTCTCCACCCCAAATCAACAGAATATACATTTTTTTCAGCACCACACCACACCTATTCCAAAATTGACCACATACTTGGAGTAAAGCTCTCCTCAGCAAATGTAAAAGAACAGAAATTATAACAAACTATCTCTCAGACCACAGTGCAATCAAACTAGAACTCAGGATTAAGAATCTCAAAACCGCTCAACTACATGGAAACTGAACAACCTGCTCCTGAATGACTACTGGGTACATAACGAAATGAAGGCAGAGATAAAGATGTTCTTTGAAACCAACAAGAACAAAGACACAACATACCAGAATCTCTGGGATGCATTCAAAGCAGTGTGTAGAGGGAAATTTATAGCACTAAATGCCCACAAGAGAAAGCAGGAAAGATCCAAAATTGACACCCTAACATCACAATTAAAAGAACTAGAAAAGCAAGAGCAAACACATTCAAAAGCTAGCAGAAGGCAAGAAATAACTAAAATTAGAGCAGAACTGAAGGAAATAGAGACACAAAAAACCCTTCAAAAAATTAATGAATCCAGGAGCTGGTTTTTTGAAAGGATCAACAAAATAGATAGACCGCTAGCAAGACTAATAAAGAAAAAAAGAGAGAAGAATCAAATAGACGCAATAAAAAATGATAAAGGGGATATCGCCACCAATCCCACAGAAATACAAACTACCATCAGAGAATACTACAAACACCTCTACCCAAATAAACTAGAAAATCTAGAAGAAATGGATAAATTCCTGGACACATACACCCTCCCAAGACTAAACCAGGAAGAAGTTGAATCTCTGAATAGACCAACAACAGGATCTGAAATTGTGGCAATAATCAATAGCTTACCAACCAAAAAGAGTCCAGGACCAGATGGATTCACAGCCAAATTCTACCAGAGGTACAAGGAGGAACTGGTACCATTCCTTCTGAAACTATTCCAATCAATAGAAAAAGAGGGAATCCTCCCTAACTCATTTGATGAGGCCAGCATCATTCTGATACCAAAGCCGGGCAGAGACACAACCAAAAAAGAGAATTTTAGACCAATATCCTTGATGATCATTGATGCAAAAATCCTCAATAAAATACTGGCAAACCGAATCCAGCAGCACATCAAAAAGCTTATCCACCATGATCAAGTGGGCTTCATCCCTGGGATGCAAGGCTGGTTCAATATATGCAAATCAATAAATGTAATCCAGCATATAAACAGAATCAAAGACAAAAACCACATGATTATCTCAATAGATGCAGAAAAGGCCTTTGACAAAATTCAACAACCCTTCATGCTAAAAACTCTCAATAAATTAGGTATTGATGGGATGTATTTCAAAATAATAAGAGCTATCTATGACAAACCCACAGCCAATAGCATACTGAATGGGCAAAAACTGGAAGCATTCCCTTTGAAAACTGGCACAAGACAGGGATGCCCTCTCTCACCACTCCTATTCAACATAGTGTTGGAAGTTCTGGCCAGGGCAATTAGGCCGGAGAAGGAAATAAAGGGTATTCAATTAGGAAAAGAGGAAATCAAATTGTCCCTGTTTGCAGATGACATGATTGTATATCTAGAAAACCCCATTGTCTCAGCCCAAAATCTCCTTAAGTTGATAAGCAACTTCAGCAAAGTCTCAGGATACAAAATCAATGTACGAAAATCACAAGCATTCTTATACACCAATAACAGACAAACAGAGAGTCAAATCATGAGTGAACTCCCATTCACAATTGCTTCAAAGAGAATAAAATACCTAGGAATCCAACTTACAAGGGATGTGAAGGACCTCTTCAAGGAGAACTACAAACCACTGCTCAAGGAAATAAAAGAGGACACAAACAAATGGAAGAACATTCCATGCTCATGGGTAGGAAGAATCAATATCGTGAAAATGGCCATACTGCCCAAGGTAATTTACAGATTCAATGCCATCCCCATCAAGCTACCAATGCCTTTCTTCACAGAACTGGAAAAAACTACTTTAAAGTTCATATGGAACCAAAAAAGAGCCCGCATCGCGAAGTCAATCCTAAGCCAAAAGAACAAAGCTGGAGGCATCACACTACCTGACTTCAAACTATACTACAAGGCTACAGTAACCAAAACAGCATGGTACTGGTACCAAAACAGAGATATAGATCAATAGAACAGAACAGAGCCCTCAGAAATAACACCACATATCTACAACTATCTGATCTTTGACAAACCTGAGAAAAACAAGCAATGGGGAAAAGATTCCCTATTTAATAAATGGTGCTGGGAAAATTGGCTAGCCATATGTAGAAAGCTGAAACTGGATCCCTTCCTTACACCTTATACAAAAATCAATTCAAGATGGATTAAAGACTTAAATGTTAGACCTAAAACCATAAAAACCCTAGGCATTACCATTCAGGACATAGGCACAGGCAAGGACTTCATGTCTAAAACACCAAAAGCAATGGCAACAAAAGCCAAAATTGACAAATGGGATCTAATTAAACTAAAGAGCTTCTGCACAGCAAAAGAAACTACCATCAGAGTAAACAGGCAACCTACAAAATGGGAGAAAATTTTCGCAACCTACTCATCTGACAAACGGCTAATATCCAGAATCTACAATGAACTCAAACACATTTACAAGAAAAAAACAAACAACCCCAACAAAAAGTGGGCAAAGGACATGAACAGACACTTCTCACAAGAAGACATTTATGCAGCCAAAAAACACATGAAAAAATACTCATCATCACTGGCCATCAGAGAAATGCAAATCAAAACCACAATGAGATACCATCTCACACCAGTTAGAATGGTGATTATTAAAAAGTCAGGAAACAACAGGTGCTGGAGAGGATGTGGAGAAATAGGAACACTTTGACACTGTTGGTGGGACTGTAAACTAGTTCAACCATTGTGGAAGTCAGTGTGGCGATTCCTCAGGGATCTAGAACTAGAAATACCATTTGACCCAGCCATCCCATTACTGGGTATATACCCAAAGGACTATAAATCATGCTGCTATAAAGACACATGCACACGTATGTTTATTGCGGCATTATTCACAATAGCAAAGACTTGGAGCCAACCCAAATGTCCGACAATGATAGACTGGATTAAGAAAATGTGGCACATATACACCATGGAATACTATGCAGCCATAAAAAATGATGAGTTCATGTCCTTTGTAGGGACATGGGTGAAATTGGAAATCATCATTCTCAGTAAACTATCACAAGAACAAAAAACCAAACACCGCATATTCTCACTCATAGGTGGGAATTGAACAATGAGATCACATGCACACAGGAAGGGGAATATCACACTCTGGGGACTATTGTGGAGTGGCGGGAGTGGGGAGGGATAGCACTGGGAGATATACCTAATGCTAGATGACAAGTTAGTGGGTGCAGCGCACCAGCATGGCACATGTAACTAACCTGCATAATGTGCACATGTACCCTAAAACTTAAAGTATAATAATAAAAGAAAAAAAAACTTAAAAAATAAAAGAAAATAAAAATAAAATGATGTATACATAACTTAAATTTTGATTGTCACTTACAACGTATAAACTGGATCCACTTCTAAGCTTTTGATGCCAAGGCTTTGTAGTGTGATTGACTTTAAATTGGTTCAGTAGTCAGAGTTCACATTGTCTTTGTTGCAGGAAAAACTTACATGCACCGTCTCCTGGGATTTACAAGTTTATTTCTTTAAAGCAAAGTGAGAATGTAAAGACCTTTGTGGAACAATCTGAGTGCGGACTCTGGAGTTTTTATGATTCCTTCCACCCCTAAGGCTTTTAGTGTTATCTCACCCACATCTAATTCAGCAGCGTTTTTAGCAACTCAACCCTACTGTTTCCAAAACATTCATAGAATCAACAGCTATCTTTTTGTGCTTATATTAAATCAGTTTATGAAACATTTAATCAAAGCATGTAATTACATAACAAATAAAACTGGCATAAATAGATATGGGCAGCAGCACAACTGACTCTTGGCAAGTGATCAACTGCACTGGTGGGAACAGAAGTACCAAGATGAAACAGAGAACTGGCCATTAGCTGGGGACAATCTGCATTAGCTGGGCATTAGGCAGTATGTTTGACATAGGGGATAGAAAGAACTGGTTTGTCTAGTGGTAAAGAGGAGATTGATTAAGAGTTTCTGGGCCAGGTTTGGTGGCTCACACCTGTAATTCCAGCACTTTGGGAGGCCGAGCCAGGCGAATCACGAGGTCAGGAGTTCAAGACCAGCCTGGCCAACATGGTGACAACCCATCTCTACTAAAAATACAAAAAATTAGCTGGGCGTGGTGGTGGGCACCTGTAATCCCAGCTACTCGGGAGGCTGAGGCAGGAGAATCGCTTGAACCTGGGAGGCGGAGGTTGCAGTGAGCCGAGATCGCGCCACTGCACTGCAGCCCAGGTGACAGTGTGAGACTCCATCTCAAAAAAAAAAAAAAAGAGTTTCTGACGTGGCAATTTGTCGAATACAGAAGCACTAAAGTATTAGCAAAGAGAGATACTAGCAGGGTCTAGCAAAGTTAGTATGGACCAAACGGAGCCTTTTGTGTAGAGCTGTACTTCTAGAAACTGCTATTTGTGGGTAGGTAGAGAGTTCTGGGGTTCTTGCTGAGTTTTTACTCCAAGAAAAAGTTTATTTCATCAGCTCCTTGAATATTAAGAGGCTCATCTCCTGATGAAGCTTCTGTGCATCCTGACCCAGGAAGAAAAAGTCTCAAGGCCTCCTGGAAAAAGTCTCAGAGTGTCAGATTATAAGCGTCGGCAGACAGCTGAGCTGAAGCTTGACTGAAGGCCCAGCAGGAGTGCCCTGGGGGAAGCCTCTTTTGTGAGGCCACAGTAATCACTCTAAAGTCACAGCCAGACTACCATTCTCAGGACAGCTTCTTCAACATACAAATGTCACCAGCATCAATGACAAGATGACGGCAACTAAGAGCTACAAAGCTCTTTCTCGTGGTCACACACTGTACTAAGCGCTGCATAGCATTATCTTTTCTATTTAAGCTTTTTTCTTTTTTAGATTTAAGCCTTACAATAACCCTATGAGGTTATCATATTATTCCTATGTCACAGAATAAGAACACTGAATCTTAGGTGGTTAAAAACTTACTCATGAACATACAGCTGGTAAGCAGCAGACCTTAAATTTAAACCCAAGTCTGTCTTACAATGGAGCAAGGGTCTTTAATCACAGGACAAAACAAAAAAGGGAGAAGGAGACTCTTCATGGGTGTGGTGATGTACAGGAACGTGTGGTGATTTTAACAACAGTTATTATTTAAATGACATCCTTGAAAATAGAGAGGAGCTTAAATTTCCAAACCAGCAAGACAGATAAAGCAAAAAGGCTTTATTTGGAGTGTCTTGGGAAAGACAACTATCGAGATCATCGCTCTGGTGAGAAACTCTGGACTAATCTGTTAGGATGATGATGGTGGCATGGTGGGAAAGGAAGATGTCAGAAGAGAAGGAAGTAGGAGGTCCCTGGTTCAGTATTAGGCAGATAAGCAACCCTTCCAATGTATTGTTTAATAATTTATTATCTGCCTGAGAAAATACCATTATAAAACATCACCTAAACACGATGCCCTAAAACATCACCTGTGTGGCTGACAAAACCTTGGCCACCTGATGTTTAATAGCATATTGTACATCCTCCCACAACGACAAACAGGGTGAAGTCTTACCTCTGGCACCACACCAATGGTAAGTTAGAATACTTTAAAAAATATTTGGCCCCTTTAAAACAAAATTCACACATATTTTACTTCCTTTCTCTAACATCCCAGTGGGATCAGGAGAAAAGCTATTAAATTAGCATCTCAACTTTGGCAAAGACAAGATTTGTTCAAAGTCACAAAGCTGCTTATGAGACATAAGAACCAGTACCCACTTGGTTAGAAGTCAGACAAGAGGATACAGCAGGAAAAAAAAAAAAGTGACCTGAATTGAATATTTCCTGCTGATATTCCTGAAAACCACAACTAGCCTTGAGCAATCAAGGGATGACCATAATAACACTTTAAGATGCTTGGTTGAAAGTCAAATTATAGAAATACAGTCTCATTTTCATTAATTCATTCATCCAATGGATATCTACTGAACACGTTCTACCTGCCAGCTGAAATGCTAAGTATTAGGCATACAGCTATAAGTAGATGTAAAAAATAACTGCCTACAATCTCTTAGCTATCTGTTCTTTATCGTCCATCTTGTACTAAGAACTAAGAGGCAGAATTCCCTAAGCCAGGTCCACAGCTAGCCAGCAAGGCATCTACTAACCTGCTGAAAATAAAGACAGTTTTAGTTGTGTGTTTATTTGTCTAAGGAATAAGTTCTTAGCTTTTATTCATTTCTCAATTTCTTTTTTTTTTTTTTTTTTTTTTGAGGTGGAGTTTTGGTCTTTTGCCCAGGCTGGAGTGAAGTGGCACGATCTTGGCTCACTGCAACCTCCACCTCCCAGGTTCAAGCGATTCTCCTGCCTCAGCCTCCAGAGTAGCTGGGAGTATACGTGCATGCCACCACAGCCAGCTAATTTTGGTATTTTTAGTAGACACTGCATTTTGCCATGTTGGCCAGACTGGTCTCGAACTCCTGGCCTCAGGTGATCCACCCACCTTGGCCTCCCAAAGTGCTAGGATTACAGGCATGAGCCACCACACCTGGCCCATTTCTCAATTTCTTACCTTTAAAAGTTAACAACTGATAGTAAAAGAACCATGATTGAAATCAAGGAATAAACAAGGAGTTATTACCTGTGAAGGGCCAATATCGTCCCTTCCCAGGACTCTCCATCCAACCTCAACCCCTGGTCACATTTTATCTGACAAATCCCCAATAGTCACCAGGGTCTAATGGTGTGGCATTTGCCTTGTAATCTCTAAAGGACTATATACAAATAATAGTTAATGTTATGGCCATTACTACTCAATTTGTAGGTTTCTTCTTCCAACAGTTCCAAAGAAAGACAAATATTGAATGAGCAGCCACTGTGTTGCAAAGATGTCACTGTGCCACACAAAGTCATTTATGAAGTGAGGGAAGAGGGACTCAGCTCTCAAGCTATCCCACTGGCCAGCGAGTTTGATATGTTTTTAGTTTCCTATTTTTCTTTCCTTCCATCCTGCCTTCCTGAATTTCTTTTTTCTTTAAGATACAAAAACAATAGAAATTTTTAAATGGTTATTAATTCTGCATATTTTTAAATGACATTAGCACATCCTGAGGCTAAATGGGACCAGGTTTTCATGGCTTTTACGAATATAATAAATACATAAAAATGCATCCCCACAGAGCTGGGAATAGACACCTATGTTCACAAACCCTCTTAGGAACTAAGGGAAATTAATGCTTTTCATCATACGAACCCTGGGCACAATGTATAGGCTAGATCCTGAACTACACAATGGTTTGCTAGATTTTCTTATCCTTCTTTATTTGATATACACTACAGTGAAAAATTCTCTGAAGAATTTAAGGAAGCACTGTCACATAATTGCAGCCTTTGAAGACTGACACCCAAATGCACGCGGGAACACACACACACACCCACACACATACACACACACAGCTTTTCCCAACTTACACTTTCAGACTGCTTCTCCTATAAAGATGACTTATTTTTTAAAATAATTGCACTTATTTTGACTAGGCTGGCTTTTTAAGACAGTTTAGTTATATTCATTGCAAAAGCATTTGGAAATGGTCTATTTGTTTCCTCTCTCGCAGCACACACACTATCAATTCATCTTGTGGTTATGAAAGAAATAAACACCCCAGAGGAATCCTCCGTTTTCAAAAAGTTAGGTGGATGTGTAATATCTCCAGGTTTTTCAGGATTTAAAGCAAAGTATAACTAGAGAAAACGCTCCTGTCTTCTGTTGCTGTGAAATTCAATGGAAACACTGCAATTTGGCTTTGCAGAACACGAGCATCTCCCTTCCCTGTGACAGCTCTAGTAATAGTGCCTGGGTTAGAAGCAAGATCCTCAGAACGTGAAAATCAAATTCTATATAATCCGCTTACAGCAGAAGCAAATTAAAAGTGATTTTTGTAAGTTTCTGAGCTCAACACATGGTCTCTACCACAAATGGAATTGGACACTCCATCTCTCCCTACCAATGACCTGAGGGATATCAATCTGTGCAGAAGCTTACAATTAGCTACGTCCACTCTAGTAATAGGCTGTCCAGTCCACATTAAAGGTACATTTGCTTAAATTCTCTAAATAGAATCTGTTTTCTGTGTTTTTTTTTTTTTTTTGGTAAGTAATTTCCCTGATAAGCACTTAAGCATTCCAGTTTACTGCATTATCTCAAAAACAGCATAACTTTCAGCCTCCCTCTCTTGGTCATAACATATTACAAAGTCAATCTAATCCAAGAATGTAAGAAGCAGCTCTGTTGTGATGCCATTTTTTTCTGTTGCTGTTACACCCACTCTTTGGAAAGAAAGCAGAGGCTCTCATCTGCCTCACAATGACCAGCTTCAAGAACACCATGCAGGTTGCATCTCTGCAAACCAGACCCACTGCTTGTACATTGGAAAGGGAAGCTAGATTCTTCAAGCCAAGTGGAAATTTACTTGGAGATACTCGGGATTTATTTTTTGTTATTGCATGAGATACATATTAACAGGCAAATGTTTCTAAGTAGTACAGCCTAATGGTTAAGAGTGCAAATTTTACTGTCAAACGGAATGTGTTTAAATCTTATCTGTAACTAGTTAGCTGTATGGCTCTGTGCAGATTTCTAAACTTACTGTACACAGTCTTCTATTTGGTGATATAAAGATAGCAAGGGTATCCCTCTCACAGAGTCATTGCAGGGATTAACTTGCAGGATGCTAAAACCCCTCCTTCTCAGGCTGTCTTTGGAAATTCGACATTCACCGGCTTCATTACACAGAGCTTCAGATATTTCCATGTCTGCCTTTCGCCCATAAAAAGTGGGGTGCAGGAAGGAGTTCCAGAGAAGCCATCAATCCAAGCATTCCCTAAATTCTCCTTTGAACAGGAATTGTACTTTCAGCTTCAAAATTAAATAATTTAGGTAAAGGCATCAAGTATAGTGCATAGCCAATTCTTTTTTTAAAAAATTAACTAAATTTGAATCGGTAGCTTGATCACTTTTGTATCCTCAAATTCTCAGAACAAAATTTTTCTGCTATTATTCAAACAGTAAATTGGCCAGGCATCTACCTCCCCATGCCTTCCCTTGGGAAACACTCTTTATCCTGCCCCAGAACTTTCACTGGCCATAATATCTGTGTCACATTTTGGGTTTTCTGTTTCCTGCAGCCTCCTTTGGCAGAAATCACAGGAGAGAGAAGGAGAAGCAGAGGACAGGATTAGGAATTGGGGAACTTGCTCTGCTGATGGGCAGTGTGATACCCAGATCACTGAGAGGTGCAGATCCCTCCATTATCCAAACAATACTCAAGCTTCTGAGAGGAGTAACTGCATGGCCAATATTCTTGTCTTCTTTATTCATCCATGAATCAATATACAATAATACTGGATCCTTAAGATACCCTGACTGTCTCCCTTTCCCGTAACCCAAAGAATCTACCTTCCATGCTTCCCATTGGACTGCACATTTCATTATCACACACACAACTGACTTTCAGAGAGCAGCAGGCCATGACTGATATCCTCTATCTATCAGATATATGTCTTAGCAGGGGACCATGCAGTTGTCCTCAATTGTTGGCTCACTCCAGGGCTCCTATCAAAGGTAGCTAGAGAACGTCAATTGGCATCCAGCCCTCTTTGCAACACACTATTTCCCTAACATGTATCCATACAAAAGCAAGCACCAAGTGGATAACAGTCATGAGCAAGGACAACTTACATGCTCTTTGGGGAAACCCCTGCTTCTGGGAACATGCTCCCTTGAGTCCCACAGAGATTCCCACACCTGGTTGATAGGGCTCCTGCCCTATTCTGGGTATATTCTTGGGCTGCTGGAAAGCTGGGCTTGGCTTTAACTCATCAACTCTTTGAGCTCTTCAGCCATTAGCCACTTTCTGACCCATAAACCAATTGCTATTTGTTAGACTTTGCACATCCCTGCAAACCCCCATAACCTACCTGCTTAAGATGACTCAAAGTTCATGGCTGTATTTAGTCCATGCTAAGTGCCCAGGATTCTCAACCTCTCTAGTCTCAATGCTAGAAGAGGATGATATTAAACTTAACTCATCCCATGATATTCCTCAGCTGCAGATAGTGGTTCCCCTCATCTGACCCAGCTCTGGTACCTCAACCCAATAGAACCTGAAATTTTCACATCACTTTACTGGAATCGGAACATCTAGGTTTTCATCCTGCATGCATTCTACATGATCTTGCCAAATAGTCTCTAGATATGAAAACACTTCCTAAACTCTACTAATGTATTAGTTTGCTAGGGTTGCCATGACAAAATGTCGCAACCTGGATGGCTCAAACAACACGAATTTATTGTCTCACAGTTTGGGAGGTTAGAAGTCCAAGATCAAGATGTTGACAGAGTTGGTTCCTTCTGAGGGCTGTGAAGGAAACATCTGTTCCAGAACTCTCTCCCAGCTTCTGGAAGCCTCAGGCATTTTTCTCCCTGTTTTATTTTATATCATCTTTCCTCCATGTGTGTCTCTCTCCAAATTTTCCCTTTTTATAAGGACACCAGTCATATTGGATTAGGGGACCACCCTATTTCAGCATCACCTCATCTTATCTAATTACATCTGAAATGAGCCTATTTACAAATAAGGTCATATTCTAGGATACTGGGGGTTAGGACTTCAGAATATGAAATTTGGAGGGGCTCACAATTCAACCCATAACAAATGGCTACAAAAGCATCTTGCAAGCTGTAAAAGTACTACACCAACATTAGGAATGATTAGGAATAAAGTATACCTAATTGTCAGTTTAGTTTTTGAGCTTTACAGCACATGGCCATCCTATTGATTATGCTGCACATAAGAACTGACTGGAAGTGGCCTTGCTACTTCTACAAAGTGGATTTTATCTTTCTGCAAGTGCTGTTTCCTTCTCATTTATTGATTTGCATAAAATGTCACTTAATGCTTAAATATTTATATTATGTGGACTCAGTAATAGCTTAATTTCCACAAAATAAAAAGGTACATTATCTCTTACTGCAGACAGAGTCCTCTTTTTCCAAGTCATTTGTATTTGCATTTCCCCAAGACAGAACTTATGTAAATGGATTCGTGGCATAGAAACAAATATAGTCCTTGCAGGGAGAAATTTGACTGGAGGAAGGGCTTGTGCTCTGAAACTATTGGAATCTCTTCTCACATAAGAGTTCCTCTAAAGCCTGAGTTGATAGGGGGCGCTTGAAAATCAAACCAGCTGAAATGATAGTTATTATTTCCCTTAAGGAGGAAAGAGAAAGGAAGGTTTCTGATTCAATTTTCCCGCTTATCCAAAATGTTAATATTGGGCCCATCTTCTTCCTAGGGGAGGCTGATGACAAGAATCAACAATTGTTTTCACAGAGAATGGCTATGGACATTTTATAACACCTCTGAAAATTATTTTTAATTACACGGTGTATTGGTTCCAATGGCTGCTATAACAAATTACCACTAGCTTGATGGCTTCAAATGATAGAAATGTATTCTCTCTCAGTTCCAGAGGCTACAAGTCCAAATTCGGGCAGGTCCGTGCTCTCTCCCAGGGCTCTAGGGAAGACTCCGTTCCCTGCCTCCTCTAGTTCCTGCGGCTGCCCCAGACTTCCCAGGTTTGTGGCGGCATCACTCCAATCTCTGCCTGTCTTCACATCGCCTTGTTCTCTGTGTGTCTGTGTCTTCTCTTCTGTCTGAATCTCCCTCCGCCTCCCTCTTGTAAGGATATGTATGACAGTAACTAGGGACAACCAGAGTAATCCAGGTAACCCGCTCATCTCAAAATCCTTAACTCCATCACATCTGCAAAGACCGTTTTTCCAAACAAGGTCACATTCACAGGTTCCAGAGACTCGATGTGGATATCTTCTAAGGGGCTATTTTTCAACCTACCACACAAGGGTAGAGAAAAGAAGACTTCCATATCTATTTTTTAGATCATTAGTTTTCAAGCTGTTTCCAAAAAGCCTTGGGGCTCTGAGGTGCCATAGCAGGAACTGCAGAGAAAGGTGAGATGCGACTGAGTCCTCAGGCCTTTTCCTCACTTCCCCATCATTAAAATTAGCTCTGCTTTCCTGTTTTGGGAAATGGTGTCCTGGGAGAAATGTCATTTCAAGGTAGCATTCAGTGGTTTAAACTCAAGGCTGAAAACTACCCTTTCAAGGTTGCTGATTTTGAAAATGCTTTTCTGTCTTCATAAAATCCACATGGAAAGAATCTTCTTAAAGAGAATATATACTCCCAGCATGGGAGATTCTGAGTCCCAGGCCTGGGAGGAAACTTGGAATTGGCACTTTAAGAGGTACCATGGCAGCTTGATCTCACCTGTAGGATGAGGTGTCATAGAACTCCACGTAAATCAGGGTCCTCTTGGGCCCATTTTTTATCTATTATTTGAAATTGTTGGCAGGAGAGAGAGGTGTCTCTAGTGCCCAATAAGAATAAGAAAAGGCTGGAGAGGCCATTTCTGTGATGTAAATATTTCAGGGCACTACTTTTTAAAGTACCATTGGCATTTGCTAAAAGATATTACAGTTTTCCAAAAGGACAAATTCTGTATGATTCCACTTATAGGAAGTACCTAGAGTAGTCAAATTCATAGAGATATTAAATAGAAGTAGTTGTCAGGGGCCTGGAGGGAGGGGAAATGGAGAGTTGTTGTTTAATGTGTAGCTTCAGTTTTGCAAGATAGAGTTCTGTGGCTGGATAACGGTGATGGCAGCATGACAATGTGAATGCACTTAATGCCACTGAAATGTACACTTAAAAGTGACTAAGATGGTGAATTTTATGTTACGTGTACTTTACGCCAACTTTTAAAAATTTCTTAGGAAGCAGAGTATCGTGGACACTGTTGGTGCTCCGGGTTCCTGTTCAACATTTTTGTGCATCCCATTCTTGTATAATCTTGATTCCAGCAACCAGCACCCATAGATTATCTTTTGAGGACTTCCCTCAGGTAACTTGAGCCACTTTGCACTCACCAATGCCCAGGAAGTGCCTGGATGGCCTCCAGCCAACAACTCAGGAGTGCTGCCCAGTTAGGAGAACTCTGCGCACAGCTTATGCTGCAGAGCTCCCATGGGATCAGGCTGAACACAGCCTCCGAAAGGTTCTGCACGAGACTTCACCTTTGCGTGACTTCCTCCCATTCCTTCATTCCCTGTCATGCACACCAGTCTCCCTTTGGAGCCCTTCCTAAAGAAATTACTTGCCCCCCCACATACGCCCCACTTTGGTTCAGTGAGAACAAATTCATGGACTAGAATAGGCTGTATAATTCTTCCATCAAAAAATATAAATTGTGCTCTCCCTTCCGGAATTGGTTGAGATTTTTAAATGACATGACATCAGGACGTATATGAAGAAGGCCACGTGGGGGATATGAAATGTCGAGGCATTTCAGCAGCACAGGAATAAAGTAATTCAGGCTGGGATAGCCATGGACAGCTGCATGGAGGGAGGGGTTGGGTCTGGAAGGATAGGAAGGATTTGGATACACAAAGATTAGGTGATGGCAACTCAGGAAAAGCAGAAAATGATGCCAGAAGTGAAGGTGGAAAAAAGAAAAGTGGGGCTGGGTGTGGTGGCTCACGCCTGTAATCCCAGCACTTTGGGAGGCCGAGACAGGTGGATCACTTGAGGTCAGGAGTTCAAGACCAGCCTGGGTGACATGGTAAAACCTGATCTCTACCAAAAAAAGAAAAAGCCGGATGTGGTGGTACGCACCTGTAAATCCAGGTACTCGGGAGGCTGAGGCATGAGAATTGCTTGAACTCAGGAGGTGTAGGTTGCAGTGAGCAGAGATCACACTACTGCATTCCAGCCTGGGTAACAGAGCTAGATTCTTTCTCAAAAAAAAAAAAAAAAAAAGAAAAAAGAAAGAAAGAAAAAAGAAAAGGAAAGTATATTCTAGGAAGAATGGGCAAGGAAACCATGTCAGATGATGCGCTTTCTTAGGCTACCTGACCCACAGGCATTACAAGGAGGGAGTCCTGAGAACCAGAAGGAAGTCAGTTACTGCAGGAGTCTGACTTAGAGATACTAAACTAGAAGAGAAAGAGAAACCAGGAGCCAGAACTGGTAGGGCACAGGGCTAGACATGTAGGTATGTGAAGAGACAAAATTAATAACAGGCAAGAAACAAAAGGAAGTTATGGGTATGAAAAGATAATTTTTAGAAAAAAGGAAAAAATCATGCCTCTCCTACAAATGTAAAATTAAAATGTGTCAAAGATTTTATTTAGCTCATCAAATAATGAGGGAATAAGTAAGATGTAAAAACTGAGTACAAAGGGAAATCCAAAGAACATAGAGGCAACCAGGAGTGCTGAAATCAACCTGCCAGAGGTGTAGCCTGGTAACTCCACCAAATAAAAACATGCAATTATACTTCCAAGTACAAGAATCATTTGCATTACTGTTAGTTTCCTATAATTTGCAGATTTGTAAAATAGCTTGGTCAAAGACAACAAGAGGCAGGTGCGATGATGGCTCATGCCTGTAACCTCTGCACTTTGGGACACTGAGGTGGGATGACTACTTGAGGCCAGGAGTTCCAGGCTGCAGTGACCTATGATTGTGCCACTGCCCTCCAACCTGGGTGACAGAGCCAGACCGCGTCTCTAAAAACAAAATAAAAATCTTACAGAAGTCTCAAACCACCCCATGAGGTAGGAACTATTTTGGCCAGGCAGAGTAGATCACTTTGGGAGGCTGTGGTGAAAGGATTGTTAAGGCCAGAAGTTTGAGACCAACCTGGGCAAAAAAGTGAAACCCCCATCTCCACAAAAAAATTTTAAAAATTAGCCAAGTGTGGTGGCACATGTCTCTAGTCCCAGCTACTCAGGAGGCTGAGGTGAGAGGATCACTTGAGCCCAAGAGTTAGAGGCTGCAGTGAGCCATGATGGCACCACTGCGCTCCAGCCTGCACAACTCAGTAAGACTCTGTCTCAAAAGAAAAAAAAAAGGCAATAAAAAACCAAGACTCATAAAATCAGATAACCCAAAAGAGCAAGGCAGTAGTTAATACCTCATATTCAATTAAAGGGACACCCAGAAATCTCTTCTGGCCATTTCAATCTTTCAACTTTTCCTGATAGTGATCAAATAATTTTGACAAACATTGAGTTAAACGAAGTTACCAGCTGTTCTCAAAGCCTTTAATGGTTAAGAGCCATTTAGAATCAATAAGAAGGTAATATAGCATGGACTATTTTCCAAATTTATGTGGCTGTGAGACTCTTTTTCATGGAATTCTTTTTAAGATATTATAAAACCTCAGTATTCTGCAGAGCTCTGTTTGGGAAATCCTGAATATTAATATCTCCTAGAGATAACAGAAGAAAGGATGCTCTTTCCTGAGGA
Source organism: Homo sapiens (assembly GCF_000001405.40). NCBI lineage: Eukaryota > Metazoa > Chordata > Mammalia > Primates > Hominidae > Homo > Homo sapiens. Next base: position 3,737,421 of record NC_000003.12, read on the forward strand.
TTGTGGTGGCTTAACAATTTTTCGTCAGTCCTGAGTAAGCAAACTGGTCTTATAGATTTCCTGCAACTTGCCCTCATCTTGTCTCTCATTCCCCTCCCCTATCCCACTACATGATACGCAAACACATTTTATAAAGGGGCTGAAAGGATTAGAAAACTAATGATTCTTGTCTCTTCCCCCACCCTATCCCAATTCTATATCTACATCTGTTATTTGTGTCTGGCATGCCTTGGGCTCCATTAGAGACCAAGATATTTCTCAAGAGAAAGGATTTGTGGCTAAAATACACCTGCCACATATATGTCTGTCAATTGAGCTATCTATTTAGAATATTTAAGAGCACTCACTGAAGAATGAACAACTGTTCTAATCAGCAGTCAGCTGTTTGGAGAAAAAGATATCTTCTTCCACCATGGCTCAGACAATAAAGAAAGGCACAAAGCCACTGGAAGTTCCTTCTTTCTGGGACAACTAGAACCCCTAGTCATTCTGCGGCCCAGTGAACAAAGTGTGGCATTTGAAACCAGAAGACATGAATTCAAGTCCTAACCTTTATAGTCACTAACTGTGTAACTTCAGACAAGGATTTCTCCTTTCTGAATTTCCACTCTTTCATGTGTAAAACAAGTATAAAGATAACACTGAGCTCAGAGGATTACCCTGAGTATCAAAGTACTCACTGAGATAACATATGAAGCCCCTACTATGTATCTGGCACAGAATAATTGCTCAATATTAATGCCCCCCCATTTATTTCATTTAATTAACTACAATAAGGCTGTGTTACATGAAATATAGACAAATGCTGTGCTGCCCCGCATGGTGCACACGATGATTTTACATGGTATATGTATGTACTCCCCTTTCAAAGCCATAGTTTCACAGGTCATTTTGCTTAGGATAAAACTAAAGTATTTAAGTTAAAAAAGTAAGTCAATTAAAAAGTATTAAGTGAATAACATTACAGGTAGTACTCAGATATAAAACAATTGTAAAGGGGGTACATGAATGACTAAATTTTGGGAAGCATTCATATAGATGTTCTGGGTGGTCCAAAAAGATTCCAGAAGCAAAAGATGGAAGCTTCAGGAAGAGTATTTTGTGATGGAGGAACTTTTTAAGATAGCTGAACAAAGATGGACTGGACCAGGTAACCATTTTGCTGCTGGAGACATTCAAGCAAACATTATATGATGGTTAATTTTAGGTGTCAACTTGACAAGGCTAAAGAATGTCCATAGAGTTGGTAAAACATTATTTCTGAGTGTGACAGTGAGGGTGTTTCTGGAGGAGATTAATTAGCATTTAAATCAGTAAACTGAGTAAAAAAGATCAGTCCTCAGCAACATAGGCTGGCATCATCCAATTCACTAAGGGCTCAGACAGAACAAAAAGGCAGAGGACAGGAAAACTCACTTTCTCTGTTTGAGCTGAGATGTCCATCTTTCCTGCCTACAGACATGGAAGCTCCTGGTTCTCAGGCTTTTGGACTTAAACTAGGATTTATACCATCACCCCAAACCCACCGATTCACAGTCTTCGAACACAAACTGAATTACACCACTGGCTTTCCTGGTTCCCCACTTAGCAGCAGGTCATGGAATTTGTTGACCTTCATAACCAAGTGAGCGAATTCCTAGAATAAATCTTCCCTTCAATGCATTTATATATATTCTATTGATTCTGTTTCTCTGGAGAACCCTGACTAAGGCATTGGGGATTCGGACTTTGGATGGATGATTAGGCCATGTGCCCATGAAAGTTCCTTTGAACCACACGAGGCTGTGCTCCTATCACTAGAAGGACTTCAGTTGTAGAAGCTTACAGATCACAAGTAAAAATATCAAATAAGTGCCTCCTGGGAAAATGTACTGTCCGGTAGTTGAGGACTTGGAGGTTCTCTCCTGGGTCCCGAGAGTCACCCTGACTGAGTTTCCATGGCCTGCCTCCATCTATGACTGTGTGCCAATTTCCATCGCATTTCACGGGTTTTGCACTTTCTATTCACTGAGAGTTTCCTTTGAGAATATAGTCCAGATCCTGCGCTGCAGTGATTTCCTTTGGGTGTGAACGGTCGGAAGGCACAGGGTAATTAAAGCCCACACATGCAAGCGTGTCTGACAGAATGATGTGTACTCCCCTCTGATTGGGGTCTGATTTGAATAAGAATGCCAAGCAGGCCGAGCCAAGAGAAAGCAAAGGCATAGGAAGCCTTTCTAAATTCTAAAAAGAAAATGTCAGACCGGAGCTGAGTTGCATCTTCAGCCAAGCTCCTCCACCTTCCTCCCCCAACACACACACATACACACACACACACACACACACACAAGCACACACACACTGAAGACTTTGGTCTATAGTTCTTGGGATTCCACAGAGAGCCTCTAAGAAAAAATCTGACCTCCTGGCCTAACTACCTGGTTGCTCCACACAAAACAGGTTTTACAGATTGTTGAGGTGGACAGATGCCCAAGAGGCATGATTTCCAGGGAGCTTGGAAAACCTCTGAAATACTTCCTTTTGACTGAAATCCTTTTAACAGCTAACAATGTCTCTATAAAGCAACTGCCCCCAGGGAAAGAAAACACCATGACTGAAACTCAGGTTGAAGGTGGAAATGATCCACCTGATCCTAGATTATAGAATCTTAGATTGAGAATATTATAGCTACTGGTGCTACTGACGATAGTACGGTCCAGGTGCTATCCTAACAAATGCTTCACTTACACTAAGTCATTCTCACAACTACCTATGAGGCAAGGGCTTTCATGATTCCCATTCTACAAGTGACTGCAGACTTAGGCAAGGTAAAGGCGTGCCCCAGTGCACACACCTGGAAACTATCATCCTGATCACCTGACATCAGATTTATCTTTTAAACTAAGAAAGGAATGTATAGATCATTTAGACCAATGCTTTCTTTTTAAAGAATGAGAAATGGAGAAGCAGACAGTAGAAGTATGCAACCACCATTATGCAGCCAGTAAGTGGCAGAGCAGGAACCCACGTCCAAGAATTTCTGAATTTTGGAGTCCAAATTCCAGGCTCTTTTGAAGGAGCAGGTGTGATGGGGTAAAGGGGAAAGATGTAAAGGATTCTGAGTGTGTGAAGTTTAGGACAGAAAGAAAGCTGCTGAGAGCAATGAGCACATACTTCATACCTCCTTCACAGATTCCCCACAGTGGCAGTGCGGTGACCCAGAGCTTAACTTATTGAGCCCTTACTATGCACCAAACCCCTTTCTAAGAGGGAGCAATGTGTGTTTTGATACCAATGAAGGCATGGGATAAAGTCCCAGCTGTGCCACCTTCACTGCATGTCCTTAAAGCACTTAATCCATGTGACCTCTGAAGAAGCAGAGAGTGGGAGAGGCAAGGCCATTTGCTCAAAGTCACACAGCCAGGGACTGGTAGAACAGAAGCTCAAATCTAGGTTTTAGCACTCACAGCAATTGGTAAAGACAGAATGGAATAATTTATCATGATTTTGGTGTTTGTTGTTTTGGAGTTTTGTTGCTTACATGTTTGCTTTTAATCTGAGGAGGAAGGGTGAAAGTGAGACAGGTTGCTGGCCTTCCAGGTGCTGCATCCTAACTGTGAGTGACATCTCTGCTAAACACCAGCCCAGGGGCCATTAGCCCTGAAGCTGCTTCCCTGGCTCTCCCCAGGTGCCCAGTGCTGTGCTCCCCACAAGGCCAGCTCTCAGCAACAAGCAGCCTCTCCGACTTCCTGTGGGAAAGGGTGCCCTGGTGACCTGGAACACACAAAAGGGTCATTTGGAGAATGGAGCAATTAGCTGTTCATGCTGAACTGCTGCCATCAGTGACCTGGGAAGTAGAAGTGAAAGAGCCCTGCCCTCATCACAATATTACAGTGAGCTGGGAGTCTGGGGGCCTTGACCACTTGGGAGCAGACAATCCTAGGAGCTGCTGTTATCCAAGATGTCAGAGCCCTTTGGCTCTGCTACAGGAAGCGACCCATGTATTCCCAGGACCTAGCTGGCATTTGGAGAAAGGGGGTTAGCTGTAAGCAACCAACTGGCTTAAAGGGATGTGCACATCTCAGGGCCTGAGCAGCTCGGGGCCCCAGAGCCTCACTACTCTGTGCCAAGTTTCCACGTGATGGATCGTAACCATTAATTAGACACCTGGGTGATGTTTATGGCCCATGAGTTCAATCTCTGTTAAGATTTTTTAATAAATCAAACCCTCCTGAAACCATCTGCCAATGGAGGAGGAAGAACTAAGTGAGAGGCAGGTAACTAAATGGCAGAGTTCTGGCTCTGAAATCTTACAAACCTGAAACGAAATCCCCAAAAGCTGTCAGTCTGTGTTGCTCCTGGGTGACTCCTTAACTTCTCTAAACCTTGATTTCATCATATGTAATGTGGGAATAAAGTAGGAATAATATTTCTCATTTTTATTAGAATTGCTTTTAGACTACACAATAAATGTTAGCTCTTATACTGTATTGTAATTACCCATTCTCTCGTTTGAGTCCCCTGATAAACAATAAATTATGTAAGAATAGAAACTGACTTCCATGCTCATCTCTTCGCTTAGGCTGGCTTGCTCCAGAAGCATCGCAAGACAAGGATTTGAGAGCAATAAGTTCATTTGGTGGTGGTCCCACAAGGCAGGAGTAGGAGACTAGGGAAACAAGGCAGGAAAGGGGGAGGGAGTGGTGAATGCAGTGTCTAGCCTGCTACTGCTGTGGGCGGCTGAGGCTCAGTCCCATTGGGATCCTCTGGCACAGCATGCTTCAGGGGTTTCCCACTGGAACGGTGAGCAAGCTGGGTGCTTATCTACCCCAGCATGTCCATCTTTGCACGAAGGTAAGAGTTGAGCGAGCGAGGAAGCAGGGCTGTTAATCCACTAATTCCCATTCACTCTTGGGTGAGGGCTGCTGTTGGCACATTGATTCCTTGGCACTTCTACCTGCCCTGGGTACCTGAGAGAAAGGCCCCAGGCAGAGAGTTGCAGGAGCTTGCCTAGAACATCAGCAGCAGGCACTGACACAGCCAATGCCCTCAGGAAAATGGGCAGGACACCAGCAGTATCTTCTATTCCTCTAGATCCCTGGCTCCTAGCACAATGCCTGGCACATGGCTGGTCCCAATAAATATTGAATGAATGAATAGAGGAAATATACACAGATATTGTTAACTATAATACAATATAGTAACTGATCAGAACCATGAAAAGACCATTAAATTACCAAGGGAGATTAAAAGGGGATAAAATTTACTTTTATTGAGGGGGTATCATGAAGGTTTTAAAGAGGCAACAGTTGAACCGGCTCTTTGAGGATAGGTAGCCTCTGAGCTTCTGGGAACCTTAGGCTATATTCATTGTATCTCCAGAACCTAGCATACTTAGCACATTGCAGGGACTTAATACATTTTTGTTCTGTGGTAAACCTGGCCAAGTGGCAAGCAGAAGAAAGGTATCCCAGCAGAAAGATTTGCATGAATAATGGAGACCAGCATGTATGCTACCAACTAGAAAAAGCAAGAAGTTCAGTTTGGCTGGAATACAAGTGCAAGCAGTGTCTGGTGCGTTGGGATGCTAGATTGCAGTTGGAATAAATTAATATCTCACTGAGGATCTTGGACCTTATTATATGGTGTGGTAGTGATAAGCCCCTGCAAGAATCAGAGCTCCCTATATCCCTGTTGTGATTCTGGGCTTGGCTAATGGTACGTTAGCAAATGTGATACAAGCAAAGCCTGAGAAGTACTTCCATATTGGGGCTTGGCTTCTCTTGCTGCCCTTAGGAACCCTAAGATCACATATGAAGAAGCCAAGGCTTAGCCTGCCAGAGGATGAGAGACCAGGTACACCAAAGACAAGCTGTCCTCAAAAGGCTCCCATACCAACCAGCCTACCCACCTTCACACCCATGAATGAAGCCATCCTAGACACACCAGCCCCAGCAGAGGTGACCCACACCAGAAGGATCTAACTAACCCTCAGAATTATGATAAATAATAATTCTTTGTTTTAGTCCACTAAGTTTTAGAGCGGTTTAGTATGCAGTGAAAACTACTGATACAACTGGAGAGTTACTGAAGGGTCTTAGAGGAGGGAAGGGTATGTACTGAGGCTTTAAGATTAATCTGAAAATATTTGCAGGATTTAGGGAGCAGTGGTTCTAGCTGTTTCTCACTGGAACAGGTAAACCAATCCTATGCTCTCCCCTTCTCTGAATTTGTCTAGCACTAAGACTGAGACAGCACACACACAGGAACCCTTCATTATATTGTGGATTTACCACCTAGAGCTACTTGTTCCAGAGAAGATGTGAGACTTGCTCTTTTGGATCTAAATTTCTCAAGTGGGGGCCAAAAGCCAGGGGTGGGATTCCAAGATAATAAGGCAATTGAACTATTACCACGTGCCAATACAAGAGGGATACCAATGAAATAATCTGAAATTCAGGGCAGCTGAACTACAGAGAAAAATAGTTCAGAGCTGGAGTTCAGGTCAGGATAAAGGAATGGCTTTCACAACTCTGAGACAGAGTTCATGCTGGAGTTCATTATAGCTGCTGTTTATAACCTTTGACCCTGACTCTTTCGCCCTTGCATATAGCCAGAATCACTTAGCGGAACTGAAAGGTAATGAAGATTTGTGGAATTATTTTGATTCCAAAGCTATGATAAAAAGGCTAGGTAAGAAAGGAGGTTTAAATCACTGCCTAATTTTAGCCATGCTACTCTTCTCCCCAACTATTCTAAGAATTGGATACATTATGCCATGCCAACAAATTCAAGATAGAGACAGTGTTCCCTAACAGTGCCCTTCACTTTTGAAGATTCCATGTTTACAAAGTTCATCACTATAACCCTTCCAGCAACTTCATACTGCAGCTCTGGGCTGTGTGTGTGGTATTTTACCAATAACCCCACCAAGGTCGCAACATGTGACTTACTACGGGGCCAGAGCAAGTCGATAACATCAAACCTGAGTTAGAAACCGCACCTCCAAATGTCCTATCCACATCCTCAGCGCTGTCCTCGCTTAACTGCTTATGATTTCCCCAAAGATGAGAACAAGGATAATTTATGAAAATAGAACGATTGCTCACGTTGTTTCCAATTCAATGTACTCTTCAGCATGCAAATCACACGAGACTTTAGCTAAGGTATGGGGCAGGGAGAGGGTGAAGAATTTGGGTTTGTGCTGCTAGATTTGATTTACCTTAAAAAATCATAATCCACTATAATTACGATAAGGAACCCAGAACTGAAGCTCTGCCCAGCCCACTACCCCTGCTACACTCATTTTTCTAACTTCAAAGGGAGCCGATCCTCTGATTACTGGTAAGCAGCATTGAGAGCGTGAGTCTTTGTGTCTCTGTGGAACCAATTATCGGTAGGCCTGGAAAATTAAAAAGTTGAATTATGTTCTCGTGGATGCATATTCAGACGGTAGGCACTAGTGCAGAGAAGAGAGTTCTAACAATCCTCTCCAGAAAAATCCTGGTCAAAACACAGGACTTCAGCAATCTGCTCTTTTCACTTGCTCAGGACTCGGGCTTCAGCTTTGGGTGTGGACTGTGTGCAGGGCCTATATTTAGTGATTATTTTGCATATGTTCTCTCAAAAAGTTTCACAGATGCCTCACGCTGGCAGTTGGGGGTATATTTCCTTTTAGTGGGGACTATCTGTTGTCTGAATTTGCCAAGCCGCTCATACACAGATAACGGATTTCACATTCAGTTTAGAGGGAGACTGATGGGCCTTTGAATCTATGACAAGCAAGACCCAATTGTAGCATAGTAGACAGATATAATAGCACAGGCTTAAGAGAAAGGAAACCACAAGCGCCCCAGGTTTTATTATTAATAATAACATTAAATATCATTGCTGATAAAGTTATAAATAATAATAGCAGATAATATTTATTGAGCTCTTAATAGACGCCTCCGTCCAAAAATCAGCTCTACCACTTGCTGTTGATTTGAGCTTGGAAAGTGACTGTATTAGTCTCACAGGGCTGCCATAACAAAGTACCTAACACTAGGTGCTTAAACCACAGAAATGTATCTCCTCACAGCTGTAAGGGCTGGAAGTCTGAAATTAAGGTGTCCCAGGGCCATGCTGTCTCTGGGGACTCTAGGGGATAATCTCTCCTCTCCTTTTCTAGCTTCTGGTATTTGCTGGCAGTCCTTGGCATTCCTTGGTTTGTAGATATGCCACTCCTGTCCATTGCCATCTTCTCTTTGTGCATGTTGGTCTCCGTGTCCCAATTTCCCCTTTCTATAGGGACTGCAGTCCTAATGAATTAGACCCCAACAAACGACCTGATATTAACTTGATTACCTCCATAAAGATCCTATTTCTAAATAAGGCCACATTTTTTTGAGATACTAGGAATTAGGACATCAATGTATCTTTTATGTGACAGACATTTCAACCCATTAGAGTTACCTAACCTCCCTCCTAACACCACTTCCCCTTTATAAAATGAGGATAAAAGTGCTGACCTCACAGGGCTGTGGAGAACCTGGGGCTATGCATGTAGAAGGATTAGCACAGTGCCTGGCACATGGCTGGAAGGCATCAAATGTTAGCTAGTATTATTATGAAATGGGGATATAGAGCCTTAGAGCTCAATTTATTTTGCTTTGCTTATACAGAAGTCCATATGGATAACATTTTCCTCCAACTCTAAAGGGCATAATGATTTTTCATAACAGCGTAAGTTGATTTTTACATCTTGTACTTTACAAAGGAACTATATATTTGAATAAAATTTACTTTTTATTTGAGTATTGCCATGTATTCATACTATGATACAATTGCCTTGAATAAATACCTTACTCCCAGTAAGTAAATAAACCCTAAATGTTAAAAATCTGAACAATTTAAACATGGCTAGAAAATGCACCTTCTATATTATTCCTAAAATAAAAGAAATAAAGGCTCTAAAATGCAATATTGAATTCCCCCAACCATGCTGATGTAGGTAAACTGTATTTCAGATATTGGGAAATAGCCTCATAAACTGAGAAGAACACGGCTTTTAGATTCAAGTACATATGGATTCAACTTCCACCTTTACCCCTACAGCTCTGTGACCAGTGGGAAGTTATGTAGCTTTGTTCAGCCTTGGTTTCTTCATCTGCGAAATTAGGAAAATAATACTCCTTCAAAAGTGAGAGAGCGTAACCTGCAGTGGATGAATGGATAAACAAAATGTGCTATGTACATATAATGGAATATTATTCAGCCTTAAAAAGGAAGGAAATTCTGACACACGCTATAACATGGATTAACCTTGAGAACATTATGCTAAGTGAAATAAACCAGTCATCAATAGACAGATACTGTATTATTCCACTTATGTGAGGTACCTAAAGTCATCAAATTCATAGAGGTAAAAAACATAAAGGCTTTTGCCAAGGTCCAGGGGGAGGGTAGAATGAGGAGCTACTGTTCACTGGGTAGAGAGCTTTAATTTTGCAAGATGAAAAGAGTTCTGGAAATGGCTGCTCATGATGGTTTCAAAACGATGTGAATATCCCTAATGCCACTAAACTGTACACTTTAAAAATGGTTACGATGGCAAATCTTATGTTATATATATTTTACTCTAATTTTTAAAATAAATTTAAAAAATAAATCCTAAAACATTGTTTAAAATGTGAAATAGTTTAAGGAAATCCCCTAATGTGACGCCTAGAATAGAAGCAGGTAGCTATTAGACACATTCCTTCTTTAGTTTTCTCCCTCCTCCCCACCATAAATAGTTGCAAAAATAATTGGAGTGTGCACATAGCCAAAGATTTAATGCCACATAGCCAAACAAACACCAGATAATTCAGGAACCCTTGATTCTGAAGTGAAGCTTATAAGAAGATGAACCACATTGGATCAGGAAATAAGAAAACCAGTCCATATGTTGCAATTAACTTGTTCTGTGATTGGGAGCAAGTCACTTAGCTTCTTTGGACCTGTTTTCTCATCTGTCAAATAAGGAGGGTTGAACTAGGTAATCTAAATGAAATCCAAGTCCTTAGAGGCTTGTATTACATAAATCAAGTCAAGACATGGTATTTAAGAATGAAGGGTCATAGTTTAGCATGCTAATAATTCTTCTTCATGCAAAAACATAGGAGGGGGAAATAAATATCTTTTATCGTAATACCATGATAAATTTGCTGGGTGGGGGGAGGAATAGATTATAAGACAGGCCGAAAGGAGCAATTAATAGCGAAATGTCACACTATTCTATATCAAATGTTATGCATTTAAAAGAATATGTCAGTTTTGCAAGATGAACAAGTTCTAGAAATGTGTTGCACAATGATGTGTATGTAGTTAACAACTCTGCACTGTACATTTAAAATGGTGAAGATGGTAAATTTTATATTATGGGTTTTTTGCCACAACTTAAAAAAAGAATATGGGCAACTATTTTCTTTCTTTAACATCCTCATTTTTCAAAAACAATACCAGTGGTTTTCAAGCTTTTTTACAAAGAGCAAATCCATTCTTCTAACAAAGTTTCATAAGAAAAATAACTGTAAAAAAAAAATATGGAGTTGAAAGTGAGGCATGAGATGGAGGTAACGAATATTCCCAGTATGAGCCTCTCTCCCTTCTTGTTCCTTGGGCCTGCTCCTGAGTTCTGCAAAGACTCCCTAGTGCTCCAGGAGGCTGGTTTAAAAATCAATGCTTTATACTCTACAAAGAAATGTAGGCCAGGCACAATGGCTCACACCTGTAATCCCAGCACTTTGGGAGGCCAAGGTGGGGAGATCACTTGAGGTCAGGAGTTCAAGACCAGCCTGGCCAACATGGCGAAACTCTATCTGTACAAAAAACACCAAAATTAGCCAGGCATGATGGCGCATGCCTGTAGTCCCAGCTACTCATGAGGCTGAGGTGGGAGGAACGCTTGAGCCCAGGAAGTTGAGGCGGCATTGAGCTGAGATAGCACCACTGCACTCCAGCCTGGGTGACAGAGCAAGGCCCTATCTCAAAAAAAAAAAAAAAAAAAGAAAAGAAATGTAAATGGCCCTCACCATGCATTCGACTGGGAATTAATGGTGGTAGAGCTTTGTTCAACTGAGCCCCACAATCCATCTAACCATTTACTGCAATACTGTAAAAGTGGACCTTAGAGGGGGTATTTCTATCTGCTTTCAGGAAGAGATATTATGGATATACTAGAGGTAAAAAACCCCCAAGTTTAGCACATTCTCAATAAAAATGTGTATAAATGACTGAATTCATGAAGGGACCCAAGCTCCAGGAAAAGCATAGCAGGAGAAGTATTTTATTAATCTATCCATTCATTCATTTATTTATTCGAAAGCATTTCTTTAACATCAATTATATTCCAGATTATTGTTAAGCACAGGGAATAAAAACATGAATCAGATACAGTCCCTACCCTCAAGGAACTCACTCTCTGGTACAAGAGACATGTTTCAAAAGGTCATTGTAAAGAAATGTGGAAAAGGCAAGAATTATGCACAGAGGGCTATGGGAGTACCAAGCCAGCTGTGAGGGAGCCAGGGAAGACTTCTTGAAGGAAGGATTAAGAGCTAGCTGCTCAATGACAGGAGAAGGTCATGGAAGGTGTAGACAAAATAATGAGCATGTGTCCATGTGTGGGAAGTGGCTTGGTGTGTTGGGAAGAACACAACACAGAGAAGGAATGGGAGACATGAAGCCACAGGCAGGGTTGTGGAGAGTTTTGCATGTGAGTAGGGCCTGTCTGCATTTTTCTCCCTTGGCTTTGCCTGGCTCCTTTCCTTCCATCCCAGGGGACCTCCCCCTGACACTCCACAGAGCTTTGAGTTCTATAATCTGTAGCTTATTCCCACTCCATGGAGAAAGAGGAAAGAAGGCTAAGAGGAAGAAGGAAAGGGCATTTCACCTCCTCAGTGGAAGCTACCATAGAAAGTCAGATCAGGCCGGGCACGGTGGCTCATGCCTGTAATCCCAGCGCTTTGAGAGGCTGCGGCTGGCGGATCACCTGAGGTCAGGAGTTTGAGACCAGCCTGGGCAACATGGTGAGACCCCGTCTCTACTAAAAATACAAAAATTAGCCAGGCATGGTGCTGTGTGCCCGTAGTCCCAGCTACTGTGGAGGCTGAGGCAGGAGAATTGCTTGAACCCAGGAGGCAGAGGTTGCAGTGAGCCAAGATAGTGCCACCGCACTCCAGCCTGGGCAACAGAGCGAAAACTCTATCTCAAAAAAAAAAAAAAAAAAAAAAAAAAAGATCACAACGTTTACCCATAAAAGAAAACAACAATGTTGCTTCATGAGTCCTTGATGGGTTTCTGAGAGGCAGAAGCATTTGACCTGAAGGTGCTGTGTGGAAAGGGCCCGCTGAGAACTCCTCCTCCACCAACTCCCCAGGACCAAGCTATCTATAGGTGCTGGGTGTTCACGGCTGACTTGCCCAGCATCAGGGAGGCCTGGTCCCTCAACCTCAGTTCAAGGCCCTCAGGTACTTGGAGCTCAAGACTTCCCCTCCTTAGGACACTCTACTTTCCAGCTTTGTTTAATGAAAACATTCACTTCTGATTCAATAGCATTAGAAAACCCAGATTTCATTTCCCTTTACAACAGCATGAACACCTGAATCGTTCCCCTACTGGGAGTCTCTTTGGAGTTTGAATCAAAATGCTGACCATAATGGAGGGACTTCTCTCTCTTATATGAACATCCACTAGATAAACATCAAACAAACGTAGATATGAAAATGCTGACATGGGGCAGACAGGAATGAAAATCTGTTAGGAAAGACCTCAGAATTCCCTATACTCTTTCTAAGTAGATAGAGATACAGATAAACATCCCAAATTTTAAGTTTTTAAATCTTTTAGTTGATAAAAATCAAAGCAGTGACTGATCCCATGTGGTCCAGACCACTGTTCTCATCTAAGGCAACCTCAGAAACCCAACAGCCCCATTGAGTAGATTTAGACCACAGGTTACTGGGAGAAGATGGATTTCAGGAACAGCAAAAATCAAAAGCAAATATTCTTTTGAAGCTTGCAAAATCACTGTTTTAGAATCTGAATTATATTGGCAACCAGAGAGAATCAAGCATTCTTCTTCATTTCCCAAAATACTAACATTTCCCTTGTGGGAACTGATTCTCGATTTCTATTTATTACAAAAGGAAGAAAAACATGTTGAGGTCTTACATTCTCCTATTTTTTTTCACTTTTCCATTGTCCTGAATAGCAAAGTACCATATTACTCAGAATATGATTTTGCATATGCTATCAGATAAATCTAAAACATTTTTGTGGCTAAATTTAGATGTTTGTATAACATACTGGGGGAAAATCACTTAAGTGATTTTGGCACTAATACTCAAAAGACGTGTTTCTACACTTTCAGTAAAACTACAACAAACGTGTTAAATATTTGGTAAAAACAGGGAGGCATGGTCAAAATTTGAAAATCAAAAAGTCTTAAATGAAGAAAGATAAGATGATGGCTCTACATTCCCATGAACTAGTACAACAATTATTTTTTTTAAAACATACATATACTGTTTCTAGAGCAGTTTTGGGTTCACTACGAAATTAAGCAGAAAATATAGAATTTCCATATAACCATCCCACACCATGCGTAGCCTCCCTGATCAAGATCCCTCACCAGATGGCACGTTTGTTACAACTGATTAACCTACATTGATACATCCTTAGCACCCACAGGCCATAGTTGAATTAGGGTTCACTACAGTCTATGGGTCTTGACAAATGTGTAATGCCATGTAGCCACCATTATAACATCACACGGAATAGTGTCATTGTCCTAAAAATCCCCTGTGCTCAACTTGTTAGTCCTTCCTTCTCCCCAGTTCTGGACAACCACTGATCTTTTTCCTGTCTCCATAATTTTGACTTTTCCAGAATGTCATAAAGTTGGAATCACGCAGTATATAGCCTTTTGAGATGGGCTTCTTTCACTTAATAATATGCATTTAATGTTCTTCCATAATTTTTCACTGTCTAGATATACCACAGTTTATCCATTCACCTACTGAAGAAGAGCTTGGTTGCCTCCAAGTTCAACAATTTGCTTTTAAACTTACTTATTTAAAGAGTGGCTAGCTCAGAATAATTGCTGTCTTTATTTTCTTATTTAATTTCAAAGGTGACCAAGACAACTCTTAAGGAACGCATGAATTCCCCTTAGCAACAACTCCAACAGACTGTCTGACTTTGCTTGCTTCTTCCTCTAATGATAACTCATCATTTTCATAAGGCAGCCCGTTTCATTACAGAATATTTCTATTTATTATTAAACAATTCTCCTAATGGTGGGTTTTCTCCTACACCTTTCAAGATAAATCTAGTTCCTTTCTATGTGTTTCCAAATTATCTTTTTACATGAAAATCTCAGTATTTTTCTTTGTTTTTAACTTTTAGTTTCAGAGGTACATGTGCAGAATGTGCAGGTTTATTACTTGGTAAACTTGTGCATGGGGGTGTGTTGTACAGATGATTTCATCATCAAGGTATAAAGCCTAGTATCCACTAGTTATTTTTCCTGATCCTCTCCCTCCTCCCACCCTCCAATAGGCCCCAGTGTGTTGTTTTCCTCTATGTGTCCAAGCATTCTGCTAAAAGAAAAACTTCAGCCAAATTAAACTGAAAGGAGTTTAATTGAGCAATGAACGATTCACGAATAGGGTAGCCCCCAGAATCATAGCAGATTCAGAGAGACTCCCAGGATGCCTCGTGGTCAGAACAAATTTATAGACAAAAAAAAAAAAGGTAGTGACGTACAGAAATCAGAAGTGAGGTAGAGAAACAGCTGGATTGGTTACGGGTTGACATTTGCCTTATTTGAACACAATTTGACACTCAGCAGTGTATCAGTGGTTGAAGTATGGCTGCTGGGATTGTCCAAGACTCCACCATTGTTATAGGTGCATACTCCTAAGTTAGGTTTTCTGTCCTGACTACCTATTAAGTTAGGTTACAGTTCGTCCACAAGGACACAAATATAGAAGTACAGAGTCCTTCTCAGGCCATATTTAGTTCATTTTAATACTTCTCGTCATTTAGCTGCCACATATAAGTGAGAACATGTGGTATTTGGCTGTCTGTTCCTGCATTAGTTTGCTAAGGATAATGGCTTCAGGCTCCATCCATGAGAAAACTCTTAGTATTTTTCTATTGTTGAAAGAAAAAAAAGTAAGAATTATTGCTTTATTGATTTTTCAAGCACTTTTGAAATTTATTCTCTTAAAATATTTACAATAAGCAGAGACTTTCAGATGCCCAGCGTGACCCCTCCCAGAAAAACCATCCCATCTGGCCAAGCTTTCTTTCCTCCAGGATTAGCATTGCTAATTCCTTGAAGTTTGCTCTCAAAACATCTTTTTGGGTCTCCCACATCATTCTGGGCATCCTCCTTTAAACACAGTTCTTTTTCTCTACATTCTTCCTCCAGAATTGGGCACAATCTTCCATGAGTAGTCGGCTGAATGCAGAGGAGACAGAAACAGTGATCTTTCACGTGGAGTGAGTGTACATGTTTCCATGACTGCAGTTGGAGGCTGCATCAGCTTTCCTGCCTCGCCACTCTGAGACCACATGAAACCTGCAGTTCATTCAAACTCGCTCCTTCCCCATCTGCTCTACTCTGCCCCCTCACTTCATTACATTTTCCCTCTTAAATTTCATCCTATTGCATTTGGCCCATTGTAATTTTGGAGGGTATATCTGTGACCTAAAATGCTAGCTCCCTCAACCTATTCTGCATTTATCGTTTTGATCAATTGCATTTAATTCACTACTTCATTCATTCAACTGACATATATTGTCAATTATGGTGTCAGATTCTGGGCTAGCCTCTGGGGATCAATAACATTGCTCCCTATTCTTAGGAAATATACAATCTAGTGAAAAATTGCAGGTTATAATTGATCAGAATAATGAATGTATAGCTACAAACTCTCTGAAATTAAAAGTACAATTTTATTAGTGATTATAGCTAAGTATTCTAATGTAGATATAGGCAGGAGAGTGATAAGGAAAGGCTTCCCTAGAGAAATGACAATTGAGCAGAGACCTAAAAGACAGAGAAGTTAACTAGCTAAAGGGGCGAATGGGGGAGTGGAGGGGAGCAGTCCAGCCAGAGGAAAAGCCCTGGAGAAAAGGCCCCGGAGGAGAAGGAGCATAGCATAGTTCAGGGACCTGAAGCAAGCCCAGGGTGTCTGGAATGCAGAGCAGTGGTCGTGGAAGGAATCCCACAAGGTGATGCCATAGACACAGACAAGGCCAGACCATGTAAGGGCTTTGTAGGGAGGATTAATGGATTAATGATTTGGCTGCACTCACCCATGAAGAGTCTCTCTGAAGCAGAATCCTCTATTATAAATTTCATCTTCATTTCCCCAAATTTTCAGAGCCTCCCCGCTTTATCAGTCAAGTCCAAATCCTCTAACTTGCCATACAAGGCCCTCAAACTTTGATTTGCCTTTTCAAGTATGATGTGAGCCCCTTGTTCCCACAGAAGGGACCAATCAAGCGGGATATTTTCCCACCCCCCTGCCTTTACCTGGAATATAGATTGTATAAGTAGCCCCACCCCCAACTAATACTTCCCTACTGAATAAGATTACCGCTTTTGCCCAGCATTGTGTGCTATGTAGTAGGCACAGCAGTAATGCCCAATGATTATGATTATTTTTAAAAGAAATTTTTAAATTTTTTGTAGTTTCCCTAGAATAGATGCTGTGGGAACTTCTGCATTAGGAGTCTTTGCACAACAGAGGAGACAAATTAGGGCATGGATACTTCCTCTTCCCTAATGTTTAAGATAACATTTTTCAAAATGTGCTTCTCACTAGTTCTGAGTGAAAGAAACAGAAGTTACTTGAAAAGGAGTGCCTAGGCCACGTATATTTGGGATTATCAAGTTATGTATGAATTCAATCTACAGAACTCAGGGCATTTACCTATTGGTGAGTATTCTGATCGCCCAAGAGAGAAACACTATGTTCATTCATTCATTTGACAAACATTAAGAATCTACCATTTGCCAGGTAATATGTTTACAAAGGTATATTGGTAAATGTTTTAAAACCAGCTCTCTTAGGAAAAAAAAAAAAAACTAATTTGTAGCGTTTGCCCATTTCTGTGGTGTAACTATTCCCACATGGCTGATTACAAGCTATCAATATGACATCACTGAACTCAGAGTAGGGAAGAAACGCACCCAATCGGCACTCACCAGCCAGTGCAAGCTGGTTCCACCTATTACAACATAGGTGATAACCACTAATGAATGAACAATAATGAGCAAAACAGCTATGCTCTCTGGCCTTGTAAACATCCAGTCTAGGGCAGGTGACAAAAAAAAATTAGTGAATAAACCTCATGAGTTAATAAACAATGAGGCTGAATTGTGCAGAGGATGGCCAAGGGGAAAATTACTGAGCCGTGTGAGATAGCCAACCACTGGAAACTAGGGAGATGATCACGTGAGTCCTCCCCCAAAAAGTTGAGAACTAAATTATCAGAAGGAACCTGTCAGGGCAGCAAGGACGGGAAAAGCATTTTAGGTGAGAAGAACAGCACAGGCAAAACCTCAAGGCTGAAAAGGATGTGGTCATTTAAAGGACTAAAAAGGCCATTTTGCCTGGACTAGAGTTGGTAGCGGGAGAGAATAAGAAGAGATGAATTTGGAAATGCAGGCACGAGCTACGTATATGGTCTTGGAGCTCCTATTGGGGAGTTTGGATTTTAAAATGCAAAAGCAAGCACTTGAAGGTCATTTTGGTTTAGTTTTAGAAGGAAGTGAACTCTCCTTAGCAGTTTTACAAGCTCACTCTGACTGGGTATGGAGGATGGCCTGGGGCATTTTCCACTGTGATTTGACTGTGGATCCCTGCTTTCTCCAAGGGTCTTTCTCCAGTGTGTCCTTCACAGTGCATTTTGGAAAATGTTAAATTAGGAGTTATAAAGAGGCTTGTAACTAGTTAATGTATAGGTTGGTACAAAAGTAAATGAGGTTTTTGCCATAAAAGTAATGACAAAAGCCACAATTACCTTTGCACCAACCTAATATTATTTCTCAATCTCTCATATAGTAAGAAACAAACATTTAAGTGTGATTCATACAGGTTTTTTTTTCTTTGCTGTTTCCTACCAAACCAACCTAGGCTTTCCCAACAGGCTTAGTAAAATCGCTGCCATTCATACAAGTGATAAAAGTGAAATCACTTTAAAAAAAATCCAAAGTGAAAGACCTAAAGGTACTGTGAAATCCAAGACAGGTGACACTGGCTATTGATAATTAGGCCCCAAACCTGGCTGGTTTCAAGAACAGCACTGCACAACAGAACTTTCCATCATGGTGGAACTTTCTACTTTCTGTATCTGCCCTACCCAATATGGTTGTCATTAGCCACATGTGACAACTGACCACTTTAAATGTAGTAATGTGACTGAGGCATTGAATTTACATTTTATGCAACTCGAATTTGTTTAAATTAAATTTAAAGAGCCACATATGGCTTGACCTGCCATAATGGGTGTCACAGTTCTAGAGGGATATTAATGGCAAAACAAAAAGTGGTGACTTCCCTTTTTTTATAGCTGAATGAAACCCCTGCTCCCAAACAAACTTAGTCCCATAGGAGACAGGTAATACATTGAAAGCATTTTAAAGGTCACTCTGCAATTTAGTCTCCTGATGCTATTTTCTGCCCATTCCCAGCCACCTCCCACCCTCAATTCAAAGCCACATATACACAGAAGAGCTTGTTAATGTCTATAAATAATAGGTTAGCATTATTTATTACTTGTGCTTCTATACACATTTTCTCCTAAAAATATTACCACATTTTTGACATAGAGTCTTCCTCTTTGATGGAAGAAAAAAGTTAGAAGGCCACAGAAAACTTATTTGTACATAAGTTTGCTTTGTCAATATGTAGCGGCAGTCAACTGACAGAGCAACTATTACCCAACCCTCCTATTTTTCATATCACCACTCAGAGTTCCTTCAAATCTGCTTTGAGCTCCCCAGGCCCTTTTAAATTACATCATACCAAGTGGAGGGATGGGGAAAATGGTCAGGAATATATGGTCCATTAGCAATTCCCTGCTGGCCTTCTATTACAAGGTGTTTCTCAAACTATTCTGCTATTTTGAAAGATAAATCTTTCTTATTGATTTCAGTCTTTAACACTCTACTCATGAAGAAGTGAGCTTGTAAACGGTCCAAGGCATGGGATTGCAATTTGCTGGGTTCAAATGATGCTGCCCCATCATTTTCCAGGTAGGCTTGCATTTCTCTCTTCAGTCCTTTATTTTTAACCTTTCCTGTTTCCTTCCTTTCCTCACCTGTCCAGCAAATTTTTCCTGAGCGCTTACTATGTGTCTGGTACTATTGCAGATGGGTCTCCACATTCATAGAGCAACGGAATGCTACCACACACACGACAGCCTGCTAGGCAGCCCGAGAAGGTCTATAAACAGAAATGTTTGGGAAACAGATCAAAGTATTTGTCTCCAAGAGGAAAGAGGAAATGAAGAGATGGGCTTAGAGAACAAACACACTGGGCTTGAATTTCATCCAGAAATTTTGCCTTTGTAAAGGAAAAGAAAAATGTTTCCCAGAATCATCTTTAAGAACCACTGAAAAGATTATTTGAAAATTATTGAAAATCAAAGCAAATTTCAGCCCATCATTGAATAAAGAAGTTGCCTCTCTGTGAATAGAATAAATAAAAATCTCTGTGTTTCAGGAAGCTGATTGTTTAAAATTGATTTGTAGGCCATTACAGTTTCCCCATATTGCCGACCGGAGAGTCTGAAATCTTTAGCCAGGCATTTAAAGCCCTGCAACATTAATCTCCATCTTACTCATCCAATTTCACATCTTTCTGCCCCTCTCAGGAACCTTCTGTTACAGTCAGGTGGATCTATTGACTACCTCCTAGATGTTAGGGTGTTCTTTGCCTCTGTTCATTTATTTTCTTTTCAAATTCTTAACACTTCCTCAAAGCCTAAGTTAAATCTGAGTTCTAATATATATCTTTGCCTAAACTCCCTAACTTCTTTTTTTGTTTTTTTGAGGCAAAGTCTCGCTCTGTAGCCAGGCTGGAGTGCAGTGGAGCCATCTTGGCTCACTGCAACTTCTGCCTCCTGGGTTCAAGCGATTCTCATGCCTCAGCCTCCCAAGTAGCCGGGATTACAGGCACCCGCCACCACACCCAACTAATTTTTGTATTTTTGGTAGAGACGGGCTTTTACCATGTTGGCCAACATGGTCTCGATCTCCTGACCTCGTGATCCGCCCACCTTGACCTCCCAAAGTGTTGGTATTACAGGCATGAGCCACCACGTGGCCAACTCCCTAACTTCTAAGGTATGCCCTTTTTCTCCTTGTAAGGCACCTCATGAAAATGATCCTTTTTTTTCTTTTGCAATGACAATTTATCATTTTGCAGTTAGCAAACAATAGGTATGTCTAAGTCATAAGAGCAATGTATCTTACACTCTTTACTAGTAAAACATTTGTTTATACATATACAGTATATAAAGCATATTGACAAACCTTATCTCATTAAATTTAATCCCTATTACTTAGGTAGATATTTTATTTACCTGTGGACAGAGGGGAAAACAGAGAGGCTCAGAAAAGGGAACCAATTAACTTGAGATTGCACAGCTAATCAGACAGAGCTGAGTTTAAAATGAGGACCTTTGATTCCAACACTAGTGCTCTTTGACCATAACAGTAAAGAGTCTTCAAATACAGGACCCTTGATACAAACGCCCCTATGTGCCCAAGATAGCTTTAACCACATTGTAGGTATTTAGTGGGTAGTACTGAAAGACGAAATGACTGCTGGTTAATGATTAAAATGAGGCCTCCTTCAAAATCAGCTTTATCGGTAATGCAGAAGAACTGAGGATAAGGATTCATCTTTTATACTGCCATGGACAGTAATTTTTGGATTTAAAACACAGCTACAAAAAAACAGTTGTCTGTGATTGTGGCCAAGGTTGCTCAAGATACATCTGAGTTACCTAACCTATGGGTCTGTTTTTTTTCCTACTGGTTTCCAGCCACACAATCCCAACCCTTAATGGTATAACAGCTCCTCCAAAATGGAGACAGATCAGAATAGACTATTAACACCCAAGCAGATGCAGAAACCACCCAGATGGATAATTTCAATGTTAATACAAAAATATTTAAAAGAGCTACAGAATGTCACACAGAGGATTAGCAATACAAAAGAGATAGAAGGCATTTATTTTTGGAAAAGTAATTTTTTTTCTGTGTATCACTAGTACATTTTAAATAGAGCTTCTACAGCTTACATACAAATTCTACTTTCTGAGCAAGAGGTATTTTGCATGGTAGGTATGTGTGCTGCTGGGTTATGTATGCTTAACCATGTTAGCTTCTGTTCACCAAATGCGTCCTCTGCTATGCATTGTGAGAGTTCTTTTATGCTCCTCACAACAACCCTGCCAGCTGCGTGTTATTAGAGTCATTCTACCGAGGAGGAAGAAACCCCCAAAATGACTACAGATTGGTGGAATATGAGAATATATAAGAATTGTAACAGAGATTATACTATTACAGCTTGGTTGTGGGACAACTTTTTTTAGTATGGAGAAAATTAATTAGAAAATCACATTTAAAGGAGAATTGAGTAATATAATAGTTAAGTTGGAAAAATCAAAATGAACTCAATTTACCTAAAAGGAAATTTTTTTTCATTTTTTTTCTCTAAAATTGACCCAACAATGTCAGCAGCACTTTTACCTCATCAACTCTTTATGTGGATCTCTAGGGTCCAGATATCAGTTACCAGTAAGTTTCTCCTGAAAAGAAACCTAGGATTCTTAGAGGGTGACTGATCCCCTGCCTTGAAACTGAGTAATATCAGGACATCCTGGAACAACCAAATTTGCTTAAAAAAAAAAAAATGGTGCTTTTGAGAACATTGGGAAAAATAGTTGACCATGATTCTATTCTGAAAACAAACGGAGAAAGTTAACACAAAGTGATCTAAGCAGTCATTCTGTTGCAAAAAGAAGAGTGACTATAAATATGCATGTATTCTTTTCAATTGGTTATAATAATTAGAAGAGATTACATGTAAGTGTATTGTTTCTTCTATTTATTCTCCTGTACATCTGTTCATAAGTTGTAGATATATATCTTCTGTCTAAGTAGAGAAGGGTAGATAAAGAATTATGAGTCAGGCAAGTAGTTCCAAGGAACTTCGGAATGAAACTCCAAGTTAGGAAGGATTCATTACGGGTAGTAATCAGGTAGCATGAAGGTGCAGTGTGTGGTCACACTCAGTGACCGAATAGAAAGAGGGCTCAACAATACATTTTGAGATGATTAATGAGCCAAATGTCCTCAGAGAGCTAGATGCCCTACTGAGTAAAATAAAATACTAAGAAGTAGTATTCATTAATACTAACAAATAGATAAGTTTTAAATAATGTGTTTAGGACAGGGCAATTAAGAGTCATTGACAAGAGAGTGAAGATACGGTTCTGGCCTTGCAAAACTTTTTAAGAGTGCTTCATTCTGGAGATAAAAGAAACAC